>NC_000004.12:66421381-67671381 GCF_000001405.40 Homo sapiens | reverse complement strand
TCTGTTATCCATATCACTACTTCATGTAATTGGGATTATAAATTATTTTAATATGTTCTTATACCGTAATATCAATATACTTAATTATGTTAGAAAAACATTATTTTATGCAAGATTGGGTGCATTACAGAATGAGGATTTCTCTTTATTAGCAGTAGCTCTAAAAATAGCTTTAAGCCCAAAAATAATTTCTTTACAAATTCTCAGAATGGAGACAATGCATGTGTTAGAAAAATTGCTTTTAATAAAACATTTATGATTTGTTTAAGAACTTAATGTTTTACCTTTCATGGCTTTGATTTGTGATGTCAGTTTTTCAGCCTTTTTTTTCTGTAGACTCTGCTCTCAGCTTTTAGCTCTATTCTATTTTCCATTAACTCTGCTGCTTTTGGTAAATGAGCACTTCATTCCTCTTTCCTAAAATAACAAGTAAGAATTCACTGCTGGACTATTAAGCCAGAGTTATCTATTTCTTTTATGTTGTGCTTGAATTTTGTGACAAGCACAAAATTTTAAAGTCACAGAATTTTTGTTATTTAAAAATTTATAAAGATGATATGCTGATATTCTAATTTTGTTATACTGGACATCCATTTACTAAAAGTACTGAAAATCTTTGATTCCTAAACTATTCTGCATCAGTTTATCCTGTTTATGATTTACTTTGTATTCTATAGGTTGTGTAAGGTATACTTAATTATAAATTAAATTGTTATGAAATGGCCTAAGATACTAGAGTGTTTTTTTCTTTATATAAATAAGATTGAACTTGTTTTTGCCATTTTACAGTTTATCAGTGCAGATGTACATGGAATTTGGTCAAGGTTATTTTGTGATTTCGGTGATGAATTTGAAGTTTTAGATACAACAGGAGAAGAACCAAAAGAAATTTTCATTTCAAACATAACGCAAGTATGATTATATTAATGAACTTTTAAAATAAATTTTGTTAAAGTTGATGTGAATGCTGTTTTCAGAAAGGTGGTATCAGCAAAGTATTGCAGTGTGCAAAATTTATTTTACAGTGTTTTAAGATAATGAGGGAATATGTAGCTAATTTCTTGACTGCATTGTATTAAAACTGGAACATTATTGTTAAAAATATTCTGGATTTTCTCTAACAAATAATACTTGATAGGGCCAGGCATGGTGGCTCACGCCTACAATCCCAGCACTTTTGGAGGCTGACAGGGGTGGATCACTTTAGCTCAGGAGTTTGAGACCAACCTGGGCAACATGGTGAAACCCCATGTCTACCAAAAATACAAAAAATTAACCGGGCCTGGTGGTGTGTGGTCCCAGCTACTAAGGAGGCTGAGATGGAAGGATGACTTGAACCCGGGAGGCGGAAGTTGCAGTAAGCCAAGATCACGCTACTGCACTCCAGCCTGGGTGACCCAGTGAGACCACATCTCAAAAATAAAGAAAGAAAAATAATAATAATACTTGATAGAGCAACATTTGCTTGTCATAAATTTTAATTTTAATTTTATTCTATGTTATCTCCTGTGGGTCATGAATTGTGATTCAGTGTTTACTGAATTGTTTATTGTGTTAGATAGTGGATGCACTAAGTATGTTGTAAGTCACCTAGCCTAATACTCTAAAAAGGCACACTTAAATCATATTAGAGAAAAGCATTTCTAATTTGTTATATTTCTAAAGCATTATTTAGAAGGTGTAGAAAGTTTTGATTAACCTTCAGATTCAAAAGTCTAAATTTTCTAACCGCACTCTTGATCATGCATAAGCTCAATTTTTTTTTGCATAAAAGAACTGGAGAAATCATTATGATCCCCTTTTAATATTATTTTACCTAAATAATTTACTTTATTTGTACTCTTTGTAATCAACTTACATTGAAGTCCAAAAGAAGACAAAATAAGGGAATGATAATATACTTTAACATAATAGTATTTGTAATTTGTACTTCTGTCTTTACACTTTATTTTTAAACCCAGTTTAATCTCATGGTGATGGAGACCCAGTACTGTCTCTGTCATGCCTTTTAGGAAAAATTTATCAAAAAGTCAATCTGTATATCTTTCTGCTCAAAGAGTGATTATTATCTACCTGAGTTATTCTTTCAGGCATATTAAGACTTAACCTTTTACCTTCTCTAGTTGATTTTAGTTTGTCCCTGAGAAAAACACAGAGAATAAATTCCAAAATATGGTATGGATTCTTATTGCATTGGTGTTATCTTTTATTGAATACTATAGGAAATATAGCTGATAAGCTACACAATATTTCTTTAAAGTGTTGAGCAAGCTGTAAGCTACCAGATTCCCATCTTTAAAATTTCTATCCTCCTTCTTTACTGTTCTTTGATCTTCAGTGTTAGGCTTTTATCATTTATGCCCATGGTTTTTTCTCACATTTAAAACTATTAGGTAACTTGGAATGTTTTTTACAAGTTACATGAATTTTTGAATCTATTAAATATTTGATCCTTTCTGTGGAATTTTTGAACATCTCCTACCAAACATAGAAATTATATTTTCAGCATTCATTTAAAAAATAGTAATAATTTGATCATTATTTTGTGATAGCTTTTTAAAGGCTTGCTTTTACTAACAGAAGAATAGCTTAGAATTTCGGTTTTGAGAATTTTATGGTAACTTTGTCATTTTTGCTTAAGATTTGAATTTGTACACAAAGAATACAAAAAAGAAGTTCTTTTTTAATAGATTACTCTTATTTTTAGGCAAATCCTGGCATTGTTACTTGCCTTGAAAATCATCCTCACAAACTGGAGACAGGACAATTCCTAACATTTCGAGAAATTAATGGAATGACAGGTTTAAATGGATCTATACAACAAATAACGGGTAAGTCAATGTGTTTTATTAATTCATTTATACTTATTCAGCAAATTTATAGTTCAGACACTAAGTGTTGGGAACAGAATGTCAACTCAGAGAGACATGATCCAAAGCCCTTGGCCTCAAAATATTCGATCCAAGTGAAGACATTGTTAAACACTGATGATATTAAGAGAGTATACTCATTCTGGGGACACTGAACTTAGCAGGGAAACCTACCCAGTTTTGGGACAGCAGCAGTGGGACAGGGTGTCTTGATTAAAATGTGAAGGTTGCATTGGCTTAGGAAGGTATTGAAAAAAGATCATTTATGCAGAGACAAACAGAAAAGGCGCAGATGCAAGACAGAACTAAAGGAACTACAAGAAATTTAATACAGCAGGGCTGGCAGGGAGAATTAAGCTCACAAGTCTTAAGATATTTAGGAGGAAACTTGATCACATACTATAGGTGAGTGAAGATTTCTACATGGTCAGTCAACATATTCACTTAAGGAATGCAAGAAAGGGAGTAGGTTTTGGAGATAAGATAAAGAGTATAGTTTAGCTTTGTAAAATGAGGTGGCAATGAAGTATTTAAAGGAAGATGTCTAGATGTTGGTTGGGATATATGTTCTTTTTCAGTGGCTTGAATAAAAGGGATGAATGTCGTGTCTGCAGGCAAGTTTGTAGGTTTGTTCGCAAGAAGTTGAAGGGGTCTGTTTTTTTACTGGACTAATGCGAAGTCATTGCCAAAAGGAAATGAAAGGTGCCGAAACCAGGAGGAAAGTAGACATTCTTAAAAATGGAAAGATGTCAGGCATCATATAGGGCCCATTTGAAGTTTAATATAATGAATTTATAGCAGCGTTAATCTGTGTAGTTTGTGTTTTTCCTTCAGCCATGTTTAAAAGAGTCAAAGTACTGGACAACGCATAACTATATGGCATGCTTACACCTATTTAGGGGAAATTGATTCAGTTTTATCTTTAGGGCATTTGAAAATATAACTGTATTTAGTTTATAGACAGTAAATGGAATTACTTTTTTTTTAATGACGGCAAAATATATCCTCAGGAGAGGGAAAAATCAATTCTTATTACAAACTGTTTATAGATAACTTTGAATCTATATTTAAGTATTTTTGGTAACAAAACTATTTGATTTTGTTTGCCAGCTACATCTAATTATTTTAAATACAGGTTCAGATCATAGATACTAAAGAATATGTTTTTATTAAAATTAATCATTTAGGATTACTATTTGTAATTTTAGCATGCATGTTGTATAACAAAACTGTTTAATTTTGTTTCCTGACTATATCTAATTATTTTGAATACAGGTTCATATCATAGATATTAAATAATATATCTGTTTTTTATTAAAATTAATCATTTAGGATTATTATTTGTAATTTCGGGGTCCATGTTGTGGTGAATTGTGGTGATAGTTCACATTATGAGGCTGCTTGTATAAAGAGGAGCCACAGCATGTAAAGAAATAAAGAGAAAGAAAACCCACATTTTGTGCCAAAAATTCTTTGGAGGGAGAGATGAATAAGTTTAAATAGAGTGGCTGTTATGAAGCTTTTTTTTCCTTAACATTTATAAATTGCTACTTACTGATCTAAAGTAATATTCTGCTAGCATGAAAAAATGTTGTTTTGTTTTTTTGTTTTTTCGTTTGTTTTTTGCTTCTTTTTTTGAGATAGCATCTTGCTCTGTTGCCCAGGCTGAAGTGCAGCGACATGATCATGGCTCACTGCAGCCTCAGCCTCCTGGGCCCAAGTGATCCTCCCACCTCAGCCTCCCAAGTAACTGGGACCACGGGTGTGTGCCACCACACCTGGCTAACTTTTTTATTTTTGTAGAGACAAGATCTCTCTATTTTGCCCAAGCTGGTCTCGAACTCCAGGGCTTAGGTGATCCTCTCGCCTTGGCTGCCCAAAGTGTTGGCATTACAGGTATGAAGATAAAAAAACCTCATGACCAGCCAAAAAACATTGTTAAATAGCTAAAATAATACATACTTATTCTAGATATATATATGTGTGTATATGTTTAAATAGGGTTAAAAATGAATCCTACTTCAGACTTCCTTTCCTCTCCAGAGGTAACAGCAGCTGAGTTTGGTGTTCACTCTGCTGACCATTCTGTCTACTTTATATGTTTACTATATATACACATATATAGTATATATTACATATTATATAGTATATATGCCTGTATTATATAATATATTAAGTAAAGGGGGGGCTTACTTGGTTTTTTAACTTAATTTTTTGAATAAGCAAATGGTTTAGAAATGAGAAACATTTTCTTTTATAGCTACCTAATATGTCATAATATAGATGAAAATGTTATCGGACCATGTTTTTTCTTTTTAAGAAATGAGGGTCTCACTGTGTTATCCAGGCTGGAGTACAGTGGCTATTCACAGGTGCAGTTTAGCACACTATAGCCTCCTGGGTTCAAGTGATCCTGCTGCCTTGGCCTCCTGAATAGATGGGACTACAGGCACATGCCACCATGCCCAGACAGAGCATAATATTTTCCTGGTTTGCCATTTATCTTTTGATGTTGCTTATGATGGGTTTTTGTCATGAGGTTTTCTTTTTTATGTTTTTATAGTCAAATTTTAAATATTTTCTTTTATGGTTGTTATTTAGTGTTACTTAGAAAAGCCTTCCTTACTACATGGTTTTAAAGGAATTTTTCTCCCATGCTTTTATCTGAGAAATTATGAGCATCTTTTTTGAAACCTAAAACTTTTATCCATTTGCAATAGGTATTCTCCCAGTTGTCTTTTTTCTCTATAAGATTTATTGAATAATCTTATCTTTTCATTACTGATTGAGGTGCCACCTTGATTTTGTCCTTTGTGTACTTGAGACTGTTTCTGAATTCTCTAATCTTTTCCAGTTGTCTGTTTATTAACCAGTACCATATTATATTATTATGATAGGTAGTTATTATTATATTATTGAGGCTTTATGATATATTTTAATATCTAATAATGAGTAGCCCTCATTACTCTTTTTCTGTAAGTTTCCTTGGTTATTTTTAAGTCCTGGAGTTTCACATTGGAAAAAATACTCTGCCTAGTTCCCCACACTCCTCCCAGCTCTTCATTAAAAAAAAAAAAAAACAAACAAACAAAAAAAAACACTATGCTGGAATTCTTTAATTTTGTAAATTAGGGATAATTAACCTCTTATGACAATAAGAGTTGAAATTTAAATATCTATATCCCTGTGTAATGATTTTTTAAATTTTTTGTCTTCTAGTGATATCGCCATTTTCTTTTAGTATTGGTGACACCACAGAACTGGAACCATATTTACATGGAGGCATAGCTGTCCAAGTTAAGACTCCTAAAACAGTTTTTTTTGTAAGTATTTTTTTTTCGGCTTAAAAAACATTTTTTTACAGAAAAAGAAAGGCAGAAGAGACAAATAACTACTCAGTTAACCAAACAGATTAAATGTGGAACAGAATTTGTTTTTATTTTTATTTTTTTGTTTGTACCCACTTTGAGGGAAATGGAATTAATCTAATGAAATAAATGAATAAAATGGATATTAACAAAAAACTTACACATCTTTTATAGCCAGAATACCATATACATATAGTTGAGCTAAATGGGTATACCCGAAAGGAACTGTATCTTTGTGAATTATCAAAGAGTTTATCATACTTATTACAATTTACTTTCTAAGACAAGAAATAAAACTAATGTATTTTCAAGATTTAGCAAGAGTTGTTTTGCTTTATTATTATTTAATTTTCTAAAATGAAGATATTCAAATTATACTTGTTAATCCTGGTTTTTAAATTTTAATTTAATTTTATAAATTTCAAAAAACAGTATATATGTTGGAAATGTAAAATAATTTCTAAAAACGACTGGCATTGAAAGCAAAATGTAAATAGCTGAATATAGAGAATGTGGTGTCAGGGAACTAAGGGATCTTGTGCTACTAAAATCCTTGGGCTCCTTCTCAGGATAAGCTAGCACATCTCTGTTTTTTCTTACAAGTTCTCAAGGTTTTAACATAATTGTCTTTTCTTTTCCAGAACTATTAACAACTCCAGTCGTTTACAAGGCTTTGTTCAACCCAAAGTTAGAATTAAAAAAAAAAATTAAAATACTATATCTAGTCAGATGTGCTCCTGCATATCTCCTTATGTTTTGTCTCCAATTTTTAATTGGATATGTCTCAATTTTAGATTGGGTGGGTGTTTTGGGTTTTTTTTAGGGGGGGTTTCATTTGTTTTACCTTTGAGTTCTTCACACAGAATTTAATAAGTCTTGACAACCTGGTATTATAAAAATATGGTAGCTTTTAGATTAAAATAATAAATTTTTTAAAGTATGCAAATGTTTTTACTAATTGTTCCCAAATTTATTATGTAGAGCAGGTTGTTTTATTGCATTTAACTTTTTTTTTTAAGTATGGTCATAATAATGGTAGCTAGTTTATATTTCAGTTAAAACATACCAGCCCAACCCTACTTTATTTCAGACCCTTGGGAGAGTTCCCTAGTTTTTAGCGCACTGACATGTAACAGTATATTTTGTCAAATAATCACTCACTCACTCTGAAGTAATGACTTTTTCCTTCCTATCAGGAATCACTGGAGAGGCAGTTAAAACATCCAAAGTGCCTTATTGTGGATTTTAGCAACCCTGAGGTAAATAAACACTTTGCAGGTTTGAGAGAGGCAGCAGAATCAGAGATGAGAATTAGTGAGTGATTATGAAGTTAAAATGGAATAACCATGTAGGTATCTGGCTGTCGGGCCTTATAATGTGAGTATAATAAAGGTTATACTCACATATCTAAAGTTGACTTCTGAGGATTAAAAATGTGAATTTGTCTCATAGAAAAAAATGATAAAGTAATAGGAAAAAGTTTCACTTTTATAATGATTTGCCAACTTTGATAATTATAAGACGATTTCAATAACTTGTACAAAGATGATCTTATTAAAAGATTTTCTGAATCGTACCATTTTATACAATACATATTTCTTACCAAAAAAGCCTTGAGTATGTATTCTATTTTTTTTTAAAATGGATGTAATTTTGTAGCAGTAAATGTGATAAGGAAGGAACTAACAGTTTCCAAATTTGTAAATTTTAATAAGGAAAGGGGATTAGATCATTTACCTTCATGGCCTTGAGGTTAAGTCATTTAACTTCTAACCTTCAGGTTTCTTATTTGTTAAATAGAGTTAATAACAGTATTAAGCTAATGTGTTTATTATGATGGTTAAATAATGTTTTAAAAGTATTTAGCCCAGTGCCTGGGACATACAACCACTCAGTAAATGTTGGCCGATTTTTAATGTTCTCAATAGGCACCTTTAGAGATTCACACAGCTATGCTTGCCTTGGACCAGTTTCAGGAGAAATACAGTCGCAAGCCAAATGTTGGGTAATGTTTTAAGTTTAAAAATAAGTATTTTCCTTTTTATAAAAGTAGTAGTTCAGAAATTATAATTTAAAAAGTAACTATGCCCTTTGTAATTACAATACCAATAGATATACCAAGCTGTGCAAACATTTATTATGACTTTCTGGTCCTTTTCCTGGTGGGAGTGGAGAAATTTGGTTTATAAAAGTGGAATCATACTAAATGTGAATTTTTCCACTTTGAAGCCTTTAAAAATTAAAGCTTCTTAAAACAAAAAAAATTCTGAGAATTACTGAATTATTAACACATAGTAATTTTTTTTTTAACTTTATATCCTGTTAAGTCAGAGTACTGTTGGAGAAGGTTTTTGCTTTTTATATTTGGGATTAAATCTTGGGATTGGGTGTTGTGGCTCACGCCTATGATCCCAGGACTTTGGGAGGCTGAAGCAGGTGGATCACTTGAGGCCAGGAGTTCAAGACCAGCCTGGCCAACATGGCGAAACCCTGTCTCTGCTAAAAATACAGAAATTACCAGGCGTGGTGGTGCATGCCGGTAATCCCAGCTCCTTGGGAGGCTGAGGCACAAGAATCGCTTGAACCAGGAGGCAGAGGGTGCAGTGAGCCAAGATTGCATCACTGCACTCCAGCCTGGGTGACAGTGAGACTGTCTCAAAAAAAAAAAAACAAAAAAAACTAAACTTATTTATATACTGATATAAGTGTGATTTTGAAGTAATGTATTTATAAGCCAATCATCTTTAAATCAGTACAACATTTTGTGCTACCTGTTGGCAAAAATCCCACATTCTTTTATATATTTCCTAAATTTTAATTTTGAGTATGTCCTACTGTTTATGGCAGTTGAGAAAATTAAAGTTAGGGTGTTCTGTTTTGAGTTGTAGATGCCAACAAGATTCAGAAGAACTGTTGAAACTAGCAACATCTATAAGTGAAACCTTGGAAGAGAAGGTGACTATTGAAATTTATGGCTGTCCGAATATTTGTTTGTTAATACATAAGTGTTCTGTATATTAGTATTCTCTTATCCTTCACATCCAGCTTTGCTACTCTGTGGCATTAGACAACTTTTTTCAGTTTGTTCTGTTTTAATTTATAAATCTATAAAATAGAGTTAACCTACCTTCATAGGGTTATTGTGAACATTAAATAATTTAATTTTGTAAAGTACTTAGAAATGCCATGTGACATATAGTAATTAATATTTGCTGCTATTTTTTTAACTGTTACTATTATTCTTTATTATTCTGTTATGATTTACTTGATTTGTTAACTTAAACTTATATATGTTAGCTTTCTTATATAAGTCACCTGTTTTATATATTATACATTCATATCTCTTTATCACATTTCGTACATCAGATTTAGATTTAAACATTTCACCTAGAAAATGGTTTTTTTGTGTGTGTTATGATGCCAGTGCCTGCTTGTCAACAGTTTTATTTGAGCAGCTATAAACATGGTGATGTTTGTGCAATTATTTGAAGATTCTATTATTTTTGTTCTTATTTTATAAAAATGAGAGGGAACTGTATTAGTCCATTCTCACACTGCTATGAAGAAATCCTGAGGCGGGTTATTTGTAAAGGAAAGAGGTTTAATTGACTCACAGTTCCTCATGGTTGGGGAGGCCTCAGGAAACTTACAATCATGGCAGGAGACAAAGGAGAAGCAGGCACCTCTTCACAGGGTGGCAGGACAGTGTGAGTACAAGCAGGGGAACTGCCAGGTTCTTACAAAACCATCAGATCTCATGAGACTCACTCACTATCACTCACTGATTACCTCCACGTGGTCCTGCCCTTGACATGTGGCAATTATGGGGATAACAATTCAAGATGAGATTTTGGGTGGGGACACAGCCAAAATGTATCATTTCATCCCTGGTACCCCCTGAATCTCATGTACTCACGTTTCAAAACACAGTCACACCTTTCCAACAGTCCCCCAAAGTCTTAGCTCATTCCAGCATTAATCCAGAAGTCCATGTCCAAAGTCTTATCTGAGCAAGGCAAGTCCCTTCCACCTATGAGCCTGTAAAATCAGAAGCAAGTTAGTTACTTCCTAGATACAGTGAGGGTACAGACATTAGATAAATGCTTCCATTCCAAATGGGAGAAATTGGACAAAACAAAGGGACTTCAGGCCCCATGCACTATAAAATCCCATAGGGCAATCATTAAATCTTAAGGTTCCAAAATGATCTTCTTTGACTCCATGTCTCACATCCAGGTCACGCTGATGCAAGAGGTGGGTTCCCATGGTCTTGGGCAGCTTCACCCTGTGGTTATGCAAGGTACAGCCCCCCTTCCGACTGCTTTCATGAGTTGGCATTGAGTGTTGCAGCTTTTCCGGATTCATGGTCCAAGCTTTCGTTGGATCTACCATTCCGGGATCTGGAGGACTGTGGCACTCTTCTCACAGCTCTACTAGGCAGTGCCAATGGGGACTCTCTGTGGGGGCTCCAACCCCACATTATCCTTCTGCACTGCCTTAGCAAGAAGTTCTCCATGAGGGCCCCACCCCTGCAGTAAACTTCTACCTGGACATCCAGGTGTTTTCATACATCCTCTAAAAGCTAGGCAGAGGTTCCCAAATCTCGCTTGACTTCTGTGCACCCACAGCCCAACACCATGTGTAAGCCACCAAGGCTTAGGGCTTGTCCCCTCTGAAGCAACAGCCTGAGCTGTACATTGGCCCCTTTTAGCCACAGCTGGGACACAGGGCACCATGTCCTGACACTGCACAAAGTAGCAAGGCCCTGGGCCCACCCCACAAAACCATTTTTTCCTATTAGGCCTCCAGGTCTGTGATGGGAGCAGCTTCCTTGAAGACCTCTGACATTCCCTGGAGACATTTTCCCATTGTCTTGGCAATTAACATTTGGCTGCTTGTTATTTATGGAAATTTCTGCAGCTGACTTGAATTTCTCCTCAGAAAATGGATTTTTCTTTTCTATTGTATCATCAGGCTGCAAATTTTCCAAACTTTTATGCTCTGCTTCTCTTTTAAACATAAATTCCAATTCCAAACCATCTTTTTGTGAATGCATAAAACTTAATGCTTTTAAGAGCACCCAAGTCACCCCTTGAATGCTTTGCTGCTTAGACATTTCTCTACCAGATACCCTAAATCATCTCTCTCAAGTTCAACTTTCCACAGATCTCTAGGGCAGGGGCAAAATGCCACCAGTCTCTTTACTAAAGCATAATAAGAGTCACCTTTATTCTAGTCCCAACAGGTTCCTCGTCTCCATCTGAGACCGCCTCAGGCTGGACTTCATTGTCCATATCACTATCAGCATTTTGGTCAAAACTGATAAGTTCCAAACTTTCCCACATCTTCCTTTCTTACGAGCCCTCCAAACTATTCCAACCTCTGCGTTTTCCAGTTCCAAAGTCACTTCCACACTTTTGGGTATCTTTATCTCAGCACCCCACTCTCTACAGTACCAATTTACTGTATTAGTCTGTTGTCACACTGCATATGCTATATAAAATATATGTATTTTATATATTCCTATATAAAATACCCAGTTTTGGGTATTTTATATAGGAAAGAGGTAATTGACTCACAGTTTCACATGACTGGGGAGGCCTCAGGAAACTATACCATCATGGCAGAAGGCACAGGAGAAGCAGGCAGCTTCTTCACAGGGTGGCAAGACAGAGTGAGTGCAAGCAGGGGATCTACCAGACGCTTATAAAACTGTCAGATCTCGTGAAACTCACTATCATCAGAACAGCATGGGAGAACCACCCCCACCATCCAGTTACTTCCACCTGGTCCCACCTTGACATGTGGTGATTATGGGGATTACAATTCAAGATGAGATTTTGGGTGGTGACACAGCCAAACCATCTCAGGAAGTGAGAGTCTTAACATCAGTGGTAAAAGCTTTAATATCATATGTTCTATAATTACACAAAGAAAGAAATAATAAATGTACTGAAAACAGTGACTCACTAGCCATAATGAAAGACCTTTTATTGCATATATAGTGCTTTGAGAAAATAAAATGTATGAAAAGCTAGAAATAGATTGTAGAAGTCTGTGATTAAACAGAAGAATGTGATTAGGGATTTATCAAGTTTATTGATGGGAAATTTACATAAAGTAAATTTTTCACTCTTTGGGTGTGTAGTTATAAAAAATTTTGTACACAATCAATTCAGATGTACGCAGTTAATTCAAAGTGTACAGTAATGGGTCCACCACTACAATCAAATGTAAACCATTCCGTAATGCAAAAAAGTTCCCTCAGGCCTTTTTATAATTACCTCCCTAGCCCATAACCAAACCTTAGCATCCACTATAGATTTTTTCTTTTCTAGAATGTCATATAAATGGAATCATATAGTATGTGTAGTCTTTTGAGTCTGGTTTCTATCACTAAATATAATTAACTTGAGTTTTATCCATTTTGTTACATGTTCATTTCATTTTTTTTAACTTTTAACTTTAGGGTTACATGTACAAGTTTGTTATATAGGTAAATTTGCATCATGGGGGTTTGTCATACATATTATTTCATCACCCAGGTATTAAGCCTAGTACCTGTTAGTCATTTCCGCCCCCTCTTCCCACCCTCCAGTAGGCCCCAGTGCGTGTTGTTCCCCTCAGTGTATCCATGTGTTCTCATCATTTAGCTTCCACTTCTAAGTGAGAACACGTGGTATTTGGTTTTCTGTTTCATTGTGTAGATGTACTACAGTTTGTTTTTACATCACTTGATGGAAGATATGGGCTGTTTTCAGTCTGAGCAATTATGAATACAGTTATTACAAATACTTGCATATAGATTTTGATGTGGACATATATCTTTGTTTCTCTTATATACCTACCCTACCTACTTGGTTCCAAGTTTGCTATAGTGAATAGTGCCACAATAAACATACGTGTGAATTTGTCTTTATAGTAGCATGATTTATAATCCTTTGGGTGTATACCCAGTAATGGCATTCCTGGGTCAAATGGTATTTCTAGTTCTAGATCCTTGAGGAATTGCCACACTATCTTCCACAATGGTTTAACTGATTTACACTCCCACCAACAGTGTAAAAGCGTTCCTGTTTCTCCACATCCTCTCCAGCATCTGTAGTTTCCTTTTTAATGATCGCCATTCTAACTGGCATGAGATGGTATCTCATTGTGGTTTTGATTTGCATGTCTCTGATGACCAGTGATGATGAGCATTTTTGCATGTGTCTGGTGGCTGAATAAATGTCTTCTTTTGAGAAGTGTCTATTCATATCCTTTGCCCACTTTTTGATGGGGTTGTTTGTTTTTTGTTTTCTTTTTTTTTTTTTTTTTGTAAATTTGTTTAAGTTCTTTGTAGATTCTGGATATTAGCCCTTTGTCAGATGGGTAGATTGCAAAAATTTTCTCCCATTCTGTAGGTTGCTGTTCACTCTGATGATAGTTTCTTTTGCTGTGCAGAAGCTCTTTAGTTTAATTAGATCCCATTTGTCAATTTTGGCTTTTGTTGCCATTGCTTTTGGTGTTTTAGTCATGAAGTCTTCCTCCATGCCTATGTTCTGAATGGTATTGCCTAGGTTTTCTTCTAGGGTTTTTATAGTTTTAGATCTTACATTTAATTCTTTAATCCATCTTGAGTTAATTTTTCTATAAGGTGTAAGGAAGGGATCCAGTTTCAGCTTTCTACATATGGCTAATCCCAGCACCATTTATTAAATAGGGAATCCTTTCCCCATTTCTTGTTTTTGTCAGGTTTCTCAAAGATCAGATGGTTGTAGATGTGTGGTGTTATTTCTGAGGCCTCTGTTCTGTTCCATTGGTCTCTATGTCTGTTCTGGTACCAGTACCATGCTGTTCTGGTTACTGTAGGCTTAAAGTATAATTTGAAGTCAGATAGTATGATGCTTCCAGCTTTGTTCTCTTTGCTTAGGATTGTCTTGGCTATGCAGGCTCTTTTGTGGTTCCATATGAACTTTAAAGTAGTTTTTTTCCACTTCTGTGAAGAAAGTCATTGGTAGCTTGATGGGGATGGCATTGAGTCTATAAATTACCTTGGGCAGTATGGGCGTTTTAATGATATTGATTCTTCCTATCCATGAGCATGGAATGTTCTTCCATTTGTTTGTGTCCTCTTTTATTTCGTTGAGCAGTGGGTTGTACTTCTCCTTGAGGAGGTCCTTCACATTCCTTGTAAGTTGGATTCCTAGGTATTTTATTCTCTTTGTAGCAATTGTGAATGAAAGTTCACTCACAGTTTGGCTATCTCTTTGTCTATAATTGGTGTATAGGAATGCTTGTGATTTTTGCACATTGATTTTGTATCCTGAGACTTTGCTGAAGTTGCTTATCAGCTTAAGGAGATTTTGGGCTGAGATGTTGGGGTTTTCTAAATATACAATCAGGTCATCTGCAAACAGAGACAATTTGACTTCCTCTTTTCCTAATTGAATACCCTTTATTTCTTTCTCTTGCCTGATTGCCCTGGCGAGAACTTCCAAGACTATGTTGAATAGGAGTGGTGAGAGAGGGCATCCTTGTCTTGTACCAGTTTTCCAAGGGAATGCTTCCAGTTTTTGCCCATTCAGTATGATATTGGCTGTGGGTTTGTCATAAATAGCTCTTATTATTTTGAGGTAACGTTTCATCAATACCTAGTTCATTGAGAGTTTTTAGCATGAAAGGCTGTTGAATTTTTTGAAGGCCTTTTCTGCACCTATTGAGATAATCATGTGGTTTTTGTCGTTGGTTCTGTTTATGTGATAGATTACATTTATTGATTTGCATATGTTGAACCAGCCTTGCATCCCAGGGCTGAAGCCGAGTTGATCATGTTGGATAAGCTTTTTGATGTGCTGCTGGATTCAGTTTGCCAGTATTTTATTTTTGCATCAATGTTCACCAGGGATATTGGCCTAAAATTCCCTTTTTTTGTTGTATCTCTGCCAGGCTTTGGTATCAGGGGATGCTGGCCTCATAAAATGAGTTAGGGAGGATTCCCTCTTTTTCTGTTCATTGGAATACTTTCAGAAGGAATGGTACCAGCTCCTCCTTGTACCTCTGGTAGAATTCGGCTTTGAATCCGTCTGGTCCTGGACTCTTTTTGGTTGGTAGGCTATTAATTATTGCCCCAATTTCAGAACCTGTTATTGTTCTATTCAGAGATTCAACTTTTTCTGGTTTAGTCTTGGGAGGGTGTATGTGTCCAGGAATTTATCCGTTTCTTGTAGATTTTCTAGTTTATTTGCATAGAGGGGCTTATAGTATTCTCTGATGGTAGTTTGTATTTCTGTGGGATTGATGGTGATATCCCCTTTATCATTTTTTACTGCATCTATTTGATTCTTCTCTCTTTTCTTCTTTATTAGTCTTGCTAGCAGTCTATCAATTTGTTGATCTTTTCAAAACACCAGCTCCTGGATTCATTGATTTTTTGAAGGGTTTTTTGTGTCTCTATCTCCTTCAGTTCTCCTCTGATCTTAGTTGTTTCTTGCCTTCTGCTAGCTTTTGTATTTGTTTGCTGTTGCTTCTCTAGTTCTTTTAATTGTGATGTTAAGGTGTCGATTTTAGATCTTTCCTGCTTTCTCTTGTGGGCATTTAGTGCTATAAATTTCCCTCTACACACTGCTTTGAATGTGTCTCAGAGATTCTGGTATGTTGTGTCTTTGTTCTCATTGGTTTCAAAGAACATCTTTATTTCTACCTTCATTTCATTATTTACCCAGTAGTCATTGAGGAGCAGGTTGTTCAGTTTCCATGTAGTTGTGCGGTTTTGAGTGAGTTTCTTAATCCTGAGTTCTAATTTGATTGCACTGTAGTCTGAGAGCAGTTTGTTGTGATTTCTGTTCTTTTACATTTGCTGAGGAGTGTTTTACTTCCAATTATGTGGTCAATTTTAGAATAAGTGCGATGTAGTGCTGAGAAGAATGTATATTTTGTTGATTTGGGGTGGAGAGTTTGTAGATGTCTATTAGGTCCACTTGGTGCAGAGCTGAGTTCAAGTCCTGGATATCCTTGTCAACCTTCTGTCTTGTTGCCCTGTCTAATGTTGACAGTGGGGTGTTAAAGTCTCCCATTATTATTGTGTGGGAGTCTAAGTCTTTGTAGGTCTCTACGGACTTGCTTTATGAATCAGGGTGCACCTGTATTGGGTGCATATATATTTAGAATAGTTAGCTCTTCTTGTTGAATTGATCCCTTTACCATTATGTAATGGCCTTCTTTGTCTCTTTTGATCTTTGTTGGTTTAAAGTCTGTTTTATCAGAGACTAGGATTGCAACCCTTGCTTTTTTTTTTTTTTTCTTTCCATTTGCTTGGTAGATCTTCCTCCATCCCTTTATTTTGAGACTATGGGCCTCTTTGCACGTGAGATGGGTCTCGTGAATACAGCACGCTGATGGGTCTTGACTCTTTATCCAATTTGCCAGTCTGTGTCTTTTAATTGGGGTATTTAGCCCATTTACATTTAAGGTTAATATTGTTATATGTGAATTTGATCCCATCATTATGATGTTAGCTGGTTTTTTTGCCCGTTAATTGATGCAATTTCTTCATAGCATCAATGGTCTTTTCCATTTGGCATGTTTTTGCAGTGGCTGGTACCAGTTATTCCTTTCCATGTTTGTGCCTCCTTCAAGAGCTCTTGTAAGGCAGGTCTGGTGGTGACAAAATCTCTCAGTATTTGCTTGTCTGTAAAGGATTTTATTTCTCCTTCACTTATGAAGCTTAGTTTGGCTGGGTGTGAAATTCTGGGATGAAAATTCTTTTCTTTAACAATGTTGAATATTGGCCCCCACTCTCTTCTGGCATGGAGGGTTTCTGCCAAGAGATCCGCTGTTAGTCTGATGGACTTCCCTTTGTGGGTAACCCAATCTCTCTCTCTGGCTGCCTTTAACATTTTTTCCTTCATTTTATCCTTGGTGAATCTGACAATTATGTGTCTTGGGGTTGCTCTTCTCGAGGAGTATCTTTGTGTTGTTCTCTGTATTTCCTGAATTTGAATGTTGGCCTGCCTTGCTAGGTTGGAGAAGTTCTTCTGGATAATACCCTGAAGAGTGTTTTCTAAGTTGGTTCCATTCTCCCTGTCACTTTTAGTTACACCAGTCAAACGCAGATTTGGTCTTTTCACATAGTCCCATATTTCTTGGAGGCTTTGTTCATTTCTTTTTACTCTTTTTTCTCTAATCTTGTCTTCTTGCTATATTTTATTAATCTGATCTTCAATCACTGATATCCTTTCTTCCATTTGATCGAATCAGCTATTGAAGCTTGTGCATGCATCGTGAAGTTCTCGTGCTGTGGTTTTCAGCTCCATCAGGTCATTTAAGGTCTTCTCTACACTGTTTATTCTAGTTAGCAATTCTTCTAACCCTTTTTCAAGGTTTTTAGCTTCCTTGCAATGGGTTAGAACATGCTCCTTTAGCTCGGAGAAGTTTGTTATTACCAACCTTCTGAAGCCTACTTCTGTCAGCTCATCAAAGTCATTCTCCATCCAGTTTTGTTCCGTTGCTGGCGAGGATCTCCAATCCTTTGGAGGAGAAGAGGCACTCTGGTTTTTAGAATTTTTGGCTTTTCTGCTCTGGTTTCTCCCCATCTTTGTATTTTTACCTACTTTTGGTCTTTGATGTTGGTGACCTACAGATGGCGTTTTGGTGTGGATGTCCTTTTTGTTGATGTTGATGCTATTCCTTTCTGTTTGTTAGTTTTCCTTCTAACAGTCAGGCCCCTCAACTGCAGGTCTGTTGGAGTTTGCTGGAGGTCCACTCCAGACCCTGTTTGCCTGGGTATCACCAGCGGAGGCTGCAAAACAGCAAATATTGCTGCCTGATCCTTCCTCTGGAAGCTTCGTCCCAGAGGGGCACCCACCTGTATGAGGTGTCTGTCGGCCCCTACTGGGAGGTGTTTCCCAGTCAGTCTACATGGGGGTCAGGGACCCAATTGAGGAGGCAGTCTGTCTGTTCTCAGAGCTTGAACGCCATGCTATGAGAACCACTGCTCTCTTCAGTGCTGTCAGACAGGGACATTTAAGTCTGCAGAAGTTGTCTGCTGCCTTTTGTTTAGCTAAGCCCTGCCCACAGAGGTTGAGTCTATAGAGGCAGTAGGCCTTGCTGAGCTGGGGTGGGCTCCACTCAGTTCAAGCTTACCAGCTGCTTTGTTTACCTACTCAAGCCTCAGCAATGGCGGACACCTGTATGCCCGCCAGGCTGCAGCCTCGCAGGTGGATCTCAGACTGCTGCGCTAGCAGTGAGCAAGGCTCCATGGGCGTGGGATCCACCAAGCCAGGCACAGGAGAGAATCTCCTGGTCTGCCGGTTGCTAAGATGGTGAGGAAAGTGCAGTATTTGGGCGGAAGTGTACCGTTTTTCCAAGGATAGTCTGTCATGGCTTCCCTTGGCTAGGAAAGGGAAATCCCCTGACCCCTTGTGCTTCCTGGGTGAGGTGACATACCGCCCTGCTTCGGCTCGCCCTCCATGGGCTGCACCCACTGTCCAACCAGTTCCAGTGGGATGAACCAGATACCTCAGTTGGAAATGCTGAAATCACCTGTCTTCTGCATCGATCTCGCTGGGAGCTGCAGACGAGCTGTTCCTATTCGGCCATCTGGGAGGACCAAGACCATGTTTAATTTTATAAGAAACTGCCAAACTGTTTTGCAAAGTAGCTGTACCGTTTTGTATTCTCACCAGAAGTGTATGAGAATTTCAGTTGTGCTGCATCTTCCTTACACTCTGTGTTGTCTGTTTATATGATTTTAAACATTTTTATGTGTGTGGTAGTATCTCATTTTGGTTTTCATTTTCATATCACTGGCCATGAATTTGAATATCTTTTAATATGCTTATTTGCCATTCATATGTCTTCTTTAATAAACTGTCTTTTGAAATCTTTGCCTGTTTTTAAAATAGCTTTTAATTATTGGTTGAGAGGGTTTTTATATGTCTTTATATATTTGGATATGAGTTCTTTATCAGATACGTGTTTTACAATAGTCTCTGAAATTCAATTTATCAAATCACAAAAAGAATACTTTTTGTGGTTTGTGCTTTTTTGTCTTAAGAGCTTTTTTAACACAGGGTCAAAAAGCTGTTTTCTTCTAGACAATTCATATTTTTGTAATTTTATAAGTTCATTTTTGCATATGGTGCAAAGTATTGATAAAGACATGATCATACAAAGTACAGATCAGTGTACATGACTTTACACTAATTTTATGCACTCTTTTGTAGTTTTATGAGTTTGTCTTTATATACTGCACAAAGTATAGATGAAAGTTAATTTTTTTGTGTATGAATGTCCAGCTATTCTAGCCCATTTGTTGAAAAGGCTATTCTTTATTGAAATGTCATGGCATTTTTGTCAACAGTTTTTTTTAACCATATATATGTAGGTCTATTTCTGTACTCTATTGTCTTCATGTTGTTTCTGTCCTTTTGCCAGCTCCATCCTGTCTTGCTTATTGTGGCTTTTATATTAAGTCTTGAAGTCAGGTTTAGTCTGTTTCTCAAAAAGAGCTCAGAATTATGGTATTCCCTGAGTTTTTATATGTTTCATATTTTTTCTGTAGTTTTCATACTTGTAAGCTTGGCTAGATGTAAAATTCTGGGCTCTTACTTTGTTCACTGGTATCTTGCTTTATATTTTACTGTTGAAAAATCAGATGGCAGCCGAATTTTCATACTGTTAGAAGTAATCTGGTCTTTTTGCTTTAAGGCCCTATGTGTTTAATCTTTGTCTTCATCTAATAGTTTTACCAGGTTATATCTCAGAGTTGATTATTCAGTAAAGTTTCTTACGTACACCATAAGCCCATTTTGATATGCAGAGTCAAATGTTGTTTAAGTATTTCTTTTCTTTTCTGGAAGGGTAGAATGGATCATTTCTGTTCTTAGTTTTTAAATTCCTGATTCAAGGTTTTTTGTGTTGTTTTTTTCCCCTACGTTGCCAAGTGCTTGTTAAGAATATGTAATTCACTTAAATATCCTCTGACTTTTGGTTAGTTGTGGGGGTGTGGATTTTCAGTAGCTGAAATGTTTTGATTCTGGTTTTCTGTTTTCTTCTTACATTAGCTTTGTAAAGTAGAATGCTTTTTGTGCTTACTTTTTGGACAGGATAAGGGTTTTAGGTGCTTTTTAGATTCCTACTTTTGTAGTATTCTCTTCTCTTAGGATACTGAAAAGGAGCTTCTAATGGATGACCTTTTTGTGGTGGAGAGGTATTGGTGTGTTTTGTAGGTCTCTTTGATTTTTACCAAACTCTTAACATCTCTCTCTTTAGCTTTCTCTCTCAAAGAATGTCTCCCCTCTTTTGTTTACATCTTTCTCTCCCAGGATGACATTCTTTGACAGCTGATATCTGCCACCAGTTTTATACCTCTCATCAATATTTTCTGCACTTAGTGTGGGTCTTTCTTTTTCTTAGGACTGTGTTTTGTTACCATAAGGCCTTTCACTCTCTTCTGTGATCTCTTCGTATTTTCTGCTCTCTGTCCGAGATTGTAACAATGTGAAATCCAGAGAGAGTGCTGATGGAGTTTGCAATCTGTCTTTCTACTTACAAGTAATTTGAAATTTATAATATTCTGTTTTCTAGTAATACTGAAGCCCTGTCACTGTTTTATTTCTCTTCTTGTGATTATGCATATGTTTTGGAGATTATTTGGGGAAATTTAGCTATAGGCTGCCGTCTTTATCCTATGGTAACCAAAAATTCCCAAAATTTAGATGTTTGTGTACTAAAAAATAAGGAATCCTGGGAGGTTGCATAACCTAATGCTGAGAATAAACCTATAAAGTTGGACTTTTTCGGTCCAGATCCTGGCTTCACCATTTACTAGCTATAAAATATTGAATAAGTTACTTAATTTTTCAATGTTTCAGTTTTCTTACTTGTATAATAGAAATTATATTTATAAGGATTATTTTGAAGGTTGTGTAAGGACTTAATAGATAACCTGGCATGGTAAGTACCCACTTATACTGTTATTATCATTCTCATCATTGTTTTTAATATTATCACCACCAACAATATCTGCATTCAAAAATTGCAGAATTTAAATTGTAATTGATCTTGGTTGAGGCTAGTGCTCAATAGTTGTAAATAATGAGATATAGAAAGTTGAAATGGAGGGGTGGAATAGTAAGTAGTAACCATTTTGTGTCACAAATATTTTTGAGAGTGTAATAAAAACTCTTCTCTGTCCTCTCCTCTGTGTACAAGAACTCTTCTTTTACATAGGATTTCAAAAGATTAATTAGGCAAACTTGAAGTTTAGTGATAAAATTAAGATTACTAATGTTTAAAGAATAAGAAGAGAAAGAAAACAGGGCTCGTGAAAAGATCTTTGTCACATATAAGAAATTGCTGAAATAATAGATCTAAAATTCAGTTTTCCAATATTTCCTTTAAAATGTTCTGTTTTGAGATACATAACTTTTAAGTGTAATTGAAAACATTATCTCTAAGTGTATTGTGTTATTATTAATTGCAGTTTTTATTTACAACTTTCAACACAAACTGATAGCTTATCATTTTTAAGATCATTTTATTTTCCTTTATCATAGTTCAGGGTTTTTTCATAGTAGTTTTCATTAACAAACTTTTTAAATTAAAAAAAATCTGTTTATTTGTAAATATGTCTGACTGGCATCACAGAACTGTTCTTTGACAAAAACTATAAATGGTAGATATTCGAGTTAATTATAAATGATGCCCTAGAGTGACATATAGAATCCAAAGACAAAAATGGGCAGATACTAGTAAAGGGAGACACTACTTAAGGTAACACGCAAATGGGTCTGTTATCATGAAATTGGGACATTTTTAGAGATATTTAGTAGGGGAACTGAATAGCTTTTTTAGAAGTTAAGTTCTAATTCTCACATTTAGTCATTGGAATTTTAAGTGTACTGTGTAAATGCTGTTAATGTTATTGTCTTTTATGGCTTTTGTTTTAGCCTGATGTAAATGCTGACATTGTGCATTGGCTCTCTTGGACTGCCCAAGGCTTTTTATCTCCACTTGCTGCAGCAGTAGGAGGTGTTGCCAGCCAAGAAGTATTGAAAGCTGTAACAGGAAAATTTTCTCCTTTGTGCCAGTGGGTTAGTTCTGAGTTTTTAAAGTTGAATTCTTTACTCGTGAAATGGAATGTGTTACATATTATAATGTAGTATTAATATATTAGAAAAGCGACCTTAAAATACTTTTTGATGCATGAAAGAGATGCAAGCAGTATGCCTCCAACACTTGATTCTATGATTGAAATTAACAGGATGATATTTTAGGGCTATTGAGATATAACCCAAAGTTGCCTTCTCAAATATATTTCCCTTAGTTGTGATAGTAAGGGAATGAATGTTCTATCCTTATAGGTAATTGTTCTCCAGTACCATAAGCTTAGCATTCTCGGGCTCTCAGGACTCTTGAATTTGTTCCATGGAATCTTTTACTATCATGAACGTTCAGGTTCCCTTTCTAGGTATAAACTTACAAAAGTGGAAAACATGGGAGTGGTACAGGTTTTAGAGTTACATGGGGTATGAACATCACAAGATGGAATAAAAATCCCCATTTCTTTTGCCAGCAGAAATAATTGGCACAAGGTGTGAAAGGATACTGCCTCCAGGCCCTCTCTCTGTTGAAACACCATAAACATTTTGAATATACCATTTATCTTTTTTTTTTAATTTTTTTTTTTTTTTGAGACAGAGTCTCACACTGTTACCCAGGCTGGAGTGCAATGGCGCGATGTTAGCTCACTGCAACCTCTGTCTGCCGGGTTCACGCGATTCTCCTGCCTCAGCCTCCCAAGTAGCTGGGGTTACAGATGCAGACCACCACACTTGGCTAACTTTTTGTGTTTTTAGTAGAGATGGGATTTCATTATGTTGGCCAGACTGGTCTCAAACTCCTGACTTCGTGATCCACCCGCCTCGGCCTCCCAAAGTGCTGGGATTACAGGCGTGAGCCACTGCGCCCGGCTCATTTTTTTATATTTTAAAAGGTACTCACATAATGCTATTTTTGCTGCTGAATTATTTATTTCAACACAGAATACAAGTACATTAGTAAAAATCTGGTTTAAAGATGACCGTTAAGGCAGGCGCAGTGGCTCATGCCTGTAATCCTAGCACTTTGAGCAGCCGAGGCGGGCAGATCACGAGGTCAGGAGATCAAGACCATCCTGGCTAACATGGTGAAACCCCTTCTGTACTAAAAATACAAAAAATTAGCCGGGCATGGTGGCACGCCCCTGTAGTCCCAGCTACTCGGGAGGCTGAGGCAGGAGAATCGCTTGAACCTGGGAGGCGGAGGTTGTAGTGAGCCGAGATTGTGCCACTGCACTCCAGCCTGGGCGACAGAGTGAGACTCTGTCTCAAAAAAAAAAAAAAAACACCATGAGAAATAATAGAAATTAATTGTTAATATAGATTCTGTGTTATAATAAAATAAATAACCATTTGTTCATGTTCAAATTTAGCCACACAAGTTACTTAAATGAAAATGAGATTAAGACTCAGTTCTTTTCTTCATTAACTTAAATTAATTATCTTTGGTATTTTTAAAAATGCTGAAATTTTGGTTTCCTAGATTATTTTCCTATAGTGTGTGAAATTATAGATGACATACACATACACATAGTATGTATAATTATAGATTATATATCCAAGCTGAAAAATAAATACAGAGTAGGTACTTTCTTCTCAAAAAGTAATCAAATTATGACTGGGCGCAGTGGCTCATGCCTGTAATACCAGCACTTTGGGAGGCCGAGGTGGGCAGATCACCTGAGGTCGGGAGTTCAAGACCAGCCTAGCCAACATGGTGAAACCCCATGTCTACTAAAAATACAAAAAAATTAGCCAGGCATGGTGGCACGCACTTATAGTCCTGGCTACTCAGGAGGCTGAATCACTTGAACTCAGGAGGCAGAGATCACACCACTGTACTCCAGCCTGGGCAACAGAAAGACTCTGTCTCAAAAAATCAAAAACAAAAAACAAAAAGTAATCAAGTTGCTTATTCAAATGTAGCTGAAATTGAATGGGGGCTTCTAAAGCTTTTGTGTAGTTATGAAAAATAGATTTGGAGGTGAAATTTCCTTTGGTTTAAAATTAGGATACATCATGTTTGTGATGGCTAAGTGACATGAATCAAATTATATCTGTCAACAGTTCCTTCAGGCTTTACCATTATTTTAATGAGAGATATAGAAATGTATATTATATATTTTTAATTATATTTTTAAATATTTTACTCTGAATTGCCTTATTTTATCATTTTTTTCTTCATGACTATTAAATAACTATAAAGGAGCTTCTTTTTATAGTAATTTGTTTTATACATAATAATTGTGTTTTTAATCTTCTACTTTAAGTTATATCTTGAAGCAGCAGATATTGTTGAATCACTAGGCAAACCTGAATGTGAAGAATTTCTCCCACGGTAATAATGAAATTTCTCTTGCTTTTACTAACAGGCAAATAGATTTTAAAAGTTTTGTCTAAACATACCTTTGTTTTATGTGTCTTTTCTCCCAAATCACTTTTGTAGTTGTTTTTTCTCTACTTAGGAATCATTTTAAGTGTCATAATAATGTCATATCTCTTTACTACTTGATAAATAGTGAATGCAAAGTTTTAAATTGTATCCCATGAGAATGGTTAGCATTTAAAATACCATAATGACATTAGATGGAAAAAAACTGCTATCTGCAGTCTTTATTTATATAGGTAATTCTTCACCTTTTTGGGTCATAAATCTTTTTGAGAATGAAAAGTTTAGAATTATTCTCCCTAAAATACACATAACCCAAATTTCTGCCTTTGATTTAAGTGGGTTATCAGCTCCAAAGCCCATCCGTAGATTCCTCTAAGAACTTTCCTTAAAAATCTCTGGCTTAGGAAAATTTTTTTTCTAGATAAACCAAAGTCACCTTCACTTAAGTCATTTGTATTTAGACTATTAAGCCAAGTGGAAAAAGGAAAAATGGATTTCTTTATGGAGGCTTTTCTTTTTCAATTAAGATTGGTTAGGGGAAACTTTTAAAGAATATTTCCTTTTAAAGTACAACATTAAATTGGTATTAATGACAGTGAAACTAATTTTAATGTTTTTTATTTCTGCTTTTTGGTATATGTTATTTTTTTCAGAGGAGATAGATATGATGCCTTAAGAGCTTGCATTGGAGACACTTTGTGTCAGAAACTGCAAAATTTAAACATCTTCTTAGTAAGTATCAATAATCATGGGAATAGTATGTTCAAACTGCTATCGTATATCAACTTAATTCATTAAAACAAATTTGAGTCTAAGTGTGTAGAGTACAGGTGAGTAGTTGTAATAACTGAGACCTTGCAGCCTATAAAGCTGAAATTGTTTACTGTCTGACCCTTTACAGAAAAAGTTTTCCATCCTCTGGTCTAATTAATATCTTTAAAGTAAAAGTATGAGTATGATAATTTCAAAAATTAAATTCTAGAAATATGTTTGAAAATTGGTGGGTTTTTAATTTTTTTCTCACTAAATGAAGGAATATAGAAGTGTATTCTGTATTTCTTTTTTTTTTTTCTGAGACAAAGTCTCGCTCTGTCACTCAGGCTGGAATGCAGTGGCATGATCTCGGCTCACTGCAACCTCTGCCTCTGGTTCAAGTGATTCTCTTGCCTCAGCCTCCCGAGTAGCTGGGACTACAGGGGCGTGCCACCACGCCCAGGTAATTTTTGTATTTTCAATAGAGACGGAGTTTCACCATATTGGCTAGGCTGGTCTCGAAATCCTGACCTCATGATCCACTCTCCTCAGCTTCCCAAAGTGCTGGGATTACAGGTGTGAGCCACCTCACCCAGCCTATTCTGTATTTCTTAATTGTCTTAGTGCATTGGCAGGGAAATTTTCCCCAATAACATAAAACAACTCTCCCTGCCATTTATTGTTTTAATTATTAAAATTAGCCCTGAAAATTACTGCTTATTCTTATTAATCATCTTTAAAATAATGTTTTGAAAATCAACTGTTACTGAGCTTTTTACATGCATATGGAATCTAGTATTATCAATTTTAGATAATAGTAGAAGTCTTAGAATAGTTTTATTCAGTAAATGAGTTTTGAGAAATGTCCAAAAGGGAGGAATCTTTTTTTTAAATGTTGTATTAACATTATATTGTGTTTATTTCTATCTTACATAAGCAGTTCAATGTTTAAATTTTATTTGGAATTTTTAAATGTCTTCTGTTTAAAGAAATTGTACAATTATGCTTTTCCTTATTTGGTTTATACTTTTTTTTTTCGTTGAAACAGTGGTAAAATAAACCTGTTAAATATTTCAAAGTAAAATGATTCACAGATAGGTTATTTTAATCTGATATATACCATTTTTCTCCTCCATAGGTAGGGTGTGGAGCCATAGGCTGTGAAATGTTGAAAAATTTTGCTTTACTTGGTGTTGGCACAAGCAAAGAGAAAGGAATGGTAAGATATCAATTCTTGAGAGTTAAAAGTTTATATTTCTGTTGTTGCCCTTTTTCAGCTATATTTGACTGCATAAATCTGAAGTATCAGTTTTTTGAAAATAGAGCATTAAACTAAAAATTGGAAGATTGTCATGCCCTTCTGACCACTTTTCAAAACTTATGTTACCTTGTAGCAAATTACTTCTCTTCCCCTTGTAGCAAATTAATTCTTTTCTCAGTTTCCTTCTCTACTACTGTGAAACTGACATTTGTACTACCTATCTCATAACGTTATTGTGATGATCAAATGTGAAAGGGCTTTGCAAGCTATAAAATATGTTGTTATTTCTGTTAGATAGTGTTTATTGTTAAATGTTTAAGATAACTGAAGCTAACATTACAAAGTTGCAGAGGACTCAGATGTAGTTTCAATTAAAGAGTATTAAAAGTAGTGGGAAAAATATAAAGCTCAGTGTACAATTTAAATTCTTAAGACTCTAAATGTGAGTTAATTGCAAGCCATGTCATATATTTAAATAGAAATTTATTTCACTGGTGCTGTTTGCCTTTTAAGATAAACTGTCTTCCATTAGTGATTTCATAGATATATCAAGGTGACTAACAGAAGACTGATTAAATGGCTAAAATTTATATGATGGATCACCTTTTATAAAAGTTTATTAAACTTAGCTTATTATTCCAATTCAAAAGATCATACATTACTATCATAGTTAACAGGCAGATGTTCTATGTTTATATTAACATTTCCTAAATACTGCTTCACAAACCACTATTACTTGTGTTGATTTTAAAAAGAAGAAAGTCTTTGGTTACATCAGTTTAGGAATCACCTAAATGCTTTAACTCCTTGGAAATTCATGATGCACATTAGCATATAAAGGTCAGGAAAAGAACTGTAATGAAGAAACCTACTGACTTCAGATAACAAAACAAGATAAGTTAATGTGGACATGCTTCTATACTACTGGAAACACAGACTTACTGTATACATTTTTTTAAGTGTAATGTAGCCAAGCTGAAAAGAGAAATTCCCAGGTCCCAGGAACCAAGAGAGAAGAAAAAATCCTAAATTGAAAGCCATGGGTACTTACAAGTGTTTCTATCTTGAATGTTTGTCCAAAACTTTAAGTAAAAACAGAAGTCACTAATGAGAAATTGAAACTCAGAGCATGTACCACACCAGGGTAAGGGGTCCAAAATTATATCATATAAAACTTAAAGCAGAGAACGGAATATAACAAATTTAAGACCACTAAAACTTACAGCCTTTAAAGCAAATGTAAAACTGCATCATGATGATAATAACACACTCAGGACTATGCAGAAAAAGTCAGCCTTCATTAAAGACAATTCAGATTAAAAAATGACTATTCACTAGAAAGGGAACCACCACAAGAATCAGCCATGGCAAATAAAAGAATTAGTCTCCTAAGAATTATAGATGATAGAAGTGCTACCAATAATAGAATTTTTTTTAATTTTATTTTATTATTATTATACTTTAAGTTTTAGGGTACATGTGCACAATGTGCAGGTTAGTTACATATATATACTTGTGCCATGCTGGTGAATAATAGAATATTTTACAGAAAATAGAACAAACTTTAAAGTTAAAAATGATCAGAGATAAAGAGAGCTAGAAACGGGAAAAAAAGGCACTGAAATTTTTACATAAAGCCAAATAAGAATTTCTGTATAATCGCTAATATTAAAATTTAAATATAACTGAGGTGAGAATGGACAAATCGAAGATAAATATAAATACCCAGAATGTAGTGCAGAAAGATATCCTTTTTTAATGAAAGAAGTGCGTTTGCAAGGTCCAACATAGGTCTAGTAGAATTTCCAGAGATAAAGATAAGGGAGAAGAAGCAATATATTCCAAAGATAATGACAAAAGTTCCCAGAGTTAAAGAAAGACAAGTGTTTTCAAATTGGAAAGATAAACTAGTACCAAACAAATCAAAAGCAAAGATTAAAAAAAGAGATTGCATAATAGACTTTTCGTCAGCAATAAATAGAAGATAATGGAAGCATATCTTCATAGTGTAATGGAAAATTACTATTAACCTATACTCAGTTCAAGAGGGAGAGCAAAGTAAAGATAGCTGACAAATAAAATGATGAAAGATTACTACCACTTATTGGTTCTTACTGAAAGATGTTAGGTTGTGTGGGCAGTGTGTAAAGGGTATATAGAGGCATTTGTCAGCATTCTTTGATTTACATGAGTATTGATTTTTTAAAACCTTAGAGTGAGATGGTTAAAAGTTTTAAGTGTAACTGATCTCATGGAAAGCAGACTGGAGAGTTCCAAATTAAATGATTTAGATATTCTCGGTTTTCAGGAAGATAGAAATTTTAATAAATTTTAGATCTTAAGTCACATAAGCATGTTAAAATTTTGAGCATAACCACATAACATTAGGCACTTAGCTTCTAAACCAGTTTGGGGAGTTGGGGGCAGTAGGAATCAAGAAAACTTGGTCAGTCCAGTACAAGGCAAAAATACAGGGGAATGAAAAGCAGAATTGGAGGAGGTAGAAAGAAAAAGCCTTAATATCAGTGAACAATGAATTGATTAAGCTTTTTTGTTAAAAGATATTTTCTGTTTGATTTTTTTTCCATTAAAAGAGACACTCCCTAACATAATTACACAGAAATATTAAAAATATCAGGGAAATAACAACTAAAAGAAAATGAATGTGGAATATAGTCGGAGACATTCTACATCTAGGCAAATCTTGTTTAAAAATGCTAAAGTGGCAAATGCATTTTGAATACTCTTCAGATGATCTTGAGTTTACTTTCATCTTGCGTCCTTTAGAATGAGTCTGCAGACTTTTTCTTAAAGGACACGATTGCAAATATTTCAACTTTGCAGACCAAAGATCTCTGTCACAACTTATCAGTTCTGCCCCTAGGATCATGAAAACTGCGGTAGACAATTCTTAAATAGTATGACAGTGTTTCAATAAAACTTTAGTTACAAAAATAGGCAGCATGCCTAATTAGGGGGTTAGGAGTTCAAGACCAAAGTTTGTATGCCTCTGCTTTAGCCAGAGTTCCTTTCAAATTGATACATATAAGCATTCTTCCCAAATTAGTTGAGATTAAGAATAAATACCAGTTTAGAAAGAAGAGCTAGCTCCTCTGCAGGTAATCCATTTCATAGTTCTAAAAAGTTTTGTTTTGTTATGAATAATTAGAAAAAAGTTTTGAACAGGAATTGCAATTGGCCTCAGCTATTTTGTTTGATGTGCTCCTATGTAAAACATTAATTACAATTAAATAAAACATAAAAGAGTAGTATTGGTAACTATTTGGGAATGTTTGTATCATTATGACCTTTACCAACCAGACTAATTTAGAATAATTTGTCAGGACTTTTTTAGTCATACTGAGAAAAGAAAAATAGATTAAAAGGTATCCATTATGTAATTTCAGCCATATTTTCTTGATATTAGATTACAGTTACAGATCCTGACTTGATAGAGAAATCCAACTTAAATAGACAGTTCCTATTTCGTCCTCATCACATACAGGTATGTTGCTATTCTGTTTCAAATTTAAATCATGTATTATACAAAAAAGAGTTTCCTTTTAATAAATAGAAAATAGTGATTGAACAATCGTGTTATTTTATTAGAAACTTTCAAATTATCAATTAATGGAAATGACAAAAGGGAAAATATTAAATTATTTAATGCACAATATTGATTTTTGCATTGATTTTGGAATTGAAACCTGAGTTGTGAAACAGGCAGTATTTTTTTCATTTTGTAATCACCAGGGTATGTTGACATTCATTCAATTTTAGAAAGGAAGTATATAGAAATATGTTTCTAATTTGAGGTTTTGGTAGCAAATTTGGCAGTGTCTTTTTTTATCTTTGTCATAAATCAGATAAAAGTTTAGCACTTAGAATTTTTGTGCTCTTTTGATCGTTTGACCAACATCCGTTTTTATTGTAAAATAATGCTTGTTCTCAATTTTCTCCTTTTTTATATAAATCAAAATATTTAAGTCAGGCAAGAAAGCATTTTAAGTCAAGCAGATTTGCTTTTACTTTAGGAATGTTTAGCCAGACACAATAGCTCATGCCTATAATCCCAGCACTTTGGGAGGCCAACACAGGAGGATTGCTTGAGGTTAGGAGTTCCCGACCAGCCTGGGCAACCTAGGGAAAAACCAGTTCTACCCTAAAAAAAAGTTTTAAAAAAATTAAAACAAAAAGAAGTTTTTTCTTTATTGTTCAACAACTCATTGCAAGTCTTAGTAAACTAAGCTTAGTAATGTCATGAACAGAAAGTAACTAAAACAGATGTCATAGTTAATCTAATTGCCTTGCTTATCCAAATATAATAGACAAAGTAACAGGGTCCGTTGTGAACTAAAATATGTTGCAAAGTGTATTTGCTTAACTTGGTGCATTTTACTTAGAGAAGAACTATAAAGTCCTGTTCATTCTTATTTTACTGAGTTCTAACAAAGTTTTGATTTGTTTGTACACTTAGAACACTAATAAGTGAAATGTGTCAGCCTAAGAATGTGAGAAGAGACAGAAATACCGTTAAAACTAGATGTGTGAATTTAAACAGAATGGCCTAAAGATATTTAATGCCAAAGCAAATGCAGATGAACAGTGACAGCACCTGAAATAACAATCATGATTTAAAAATAGTCACTAAATCTTTTTAAGAAAAGAAAGAATAAATTATATTTAGAGTACAGTAGTACCCCTTACAGCAGTATCCAGTTTTGCTTGCCACAGTTTCAGTTAGCCATGGTCAACCAGGATCTGAAAATAGGTGAGTACAGTGTGGTACAATAAGATACTGTATTTTGAGAGGGAGAGACCATATTCATATGCCTTTTGTTAATGTATATTGTTATGATTGTATTGTTTTATTGTTATTAATCTCTTACTATGCATAATTTATAAATTAAACTTTATCATAGGTATGTGTGTATATGAAAATACATAGTATATATAGGGTTTGGTACTGTCTGTAGTTTTAGGCATTTTGGGGGGTTGTGGAAGGCAGATGAGGAACTACTGGACTGTTTTTTATAAAATGGAACACAAATAATTTCTGAAAATATTTCCATCCAGAAATAATAATTTTAAAATATGTTAGTACCAAAGTATTCAACTCGCATACCTCTAAGAACTTATCTTCTGCAGAGTTGATTTCCAATGTTTTACTGAATGTGTTCTCATTTTTTTCTAGGCACTTACCAAGTCAAACATCATTACTAGGGAAAAATTGTAATTGGATTTTTAACTTTTTTTAAGAACTGTAAAGTACTTAACTATAAGATAGAAGGTGTTTAGATTTTTATTAATAATTTGTAAATTATTTGGACTAATGTGCATTATTAATGTAGTGTGATTACAGTGAATGTAATTTCTACAAGCCAAAAATGAAAACTGGTCTCATTACTCTCATTATATATGTATGGACTATGACTGAACTTACACATTCTTATCACTCTGGAATATATAGAAAAATCATAGTCCTTTTTTTGTTGTTTAACATATTCCTTCTGCTTATATTATTTGTTTAGAAACCTAAAAGCTACACTGCTGCTGATGCTACTCTGAAAATAAATTCTCAAATAAAGATAGATGCACACCTGAACAAAGTATGTCCAACCACTGAGACCATTTACAATGATGAGTTCTATACTAAACAAGATGTAATTATTACAGCATTAGATAATGTGGAAGCCAGGAGATACGTAGACAGGTATGTTCTTGAAATTCATGTTCCTACAGAATTGTCTTTAGTTTTCACTTCTGTTTCCCACATTACTTATTGAAAAGTTACGGAATTATCTGATTATTCCTTATGTTCCTATTGTAGTACTCCTCAAACACAAACCCTTTGATGATTTCTCATTATACTTAGAATGAAATTCAAAATCTGTAACATAACCTAAATGTTTTTCATGGAGTACTTTTCACCTGTTCACCATGCCAGAGTAACATTTACCAGTCTTCCTTGGCTCCCCTTATTCTAGCTGTATGTGCCTTTCAGTTTTTTGGCTGTCTTTTGTTTTTTCTGAATTGTAAAGCTATTTTTAATACTTTGGGGTGAGTCCCACTGCAATAGAAAACATAGAAGGAGTAACTCCTTCACCCCCAGAAATGCCCCAGGAGAGAAAGGCTACCTGAGAAGGAAGCACAAAAAGGACCCACTGCAAACTCAGGGCAAAGGGAATGCCATCAGTCCTGGGTCCTGTGAGTACTAGAGGAGGAAACGTGAGCATGGTGGGACTGGCTTCAGGCACAGAGGCGAAGGGCACGGGGGTGGACACCAAACCACAAAGCTACTTAGGTTCTTCCTTCTCGTTTTCCCTTTTCTGCTTCAGCTGCATGGTCTTCAGGTCCCTCTGCTTGTGGGCAGCAGCAGAAAGTCTGTCTTCTTGGCACTTTCCCTTAACTGTTTGCATATTCTTCTGTTTTTTCATGTTCTTCTACCAGGCAAGCTCATGCTGGTTACCCGCAGCAGCTCTGACCTGCCACCCCTCCTTCTGTCTGTGCCTTTTCCTTACCAGGCCTTCAGCACTTTTTTACCTTAGAGACTTGCACACAGTATTCTTCAGCCTCAGGAAGTTCTGTTTTTCTTGCTTTAACATTCCTGATCTCTAATCTACCTATCTACTCTTCATCTAGTTTAGCTTTTTTTCTTCATCCTTTCAGTTTCAGCCTAAATTTCTTTTTATTTATTTATTTATTTATTTATTTATTTATATTGATCATTCTTGGGTGTTTCTCGCATAGGGGGATTTGGCAGGGTCATAGGACAATAGTGGAGGGAAGGTCAGCAGATAAACAAGTGAACAAAGGTCTCTGGTTTTCCTAGGCAGAGGACCCTGTGGCCTACCGCAGTGTTTGTGTCCCTGGGTACTTGAGATTAGGGAGTGGTGATGACTCTTGACGAGCATGCTGCCTTCAGGCATCTGTTTAACAAAGCACATCTTGCACCGCCCTTAATCCATTTAACCCTGAGTGGACACAGCACACGTTTCAGAGAGCACCGGGTTGGGGCTAAGGTCATAGATTAGATCAACAGCATCCCAAGGCAGAAGAATTTTTCTTAGTACAGAACAAAATGGAGTCTCGTATGTCTACTTCTTTCTACACAGACACAGCAACAATCTGATTTCTCTATCTTTTCCCCACATTTCCCCCTTTTCTATTCTACAAAACCGCCATCGTCATCATGGCCCGTTCTCAATGAGCTGTTGGGTACACCTCCCAGACGGGGTGGCAGCCGGGCAGAGGGGCTCCTCACTTCCCAGAAGGGGTGGCTGGGCAGAGGCGCCCCCACCTCCCGGACGGGGCAGCTGGCCAGGTGGGGGCTGGCCCCCACCTCCCTCCCGGACGGGGCGGCTGGCCGGGCAGGGGCTGCCCTCCACCTCCCTCCAGGGCTGGGCGGCTGGCCAGACGGGTGCTGCCCCCCACCTCCCTCCCGGACGGGGCGGCTGGCCGGGTGGGGGCTGCCCCCCCACCTCCCGGACGGGGCGGCTGCCGGGCGGAGACGCTCCTCACTTCCCAGACGGGGTGGCTGCTGGGCGGAGGGGCTCCTCACTTCTCAGACGGGGCGGCAGGGCAGAGACGCTCCTCACCTCCCAGACAGGGTCGCGGCCGGGCAGAGGCGCTCCTCACATCCCAGATGGGGCGGTGGGGCAGAGGCGCTCCCCACATCTCAGACAATGGGCTGCTGGGCAGAGACACTCCTCACTTCCTAGACGGGATGGCGGCCGGGAAGAGGCGCTCCTCACTTCCCAGACTGGGCAGCCGGGCAGAGGGGCTCCTCACATCCCAGACGATGGGCGGCCAGGCAGAGACGCTCCTCACTTCCCAGACGGGGTGGCGGCCGGGCAGAGGCTGCAATCTCGGCACTTTGGGAGGCCAAGGCAGGCGGCTGGGGGGTGGAGGTTGTAGCTAGCCGAGATCACGCCACTGCACTCCAGCCTGGGCAACATTGAGCACTGAATGAAGGAGACTCTGTCTGCAATCCCAGCACTTCGGGAGGCCGAGGCTGGCAGATCACTCACTGTTAGGAGCTGGAGACCAGCCCGGCCAACACTGCAAAACCCCGTCTCCACCAAAAAAATATGAAAACCAGTCAGGCGTGGCGGTGCGCGCCTGCAATCGCAGGCACTAGGCAGGCTGAGGCAGGAGAATCAGGCAGGGAGGTTGCAGTGAGCTGAGATGGCAGCAGTACAGTCCAGCTTCGGCTCGGCATCAGAGGGAGACCATGGAAAGAGAGGGAGAGGGAGACCGTGGGGAGCGGGAGCAGGAGAGGGAGAGGGACCTAAATTTCTTTATCAAAACAGACTTTCTTTTCCCCCAAATTCTAAATTAAATCCTCCTATGGTGATTTTCATAACACTATGTACTTTTTCCTTCATGGCACTCATTTTTACTGATATGCATATTTATTTAATGTTTGTGTCCTCACTAAATCATTCATCCAGGGACCATTTACTTTCCGTCATTGTATCCTCAGTGCCCAACATATGATGTCATTTAGTAAATATTCCTTAAATAAGTAGATGAATGAATGACTATAAATGTGTTCACCTTACATCTTTATATGACTCCTCAATGTTAGGGTGTAGAGCAGATATATTAACAGGGGAGAATTTATCAGTTGAAAAATGTGAAAAGTATGTAATCTTGGGCCAAAGAGGGGAAGAAAATAAAACTTTAAAAAATAAAAATTTGTAGAATATAGGTATTGTAAGTGTTGAGAAAGAAGATTAATATTATTTGGGATAAAGAAAATATTGAGAAGAGATAGTGTGGTAGAACTTGTAGTTAGAAAATAACCAAAGAAGAAATATAAAGCAAGGGAAAAGGAGTAATATTGTTAGGAATTAACCTAGAGATAAAGGTTAAGAAAGCCCCAGATTTAGGGTACTACTAGATGTATATGTATATTGCAGAATAGGGGAACAGGAATGATCCACTGTTTGATAGTAGTATATCTGTTTTCCTAAAATACTGCATTCAAGAAGTGATCAGTATGTGAAATGGTCAATAGAAAGTTGTAGGTTGTCCTTTGGTTACATTGTTATTGCTCACTTTTTTGTTTTTTACTTGCTGTCTTTTCAAATAGTCGTTGCTTAGCAAATCTAAGGCCTCTTTTAGATTCTGGAACAATGGGCACTAAGGGACACACTGAAGTTATTGTACCGCATTTGACTGAGTCTTACAATAGTCATGTAAGTGAATCAATATTTTGAAATAGATGTCTTTTTTATATCTTGTAATTTTTGTCTTAATCAACAATTTGATTTAGCTTTCCTAATCCTTCTGATTTTGCTCTGCCAATGATGTTCATACATATGTGCATGTACATTTTTTAAAATATAATTGAACTTTTTTTTAATTATCAGAATTTTGTGTCTGGTGTTTCTGGAGCATTATTCTTCTGTTTACTATTTATTTCTCAGAGCTGCTTAGTTTTCTAATACCCTTTGAGTTTAAGATTGTTTGATAAGAACAAACTATTAGATTGAGACTAGAACTGTCAACAAAGACATAAAATTTTATTCACTTGCTGAGACAAAGTGAGTCATTTTAGATTAGGTAAACCAATAAACCTAGGCAAAATGTACTCTATAATAGAATGTGGATTTCTTCAATGGTACTTTATCCACAAAAAACGACTTAGGTATTTACCATTTATTTAATACATGCTTTCTGCAAGAAACCTCAAGCATTGAGGACATATTTCTGCTCCCAGATGTTTTTCTCCATGGAAAAACTCATGCTTTTCTGAGCACTATACTGGGTATTCCTGAATTACTTTTCAAAGCGGGGCAGTGTTATAAAACTTTAAATGTCACCTTGATTCATGAGGAAAAAAATGATTTATAGATGATGGTGTGTCATGAGTACTACATGGTGCTTTAAATGAGTACACAAATAATAAATAAGATTCATGTTTGGCATTACATAGCTATTAACAAATAGGTTAAATGTCAAAAGAATTAACTTCTCTTATTGCCTAAGAGAGAGAAGATATAAAAATGTCTGGTTGGATTTTATTTATTTTTGGATTTTTAATAGGCTTAAAGCTCAAAACTAGATTAAATCAATAAAAATTGGTCATTGCTTCCCCTTAAGTACCTGTTGTCATATTTTATAAATTAGCGGGATCCCCCAGAAGAGGAAATACCATTTTGTACTCTAAAATCCTTTCCAGCTGCTATTGAACATACCATACAGTGGGCAAGAGATAAGGTAAAAGTTCCTTTTTAAATTTATTTTCTTTGAAGTGAGAAAGAAGATATTTCTGACTTTAAACAGACTTCTATTTGTAATTTTTTTTTTCTTTTCTCTGTTACAGTTTGAAAGTTCCTTTTCCCACAAACCTTCATTGTTTAACAAATTTTGGCAAACCTATTCATCTGCAGAAGAAGTCTTACAGGTAAAAATCAGTAAATTTTAATACAAACTTAACACTTTGTGTCAGTGTAATCTTATTTTCAAGTCATCTACAAGTGATTTATTTTACCTCCATAAAGAGTGATTGTATATAAAAAATGAAATGATACATAAGGAATCTTGAAATTAGGTCACAAATTATCATTTTGGTTGTTTGAACTACATGGAATTGTCGATATTTGAGCATGTTCGACTCACAAAACAGCAATTCGTATGGTGCGAGCTAATAAAGATATGATAATTATGATAGAAGGGCTACAAATAATAAAAGGGCTTTTATTAAGCCCTTTGGAAAGAAAAAATTGAGGTAAGTTCTAGTTAAAATTTCATGAGGGAACAATAATCTCCAAGACTTATTACTCTTATAGTGAAGGCAACTTTAAAGATGTTTTCTCACTTTCTTTTAATCTTTTGCTAACAAGGCCCACTTTTTAGTATCAAATATTCATAGCACTTATAGTGAGTACATATATTATAGTACTAATAACTTACAGCTAGGAAAATATGAGGATAACTTGTAAGATAAGAAATCAGAGTTAAAATTTTGTATGCTATCTCTTACCATTCCCCTTCTCAAACAGAAAAGAAAAGAAAGGTTAAAGAAGAAGGAAGGGAAAAGGAGCTTGAGGTGAAAAAAGAAAAGCATAAAACACATGAGTTGACACTTCAAACTTAGGCTAACTTTTGGTGAGGGATGTGTATATGTTTGTAATTGGAAGTATGTTGATTTTTTTTTTCTCTCCCATTCTAGAAGATACAGAGTGGACACAGTTTAGAAGGCTGTTTTCAAGTTATAAAGTTACTTAGCAGAAGACCTAGAAATTGGTCCCAGTGTGTAGAATTAGCAAGATTAAAGTTTGAAAAATATTTTAACCATAAGGTAAGTATGCATTGTGAGACATTAAGAAAAGGTCTGATCTTGGCTTATTTAGTTATTAACAAATTAATTTCATTGACCTGAAATGTGTATTCTTTCTTTTGGCAAGCTTTTCAGAAATTAGTAGTAAGTTAAATGAGAACACATGCTAATCTAAAAGAAGTTTGTTCAGAATAGAAGAAGCAAGAAACTGAGAAAATAGGGACATTTAGTCAGAAATTTTGCTGAGATTTTGCCATTTCCACCCATATCTGATAATCACATTTTATGTCTGTTTCCCCATCTGTAAAATAGAAATAATAAATTTGTACCTAATACATAAGGTAGTGGTAAAGATAAAAGGAGGTAACACAAAGCATTTAGAACAGAGCCTGGCACATAAAAAATTACTAAATATTAGCTGTTATTCTTACCTCCAGTTAAATATAGTTGCTGGAATGTGTGTTGCCTTCTCTTTAGTCTTTCCCTCTCTTTAGGATCTTAAGTTCATCTTCCTTAGAAACAACTTTAAAAAAAAACAAAAAAACAGGGTTTCCCTATGTTTTCCAGTCTGGCCTGGAACTCCTGGGCTCAAGTGATCCCTGCCTCAGCCCTTAAGTAGCTGAGGCTGCATGTGCACGCCACCACACCCCACTTAAAAAATATTTCGTTTATACTTCTTCTTTTTACTTTCAACAGAGCTCTACTTCTTGGAAAAGTGGTCTGTACTACTCAATGTTACCACTTCTTTACCCAGTAAATTTGACTTCTTTGCTCATTACTCTTCAGATTGTTCTTAACATGGTTATCAATGACCCGTTTCAAAAATCTAAGGAACTCTTTAGTTCTTATCTTCTGTGCATTTTTTTTAAACTTTTTTTATAATGAAAAATATTCAGCCATAGAAATGTAGAGGAAATAGTATAATGAACCCTAATGTAATTGTCAATTACCTATCACCCAGGGTTAGCAGTTATCAATTCATAGATAAATCTTGTTTCATCACCATTCCCGTTCATTCTTACCTTCCCCCAGGTGATTTTGAAGCAAATCTCAAACATGTATCAATTTCAAAAATACAAAGTACTGTGTGTTTTTTCTGGTTTTGTTATTTAAGTACTAGCTCTTTAAAAAGAACAGAATGACATGTAAAATATGCCATTTATATAAAAAGGAGTGAAGTAATCTACATTTGTTTGCTGTAGATACCACCTCCCAATAAACCTACAAATAGTGATAGAAAATGATATTTGAATTTTTCATTTATGAGGGACATTGACAGGAGAATGGACAGATGGAATACAAGGGTGGTAGGGAGACTTCACTGTGTCTCTTTTAATGTGTTTTGATTTTTGAATCATGTGCATATATTTACTACACACATTTTTTAATTTTATTTTTTAATTTTTCCTCAGATAATATTAAGTAGTGGGTGTCTTTAATTCATTTTTTTTCTTTAGGCTCTTCAGCTTCTTCACTGTTTCCCTCTGGACATACGATTAAAAGATGGCAGTAAGTATAAATGTTGAGAATAAATTTTAATGACATTTATTACTGGCTACATACATTGAAAATGATATTTGTATCTTTTTGCCAGGTTTATTTTGGCAGTCACCAAAGAGGCCACCCTCTCCAATAAAATTTGATTTAAATGAGCCTTTGTAAGTATTTATATTTAGTTTTATGTATCCTTCATTATATATTTCTTTACTGTAAATTCCTTAACTGTACATTGCAGAGTGAAAACCTTAGGCTCTTTAATGTTAAATTATTTCATCCCTGTTCATTTAAGAGTTAACAAGTCATTCTGACCAAGAAAGCCAGCCACAACCCTTCCCACACAAATGTGAATCCATTCATTTACATGGTAAATAACCTCATTATTTATAATAAATATCTAAGGTGAAACCAAAATCACCTTTTTTACTTTATCCATAAATTAGTAAAATGACAATGTGTTTTTACATTTAATGAAATCAAATATAAGAATCTTCAGTTATATGGAGGAACAAATAATTACTACTGAATAACTCCCTAAATCTCAAATTATTTTCAGAGGAGTTGGTCTTTGTGTGAATACCTGGAAACACTATATTAGATACACATTAGATTCACACTTGTGTGTATATGTATATTTTTTCTATTTTTTTAATTTAGTTTTTATTCTTTGAAAGAGACAAGGTCTCACATATGTGGCCCAGCCTGGTCTTGAACTCCTAGGCTCAAGCAATCCTCGCACCTCAGCTTCCCAAGTAGCTGGGATTACAGGTGCATACCACCACACCCAACCTTATGTATATATATTTTTAAACACTTAGCTTGCATTCACTAACCTTCCTTTCAGCAGATAACTCTATGCTTAATTTTCTCATCTGGTGGTGGTTTTAGGCTTCCAGTCACCTTATGCTGGACTGCTTCTTCTATAAGACTTTCTTTTTTTGTTTTTAAATAAACACATTTACTTAGTTTGAACTTGATATATACTCATTAAGACCAAATGTATAATATTTCTTATGACTTAAAATGAATTATTGTTCACTGGTCTGAGTTTTCTGGTTCTGTCCACTCACTCCTCTTCCCAAGGTAGTCATGATCACTACCTGAATGTTAAGTGTTTTTGAGAATAACTGTTTGATGTTTTGTCTTTTATAACTTCTGTAGTGTTTTGGTGTAGACCAGAATATTTTTGTCTAACTTAAAAAAAAAAACTTGAAATAATAATTCTGTGGTTATATTTCTTCAAACTACATTTAAAGGCTATAGTTCATAATGAGTTAAATATCGTCTTTAAAACTGTACATTCAAATTTTGCTTTATTTTTTAATTTCAAAAGGCACCTCAGTTTCCTTCAGAATGCTGCAAAACTATATGCTACAGTATATTGTATTCCATTTGCAGAAGAGGTAAGATATTCTTTAAGCCTTAGCAAGTGATGCAAAACCAAATTAGAATTAGATGACTGATGCACTAATTGCATCAAAACATGTTTGTTTGTTATAAGAATCACTCTTTTTGATACAGAATTTTTATTGTATTTTTACCCATACTAACATAATGGAAGCTAAAAGCTCATTGCAGTATTGCTAAGTAGAAGTCGGATTTTTCCTTCTGAATTGAAGCAGTGAAACAGCATTATTTGTTAAAAGCAGTTAAACTTTGTTTTAAGAATATTTATAACCTGCTTAGCAGCTTCAGTTATCCTAGTTATTCTAAAAAGCCACAGCAAACCATTTCATCGCAATTTTGAAATACTGCGTAGAGATTTTCTTTGTTAACATTTGTTTGTTATTTTGTGATAATTTATGTGCTTTTCAGGAAATCTGAAAATGCTCCCTTATATTGACATTTCTTACTTTAGCATCATACTCATTCTCTTAAACATCATCTTCATTGACTAACATCTAAAGAGCCTCATACGGTTTTGAGAGGCATCTCTTTTCTTCACAAATGCATATTCTAGCTAAGTAAATTGCTGTACTTTTAGGTGGGCTAAATAGAGAAACATGAATCAGATCCCATAATTAACACTGGCTGTTTTGGATTCAGATAACAATATCTGTTTTAGATTAATCCTTTTTGGAATTCATACAAATAAACTGTAAATATTTGGTAAAAATAGTGGCATTCAGTCTGATATTCTTTTTGGGAAAATCAGTGGTAATTTAGTGGTGAGTGTGGTAATTGACCTCAAAAGCACTAAGTCTCAGCCTTTGCCAAGCAACTTCTCAATGACAAATGTAAATACAACCCATAGCTTTAAATTCATATAAGTTCATCTTTAACCATTTAAATATCTCCCTCCTTCTTAAGGTATGAATTCCATTTACTTATTTTACTTATTGAGTATAACTTACTTCAGGGAACTTTGTAAAACATTAAAAACATAAAACATAAAGCTAAGGGAATTAAAACTGACTGATCAAGTCACTCAGTTTTATATTTACAACCAGTCCTAAAAATGCCTTTTAAAAAATTTGCAGAAGGACTAAAATTTCAAGTTTGTTGACTAATAAGTACTTTTTTACCCCTTACCTTCTCCTCCCCCATAACCTTTATGGGGGGATATTTTTATAGAAATAAAGATAAATGTCTCAAATGGATGTCTACATATTCAGATAATGAAATATTCATATATTGTAATATGATTAAGGACCTTTTGTAGGATATTTTTAGCTTTAGAATTTAGAAGAATATGTTTGTTGGTAAAATTACTTTTTTAAAAACAGGACTTATCAGCAGATGCCCTCTTGAATATTCTTTCAGAAGTAAAGATTCAGGAATTCAAGCCTTCCAATAAGGTATGTTTAAAAAATCATTCATTCAGCAAATAGTTTGGGAATTTGGACTTGTACCAAGTCCCATTCTAAACCTGGAGAATATCACAATGAATGGTTCTTGCTCTTGCTCTTGTCAGTGCAACTTGAGTTTGAAGTAGATTTGTCAGAATCACAAACTGTTGATTAATACTAATTTTATTCTAGTGTGGAATTTTAAAAAAGATCAGTATAGACTTAGATTGTATGAGCTACTCAGTTAATATTTTTTTATGCCCACTATATCATTGTGGGTATTAAAAATTAGATATATTGGAGTTCTGTCAGTGAACAAGATACATAAAGATCCCCTGTTGTTATAGAGCTTACATGCCTTTGTGAGAAGATAGATAATAAAATACATACATGAATAACATAATAATACCTTCTGAAGGAATGTATAAAATACATTGGACCAATGTATTTTGGGCGGAGAGGGACTATAAACAAAAATGCTAATAAGTACATAATATTGCAGTGTGAGTGTAAGTGCTAAGAAGGAAAAATACAACAGGGAAAAGAAAGAGTGATGGAGCTGGTATAATTTTATATGGGATGGAAGTGAGGAAAACCTCTGATAACAGTAACATTTTAGCAGAAACCTGAAGGAAGTAAAGGAATAGTGAAAGAGCAATGTAGGCAGCAGAAATAAGTGCAGAGAAAGGCCTTGAAAAGCTTTTAAGGTCAGGACTCGTCTAGAAGAGAATATACAAGGGGAAGAGTCTTAAATGAGGAAATTACAGAGATAGTTGGGGCTATGATAAAGAAAGAATATTTTCTTAGTTGAAATAAGAAGCTAGCTTAGTAGCTCAGAGTGAAGGGGATAAGAAGATAAAGGAAGTAAGAGCAAAGAAAAGAAGGTATGAAATAATTGTCCAGTGAAGTGGAAGAGTCACTTAATTAAAAGATGTAGTAAAACGCAAGACAATACTGAAGATCCACTTAATGTTAATCTGCTTAATGTATCCTACTAAATGTGGCTGGAGAAAGGGTAATGATCTTTTCTCCAGCCAGAATTTAGCTGCTTGGGTGGTATTATACTGTATAATGGATGGAAAATTGGATATAACTAGGGTTGGGATTTTGCCAGGCAAATACATTGAAAAAAAAAAAAAAAAGCAATAGGGAGTATTGGTAAAGATGGAACATGAAATTTAGGCAATGTAAATAAAAAAGTTTGAAAACTTTTTTTTCTTTTTTACATGTTCAGTATATGCCTTTCTTGTATGTTCTCTAAAAATCATCCACAAAATTTAGCTATACCAGAAAAGGTGGAGTAATGACCACCTCCCTGCAAAATTCAAGAAAGAAGTGACGTGTGCAGTCTTTCGTTCTGCGTTTTTATTTTAGGAAAAAAAAAAAAGACTTGTAGGGCAGTTGATTTTGCCCAGGTAGATGGATTTGCAGAACACAATGTTTATGACTTATAGCCTATAAAGAATAAAAATAGGGTGAGGATAAACAGAAATCCCAAAGAAGGTTCCCAGCCCATGTTTCCAAGGGCAAAACTAGAGAGAAGCCAAGGAAAAATGCTTTAACTTTACTTTCCGTTATTGCTCTTGCTTCGGTATGTTTTCTGGCTTGCATTGCTTCTATCTGTGTTAAAGTCTGAGGGTAATAAATTCTCCTGAGCAATTTAACTACAGTTTTAACATGAACTGTGGGCTTTTTCACAACTCCCTAAAGGAGCTCACACCGAAGTTTCAGGTATGGTACTGCTGGTTACAGATGTCACAGCCAAAAATATCAACTAGCCATTCAGACAAACAAAAGTTTCTCCTTCCTGGACTCCTTAATATTTCTTAATTTTTTGTAATAATGTTTAATTTGTAAAACGATGATTTGAGTGTATTTTTAAATAAATATTACTTCATGATAATGAAGCTAATTTCTTGGTTTGAGAATATTAATTTCCGTGCCCTCAGGGAATATCTAATAAGTAATTTCTTAAGGTTAAATTACTTGTGGTATGTACTCCCTTAATCCTACCAAACTTTCTATATGAAAGAAGGCATATTCTTAAGGAAAAAACTTAACAGCAGTCAGTGAATATTTAAAGGATGGCCATATTATATATCTTATGGATTGCTTTAGTTTCCTTGATGTGAAGCAGCTCTGTACTAGTTAGAGCAAAGCAACATGCGTTTAAAGTAGATTTGTCAGAATCACAAAGTGTTGATTAATACTAATTTTATTCTAGTGTGGAATTTTTAAAAAGATCAGTATGGACTTAGATTGTATGAGCTACTCAGTAAATATTTTTTATGCCCACTGTATCATTGTGGGTATTAAAAATTAGATATATTGGAGTTCTGTCAGTGAACAAGATACATAAAGATCCCTGTTGTTATAGAGCTTACATGCCTGTGCGAGAAGATAGATAATAAAATACATACATGAATAACATAATAATACCTTCTAAAGGAACGTATAAAATACATTGGACCAATGATTAATAATCTGATCAAAATATATAGAGAAAATATTTTCTCTTTGTAATTTGATAAAACAGTTAAATGGTAACCAAACAGATGCAGGAAATGATAACATTAATAAAAATATATTCATATATTCAAAGGTTGTTCAAACAGATGAAACTGCAAGGAAACCAGACCATGTTCCTATTAGCAGTGAAGATGAGAGGAATGCAATTTTCCAACTAGAAAAGGCTATTTTATCTAATGAAGCCACCAAAAGTAAGGGAAAATCTTTATAAAAATGTTTTGAACTGGATGAGTTTTTATTTTCACTAAGCTCTACACCTAAGAATTTGTGGAATTTAATCACAACAATAATAATGATGACAATATTGATTGATTTCATGATCATATTAAAGTCAGTGTTCATCTTTAACTGTGACTAAATTCATCATCTTCCCCACTATTGCCCTACTCTCAAAGATTGAAGTCTAATTCTCCAAATCACATTAACTGCATTGTTGTTGTTTTTCTGATTGTTTTAGTTCTTTAGATGGTGAGCAGGTCTAAAACCATGAATGAAAAGCTCTGTTTTTAAGGAATTAAAAATTCAGTTTAATGGGGTCCTTGTGGAAACTAATCTTTGGACAGACCCATTTAAATCACTTTAGGATAAAGAACTATAAACAGAAATATTCTTAGGTTCTTAGTCTTTAGTAATTAGGTTCATAATTACTGACAGGGAATACAGAATGACCTATATATACTTCCTTGCTAGATGGACTTAAATATAAAAATACAGGAAAACTGAATTTTTAATTCCTTAAAAGCAGCCATACACTCATCTGTTTTGACCTGCTCACCGTCTTTTAGTTTTATAAATCAGTGGTTTCCAAACTTTTGAGATTTTAAGCATGGACCAGTAGAATTTCAGGAAAAATAACCCAGAATAACAATAATTAGAAGGATCTTGGGAACCACTGATCTACAAAGATTTCAGAAATTACTTATTTTAATTTGACCAACTGACCCTGTTCTTAGTTACCAGAGGGAAAATGTTTCAGAGTCGGATTTATGGAATAAATTTTTGAACTATACCTAATGTTGGCTTTTTTATTGTAAACCACTTGATAGGAGATGTGCAGTACACAACTTTCTTATTTTGCTATTTATTAAAAAGTTTTTTTAAATACAGAAACGTCTCTAGTTTAGTGGCATTAAAACCATCGTTTTTTTTTTTTTAATTAAAAAAAATTGGCTCTCTTTAATCATGGGAAAAGCTGTTTTTGTGGCCTTCAATAACATTAGTTGCCTGAATTTTTCTTATGTTTCTCAGTCATTAAAAAATATAAAAAGGAATCTTTGAAAGTTAGTAAATTCACATTGCTTTTTACCTAGTAAAATCTTTACTGCTTGCTGTGGAACTTTGTTTATCTGGTTGGTATAATCAGGTGACCTTCAGATGGCAGTGCTTTCATTTGAAAAAGATGATGATCATAATGGACACATAGATTTCATCACAGCTGCATCAAATCTTCGTGCCAAAATGTACAGCATTGAACCAGCTGACCGTTTCAAAACAAAGCGCATAGCTGGTAAAATTATACCTGCTATAGCAACAACCACTGCTACAGTTTCTGGCTTGGTAAGTTTATTATTCCTTGAATAAAAATGCTCCTTTTTCATTGCCTCTTCCCTGACTTCCCCGTCATACCAACCCAGTCACTCAGAGATGTTAGAGAGGGAAGGATAAATATTGGATCTCATAATTTAAAATTTCAAAATATTTTCTGAAAATGCAGTCATCTGTATTGTGAAGTATTACATAAATATACATTTTTAAAATAAAAAATAAGCTCAAGATAGATTATGATTTTTCTTATAGGCAATAATCTTTTCACTGATCTTTACGTCATTCATACAAAGCAGGTACTCTGTTTTTCTTGAATAAAATGAACTTCCCTAATCTTTATTCATAATGATTCAGAATCTTTAAGTGCGGCCCTAGTTATTATACCATATTACATCATTACTCTATGTAATTATCTATGAAGCTATGTAGTTATTTACCCCTGTATTAAGTGATTTTAGACTGTTGTTATTTTTTGAGTTACAGCATGTGCTTTCAAAATAGGGAGACTGTATGGTTGAATTAATATTTTTTTAAATAACTGTTAACATGTATAGAGTAGGTTGAAAGTTTGAAAGTATAAAATATACTAAAAGTATACAGACCTGTAATAAGAAATTTATATTACTATAGTCCCATAGCTGCTTTTACTATCCACAGAGAAATGCTTGAAAACGTGAAAGTTGAATAGATGCAATTAAAATCACGGATAGTTTTAGGCTGTTTATATTATCAGATCACCTTCTTTTATCTAGGTTGCCTTGGAGATGATCAAAGTAACTGGTGGCTATCCATTTGAAGCTTACAAAAATTGTTTTCTTAACTTAGCCATTCCAATTGTAGTATTTACAGAGACAACTGAAGTAAGGAAAACTAAAATCAGGTATGTATGAAAGTCTATTTCTCTTGTATAATGAGAATGAAATAAAATATTTTACCTTTTAAAAGGGAAAAATACTAGCTTCACCTCTTTTTTCTTCTATTGTGTATGTGTAAATTTTTGCCATCACTTCAAGATCAGCTCAAACCTCATCTTCATTAAATATTTCTGACTAAAGTAGCCAAAGAACCCTTACAGCACTTTATCTGCCACATTATTTGGCATTATGGTTTCATCTGTGTCTGCCAGATGAATTAGAAGGTACCCTGGTGTCTGACTGTAGGTCATGAGATTTAGAAGAATTCCACAAGCTTGAGACAAAGCAGAACAATTCCTGGGCCTGTACTTTTTAGTTTTCAGATTGGCAACAACCAAAAACTTGAAAAAAAACCTACCTTAACAAGGGTGTGAGAAAGCAGACACTCTCATACATTACTAATGAGAGTACAAAATACTATAATCCACAGTAAGGGATATATAGCACTATATTTCAGATACATTTGCACAAGTCTCAAACTATATATTTGCAAGATAATTATTCTGGCATTATTTATCGTGGCCAATGATTAGAATAACCGAAGTGTCCAGTAATGGGGTACTGGAACATCCACACAGTGAAACCCATTTTAAAAAGAGAGAGACAACACTGTCTTGCTAAAACATACTGATTTATAATACACTGGAAGGATCAGCAAGGTACTGATTAAAAGTGGTTATCTATATGATGTGATGAAGAAATAAGATTATGGAATATTTTAGAAGATATATTATCCTTTATTTCCCCACATTAATTTCTAGCCTGATCACAAATAATGGACTTCTGAAAGTGGGTTTTTTTTGTGTGTGTGTCATCACTAAAAGGAAGAAAATTTCAATGTTTCTGTTCTGAATATTTTTCTGTAACAGAAATGGAATATCATTTACAATTTGGGATCGATGGACCGTACATGGAAAAGAAGATTTCACCCTCTTGGATTTCATAAATGCAGTCAAAGTGAGATACTTTTGTTCATTTAGTTCATTAGTAGCTTTATGTCTGGTTTCTGTTTTGTTTTTATTTATAATTTTATTGGAAGTTATAATTATTTACCATGAATTTGCTTTTTTTACTGGTCATAAAACATTGTTTACGAACAATGTTAAATAAGCATTTTATGTTTGAGCGAGGCTTTCATTGTTTCTTTTTTGGATATTCACTTTTAGGAGAAGTATGGAATTGAGCCAACAATGGTGGTACAGGGAGTCAAAATGCTTTATGTTCCTGTAATGCCTGGTCATGCAAAAAGATTGAAGTTAACGTAAGTATTCAACATTATATGCAGCGATTAACAAGAATTTAAATGTAAGTTGATGCACACTAAAAAATTAAATATAGAGGTTACTATAATTCAGATAAAAGCATTAGTCTTGTCTAATGACATTAATAAAGACAGTGAATCTGCCAGGTGAAGGCCAACAGGCTACCTCTCGAGAGATTCAGCTCTTCAGTTAATAGGTTTAGAAACCTGATTTGGCCAGTACACTTAAGTAAAAGTGGATCCGTCTCTTATGTTGAGACACTTAATGACCAGGCTTATGAGTAATCTAACTGCCAAATCACTATTTTTGTTCATTTATTCAACAAATTATTGTTTAAGGTGCCAGCTGTGTGCCAGGTACTATTCTAGTCATTAGGGAGATAGCAGTTAGCAAACCAAAGTTCTTTCCTACTTAAGGAGTTTGCATAACAATAAGGCAAGTATGTTAGGTGATAGTAAGTATTATGGAGAAATTAAAGAAGAATAAAGAGAAAAGGAAATATGGGGAGTTGGGGGTGTTGAGTTGCTATATTATACTGAGTAGTCTAGGTTTTCCCTTTGCCTATCATAGTCTCACCTGTTAAGGTGGAATTTGAGCAGAGACTGAAAGGAAGAAAGAACCAAAGAAAGCTAAAGTCTTTATCGTGGTCTGCAAGACTCTAAATTTAGATTCCTAGTTATCCTTCTAAGTTCCTTCCTTACTTTCCCTTCACAATATTCCAGCTACACTGGCCTCCTTATTTGTCCTTGAATACTCACTCTAATCATGCTCCAGCATGGGACCTTTGCTTTAGTTGTTCCCTCTGCTTGTAACTCTGAGACAGTGACCTGGCCAAGTCTCACCCCTGGTCTTTGCACTTCCTAAAGAGGCCTCATTTAATACTGCAACCTGTCCTCAGCCCCAGTCTAGTATGTCTAGTCCCCTTTACTCTTCTCTACTTTTTCTTTTTTTCAGAGCACTTATTACTGTCCTATGACTGCTGTGCTGCTGTGTATTTTGCTTATATTTATTGTTTGTTTGTTTTTGAGACGGAGTCTCACTGTGTCGCCTAGGCTGGATTGCAGTGGCGCGATCTCAGCTCACTGCAACCTCTGCCTCCTGAGTTCAAGCGATTCTCCTGCCTCAGCCTCCCGAGTATAGCTGGGATGACAGGCACCCAACACCACACCTGGCTAATTTTTGTATTTTTAGTAGAGACGGATTTCACCATGTTGGCCAGGCTGGTCTTGAACTCCTGACCTAAGGTGATTTCTCCCGCCTCAGCCTCCCAAAGTGCTGGGATTACAGGCGTGAGCCACTGTGCCCGGCCCATGTACTGTATATTAGCTATTTACCTGCTACTAGAACATATATTTCACAAGAGTGGGAATCTTTATTTGATCTTGTCACTGTTGTATCTCAAGCACTTAGATCAATACCTGGCAAATAAAAGGTTACCAACAAATATTTGTCAGACTAGTAAATGAATCTCTGCATGATGGTTGTGTTTAACGTATCTATTGGCTTTAACTATGATAATCAGTTGAGGTTAATCATTCTTAAATTATGATCTAGTCTGAATTATCTGTACCTTAAAAAGTAAAACTACTATTTTATTAGCTAAGGCATTAATTTGCCTTATATTATTTTTCATTAGGATCCCTCAGTATCTTTTGGATCAAGCAAGGCTAGTGTTTAGAATTCCTTTATTTTATGCTGCAGTGGACTGTACGTGATCATAAAGTGTATTGACTAGTGGAGTTTAAAATTTGCGGCAGGTTATTTAAAAATGCTTTTAAGATTTGGCCAATATTTGAAACCTCCAGCATGATAATATTTTTCATTTTATTACATTGACCTTTTAGCAAGTATTTATTGAGTACCTGTTAAGTACTGAACACATTAAGTCAGTCAGTGGGATTATGATTAATAGCATGAGGTTGGCTTTAGAAAGACCTGGGTTCACATTCTTGCTCAGCTGCTTAGTTTTGTTACCTTGAGTAGCTTTTGAAACTTAGTTTCAAAAAGCTACAAATCCACAAATAGGGATGACTGTGCCCATAGTTGAGCACTGAAATAATAGTAAGGGCTAATAGTGTAATGGCATGTAAGAAGTATTCCATAAATGTTAGTCCTGTTAATATTTTGTTATCATACATGGTCATCAAGCCCTGCCCTCAAGCAGTTCACAGTCTATTAAAGGAAATTGATTCCTAGTTATCCTTCTAAGTTCCTTCCCTACTTTGCCCTCACAATATTCCAGCTACACTGGCCTACTTATTTGTCCTTGAATACTCACTCTAATGATGCTCCATTGTAGGACCTTTGCTTTAGTTGTTTCCTCTGCTTGTAACTCTTGAGACAGTGACCTGGCTAGGTCTCACCTCTGGTCATGTTAATCATTAAAGTATAATTGAATAACTGTGATAATGAAAATTTTTACAGAGTATTGTGCTAACTCAGACCTCTAGTTCAGGGTAGATTTCATTTGAGCTACCTTTGAAGAAGGATTATTCCAGGCAAAAGCAACAGTCTTTGCAGCTAAAAAGAGCATACATACAAAAGTAAAGCTACTGTTATATTAGCTAAGGCATTAATTTGCCTTATATTGATTTTCATTAGGATACCTAAGTATCTTGGATAAATTAAGAGTAGTATTTAGAATTCCTACTAAATTCTGAATTTGGGAATTTAGAATTCACTTTTTTTTTGGAATGACTCAAGTATGAGGTGATGATCATGAATGGTGGAAAGAATGAAAAGTTTATGTACGGGACAAAATATCTTTGTGAAATGGAAAGAGCTACTGAGGATTAAATCGATATAGTTCAGAGCCTGGCATGAAGTAGGTACACAGTGTATGATAAAATTATTAGGCAGGAGAATACATCAAATTTATATTTTAAGAGAATTCTAGGAGCAGTGTAGATTGGAAGTAGAAAAGAGACTAGAGAAAGCTAGCTAGAAGCCAATACAATGATGTAAGGGGTGTGTAGATGATGACTTCATTTAAGGCAGTAGTGGCTATAGCAAAGAGTGATTTTTCAGTAAATAGGATAAAGATTGGACATAAGGGAAAAAGCTAAGAATGTCTTTTACTTTGTATTTCTAGCTTACATTTTAAGGTTTAAATTCTAGCTTGCTTTTTTACTGTTTACAGAGAAATGCTTGAATTTATGATGCCTCCAAACTTAAGAGGAAGTTTAGGAGGAAAATCAATTTTTTAAAATCGTTGCAACCTCTGTCTCCCAGGTTCAAGCAATTCTCTTGCCTCAGCCTCCCGAGTAGCTGGGATTACGGGCATGTGCCACTGTTCCCGTCTCGTTTTTGTATTTTTAGCAGAGATGGGGTTTCGCCATGTGGGCCAGGCTGGTCTCAAACTCCTGACCTGAGGTGATCTGCCTGCCTCAGCCTCCCAAAGTGCTGGGATTACAGGCGTGAGCCACCACGCTGAGCCTTTTTTTGTCTTTTAATAAATGGTTTGTATTCTTTATCATGACCAGTGTGTCCAAATTTATTCACTGTTAGGTAAATGAGTGTCTTGAGTATAAATGAGTTCAGACCTTTTAGTAAAGAAAAATGAATATGTGAAAGCAGATTATTATTAGATGTTAAAGTCTAGATACAAGTCCAGGTTCTCTGGATGGCATTAGTCAGCAAATCATTTTTTCATTTTATAGAATTTACCAAAGTATTCATTCTTGCTTATTTTTCTTAGAATGCATAAACTTGTAAAACCTACTACTGAAAAGAAATATGTGGATCTTACTGTGTCATTTGCTCCAGACATTGATGGAGATGAAGATTTGCCGGGACCTCCAGTAAGATACTACTTCAGTCATGACACTGATTAATACAAGTTGTCTTAACGTTACTCCAGGACCACTTGATTTTGGAAAGAGTGCACTTAATTCAGAAGCTAAAGAAAATCAGTTCATAATACTATGGATTTCTCTTTCATTAAGCCTTAATTTTAAGGGAAACATCAGTAAGAAACTGCACTGAAGAATTATAAAACATTTTGGGGCATAGCATACACTTGTCTAACGGTTCACACGTGGCTATGATCACAAGCAACTTTGAACTGGAATGCTATTTACAAAAGTTTTGTGTATTAATCTGTGTATTAATCTCTCTGGATAAAAAGAAGGAAAAAATATGTATGACCAGAACAGATATGGATGAAGAAATTGAAAGCAACGAATGCAACTATTCAAAAAGTTTAATTTTATGAATTTCTTTTTTGTTTAGTCTTGAAGACTGATTTTCTATGCAAATAGTGTTTGGCATCCTGCACCTCTGATATGATTTGGCTTTGAGAATTTAATACCACTGGGAAGAAGTATGGTAGTGGTGGATGAAGGGTGGATATTTTAAATTGTGCAGTTACAGTTTACTGTCCTATTACCTCTGCTCGTTTAACCAGTTTGTTATATCACTGTGTCCCCAAAATCAGGATTTTTGTTGATAGCATCAGTGTTGTAGGAGCAATAGGTCAGATGAGACATATTAACTTAGACTAAACGTGAACAGTATTATATGGACTCTCACAACGCTCTTAGAGAATCCGTGAATGTGAACAGACAAATGTGGCTAACCATTTGATTCTTCAGTATGCCTTCTAATGTGGCTATTTTATTTATGTGAGACTCTAAACCTGATTGTCCTAATATATAAAACTAAAAGATTTTGTAAAGGGAGTGTCTTTAGAAATAGATGAAATGTAGAATGTTAAAAATTATTGCTAGGGTAGTCTTTTTTTTTTCCAGAAACCTAATTAGGGTATTAAATTTTGTGTTTTTTTTGTTTTTTTTTTTTAAACAGAAGCATGTTATTTCATTCCCATTCCCAGAAAGGGAGTTAATGAAGATAAAAATTTATTTTTTAAGGTCTTTATTGAGAGAAACTTTGTTTTCTGATATGAACTATTGCAGATGTTTTTATAAATACTTTCATTAAAATGATGTAAACAGTAGTACCCAACACTGTAAACTCAGTGAAAATAGTAAATGATTCTTTTATTACTAAGACTGTCATGCATTCTGAAGCAGTTGGCTTTTTTTTAACCATAGGAAGTAATTTCCCTCTAGCTCCTTTCCTTCTACTCTCCTGCTCAGACCATTAGTAGGTACTTTGTTAAATAAAAAACTAGATTAACATCAATATTACTCCAATTTGGTATCTTTTACACTATGTATTATACCTACTTTCTTTTTATTTCATTTACAAATAGTTTAAATTACTTTATCAACCAGCTGTATTGTTTCCCTCTTGTAAAAGTACCATCAAGTGGGGAAAATGTATGTGGAAGTGGAGAGTGAATTTGTATGACTAAAGGATAATCTGTACATGGGGAAGTGGGCAAAAGTGGATAGGATGAATTTAAAGAAAATGACTACCTTTGGAAAAAAGAAATTAAATTTTGTTCACATATCCTACCCTTTCCCATTGTGCATATCCCAAGTGTCATATTTAAAACTAAGGTTACTTAAAACAGAATCCAGGAATATCAAGGCTCTGTGGCTTGGAATTTTAGAGGATAGGACTAATAAAAGGACTTTTGCAAAGAAGGCTTTTTTCCACGTTCACTTTGTTTTGTGTTCTTTGAAAGTAACTGATACTTTTCGGGTAGTTAATTCAGCAGTCCATAAATATGATCCAGTAACTTGCTTATATTTTATTGAAGTCTCGACAGCTCTTCAGAAGTAAATTTAGAACGATGCTGTCAGTTCATATTTATAGATATTAGTGTTTTAGCAGATAAAACAAAATCAACAAAAATTAAGTTCATTTTGTGATTAAACCTGCAACCATTTTTCCATTACTTTTTTTCTATAGTTAATGGTTATTGCCATGATTTCTTCTGTTTGGTTCTACTAAGCTAGAAAGCCAGGGTGAAGTTAATGATAATTCCCATTATTTTATTTCTGTACCATGAGATTGCTGTTGATGACTGAAATACCAGGTGCAAAAATTAATGATTTGATTTTTGTACAGTTTCAATGAGTATTTTTTACTTATTAAAAATAAATTAAGAAATGTAAGAATATCTTTGTAAATCATGTTTCATAAGTTGACTCCAGAGATTCTGATTTTGCTGTTTATTTTGTGAGTAATGTTGCTTTGGTGTTTCCTGATTTTCAAGTTTGCAATCATGGAGATACAGCAGTTATTAGGTGTGGAAGGACATTACCTCAAATGTCCTCAGATGGCTCCAGGAAATTCTTTTAAAACAGTTGGAGAGAAATAGTCGTGACCATGTAAAACCTAGAGGATCTGGTAAATCCCATACTACTGGTTAGGGATTTGTAAAGTCCATTTCTTTTTAGAGTTCAAAGCAGTTCTGTTACTTGTCCATAAGTTCCTCATAAATTGTCCCAAAGGTAGGACATGGAAATAAATGTATATCTTTATTTTTTAATCTACTATGTCACACTCTGGTGATATTCATGGAACATTAAAAAAGCAACTATGTTTATTTTATAATTAGTAAAATGAAGATAGAAAATTGTTCTTTTGAAATTTTTAGGGAAAAAAAAAATCTCGTGACCTAAATCTTTCCACTATAATGAATATTCATTGTGATTGCAAATATCTAATTTTATATAATCACTGTGTATGGATTTAGCGATTTTACTTTTCATAGATTCAAAAACATATAATCTGAATGCTTTCTCTGAAAAAAAAAAAATCAGAGTTGAGCTCTTGAGGATCAGAGTTAAGTATCCATTGATAATATGTGTTCATTTTGCTCTATGTCATAACTTTGTTTTTTTATTGAGAAATATATATTTTTCAAAAACACATATATATTCAAAAATACATAAAATATAAATATGCAGTTCAAGGAATAATTTTAAAGCAACTATATAACTAGCACTCAGCTTAGTAGAATATATTGACAGCAGTTCAGAAATTACACATGTAGTTCCTTCCCAGTCACAACCAGCTCCCTGCCACGTACCCTTTGGTAATTACCACTATCCTACCTTGTATGATAATTGTCTCTTTGTTTTTATAGTGTTACCACCTATGTGTGTAAACTTAAACAATACAGTTTGCTTGTTTTTGAGTTTTATTTAAAATCATACATTCTTTTGTAGCTGCATTTGTTCAAGATGGGATTGATTCATGTTGGTTGTAGCTGTACTTTATTCTTCATTATGTCTGTGTAATTTACTTTTCTGTTAATATGCCACAATTTATTTACTGTAGACAATTGGGATGTTTTTAGTTTCAGGCAATTACAGTTTCACAATGAACATCATTTTATGTAACTCCTAGTACAAAGAGTATATATTTAGGAGTAGAATTTTTTGGTCATAGGGTATTCATATCTTAAATTTTATTAGATGATTACAAATTTTTTTCTAAGCATTAGTATGTTGGTTGGTTTTGTGTTGCTATAAAGGAATATCCAAGACTCGGTAATTCATAAAGAAAAAAGGTTTATTTGGCTCATGGTTCAGCAGGTTGTACAAACATTGCACCAGCATCCCTGCAATCATGGCAGAAGGCAAAGGAGGAACTGGCGTATCACATGGCTAGAGGAGCAAGAGAGAAATAGAGGAAGTCCCAGATCATTTTTAAGAATCAGATCTCACATTAACTCATGGAGCAAGAACTCGTCATCTCAACGAGGGCACCAAGCCATTTATGAGGGATCCAGATATCCATCCCCATAACCCGAACACCTCCCACCAGCCCTCACCTCCAACACTGGGGATCACATTTCAACATGATATTTGCAGGGGACAAATATCCAAACCATATTTCTCCATATCTTGGTCAGTGCTGGTGTTAACAGTTTTTGTTTTTAATTTTGCCAATCTGGTGGATGTGCAATTGTATCTCATTGAAGTGTCACTCTGCATTTCTCTATTACCTGTGAAGTTGAGTATTTTTTCATAAGTTTATTGGCCAATTTGACTTTCTGTTTTTGTAAAGTATCTTGTCAGGACTGCCACACGTTTTTGTTGTGTTGCTAATCTTTTTCCTCATTGATTCATAAAGGATCTTTATAAATCTTATTCTTTGTTGGCTGTATAGTTGCCAATATCTTCTCCCAATTTGTGGCTTGCCTTTCCCTCCCTTATGATGTTCTTTGATAAAAACAATTTATTAATGGTTAAGTACTAGGAAGTATGAGTGTTTTAAAATTAGAGCGTGAGTTGTTTTAAAAAACCATTCCCTACCCTGGAGTCATGAAGATAGTCTTATATATCGTCTTCTTAAAGCTTTAGTTTTGCCTTTCATATTTAAATTTTTTTCATGAGGAATTAATTTGGTGTATGCTAGGAGATGCCTCACTACCGTTTATTGAAAAATCTGGGTTTTATTCCTCCTTTCTATAGTGCCACCAAAGTCATGTATTATACCCGTATGTGAATACAGATTTCATCAACATCTGTTGATGAAAAGAGTCAAACTCTGTAAATATTTTCAGAGATTATTCTGAGCCAAATATGAGTGACCATGGCCTGTGACCCAGCCCTCAGGAGGTCCAGAGAACATGTGCCCCAGGTGGTCAGAGTACATCTTGGTTTTATATAGAAGGCATGAGACATCAAATACGTTTAAGAAATGCATTGGTTTGGTTCAGAAAGGCAGGACAACTCAAAGCGGGGGCTTCCAGGGTATAGGTTAATTTAAAACATTTTCTGGTTGACAATTGGTCGAGTTTATCTGAAGACCTGGGATCAATAGGAAGGAAATATTCAGGTTAAATAAGAGATTGTGGAGAACAAGTTTTATTGTGCAGAGGAAACTCTCAGCAGACTTCAAAGAGAGCAGGTTGTAAAGTGTTTCTTATTGGACCTAAAAGGATGCCTGGGTCTTAGTTGATTATCTCCTGGATTTGGAAAGGAAGGAAGGACAAAAAAAAAATGGGTAAAGGGGAAAGGGGATTCTTTATAGAATGTAGATTTTTCCCACAAGGGATGGCTTTGCAGGGCCATTTCAAGATATGGCAGAGAAACATATTTCGGGGTAAAATATTTTGATTTTCTTTCTTGTTATGCCAGAGTCAGATTGGAAAGTTAAGTCACAATATACAGGGTTAAATAAAACCCATCTGATGAGAATTTATGGTTTGTAGAGCATGACTCCCCAGACTCCTTAGACAGGAATTTGGGCAAGATAACAAAATATCAGAGCTTAGTCCTTACATCTCTTTCTAAACATTTTTTCCCTTTTTTCTATCCCTGTGCTAGTATACCATCATCATCATCATTGTAGCTGATATATTCTTGATATCTGGCCAAACAAATCCTCCCAACTTATTGTTCTTTTAGAGTATCTTGGTTATTCTCAGCCCCTTGTATTTTCAGTTCTCATATTTCTAATTGAAAGCATGTAAATTTGTCACTCCTGCAGTTTCTAATTGTCTTGCTGAAATTTTCAATTTCTTATCTGCTTCAAAATGAAAAGCATAATTATTTTCTAGTCTGTCTAATAATTCCAGAATCAAAACCCGCCTGTGGGTCTGTTTTTATTTTGTTTGTTCTAGTCTTCATTCTTACTGTCTTGTCTCCTTGTGTGCCTGGTTACCTTTAATTATTTACCAATATTGTTTGAAAAAACTAGAAATAACTTGATGCTCAGAATGATATTTTTATCCTCCACAGAGTTTTTTGCTTCTGGCAGGTACCTGCATTAGTAATTTAGGATTATTTTGATCCAGTTTCAGATACTGAAATTTTCCAGGTCACCTAGGTGACTGAAAGCTGAGCCACAGACTGTGGTAATGCTCTTCTGTTCATCCTTATTTCTAGGGTTCAACCATTCAGGGTTTCAAAGCATGGTTTGGAGTTACCAGGCCCTTACCTCTTCACTGACCCTGGACTCTTTTTGAATCTTTAGCCCCTTAGCTCTATCTACTCAACTTCCCAGTGGCCTTTTGCAATCTATAAATACTCCTAACACAGTGGTCCCAAATGAATGGTTCATTTTTCTGAATTTCTATCTTTTCTCAGATATTATTGGCATGGTAATTATTCACCAACTTATCAGCTCCCTGCTGCCTTCCTACATCTTTGAAAAGTATATTTTATCCAGCTTTTCTAAATGTTTTCAAGTGAGAATGTTAATCCAAATTACTTAGCCCACATTATTTCCTGTTGATTATGTGTAAAATACAGTTGGTTTATTTGTATTGTTTTTGTACCTGGAAACAATAAACTCTGTAGTGATTCTCTAAACTATTTGCACATTTTTTTAAATTTTCTTTTTTTTTGTTTTGTTTTTTTGAGACAGAGTCTCGTCGTGTCACTGAGGCTGGTGCAGTGGCATAATCTCAGCTCACTGCAACCTCCACCTCCTGGGTTCAAGCAATTCTCCTGCCTCAGCCTCCCAAGTAGCTGGGACTACAGGCGCCCACCACAACACTCGGCTAATTTTTGTAGTTTTAGTAGAGACGGGGTTGCACTACGTTGGCCAGGCTGGTTTTGAACTCCTGACCTCATGATCCGCCCACCTCGGCCTCCCAAAGTACTGGGATTATAGGCGTGAGCCACTGCACCCGGCCCATTTCTTAAAATTTTCTACATAACTTTAACTCCAAACAAAAATAGTTTAATCTTTTCTAAGATCCAAATTTTGGTTTTGTTGATCCTTTCTATAGTATGTTTGTTTCCTATTCCATTAATTTCTGCCTTTATCAATATTATTCTATTTTATTAGGGATTTTTTCACTATTCTGTTTCTAACTTGTTGAGATGGGTTACTTCTTTCATTTTTAACTTGTCCTCCTTTTCAACATACACATTTAAAAGTTATCTCTATACTATTGTAATATAGTCACATTTACTCAACTATTATAGTCATATTCCACAAATTTTGATATATAATGGTCATATTTAGTTAAAATATTTTCCTAATTTTCATTGGAATTTTCTCTTTAATCCTTTTTTAGGAGAGTGTTTCTTTTTTTCCAAACATGGGCTTTTCTAATTATGTTTTTTGATTTGCAGTTTAATTGAATTTTTGTCATAAAAAAATCTGATTTTAATTATTTGAAATTACTTGAGACTTGCTTTATGGCCAAGAATATGATAAATTTTTAAACAATGTTTATGCATTTGAAACCAGTATATTCTGTAGTAATTAGGGAGAGTGGGAAGGGGAAAAGTCTCTTCTCCATATCTTCAGCATTCTAGTCTCCTAGTACTCGTTATTTGTGGGATCTAAAAACAAGCCATCTAATGTATCTTTTAGGGTTGTTAATTGTGTTATTTAAATCTATATCCTTACTGATTTTTAATATACGTATTATGTCAATTACTGAAAGAAGTATGTTAAAAAATCACCCAATATGATCTTGATTTGCCTCTTTCTCCTTGTATATGTTTCTGGTTTATATATTTTGAGAATAATTATTGACTGCATGTAGTTTAACATGTTACATTTTTCTGATGAATTATATCGCTATGCAGTGTATCAGTAATATGTTTTGCCTTAAAGTCTGTTTTCTCTGTAGCTATACTAGCCTTCCTTTAGTCAGTATTTTCACAGAGTAACTTCTTTCATCTATTTAATTTTAATATTTCTGTATCTTTATGTTTTAAATGTGTATCTGGTAAACAAAATAGATTTAGGATTTTAGTGGAGTTTTTTGTTTTGTTTATTTTTAGATCCAGAGGTCCTCTTATGTTGCCCAGGTCAAAGTGCAGTGGCTCAAGTGGTCCTCCTGCCTCAGCTCCCTAAGTACCTGGGACTACAGACGTGCACCACCGCACCTGGCCGTTATTATTTTTAATCTAATAGAATAATCTTTGTCTTAAACTGGAACACTTGTGCCATTTACATTTAATATAATTACCAATATATTTAGATTTGTTTCTGCCATTTTAGTTTGTTCTGGGAGAGTTTAGGGTTTTTGTTTTTGGGGTTTTTTTGGTCTAACCTATTTTGTGATTCTTTTTCTGTTTTCTTGCCTTTTAAAATTAGTATTGACTTACTATATTATTCTGTTTTTGCCAGTTATTGATTGTCTCTCAACTCTAGACTCACTTATCTGTATTCTGGGACTTTGTGCCTAGCACTTTTTGCAAACTGTGCTTCTCCTTTGCCATCTGGCTTGTTTTTAGGTCCTGCAAAGAAAGAGTACTAAGAGACTAGAATGCTGAAGATATGGAGAAGAGACTTTCCCCTTCCCATTAGCCTCCCAATATTGTCAGTATCACCTCAGCAATGGCTCTTGTTTTAGCAGCTGTGGTTTGTTTCCAGACTCCAACTTTTCTCTGGCATTCTGGAGGGTATCTCTTAAAGGCTTCTAGGCTCTATTAATCCCATCTTTTTGCCTTTATTTGTGTCCCTAGTGGACATTTTCACTTTTCTCAAAACCTGTTTACTAATTCCTTGTTAAATTCTTTCTTAAAATAAATGATGTTTGTTTTCCTTGAGCAATACACATTTTTTCTCTTTACTAGTTTGTCTTTTAGTAATTATATTCCATCATACATATTCAGATTATATAAGACTAAAGTTAATCATTACCTTTACCTTTTGGCAGATTTTATTTTTCAAAAATGGCTACAGCAATATTTTCAATCCCACATACTCTTCTAGAAGCTTACTACACTGTAGTCCCCATTAAGACCCCTGAGGTCAGGTCATAAAAGGATATATAGCTGGCTTCCTTTTGGCTCTCTCTCACTCTTTTACTTGCTCTCTTGGAAAGCTCACCTTTGGAACCTAGACGCCATGTTGTGAGGAAGCTCAAACTAGCACACATGGAGAAAATCTCATGCTACCAGCCTGCAGGCAGCATCAGGTGGTCAGACATGTGAGTAGGCAGACTTTCAAATGATTCCAGGCCCTAGATTTCACAGAGCAGAAACAAGCCATTGGTACTGTTCTGTGGTGTGCCATGCCAAACCCCTAACCTACCGACTCCATGAACATGGATTGTTTATGCAACTAAGTTTTAGAGTTATTTATTGTGCAGATATAATAACTAGAACAACTCTTCAATTTCCAAGTTATGTACTATTGTCATATATTTTATCTGTATTGTGTGTTTTAATTCTGTTGTCATGTACTTTAATGTTCTTTAATTCTAAGACTTTATATAGTCAGTGTTTGTGTTTATACATACACATATATATAAAACTTTCTTTGCTTTTCATTATTTTTTGTATCTAAGACTTACTCCTATGGGCTGAACGTTTATGTCTTCCCAAAATTTATGTGTTGAAATTCTGATCTTCAAGGTGATGTAATTTGGAGATGGGGCCTTTGAGGGGTGATTAGGTCATGGGGGCAGAGCCCTTATAAAAGAGGCTGGAGATCTCTCACCCCTACCATATTAGGACACAGCAAGAAGGTGCCATCCTTGAGCCGGCATGTGGACCCTCACGAGACACTGCATGTACCAGTGCCTTAATCTGGGACTTCCCAACCCCTAAAAATAAATTTTTGTCACCTATAAGCCAGTTTATCATGTCTTGTTACTGTGGCCTGAATGGACTAAAACACCATCTGGGATAAATTTTTATCTGAAATACTTGCTTTAGAATTTCATTTTGTGAGAGTCTGCTGGTGGCATACTTGCTCATGATTTGTTTTCTGAACATATCTGTATTTTTTCCTCATTCTGTAAAGATATTTTTGCTGAATATAGATGCCTAATTTGGCCTTTATTATCTTTCAGCACATTGGCATTGGAGATATTTTTTCATTTTCTCATGACTTCCTCTGTTGTTCTTGAGTCAGCTGTCAGCCTAACACTTACACCTTTAAAGAAATTTATTTTTTGGCCAGGAGCAGTGGCTCACGCCTGTAATCCGAACACTTTGGGAGGCCAAGCTGGGTGGATCACTTGAGGTCGGGAGTTCGTGACCAGCATGACCAACTTGGAGAAACCCCATCTCTACTAAAAATACAAAATTAGCTGGGCATTTTGGCAGGCACCTGTAATCCCAGCTACTCGGAAGGCTAAGGCAGGAGAATCACTTGAACCCAGGAGGCAGAGGTTGCAGTGAGCCGAGATCGCACCATTGCACTCCAGCCTGGGCAACAAGAGCGAAACTCTGTCTCAAAAAAAAAAAAATCTCTTTTTTTATCTGCTTTGGTTTTATGCAATTAATATGTTTCTGAGTATGGATTTATTTTTACTAATCCTGCTTAAGATTTGTTGAGATCTTTAAATCTGGATTTGTGTCTTTGATTACTAGTTCTGGAGAAGTTCTCAAATACTACTTCACATATAACCTCTTCCTCATTATCTTTTCTTCTATGGAGATTCTCATTAAACGTGATAGACCTTCAGTGTTCTGTCTTCAGTTTTTAACACCCTCTCTTCTATATTTTTCAATTGTTCTTTCTTGTCATGCTTTATTCTGTATAATTTATTTTAACCCATATTCCAGTTTACTTACCTCTTCATGTGTTTCTTGTCTACTTACAGCCATCTATTTTGTTGTGGTGGTGGTGGTGGTGGTGGTTTTATTTTTCAGTCCTAAAAGTTCTGTTTGGTTCTCTTTTTTAAACCTGCTAGATCACTTTTATAGTTGTTTATTCCCTACAGATATTTTCTAATATGTCTGTTCTTGAAACTATGAGGGCTGTTTTACGATCTTTGCTGCTTTCAGTTTCTGAAATGTCTGTGGCCCTGTTTCTGTTGTTTCTTCCAGCTAAATGTATTGTCGGTCTCCTGTGAGACTCTCCACATTGGCAAGGCCCTGGGCTTTGATTTCTGTTTCTCTTGTCGGTTACTTTTCCATTTATTGCATTCAACTACAATGTGTCACCGACTTTAGGAATCTACTTTTTAAAAGTTTTTTATATTAAGCACTCTAATTTCTTATAGAATGCAAGAATTCACTCAACACTTTGAAATGATAAGAAATTAGAGCTCTTTAGTCTCATCTACCTATATTTTGACCAACTCAATTGTAAAACCCTTGAGAATAATACATATGTGCTGCTTTTATAATTTTTACATTAACAGTGATTTATATAAATACTCAATACATTTCAATAAATACTTAACATTAATGCTCAGGCTTTATGTCCCAATTTTTTTTTTAGACAAAAAGTAAACATTGGGTCATATTTATTATACACTTTTTTGTCAGGTTTAAACTAAAATACAATCTCATTTGAAATTTAATAAAGTATTTTCACACTCCAGAAATTAAAAGATCAAAATGACATAGAGAAAAGCATTTCTCAATGTTTTCATTTGTCATATTTATGATTCCTTATTAATTGTCACTGCCTCTCCATTTAAAAGAAAGCCTGACTTGATTTTGCATATATTGCTACACAGATTATTTATCTTCATATTATAGTAGATCTTAAAGAACTGGTTCTCAAATTTGTTATGTATAGCAATTACCTGTGTTGTATGCTTAAAAGGCAGATTTCTGGACCAGCCTCAGCGCCGCCCCCCCACCCCCAAAATTATAATTCAGTAAGTCTGAGAGAACTCTTCATATTTTCAGGCATCCCAGGAAGCTCACTGAATTAGTTCGGTAGGATTGTCATTACAAATACCACAGACCATGTGGATTAAGGAACACAAATTTATTTTCTCACAAGTCAAGAAGCCGGATTTTCAAGGTTTTGGCCAGGTTGATCTTTTTTTCCCCCCGAGGCCTCTCTCCTTGAGTTGTCAATGGCTGTTTTCTCCCTCTGTCTCACATAGTCTTTCCCCTGTAGAATATAGACCATATCTTTTCATTCTTAGTTGATTGTGTGATTCCCAAATTGATAACCATCAAAATCAATTTAGAAGTTTGCTTTTGAAGAAAAAAATTATGAAAAAATATCCCTGTTATTTTGATTCAGTAGATGCAGTCTGGGGCTGATGGTTCCATATTTTTAAGAACTCCAGGTACTTATAATCAGGCTCATCGTACTTACGACAAGATGATGATACAGCCTTTCACCATCTTTGTAAGGAAATAATGGGCTGATTTTGAGTGGCAAAAAGATGACACCAGGGAAAAACATGGGAATGAAGACATTTATTTCCATTAACAAAAAATGTGGTATATAATATTTCCATTGGAAAAGGGCTCCTCTAGTACATTTCATGTCTCTAACTTCCAGCTAGGTAATTAAAATGACATATTTGATAAATTGGTCAAATCAGATTTCAGCAAAACTTAGGTTTTTTGGGAATTGGTAAAATTTAGAACTAGAGAAACTGCTGTTGGAATTATATAGGGGAAATGTATTTCATTGAGGCCTAAAGAAAAAAATTCCATCTAGAAAGTACTATGTGTTTTCAACTTATGTCAGTGCATGGGAATGTGTATATCTGCAGGTTACCACCACAGCCGTAGTCTCTAGTTTCCCTGTGAATTGGTTTCATTCTGATAAGATAATGAAATTGTATGGTACAATGTTTAATTCTAATTCTGGTGTTCAGGTGAATGACTTGGTAATCAGTATCAGGAGAATATAGGTAATTCTCTTTAAAAGTAAGAACTTCGTTTTGAAAATATAAATTACCAAGATATACAAAGGAGCTTTCACATTGTATTTCATGCAATGTGTGGATTTTTCTTCAACTTTTCACTTCTCCCTTCCATACTGGGTTCTTGACCTAGAAATTGTGGGTAGAAAAACTTAATTAGCGAACCAATATTGTAGAAAACGGTGGTTCTTTATTTTCAGTGAGTTGATTTTCCTGCTCGTGTGTGGAACATTGCTGGTGTGTTTAGTAATTGTTAGGAAAATAAATACTGAATATTCAGATGCTTTTTTAAATTTTATTTTATCCTGGACCTGTAACTTTGTACCTAATAATTTTTTTCTTCCTCTTTAGCTTAATAGGCCTTATATTTTGAAGCGGCTTTTAGTTTAAACTGCTAATTTCTGGAGTTGGGAAATATCTTTGACCATTCTTGTTCCATTATTGCTCTTGTCTTCTGGTGTAAGAGAGAGCCAAATGCTGACATGGGTTAACAGGGATCAAAAAAATCTTATTTTCTTTTAGATAATATTTTATTACATATTAGCTTTTTCCAAATCTCCAGATTGGAACCCTTACCTGCTCTACAACTCCCATTTCCCAAGTTTGATGTACTAGCAGTCTCACTGTGCCACAGCCAGCTATGAGTCCAAATTCCTGAAGCAATGTTAGGGTTCCACAAAGTTTTCTTAAAATATCAGCATTATTTGTCAAGATAAGTTTTTATCTTTGTGTAGCTTTTCTTAAAAAGTCCTATTTTCATTGTCATGTACTTTTCCATCATTTTTCTGCTTTTGAAAGAAAATACGTTACACTACAGATAATATTCTAATTATTTAAAGTCTTTCTTCACAGGACCCTCTAATTCCATCTGTTCTTATGTCATTCCCCAGTCCCTATAACAAAGGCATCTGAAATGCAGGGGGAGGCTGAGTAGTTTGTTCCCGACCACAAAGCAAACTGAACACATTCAGTCATATACCAATAGCAATCTGGTTGTCTGTTTCTAAAATCCTTAAGGTGCTTTTTTTTTTTTTTTGTATTGTCTATTTTTTCTTCCCTGGCCCTGCCCTGAGGGTGGGGCCCCTAGTCAAGGTGCAGTACTTTGGCAGTGACAGCATGGGCACCTAAAACCCCAAGAGAAAATTTAGCCTTCCAGCCAGAGAAATCAGGAAAGGTGGGCAGAGGGGAGAATTGGAATTACATTTTTCTCTTTCTTATCTCTAACTTTCTTGGAGAGATTGGGCAACTGCAGTCTCACAGAACTGCAATTACAGCACAGGTGTCATTAATAAGCTCCATCATTCTAGCTAGAACACCAGGAAAAAGGACCCTTGGCGGCTCGAGAGTATGGAGAAATCCCAGAGAGGTGACAGCTGGAAAAGAGTTATTTCCTAGTTCTGTGTATGAAGTGACACAAATTCCAGGCTCACCTCTGAATTGTGCATGCACAGAACCAGATACAAAACAGATGGCAAAGGCGTTGACAGCTAAACTAAGGCATAAACCACAACCAAGTCCCAGGCTGAATACAGACCCAAAACAGCATAACAGAAGCTTTGAAAACTGAACCAATATTGGAATGGCTTCCCACAGAAAGTAAGAGAGAACTGGTTCAATCTAATCAAGATGGTTGCCTGCTTTTAAAAAATGCACCAGAGAATTTTAACAGGACCCAGAGGCTCACAACATAATATTCAAAATGTCCAAGACACAATTCAGAATTACTTGATATATGAAAAACCAGGAATTACTTGATATACAAAAGAAGGAATTTGACCAATTCCCCAGTTTTCAAGGGAAAAGACAATGGATGCCAACACTAAGATAACCAAGATGTTGAAATTATCAGATGAAGACCTTAAAGCAGCTATGCTTCATGAGGTGGTCATAAACATTCTTGAAATGAATATAAAGATAGATGTTCTCAACAAAGAAAAGCTATAAAAACCCAATGGAGAGAGGAGGTGGAGCAAGATGGCCAAATAGAACCCTCCAGCTATCAGCCCCCACCACCACAGGAACACCAAATTAAACAACTGTCTACACTAGAAAGCACCTTAATAAGAACCAAAAATCCGGTGAGCAATTACAGTACTTGGTTTTAACATCATAGCAAGGAAAGAGACACTGAAGAGGGTAGGAAAAATAGTCTTGAATTGCCAACCTGGTCTCTTCCCCCATCTCCCAGCAGTGGCTGCTCGTGCAGAGAGAGAATCTGTGTGCTTAGGAAAAGAAGTAGACAGTGACTGTGGCACTTTGCATTGTAACTCAGTGCTACTTGTCACAGTAGAAAGCAACACAGGGCAGAATTCAGCCAGGACCACAGAAGGGAGCATTTAGACCAGCTCTTGCCAGAGAGAAATCATCCATCCCAGTGGGCAGAATCTGAGCTCTGACTAGTCTCAACACCACAGGCTAAAGTGATCTAGGGTTCGAAATAAATTTGAAAGGCAGTTTAGGCCACAAACACTGAGGGTCCTGGGCAAGTCCTGTGCTGTGCTGGGCTTGGAGCCAGTGGACATGTAGTGCACATGACCTAGTGAGACACCAGCTGGGGTGACCAGGGGAGTGCTTGTGGCACCCCTCCCCCAATCTCAGGCAGCACAACTCCAGGAAAGACTCCTCCTTTCTGCTTGAGTAGAGAAGAGGGGAGCATAAACTTGGAAAGCAACTCAGTTGGAAAGCAGCTCACCCACAGTAGAACAGGGCATCAGGCAGAGTCATGAGGCCTCCATTTCAGGCCCTAGCTTCTGGGCATTTCTAGACACGCCCTGGGCCAGAAGGGAATCTACTGCTTTGAAGGGAAGGACTCAGTCCTGGCAGTATTCATCACCTACTGACTAAAGCATGCTTGAGCCTTGAATAAACATCAACAGTAGCCAAGCAGTACTTGCTGTGGGCCTTGGGTTGAGACCCAGAGCTGTGCTGGCTTCAGGTATGACCCAGCACATTCCTAGCTGTGGTGGCCATAGGGAGAGACTTTTGCTTAAGGAAAGGAAAGGGAAGAGTAAAGGAGACTTTGTCTTGCAGCTTGGGAACCAGTTTGGCCACAGTGGGGTAGAACACCAAGCAGGGCCTTGTGGTTCCCAATTCTAGACCTTGGTTCCTGGATGGCATTTCTGGACCCACCTTGGGTCAGAGGGGCGCCCCTTACCCTAAATGGAGAGACCCAGGCCTGGCAGTATTCACCACAAACTGATTGAAGAGCCCTTGGGCCTTGAGTGAACATCAGTGGTAGCCGGGCAGTACTTGCCACAGGACTAGGGTGGTGGTAGTCATGGGGAGAAACTCCTGCCTGAGGAATGAATGGGAAGGGCTTTGCCTTACACCTTGGGTGCCAGCTCAGCTGCAGTAGAATAGAGCACCAAATAGATTGCTGAGGTTCCTAACTCCAGGCCCTGGCTCCTGGATGGCATTTCTTGATTCACTCTGGTCTGGTGTGGAGGAGCTCACCAATCTGAAGGGAAGGACACAAGCTTGGCTGGATTAGCCATTTGCCAAATCATGAGCCCTTGAGCCTTGAGTGAACATCAGCGGTACCCAGACAATGGTCACCATGGGCATTGGCCAAGACTCAGTGCTGTGCTGGCTCCAGGTATGACCCAGCAAGCACAGTCATGGTGGTTGTGGCACAGGAGTGCTTATGTCCACCCCTCCCCCAGCTCCAGGCAGCTCAGCACACACACACAGAGAGAGAGAGAGGAGGTGGGGAGAGACTCCATTTGTTGGGGGGAAAGTAAGGGAAGAGAACAAGAGTCTCTGCCTGGTAATCCAAGACATTCTTTTAGATCTTACCCAAGACCATCAAGGCAGTACTCTACAAGTCTTCAAGAGTCACAGTGTTCCTGGGCCCATGTGCCCCCTAATGTATATATGGCTGCAGTGACCAACGACTTAGATCAGAATACTCAATTCTTTTTGAAGACTGGGAAAACCTTTCCAAGAAGGATGGGTACAAACAAACACATACTGTGAAGACTAGATTAAGTACCTAACTCTTTAATGCCCAGACATCAACAAACATAAGTATTAGGAACATACAGGTAAATATGACCTTACAAAATGAACTAAATAAAGCACCAGTGACCAATTCTGGAGTGACAAACGTGTTAACTTTCAGACGGTAAATTCAAAATAGCCATTTCTAGGAAGCTCAGTGAAAATCAAGAAAACACAGAGAAGGAATTCAGAATCCCATCACATAATTTAACAAAGAGATTGAAATAATTTTTTAAAGTCAAGCAGAAATTCTGGACCTGAAAAATTGACATTCTGAAGGATATATCAGAATCTCTCAATAGGGCAGAATTGATCAAGCAGAAGAAAGGATTAGTGAGCTTGAAGACAGGCTATTTGAAGATGCACAGAGGAGACAAAAGAAGAAAGAATAAAAAGGAATGAAGCACACCTACAATATCTTGAAAAAAAGCCTCCAAAGAGCAAATCTAAGAGTTACTAGTCTTAAAGAGAAGGTAGACAGAGATATCAATGTAGAAAGTTTATTCAAAGGAATAACAGAGAACTTTCCAAATCTAGAGAAAGATATAAATATTCAAGTACAAAAGGTTATAGAACACCAAGCAGATTTCACTCAAAGAAGACTACTTCAAGGCACTTAATATTCTAACTCCCAAGGATGGGATAAAGAAATTATCCTAAAAGCAGCAAGAGAAAAGCAACAAACAAAATACAAAGGAGCTCCAATACATTTGCCAGCAGACTTCTCAGTGGAAACCTTACAGGCCAGGGGAGCATGACATATTTAATGTGCAGACGGCAAAATACTTTCCTCCTAGAATAGTATATCCAGTGAAAATATCCTTCAAACATGGAGGAGACATACTTTCCTAAACAAACAAAAGCTGGGGGATTTCATCAATACCAGACCTGTCCTAAAAGAAATGCTAAAGAGAGTTCTTCAATCTGATAGAAAAGGACATTAATGAGCTATAAGAAGTCATCTTATCTCTTTGGGACAAAACTCACTGGTGGTAATAGACAAAACAGAATATTATAACACCGTAAATTGTGGTGTGTAAACTACTTATATCTTAAATAGAAAGATTAAAAGATGAACCAATCAAAAATAACTACAACTTTTCAAGACATAGACAGTATAAGAAGATAGAAATAACAAATTTAAAAGTGTGGGTACATAGTTAAAGTATAGAGCTATTATTAGTTTCTGTTTGCTTGTTTTTGCAGTCAACGTTAAGTTGTCATCAGTTTAAGATAATGGGTTATAAGATGTTATTTGAAAACTTAATGGTATTTCAAATTTAAAAAACCTACAACATACACAAAAAATAAAAAGCAAGAAATTAAAGATACCACCAGAGAAAATCACCTTCACAAAAAAGACAAGAAAGAAGGTAGGAAGGAAGAGAAGACCACAAAACAATGAGAAAACAAGTAACAAAATGGCAGTAGTAAGTCCTTATCAATAATACATTGAATATAAATGGACTAAACTCATCAATCAAAAGATATAGAGTGGCTGAAAGGATAAAAAACAAGACTCACTGATCTGTTGCCTACAAGAAACATACTTCACGTATAAAGACAGACATAGACTAAAACTAAAGAGATGGAAACAGATATTCCACAAATAGAAATCTAAAATCAGGAGTAGTTATATCAGACAAAATAGATTTCAAGTCAAAAATTATAAAAAGAAAGGTCATTATATAATGATGAAAGGGTCAATTCAGCAAGAAGTACAATTGCAAATATATATAATATATATGCACCCAATGCTGGGGTACCCATGTATGTAAAGCAAATATTATTATAGCTAAAGGGAGAGATAGACCCCAGTACAATAATAGCTAGAAACATCAACACCCCATTTTCAGCCAGACAGAAAATCAACAAACATCGGACATAATCTGCACCATAGACCAAATGAACCTAATAGAAATTTACAGAACATTTCATTCAGCATCTACAGAATACACATTTTTTCCTTCAGAACATGGATTATTTTCAAGGACAGACCATATGTAAGGCCACAAAACAACTCTTTAAAACATTAAAAAAAAATTGAAGTAATATCAAGCATCATCTCCAACCACAATGGAATAAAACTAGAAATCAGTAACAAGAGGAACTTTGGAAACTATACAAACACATGGAAATTAAACAAAATGCTCCTGAATGACCAGTGGGTCAATGAATAAACTAAAAAGGAAATTTAAAAATTTCTTGAAACAAATCAAAATGGCAATTCAAGAGACCAAAATCTATGAGATACAGCAAAAGCAGTACTAACAGGAAAGTTTATACCAATAAGCATCTACATCAGAAAAGTAGAAAAGTTTCAAATAAACAACCTAATGATGCATCATAAAGAACTAAAAAAGCAAGAACAAACCAAACCCAAAATTAGTAGAAGAAACAATAAAGGTCATAGCAGAAATAAATGAAATTTAAATTTAAAAAAATACAAAAGATTATTGAAACAAAAAGTTTTTTGAAAAAATAAGCCAGGCATGGTGGCTCACACCTGTAATCCCAATACATTGGGAGTCCGAGGCAGGTGGATCACTTGAGGTCAGGAGTTCGAGACCAGCCTGGCCAACATGGTGAAACCCTGTCTCTACTAAAAATACAAAAATGAGCCAGCCGTGGTGGCACACACCTGTAATCCCAGGTACTTGGGAGGCTGAGGCAGGAGAATCGCTTGAACCCGGGAGGTGGAGGTTGCAGTGAGCTGAGATTGTGCCACTGCACTCCAGTCTGGGTGACAGACTGAGACTCCATCTCAAAAATAAAAAAAAAAAGAAAAAGAAAAAAGAAAATCAACAAACCTTTACTCAGACTAAGAAAAAAAGAAGGCTCAAATATATACTATCAGAGATTTAAAAGGAGACATTACAACTGATACCACAGAAATTAAAAGGATAATTAGAGACTACTATGAGCAACTATATGCCAATAAATTGGAAAATTGAGAAGAAATAGATAAATTTCTAGACACATACAACCTACCAAGATGAAACCATGAAAAATCCAAAACCTGAATAGGCCAATAATAAATAATGAGTTCAAAGCCATAATAAAAAGTCTCCCAGCAAAGAAGAGCCTGGGACCCAATGGCTTCACTGCTGAATTCTATCAAATGTTTAAAGAAGGACTAATACCAATCCTACTAAGATGATTCAAAAAATAGAGGAGGAGTAAATACTTCCAAAGTCATTCTGCAGTGCTAGTATTACCTTGATAACAAAACTAACAAAGACACATTTTTAAAAACTACAAGCCAATATCTCTGATGAACATTGATGTAAAACTCCTCAACAAAATACTAACAAACAAAATTCAACAACATATTAGATTATCCAACGTGATCAAGTGGGATTTATCATCCCTGGGATACAAGGATGACTCAACATATGTAAATCAATCAATGTAATACATTGTACCAATAGAATGAAGAACAATAGTTATATGATCATTTCAATTGATGCTGAAAAAGCATTTGATAAAATTCAGCATCGCTTCATTACCTGAAACTATGAAACTATGGAACTACTCCAAGAAAACATTGGGAAAACTCTCCAAGACATTGGTCTAGACAAAAATGTTTTGAGTAAGACACAAGCACAGGCAACCAAAGCAAAAATAAACAAATGGGATCGCATTAAGTTAAAAATCTTCTGCACAACAAAGGAAACAATCATTAAAGTGAAGAGACAACCCACAGAATGGGAGAAAATATTTGCAAACTACACATCTGACAAGGAATTAATAACCAGATGTATAAGGAGTTCAATAACTCAATAGGAAACAAATCTAATAAAACAACTAAAAATGGGCAAAATATCTGAATAGACATTTCTCAAAAGAAGACATACAAATGGCAAACAGGCATATGAAAAGATGCTCAACATCACTGATCATCAGAGAAATGCAGATCAAAACTACAAGGTGATATCATCTCACCCCATTTAAAATGGCTTATATTCAAAAGACAGGCAATAACCAAGCTGGCAAGGATATAGAGAAAAGGGAACCTTCATACACTGTTAGTGGGAATGTAAATTAGTAGAGCAACTATAGAGAACAGGATGAAGGCTCCTTAAAAAAAGAAAAATAGAACTACCATATGACCCAGCAATCCCACTGCTAGGTATATACCCCAAAGAAAGGAAATCAGTGTACTAAAGAGATATTTGCACTCCTATGTTTATAACAACACTATTCACAATAGCCAAGAGAAAAAGAGAGTGCAAGGGAAACTGCCAGTTTTAAACCATCAGATCTTGTGAGAACTCATTATCATAAGAACAGCATGGGAGAAACTGCCCCCATGATCCAATCACCTCCCACCAGATCCCTCCCTCAACACCTGGGAATTACAATCTGAGATGAGCTTTGGGTGAGGACACAGAGCCAAACCATATCATTCCACTCCTGGCCCCTCCCAAATCTCATATCCGTTTCACATTTCAAAACCTATCATGCCTTCCCAACAGTCCCTCAAATTCTTAACTCATTTCAGCATTAACCCAAAACTCCAAGAGCAAAGTCTCATATGAGACAAGGCAAGTCCCTTCTGCCTGTGAGCCTGTAAAATCAAAGATTAGTTACTTCCAAGATACAATGGGGGTACAGGCATTGGGTAAATACAGCCATTCAAAATGGGAGAAATTGGCCAAAACAAAGGGGCTACGGGATCCATGCAAGCTTGAAAGCCAACAAGGCAATTATTAAATCTTAAAGCTCCAAAATAATCTTCTTTGACTCCATGTCTCACATCCAGGGCACACTGATGCAAGGGGTGGGCTCCCAGGGCCATGAACAGCTCCACCCCTGTGACTCTGCAGGGTACATCCCCTGCGGCTGCTTTCATGGGCTGGCATTAAGTGCCTGTGGCATTTCCAGACACATGGTGCAAGCTGTGGGTGGATCTACCATTCTGGGTTCTGGAGGATGGTGGTTCTCTTCTCACAGCTCCACTAGGCAGTGCCAGTGGGAACTCTGTGTGGGGGCTCTAACCCTACATTTCCCCTCTGCATTGCCCTAGTCGAGGTTCTCCATTAGGGCTCTACCCCTAGAGCAGACTTCTGGCTGGACATCCAGGCATTTTCATACATTCTCTAAAATCTAGGCAGAGGTTCTCAAACCTCAATTCTTGTCTTCTGCACACCTGCAGGCTCAACACCTCATGGAAGCCATCAAGGCTTGGGGCTTCTACCTTCTGAAGCACCAACCTGAGCTGTACCTCAACCCCTTTTAGCCACTGCTGGAGCTGGCACAGCTGGGACAGAGGGCACCATGTCTTGAGGCTGCACAGAGCAGTGGGGCCCTGGGTCCAGCCCACAAAACTATTTTTCCCTCCTAGGCCTCCAGGCCTGTGATAAAAGGGGCTGCCTTGAAAATTTCTGACATGCCCTGGAGACATTTTCCCCATTGTCTTGGTGATTAACATTTGGCTTCTTGTTTCTTATGCAAATTTCTGCAGCCAGCTTGAATTTGTCCCCAGAAAATGGGTTTTCTTTTCTACCACATGGTCAGGCTGCAAATTTTCCAAACCTCTATGCTCTGCTTCCTTTTTACACATAAGTTCCAATTTCAAACCATCTCTTTGTGAATGCATATGACTGTATACTTTTAGAAAAAGCCAGGTCACATCTTGAACACTGTGCTGCTTAGAAGTTTCTTCTGCCAGATACCCTAAATTATCTCTCTCACGTTCAAAATTCCACAGATCTCTAGGATGGGGCAAAATGCCACAAGTCTCTTTGCTAAAGCATAGCATGAATGACTCTTACTCGAGTTCCCAACAAGTTCCTCATCTCTATTGGAGACCACCTAGCCTGGACTTCATTGTCCATATCTCTATCAGCATTTTGGTCAAAACTATTCAATAAGTCTCTAGAAAGTTCCAAACTTTCCCACATCTTTTTGTCTTCTTCTGAGACCTCCAACCTGTTCCACCCTCTGCCCGTTGCCCAGTTCCAAAGTTGCTTTATAGCAGGACCCGACTCTGCCAATACCAATTCTTGTATTAGTCCATTTTCACACTGCTATAAAGATACTACCTGAGACTAGGTAATTTATCAAAGAAAGAGGTTTAACTGACTCACAGTTGTGCATGGCTACAGAAGCCTCAGGAAACTTACAATCATGACAGAAGGTGAAGGGGAAGCAAGACACGTCTTCACAAGGTGGCAGGAAAGAGAGAGCACAGGGAAAATGGCCACTTTAAAACCATCAGATCTCATGAGAACTCCCTCAGTATCAGGAGAACAGCATGGGGCAAACCGGCCCCATGATCCAATTGCCTCCTACCAGGTCCCTACCTCAACATTTGGGGATTACGATTCGAGATGAGATTCGGGTGGGAAAACAGCCAAACCATATCACTACCAATGAACAATGGAATTCAAATGTTACAGAATATCATTTACCAGCAACAAAAATTTAAATACCTATAAATCAAAATGTGTGCCAATGCTGTATGCTGAAACAAAGTACTATGAAAGAAATCAAGGACAGCCCAAATGTACCAATATATTGCATTCTTCAACTGGAAGACTCAATATTATGATGTCAGTTCTTCCTGAACTAATCAACAGATTCGACATAATCCAGTCAAAGTCTCAGGAGGATTGTTCTCTGGATGGCAACAGGATGATTCTAAAATTTAGAATGAAAGGCAAAGAAACTAGACTAGTCCAAACGATTTTGAAAAAGAAAAGAGCAAAGAACAAACTAATCCTCCTAATTTCAAGAATTACTACGAAGTTATAGTAATAGTAAGTGTGGCAAAAGGGTAGGAACATATATCATTGGAAATTAATCCGTACAAAAATGGTCAACAGATTTTTACAAATGTTGCAAAGACAATTCAATGGAGAAGCATTTATTTTTATTTTTACTTTTTAGAGAAAGGGTCTCACTCTTGCCCTTTCACATTGTGCATTGACACAGTCATAGTGCACTGCAACCTTGAACTTCTGGCTGCCTCACCCTCCCAAGTAGCTAGGACTACAGGCATGTGCTACCATACCCAGCATTTTTTTTTTTTTTTTTTTTTTTTTTTTTGTAGAAACGAAGTCTCCCTATGTTGCCCAGGATGCTCTCAAAGTGATCCTCCTGCCTTGTCCTCCCAAAGTGCTGGGATTATAGGTGTGGGCTGCCCTGTTCAGTGGGATAATCTTTTTAAACAAATGGGGCTGGAACAATTACCCATCTAAATGCAACTAAATGAACCTTGACACATCCCTCCCAGTTTAAAAATAATTCAAAATGTATCATAGATCTAAATGTGAAACATGAAATCACAGCACTTCTAAAAGAAAACAGGAAAATAGTCTTTGTGATTTTAGGTTAGGCAGAGTTCTCAGGTATAACACCAAAGTACAATCTACAGAAGCAAAATTTAAAACTTCTGCTCTCCTAAAGACACTGTTAAAAAAATGAAAAGACAAATCACCCACTAAGAAAATACTTCCCAATCACACACATGCACACACACAAAAAGCTTGTATCGGTTCAGAGCTCTCAAAACAAGCATGAAAGAAAAAACAACCCAATAAAAATATGGGCAAAAGATTTAAATAGATACTTTCCCAGATAAAATATATAATGGCAAATAACATATAAAAAGATGCTCAACATTATTATTCAGTAGGGTTATATTTTAAGTGACAAGTTTAAAAATTAGACAATGTAAAAAGAACATCAAAGATGAGAGTAAGAGAAATTCAGGAACCAATAATTTAGATGACAGAGAGTAAAAAACTGAGGGAAGACATTGTAGACATTTTTAAATATTTGATGGCCTTTTAAGTCGTATTGTTTCAAAGCCAGAAATTGGATTAATATGTAGAAGTTGAAGGAATGCTTCAGACTCAATATCAAGGAAGAATTCTCTAATATGAGAACTGTCCAGAAGTGAACTGTGCTGCTTCAAAAATCAAATTTAAGCCCTCTTACATTCACAATTTACAAACAAGCTGAAGGGGTCATATCCTAGAGATGTTTCCTGTACTGAATGTGCAGGTGAGTTCTAAACAGATAAGATACTATAATTTTCTAAAGTTCCTTCAGATCCTGAGAGTCTGTGGTTTTGGTTACTCTTATTATTTAGCATCACAATATTCATAATCATGTTTTAAGAACTTGGACTTTTAAACTTGCTATCCTTTTAATTAATAAGACTATCCAGATATGCCCCAATGCAGATAGCCAAATAAGGTTGCTTTCCCCCATAATCTGTAGAAAAAGAGACTTGTTTTGATAACTAAAATCCACACAAGCTGGAGATATTTTCTCTCTCCTGCTTACAGTTTGCCAGTGACCATGTGTACCAGGAACTGTTGCATAAGATAGAGAGAGACTATTACATTCAGCCTGGCTTGCTCTGCCAGAAGTTGGATTGCAAAGAGAGCCAGTTTCAAGGGTGTGTAAACTGTGCAGTTGCATAGGGTCTCATGCTCGGTTTGATGGTTTGCTATAACTGTTTTTGAAATTCTTAATTTATGAACAAGGGGCTGGCAAATTCTGTAGCTGGTCCTAGCTACAATCTTTATCTGTAATTCCTCACCACCCACTCATTCCTTGTTATTTTGCAATCTGACTTCTGCCTTCATAGTGGAATACAACTTCTCTCTCTCAAGTCATCTATTGGCTAATCACCAGTTTTCATCGTCTCTTCTTAATCTTCATTCATTTTATCCTGTATTACGCATCTAACGTTGTTGACAGACTATCCCTTTAAATTCCATTTGGTTTCCATTAACTTGTATGATTATGGTTTCCTCTTACCTCTGAATTTGTTAGATAAAGCTGAGTAGAATGATAGAATGAAGTTAATAGTAATACTACATACCTCAGGGTTTTCCATTCCCTAAAATGCACCCATACTCTGTTCATAATACATATTGGTACTTTCCTATTTTCACAGACTGAGTGACAAAATGATTTCCAAATGGATAAATTTAAAGACTGAACTACAGTTCCTGCCTGGCTGGTACTATCAATCATATGCAGAGTTTTGGGGATTTTGTTTTGTTTTGTTTTGTTTCCCTTAACATAGCAATGAAGTGAAAAACATACCAGTGTTTTCATCAGTTGAACATATAAATGGTCTTAAATTTCCTCGAGTCTCCTTCACAAAATAATCAATGACACTGAAAAGGTTTGGGAGTGTTACCTGTATTAATAGAGAGTGAGAGAAAACTCAGCATCACCTGCATAAGTATAGAGTAAGAGAAGGCTCAACTGGAATCTAATGGAGATTACTGTCATTACTTCACTTCAATGGCTTACTGTATGACCATAGTTTTACCTATCCCTGTGTCTTATTTATCCTTTTTAATTGACCATGTGTCCATTCTCTGTTGAGGAATTACCACCTTTCCCATTGAATACAATCTGGTAGACAATAGTTAGGTACCTTGCTCTCCCTCAATTAAAGCATAAGAATGTAAGCCAAGTGTGGTGGCTCACACCTGTAATCCCAGCACTTTGGGAAGTCCAGGTGGGAAGATCATTTGAGACCAGGAGTTTCAGACCAGCCTGAGCAACATAGCGAGATCCTGTCTCTACGAAAATTGAAAAAATTAGCTAGGTGTGGTAGCTTACACCTGTAGTGCCAGCTGCTCAGGAGGCTAAGGCAGGAGGATTCCTTGAGTCCAGGAGTTCGAGGCTGCATGAGTTGTGATAGTGCCACTGCACCCCAGCCTGGGTGACAGGGTAAGACCCTGTCCCTTAAAAAATGAGGGGAGCAAAAAATGTGACTCAAGTTAGCTAGAAAATGCTTTCTTTCTGAAATTTGAACTTGAGTAGAAGAACAAAGAAGGATCCAGTTTCCTAATCAGATGGTTCTTAGCACAAGTAACTGCGTCCTAGTCCCTGAAGGTTTGCTACCCTTCCAGTCATTCTATGTTCTTATAATAAATTTATTTTTTCTTAAGTTAGCTGTAGTTGGTTTCTTATGCTTTAAAGCAAATAACCTTTAAAACCAGAGAATTTAAGCATTTTAGTATTTTATTGTAACAGGATAATTTGCCGGTCTAGGAGTAGATAAAATGTGTCTCTACCCCTAAACTAATATTTTTATACAAATGAAATCAGAATAAATATACCAGATAACCTTGAAGAGGAAAAAGAATTCCTGAGCCAGGCGCAGTGGTACACACCTGTGGTTCCCGCTACTCGGGAGGCTGAAGTAGGAGGATCGCTTGAGCCCAGGAGTTTCAGGCTGGCACTATGATTGTGCCTGTGAACAGCCACTGTGCTCAAGCCTGGGCAACACAGCAAGACCCCTGTCTCTAAAAAAAAAAATCACAAAAATACAACCTTACTGAGGGGTTGAGGAGTATGGTTGGGGAGGGTGAAAAATGAAAGAATAATCCAGGCTGTTAGTTTTCCTTACACTGTAGACTGTATGAGCTAATGACAGAAATGAGCCCCAGTTTACCCAGTTACAAAGATGACACATTATTCTTCCTTGTCCATTGCTTGTAGTCACTTAGTTATTTGGATTATCCTTTAGCAATCTAGTTTTCTGCCTTCTTTATTGAATTTTATTTTAAAAGTCTAGTCAGGAATGGATCTGATAACTGAGAAGCTTTGGGAGGCACTTATGGCAAAGATGTAAGTGTGCTCTATGAATCAGCAGCTACCTTGCTCTCTAAGAATTATGACCAAAATATAAAAAATTCAACCACACTGTTCCTTTTTCTACTTGATCAACACAATGGACCTGGAGAAGCAGAGGAACTAGGTAAATATAAATATCTTCAAGACCCACCAGTTCTATTTAAGATATCCAGAGACAACTTTCCTGACTCAATCTTCCCACTACTGCAGCCTAAAATCACAGAGCTATATTCTCTTTTTCAGCATCCTGGAATGTAGGCCACATCACCACATTCTCATTGGTTCAGAACAGTGTAAATACCAATTATCTCACCTGTATAAAAGGCATAACAATATCTACCTCAGGGTAATGATAACAATTACATTGGATGATATATGTCAAGTGCTTAGCTATATCATTAGCCCCATGGTAAGTCAGCTTGGGTGGGAGAAGAGTTCAAGACAAATAAGAAATGCTTTCTTCACTACTATGTTGCTATTAAGAGAGGATTTCTGAACTTCAGCAAGACAGGTATTAGAGGATTAGGCATTTACAGATTTCTTCCCATTAGAAATAAACATATTTGAAGATTTATAATTGGAGAATGTTTAACAAAAGTATCTTTCTTTCTCTGAATTTTTTCCACTTTTCTTTCTCTGCAAACCTTGAGAAATTTGCAGAAAAAGAAAAGTGGAAAGAATTTTTAGAAGCAAATTATATTTTACTCTGCCTCACCACCTGTTCCTGAATCTCACTTTTCACCTTGTATATCTGCCACATTCAGGGCTCCTTAACTTGGCTGCTTTTTGCCAGCACTAGGAGGCTATAAGGAATCGGGAGGAAGTTCATCAACAACAACAAAAATAGTTACTTACAGGTTTTTCCAGTTCAATAGTGTAGTTTTGTCCTACGCTCATCACTTTGTAGTGCTTGATTCTTGGAATGCTACAATGAAACAAATGGTTAGTCTCCATTTTATTATACAATTGGGTAAATGCAAACTAAAGTAAATATAAAATATCACCTGTATAATCAACCTATGTTGTCATGACTATAGTTTGGCAAAAAAAAAAAAAAAAAAAATCCTTCGTGGTTTTTTATTTTCTGTTTACCTGGTTTGCAGAGTGTCTTTTTGTGGGGGCTACTCACTAGGGATATAGGTAATCTGGGTCATTGAGTGGGTGAATTAGAAAGAATAAACAGGAAAAAAGGAATCAAGAATTAAAAATCTTTCAGGCAGAAATAATTCTTTTAATGTCAGTAACCTAGAAAGTAAACAACATAATAAAATTCTATGTAGGTATATAAAATCAAATATATATTCTCCATATTGAGAGAAGTAGAAAGAATTATTAAAAGTACATTGCTTTCTACCCTACATTGTCACCAATCCAACCAGAAACCCCTCAATAGCTGTTATTCATATTAGCTCATATACCACCCTGGATATCCACTAACTTTGGGGCTGACTTGGAGATATGGAAAATACTGGGTCTTAGGCACTATATGAACATATAGATGATAATGTAAGTACATTACATGAATCGTATTGTCTTCCTCTTCTATAGTCACATAGCACTCAAAATTATTACCACTCAAATACAGGGTATTTTATTGATTATGAACTGCTTATGAACAAGAGGCATATCCTATTCATCACTGTATTCTAGCATTAGGCACAGAATAAATATTTATAAAGTTGAGTTTTTAAAATATTAGGAGCTGGATGAGTGGGATGGCTCAGGCCTGTAATCCCAGAACTTTTGAGAGGCCAAGGCATGAGGATGACTTGAGCCCAGGAGTTAGAGACCAGACTGGGCAACATAATGAGACCCCATCTCTACAAAAAAATTCAAAAAATTAGCCAGGCATGGTGGCATGCATATGTGGTCCCAGCTACTCAGGTGTTAGGTGGGCGAATCATTGCATCCAGGAGATTGAGGCTGCAGTGAGCTATGATGGTGCCGCTGCATTCTAGCCTGGGCAACAGAATGAGACCCTGTCTCAAAAAAAAAAAAATTAGGATCCCCCACCTCATAATGTTATCTGCTAGAACTAAGCAAATTTACACTGAGATCAGAAGTCACTATCCTTGTCAGTTAGTTTTGAACCAGAGTATGTTTGTCTTGAATTCCCTTGATTTGTACGGCAAGCATGTTAGGATGAAAACTTTTTCTAGTGTTGACAAATGAACAGCATTTATTACATTGTCATTTGCTTGAATGACACACTAATTAAGCATTTGTCCTATGTACAGAAGCTGTCTAAAACAAAAGTGTTCAGCAGGTTAAGCTAGGCACAGGGTCTTTCTACCTTCTTTTTTTAAATCGCTTCTCCTTCCGTTTTCATTTAGGACTGAAACTGAAGTCTTCTATTCAGGGGACTCTTCTCATTCACCATTATATCCAAATCACCTCTCAATTGGACATCACAATGGAAACAGCTCATAAATTCCAATAACCTACTTTCAAAACATGGGATAAAACCCAACCAACCCTTTTCCTTCCTAAAAGAAAACATTCCTTAACGCTGAAACTTCAGGAATCAGTTACAAGTTGGTGAAGGAAGCATTTTTGGACACAGAAGGTCATACAGCACCTTTTCAGGGTGGTTATACCTGGCTTTATCTTTATCACATCATAATAAGATCTTTGTAATCACACAGTTACTTTTGAAAACTCTACAATTTCAATTACAATTCCTGTATTCCTATTAAATAAGGGATTGCTGTTCGTTGGAAGACTGATAGAAAACTTGGTTCAAATTCTGATTGTCATGTGGGTTCTCTGAACCTCCATTTTCTTCATCTATAAATGGAGATGGTGCCTTGCCTCAAGGGGCTGCTGTGAGTTAACCTTTGCAAAGCCCTTAGTACAGTGTCTGGCACATTTAAGCATTCAGTAAATTATAACCATTTTTACTACTTCTTAAATGTATTGTTTTAATGTAGTAGTTTCTGTGAGTCTCATCCTCTTCATTTGTAAAACATGGAAAATACTGTCTGTCTCAAAGTTTTTATTGCGCCTGAAGGAAATGTTTGCCAGTACTCAACATAGCACCCACAAATGGTAACCTATAAGGAGAACAACGATTGTTGTTGTTTTTAAAAGCCATCATATTGGCCGGGCGCAGTGGTTCACGCCTGTAATCCCAGCACTTTGGGAGGCTGAGGCAGGCAGATCACGAGGTCAGGAGATCGAGACCATCCTGGCTAACACGGTGAAACCCCGTCTCTCCTAAAAATACAAAAAATTAGCCGGGCGTGGTGGTGGGCACCTGTAGTCCCAGCTACTCGGGAGGCTGAGGCAGGAGAATGGCGTGAACCCGGGAGGCGGAGATGGCAGTGAGCCGAGCTCGCACCACTGTACTCCAGCCTGTGAGACAGAGCGAGGCCCCGTCTCAAAAAAAACAAAAACAAAAAACAACAACAACAACAAAAAAAAGACATCATATCATCATCATCATCATCATCATCGTCGTCGTCGTCTATGGCAAAGCTGTGGGAGGAAAAGTGGCAAAGGTCAACAAGGTATCTTGGAACTTTTGACTAACAGAATGAAATTCTGGAACAGAAAGAGGTGGGAAAAAAAATCCATTGAAGTTGCTTAGGTTTTGACTCTCTTTTTAGACATTTTGCTTTCCTTTCATATTCTGTTTTGTTCTGCTTTTCCAAAGAAATAAAAAGAGATGAAAAAAACAAGATTGATAGAATTTGCTATATTAAGATTTCCTGATGCTGACCTCAAAACAGAAGAAGCAAGTCTTTTTTTTTTTTTTTTTTTTTTTTTTAAGAAAATGTGTCCCCAGCCGGGTGCGGTGGCTCACACCTGTAATCCCAGCACTTTGGGAGGCCGAGATGGGCGGATCATCTGAGGTCAGGAGTTCGAGACCAGCCTGACCAACATGGAGAAACCCCGTCTGTACTAAAACTACAAAAAAAATTAGCCAGGCGTGGTGGCACATGCTTGTAATCCCAGCTACTCGGGAGGCTGAGGCAGGAGAATTGCTTGAACCTGGGAGGTGGAAGTTGTGGTGAGCTGAGATCGCGCCATTGAACTCCAGACTGGGCAACAAGAGCAAAACTCCATCTCAAAAAAAAAAAAAAAAAAGAAAGAAAGAAAAGGTGTCCCCTTAAATGTGGTTATAAATACTTGTTCTTAGCTTCTGACTTCCATTTTTGCAAAGAAATAAAGTTTGGGTAAATATTTCCTACTGCTTCCTTAGCTAATGGCTTTCCAAAGTTTCCATACTGCTAGCTTGGTACCTAGTCATAACATTTTCAAGAAAACCAAACCAAGCCATGAAGTTCTGTTGTAAGAACAGCTTTATGTCTTATGAATTCACGCACCATTGGGCTAGGTAAAGGTGGATGATAGTCTACATTGAGACAAGAGTCATCTGGTAATTTGGCATTGAATGGCTTTTGTTTATTCCTGAGAACAAGTATTCCCTCCCACAGCTGCTCTGTGAACAGATGGAGATAATTTTATTTTCATATACTGCTTTGTAAACTAACTTGTACTTTTCAGCTAATGTTTTACCAGACACACTCATCTAACTTGCATGACTGAACATTTCTCCCATAACCTATAAGAGAATGAATTGGTTTTGTGGGTAATACAACTGCTTCCCAATAGCCGAGGTTTCTACCAAATTCTTTACATTAAGTCGTACAGTATAACAAGCTAAAATTCTAATACTCTGTACAACTGTTATCCTTTAAGTGACCTGTTACATGGAAGATATTAAATTCAGGTACTCTGAAACACCTGTTTTGAGGCATTAGAGAATACATTTAACAAACTTTGACATCATAGATGGATTTGGCATGTAAGGAAAATTTGTGCAATACAGTTGAATTTTTCGTATCCACTTCCAGGTATGAACTATTTCTCAAAGCCTAAATAAGTGCATACTGACTCTAGTGTTAGAATTCTTTAGTTTAACCAATATACTTCTTGCTTTCCAAATATGAACTTTTGCAGGGGGAGAATGATTAGTTTTATAAAATGTTGTAAGTTTTGATGACCATCAGCTAACAAAAGCATGAATTTCTATATGAATTCAAACCAAAAGTGAACTTATTAAATTTAGAATTATGCAACTTTGATATGAACTCCTTTTCCATACTCTCATGAGCTTAATATATAACTTAAATACAATACAATTGTGAGTAAAAACTGTGACACTAAGTACAGAAATTCATTGTGTTTAGTCACACACCACATCTGCAACAGAAAACAGTTATTTCTCATAGTTAATTGTATAGAAAATGTAATGAAAGAGTTGGACTAATCTAGACCACCTTAAAAGGGATCAGGCTGCTATTGTGCAAGAAATATGCAGTTTTTTTGTTTGTTTGTTTTGTTTTTGAGATGGAGTCTTGCTTTCTTGCCCATGCTGGAGTGCAGTGGTGCAATATCAGCTCACTGCAACCTCCGCCTCCCAGGTTGAAGCGATTCTCCTACCTCAGCCTCCTGAGTAGCTGGGATTACAGGTGCGTGCCACCACACCCAGCTAATTTCTGTATTTTTAGTAGAGATAGGGTTTCACCATGTTGGTCAGGCTGGTCTCAAACTCCTGACCTCATGATCCACCTGCTTCAGCCTCCCAAAGTGCTGGGATTACAGGTGTGAGCCACCGTGCCTGGCCGAAATATGCAGTCTTTATGGAGCTGTCAGGTCTTGAGAGTTTGTTCATTTCATGCAGAATAGTAAGACAGGGGTCACGTGTAAATGTATCAACCACTCAATCTGACCAAGAAAGGAATGACATTAAGGAAAAAAAAATCACGCTCTTTGGTGTTCTAATTTTACATTTAAGCAGTTAGATTATGTTTCTATTAAAAATCTGCTCTCTCTTAATTTTTAATTCAGTGTTACATCCTCTCATCTTTAAAAGTGGAAGTAAACGGTTAAGGATATGCTGTAGTTTATGTCATACACAATTTCGTAAATCCTGAAAAAGGACAAACTTCTTGACCAGGATATAGTAAAGAGAAAAATCCACTTTTCTCCTACAAATTATTCTAAGTTCACTGATGTTTAATGGCAGTCATAACAATAAGAAAAATGATTTCTTTTGGATTTGTATCAAGACAGTCAATTAAATTATACATCAAATTAGGTTGTAATTGAAAAATCTATTATTTTCTACTGTATTTCAATAGAATTGAAAATCCATTAACTTCAATCGTTAGTTTATAATAAACAAAAAATAATGAAACCACAAGTTTAAGTTGACAGACATTCATTGTAGAAATATACACACAGAGATATATACACACACACATTTCCTTACACAAAGAACCATGACCTGATTTACCATCTAACATTCTTGCCATCTGTTCAGTGCCCATGACTAGTGTATAAGACAAGGATCTGTTTACTGGCAAGTGAATAAAGCTTATTGGGCTGTGGCACACACTAGCAATGTAGCCATAATGCCATGTTTTAAATTTGTCTCTGGAAGTTGTTTCTTTTTAACTGCCTTTATTCACCATACATATCTTCATATTTAGAATTATAGATATTTATGGGGTGGATTAGTAGATAGATTTATTGATAGATATGTTATAGTATAAAATTTAATAAAATAATATTATCCCCATAAGGAATAGCAAATTCAAATGTCAAAGTTCTGTTTATGCATATATATTAAAGAAAGTCATTTACTGAACATTTTTATGTAGGACATAACCTTGATATTTAAATTATATTATCAGTTGTGGAAGTATTAACTAAGCCAGAGTCTCCAATGAAGTGCAAGTTCTCATAGACTTTGAAAGCTGGAGTCTATTAAAAGATCTAACTACCCCAACTACACAGAAAAATAACGTTTGCATTTAAGTGTTACTGACTTTATCAAAGTTAGACCATTTTACCAGAAAGAAATTAGTAACCTTGACAAAGAGGCTCCTAAGTGGCCCTTTTTTATAAATAAGTCAGATTATGACAACAGTTCAGTGGCCTCTCATGTCATTCAAAGTAAAACCCTTGTCCCTACAATGATCTGTAGGGCTCTGAGTGATGTGTCCCTACCCTGACTCTGGAATCTCCTCTCCTACCACTTTTCTCTTTGCTCTTTTCATTGCAGTCACAGCAGCCTTTTTCTTTTCTTGAACAAGTCAAGCATTCTTCTATCTCAAGGCATACACATTTGCTGCCTGGAGCACTTTTGCCCCAGATATTGGTAGGGTTTATTTTCTCACTTCCTTCAGCTCTCTGCTTAAATCAGTCAATAAAGTAGGTCTTCCTTGACCACTCTATATTAAAACAATAGCAACCATAAAAATGTGCTCCCTTTGTCACCTCTGAGGGTTCCCATCTCTCTCTTCCTGCTTTATTTTACTCTATAGACCTTATGGCCACATATATTTTTAGTTATGTGTTTAAGTCTATGTCTCCCTACAAGAATGTAAACTCATTGAAGATTGAAGCCAGGGATGTTTTTCTTTTTATACTTTTATTGCTAATCAACTCAAACCAAAACAGAGATGTTTGTTTTTTTCACTGCGTATTCTCAGTGCCTAGAGTATTGCTTGGCATATAGCAGCTGCTCAATAAATATTTGTTGAATTGAATGAATGAACAATGCAACTATATCCAGGACCAAAATAATGTGTTATTCTTTCTTCTTCCCTGCTGCAAATGTTAGCATTGGCTCAGTCTTTAGCATTGCTTTTATGACATTCCCTCCCTATTCTTGTGTTCTTTTTTTTTTTTTTTTTTCGAGACCGAGTCTCACTCTGTCACCCAGGCTGGAGTGCAGTGGTGTGATCTCGGCTCACTGCAACCTCTGCCTCCTGGGTTCAAGCAATTCCCCCGCCTCAGCCTCCCGAGTAGCTGGGACTACAGGCACGTGCCACCACGCCTGGCTAATTTTTTGTATTTTTAGTAAAGACGGGGTTTCACCGTGTTAGCCAGGGTAGTCTCGATATCCTGACCTTGTGATCCGTCTGCCTCAGCCTCCCGAAGTGTTGAGATTACAGGCGTGAGCCACCGCACCCGGCCACTTGTGTTCATATTTTCAGCCCCAACGAAACACATAGCAGGTGCTGATCTGGACTTGTATTTAGTGATACCACGCTTTTAAAAATTCCATACATTTAAAAAAAATAAACATACTCTATCTCCTGCCGAATAGTGATGGAGTAGTTTCTACTGTCACTACCAGGCCTCAGGATCATATTTCCCAAAGAAGGGTTCTTCTGGAGCATCTCAGTTGCCTCTTTCCGGGACACTGTATAAAAACATCTACAGAGGTGAGATAAAAAAACAGAATTGTTTTTTTAACTGATGAAGATCATTACTTGAAAAAAATACTACCAAAATAACTTTGAGAGCTGCAGTTGCTAACTTTTCTTAAAACTTCCGGTTTGATTATTCCAATTATGTAATTACAATGCTCTATTATTACAAGCCTGTGCCACTCTGTGTATGCTAACGTTAAGGTCTTCCTTCCTTAATTCTTCCAAAGCCTTTTTATACAAAGAGAACCTGAAAAGTTATCTACTGATCAGTATATAATCATCATTACCAACAAGAATTAACAATGTATCCCCAGTCTCAGTTGATAAGTAGGTTCTCGGATAAATATTTATTGGGGGTCTCCTTTCGGGGATACAAAACATCTGTAAATGTTTCTCTTGTATGGTCTATGTCTTAAACAACTGATATTTAAATATGTTTGCACTCATTTATTTTGGTGTAATATGTCTTTCTATGGCATTGTTGTTATTTTTATGTGCAAAATAAAAAATAAAGCACTTCTCATTTTTATAATATACAGATGCTCCTTGAATTATGATGGGATTATATCCCGATAAACCCACTGTAAGTTGAAAATATCGTAAGCTGAAAATGCATTTAATATGCATAACTTACTGAACATCATAGCTTAGCCTAGCCTACCTTAAAAATGCTTAGAACACTTACATTAGCCTATTGATGAGCAAAATCATCTAACACAAAGTTTATTTATAATAAAATGTTGAATGTCTCATGCAATGCATTGAATACTGAAAGTGAAAAACAGAATGGTTGTATGGGTACTCGAAAAGTAGAGTTTATACTGAATGCATATTGCATTTGCATCATCTTAAAGTCAAAAAGTCATTTAACCATTGTTCAACTTATACAGACCACCTGTAAATCGTAGTCAAGAAAATATATAGTCATATTCATAGAAAAAAAAAAACTAATAGAAAAAATCTGGTAGAAGCCTGGGCATGGTGGCTCACACCTGTAATCCCAGGACTTTGGTAGGCCAAGGCGGGTGGATCACTCGAGCTCAAGAGTTCAAGACCAGCCTGGGCAACATGGCAAAACCCTGTCTCTACAAAAATACAAAAATTAGCTGGGCACGGTGGCAGGTGCCTGTGGTCCCAGCTACTCGGCAGGTCAAGGCATGGGAATCGTTTGAGACCCAGAGGTGGAGATTGCAGTGAGCTGAGATCGTGCTGCACTCTAGCCTGGCTAACAGAGTGAGACACTGTCTCAAAAAAAACAAAAAAAACAAAAAAAAAACTAAAATGTTAATAGCAAATATCTCTGAGCGGTGGAACAAGGAATGATTTTAATCTTTTATATATAATAAACATATATTACTTGTTTTATTGAGAAAAAAGAAAAATTAGCAGTCCATGTGACTTTTAACTTATCAGTCCATCAGTTGCTGGTGGTTTCAGGTAAAAATGATGGTTGGCGGGTTTCAGTGATTGTAGTACAGATAGAGTATGCAACAGAACCTGATGTCAAACAGGGTACCAGGACAAGTTTTATTGACAACACCACCAAGATTCCAGGAGGAAAGAGCTCAGAATCTTTTCAATAATATAAAAAATAAATGTAGGATGTTGGTGAATTTAGCATTTTCTGCACTTCTTTATTTTTCCAACACCTTAAACATTTTACACAAGGCCTTTGTCAAAGTACAAGCTTGATGACTACTGACTAATTGGTCAGTTGAATAGAACATTCTAGGTATTGAAAATTTATTGGTATAATTTTCTGAGAGAAAATCAGTCAATCATAGAGTTTGCATAGTGAAAAAATATCTTTTCCTGCCTTCTTCATGGGAGTTTTTATTTAGGCGTGAGCTCTGGAAAGAGTATCTATTTGTTCTAAAGATGTGGGTGGAAGGGGATTTCCTGTGTGGTAAGATGGTTGGTTCAAATCTGCATTTTGTTGATCATGACATAGAAGAGGAAATATGGCATGTACGCAGAGATATACAGTTTATCCCCAAGACTGCTTATTGTCCCTGGCTTAACAAGAGCAAGTGACTAACTCTCCTTTATAATTAGAAATTAGTTTTAACAATCGAATGAATAAACTGCAGTTCATTGTGCACTTACGCTGGCATAGGGTTCAGTACATCCACATAATCTTCAGTTGGTTCCTTCTCTTTTTCCACGGACGTACTCTGCTCTGTCTCAATCCTCCTTTTCTTTTCTCTCTCTAGGACTTCATGCAGTTTAATTACTTGCCCAGGTAGGAGTGACACGTTTTGGGGAACTGACAGCTGAAACCAATTAAAAGAGTAGGCAGGCAAGAAAACAGCTTAATAACTTATAACTTTAGTAAAGACGACCCTGTTCTGGTCCTATAGGGCTACAGTTACCTGACAGAGGTGAATGAGTAGGGACTAAGGGAATAAGAAACAGAGGATTTTAGTCTAGGTTGGGTGTTTCAGAACCGCCTCTGCACCAACTACAACCTGCACAGAGTGCCTACCCTTCTGCCAAGGAATCATCCTTTTGGTTTGGCCCCAAAGCAAAGAACACCCCGCCTTGCACTAAAAGCTAATTCAAGTAACAACAAACCTCATATTTTTCATTCTGAGCTCACTAGTTCATCAATGCCAGGGATTTTCCAGAACACCTTCAAGGTACCTCACTCTCTCATAAGTTATCTGAAAAGATTTCCCCCAGCCATATGGCAACATGGGATTCAGATGGAACTGTTCATTAGGTGACTGAAGAGCAGCAGTCAGAGGTCGAAATTTTGCGTCTGTGGTGTGTTTCAAACATTCATTCACATGTTAGAATTATGATACTTTTCTACTTATTAGTTGGTTTTGTGGTGGTTGTTACCTTTCCTAGAGATGTATTTCAGATTGACTCACCTATATATGTCCTTCTGATTTATATTCATACCTGCAATTTTGACCTCATTATGACCAGCTCTGTGCTCTTAGAAGGTATAGTGTGAATGGTAAGATATTTTTTGTACGTGACCCTAGCAAGTCTTTATTTGGAGGCAGCCTTGTGTGATTATCACCTTTATCTTCAGAGAAGAGTGCATGCTTTCCAGGAGGTATACAAGAAAGTCCATTAGAGTATGGGAAGAAAACATTATAACTTCACTTTCTATTAAGTTACTATTTCACTAATTTCTATTATTATATATGTTTTAATATGCGTACAAGTACATATAAAATTTACACAAACATTTACTAATACAGATACACAATAAAAAAGGCTTAGAGACATTTTAGATAACTAAGATAATAACCAGTAAAACAATTTCCATATATACCAGAAAAAAATGAAATAATGGGGGAAAATACCTAATGAAACACATATCTTTATTAATTGACTATTATAGCTCAAGCATTGTACATGTTTTATTGCAACTCCTCACAGAAATGCTAGAAAGTATTGTTATACGGGAGGGCGCAGTGGCTCATGCCTGTAATCCCAGCACTTTGGGAGGCCAAGGTGGGTGGATCACTTGAGGTCAAGAGTTCAAGATCAGCCTGGCTAACATTATGAAACCCGTTTCTAATAAAAATACAAAAATTTTGGGTGGCATGTGCCTGTAATCCCAGATACTTGGGAGGCTGAGGCAGGACGATTGCTTAAACCTGGGAGGCGGAATTTGCAGTGAGCCGGGATCAAGCCACTGCACTCCAGCCTGGGTGACAGAGCAAGACTCCATCTCAAAAAAAAAATGGTATTGTTATCCCCAATTTACAAATGGTGACATAGTTTGGATATGTGTTCCCACCAAAGCTCATGTTAAATTAGCCCCAGTGTTGGAGGTGGGGCCTGGTGGGAGGTGTTTGGGTCATGGGGATGAATCTCTCATGGCTTGGTGCTTTTCTCATGTTAGTGGGTGAATTCTTGTGAGATCTAGTCATTTAAAAGTGTGTGGTCCCTCTTCCCCACTCTTTCTCTTTCCTACTCTCACCATGTGATATGTCTGTTCCCCCTTCACCTTCTGCCATGAGTAAAAGCTCCTTGAGGCCCTTCCCAGAAGCTGAGCAGATGCTGGCACCATGCTTCCTGTACAGCCTGCAGAACCAGGAGCCAATTAAACCTCTTTTCTTTACAAATTACCCAGTCTTAGGTATTTCTTTATAGCAATGCAAGAATGGCCTAATACAAATAGAAAAAAAAATCAAGCACAGAAAGATTAAATAGCTAGTCCAGAGTCAAATAGCTAGTAAGTTATGGAACCAGGACCCAAACTGGGGTTTATTTGATTCAAAAGCAATGTCTCAGCTCTTTCAACTACATACAGTCTGAGCTTCTCTCACTTCTCTACTAAAGTCATCCTAATAACAACATACTGTAAATGTTCATATACCATGATCTGGAATCATAACACAAAACAACATTTACAGAATACACAATTTGAGGCAACTTGTCTTCTCTTAAAAATTCACATGGGCTGGGCGTGGTGGCTCACACCTGTAATCCCAGCACTTTGGGAGGCCGAGGTGGGAGGATCACTTGAGGTGGGAGGATCACTTGAGGTCAGGAGTTTGAGACCAGCATGGCCAACATGGTGAAACCCCACCTCTACTAAAAATATTTTTTAAAAAACTTAGCCGGGCATGATGGTACGTGCCTTTAATCCCAGCTACTTGGGAGGCTAAGGCAGGAGAATTGCTTGAACGCAGGAGGTGGAGGTTGCAGTGAGCCAAGATTGCACCACTGCACTCCAGCCTGGGTGATAGAGTGAGACTCTGTCTCAAAAAAAAAAAAAAAATTCACATAAATTTGATTTTATATTCTGTTACTTATTTATGTGTGTATTTTAATATAAAAATAATGCTTTTTATTTTTACTCCAGGAAAGAAACTAAAAACAAAATGTTTGGCCAAAACTTTATACATACTTAGTGTACCGGGGGGATGCAAAAAGTTTTTGCCAGAGTTTTTAGTGTACTCCTTGATACTTAGTCACATACCTTTGGGATAGTTATACCCGGTATTGGAAGCACCATACCACTCAGAGATATTTTCCACAACAGAGGGAAAGAGTGCAATTCCCCAGGATTCCTTCCTCTCCCTCTCAGAAGTCAACATGTTCTTCACATCTTTAACTGGTCCGCTTTTCTAGCCTCATATAACTTCCCTACACAATAGTTGAACCTCTAACTTTTACCTGTTACTGGCTGAAATAAAGAACCTGCATCCATCAACTTGGTAAAGTGCAGTGCTTATTTCAGATGACTGCAATGGCTTACTTAGAAACTAGCTTTGGATAGAATCTGTGTTTAACTGACTCTAATAAACACAGTTTTTATATCCTTTTAAATTACTAGAGAACATGGTGCTCCTTGGGAGGCTGGTTATCAAAGAACGTCATGTTTCCAAGGCAATTGCTACAGTGGCTTTATCTAAAATAATGGACATTATCTTACTGCAAGAGTTAACTCTAAGCAGTAGATCTTACTATTTGCCTCTGATAAAACACCACAGAGTTGAACAGATAAGCATCCTGTTGTTTTAAGACTCACTGAAGAAATGTTTAAAGGTGAGTTTTCATTTTTATGGTCTCTCCCTGTTACATTGTCTATGTTATTTATAAAATTCATCTTGGCTAGTATTCTATAAATATGTATTAAATAAATAAAAAAGAAATCAGAGGCCGGGCACAGTGGCTCACACCTGTAATCCCAGCACTTTCGGAGGCCGAGGCCGGCAGATCACTTGAGGCCAGGAGTTCCAAACCAGCCTGGCCAACATGATGAAACCTCATCTCTACTAAAAATACAGAAATTAGCTGGGCATGATGGTGCATGCCTGTAATCCCAGCTACTTGAGAGGCTGAAGCAGGAGAATCACTTGAACTCTGGAGGTGGAGGTTGCAGTGAGCCAAATTATGCCACTGCACTCCAGCCTGGGTGACATAGTGAGACCTCATCTCAAAAAAAAAAAAAAAAGAAAGAAAGAAAGAAAAGAAAAGAAATTGGAATGTATTTTCAAACATGCTGTATTAGCTACAAATATCAGAATATACAAAGGACCACTGAGTCAAACAGATAAGACCAAAAAGTAGATCTCCTTTACCACCCGTTACTCCCTAGCGAATTGCCTTGTTTATTTTCTTCATAACAATTGTCACAATGTGAAATGATCATCTGTTTACTTGTTTACTTTCTCCCTCTCCACCACCTGATGAAAATATAATGTTCATAAGTAAGTGCAAGAGTTTAGGTCTATCTTTTTCAATTGCTATATCTTCAGCCACTTTCACTCTGCATGGATCATAGGGTGTTCAGCAGATATTTGTTGAAAAAAAAAAAGAATCAATCAAAAGCAGTGAGCTTCCTACCTCTGTTACTGTAAGAATGAAGCCTCTCCATTCTTCCCCACTTTCTGTGTTCTCTGTCTAAAGTTGAAGACAAAAACAGATAAAGCCAAAGAAGGAAATACATGAGTGATTGAGCATAAAATAAATAATTATGACTGAGCCTAAAAAATAATTCATTTTCTTTTTTTGGCTTAGAACTACTAATGTGTATTTTTTATGAAATATTTCAATACTATTTTCTTTTGTCAGAAGACATACAGCTGTAATCTGTTTGCTTACTTAAAACAAATGAACATGTACAAATTTACTCAAAAAAATTAAATGTTAGAAAACTTACTTTTGCAGTATGTCAATTCACAGTTACTCTCTCCATTAGCAGTTAAAATGGACTGGCTTTAAATTCAGGACAACCAAATTTGATAGTAGAAACTTCCAATTCTTAGCTGTAAATACTAGTACTATGTTATTACTAATAATAACAATACCAGGTCAGGGTTGGTAGCTCATGCGTGTAGTCTCAGCACTTTGGGAGGCTGAGGTGGGAGGATCACTTGAGCTCAGGGGTTTGAGACAGCCTGGGCAACATGGTGAAACCATGTCTCTACAAAAAATACAAAAAATTAGCCTGTTGTGGTGGTGTCAGCTACTTGAGAGGCTAAGGTGAGAAAGTTGCTTGAGCCTGGGAGGTCAAGACTGCAGCCAACATATTTTGAGCACTTTTAGTGGTAGCTACTATTTTAAGCACTTCACAGGTATTACTTGATTTAACCTTCAAGGCAACTTGGCAAAAGGTCTTATTATTTTTGCTTGTTTGATTGTTTTATAGATTTGTTCATTTAACAGATATTTACTAAGTACCTTTAAGTGCTAAGCACTATTCTACACACTGGTTTATATTAGGGAACGAAAAAAAAACCTTGTTCTCATGGAGTTTAGAGTCTAGCAAGGAATGATAAATAATAAACATAATAGTAAATTTTATAGTGTCGAAAAGAAAGAAATGAGAAAAATTAAAGGTACAGCAGGGTAAGAGAGATTAGGAGTCCAACTAGGGGCATAGGAGAGGAGAAAAACGTTGCCACTGTAATAAAGTGCTCCAGGTAGGCCTTGGTGAGGGGGTTTCATCTGAGAGGAGACTTACTTCCGGGTGAAGAAACAAAGACACAAAAAGGGTAAGTAACTTGCCTATAATCACAATGAATGAATAACTAATAAAACAGCCCAAATTCAGACCCAAGTATCTGACACCAGTCTTGTGCTCTTCACTATCATATCTGCAAATCATCCGGGGAGCTTGCTTAAAATATAGGTTTTGAGTTGGGGGATGGGGGTCCGATCTCCTTAGTACAGGCGATTCCTATTACACGGAAGTTCAGACCAGTGCTTTTCAAGGTCAATCAGTAATCTCCCAGGAAAAGTCTCCGAGTATATCTTATTTAATACAAGTTGTTCTCTTTATGTTATTACCGTGGTTACTGGGTGACTTTTATTGGCTCATTTTGAATGCTGATTCAAGAACAACCTTAGCAAACACCAGGTGGGATCCTTGACTTTGTCAGAGGGCAGGAGTATCTGGTTTCGTGGCGCTTGTATGCTAAACAAGTGAACACGTCTTTTTAAATTCCAATTCAGAAAACTAGGTCTTGGCCAGACGCAAGCAAAAATATTAACAAAGTGTAAGACTTAGCCTGTCTTACAATTTCTCTTTACTTCAGCCACTGGATGTGAAGAATGTTATTTATAACCACAACCCTTTACAGACTACTGTTTCTCCTCGCTCACCTTCAGTTGTACTTCCTCTTTCGGCAAAACAAGGGTGAATTTCGCACAGTTCTTTTCAGTTGAATTCTGCTCAGTAAGGCATGTGAGGTCTACTATGTCTAATTTGTCAACATACTGCAAAGATAAAGGAAGATCACATTACATTATTTCATGGGTAATACACATTAGTTCTAGCAGGAAGCAAAATAAGTAATATCTTCCTTTCAACTAATTAGTACTTTGTATGATATCCTGGTTTTCCTAATCCCAGAGGACATGTGGAAATGTATTATGTGGTGGTGTGCTGAACCTGGCTCACACAGGTTTGCAAAAGCCAATTGTTAAATTTTCAGGAATTTTGCAAGCAAGTTGTTAAACACAGCCATTATTTTAAAAATCGAATTATATAAACATACCAGTAAATAAATTATATTCAAAGCAAAGGTAATTAAAACAAAATTTGTTACATTCTATTTCTATATTTTACTGTTCTCTATGTTCTTAAGGTTATTTACATCTTCATTTCTGGATGGTGAAAATACCATATAATACTGTGCTACTGTGCTTTTCTTCCCAACTACATGCTCCGTGAGGTCATACTGTTAGGTTGAAATCAGCCACAGTGAGAGTATTTTACACCATGCAAATTGGTAAACCTTACAAATCAAGCTTGATTTATTATTTTGTTGATGTCCAGGGGCAGCACTTTTTTTCTGCAAAAGGCCAAACAGTACCATACTTCAGGCACACATACAGCCTGTTGTACATTCTTCGTTTTTGTTTTTTTCTTTAGAAACACTTTAAACATATAGAGACATTCTTAGCTCAAAAACTGAAGAAAATCAGGCCATAGGCCAGATTTGGCCCATCATCCAGATTATTGGCCCTTGGTGTAGGCTTTAAAAAGTAAAGGAAAAAATGTTAATATGCAGATGAGATAGGTTTGTTGTGTCTGAATCTGTTTCACTCTAAATAGAACAAAAATTGACAAAATATTCTTCCAGAATTCAAAAACTATTATCTAATTCAGCAAAGAAATTGCTCACATTTATTGATTTTAATACATACATGATGTTTTGACATACATCATTTTACTTTCTTTTTACTCATTAATGTAAATGAAAATATTAGAAAATATTCATGTCAAATATCATATTTAATGATAATAAATTTATTATGGAAAGAGCAGATTTAAATACCATTTAAATCTCCATTTGTCAAATTATGATCGAATTACATTGACAGTTGGTTACCAATGCAAGAGTTAGGCAAAAATCAAGGAAAGCATTCTGTGAGAATCAATTGTCTGTATGGACATTACAATAAAGACTATTGTGTATTTTTCTAATTGTGTACTATACATTGTTCATATCAGTAATATTTATAACAAGTTTATGTATATATATATTCATACTTTTTTCCAGAAAGCTATTCAGCATTTACTGCACACCACTGATTATGGCAATCCTATTAAGAAATTCCTATCCTATCCAAGTATAATAAAAATATTTCTTCTGAGAAATTGGTCAATTTCCACTCTCTATATGCAACGGGCTTGCCTTCTAGTAGTAGAAAGAACTACCTGTAGTAAGTATAGTAGGGTTTTTATGATATATATATTTTTACTAAATTAGCCTCATTCTTGAGTTCTTTTTATCTCCTTTTATGTTTCTTTCAATTGTAGCCAATATGACTTATTTTACTGTATATCTGTAAGTCTTATTTTTCTGAGTAAAGTAGGACATAAAAATAGGTATATAATTTTTTTCCAAAGCTATTTCTATATTGATGAGTTTGAGAGAAAGTTCGAGTTGGCCTAGTTATTTTCAATTTAACCATTCCACAATGTATATATATTTTAAAACATCATGATAAACAATTTTATATGTCAATTTTAAAAATAAATACATTCAAAAAATATGGAAGGGAGGTTCAAAGGAAGAAAGAATCTAAAATTAAACAGAAATCTTTTTTCTGAGGGATTGTCTAGATCAAGCTCAGTGAGTTTTGCTGCAACAAAGGAGGAAGCAACAGAGGAAGAGGTGGCAGTTAGTTAGAGTGCAGTAGCCTGATCCATTGATTAGAGGAAAGGAAGTCATATCTTTTTGTTTTTATTTGTATCTTGTGAAGAGGCTTAAAGGTCATCTGTCTAACCTCACTGACATCTGATGGCATCTCTGCCAGGGTATCCTTTCATTAGTCATCCAGTCTGTGTTCAAACATCTCTAACATGGAACTCATGCCTCCTGAGCACCTCTGCCTACTAGCAAGTTTTTTCTTGTATTAAGCCACAACTTTCCTCCAATTTTCATCCATTGTCCTAATCTCTTCTTTCTGGAATAACATGAAACAAATTCAGTGACCCTTTCACACGACTTCCTGACAGCCTTTCAAATATTTAAAGCCAGCTTTAAATTCTTCCCTTTTGTAAGACAAAAATCTACACTTCTCACCTTGTCTATCCCAGTGCTTTCTTCTGAGACTATCACTTTAAAAAGTTCCCAAAAGGTCTGTATACTCTTAACAAAAATTGGTAGATGGGCAATTCTGAGACATTTCACTAGAACAATTTCCTCATGGCATGGTGATGAAGAAGGCTGGCTTAGGAGCAAGACCTGGATTGTACCTTTCGTATTACCTATCTAACCTTGTACAATTCTTAATCTTTAAACTTCACTAATCTCATCTATAAAGCCGGAATTAAAATAGCACCCATTCTGCAGAGTTGTGAGACTTAAATTAGGCAATGCATGTAAAATGCCTGAATGCTTACTATGTGCCAGCTACTCTCTTAGGTCCTTACATGTACTATCTCATTTAGTTATTTTGAGAACCTTATAAAATGGACTACTATTTTTATTCTGATTTTAGAGATTTGAAGACTGTGTTGGAGATCTTTTGTTTGCTCTTTTAGATTCACTTTTATTCCTTCACCACCCAACACTCTGCGGCAGGAGAGAGACCTGTATGGACAACATCAAGGGGCTCCGTACCCTTTGAGTTCCTATTGGGTTGGACCACTGGAGAACAGTGGCAGGAGATCAGAAGAGTGAGGGTGGGTATTTATTACCATAAGCAGTTGCTCCCTCAGTCAAAGATCATACTCTCCTTAAGGCAGTCATCTCCATACAATTCACACTACTTTCCCACTCTTTCCTCTGAGTCCTAGGCATGGTAATGAACACTGTTTTAACCTCAGGATTCTGTACTATCTTTGTAATTTTCCTACACCCTGTTCACTGCTTTGCATATTTATTAAAACTTTATTAAATTCTCTTCAAATTGCCCAATTTGAGATGTCTTCTGTTTCCTACCAGTTTCCTGTCTGATAACACTGAGACACAGAGAGGTGGGGTAACTGGCCCAAGATTCTGCAGTTAACAGTGGCAGGGCTAGGACAAACACCCAGGCAGGCTGTCTGAAGAGACCAGGCTCTCGATTATTAAGCTTTACTGCCTCTTGCCATGTAGTAAGTGAGCAAAAATTGTTAGCTCTCTCACTTACTGTGCAATAGAAAAGGTTAGAATAAAAGCTCTTTTACATTTACTGACATCAGTGGGAAATTGGAATGCACAAAAGAGAAATTAATTTTGTAAAATTTATTATGGCATTTGAAAACATTCTACATTACACAGGTTATTTTTCTGTCTCTTTCATTAGATGTTGGCTTCTAATAATGATGTTCTAATTATTAGATGGGCTACTATATCCAGATCCAGAATGTTTATATTTAATCAAGTTACTGGCTCATAAAGTCTCTTATAGTGTTCCAAGGTAGGTAAGCATTTGCCACTAAAATACTATATCTTATTCCTGGAAGAACTGAAACATACAATCAAAATTTGAAATTAATATGAATAAATAAACCTCAGAATCCCTTTATTGTTATTCTCATGTTTAAGCCTTTAGAAGTCCTGCTTTGTGAATATGTTTTTGTCTTTTCAGAAAAATTAAATAATGGCTTTGCATGCTCTGGAGATCATTTTGTTCCTTTCCAATTATAACTGCATGCTACAGCAAGATAAAAAGTGGGAGAAATTGAAGCTATCACTTGGTATTAAGCAATATATGTGCAGATGTCTTGTCAAAAATTTTCACTTTTTAACTAAGTTTAGTTATCAGAATCAGAAAGAAAATAATGAAAAGTAAAAAACATGAGTCAATATCTTCTTCGGAATTGCCCAGGAAAATTTACCATCGTTCCTGTGATCATTGGCGGCCCCCACAGATTTAAACTTTATTTTTTGAATTAATTTTACCAGAGCATCTTTATTCTTGGATGGCAGAAAATCCAAAATGAATAATATGCTATGTGACAAGGGTATATTGGGAAACAATGGAATCAGCTCAACATATTTACTTACTATTATACTCTTTTTGTCGGTATAAAAGAAAAGAGTAGTTCCTCTCAACTCTGTCCAGTAATGCTCATACTCCTGTGGGAAAGAAACCATAAACATTATTTCATTAGTGTATATTCAACTATTTTTCTAATAATATTATCCTTTGTAACTTTCTTAATTGCTTGTGTGATATAAGAAGTCTTCTTTATCCTGGATAATTCTAATTTTTATAGCTTAATTTTACATTTAATTCTTTTCATTTTTTGAGATAGGTTCTCTGGTCTCAATATGTCCCCCAGGCTGGACTCTCCAACTCCTAGGCTCAAGCAATTCTTCTGCCTCAGCTTCCCCTCCAAGTAGCTGGGACTACAGGCATATGCCACCATACCTGGCTTAACATTTTATTTCCTTCCTCCCTCCCTCCTTTCTTCCTCCCTCCTTTCTCCCTTCCTTCCTTCCTTCCTTTCTCTTTCTTTCTTTCTTTCCTTCTCTCTTTTTCTTTTCTTTTCTTTCTTTTTTCAGAGTCTTGCTCTGTTACCCAGGCTGGAGCGTAGTGGTACAATCATGGCTCACTGCAGCCTTGAACTCCTGGGCTCAAGCAATCCTCCCACTCCAGCCTCCAGAGTAGCTAGGACTACAGGCCCATGCCACCACTTGATTAAATCATTCTCAAGTTTATTTTAGTATAACATTTCAGATAAGGATATACAATCATGTGCCACAAAAAGATCTTTTGGTGGATGACAAACCGCCTATATGATAGTGGTCCCATAAGATACAATGGCGCTGAAAAATTCGTATCAACTGTCAATAATGTTGTAGCACAATGCATGACTCAGGTGTTTGTGGTGATGCTGGCAAACAAACCTACTGCATTTCCAGTCAAACAAAAATATAGGACATATAATTATGTACAGTAAATAATACTTGTTAATGATTAATAAATGACTATGTTACTGGTTTATGTACTTACTATACTATACTTTTTAATCATTGTTTTAGAGTATACTACTTCTACTTTGAAAAAACATAACTAACAGTGAAGCAGCCTCAAGCATGTTCTTCAGGAGGTATTTCTAAAGAGGGCATTGCTATCATAGAGATGACAGCTCCATGCATGTTATTACCCCTAAAGGCCATCCACTGGGGCTGGGCCTGGTGGCTCACGCTGTAATCCCAACACTTTGGGAGGCTGAGGTGGGCGACTCCCTTGAGGCCAGGAGTTCCAGACCAGCCTGAACAACATGGCAAAACCCCATCTCTACCTAAAAATACAAAAATTAGCCAGGCATTGTGACGTGCACCTGTAATCCCAACTACTCAGGGGGCTGTAGCAGAAGAATCACCTGAACCCAGGAGGCAGAGGTTGCAATGAGCCAAGATCATGCAACTGCACTCCAGCCTGGGCGACAGAGCGAGATTCCATCTCACACACACACACACAAAATGGAATAAGATATGAAGGTGGAAGATAATGATATTGATAATCTTGACCCTGCGTAGGCCTAGGCTAATGTATGTGTGTCTTAGTTTTAAACAAAAAGCTTAAAAAGTAAAAAAAAATAAAATAAAGAATTTTAAAAATAGAAAAAGCTTATAGAATAAGGATATAAAGAAATAAAATATTTTTGCAGAGCTGTACAATGTGTTTTTGTTTTAAGGTAATGTTATTACAAAAGAGTCAAAAATTAAACAAGTTTATAATGTAAAATAGTTACAGTAAGCTAAGATGAATTTGTTAATGAAAAAGAAAAACATTTTTTATAAACTTAGTGTAGCCTGAGTGTACAGTGTTCATAAAGTCTACAGTAGTATCTGATGATATTCTAGGCCTTCAGATTTACTTACCACTCACTGACTTACCCAGAGAAACTACCAGTCCTGCAAGCTCCATTTGTGGTAAGTGCCCTATACAGGTATACCATTTTTTCTTTTATACCATATTTCTACTCTGCTTTTGCTATGTTTAGATATGTTTAGATAAACAAATACTTATCATTGTGTTACAATTGCCTACAGTATTTAATACAATAACATGCTATACAGGTTTGTAGCCAAGAAGCAATAGGCTATATCATATAGCCTAGGTGTGTAATAGGCTATACCATCTATGGTTGCATAAGTATACTCCGTGATGTTCACACAATGATGAAATCACCTAACAATGCATTTCTGAGAATATATCCCCATTGTTAAGTGACTCATCACTGTAATTTGATTTGTGTTTAAGTAGTTCATTTTCTAAAACTTTCCTCATTGATTTAAGACTTTTTATGCAATTTCAGTGGAAGCCTACGCATGTCAGATGGACCAGTGAAGGGCCCAGCATAGGAAAAGCATATAATATCTACCTTCTAGGACAGATGAAATAATTTAATGAATTAATACATGTAAAGCACTTAGCAGAGTACATGGCTCATAGCTGGGGTTCAGTAAATAGTATATATTATTGACAGATCAAGAAAATGTGAGAAATTGATAATTGAACACCATCAAAGCTGAACTTTAAAATCCAAATCTTATTGATGTGGTGAATATTTAATTATTAATACATTCATATTACTCTAGATTCTACAGAAATATGACTTTTGAAGTTTAAAATATTTAAATAACCTAGTTAAACTCCCATTTCATTCAATTAAGTTTATTTAAATAAATATGAAGAGTGACTATATTACAAAAGAATGGCAAGTAAGTTTTAAAAATAAAATCCTTTCACATCTAAAGATTTACTTTCATATGCAGCTTTTCCCAAAAGTGTGTTTTAAAAAAATTCCTGTTATTTTAATAAACATGTTAATCATTCCTTCCTTTATGGTTTGATAAGCTGATGTTTTACAACTTATTGAACCATCATGATATTGGCGATTAATATAAGAAAGTTATATAAAGGGTTTTCTCTTTTATTGTGCATGTGAAGATACTTTGTCTTATGGTATTTTGTGTCTCTTCAATATTAACATATCCTTTATGTTTTTTAACCAGTAAAATGTTTGTCGACTCTTCAGAATTTATATGCTTATTTTCTCAAATAATGACGACTCTATAACTCAATTTTGCTTTTAATTCCCTGGCTACCAGGAAGCTCAAGATTAAATTCATTTTGAACTACAATCACCATTTTTTTCTTATGCTCTTGGTAGAACTCTTTTCTTTCTTTGTCTTCATGCCTAATAAGATAATATATGAGTTAGCTTCTCCCATGTAACAAGTCACCCTATAACTTAGTGGACTAAAATAAGCAAATGATTTCTATTTCTCACCATTCTATGGTTGGCTGACGGCCTTTCTGATCTGGGCTTGCTTGGCTATGGCTGAATGGTCTAAGGTGGCCTCACTTACTTGTCTAGGGTCTTAGCTGGGAAGGCAGGAATGACTGGGAAGGGAGGGACAACTGGAGTCTCACTCTATCCATTCTTTTATCCAGTCAGCTAGCCTAGACTTGACACATGCTGGCAGAAGGATTACCAGGAACAAGAGAGAGCAAAACCCAATGGGCAAGCTTATTCTAAGACTTTGCTTGTGTCACATTTACCAACACATGTCACATAACCCAATCCAGATTCAAAGGCTAGAAAATTATTGTTTGCTGTAAGTTCAATTTTGAAACATAAAATAAAGATTAGAGAAATAGATTCAGCCTCTTTATAGGATGAGCAGAAAAGTCATATTTCAAAGAGAGGTACATACAGTAAGACTTGAACAAATTGGTAGTGTGACTGCAGCAATCAACCTCAGGGGCACATTGGAATTTGGGACAAGGTATCTTTGTTCAAGCCCTGCTGTGTTTTCACTCTATCCTCCCCCCAGTTGAGAACTGGTTATAACATGCAATGAACCTGCTGATGCCTCTTGAACCAAGGAACAAATTACCATAGAAAAGAACAATTCAAAAGGGCATATTATTGAAGGATCAGCCAATAAATGGTCCTCAAAGAAGTAGTTATAAAACTAGGCAAAGAGATTCTCTTTCTTGTCTGAAATCCAGATGCCCAATATATACCTGATACGTCTCAGTCAAGCAGTTTAATGACAAGAAAACACATCTTAATTTCAACCCCATCCAAAGTCTTTTCTTTCCTTCTTTTTATATAGGATGTAAAGTGTTATTGCTATAACAGTATCCCTTTACCTGTCTTTCTACCACTTTCTTATACTTTCTAATCTATTAATCTACTCTATTTTTATTTTATTTTATTTTTTGATGGAAGTCTCACTCACTCTGTGGCCCAGGCTAGAGTGCAGTGACGTGATCTTGGCTCACTGCAACCTGCTCCCCTCTGGGTTCAAGAAATTCTCCTGCCTCAGCCTCCCCAGTAGCTAGGACTACAGGCATGTTCCATCATTCCCAGCTAATTTTTATATTTTTAGTAGAGACGGAGTTTCACCATGTTGGGCAGGCTGGTCTCTAACACCTGACATCAAGTGATCTGCCCATTTCAACCTCCCAAAGTGCGGGGATTACAGGCATGAGCTACCGTGTCCAACCTACTTTCGAATCTATTCTGCTCAGTACTGCCAGGGTGAATTATTTCCTTTGCAGAGAGTAGGACTGAGTATCTAATAGGTGTGTTTGGGAGGCAGCAAGCTCAGCTCAGCCCCTTCCTGTCCTCTCTCAGCTCAGTCTACCAGGAGAGAGTGAGTGTACTGCTCTGTTCCCTGCCATGTGGCAAAGGGCCTCCAAGAGGTTCAGCTTGTGGCTCTTAATCTGAGTCAGTGACTTGATGTAGCTCAAGGCTACCCAAATCTGGAGTAAAATATAAGCACAGTTTTGGCCTTAAATCTAAACTGCACATTGATAATTTGTCAATAATAAAAGTAACTAACTGATCTTCATTTGTGTGATTTCTGTGTCTGGCTGGTTTCAAACTTGGGAGAAGAAAAATTCTAATAAAAGAGTATATAAAAAATGTAAAAAAGAGGGAAGAGGGCCAGGCGCGGTGGCTCATGCCTGTCGTCGCAGTACTTTGGGAGGCCGAGGCGGGAAGATCACCTGAGGTCAGGAGTTCGAGGCCAGTCTGGCCAACGTGGTGAAACCCTGTATCTACTAAAAATATGAAAATTAGCCGGAGTAGTGGCGGGCGCCTGTAATCCCAGCTACTTGGGAGGCTGAGACAGGAGAATCTCTTGAACCCAGGAAGCGAAGGTTGCAGTGAGCAGAGATCGCGCCACTGCACTCTAGACTGGGCGACAGAGAAAGACTCTGTCTCGTAAAAAAAAAAAAAAAAAAAAAAAAAAAAAAGCAGTTGGGTTGAGGGGGGAAGAGAAGTGGGTATGACTGCCCATGGAGCTTCTTTTTGAAATTATGAAAATGTTGTGGAATTAGATACTGGTGATGGTTGTATAAGTTTGTGAATATATCAAAAGACACTGAATAATAATAATTATTATTGTGTCTCCCATATGAGAGTTTACTTTAAGGAACCAAAAATAGGAGTACCCAAAACTAGGAGTACCCCATAAACACAACACCACCTCCTGCTATTGCTCCATAGAGTTGTTGAATAATTGAATGGACTAATAATGTATGTGTGTAAAGCACCTAAGACCTGGGACATAGCAAGTATTTCATAAATGTCAGGCACTTTAAAAAAAGAAAAGAAAAGAAAAAGAAGAGCATTGCCTCAACACTCACATTATTGGCAAGAACTTTGCATTTTTTATTAGCCACATAATACTTCTTCCATGTGGTGATTTGTATGTGTGGGTGTGATAGCAGTATCTAAAAATTTCTAAAATAGATCTCCTTCAATGGTAATATGTATGAGAAGGAGGAAATATTTTCTAAACCAGAATAATGAAACCCATTGTCATTCCTATGTAAAATCACCCTTTCATGTTTTCTTAAATAAAGAGGTTTAAAAATCCATTTAGAAATCTGGCTTGAGAAGTTGCTAATATATACTAGCACTGCGATCAGATAGCCATTCTGTAAAAAACCATATGGGAGTGACTAGTTTTTTTCACTCTGTTAAAAAATACTTGTACTTTCTCAATCTGACCTATAATTACATAACAAAATAATTAAAATTTATCTTGCAAGTTGTTTTGTTTCTTTGCTTATCCGACCAACTCTTTTTAAGGCTTCCCCACCCTGCATTAATGGTAAGCCTCTGCAATGAAAGGAGTAAATCAAGGCTCTCCTGTTTTTTGGAGCTGGGAAGCAGGTGAGGAACAGTGCAGGAGGAGATGGGAATGTAGAGAAATGCATATTGTTCTGAGAACTTTATCATCTGTGTAGTTTGTTTGTTTGTTTGTTTTGAGATGGAGTCTCCTGTCACCCAGGGTGGAATGCAGTGGTGTGATTTTGATCTCTGCTCACTGAAACCTCTGCCTCCCAGGTTGAAGCCATTCTCCCACCTCAGCCTCCCAAGTAGCTGGGATTACAGGCACATGCCACCATGCCTGGCTAATTTTTGTATTTTTAGTAGAGGCAGGGTTTCACCATGTTGGCCAGGCTGGTCTCGAACTCCTGACCTCAAGTGATCCACCCGCCTCAGGCTCCCAAAGTGTCATTTGTGCAATTTTACTAAAGTATGGCTTCTAAGATCTAGTCCAACTCCAGGATTGTATGATTCCTGGAGGAAAAAAATACAAGAGAAAACCCTGAAGTCAAAGCCTACCACTCTGTTCATCGTCCTAATCAGCCTCATAACTACAGTATTACCCTGCCATAAGGTATAAAAACTAGTATTACTGATAGCCAGTAAAGGTTTATTGAATTCCCTCTGTATGTACATGCAGACCTCCATTGCACTATCGAGAAAAATTGTAGAGGTGTTCAGTCTCAAAAGAATGATATGAATTGGGTAAAGTTAAATAGGGAAAAATGGGAGTTTTACAGGTAAGCAAACGTATATACTTGTGGAAAGGATTAAGGATTTATTAAATGGGGGGAAAAGCAAGTATAAAGGCACTAAGTTGAAAGCAAAGGCAGCCCTGGAGGAAAAGTAAGGTTACAAATAGCATTAGACCATGTGAACTGCAACCACAGCTGCAAACCTAAGGACAGACCAAACTTATATTCAGTATGCAGAGACTTACAGGTCACAATCTTGATTTCATTTCGATAAGATGTAATAAATACACATAGAATCTGAGTCATTTATAAATATCAATCTCAATAAACAACATCTAGGTACCTATTCATATCTAGAGAAATACTTAAAAATTAAAAAAATTAATTTGGAAGGACATATCTTTGGAATGAAGCACAAATTTCTTTTTTTTTTTTTTTAACAATCGTTTGTGTGAAATCATTGATGTAAGAAAAGAGGCTGAAATAAGACTTCTGAATTTATCACTAGCTTAACTAGGAAACCTACAATCAAATGGTAGAATTTGAGTTTGAGAAGCAGCATGGTCAAGTGCATCACAATCAAATCCAAGCTAGCCTCCTTAATGGAAGAGGAACCTTGAATAACCTCTGTGGCCAGAACTCACTCATTTGTTTATTTGGAGTTGTTGTTTTAGAGAGACAGGGTCTCGCTCTGTTGCTCAGGCTGGGGTGCAGTGATGCAATCATAGCTCACTGCAGCCTCGAACTCCTGGGTTCAAGTGATCCTCCCACTTCAGCCTCCCGAGTACCTGAGAATACAGGGTGTGCCACCACGCCTGGCTAATTTTTTGATTTTGTAGAAATGGGGTTTCGCTATATTGCCTAGGCTGATCTCCAACTCCTGGCCTCAAGCAATCCTCCTGCCTTGGCCTCCATAAGTGCTGGGATTACAGGGATGAGCCAGCATGCCTCACCTACTCACTCATTTGTGAAGTGAATAAAATAATTTCTACCCAGAAGAGTTACTGTAAGGATCACAGTGACAGAACACTAAGAGCCTAGAATGGGATCCATTATATGTTATACCTCAAAAGGTTGCATTCATTATTATATAGTCCACTTAGTCATTGGAGCAACCTATTCAGCTATGCAAGAGAGTAATTATTCTTTTTAGAAAGGAGAGAACAGATTTAAAAATGTGAAGGAATCGCCCAAATTCTAGAATTGGACTGATACTTTTATCTCTTGACTTCCCAGTGCTCTTTTCTCATTAATACAACTAGCAAAAATGAATTAACTAGCAAAAATGAATTACAATGCAAGCTCCAGTTAAGTTTCTCTTCCTCTGTCCCCAATAAAAAGCTCTCATTCTTTGTTTTTGTGCGCAAGTAAAGTACATTTACCTAAGGAAGAATGTTGTATAGTGGTCTCCAAAATGGGATGCATAAATTCCAAAGGTGTGCAAGATGATCCATTGGGAGAGAAAATTTTAGAATATTTAATTATATTTTATTTCATATTTCTTAATTCATTTTTTATATATCAAATAATTTACATGGATTAATAGTACGGGAATATATATATTTATAATTTCCAAATGAATTAATATTCTTTTTTTGTTGTTTTTGAGATGGAGTCTCCCTCTGTTGCCCAGGTTGGAGTGCAATGGCGCAATCTCCGCTCCCTGCAAGCTCCGCCTCCTGGGTTCACGCCATTCTCCTGCTTCAGCCTCCTGAGTAGTTGGGACTACAGGCGCCCACCACCTCGCCCGGCTAATTTTTTTTTTTTTTTTTTTTTAGTAGAGACAGGGTTTCACCTTGTTAGCCAGGATGGTCTCAATCTTCTGACCTCGTGATCCGCCCGCCTCGGCCTCCCAAAGTGCTGGGATTACAGGCGTGAGCCACCACGCCCGGCTGAATTAATATTCTTATATTAGGGATCTGTGCTCAAAATGTTTTCCTGAAAGGAGTGTGTTATTTTAAAATTTGGAGATTACTGCCATAGAGAACTGTGTGTGAGCACAACTTAGACAGCCCTAAAAAATTTCCTTTTTTTTTGAGACGGAGTTTCGCTCTGTCACCCAGGCTGGAGTGCAGTGGCACGATCTTGACTCACTGCAACCTCCGCCTCCCAGATTCAAGCGATTCTCCTGCCTCAGCCTTCCGAATAGCTGGGACCGGGCCCGGCCCACACACACTGTTTTTTTTTTTTACTTTAGCACATCACAGATTGAAGAAATTATGAGACGTTGCCCAAACTATCTCTTATTTTCTTTCTTTTTCTTTTCTTTCTTTCTCTCTTTCTTTCTTTTTTTTTTTTTTTTTTTTTTTGACAGAGTCTCGCTCTATTGCCAGGCTGGAGTGCAGTGGCGCGATCTCGGATCACTGCAACCTCTGACTCCCAGGTTCAAGTGATTCTCCTGCCTCAGCCTCCCGAGTAGCTGGGACCACAGGTGCGTGCCACCATGCCCTGCTAATTTTTGTATTTTTAGTAGAGACGGGGTTTCGCCATGTTGAACAGGTTGGTCTCCATTTCCTGACCTCGTGATCCGCCCACCTGGGCCTCCCAGAGTGCTGGGATTACATGCATGAGCCACCGCTCCCGGCCCACCCACACTCTCTCTTATTTTCAAACGGTCCCAGAAAAAATGAGAAATTTTCCCATTTGTAAGAACTGCGATGCCAATGGTATTCCACTGTGGCATTTAACAGCTTTGATAATAAACACATCTTCCTGGTTAATTCAGAATCCTAGTGCTGTGGCTTAAATAAATCTTCCCACATTATCTTTTCCATAAAGATTATGTGTTTTTCATGGGTTCTTGACCTCAGATTTAGAAACCTTCTAGAATTGCATGCAAAATGGTATACGTTGTTACATTTTCCTGGGGAAAAGCTCTTTAAATACTTAAAAGTGCCCCACAAAAAATAGCTAAGAAGCACCTCTCAGCATTTCATGCCTTTATAGACCAGGTTACTCTTCAGTTATATTTTTTCTAGTTTAAATGTTCTGAATGACTTTGGCAGAGACCCAACTTTACATTCTGCAGAGCCTCTCACCTTCCTCTAGCCAATCAGCTCCAAAGATTACTTGGCTATATACCTTTGGCTCACCTTCTGTTCAAAGATTCCCTGGCACTTTGCTGCCAATTGCTTGGAAATTCCACTTATTTTGCTTAGATTTTTCTCATAGCTTCTATTTTCAAGTACTCTAATTATCACCATGCTCACTCTCCTTGGAGTCATATTACTTGCAGACCTCAAACTAATTTTAGTACCTGAATAAGAGTATGATAAGTGATGAAAGGGTAAGAGAATGAATCTAACCTTTAGTGTGAGCCAGGTGTTTTACATATGCTATCCCTTTAATCCCTGAAACCACCACATAAGTAGGTATTATTGTCATCCTCTTGCTCTCTTCTCCCTGACATACAAGTAAAAGGTACTTAGTGGTCTAACTCAGAGGCCCATGCCTGTAATTCTAGCACATTGGGAGGCCAAGGTGGGCAGGTTGCTTGAGCCCAGGAGTTTGAGACCAACCTGAACAACGTGATGAAACCCTGTCTCTATAAACAATACAAACGTTAGCCGGGTGTGGTATGCGCTTGTAGTCCCAGCTACTCAGGAGGCTGAGGCAGGAGAATCACCGGAGCCGGGGATGTCAAGGCTGCATGACTAGTGATTGCACCATTGCACTCCAGCTTGGGCAACAGAGGAGACACTGTCACACACACACACACACACACAGACACACACCCACACACACAAAGATACTTTACTATAAATTCAAATAGAAACACAAGTTAATTTCATTGGAAATATTTATGCCTATAGGTATTCATTCTGCTTCAAAGAATGCTTTCTAAGAGAAGGTAAAGAGTAGAAATTTGGTAAGGAAGACATCATTCCTACTATATTAAGCCTCTTGAAAATAAAATCTTTGTGTTTTTTTCCATATTCTCCAGAAATGAGTGATGCTTGGTGCATAGGAGGCACACAATAAATGTTGAGTGAATAAATTGATTGAACACCTACTGAATCCTAGAATGTACCTTAGGAGGCAAGTAGCAAGTAGTATACTCTCTATCTTATAGTTGAAACAGTCTCAAGGAGATTGAGTAACTTGCACAAGATCACAAGCTATAAGTGGCAAAACCATCAGATAAAGGACACTCTAAAATTCTTATTCTTTCTGCTAACCATACCAATGACATGTCTTCTTTAAGCATTTAAAAAAAACTGCTATCATAAACAGTTATTATAAATACCTTGGAAAACATTCAATGAACAACCTGATTTAAATTACTAATTAGAATTTTTTTTTCTCAACTTCCCTTTCCTGGCAAAGTGTGACTATGTGGCTTACCTGTGGTGACAAGATTGAATTTACATTAAAAGCATATAGGATCAATCTAAAAAATTCTAATATAACTGAAAGGTAATTATTTATGCATGTTTAACATCCATAACAGAATACAAATTACCATGTCTTTACTCTCAAATAGTAAATGATCTGATTATATATGTAAGAAATGTGAATATGCTATTATAGATTTTTCATATATATAATTTTTCCACAAGTATTCATAAATCCTCAGAAAATATATTTTAGCATCATTAAACATTTCTGATGGAATTTCTGAAAACCTTAAAATTTTTCTAGTTTTAGTCAGTATACAATTTCATAAAATTTGACCTAACTTAATGATTTTTTTATTTAATAACAGGCAATTTTGGGCTTATTTCTCTAATTAATTTCAAGTCATCCATAATTACTGTTTTAAAAGTAATGATTTTAACTAACTATAAGTTTTAATTATTACATTTAAAAATACAGAATGCTTCATGGATTTTCTTAGAGCAAAGGTATTTATGTAGCTTAGTGTACTTAATACCCACAGTAGTACCCCAAAAATTAAAAGTCACTATCTTGAATAGTATTTTAGAACACATAACTATATATAATGTTAAACAGTATGAACTTTGTCATTTTAACAATTTTTACAAAAGCCATTTTTAATAATTTGATCATTATAAACTTCAAATGACTCAGAACAGGAGCAGGTTTAATTTTAATCATGATATCATTTTATCTTAATGGTACATGTCATCATTGAAGCATAGCAATAAATTGTGGAGAAAATACAAGAAACATTTTATCTCCCAAGCCAAAATCTTTTGTGATATTTAAATAAATTCTTTGGAAATTTAGCTTATTGACTTTTTTATATTAGTGCCTTAATATTACAACCTCTGTTATTATACATATTATATATGTGTATACATACAGGTTTAAGCCAGACATTGTATTTAAATTATGAAAAATTGGAATCATTTTTCTGAGCTCAAAGAAGAGAAGATGATTTAATTTCAACAGAAACAAGGAGGTCTTAACACATCACATCACCATGAAATAAATATTAAATTAAAACAGAAGTCTTAGGTTTAACATTATCATCTATAGACTCACCCGGTATCCTGACCGCTTGATTAATAAAAAACCTTCAAAGTACAAAGGTAGAGCAGTAATCTTTAACCTTTCCTGGAAGATCCTGCGAGGGGCTGGTTTTGGGGGCTTCTTAGCCATCATACCCCTCTCTTTGGTGTGTGGTTTGGTTTCTCGTCTCAAACAAAATGAAATCTTCCTTCTGTGAGAGGAAAAGGCAACTGTTCAAAGAGGAAGTCCCAAATTGCTTTTTAACCACCAACACTACCACCAACAGGACACACACACACACAGACGCACACACACACACACACACTTTTTTTTCCATTACTTTTTGTGAGGTAAGAAAGAACAGGTGTAGACTGACTTTCAGAGGGCAATCTCTGGGTAATCCACATGTGCTTAGATTTAAAGCGCAAAATAAACAGAAGATTAACATCACCAGAAGATGAAAGAAACAGGTGTAGAGATTGTGAACTTTAGGGGAGATATCAAGAACACAGTTATTCTTTCTATCTTTGTTTTTGTTTATTGGTGTCCATTTTTATTTGCAGAAGACATGACTTGAATAAACTCAGCTTCATTAAAAATTACTTCATAGAATAATTTTATTAGTACTACTTCTGTTGGTTAAATATTTTAGGGTCAAGTTTTGTGTAAATAAAAAAAATAGTTGTATCTCATGCTCATTTGATGCTTCACTAAATATAAACCACAATTATGGGAACACGGAATATGGAATTTTTTTCTTTTTTCTTTCTTTCTTTTTTTTTTTTTTTTGCCAGTAGATATTCCAAGTACATGAGTTCCCAATGAATATTTAGTGCTATGTTTTGAATGTGTCCTCCAAAACTTATGTGTTAGAAACTTAATCCCCAATGCAACAGTGTTTAGAAATGGGACTTTTAGAAGGTGATTAAGTCATGAGGCCTCTGCCCTCATGAATGAATGAATTAATTAATGCTGTGGGAGTGGGTTTCTTTCTCTTTTTTCAGAGGCAGGGTCTTGCTCTGTTGCCCAGGCTGGAATACACTGGTGCAATCACAGCTCACTGCAGCCTTGACCTCTCAGGCTCAAACAATCCTCACACATCAGCCTCCTAAGTAGCTGGGACTACAAGGCACGCGCCACCACTCCTAGCTAACTTTTTCATTTTTTGTATAGACAGTATCTCCCTATGTTGCCCAGGTTGGTCTCAAACTCTTGGGCTCAAGCGATTCTCCTGCTGTGGCCTCCCAAAGTGCTGGGATTACATGTGTGAGCCATTGCACCTGGCCTGGAAGTGGGTTTTTTATAAAATCAAGTTTGGCACTTTCTCACATGCTATCATCCTCTCTTGCTCTTCTATCTTCTGCCATGGAATGATGCTGCATGAAGGTCCTCATCAGATGCTGGCCATGTTCTTTGACTTCCAGACTCCAGAACCATGAGCGAAATACATTTCTGTTCATTATAAATTACCAGTCTGTGGCATTCTGTTACAGCAACACAAAGGAGTCTAAGATATTTGGCAAAAAAATATCTGGCAGAGAAAGCTGTAAGTTTTCAAACTTTTATTTTGTTCTTTTGTGCTTTCTGAGCTGCAGACCATTGATACTATGATTCATGGATGGACTTCCCACAGTTATCTAGTGAGATTTATAAAGCTATACTGGGGCCAAAGTGCACTCAATGGTTGCATGTAGGAAATGGTCCTTAAGAGATTGGATTTGGCGTAGCACAGTGCAGGAAATGATGGGAGAAAAGAATACTAGAAGGAATTTTGATTTGTCTTACAGGGGTCCTAAGAATTTCTACCATTGCCTATTTCACACTCAGTATTTCAGAACTACTCTAGATTTAGAACAGCCTGGGCCCAGTGAGACCAGCCTATTATTAGAAATCAAAGCAAGTCAGGAGTCTTCAGTCTGATTCTCCTTTCCTAATGGAGAGACTGCATGGTTTTCTCCACCAGTATGGGTCCCACTGATCCTGCAGCTGTAGATATGGGATGACAAATTGTCTACAAAGTGAGGTAGAACAATACGGACTGATTATCAGTAAGTTAGAGAAGAGTGTTCAGATGTATTATCAAAATGAAAACAGCTCAAGACAGAAATAGGGAGTTGAAGATCCAAAATGACTGCTTTGCTTTTGTAAGTTTAGACCTGCTTCTTGCTACCCAACCTTCAAATAATAAAATATAAGTCCAACTGAATTTTTTGAGGCAAAAACCATAACTATTTTTTAGTTTCGGTATACTAAGAAAGTGACTTGAATAACAGGAAAACCTCCTGATTGAATATATGACCTAATCCACTTTCTTGGCAGCTGTTAGTTGTTGTAATACAGGGGGGAAGTGAAAGGAGGGATTAAGAATTGAAAAATGAAAAGAAGCAAGGATAAAGAAAGAATGCTGGGAATCATCAGTGATTACGCACTGACTTTATGGTCAGAAAGTTTCATAGGTGAGAGAAAATAATACCTCTAAAAAAATGTAAAGGGGATTTTTTGTTGTTGTTAAATAAGCACTTAGTTTTTTTTTTGCCTTTAAAATATAAGCAACAATTTAAAAACAGCTAATCAGACACAGTAAGTTACTTTGGTCTGCTGATTTGTTCGTCAAATTCATTCTTAATATACCAAGAATCAAATTATATCTCCCTGAAAAAGACTACAAAATGCAAAAATCTTGCTTAAACAATATTAACAAGTTAGTCCTGTCTGCAATGACTAGTGTCATTGCACCACTGCACCATTACAATGGAAATCCTCTTACAGATACCTCAAGTCTTAGGCAGTGAAGAATAAATTTGTAGGTAAGGAAATATAGTAGAAAATATGTTTGGACATAGGGCATAAACTAATTTTGCTACTAACCAGCTCTTGAGACCTTGAACAAACCACTTGACTTCTCTGGTATCATAGCTTCCTCACCTATACAAGGAGGCGATGGACTACATGACTTATTGTTTGAAGAGCTGCAAAAGGCTTTTAAGTAGTCTCCTAGTTTCCACTCTTTTTCTTCTTTGATTCATTTAATATTCAACCTAATCAAGATATTCCCCTACTGAAAAGACTTTAAAGGATTCTCATTGCTTTTGAGATTCCTTTTTAAATATTTTTTATTGAACACTAAATACTTATTGAATACCAACAATGGGCTCAAGCATGGCACGTTGGTCCTTTATAGCAGGGCCCCTTTTAAATAATAACTCCTCAAAATACCCTTTGCTCTGGTAATTTCATTTAGTCTCAGTTGCCTGAATACCCTATGATCTTCCCTGTCTCCTCATACCTTTTCAGTCACTGTACTCTGCTTAGATGCCCCTCCTTCTCTTTGTTTATATGGTAATGTCCTACTCGTCCTTCAAGACCCAGGCTGAATCTATCCTTAATTCTGAACATCTCCTAATTTCCTGAAGCTTTCTTCACCCCCACAAAAAAAAAAGTTATTACTCTCATTTCTGCTTTCCCAAAGCACTTTGCACGATTTCTTTCTTATAGTATTTGTCCTGTTGTAGTTATTTGTATACATTGAGTATCAACAAGAAACAGTTTTTCCAAAGGAAAGATTGTGTTGAAGTAGGGGTTGGTTATAAGTAGATTGCAATATCATATATTTACTGAATAGCTTCTAGCTAAAAAATATGATTCTAGTTTGGAGAATTATTAGCTTCCATTGTGACAGGAGTTTCCTTTTTTCTGATATATGTGACCATTGGTTGACATATGATTCTTGTGTTGCCTTGTAGAACAATCATGTTACTATTAAACTATTGGAGCCCAACATTACAGCCATCAGTAGCATCTGTGTCACAGAAGATTGTTACAAATCAGGTTTTATGGCAAATATAACTTAACAACTTTGGGTGAAGTATAAGATTTAACTCATATAAACCAAAATCTCAGTGCTGTATTGACTCCTCTATGTTATAAGGTCATCTGAGTAAAAATCCACATTTTTTACAATAATTGAGGATCTCTAAAATACTTTTCTATCCATTTATTAGTACTGAATCAATCAAATCAACCAACCCTGCTCCAGTACTTCCACATTTCTGACCTTTGTTTTGCTTAATACTTACTGATGATTTATTGCCATATGCATTATAATTTGCGGTAGTATATTTCTAAGATATTTTAATTGAATACATTTATTTTTGCAACTCATACCTGAAGAATACAACTTTAATTTTAACCATTGTGTGAAATACTTATAGCTTATCAATGGCTGGTATGAATCCAATACAATCTTTATTATGAGTAAATTTTTTATTACTATTGATAGAGTTAAGCCACATTTTCTTTTTCTTTTCTTTTCTTTTCTTTTTCTGAGACTGAGTCTTGCTATGTCGCCCAGACTGGAGTGCAGTGGCATGATCTCAGCTCATTTCCACCTCTGCCTCCCAGGCTCATGCCATTCTCCCGCCTCAGCCTCCTGAGTAGCTGGGACTACAGGTGCTCACCACCACACCTGGCTAATTTTTTGTATTTTTAGTAGATATGAGATTTCACCATGTTGGTCAGGCTGGTCTTGAACTCCTTACCTTAAATGATCCGTCCGCCTTGGCCTCCCAAAGCGCTGGGATTTACAGGCATTAGCCACCACACCCAGACATGCAGCATTTTCAGTGGAGAAAATGCACATTGTAATACCACAACTCCAGAGATTATCAGACATACAATATGGAGGGAGCTTCCTACTCCTTTGCCTGAGAATTACTGATACAGTGAGCCATTTTTACTCAGAAAATGTTTCCCTTAAGTCTTTTGAAACAGAAAAAAAAGGTGGGCAATCATTGTTACAGAAGTGATATTAGTAGCTCTGTCAGAACAGTTTAATTTGCTAACCCTTATAATTTTCAGTACAAAGAGTTGCATCTGGGATGATAAAAACTTTTCCTAGTTATGTATTTTCAAACTATTTTTACAGTGGAAAATATCACTTTTGTTACTGAGAAATAGTTTTTGGATGCCAGGTAGATACAGGACACTGGTTTTCACACTAGGTAACTCACAGAATAATGGTAGCTTTAATAGAAACTAGAAATTCAGAGTGGGGAGATAGTTTGGGTGGTAGAGGGATAATGAATTCAGTTTTAACCATTTCAAACTCAATGTATACAAAGGTTAAGTCTATGTTTTCTCTTTTATTTCTCATCCTTCATGCCTTCCTTAGGGAATAAGGTGGATTGGTGCTTACCGTCATTCCAAACCCTTCTAGTGTGCTTTTGTTTATTGCAGAGGCTAAAAAGATAAAATCTACATTTTTCAGACTTCTTTGCAGCTAAGATTGAAAAGCATTCAACATGATTGGCAAGGCAGAAGGGAGGCGGGGTTCATTCTTATGCTGCCTTTGTTTTTGTTTGTTTGTTTGTTTGTTTTTTAAACTTCATTGAGAGGAGGTCTGGCTATGTTGCCCAGGCTGGTCTCAAACTCCTGGGCTTAAGCAATCGTCCTGCCTCAGCCTTCTGAGTAGCTGGAATTAACAGATGTGAGCCACTGCACCAGGCAACCTTTGGCTTTTCTAACCAATAAAAAGGCATGTATGGCCTGTAGGCATCTAATTTTTCTGTGGCAAAGTTATCAGAAGTCCCAATGTCTGATCACTAGCTTCATGGGTGTTGATAGTCAAGTCACAGACATCAGTTTGCTTGTGCATATCATCATATCATTTTAGGTAAGGTGTGGCTCTGGAGCCGGAAGCAGTAAGGAGGCTTTCTGCTCTGAGAGGATTCTTTTTTTTTTTTTTTTTTTTTTTTTTTTTTTGAGACAGAGTCTAGCTGTGTCCTCCAGGCTGGAGTGCAGTGGCACCATCTTGGCTCACTGTAACCTCCGCCTCCCGAGTTCAAGCGAGTCTCATGCCTCAGCCACCTGAGTAGCTGGGATTACAGTAGTGTGCCACCACTACTGTATAAGTATAGAATAAGCTACCATTATTCTGTGAGTTACCTAGTATGAAAACCAGTTTCCCGTATCTACCTGGCATCCAAAAACTACTCCTCAGTAACAAAAGTGACATTTTCCACTACAAAAATAGTTTGAAAATACGTAATAGGAAAAGCTCTTATCATCCCAGATGCAACTCTTTGTACTGACAGTTATAAGGGTTAGCAAATTAAACTGTTCTGACAGAGCTACTAATATCACTTCTGTAACAATGATGGCCTTGCTAATTTTTGTATTTTTAGTAGAGATGGGGTTTCACCATATTGGCCAGGCTGGTCTCCAACTCCCGGCCTCAAGAAATTTGCCTATCCTAGCCTCCCACAGTGCTGGAATTAAACATGAGCCACCATACCCAGACTCATTGGAGAATTCTTATTGGTAGTGACTGACAGAGCAGGAGCACCATCATCTCAAATACTGCCACTTTAAGTTCCAGCTCCCTTTTTAGCCTCATGCATTTCAAGGAAATCACTTCTCTTCTAACTACAAGCAGCCAGAAAGAGCAGAGAGTAAAACAGATAAGACAGCTTGGGCACAGAGGGAGGTGGGGGGAAAGTCTCTTGGGTAACTGCCAAACTTCACCCTCATACAATGGGCCCCAGTAAAACAGTGGGCCTTAATAAGCACGTTCCTTTCCCTTCAGGTGCACTAAGATAGGGAAGCTAAAAGCAGACTCGGGGGAGTATGCCTGCAGCGCAGAAAGATGTATGGGAACAGACACACAAGTCTTCCTCCCAGATAAGCACAGCAAAGAGACACAGAAGCAGTACAAGCCTCTGATAAACTCTCCCACCCTGAATCCTTAAAAACTCTTAGTCTGTAAGAGAGTGTGCCTCTGACCTAACTTGGCCAGAAGCCCCCTTGGGTTTTCTCTAAAATAAACCTGTCTTTGGCTGTCAAGCCACTTTTTGTGTTTCTTTCCTCTTTCTTTAATTCTTATAGTGATTTCCATAACGTGGCAGCTTTGTAATTGTGGTGGCTTCCTGATTGCATGATGTCAGTATGATCTTGGAGACATAAGCATTAATGTCAGCTTCCCAATTTTTCTATTTGTTTTATAACTGTAGAAACATCAGCTGCCTCTTAATGGCTTAGTTCTTCAATGTGCATTTGGGAATTATTCCTGAAAATCCAAAATACACTGTTTCTTCATCCTCTCAAAAATTTTATGAGCTGTTAAATGCAGGTAGCAGATCCCTTTTTGCCAAAACTAGCCATCACAAATTGTTCTTTTTTTTTTTTTTGAGACGGAATCTCGCTCTGTCGCCTCGTCTGGAGTGCAGTGGTGTGATCTCGGCTTACTGCAGCCTCCGTCTCCTGGGTTCAAGCAATTCTCCTGCCTCAGCCTCCCGAGTAGCTGGGATTACAGGCATGTGCCACCACACCCGGCTAATTGTTTTTGTATTTTTAGTAGAGATGGCGTTTCGCCACGTTGGTCAGGCGGGTCTCAAACTCCGGACCTCAGGTGATCCGCCCGCCTCAGCCTCCCAAAGTGCTGGGATTACAGGCGTGAGCCACCGCGCCTGGCTACAAATTTTCTTTTATGTAATTGAACCCTGATTATACCACAGTTCCCCATTGTCCATAGGATAAGTGAAAAGTTATCCTGACATTGAAGTTGCCCCATAATCTAGTTCCATTCTGTCAACATGAACACTTTTAAAATTTTTATTTTTAGTTTAAGAGAAGGAGTCTTGCTCTATTGCCTAGGCAGAGGGCCATGGGGCAAGCAATCCTCCCACCTCAGCCTCCTGAGAAGCTGAAACTAGTCACATGCAATCACACCTGGCTAAATTTTTAAATTTTTGATTTTTTGTTGAGACTGGGTCTCACTATGTTGCCCAGGCTGGTTGTGAACTCCTGGCCTCAAGTGATCCTGCTGCCTTGGCCTCTCAAAATGCTGGGATTATAGACATGAGCCACCGTGCCTGGCCGCACTTTTCAATATTAGTCAGATTTTCTCTAGGTCAACAGCACATCACTTCTGCCCTGTGTCTTTGCTTCTAGTTTATCTTCCTGTTGTCTCTTACTTTTAGGTGAATGATGGAGCCTCCGGAAAAAAACAAAACAAAACAAAACAAAACAAAACAAAACAAAACAACTCTTACTTTTAGGTACTGTCTGCAAGTTACCATTTTGGTATTTTATTGTTTATGAGTTTCCATAGACACTTGAATTTACAAATATGTTATATATCCTATGCCACATATACTTAATTTAAAATGACCCAGGCTTAGCAAGTAGTATAACAATTCACCAAAAGATGCTCACACTGTATCATAACTTACAGCTGAGGAGGCAGGCACTGTTCAAACTATTCTTGATAGCTTTCTTTTTTTTTTTTTTTACAAAGAACTAAAGCATGTTTCCTGTCAGGAGCCAAAAATAAAAAAATAGAAAACAAAACTGAGAACTAAAGCACTTTAATGCTCAATGTTTCTAATGCTTTGAGTTACAATGTGCTATATAAGTATTAGTTTTACTATTTTTTCATTTCCCCATAAATTTATAACTGACAGCAAGAGACATGTTAATATTTTGATAATTTTTTTTTTTTTTTTTTTTTGAGGCTGAGTCTCGCTCTGTCTCCCAGGCTGCAGTACAGTGGCGTGATCTCGGCTCACTGCAGCCTCTCTCCCAGGTTCAAGCAATTCTCCTGCCTCAGCCTCCCGAGTAGCTGGGATTACAGGCGTACACCACCACTCCTGGCTAATTTTTGTATCTTTATTTTTATTGTTTTTGAGACGGAGTCTCGCTCTGTTGCCCAGGCTGGAGTGCAGTTGCACGATCTCGGCTCACTGCAAGCTCCGCCTCCCGGGTTCATGCCATTCTCCTGCCTCAGCCCCCCGAGTAGCTGGGACTACAGGCACCCGCCACCATGCTCGGCTAATTGTTTTGTATTTTTTAGTAGAGACAGGGTTTCACCATGTTAGCTAGGACGGTCTCGATCTCCTGACCTCGTGATCCGCCTGCCTCGGCCTCCCAAAGTGCTGGGATTACAGGCGTGAGCCACTGCGCCCAGCTAATTTTTGTATTTTTAGTAGAGACGGGGTTTTGCCACGTTGGCCAGGCTGATCTTGAACTCCTGACCTCAGGTGATCCGCCAGCCTCAGTCTCCCAAAGTGCTAGGATTACAGGCGTTAGCCACCGCCTCCAGCTGATAATTTTTTTTTAAAGGTCATGAAACAATCAGAATTTTTCCCAAGCAAAGATCGGTTTGCATGGTTTCAGCTTACAGGGTCTTTTTAAGGGTCCTGTACTACTTTGCAAAGCAATGACTGCCTGAAATTTAAAAACAGTATCCTACATTACTTGCCAATTTTCACTCAGGGTAATTTAAGTCCTCTCAAGAGTAAAATTACAATGCAGAACCATTTTATTAAGCTTTTGAAAATCTTAATGTGTTTTCAATGACAAAATTTCCTTTGTGTGAGTAGAAAATAAGTTGACTAGAAGTAAACTATCCTATCTTATAGGATGCAGAATGGAGATCTACAGAATAGTGTTATTTGTTGTGATCTTAAGAGAAACAATGTGTACATAATAGAATATAACTATAACTAATAAGCAATGGTTGACACAAAGGTAATTTAGGAAATGTAAAGATCAGTTAATTTATATAGCACTTTACAATTAATGACACATTGCAGACCTTAACAACTCATAGCGTGGTAAAACTATTTTGTAAACATTGCTGCCACCTACCTGTACATTGCAAGCACATTTTATTAACTTTTCCATTATGGTCTACATAGCATAGATAGCATTTCTATTGGAGGATAATTTTTTATCAGAAAAGGATACTTAAATGAATCTCCTTAACAGAGGGACCAACATTTGGCAGTAAGGAGTAAAAGAAAAAAAATTACATTATAAAAAAAAACCAAAATCATAAAACTAAGTCTATTTTATCTTAGCAAATATTGTTATAATTGTGACTATGCTATACTTTTTAGAAGAAATTCATTTTTCATGTGTAATTTTTCTGACAAAATTATATGATAGTCATTTGCTAATATTTTCACTTTTGACTTTTGCAGAATAAATAATAAATGTTTTTGCAAAAGTTTTTAGAACTTAAGCAATTTTATTAAGTTCAAGTTTCCCCATCATTTTTCTATGAAATATTTCAAACATACAGAGAAACTGAAAGAGTATTGTTAATAAACACACCAATGAACTAGATTCAATAATTGTTAATATTTTGCCGTATGTATTTAACTATCTCAATCTCTTTATGATTAACAATTTCAAAGTACTTACAAATATCACAAGACATTTTACCTCTAAATACTTTGATATGCATATCCTAAGAGTAAGGACAAATTACATAGACATAATCACATTATAATACCTAAGAAAACTTTACAATTCTCTAATATCATCTGAAAATTAATTTTTTCATTTTCACTTATTGCTTAATGCTCTTTACAGTTACTTTGTTTTGAACTAGACTCTAATCAAAGTTTACACATTGCATTTGGTTTTCATACAGTGCCTTTGAGTCTCTCTCATTTTCTCTTTCTCTCTTTTATCATCGCTCTCACAGATTTACTGAGGTATAATTTACTGTAAAAGTCACTATTTTGGCCAGGTGTGGTGGCTCATGCCTGTAACCCAGCAATTCGGGAGGCAGAAGCCAGAGGATCACTTGAGCCCAAGAGTTCAGGACCAGCTTGGGCAACATAGGAAGATCCCATCTCTACAAAAAATTAAAAAAAAAAAAATTAGCAGGGTGTGGTGGTGCATGCCTGTGGTCCCAGATATTCACGAGGCTGAGGCAGGAGAATCATTTTAGCCCAGCAGGTAGAGGCTGCAGTGGGCCTTGATTGTGCCACTGCACTCCAGCCTGGGCAACCAAGCAAGACCTTTCTCAAAAAAAAAAAGGTCGCCTTTTTCAGGGGCACAGTTCTAACTAGGAATTTTGACAAATAGATATAGCCATGTAACTACCATCGTAATCAAGACATAGAATATTTTCAGCACCGCAAAAAGTTCCCTCTTATTCCTTTACAGTCTTTTTTCCCCCACCCTCCTCAACCCCTGGTAACCAGCGATTTGATTTCTTTTCATACAGTCATTGATGTCCAGCTTCTTTCACTTAGTACAGTGCTTTCAAGATTCATCCATATTGTATATCAGTAGTTTGCTTTTATTGCTGAAGAGTATTGCACTGCATTGAGGTACATTTGTTTATCCACTCACCAGGACAGATGCACATGTTAAGCTGTGGGGTGGGAATGAATACAGACTAATTTTTAAGTGTTAGTTCAGTTGTGAATATTTTTGTGCTAACACTTAATGGAAGACACTTTGGTAGTAAATACCCATACCATAGTTATTTGATGGAAATCAAAGATCTAAAACAAAATATTCTTTGAAATAGTTTCAAGATTTACAAATTTTAAATTATGTACCTAAAACCATAAGTAACGAAAAGTTTTTTTTACTTCTCTTTCAAGCCAAATTTCTGGATACTTTATGTTCCCATATACACATCTAATTATGTATATGTTAATACTTCCATATACTGATATGTAAATACACACATGCACACACACCCCTTAACTAGGTAAGTAGTTGTGAAAGAAAACTTCAAGATTGTCCTAGCAGTTCATAAGAAGTAATCTTTGATGTATTTTGGGGGGAGATTTATAACGACAAACTTGGGTTTTTAAATAAATATTACTCCCCCCATTAATTAGCAATCCTATTTTAGGATACTAAAACCATGGTGGGCTATTAAGTACTACAACAAGTACATATGGAAGTAAAACGTTTCTCTGGAAACTGTGGAGTCTCCACAACTGTTTTTATAAGAGTACTGCTCTATTTTCTTTAGAACAGTTAATCCTCAACGCCCTCTGTGGCCTGCTTTCTGCAGCAGCACAAGCCATTGCATTCCAAATTTCTCAAAATAAGTGTGGGACTTAGTTTCCAGTGGAAGCAGGAGGATATAATTTTACATGTGGGACTTTACATCTATAATCGTGCTTGCTAAAATTTCTTACCCAGAGGCAAAGAGTGTAGTGATTAAGAGCTCAGTTGTGGAGTGAGAATTCTTGGGATAATAACCCATCCTACCATTTAGTGGTGATGTGATCTTGGGTAAGACACTTAGCTCTCTGTGTTTCAGTGCCCTTGTTTATAAAACAGGAATATTAATTGTTCTCTTCAATGCATGCAAAGCATTTCAGAACTGGGCATAGAGTATGCAGTCAATAAATGTTAGTGTTTATCATTATCTATTCCAAATGTGACAGCACCAAATTATAAGTTGGACTGATTGGCAAAACTGCCAAACATAGTAAAAAACTCTCCATAATGATTCCAATAGCTTTATTATTGAATTCTTACTATGTTCCAAACATTGTGCTTAGATCTTAACAGGAATTATTCAATTACAACATCTCAACCACTTTAATAGTATTCTCATTTTGCAGACAAGAGAATTAAGGAACAGATAACTTAGTTGCCCATAATGGCAGAATTAATGGAATGGAGTGCAATCCAGGCCTAATTTCAGTCAGAGATCATAGTTCCTTTTTTTCTATCAAAAAAATAAATAAAATAAAAAAATTGGCCTTCATAGTTGACAGCATTTGTTAAAGCACTACATGTTTTAAAAATCTATTAGCTCAACTCCTGATTAATGTATTTATTCAATTAGTAAACTATTTTCTGATTAGAATTTTCTTGTAATTTTAAATTAAATAATAAAATAAGATACAGCTTCATAGAATCATACACTGGTCAGGTGAGAAGTCTTCAGAGCGTCTAATTTAGACTTCCATTCTATCACTATGGAAACACCCAGAATGGTGCCGCAATTTTGCCCTCCATAACATAGCTAGTCAATGGCTGGCAGGTTTCAGGATTCTGTATAGAATTCTTTTCAGTGCATCATACTTAAATGATAGATATTTACGTGGGTCATTTGTTGGCAATGCATCATAAAAATATCGCCCACATACTTGAAAAAGAATACAAGCCATCATCACCATTATTATACATAATTATTCAATTATTTTCAGAGATGATGGTTAGATGGGCTGGGCGTGGCTGACGAATCTGCATTAGAAAAATCTCTTCAAAAAAAGATTCTATTAAAAAAAAAGTCGTCTGCAATTTCTACCTCTCATCCTTCCAAGTATTACTTATTATTCCTTAATAGAACTGTTGAGAAGTTTTACATTGGGCACAAGGAGCGGTTCCCAGGATCGTGCCTTCCTAATAAAAGCCCAGTCTCGCGCCTGTCCCGGGCGCGGCGCTGAGGAAGGGAGGTGGGAAGAGCAGAGCGGCTAGAGGTAGGGCGGGCGGGTGGGTCTGCAGGCTGGAGGGCCGTTGGCCTGGAGCATGAAGGGGCGAGCCCACTAACGGCTTGCTTCCTATTGGACGGCGCGGCCCGTTTTGCGCATGTGTCTCCGGGTTCAAACCCAGGCACAGGCCAAGCGTTCTTGTTTGTTGAGGGCGGAGCCAATGGCGGGGGAGTGTTGTTAGCGCGCGCCTTCCGGATCGCAGCTCTCGCGGCAGTCGCCTGAGACTTAAGGTTATTGCTTGGCCGCGGCCTGGTATTCCGGCGATTCGTTTCTTGCTCGGCTTCCTGGAGCTGTGGTCCGTGTGGGCTTCCACCTCAGACAGTTGCGCTGGCTCAGCGGGGCCGGAACATGGCTGCGTCCGGTCTGGTAAGTGCAGGCCCCCCGCTCCAGGCGAGTGGTTGAGCGGCTGGCTGGGGCACGGGCGCCCGAGGCTGGGGAGAAGGAAATGCTAGGCTGAGGCTGTGATCTCTGAGGGATTTCAGTGGGAAAGCCGCAGGAATTTTTGAAATCAAGTGTGATCGTGTGTCGATAACCAGAGTTAATTTACTGTACTTTTATTATTTCTTAAGTTTTCATGTCGTCATTTCGTCTGTGCCTACGTCTTACTCTTGAGAGGTGCTTGTGATTTCTGCTGGGTTTTTTTTTGTTTTTGTTTTTGAGACGGGGTCTTGCTCTGTCCCCCAGGCTGGAGTGCAGTGGCGCGATCTTGGCTTCTGCTTTTTAGTCTAGCTCCAGTTCCTAGGCCTCCAAATAACTTTTCTCCCCATGGTAGAAGTATTGAAACGCCTTAAAAGTGTGTCTTTGCGTCACACTTGGTAGTTGGGAGAAACAGATTATGTAACAAGTACGTCTCGAAATAATTTGACGTTTTCAGTTCTTCTGTCAAAATGGTGGCCTTTTATGCAGTTCTTGAGGCTGATTTATGGAGCATATGTTATTGACAAACTCTTCTGAAAGACAGCTATCAGTTAAAAGGTACAAGCTGTGAATGACTAATGGGGGCGACAACTCATTTTGTTTACATATTTCTGGACTTCTTTGGTGTTCACTATTCTATATTTCATACTTTGGTTATGGTTACTATATAAAAATCCGTATCATTTCTTTTCTAATTTATCTCCCCTTCTAAGAAAATCTTCAGCTTCGATGATCTCCCATTATGTGACGTTATACATATAAACATAAAGAGTTGTATGAAAGAATAATATAATCTATACTTTTTACTATGAGCACATATATTGTTTACATTATATATAATCAGAAGAAAGCAATAAAGCCATTCTCACTGTGGGGAGAGAAGCGGAATAAAGCTTACCAGATGCCTGCAGTTCAGTTTTTAAATGCCTGTCATAACCTATGTTATGTCATAACATAACCTCAAAATTGTTTTGAGCCCTTAGGAGATGTTTGGTGTATAGCATGCCCATACTGGATGAAGTTACTTTGAAAATAAATTTTACTCGACTCTATCTTAAAGAAACCAAATTGATGATTTACTTTTCTTTCAGGATCATCTCAAAAATGGCTACAGAAGAAGATTTTGTCGACCTTCCAGGTGATTTACGTACTTAAGCTTTTAAGATTATTTTTATTCTCATCGTTAATAGATTTTTAAATGAAGAAAGGAAAAACTATCACCTCTGACTAATATAATGATTTCTGTGCCCACTGATTAAGGGTAGTCATCTTATACTAACGGGAATGTTAATGCAAGCAGTGCAATGACTTTGTGGCTGTGAAAAAAGAAATTCACCTGATAAAATAGTGGAACCAGGAAGAGGGAGTCTCAGTTCTGACTAAGTGACTGCCATGGGAAAAGCATTTTGTAGAATGAATCAAATGGTAAAATTAGAAAGATGTAGCTTATTCAGTGGGGCAAAAAGAAAAATAGTACATGCTGTCGTGCATTTGTTGAGTGCTTGTTTGGGTTGTTTTGGTTCTTCTTTTAGTTGTAAAACCTGTAAAAAGTAAATTTTCTAGTTAAATATTTACTAGTAATAGGATGAAAAGCATGTTTTTAAAAGTGAAGATGTTATTATGAATAACGTCATGTTTATTGAGCTGTGATTTTAGTAGGTCCAATGGGGCACAGAAGTATGTTCTTTTGTTTACAAGAAGCTTAGATTTCTGTTGGGAAAATGTATATGTACATTTGTGAAACAATTTAATGGACAAAAATTATTACTTGCAATACTGAAGTAATGACTTGTGTATCATAGAGAGTAGGCCTATATATAATTAGGCATTAACTTGCAGTATAGACAGCCATGTGAGAAATTAGGGATTTGTGTGTTGTTGATATTAAGAAAAGCTTTAAAGTTGTAGTGTAACTTTGGTGGACCTTGAACAGGTATTTAAAGACTAAGATAAAGTATATTCCAGACATAGAAAGTAACTTAACGAAGGAACCAAAGTAGGAATACATATATTTGTCAGTAGCAGAGAGACCTGATTTAAGAAGGTTGAATATGTTGGGTAGAAGTGGAAAACAAGACCATATGAGTTGGATTGAGCCATAAAATGGATATGTTAGGCTTTAGGCATCTATTATAGGCTTGAATAAGCTCTCCTAAATCTTCTGTGGAATAAGGGCTATCTGATATAAACACACACACACATTTAAAAAAGCAAAGATGTTTGATGTTTACAAAGTAGCTTAAGGAGGGTGTTGTAGTAATCTACACATGGTGGAGGTGCTTTTATGCTAAGGTAATAATGACAAAGGGGAAGAAAAGACGAATTTGATAAATTTTGAAAAAGCTGTTGCCTAATGTGACCTGCGTTCTAATAGTGACTCTGCATTATCACCTTGGCAAATCTGATCTTTTTGGATCTCATCCTTGAAACAGGTAATAGCAGGAGTGTATTTATAGCTGTGCAATATGTGCACCTGTAGGTGGTATTTTGGGGTGATGTCAAGGCCAGAATTTATAATAGTCACCTATATATATTCTGGTAGAAAACCGGCCACTAATACTACTTAGGTTTACAAACTGAGGTAGGCCATTTGACCATTTTGGGTTTCAGTTTGCCTATCTGCAAAATGAGGGCATAGGATTCAGCTAGGGGTTTTTAACTAGATTTGCACATCAGAATTACCTCCATCACCCTAGGAAATCTAATTAAATTGGTTTGTGGGAAGTGACCAATTAAGTGTATTTCTGCAAAGCTCCAAAAGTAACTTTACACATCTATTTGGATGATGATTATTGGACTGGATGATTTCTGAGATCTTTCAGTTATAAAACTTTATGATGGATGACCTGATAATGCACTGTGGCTCACAGTTTTTAATTACTGCATATATAGTACTTTTCCAGCTCTCAATAATAGGAATGTTGTAGATCAGGGATCAGTAAACTCTGGCTGATAGGCCAGCCAAATGTTTTGTCACAGGTTTTATTTCAATTTTATTGGAACACAGCCATGCCTCTTTGTTTACATACTGTCTGTGGTTGCTTTTGGGCTAGAATGGGAGAGTCGACTGGTTGTGACAGAGACTATGGTTTACAAGCCTAAAATATTTACCATCTGGCCCTTTAAGCAAAAGTTTGTCCACTCTGTTAGAGATGCATGTCAATTTTATACTGATTGAAATCCAGATGTTCTTCAACAGGTAAATGGTTAAACACTGTGGTACACACATAGCATGGAACATTACTTGACTCTAAAAAGCAATGAAATATTGGTACATTCAACTTGGATTTATTTCCATAGAATTGTGTTGAGTGAAAAAAGCCAAGGCAAGAGGATACATGTTGTATGATTCTATTTACATATAATTGTTTCCACATGACAGAGTTTTAGAAATGGAGGACAGATTAGTGGTTGCCAGAGGTTAGGAATGAGAGGAGGCAGGAAGGAGATGAGAGAAAGGTGGTTATGATTACAAAAGGACAATAGAGGATCTTTGTGATGATGGAACTATTCAGTATCTTGACTCTGGTTGTTTTATCTGCACCTACAGATGTGATACATTTTGTATATATACACACAAACATGAGTATGTTCAGAAATGAGTACATGTAGAACTGGAGAAATCACAATAGCATTGGTAGATTGTATCAATATCAGTATCCTGATTGTGATAATATGCTATAGTTTTGCAAAATATTAGCACTGAGGAGAACTAGGTAAAGTGAACAAGGGGTCTGTATTATGTTGTATAGCTGGCTGTGAATCTACAAGCTCAATATAATTTTTAATTAAAATTTATACTGATTCATAAACTGTTAAGATTAATCAATGATACTGAATTAGAAATGCATTTGAGAATTTATAGGGAGGAATATGTTACTTGGAGATGTGACTGTAAAGTCTGTTAAAGAAGCATTTCAGGACTGATTGGATTCATTCAAAAAAATTTGTGTTTTTGAGATACAGCAGTAATCTAAAACAGCTTTAGACATGGCTGTTCAACTAAGAAATATTAATTGTTAAGGTAGATTATGATATACTAATTCTTATTAGGAAGGAAAGAGTTCACTTGAGGGAATGTATAGACCCTCAAGTACTTGTTTTGTCTTCAAATAGTAAAGATATTTTACATATTAAGTAAATTTATATTTTATAATGAGATGTGGAATTTTCAAAGAGATGGTAATATAAAGAAATATCTTCTGAAAATGACAGGCTGTATTTTTCCTTTATTAGGGCACGTGACATTAACACAGAGCAAGGCCAGAATGTTCTGGAAATCTTACAAGACTGTTTTGAAGAAAAAAGTAAGGCTTCATTTCAAGATGGAATTTAAGGGTTAGATGGATGAAAATATGAATTTGTCATGGTAATTAATATCAAATGCAGCAAATATGTTCTAGGGTTTAAATATATGGAAAATATTTTCCCTGGTATTTTGAGTTCATATGCAATCCTTTGTGTACCTTCTGGTATACTTAGGATAATACTGACAAAAAATAATAATTTGACAATAATTTGTCATCCCGTTTAGTTCACATTAAATTACTGTAATCTGGAAGTCCATACATAATTATCATACACAAGAAAAAGTATTTTATTATTTATTTATTTATTGAGACATAGTCCTGCGGTGTCACCCAAGCTGTAGTACAGTGGTGCTATCTCAACTCACTGCAACCTTTGCCTCCCAGGTTCAAGTGATTCTTGTGCCTCAGCCTTCCAAGTAGCTGGGATTACAGGTGTGTGCCACCACGCCTGGCTAATTTTTGTATTTTTTAGTAGAGACCAGGTTTCACCATGTTGGCTAGTCTGGTCTCGAACTCCTGCCCTCCAGTGATCTGCCCTCTTCAGCCTCCCAAAGTGTTGGGATTACAGGCATAAGCCACTGCATCTAGCCAGAAAAAATATATAATGAAAATAGATGTGTAGAATTCTTGGAATCGCTGGAGAATTTGAGATAATCTTTGGTGATTTACATATCTGTTTAAGGAAGTCATAAATTACAGCAAAAACTTTTCCAAGTGCTGATTAGCATCAGCAGGTATTGGAATAAGAGAATAAGCCAGCCAAAGAAATAGGGGCAGATGATAGAAAAGAATGTTTTCTATACAAGCTCTGAAAGAAGAGCTGGCATATATTGATACTTCAGGTGTTTTGTTTGCTTTTCTCATTTCCTGATGCTTCTCAGGAACATTTGAATATTAAATTGAGGTCTCTACTTGATTTAAGCTAATTGTGGTCAGTGAGTCAACAGATGGTTCTTCACATGTCATATACAGCTACTTTTAATTGTGACTAATAGATATTACACTATATCTTGTTTTTGAAAATTTCATACTTTTGTTTTAGGTCTTGCCAATGATTTTAGTACAAATTCTACAAAATCAGTGCCTAATTCAACACGCAAAATAAAAGACACTTGTATTCAGTCACCAAGCAAAGAGGTAAGTGATAAAGAAGAGCTGGTATAGGTTTAATATTTTAATGAATGAAGGTATACACAATATACTCATGTATATTTTAGTTGTTTGTAAGTCTTATTCTTGAAAGGGAATTCTATATTCCCATTGACTTTCTATAAAATTTGGAGGTATTTTGTGAAAAGTTTTATTTGATATTTTCTGTTGGAATTGGGATTATGGGAATTAGAATTATCAAATTATAATAAACATTTTTCACTTCTCCTAAAATAATACTCAAATTAGGTTTTTAGGAAAATGGGCAGTGATCAAAGTTGCTAATCAGGTTGGCAGGGTTGGTTATATTCTAATAAATGAAGGCACTTCATTGTTATACGGGGAAATCAATCTTCTGTTGATTATATATTTTAATTGCTGTTAGTTTGATCAGAAATAAAGTATTGGTTGACTTAACTATACTAAGTAGCAGACTTTCAAATAAAGTATTTGAAGCTAATCTAAGGCAAATTATTCAAAAGCACAATACTAATTAGAAAAATCATATAGTGCTAGAAGTAACACTTACTAGAAAACTGTAAAAGGCAATCAACATATTAAACATATGTAGCCTTTTGGTTCCAAGCAATGCAGACAAAACCATTTCTTTCAGAATTGAGAGGCCTTCTGAAACTTGATAAATTACAATGGTTTTTGAAAGTTAAAGCAACTTTAGGTTTTCTGGGATAAACTTGACTTGGTCATAAAGTATTAACTTTTTTTGATTAGGTTTGCCTAATATTGAAGATGTTTGCATCTATGTTTATGAATAATATTGTCTTTTTTTGAAAAATGTTCTTACAGGGCTTTGGTATCAAGGTTATGCTAGAGGTTCCTCTTCTAGGTAGAATGCAGTAAGTCACAGAAGGCTAACACTCCTGCTAAAGCAGCTATTTTAAAAAATGGAAACAAATTTTAGATATATGAGAAGCTGTGGAAACAATAAAGACTAGCAAAATATAGTCTGTGGCTAATTTTCTTCCCTTCTGAGGCAAAATTCTTCTCTACTGTGTCCCGTTACTTATGGAGGTTTTCCACTCTGGCTGGTAGATTATTCTAGGTCCTTTGTAACTGGGAGGATATTCCCCCTCAAGGCTTCGGGTGGTTCTTTCTCTGGTTTTCTTACAACGCATTCTCTGATCAATATTTGATTGAATGCTTGAGAGAGATCTGCACATTCTGCAGTTTTCTCTATGTAACCGTCTCCTGTCCAGTACTTTATCCTGCAAATTCTAACCACTTTGGTCTTCCTGAATCCTCAGCTTTGGCTCCTCAACTGAGGATTTCCCCTGTGTGTCACATCTGGAAATGGGTGATCAGAGGGTTCACCTCATTTGTTTCCCATCTCAAGAATCATTCTCTTTGGTTTTTCAATGTCGTATTTCTTGAGAATCTTGTATGTTTTTTCTTTTTTTAAAATTGATTCAGGCAGGAGGGTAAATCTGGTCCCTTTTAAGACATTGTGCTCTAAAGCCAAGGTCCACTGCAATGACTTCTAAATGACTTTAGGCCAAAGAAGAAAGCATGTTGGGAATATAAAATATTCTGAATGAAGATAATAATATGACTTATCAGAACTTGTGAGATTTAGCTAAAATAGTGTTAGAGGGAATTCATAACTTTAAATGTATAATAAATAAGAAATGTTCAAAATAAAGGTTCTACTCTGTGTTTGTACTGGTCTTGTAAAATGAGTTGTTCAGTATTTTCTCTGTCTCTTTTCTCCTGAAGTGTTTTTATGAACCACTATTGTTTCTTTCTCAAATATTTGATGGAATTCATAGGAGTTTTCTCTTTGCGAGAATTTTAAAATACTAATTTATTTATTTATTTATTTATTTTCTGAGACAGGGTTTCACTCTTTAGCCCAGGATGGAGTGCCATGACATGATCACAGCTCTCTGAAGCCTTGAACTTTTCCTGGGCTCAAACCCTTCCGTCTCAGCCTGCTGACTACCTAGGACTATAGGTGCATATCACCATGCTGGCCTGCTTATTTATTTATTTATTATTTCTCTATCTATCTATCTGTCTTGAGACAAAGTCTTGCTCTGTCACCCATGCTGGAGTGTAGTGGTGCTATCTTGGCTCACTGCAACCTCTGCCTCCGGGGTACAAATGATTCTCCTGCCTCAGTCCCCCAAGTAGCTGGGGTTACAGGCGCCCATCTCCACACCTGGCTAATATTTGTATTTTTAGTAGAGATGGGGTTTAACCATGTTGGCCAGGCTGGTCTTAAACTCCTGACCTCAAGTGATACTCCTGCATTGGCCTCCCACAGTGCTGGGATTACAGGTGTGAGCCACCGCACCCGGCCATTTTAAAATTTTTCTTTACAGAGGCAGGGTCTCACTGTGTTGCCTAGGCTTGTCTCAAACTTCTGGGCTCAAGCAATCCTCCTGCCTCAGCTTCCCAAAGCATTGGGATTACAGGCATGAGCACTGTGCCTGGCCTCACTTTTGTTTTCTTATGAAACATAATACATTAAAATACACAAATTGCGTGTATATTTCATTGAATTTTTACAACTACTACCTAGATGATGATATAGAACATTAAAGATTTAGATTTTACTTAATAGTTTCAGTAGACAATTTAGATTTTCTATTTTTTTTAAATGTTCTACTTTTCTTTTTTTAGGGATTTGTTCATTTTATTTAAATTTTCCAGTTTATTTGGATAATGTTGTTTTGTCATGTCTTTTTCCAGTCTTGTTAATGTCTGTAGGATCTACAGTTATATCCCCTTTTTTATTCCTGACATTGGTTATTTATGCCTTATCTTTTTTTTTTTTTTTTTTAATTAGAGGTAGGGATCTTGGTATGTTGCCCAAGCTGGATTAGAACTCCTGGGCTTAAGTGATCCTCCCTAAGCTAAGGAATAGCTGGGATTACTGCTCGTAAGTCACATGCCACTGTGCCTGCTATGCCTTGTCTTTTTCATCGATTAATTTTGTCAGGGTTTATCAATTTTGGTCTTTCAGAAAACCAAGTTTGGCTTTGTCGGTCCTCTCATTTGCTTGTTTTTAGTTTCATTATTTTTTTCTTAATTTTATTTTTCATATATTCTTTATTTTTATTTTTATATTATTAATTTTTTCTAATCCTTGAGATGGATGCTTCAAAACAACAGAGACTTTGTAGGTGTTAGGGTTTTTTTTTCAGGTAGGGCCTTTCCATGCAGCAAGCTTGGCCTAGGCCTTCCACATAAGGAATGAAATTTGTTTACTTGATTTGAAAATAAAATCAGACTTAAGACTTATCTATCTTATAGGCTTTTCTGTTTGCGAACTTGAGATTCCTAGGTCTAGTTATTACTTCATATTTGTTTGTCTTTAAGTAAAATAAGATATGACTCCGTAGGTTTTAACTGAAACACAACCGAGCTTCATGAAATAAATTAGTTTTTCTCTTCTGTTTTCTGGGATAACTTGATTAAGCAAAAATGATCTGTTTCTTCAAATTTGGATCATTTGTAAAACATATGGTTGGAGCTGTTTTGGTGGGGATGTGTGTGATTACCACTTTATTCAATGATCTATTGCATTTTTTATATTTCTTTTGCCAGTTTTGACATTTTATAATTTTCTTGAAACATTTCCTCTGTTCTCAATTTGTGTATAGTCAACTTCATGATCTTCCTCATAGTTATTACTCTCTTTTTATTGCTGGTTTTCACCTTTTTAAATTATCTGTGTTGTTACAGGTATTTTTCTGTCATTAACATTTTCAAAGAATCAGCAGTCTATTCTGGTTCACTATTTTATTCTCTTCCCTATCTTTTTACATACTTTTCTTCTTAATTTGTTGGAAGATTGATTTTTAAAGCTCAAAGGCATTATGTACATGGAAGTTAAAGTAGTTCCATAAATTCCACAAAAAAATAGTAGACCCCACTTTTCCTCCTCCAAGTCCAACTTTTTAGTCTTAGCTATTACTCTAGGTATTTTGACTCCATATTTCTAAATAATGTTTATATTGCTGTTTCTTGATTTTTTTTCCCAGTCTTTGCTATTATTTATTGGCTTTCTACTATGGAAGTTTAGACTTTATTTGTCATATAGTTTCTACTTCCGACCACAACACATAAACTTCCATTCTTTAGTACATCATAATTTTTAGTAGGATTAGTAGTTAGTGTTTATGGTATTATTATGACTGTTTCAGTAGTCACAGCTATGTAGAGTACTAATGGTTAAATTTTCTTTATGTACAGTTCTTAATTTTCTCTTGATTTAATTTTGGTTTTTCCATTTTTGACTTTCTGTGCACCTGTGACTAATTCATCACCAGTTTTCTATGACAAACGTCTAAGTATAAATGTCTTAGTATGCATAGACACATTAATTTATCATTTTCAGCTTTGCTGTCCCTGCTCTTTTTTTTTTCTTCAATCTACCCTTAGACCTATCACATAGGTTTTGTCATGTACTCTCTCTGTATCACAGAGAGTCCCTTTGCTTTTCTCCTGAATTGCAACTCTTATTTCTTGGATCTGAAATCTTCCTTTTTTCTTGGCCTCTCCTTTTTTGGTGGGACTCATCCTTTAGTAGCTTTCTGAGAATTTGAGACCTTAATTGTTTAAAAATACCATGGTTTTACCTTCATGATGGGTAATTTGGGTGAGTACAGAATTCTAGATTAGAAATTATTTTCCTTTAATTAAAAAATAATATATATTTTTTCATATCAAGCCTCCCTTTTAGTCAGGTGTATTTTCCCTTAGACTTACAAATGTTGCTTTCTTTTATTTTAGCTTCTCCTGTTGAGAATACTGTTGTGATTCCATGATCCTTTGTGACTATTTTTTTCCTCTTTGCAGGCTTTTAGGATCATGTCATCTGTCTTTAGTGATCTAAATTTTTATTATATTCCTTGACATTAGGTTCATCTAACCCTTTTCATAAATATTTCTTCAGTTTCTGTTTTCTGCAAGTACCTTTTTTACTTACTTTGCTCATTACCTCGCCTTTTTCATATGTCCAGTGATCCTTAGCTGTCTCCTCTTGTTTGAAAGTGGGAAACTAAAACACATTGGAAGCTCTATATGCCTAGTAAAATTTGTAGACTGGTGGATGTCACTGTGGTGTAGTTTGGTCCATTTCATCATTGGTATCCTGGTGTTAATATCTGTAGATTTCTTTTCTCTTGGCCTAGTAAGTATTTCTGACAAAGAAATCTTTCCCGCTTGGCGGTTCAAGTCTAACTGCGATTGTTTTCAATTTCAGTCAGATGTGGCAAAGGGGAAAGTGCAGTTTAAATGCTCCTACTTAATATCTCTGGTTTTCATGTATTGCCCTTAACTTCACCTGTGTCTTATGCCACTAATATCACAGTCTCTCTGATTAAGAAACTCAAGAGAGTAAATAATCTTCTGATAGGTTTGGGAGGGGCTCTTCGGTTTTACTACCTTCTTTTTTTTGAGAAAAAGCACTCCTGGGCTGGAGTGCAGTGGCACGATTTCGGCTCACTGCAATCTCTGCCTCCCGGGTTCAAGCAATTCTCCTGTCTCAGCCTCTCGAGCAGCTGGGACTACAGGTGCCTGCCACCATTCCTGGTTAATTTTTGTATTTTTAGTAGAGACAAGGTTTCACCATATTGATCAGGCTGGTCTTGAACTCCTGACCTCAGGTGATCCACCCGCCTCAGCCTCCCAAAGTATGGGGATTACAGGTGTGAGCCACTGCGCCCAGCCAGTTTAACTACTTGCTATACACAATTTTTTTTCTGCGACAAAAGACACATTCAACTATACACGCTTTTAACACCCTCTGTTTGCATGCCTCTTCTTTTTTTTGAGACAGGGTCTTGCTCTGTTGCTGGAGTGCAGTGGCATGCTCATAGCCCACTGCAACCTCAAACCTCTGGGCTCAAGTGATCCTCCTGCCTCAGCCTCCTGAGTAGGTAGGAACACAAGCATGCACCACCACTCTTGGCTAATTTTTTATTTTTACACAGAGATGTGGTCTTGCTAAGTTTCCCAGGCTGATCTTGAATTCTTGACCTCAAGTGATACTCCTGCCTTGGCCTCCCAAAGTGCTGGGATTACAGGTGTGAGCCACTGCATCTGGCCTGCCCCTTTTTTTTAGTGGTGTCTTGCAATTCTACTAATCTTTATAGGTTTCTCCATAAACAGTAATCTGTCTGCTTCTGGGTTTTCTCCATTGCTAGCATGTTTCCATTCTCTCTGGGTTGCTGAATTACCAGTAGTTTGCTTTTCAACCTAAAAATGTTTGCTGACATGTCTCATCTACTCCTTTGTCTCTCTCTTCATCCTTCTGAGTTTGTTTTTAAAAATCTTTAATGAGATGTTAAGAGAGAGCAGAGATAAAATGAAAGCCTGCCTCTGTCTTTTTATGGCATTGAATTCCATACTGTGGTCACTCAACAGCAGTGTAGTGTATTAGTCCATTTTCACACTGCTGATAAAAACATTCCTAAGACTGGGAAGAAAAGGAGGTTTAATTTGACTTACAGTTCCACATGGCTTGGAGGCCTCATAATCATGGCATAGGGCGAAAGGCACTTCTTCCATGGTGGTGGCAAGAGAAAAATGAGGAAGAAGCAAAAGTGGTAACCCCTGATAAACCCATGAGATCTTGTGAGACTTATTCACTATCACGAGAATAGCATGGGAAAGACTGACCCTGATGATTCAATTGTCTCCCCCTGGGCGCCTTCCACAACACAGGGAAATTCTGGGAGATACAATTCAAATTGAGATTTGGTTGGGGACACAGGCAAACCATGTAAGTCTGTCATTTATTTATTTCTCTACTGTGCTGATACTGTGTCCACACTTCTGCTACCACTTGTGACAGAGGTCCCACTACCATCCACATTTGGTGCTTCACTAAAAGGACTCGGGAGATTTGACATATAGTTGAACTCATGACTGATACTTATTTTTATTTGCTTTTTTAAAAATTATTATTTTACTTTAAATTTTAGGGTACATGTGCACAACGTGCAGGTTTGTTACGTATGTATACATGTGCCATGTTGGTGTGCTGCACCCGTTAACTCGTCATTTACATTAGGTGTATCTCCTAATGCTATCCTTCCCCCCTCCCCCTACCCCCCAGCAGGCCCTGGTGTGTGATGTTCCCCACCCTGTGACCATGTGTTCTCATTGTTCAATTCCCATCTATGAGTGAGAACATGCGATGTTTGGTTTTCTGTCCTCGCAATAGTTTGCTCAGAATGATGGTTTCCAGCTTCATCCATGTCCCTATAAAGGACATGAACTCATCCTTTTTTATGGCTGCATAGTATTCCATGGTGTATATGTGCCACATTTTCTTAATCCACTCTATCATTGATGGACATTTGGGTTGGTTCGAAGTCTTTGCTATTGTGAATAGTGCTGCAATAAACATACGTGTGCATGTGTCTTTATAGCAGCATGATTTGTAATCCCTTGGATGTATGCCCAGTAATGGGATGGCTGGGTCAAATGGTATTTCTAGTTCTAGATCCCTGAGCAATTGCCACACTGTCTTCCACAATGGTTGAACTAGTTTACAGTCCCACCAACAGTGTAAAAGTGTTCCTATTTCTCCACATCCTCTCCAGCACCTGTTGTTTCCTGACTTTTTAATGATTGCCATTCTAACTATTGTGAAATAGTGTCTCATTATGGTTTTGATTTGCATTTCTCTGATGGCCAGTGCTGATGAGCATTTTTTCATGTGTCCGTTGGCTGCATAGATGTCTTCTTTTGAGAAGTGTCTGTTCATATCCTTTGCCCACTTTTTGATGGGGCTGTTTGATTTTTTTCTTGTAAATTTATTTAAGTTCTTTGTAGATTCTGGATATTAGCCCTTTGTCAGATGGGTAGATTGTAAAAATTTTCTTCCATTCTGTAGGTTGCCTGTTCACTCTGATGGTAGTTTATTTTGCTGTGCAAAAGCTCTTTAGTTTAATTAGATCCCATTTGTCAATTTTCACTTTTGTTGCCATTGCTTTTGGTGTTTTTCATGACTGATACTTATTATAGTCATTCAGCCAGGATACACAGCTGGGTCAGTAAGGGAAAAATGCGCATTAGCAGAGTCTGGAGGAATCCATATATAGGCTTCCTGTGTTCCTCAAGGGGCCATATAGAATGTACTCATTCCCTTCAGCAGTGAAATGCAGTAACGTGTGTACATTTTTTCTCCTCAGAGAAGCCTTTTGAAACTCAGCCTGTTTTCACTGGGGGTTGGTCCCATAGGCATCCCCTGCCTACCAAAATTTTACGCACTCCCAGAAGGAAAGAAAGCAGATGTTCACCACAGATCACAGTGTTTATTTATACAAACAGTCTAGGCAGGCTGGCGCAGCAGGTGCAACCTTCTCTGTTGGTAATGGAGGGAACATTCTAAAAGTTAAGTCTCCAGATGCCAACCAAGGGGTAGCCCTGTAAGCTGGTCCTTTAAATATATCAGGCCTCCTATGTTAACTCTTTCCTGCAGAGTGAATCTCAATACTACAGTGTTTTACGTGTCTATTTTGAACTTTACATAGATAAGATTGTTATGTACTTCTGCAGGTTGCTTTTTTTTCTGGTTAAAATAATAATTTATATTATTGTAGTTTATTTGTTCCATTGTTACGTATGTAATATGGTATATCTATACTATAATTTATTTATTTAATAAGTTTATTCAGTCTTCTGTCCACATAGTTGCTGTTTAGAGTAATATTGTTTCTGTGATAGGTTGTATGAAATTTCAGCTTTACTGAATAATGCCAGATTGTTTTCCAAAGTAGCTATTACTTTAGAAATAAAATAAAAAGTAGTATAAAACTCTTAACAGCTGGTTTGTTGTTTTAGAATACTTGTTTTTCCCCCCATTTAAAAAACAAATATATTTCATTGAATTGGTAAGTTAATAAAATAGTTCTAATGTTGTATTTCTTCTGTGCTCAGTGCCAGAAATCACATCCAAAGTCAGTTCCAGTTTCTTCAAAGAAGAAAGAAGCCTCTCTACAGTTTGTTGTAGAACCAAGTGAAGCCACAAACAGATCAGGTTGGTGCCATCTCCATGGGCATTATTTGCTTGGATATATTTAAAAAATGAGAAACGCTAATGGTGCATGTGTTGCTTTGAGTATGAAGGTCAGGGTCAGCCTAGACAGAATTGTGAATTGTGAAATGGATGAATTTGTTTTTGATTTCCTTACAACTCCATGGTCAGTGCTCTTTTTCTCTCTTCTTCTCCATTTCCTTTAGTCAGTGATACATGCTACTACTTTTTAAAGTTTTCTTTCTTTTTATTTTTCAGATTAAAAGAGTGTTACTCCATTGAGTTAATAAAGGTTTAAAATAAGAATTTAGTCATTACTCCTATCATTCTGCTGAGGTAGCCTTTAAATAGTTCTGTACCTTAATTGGTGCCCATAAATGAAAAAAAAAAAAGCATGTGTGTTTGTATGTGTCTGTGCCTGTACCTGCTTTCAGAAAAGGCTATTATAATTTCCTTTTACACCAATAGTGTAAGAGTACCTTTTACCTGATAGTCTATTTACTATTCTACGTTCTTGCCCATTCATTGATATTAAGCAATCTCCTTTTTACTTTAGTGTCCATTTCCATGATTGCCAGAGTTTGAGCACCTTTATGTTTATTGGCTGTTGGATTTTAATTGTTAAATGTGTGACTTTTATAGCTTTAAGTTTGTTTTAGTTAAAAGTTCTGTCTTATCCCAACTTAGATTTTTCATCTGAAAACCTTTTTTTAAAAAATAAAATTAAGTCTTTAACCATCTGGAATGTGTTTCGGTATGTAACATGACATAATCTTCTAAGTTTGTTTTCTTCCAGTTGGTCAGTTGTGTCAGATCTGTTTATTAAATTAAAAAAAAATCTGTTCTCTTCTGAATGTACTACTTTTATTATATATTAAATCTCACATAACATTCAACATACTTTTGAATTTTGATATATTTGTTTTTTCCTCTGTCAACACAATACTCTTGTTACTAATAGTAGCTTCATAGTATGTCCTGATATAAATACCTTCACTATTCCACTGCCATTCTGCAGCCTTTTTTCTTTCTATGAGCTTTTAGTTTTATCCAATTCCAAATAAACTTTTGGAATTCTAACTAGAATTGCATTTAATTTATGTAGTAATTTCGTGAGAATTCACATTTTTTATGTTATTTAGGTTTTTTACAAAATAAGTTATGTTTCTTTCTTATAAAAATGTTAATCTGGAGCCAGGAGTGGTTGCTCATGCCTGTAATCCCAGCACTTTGGGAGGCTGAGGCAGGTGGATCAGTTGAGGTCAGGAGTTTGAGACCAGCATGGCCAACATGGTAAAACTCCATCTCTACTAAAAATACCAAAATTTGCCAGGCGTGGTGGCAAGTACCTGTTATCCCAGGTACTCGGGAGGCTGAGTCAGGAGAATCGCTTGAGCCTAGGAGCTGGAGGTTGCAGTGAGCCGAAGATTGCGCCACTGCACTCCAGCCTGGGCGACAGAGTGAGACCCCGTCTCCAAAAATAAATAAATAAATAAATAAATCTGAAGGACACTGTCAAGAGTGTGAAAGGGCAACCAGACTAGGCGAAAATATTTGCAAATAATTTACCTGAAAAGGATGATAGAGATTTATAATCAGAATATATAAAGAACTTCTACAGCTCAACAACAGAAAAACCAAACAACCCAAATAAAAGATGAGCAAAGGACTTTACATTCTGTGTATAGACTTTTCTCCAAAGAAGGTATGCAATTGGCCAATAAATATATGAAAGGATGCTTGAAATCTTCAGTCATTAGAGAATGCAAATCAAGACCCTAGGGAGATACCACTTTACACTCACTAGGTTAGCTATTATTTAAAACAAAAAAAGGAAAATAAGTGTTGAAGATACGGATAAATTAAAACCCTCATGCATCACTGGTGGGAATGTAAAATGGTGCAGCCACCATAGAAAACAATTTGATAGTTGCTCAAAAAGTTAAACATAGAACTACCATATGACCCAATACTTCCCTCCTAGGTATATACCCAAAAGAATTGAAAGCAGGGATGGAAGCAGACATTTGTATACTAATATTCGTAGCAGTATTATTCACAATACTCAAAAGGTATAAACAAGCCAAGTGTCCGTCAACAGATGAATGGATAAACAGCATGTGATTTATACACAGAATGTAATATTAGTCAGTCATTAAAAACAAAGTTCTGCTATATAACATAGCATAGAAGAATCTTGAACACATTAAAACATGCAAACTGAAATAAACCAGACAAAAAAGGACAAAAATTTTGTAGTTCTACTTACATGAGGTATTTATAATAGGTAAATTTAGAGATAGGAAGCAGAATAGAAGTTGCAGGGGATTGTGGTAGGGGGTAATGGTGATTTAATGTTTGATGTGTACAGAATTTGTTTGAAATGATGAAAAAGTTCTAGAAATGATGATGGTTGCACAGTGTTGTGAATGTACTTAATGCCATTAAATTGTACACTCATAAATGGTTAATATTGTAAATTTCATGTTTTATCATAAAAAATATTTTAATAAAGCCTGTCTCCTGGCTCCCCATTCTCCCCTCCCTCCTAGTATTGGGTCTTTGACTTTCTTGTTAAGGTTAATCCTAACTGTACTATAATTTTTGTACTATTCTGAACATTTTTTTAAATTATGAGGCTAATTTTTATATCAAAATTTTAATTCAGCACTTACCAAGGTTTTTAAAAAAATTAATTCTAGACCTTTAAAAATTTGAATCTTTTAGTTTTCTTTAAGCTATATAACCATGTCATCAGCTAAAGAGAGGTTTTATTTGTTATGTTTAATCTGATTATTTCAGTCTTCTTGCCTTTGCTAGAATCTCTGAGTCAGTGTTGTTTAATAATGATGATATTAGGTATCCATGTCTGTTCTATGATTTTAACTGAAATTAGTACTGTGCCACTTAAAATAATAATTGTGGGTAGTTTGGGGTAAATTTAGTTTATGTCTTTAATTTCCTTTTCTTACTATTATTAGCTAGTACTTCAGTATTATGTTAAATAACAGTGATGGGTCCAAGCACTGTGGCGTAGGCCTATAGTTCCAGCACTTTGGGAGTCTGAGATTGGAGAATCTCTTGAGGCCAGATGTTTGAGACCAGCCTAGGCAACGTAGTGAGAACTTGTCTCTACAAAAAACACAAAAATTTAGCTTGTGCAGTGGCATGTGCCTATAGTCCTGCCTACTTGGGAGACTGAGGTGGGAGAGTCACTTGAGCCCAAAAGGTTGAGGCTGCAATGAACTGTGCTAGTGCCACCCCACTCCAGCCTGGGTACAGAGTCAGACCCTGTCTCAAAAAAAAAAAAAAAAAAAAAAAAAAGGATGGGGTGAAAATTCTAGCGTTGTTCCTGCTCTTAGAAAACATTTGATCTTTCACATTAAGATGTTAGCTATAAGTTTTTAATAGATGTTTTTTATAGGGTTGGGAAATTTTCTCCTGCCAGTATGCTGAGAATTTTTAATCATAGGTAATGTGGATTTTGTCATGCATTTTTTGCATAAATCCATATGATCATATGATTTTTCTTCTCTGAACTGTTGATATGGTGGCTTATACATATTGATTTTTGAATGTTTAACCAGCCTTGCGTAAAATTTCCATGTGGTCATGGTGTATTACTGATTTGAGCTCTTTTTCCCTTTTCAAATGTATTCATTTGGCATAAATTTCCCCCTCAGCACTGTTGTAGCTGTATTCCACAGGTTTTGTATCTCATGTTTTGTGTTCATTTCACTTATTTTGATGTATTTTTAAATATCTTTTCAGAGTTTAGCCTATTGGTTATTTAGAAGTGTGTTAATTTTCCAGTGTTTGGTAATTTCATATTATCTTTTCCTTATTAATTTCTGATCTTGATTCCTTTATGACATAGTATGCACTGTGCAATTTCAGTTCTACATTTATGAAGATTTGTTTTATGACCCAAGATATTGCATGTCTTTATGAATGGGCATTTAAAAAAAATGTTTTCTGTTGTTGGGTGTAGTTATCTATAAATGTCAATTATTGTGCACTATTGCTATTTTTTATACATTGTTGGATGTGACTTGGTAAAATTTTGAGGATTTTTGTATTTAAGTAAGGAGAGATTGGTTTATAGTTTTTTTAATGCTGTGTTTGTATGGTTTTGTTATCAAGGTAATATTTGCCTTATTAAATGAGTTGGGAATTATTCCCTTTTCTAATTTCTGGAAGGAACTGTGTAAAATTGGTGTTAATCCTTTAACTATTTGGTGTAACAGTCTCCGGTGAAATCATCTGGTCCAGGAGATTTTTTTTTCAAGAACTTTTAAATAGCAATATTAATTCTTTAATAGTTATAGGACTATTTTGATTATCAATTTCATTGTGACTGAATTTTGGTAGTTTGTGTTTTCTGAGGTATCGGTCCATTTTTTCTAATCATCTGTCAAGTTTGTAAGCATAAAGTTGTTCATAGCACTACCCTATTTTTTTTTTGAGTTTTTTTAAATATTTTTTTTACTTTAAGTTCTGGGATACATGTGCTGAACATGCAGGTTTGTTACATAGGTACACCTGTGCCATAGTGGTTTGCTGCACCTATCAACCCGTCATCTTGGTTTTAAGCCCCACATGAGTTAGGTGTTTGTCCTAATGCTCTCCCTTCCCTTTCCTCCCTCCCCCCACCACAGGCCCTGGTGTGTGATGTTTCCCTCCCTGTGTCCATATGTTCTCATTGTTCTACTCCCACTTATGAGTGAGAACATGCAGTGTTTGGTTTTCTGTTTTAGTTTGTTGAGGTTGATGGTTTCCAGCTTCATCCATGTCCCTGCAAAGGACATGAACTCATTTCTTTTTTATGGCTGCTTAGTATTCTGTGGTGTATATCTGTCACATTTTCTTTATCCAGTCTATCATTGATGGGCATTTGGGTTGGTTCCAAGTCTTTGCTATTGTAAATAGTGCTGCAGTAAACACAGATGTGCATGTGTCTTTATAGCAGAATGATTTATAATCCTTTGGGTACATACCCAGTGATGGGATTGCTGGGTTGAATGGTATTTCTGGTTCTAGATCCTTGAGGCATTGCCACACTGTCTTCCACAATGGTTGAACTAATTTACACTCCTACCAACAGTGTAAAAGTCTTCCTGTTTCTCCACATCCTTGCCAGCATCTGTTGTTTCTTGTCTTTTTAATGATCACTATTCTAACTGGTGTGAGATGGTATCTCATTGTGGTTTTGATTTGCATTCCTCTAATGACCAGTGATGATGAGCTTTTTTTTAATTATGTTTGTTGGCTGTGTAAATGTCTTCTTCTGAGAAGTGTCTGTTCATATCATTTGCCCACTTTTTGATGGGATTGTTTGTTTTTGTTTTTCTTGTAAATTTGTTTAAGTTTCTTGTAGATTCTGGATATTAGACCTTTGTCAGATGGAGAGGTTGTAAAAATATTCTCCCATTCTGTAGGTTGCCTGTTCACTCTTTTGCTGAGCAGAAGCTCTTTCATTTAATTAGATCCCATTTGTCAGTTTTGGCTTTTGTTGCAATTGCTTTTGGTGTTTTAATCATGAAGTCTTTGCCCATGCTTATGTCCTGAATGGTATTGCCTAGGTTTTCTTCTAGGGTTTTTATGATGTTAGGTCTTAAATTTAAGTCTTTAATGCATCTTGAGTTAATTTTTGTATAAGGTGTAAGGAAGGGGTCCAGTTTCAGTTTTCTGCATATGGCTAGCCAGTTTTCCCAGCACCATTTGTTAAACAGAGAATCCTTTCCTCATTGCTTGTTTTTGTCAGGTTTGTCGAAGAGCAAACGGTTGTAGATGTGTGGTGTTATTTCTGAGGCCTCTGTTCTGTTCCATTGGTCTATATATCTGTTTTGGTACCAGTACCAAGCTGTTTTGGTTACTGTAGCCTTATAGTATAGTTTGAAGCCAGGTAGTGTGATGCCTTCCACTTTGTTCTTTTTGCTTAGGATTGTCTTGGCTATATGGGCTCTTTGGTTCTATATGAAATTTAAAGTAGTTTTTTCTAGTTCTGTGAAGAAAGTCAATAGTAGCATGATGGGAGTAGCATTGAATTTATAAATTACTTTGCACAGTGTGGCCATTTTCACTATATTGATTCTTCATATCCATGAGCATGGAATTTTTTTCTCTTTGTGTCCTCTCTCATTTCCTTGAGCAGTGGTTAGTAGTTCTCCTTCAAGAGGTCCCTCACGTCCCTTGTAAGTTGTATTCCTAGGTATTTTATTTTCTCTGTAGCAGTTGTGAATGGGAGTTCATTCATGTTTTGGCTCTCTGCTTGTCTGTTATTGGTGTATAGGAATGCTTGTGATTTTTGCCATTAATTTTGTATCCTGAGACTTTGCTGAGGTTACTTATGAGCTTAAGGAGTTTTGGGACTGAAACGATGGGGTTTTCTAAGTATACAATCACGTCATCTGCAAACAGAGACAGTTTGACTTCCTCTCTTCTCTCTTCCTGTTTGAATACACTTTATTTCTTTCTCTTGCCTGATTGCCATGGCCAGAACTTCCAATACTGTGTTGAATAGGAGTGGTGAGAGAGGGCATCCTTGTCTCGTGCCAGTTTTCAAACAGAAGCATTACCCTATTTTTGGTGGCTGCAAAATCTATTGTGACATCATCCCCTATTTTATTCCACATATTGATGGTTGGTGTCTTCTTATAGTTGTCAATTTTGTTAGATAGAGGTTTATCATTTTGTAGTTTTTTTTCCTGCAATAGTTTTCTGTATTTTTCTATTTTCAGTTTTATTGATTTCTGCTCTTTATTTTTTCCCATCCTTCTGCTTGATTGGGTTTATTTTGTTCTTTTCTTGATGGATAAATTTTATTTTCTACTTTATAATTCATTACTGTTTATTTTGTTATTCAGATTGTTGCAGATTTGGCTAATAGAAGCTCTTACTTTGGTTCCAGTGTCCCTTTGACATGGCCCATTTTTGTTGTTGTTTCTGAGCACTTTCATACCTTTTAGAGCCACAAGATGCTCTCCTGCCCCATCCCAGAATCAACCATTTCTTCATGGAATCATGATTTCTTTTACTGGGTAATGTTATTAGAAACCAAGATCTGAGTGCTAGGTGTGCTGTCACTCCTGTAGAGTTGTTGCTGCTAGACCCTTTCAACTGATAGAGCTGGGTAAATGTATGTGTGTGTACAATAACTTGTGTATCAACACATACCTATAAATATCTTTAAATGTAACTATCTGTATCTATGTTGAAGTAATCATAAGTTCATATTGATGTCTCTGACTCTAATCCATTACCACGTGGATTATTCTAGCCTCCTCCTCTTGCTTATCTGTAAACTCCCATTACATGAATGAGAAACTGGGCGTTCACCATTCAACATCCATTTACTTATCTTTTACATTTCTGTATACATGTAAAAGAGTGTCAGAATTGTTGACTCATATCCTGTGGAAAACAGTTTTATCAACTAGAGAATAGTGCTTATGTACAGTTTCTTTTGCCTTCAGTCTTACAGACGTCATTCATTTTTTGTTTTTTTGAGAGAGTCTCCCTCTGTCTCCCTGGCTGAAATGCAGTGGCGTGATCTCGGCTCACTGCAACTTCTGACTCCAGGGTTCAAGCAATTCTCCTGCCTCAGCCTCCTGAGTAGCTGGGATTACAGGCAGCAGCCACCACGCTCATCTAATTTTTTGTGTTTTTAGTAGAGACGGGGCTTCATCATGTTAGCCATGCCAGTCTTAAAGTCCTGACCTCAAGTTATCCGCCTGCCTCAGCATTCCAAAGGGCTGGGATTATAAGTGTGAGCCACCATGCCCAGCTGATTCATTCCTTTTAATTTTTTTTTTTTTGAGATGGAATTTTGCCCTTATCACCCAGGCTGGAGTGCAATGGCACAATCTTGGTGCACTGCAACCTCCGCCTCCTGAGTTCAAGTGATTCTCCTGTCTCAGCCTCCCAAGTAGCTGGGATTATAGGCACACACCACTGCGCCCACATAATTTTTGTATTTTTAGTAGAGATGGGGTTTCACCATGTTGGCCAGGCTCATCTGGAACCCCTGACCTCAGGTGATCCACCCACCTTGGCCTCCCAAAGTGCTGGGATTACAGGCATGAGCCACCACACCTGGCCTTTGATTCATTTCTGATCTTTCTTAGGTCATCACCTTTCCCCCCATCCACTTCATTGAGGTTGTTTCTACATATACATTGAATGTGGCATATGTAATACATGTGATTTCCATGATTAGGTCATAAAAGGCTATATGGCTCTGCTTGGCATGCTGGATCTCTCTCTCCTTCTCTCTCTCTCTTCCTGTCTTTCTTATTCTCTCCAGTTGCCCTTGGAACCCAGACAATATGCTGTGAAGAAGCCCAAAGTAGCCATTATGGAGAGAAAAGACTCCCAGCCTGCAGTCAAGACCAGGTGTCAAATATGTGTAAACAAGCTGTCAGATGATTCCAGGGCTCAGACTTCATGGAAGAATCCGTCCCTTCTGTGCTCTGCTGAATTGCTGACTTACTGAATCCATGAACATAACAAATAGTTGTTTTATGCAGCCAAGTTAAGAAGTTATATTATGCAGACATGGTAACTGAAACAACGAATTCCCAACTTAAATACTACTGTTAGTTATTTCTGTTGTCAGGTATTTTAATATTTTTTAACTTTACAAGACTTTTTGTTTTAGTTTGTTTATATACACACGTCACTTCCTTTGCTCTTTTTTAAAGAAGTGTATTTTAAAATATTGTATAATATAAACATAAAATTGTCCACTTTATTTCTGAGTATACAGTTCAGTAGCATTAAGTACATTCACATTGTTGTGAGGCTATCACCACCATGAATCCATAGAACTTCTTTCATTTTTCACAACTGAAACACTGTACCCATTAAACAGTATCTCTTTTTCCATTAGCCCTGGCAACCACCATTCTACTTTTTTCTGTCCATGAATTTCAGACAGAAAATTTATCTGTGACTGGCTTATTTCACTAAGCATAATGTCTTCAAGGTTCATCCATGTTGTAGTATGTGTCAGAATTTCATTCTAAGACTGGGTAATATTTCATTGTATGTGTATACCACTTTTTATCTATTAATCTGTTGATGGGCACTTGGGTTGTTTTCGCTTTTTGGCTATTGTGAGTAATGCTGCTATGAATATTAGTGTGAAAGTATCTCTTTGAGTTCCTGCTTTCAGTTTTAAGTTTTTAAGGATCCACTGTGCACTTTTCATAGTGACTGTCATTCTACATTCACACTAGCAGTGCATGCACAAAGGTTCCATTTTTTTCTACATCAACAGTTGTTATCTTTTGTTTTTATAAATAATAGTCATCCTAATGGGTGTGATGTAGTATCTCATTGTAGTTTTGATTTGTTTTACATCACTGTTATTAGGAAAATTTAAAATAATATTTAAAAATCACTACTTACTGATAATGGCTAATATCCAAAAAACTTTTTTTTAAAAAATGCTACTTTGAGAGTTTCTTTTTCATTTGTTACAAGAGGATTTGTAATTGATTATTAAAGCATTTTATGATGTTTGCTTTAAAATTTATTGTTAAATAATTTTAAAATCTGATTCATCTCATTTATGTCTATTGATCATTATTTCTTACTTTTTTTTTTTTTTGGTTTGTTTTGGTTTTGGTATGACGAGTTGTTTTGATTGTATTCCTGAGATTTGGTTACTTATGTTAGGGGATTCTTAGACTACTTAAATCTTTTGTTACAGCACATAGTTGCCCTATTTTGGTTTAATGTATAGGTTCTTTCCTGTGTTATTTATTTATTTATTTATTTATTTATTTATTTGTTTATTTTTTGAGACAGAGTCTTGCTCTGTCGCTCAGGCTGGAGGGCAGTGGTGTGATCTTAGCTCAGTGCAACCGCCGCCTCCTGGGTTCAAGTGATTCTCATGCTTCAGCCTCCCGAGTAGCTGGGATTACAGGCATGTGCCACTACGCCTGGCTAATTTTTGTATTTTTAGTAGAGATGGGGTTTCGCCATGTTGGCCAGGCTGGTCTTGAACTCCTGGCCTCCAGTGATCCACCCGTTTTGGCCTCCCAAAGTGCTGGGATTGCAGGCATGAACCACTGCGCCCAGCCCCTCTTTCCTAGTTTTATGAGTTTTATTTTCAATGATAGTTAAGTGTTCAGAGTAATAGTGGTATTTTGTTCTACTTCATTTTCTGATGCTGTTAGGATTCTAGCTCAGTTCCTGTTGGTGCTGTCTGGGGTGGGTAGAAGATGCCTTTTGATGTCCATGTTCACTTGTGTGGGGTTCTGGTTAGAAGCTGCTGGTCCTGGGTTTCCTTATATCATTGGGTGGAGGACAGGGGGTTGCTGGCCTCTCTTACGCTGTTCTTGCCTCAGATTAGACTGTCTGCTGGTGCCCTGGTTGTAAAGTAGGGACTGGGATGGCCTGGGGTGTCAATACTATCAGTGGATCAAAATGTTGCCTTGGGCTGTGAAGGTCAGGGGTTTCACTACTCTACAGCTTCATGTGGGTCATACCGCCTGCCATCTATGATTGTAGAAGCGGGACTGGCTTGGTATGAGCTCCTTTACTGCTACAGTCCCATAGCACAGCCCAGGGCTTTGTTGCTTTGCCAATGCAGGTAGTAAGGAGTGCTCCATGGCCGAGAGTGCTGAATGGGGCTTGAGTTTCCTCATTAGGTCTTCGGTGGGTTTACCTTGTTCAGAGAATGCATTTCCACCCAGCCTCCACCCTGTCTTTCACCTATTGGTGGTTACAGGTTATACTAGCAACCAGTCCAGGGGTATATGGGAGACAGACAGAAAACCTAAGGCTTGTCTGTTTCTGGTCTTGAGCTTCCTAGCTAGTCTACCTTTTTTTCTTCCAGCTTTCAGAGTCCTGTTGTTGATTGATGGATAATTTCCAGGGAAGTTAGTTGTATTTAGAGGGAGAAGCAGGGAAATGCCATCTCGTTCTGAAGGGTGAGGGTTAAGAGAATATGGATACATTCTTTTAAATTTTCTCATTATAGATAAATGTTCATATACATATATACTGTGTATGTATATATACACACATGCTTATGTTGTATCTCTCTATATCTGTTATATCTATATTCCATGTGTGTATGTGTAAATATATCATCTAGCTGCCCTAGGTCACCAATTTTTAGCCCAAAGATAGAAGAATCTTAAGTACTTACTTATTTTAATCATAGATCTTTGATTCTAATCTTAATGACTTTGAGTTTTCTGAAAACTATTTCTGATTAAATTATTGCAGAATTTTTAAAAAGCCTGCTTGATTCTCTTATTATTCTTTTAATTGACAAATATCTTTATATAATTTTCTTCTAGTTCAGGCCCATGAAGTTCATCAGAAAATTCTGGCAACTGATGTTAGTTCCAAAAATACACCTGACTCGAAAAAAATATCAAGTAGAAACATAAATGATCATCACAGTGAAGCTGATGAAGAATTTTACTTATCCGTTGGCTCACCTTCTGTTCTTTTGGATGCAAAAACATCTGTATCACAAAATGTTATTCCATCTAGTGCCCAAAAGAGAGAGACTTACACTTTTGAAAATTCAGTAAATATGCTGCCTTCAAGTACAGAGGTTTCAGTTAAAACCAAAAAAAGGTAACATTTTATTTAAATAATGTTAACGCACTTTAAAAATTTTACTTTTTGTATTAAAAAATGGTAATTCAATCTTGTTATATTATTTTACACTAAGGAAGGAGGAATATTAACATGTTATGAGAAAGTATACATTTAGCATATATTCAGTTTGTAATAATTAAGGAAGGGCTTAAAGTGTACTTCAGAGAAGTTTAGAGGTTAACTTTTCTATAGTCTGGAATAATGTGTTTTCTCTCTGATAATATTTGATTGCTTCCTAAGAGAAACAATTTGTATTTTCTCAATATTTTTTGTAATTGCAAGTGTAGATGTGTATCAGGTCACTTCAAGGGTAGCAGAGCATAAGTATTATTGAGGATGCTATGCTTTGTGGACAGCTGGTTTCTCTTTCTTGACCTTACCTTTGGCCTTTAGGAAACAAAGTGGATTCAAGGTCTTTTGCATTTGGAGATCTCTGTAATGAGTGTAATTTCTATTTAGAGTATTGTATGATTACTGGAGCCAAGGAGTTAAGTATATTCTAAGACTTTGATATTCAAAGTTTGGTCTGTCACAGTGCTCTAAGATTGCCCTGAGAACCATTGCCTAGCTATACATTTCATTGATGTATACTTTAGCCATTATTTTCTCTTTCATGTTTTTCTATTGATAAATACAAAAGTTAATTTTCCTGAGCAGTTTATCTTATGTATTTGGAATGCACAAATCAGCATTTATGTCTTAAATAAATGCCTAGTACAGAATTTTAAATTGGTCTGTATTGTCTCTGTAAAGGAGTTCAGGAAGACTTATAACTCAAGAAACGTTACGGGAGCATTCAGCTTACCCTCCTTTTAACCTTTTAGGTTAAACTTTGATGATAAAGTTATGTTAAAGAAAATAGAAATAGATAATAAAGTATCAGATGAAGAGGATAAAACATCGGAAGGACAAGAAAGAAAACCATCAGGATCATCTCAGAATAGAATACGAGATTCAGAATATGAAATTCAACGACAAGCTAAAAAAAGTTTTTCAACATTGTTTTTAGAAACAGTAAAACGAAAAAGTGAATCCAGGTGAGTTATTAAGAAACTGCCCTTTGAGACATTTTTCTTTTATATTCTATGAACCATATATAAGGATTCCTAATGCTATTTAACTTAGAAATAAGTAATTTAATTAACAAAAATTTTAATTGAAATTTTTTCTGACCTGTAAGGAGAGATGGTTTTTTACCAGTCAGTGAGTCACTCCCAAAGCCATTTTTTAATAGATACTAAATTAGACTTGAAAGAAAACAAGTTTATTCAGTTTTCATTGCCTTCTGGTTTGTCTGTGTGATATCAAAGACTGAAGTCAATGCAGTATTTATGTATGTATGTATGTATTTATTTTGAGACAGGGTCTCGCTCTGTCTTCCAGGCTGGAGTGCAGTGACGCAATCTCGGCTCATTGCAACCTCTCCCTCCTGGGTTCAAGAGATTCTCCTGCTCAGCCTCCCGAGTAGCTGGGATCACAGGCACCTGCCACCACGCCTGTCTAATATTTGTATTTTTAGTAGAGATGGGATATCCCCATGTTGGTCAGGCTGGTCTCGAACTCCTGACCTCAGGTGATCCATCTGCCTCGGCCTCCCAAAGTGCTGGGATTACAAGCTTGAGCCACCGCACCCGGCCGACAATGCAGTATTTAGAAATCGTTATGTTAGGCTGCCCTTATGTCACTATCATAGGTATCAGAGTGCTAGTGAATATACTAGGAAGTTTTTATTGCTGGGCGCGGTGGCTCATGTCTGTAATGCTAGCACTTTGATAGGCCGAGGCGGGTGGATCACTTGAGATCAGAGGTTCAAGACCAGCCTGACCAACATGGTGAAACCCCATCTCTACTAAAAATACAAAAATTAGTCGGGCTTGGTGGCACATGCCTGTAATCCCAGCTATTCGGGAGGCTGAGGTAAGAGAAACACTTGAACCTGGGAGGTGGAGGTTGCAGTGAGTCGAGACGGTGCCACTGCACTCTAGCCTAGGTGACAGAGTGAGACTCAGTCTCAAAAATAAAAAGGAAGTTTTTATAAAAACATGTTAAATGAATGAATGAAATTCCCCTTTTGTTCAGTCTCTGCTTCCTGTAGTTGATTAATTATTTTTATGTGTATATTTTAAACCTCATATGGATATTGTCACCACCATCTGAAACAAATGCGTTATACTTGTGGGCTAATTATATAATGTCTGAGAAATTATTTTTTAATGTTCTTTTTGATACTCTAGTGAGTAAAGTTCATCTTATGTTTAATTGTTGTAGTCAAATATAACTATTCATTATTCCCAGTGCTTTCTAGCATCATTGCTTCCACTTATGCTCTTCCTTTTGATTGTCTTTCTTGCATTTCCTTGTGACCAAATCTTAGAAATCCTCCAAGATCTAGCCTAAATGCTACAAAGCGTTTCATAGTTTTTGTAGCTAATTAGAAGCCATCTTTCCCTATTGTAAACTTTCATAGTGTCAAGATTGTTTCCTAAGGATATCATTTCTGTTTAACATCCATTCATTGTAGTATTTGTATTGACTTTGTTCTTTATTAGTTTTTATAGAGTTTTCTAATTATATAAGTTTGTGAAACTCTACCATTAGAGAGTATATTTTTTAGAGTATTTGCTATTTTACATTATAAGATTTGTCAGGAGTTTGCGATTAGAGGAATAGAGAAGGCATTTTCATTTCTGATTCCTTGTGTATGTTCTAATTAAAAGAGAAAAACATAATCTAATTTTTGCATTCTGTCTTTGTTTCTGTTATGGCTAAACATAGCTAACTAAGCCTTCTTATCCTAGTGAAAAAGTGGAAACGAGTGCGTATGCCAGCTTTGGAGTTTGGATGTTTACCTTGTTTTTTATTTTGTGTATCTCACTGCAATATGTGGTGTGCTTAAAGCTATTAAAACAATCAGGGAAATGTAAAATTAGTCAGTCTATCAGATTACTGTCCTTGGAATAATTCCTCCCTTCTCTAGGAAAGTTTCCTGACTAATTGGAGGAGGTACTGTGTAATCTCAATGCACTAGTCTTAATTTATTCAACACCTCATTAAATGCATGAATCTCTTTGTATGTTCTTAACATGTACATGCTTTTATGAAAATTTAAGAATTAATGTTGATGTTATATTATAAGCCATAAGATTGTAGTTGAAATTGTCTGTCTTACTCTTTAGCCTTTTACAACACTGGGCATGGGAAATAACAATAATATTCATGATATAGGCTTTCTGCCTTTTAGTAAAATACATAAAGTTTGGGCTAGGACTATGGAGAAAGGTCTAGAGTTGGGAAACATTGTTTGACTTCATTATTTAATAACATTCTGTAGCATTGTATGCTTTGTGATAAGACTTGCCTTTTATTTTTCCTGTTTCTGTGGCACTAGATTTCTTTTGTGCTTATGCTACCTTTCTAGATACACTCCATTTATTTCTATACCATGATTATAATATGAAAATATATGTGAAATACCCAAACTTGGAATGCATTTTTACACACATGCTGTCATAAGTTGCTACACACTTAGCGGCTTAAAACAACATTTATTATTTTATAGTTCTGTAGGTCTACAATTTACAGTCCTATAGTAATATTAGTAATTTTTACATTCATTCAACCGTCTGTGTATTTGGTGTTGCTATGTATGAAGAACTGTGGGATGTAAAAAAAGATAGGAAGAAATTGTCCCCAATCTCTCTCTCTCTCTCTTTTTTTTTTTCTGTCTGAGATGGAGTTTTGCTCAGTCACCCAGGCTGGAGTGCAGTGGTGCAATCTCGGCTCACTGCAACCTCTGCCTCCTGGGTTCAAGTGATTCTTCCGCCTCAGCCTCCCAAGTAGCTGGGATTACAGGCACCCGCCATCATGCCTGGCTAATTTTTGTATTTTTAGTAGAGACGGGGTTTCACCATGTTGGCCAGGCTGGTCTTGAACTCCTGACCTCAAGTGATCCACCTGCCTCAGCCTCCCAAAGTGCTGGGATTACAGGCGTGAGCCACCACATCCGGCCTCCTCAACTTTTTATAATTTAGTAGTAGTCCATTCAAATATTAGACTTGGAGTGTTCTCAGAAATAATCTTGTTGACTTATTTTGAATGTGAAGAAATTCAGACCCCAAAAGTTATATATACAAATATATAATTTAATATAAGATTATATATAATAGTGGCATTCATTTTGGACTGTGAGTCAATGTATCTGAGTTATAATTATATCTCTCTGGGCTTCAGTTTTAGTATATATAATGGGTGGGTGGGTGGGATCAAATTTGTTGATGTCTAGATTTCTAGCTCTAAATTTTTGTGATGTCATTACTATTATAAATAAGGGTGAACAGACATAGAAATGTGAAAGGAGGGAAAGATTTGTAAGATTAAGGGAAAATTGAGGAGATATATAAACAGTTTAAAAGAAATTTAGATTTTATTTCCTAGATTATTTTCTTTACTAAACAAATATAAAAGCTTTATTTTTTTGAACTGTTAAAAGTATCACCCTGTTTCAGTCCCATTGTTAGGCATGCGGCAACTGCTCCACCTCATTCGTGTCCTCCCGATGATACGAAGTTGATAGAGGATGAATTTATAATTGATGAGTCGGATCAAAGTTTTGCCAGTAGATCTTGGATTACAATACCAAGAAAGGCAGGGTCTCTGAAACAACGCACAATATCCCCGGCTGAGAGCACTGCACTCCTTCAAGGTAGAAAGTCAAGAGAAAAGCATCATAATATATTACCTAAGACTTTGGCAAATGACAAACATTCCCATAAACCTCACCCAGTAGAGACATCTCAGCCCTCTGATAAAACAGTACTGGATACAAGTTATGCTTTGATAGGTGAAACAGTAAATAATTATAGATCTACAAAATATGAAATGTATTCCAAGAATGCAGAAAAACCATCTAGAAGCAAAAGGACTATAAAACAAAAACAGAGAAGAAAATTCATGGCTAAACCAGCTGAAGAACAGCTTGATGTGGGACAGTCTAAAGATGAAAACATACATACATCACATATTACCCAAGACGAATTTCAAAGAAATTCAGACAGAAATATGGAAGAGCATGAAGAGATGGGAAATGATTGTGTTTCCAAAAAACAGATGCCACCTGTGGGTAAGTGTTTATATTAAATATAACCATGAGCATTATTCTACCCATTTTATGTTTTTTAATATCCTAACTTAGCTTTGGCAAGTAGGCAAAGTAAACCTAAATGAACAAAGAGCCTGAAAAGCCTATAGGTTCTTTTCTAGAACCTTTTTATTTTATATATAATTTAATTCTAACTCATATAGTTTTTGTTTATCTTGTGAGATGGCAGTATATATAGAGGGCAAAGTGAAAAGAAAAGGCTAGTAAACAAGTTAGTATCGGAAGATGAATAAGACAGAATGATAAATTATTTAGAAAATAAAAATGTTAAAAAAAATCCCAGGGTACCGTGGGACTATTTTTTATAGAGATAAAAGTCCATTCTCTTCCATCATTCACTCATGTGTCTAACAGTTGTTGAATGCCATACACTGCATTAGGCACTGTAATCACAAAAATTACTAACCCATTATTTCTACTGTTAACAAGATCATTCTGGTGGGTTCTGTAGAATAATAGATAATATACATACATGCATAGGATTAAAAGGAAGGATACAAAATTTTGATTTATCCATAATTTCTTAGGAAAAGACATATGAAGGAAGTATACTTGAAAGATGCGCTCTATAATTGTAAATATTAAACATTTTCTGAGTACCTGCTATATTCTACACACTAATTTTTACATATATTCTGTATCTAGATTGGTTAGTGAATATAATGCTCATTAATTACCATATCAGTTGTATTAATTTTCTATTGCTGTCATATGACAAGTTACTACACACTTATTGGCTTAAAACAACAAACATTGATTATCTTACAGTTCTGTGGGTCAGATGTCTCACTGGGATAAAATCAAGGTATTGGTGGGGTTTTCTTTCTTTCTGGTAGCTCTGGGAGGAAGTCTGTTTCTTTGCCTTTTCCACCCTCTTGAAACTACCTATATTCCTTGACTCATGGTCCTCCTCCACCATCTGCAAAACTAGCAATACCAGCCTTCTCATGTTGTGAATTTATCTTGCCTCTTCTTCCATCATCTCATCTCTCTGACCACAGCTTTTAAAAGAAACATAATTAGATTGGGTCAACCTGGATGATCCAAGATAATGCCTCTATTTCAGAGTTTATAATTTAATCACACTTTAAATCTCCTCTTCTTAAGTTGAAAAAAATCATTATTTCAAAACAGGAAAGCAGTAATTGCCTACTTTTACTTAGGACGTTATAGGAAGGAACTGTATTTTTTTTTCAGTTTCAGAAGATACTTATTTTTTTGGCTGAGGAGTATATAAGAGTTATCAAGCAGTGTGAAAATTTGCATTTAATAGGAAGTTAGTGCTTACTTCAGCAGCACATATAATTGACAGAAAGAGAACATGTGACTTTTAAAAATGGAGATGAAAAGGCCACAGGATAAATTTAAGAAGTTCCTGTAATTGACGGTTTTTTTATAATCTTGTGGTTTTCTGAAAACTCTTTTAGTAGATTGTGAATTGGTTTTATGGTTTTCTTTATTTTAGGAAGCAAGAAAAGTAGCACTAGAAAAGATAAGGAAGAATCTAAAAAGAAGCGCTTTTCCAGTGAGTCCAAGAACAAACTTGTACCTGAAGAAGTGACTTCAACTGTCACGAAAAGTCGAAGAATTTCCAGGCGTCCATCTGATTGGTGGGTGGTAAAATCAGAGGAGAGTAAGTATTTTTATTTAAATTGTGTTTGTTCATAGACAAAATCATTCTGTAAGGGGCATTATGTTTGATTTTATATTTCTATATAGAGAATATCATGAGGACCAAGTTAAATTGGGTCATCAAAAGGAATATTAAATCAATGGTAAAGATATTCCTTGAAGCGTTAATATATACAGTATTTTAGGAATAGGGATAATAGCTGTGGGAAAACAAAACCCCAAACCAGAAATCCCTGCTTTCATGGAGCTTGCATTCTAGTTGGGAAAGGCAATATAAATAATCCAGCTATTTTAATGTCCTGGCTGTGAGGGATACAAAGATTGATAATATGAGGTTCTGCCACCAAGGAGTTTATAATCTAAAAGATTATAGTTTATTACACATAAAAAAGTAAATTACTTGTGTTGGAGGTTCCCAAGACTACCCTCAGATTTGGTAATTTGCTAGGAGGACTGGGCATATAGTTGTACTCATGGCTGTGATTCATTACAGTGAAAGGATGCAGTGCAAATTCAGTAGAAAAAAAGTGCATGGGTTAAGTCTGGAGGAAATCAGCAGAAGCTTAAAGAGTCCTTTCCCAGTGGATTCCCACAGGAGCTGCTTAATTCCTCTAGCAATGAGTTGTGACAAATAGGCAAAATGTCTATTAGGGAAGCTCACTAGAGACTTAGTGCCCAAGATCTTTCCTGGGGGTGGTCACATAGGTACTCTCTATCTAGCAAGTACTACAATTCCAGACTCCCTGAAGGAAGGCAATATTTGCCTAAACCATATTTTTTGCATAAGCAGTTTAGGCCCACAACACCACGTTTGCCAATTAGGAAATGACGGGAACAATCCTGAAATTTAAGTTTACAGGGCTAACTTTGAAAGCAGGCCCTTTTAAGGGTAGTATACTCAGACCTGCTTTGCTAACTTTTTTCTGCACAATATGAAACATTTATTGTTTTGGGAGAATTGTCCCTTTTTAAAGAAAGTGATCCTGAAAAGATTGGTGGATCATAAGGTAGCATTCACATACACAAATACTATTGACTTTGGGGCATTTAGATTAATAAGTGAATGATTAGTACAACTATGGCATTGTATATGTGAGGCCTTATTGCTATGAATTATTAAATCATTGAGATTCTTGATGGATAGCAGCAAGTATTTATTTTGTTGCAGCCTTTGGATTTTGGAGTGAGATCTGAGTTCAAAGTATCACTCTTCCACTTTGAGTAGATTGCTTTGTTTAGTTTCTCATTCTGTAACATGATTACCTCATTGAGTTTTTATAAGGTTTAAATGCAATTAGCATAGTAGGTGGCATATGTTAGTATTGAAGTGTTAAATAATACTGTTACTGCTTTGGGGAACTCACTTTTCTGCCCCAGGTTGCCTGAAATGCTAAGTACTATGTGGCAGATGAATACATAAACAGATGGGTAAATAAATTCTTACAGAACTTGGATAAATGTGCTAGATCTCTGAAACTATCAAAAAACACTTATTTAAGAGTCCTGAAATAGATGTTGGATTTTTGATCAAGCTGGGAGTCGAAAAAGTGGAGGAATCTTTATATATCATATAGTCTAAACTCTCATCTGATGGAAGAAGAAACTGAAGTCTGAAGTTAAGAAGAACAACTTGACCTGCCCCCAGCCTGCCTGTCGTACGTGTGACACTGTTGCCCTTCCATATATATGAAGAAATGTATATGGAGTACTTGCCATGGGGCAGGAATGAGGTAAAGTAGGACCAGGACTAGGGTAAGACAATGAGACACTAGGGTGAAAAATTTAAGGCAGTCAGTCACAGGATTGTATCAGTTCGGGCTCTGTACTTGCACAGACCTGAAAATGAGTACCTTCTTGAATTTTCCAGCTGAGGCTACTCTTGCTTCACCATAGTCCTGCCCCTGTCATTAGGCATTGGGAATATACATAGATAAAATACCAATCAATTACTTGAGGTCAAGGAGTTGTTAGTCTGCTGGAGGAGAGAAGTAGAGATAAGTAAACAGTCGTATGTGTGATAGCAAGCTACCTAAGACTTGGAAATTAGGGAAAGCTTCCTGAAGGATGAACTAGGAGTTAGCTAAGTGATTGAGTGGAGTAAGGAGGAAGTTATGGAATGTTTTAAGTAGAAGTAGCTTGTGCAGAGATCTGGAGCAGAGAGCTTGATCTTTTCTTTCTTTAATTTAGTGTGCTTTAGAATTGTCTGGGGGGCCTATTAAGGCACAGGTTACTGGGCCCTGCTCTGCAAAGTCTTTGATTCACTGGGGTCTGAGGTGAGGCATGATAATTTACATTTCAAATTCCCAGATAATGCTGATCTTGCTGGTCTAGAGACTGCCTTTGGACAACCAGTGCTTTAGAGAAACTGTAGATTGTTCATTACTGATGGCTTTTTTTGGTTTGTTTGTTTGGAGGGGGGTTTTGGGAATTGTGGTTTATGAAATAAGCAAATCTAGATGTAGATATGAATTGATGTTGAAGTATTTGGACTTCATCCTGAAGCTATAGATAATAACTAAAATACTTTAATTAAGCAGAGTTGTAATGATCCAGTTTTTGTTTTCCAAAGGTGATTCTTGCAGCAGTGTAGGGAATGGATTGAAGAAAAACAAGGCTAGGGAGGGGGAGATTAGTAAAGAGACTGTTTTAATAATCCAGATATGAAATAATGAGGACTTCTACTAATGACAGGAGGGAGAGCTTGAAAGATTTGAAAGGCATTAATAAAGTAGAATTGATGGGATTTAGGGCGTGATTGTGGATAGGAGTAGTAGTCTTGCATGACTCAAATTTCTGATTTAGATATCTGGATAGAATAGGTAGTTGTATTTTTCATTAAGATAGGAAATAAAGCAAGAGAGGCAGATATAGGGGAGAGCAGTAGATGGATATTATAGGTGTCAGCATATAGATAGTAATTAAAGCTCTGGGTAGATAAGTCCGTCAATGAAAGTATATGGAGTGAAAAGCTGAAGCTGTCACCTTGGGGAATATCAGATATTAAGGATGGCCAGAAGGGCAGTGGGCAGAGCCAGAGAGTGTTTCTTGAAGCCTGTGACAGATTTGAAGGGCCTGTTTCATATATCTATAAACTGAAGAGCTACATTGTTTAAAGAATTTAATTTGGAAATAAATTTAGCCTGAGATGTGTGTGTGTGTGTGTGTGTGTGTGTGTGTGTGTGTGTGTGTGTGTGTATGTGTATATGTTTATATGCAAATATAAATGCTGTTGGTATTTCAGTGAGCCAAATCATCTGGACAAACTTACTAACTTTAGGTTATCATTGAATCCTTCAGGTCCTGTTTATAGCAATTCTTCAGTAAGAAATGAATTACCAATGCATCACAATAGTAGCCGAAAATCTACTAAGAAAACAAATCAGTCATCTAAGAATATTAGGAAAAAAACTATTCCACTTAAAAGGCAGAAGACAGCAACTAAAGGCAACCAAAGAGTACAGAAGTTTTTAAATGCTGAAGGTTCTGGAGGTATCGTTGGTCATGATGAAATTTCCAGATGTTCGCTGAGTGAGCCATTGGAAAGTGATGAGGCAGACTTGGCTAAGAAGAAAAATCTTGATTGTTCTAGGTAATGTCTGTTATGTGTACAATATAGTTACTTTTGTTGTTCAGCATTTAATAATTTGTGCTATTTAGTCATTTATGGACAGGCAGTAATTAGCATGAAGAGCTCTGCACTCTGACATACCTGGTATTAAATCCAGCCTCTACCATTAGCTGGATGACACACAGGCAAAGTAGTACTCTGCACTTGTTTCCTCATATTAAAATAGGGAATAGTACATAGCACCTGGAATTATGACTGTTAAATTTAATAAGATATTATTGTCATCCAAGAGTTAAACTTTTTTTTTTTTTTTTTTTTTTTAAGAGACAGAGTCTTCCTCTGTTTCCCAGGCTGGAGTGCAGTGGCGTGATCATAGCCCACTGTAACCTCAAACTTCTGGGTCAGATAATCCTTCTGCCTTAGCTTCCTGAGTAGCTAGGACTACAGGTGTGGACCACCACACCTGGCTAATTTTTTAATTTGTTGGAGAAATGAGGTCTTGCTTTGTTGCCTAGGCTTGTCTTGAACGCCTGGTGTGAAGTGATTCTCCTGCCTTGGGCTCCCAAAGTAGAGATTCAAAAAACAAACAGACAAAAAACACATAACATAAAATTTACTGTCTTAATCTTTTTTAAGTGTATAGTTCAAATTGTTTCCTTTTAAGTGAGATTAATGTGATTTCAATAGTTAGGAATATAGCTTAATACTTTTCTTCTTAGGATGATAATAGTTAACATTTTTTGAGTTCATACTATGTGCCAAATATTTGCTAGATACTTTTAATGAATTCTTATTAGTTCCAACAACCTATTGAGGTAATACATACTTTGTGTTGGAATCAGTAAGGTGCTGAGGATATACTGAAATAAATGACAGTGTGTCCTAAAATATATTAGCGTATATCATTATAGTGCATAAAGAAATCCCATACCCATTCTGTTTCACTTTTTCAGGCCATTCTCTGCTTTTCTCTCTCTTTTATTTTATTGTGTTGCTGGAATTTGCTAGTATTTTGTTGAGGGGTTCTGATCGGTAGCTTGCTTTGCTTCTGTTGTCTTTGTTTAGTTTTGGTATCAGGGTAATACTGGCTTTATACAATGAGTTGGGAAGTATTATCTCTCTATTTTTTGAAACGGTTTGTGAATAATTTGTCGTAATTCTCTTTGAATGTTTGGTAAAAGCAGTGAAGCCACCTGTGCCTGAGCTTTTCTATATGGGTAGTTTGTTTTTGATTACTGATTCATGGTATTTTGAGACTGTTTCCTCTTGAATCAATTTTGATAATTTGTGTCTTTCTAGGAGTTTGTCCATTTCATCTAGGTTATTTAATTTGTTGGCATACAGTTGTTCCTAGTATTCTCTTGTAATCACTTTTATTTCTTTTGACTTTAATGGTAGGACCCAGGAGGATACTAGAACCTGAAGAATTATACAGTCACTAGGAAGAGTGTATCTTGTTTGCATATATTTGGAGTAAACTAACTACCAAAGAGATGAGCTCAGTCCCTCTGAGGACCCTATTGCCCCTCAGTAGGCTGACTAGGGATATCAAAGAAGCCAATTTTAGTTGTTTATGGATTCTCCAGTAAACCATGATAGATTAACTGTAATATATATCAAGCTGCTTATAGATAAGGTCTCCTTATGTCCCTTTCACCACCTTCCTTGGCAGGTGTCTTCTCCATTTCTCTCATCAGAATTTTTCAAATTGGGACTCTTGGTAGGTCCTAGAAACCAGTTTCCTTCCTTAGCTAGTTGCAAGTCTCAGAACCTGAACAGGGTGATCTGATATTCGTTATAGCCAATATTACATTGTCTTTGTACCCACCTGTGTATCGTTTCTGGAAGAAAATTTTATTTTGAAGAAGTATAAACACTCATACATTTATCATTTTTATAGATCTACAAGAAGCTCAAAGAATGAAGATAACATTATGACTGCACAGAATGTTCCCCTAAAGCCTCAGACCAGTGGATATACATGTAATATACCAACAGAGTCAAACTTGGATTCTGGAGAGCATAAGACTTCAGTTTTAGAGGAAAGGTATGCGTGTATTGTAAGGATAATAGTTGTATATATTAGTTACCCATTGCTGTATAACAGATTACCCAAGAACTTTATTTTAATTTTGTTAAAAGCTTAAAAACACTTATTGTTTCATAGTTTCTATGGCTCAGCAATCTGGGAGGCTTAGCTAGCTAGTTTTGGCTCGGATATTCTCAGGAGGTAGCAGTCATCTTTCTGGTTTTAACCCTTTAAAGTCTTGTCTGGAACTGGAGAATCCACCTATAAAATGTCTCACATCGCTGTTGGCTGGAGACCCCAGTTCCGTTCTGGCTGTTTCCAGTAGACCTTAGTTTCTTAACCATGTGGCCCTCTCAGCTGCTGAATATGGCAACTGGCTTCCCACAAAGCAAATGCTCCAAGAGAAGGTGTGACTATGATGGATATCACAGTGTCTTTTAATGACTTAGTCTTTGACATTGTACACCGTCATTTCTACTTTATTCTGTTCATTAGAAACAACTTATTGAGTCCACACTACATTCAGGGAGAGGTGGAATTAGGCTCCACCTATTGAAAGGTGGTGTATTAAAGAATTTGGACATATAATGTTAAAATGACCACATTTAGTGATCAAATTGAATTACCTACTCTTAATTATATCTGATGTCATATAACCTTTTAAAAAATGAATAAAGGGTAAATTTTAGCAAATTCTCAGACTTTTAAGGGATGGCTAAGATTTCTTTACTATTTGTGAGGTTATGACTAGGCTTATCCTGGGTTCATAATAGGTAGAAAGAGATTTAGGACTAGGAGAGGCTGAATCATCTCTGACAATTTCTGGACCACATTTTAAATTCCATTGGTTTTTGGCTATATTTTTTTTTAATTAAAATATGATGATTTCTTTCTTTTTTTATAATTTGATTTTCACCACAGGATGTTATCATTTGAATTTACTAAGTCTGTTACTCTGATCTGTAAGTCATAAATTCAGTACTTATGATGCTCAACTGTCAGTTATGGGATGAAATTGTAGTCTTTGTTTAATGCAGCAAGTACAGTCAGCCCTCCATATCTGTGGGTTCTGCATCCACTGATTCAACCCCCATGGATTGAAAATATTCAGAAAATAAAATATAAAACAATAAAAAGTAACAATATGACATTTAAAATAATACAAATAAAAATACAGTATAACAACTATTTACATAGCATTTACATTGTATTAGGTATTATCAGTAACCTAGATATGATTTAAAGTATACAGGAGGATATGTGAAAGTCACATGCAAATACTGCACCATTATATATAAGGGACTTGAGCATCCTTGGATTTTGGTATCCACAGTGGATCCTGGAATCAATCCCCCACAAATACTGAGGGATGACTATATATTTTTGATGACTTGTAACATCACTATTGGTTTTATAAGAAAGACTTATGGCAGTTTTAGGAGAAAAATGATCATTAAGGCAAATACATTAGATATATGTATTATAAAAGCATTAATTTTGTGGTTTCCTTTTTTTCTTAAGTGGACCTTCCAGGCTCAATAATAATTATTTAATGTCTGGAAAGAATGATGTGGATGATGAGGAAGTTCATGGAAGTTCAGGTAAACTATTGTTTTTTTTCTGTCTTGATTTTTATGGCATTATGAATATGGAGTAAGGAGTGCTATGTTTTGTTTACATTGTCACTGATGGCGAGTGTATATTGAGTACCTACCTCTTAAGACCCTTAGTTAGAGATTAATAAGACCCTGTACCTAAGTGAGACAGAAAGAAAATGAGTGACAGTTTTTTAAGTAGAACATAATGAAATATTGGCACTTAAGGTGTCTACTCCAGTATTTAAAATTGTTAAGCTAATAAGGGTATACATGAAGCAGATTAGTGATCTGTTGATGATTACTGAAGCTGGTTGATGGTTGTATTGGGTTCATTATACTATTTTCTCTATTTTCAATACTTGAAAATTTCCTTTTTTTTTTTGTTTGAGACGGAGTCTCGCTCTGTCTCCCAGGCTGGAGTGCAGTGGTGCAATCTCAGCTCACTGCATCCTCCACCTCCTGGGTTCAGGCAATTCTCCTGCCTTAGACTCCTGAGTAGCTGGGATTACAGGCACCTGCCACCACGCCTGGCTAATTTTTTTGTCTTTTTAGTAGAGATGGGGTTTCACCATCTTGGCCAGGCTGGTCTTAAACTCCTGACCTTGTGATCCACCTGCCTCAGCCTCTCAAAGTGCTGGGATTACAGGTGTGAGCCACCACTCCCGGCCTTCAGTACTTGAAAATTTTCATACTGAAGTTTAAAGATGCCTCTTAATAGAGAATTTTATAATTTTTTCATGCTCCTAAAAATGCGTGCTTGATTGTAATCTGTTATACTTTTTTTTCTAATAATCACTATTCTTTTAACTTTTTAATTTTTCCCCCGTCATTAGATTTATTGTATTTTCTCTTTTAACTTGAATGCTTTCTGTGTTTTTCTGCTTTTTCTTTGGTAAAGAAGCAGCATTCAATTTCCCTCAGTATAGTTTTGGCTTAATTTGATAGATTTTGCTATGTAGTGTTATTGTAGTATACTCTAAATTGTAGTGATTTTTCTTTGACCCAGCAGTTATTTAAGAGTACATTAGTTAAGAGCTTGGTCTCCAGGGTCATGGACCTGGGATTGGTTCTAGCTCTACTACTTACTAGCTACGTTCTTTTTTTTTTTTTTTTTTGCCCCATTCACCACTGATCGGGAAGCATCACTATATTATCTTGAGTAAGAAATTTCAGTGTTCTTAAACTTCAGTTTCCTTATCTGTAAAATGATATCAGCTCCAATCCCATAAGCTGATATAAAGATGAATACATATTCTTTGCTTAGTTTAATATCAGGTGTATGTTAAATAGCCAATTTTTGCTGTTATTCTAAGAAGTTGTGTTTTATTTTGTTCTTTTAGTATTTTCTGGTTTCATTTTATTGTTCTAGAAAACTTAGTCTATTTTATTTATTGTTTGAATTCAGTAAGTTTTTTTTGTGTTCTAGTGTCTAGTGTATGCTTAGTTTTTATAATTTTTCCATTGGTGCTTGAAAAAGGGAATAATTTGTATACAGATATGGATTTAAAGATATATATCCAGTTATTTTGTTGATAACATAAGTGGATATATTTTTTTGAATATACTTTTAATATTTATGGAATTCTTAAATATGAAAAATTATGGAATATTTACTTATTATTTTAAGGGTAGGGGTGTGTCAGTGAACAAAACTGACAAAAATTTCTGCCCTCCAGCTTAATTTCTGGAAGGGGCAGGATGGCAGACAATATAAAAAGATAACAAATTTATGATTTGTTGGGTGTTGAGAGTAGAGAAATAAAGCATGGCTTTTAGGGTGGGAAATGAAGTTTACATTTTTAGGTAGATGGGCAGAGAAGTCCTCACTAAGGAAGTGATCATTTGAGCAAAGATTTGAAGAGATGAGACAGCAAACCGTGCAGCTGTCTGGGTAAATAGTGTACCAGGTAGAGGGAAGATGAAGGGCAAAAGTTCTTATGTGGTCAAGAGTCTGTCTTGATCGAGGAACACCAAGAAGGCCAGAGGGTTAGAGCAGAGGAAGAGAGCGAACGAGTAGTAGGAAAAATGATGTCACAGAGGCAACAGAATGAAAGATCACATAGGATGTTAAAGGCAAAATTTTACTAAGAGCGATGGGAAGCCATTAGAGGGTTTTGAGCAGAAGAGAGACATGACTTGACCTGTATTAACAGAATCACTGCAGCTCCTGTGTTAGGAGTTGACTGATGGGGTTGAAGGGATGGAGGAAGGTTGGAAGCAAGGAGACTAGCTGGAGAGATGTTGAAATAATCCTAGTGAGAGGTGTTGGCTTAGACCAATGTGGTAGCAGTAGAAAGTGGAAAGCAGGAGGAGGATTTTTAGGTATTTTTGAGGGTAAAGTCAACAGGATTTTCTGATGGACGATACGTGGTGTATAAGAAAAAGAGAGGCGTTAGAGAGAACTTGAAGGTTTTTGGCCCGAGCTCCTGGAAGAATGGCAATATTACTACCTGATCTGGGGACTACTGGGGAAGAAGCAGATTTTGAGGAAAAGAACAGGATGTTAGATTTGGACATACTAAGCTTGATGTTCTCAACCTATGTATTCTTTTTATTTGAGATCTATTAAGGACTGCTAGAGTTGAAGTAAAGTGTTCCCACTGCAACTGTCTTTGCCCTTGTATTTTCTGTAGTCTTTGTTATGTACATTTCAGTGCTGTTACTGATCACATAAGCCTTCATATGGAGTGTACCTGCTTTGGTCAAATTTATCTGCTTCGTTGTGTTAAATGCTTTTTACTTTGTAGTTTGTTTTGTCTAATATTAGTATTGTGACTTCTGCTTTCTTTTGGTTGGTTGTTGTTTCTTTATCTTTTTATTTAACTTTTATTAGAGAATTAAAAGTGGCTAAGAAACAGCATATGATTGAATTGTTTTTGACTCGCTGTGTCAGTACTTTTTCCTTTAATAAATTGTTTAATATATATACACTTATTGTCAACAGATATACTTGTTACTTCTTTGTAAAGTTGGTAGACATTCTCACATATTCTAGCAAGGACTCAGGATTTTTTTTTTCTTTTTAAACACAATGAACCACCAGCTAAATAGAGAACATAATCTTGAGTCATGATCTTTTTTTCTTTAAACTATCACCGTATTGCTATTTTGCTTCATGAGAGTTAATGCTTATGAATAGAAATTTGAAGGCAGCCTTATTTCTTCTTTCCTTTGTAGATAACCTGTTTTCTTCCATCTCCATACTTACTAGGATCCTTTAATCTTTGAAATTTAGGAGTTGTCCCTTGTGTTAGTCACTTAAAAAATAATTTATTTTGAAATAATTTCAGTCTTATACAGAGATCCCATATCCCCTTCATCAAGATTTCACAATTGTCCACATTTTACAACATTTTTCCATCTCCCTCCCTGCCTCCTCTAATAAATACACGTCTATTATCATACATCTTTTTTCTGAACTATTTGAGAGGGAATTGTAGACATGATATATTATTTCCCTTAAATGCCCCATAATGTATTTCAGCAAGACAAGGATATAACTACCCTCGAACCATACAAATAAGGAAATCAGCATTAATACAACACAGGTTCATTCACAGACTCCATTCAGATTTCACTAGCAGTTCCTTTTCCCTTCTAGCTCAGGATCCAGTCCTGGATCTCAGAGTTTCTTCTTCCTCCTGGTTCAAGATCCAGTCCTGGATCGTCGACTGCATTTAGCTGCCATGTCCCTTAGTTTCCTTCAACATGGAACAGTTTCTTAGTTTTTTTCCTAACTTAACTCATGATCAAATGTGTGCCATTCATATTTGACAGGAATACTACAGAAATGATGCTATAGGGTTAGGAGTTAGGGGATGTAATTTGTGCATCACACAGGAGGCACACAACGTTCACCCATCTACATGATGCTTTTGTTTTTTGTTTGTTTGTTTGTTTGAGATGGAGTCTTGCTCTCTCACCCAGGCTGGAGTGCAGTTGTGTGATCTCAGCTCATTGTAACCTCCACCTCCCAGGTTCAAGCAATTCTCATGCCTCAGCCTCCTGAGTAGCTGTGATTACAGGCACATGCTACCATGCTGGGCTAATTTTTGTATTTTTAGTAGAGACAGGCTTTCACCTTGTTGGCCAGGCTGGTCTCAAACTCTGGACCTCAAGTGATCTGCACACCTCAGTCTCCCAAAGCGCTGGGATTACAGGTGTGAGCCACCATGCCCTGCTGACATGATATCAATCCTGATTACCTGTTCATGTTATTGTCTGCCAGGTTTCTCTACTGTAAAGACACTGCTTTTCTCTTATAATTGATAAATATTATTGTGGAGTGATATTCTGATACTCTTAATAGCCTGTTTCTTGTCAAACCTCCATTCACCAACCTTAACATACATTCAAGACTCCCACTTGAATTATCAGCCACTAATGATGGTACCACATTATTTTCTATTTTCTGTTTCTTTAATTCCTTCCGCATTAATTAGTTGCCAGTTTTTCTCCCGCATGCCAATTATTTTATTCATGATTCTTTTTATTTATATCAGTATGGACTACTACTATTTTATGCCATGGGGTTGTAAAATCTTGACCATTTATTATGATACTTGAATTGTGATAGATTTGGTCACTGGATTTTCTTTCAGCTGGTCTCTGTGTGCTTTTGTCATGATTCTGTGAATACTGTCTTTGTTTTTTGGCATAAGATGTTCCAGTCTTTTTCCTGCCCCAGCTCTGGGATCAATTACTGCTCCAGGAAACCTGGTTCTTTTTAGTGGAAGATGGCATTTAGAAACCAAGATTTGGGCACTTGACGTGATCCTTGTTTGGGATACCATTGCTTCTAGTCTTTCTCAGTGTACAGAGATAGGAAATAGATATATATATACACACACACATACACATATGTACACACCATATACAATACAGGCATCTATATCTATTTCTATATTTATATTTATACAGGCATACCTTGTTTTATTGTGCTTTGTGTCACTGCATTTTGGAGATACTGCATTTTTCACAAATTGAAGGTTTGTGGCAACCCTTTGTTGAGTAAGCCTTATTGGCACCATTTTTTTTTTCAATAGCATGTGCTCACCTTGTGTCTCTGTGTCACATTTTGGTAATTTTCACAGTATATCAAACTTTTTCATTACTATGTCTTTTATGGTGATTTGTGATCAGGTGATCTTTGACATTACTATTGTAATTGTTTTGGGGCACCGCAAACCACAGCTACTTAAGAAAGTGAAAATTCATGTGCTCTGACTGCTCTGCTGACTGGCCAGTTCCCCATCTTTCTCCCTCTCTTCAGGCTTCCCTATTTCCTGAGACACAATATTGAAATTAGGCCAATAATAACCCTACGATGGCTTCTAAGTGTTCAAGTAAAAGAAAGAGTCACACATTTTTCACTTTAAATCAAAAGCTAGAAATGATTAAGCTTAGTGAGGAAGGCATGTCAGAAACCGAGATAGTCCAGAAGCTAGGCCTCGGGCACCAAACAGCCAATTTGTGAATGCAAAGGAAAAGTTCTTGAAGGAAAAGAAAAGTGCTACTACAGTGAACACATGAATGATAAGAAAGGGAAACTGCCTTACTGCTGATATAGAGGTTTCAGTGGTCTGGACAGAGGATTAAACAAGCCACAGCATTCCTTTAAGCCAAAGCCTAATCCAGAGGAAGGCCCTAACTCTCTTTAATTCTGTGGAGGCTGAGAGGTGAGGAAGCAGCAGAAGAAAAGTTTGAAGCTAGCAGAGGCTGGTTCATGAGGTTTAAGGAAAGAAGCTGTTTCCATAACATAAAAGAGCAAGGTGAAGCAGCAAGGTCTGATGTTGCAGCAAGTTATCCAGAAAATCTAGCTGAGATAATTGAAGGTGTCTTTACTAAACAACAGATTTTCCCTGTAGACAAAATAGCCTTCTATTGAAAGAAGATGTCATCTAGGACGTTCATAGCTGAGGAGAAGTCAATGCATGACTTCAAAGCTTCCAAGGTCAGGCTGTGACTCTCTTGTTAAGGGCTAATACAGCTGGTGACTTTAAGTTGAAGCTAGTGCTCATTTACCATTCCAGAAATCCTAGAGTCCTTAAGAATTATGCTAAATCTACTTTGCTCTATTAGTAGAACAACAAAGCCTGGGTGACAGCACATCCATGGCAATGCACCAGGCCACCCAGCAGCTCTAATGGACAAAGATGAGGAGATTAATGTTGCTTTCATGCCTACTAAGAGAGCATTCATTCTGCAGCTCATGCATGGATCAAGGAATAATTTGGACTTTTAAGTCTTATTATTTAAGAAATAAATTTTGTAAGGCAGTAGCTGCCACAAGTAGTGATTCCTCTGATGGGACTGGACAAAGTAAATAAACCTTCTGGAAAGGATTCACCATTCTAGATGCCATTAAAACTATTTGTGTTTCATGGGAGGAGGTCAAAATATCAATATTAACAGGAGCTTGGAAGAAGTTGATTCCAACCCTTATGGGTGATTTTGAAGGGTTCAAGACTTCAATGGAGGAAGTAACTGGATGTGGTGGAAATAGCCAGGGAACTAGAATTAGAAGTGGAGTCTGGAGATGAAACTGAATTGCTGCAATTTCATGACAAAATTTGAACAGATGAGGAGTTGCTTCTTATGGAAGAACGAAGGAACTGATTTCTTGAGTTGGAATCTACTCCTGGTGAATATGTTGTGAACCCTTGAAATGACAAAAAAGGATTTAGGATATTCCATGAACTTAGTTGGTAAAGCAGCGACAGAGTTTGAGAGGATTGATTGCGGTTTTGAAAGAAGTTCTGCTGTGAGTAAAATGCTATACAACAGCATTTTATATTCTCCAGGGAAACTTCATTGTTGACTTATTTTAAGAAACTGCCACAGACACCCCAGCCTGATCAGTCAGCAGTCATCAACAATAAGGCAAAATACCCTATCAGCAAAAAGATTAAAACTCACTGAAAGCTCAGATGATAAGCATTTTTATATTTTATTATTTTTATTTTTTGAGAATGAGACAGAGGCTTGCTCTAATACCCAGGCTGGAGTGCAGTGGTGTGATCTCGGCTCACTGAAACCTTTTACCTCCTGGGTTCAAGCGATTCTCTTGCCGCAGCCACCAAGAGTAGCTGGGATTACAAAGTGTACACCACCACACCCAGCTAATTTTTTTAATTTTTAGTAGAGATGGGGTTTCGCCATGTTGGTCGGGCTTGTCTCAAACTCCTGGCCTCAAGTGATCCACCCTCCTGGGCCTCCCAAAGTCTTGGGATTACAGGCATGAGCCACTATGCCTGGCTGATCTTTAGCATTTTTAGCAATAAAATATTTTTAAATTAAGGTATATGTACACTGATTTTTTTAGACATAATGCTCTTGCACATTTAATAGACTATAGTATAGTATAGACATAACTTTTGGCTGGGTATGGTGGCTCACTTTGGGAGCCACCCAACACTTTGGGAGGCGAGGCCGGTCACTTGAGCCCAGGAGTTTGTGACCAGCCTGGCCAGCATGCCAGAAACCTGTTTCTACAAAAAATACAAAAATTAGCTGAGCGTGGTGGTGTGCATCTCTGGTTCCGGCTACTCGGCGGGCTGAGGCGGGAGGATCATTTGCTGCCAGGAAGTTGAGGCCACAGTGAGTCTTGATCCCACCACTGCACTGCAGCCTGGGTGACAGAGTGAGACTTAGTCTCAAAAAACCAAAACAAAACAGCAAAAGAAATAACTTTTATATTCACCAGGAAACTAAAAAACTGTTTGACTTCTTTATTGCAGTATCTGTTTTACTGCAGTAGTCTGGAACTGAACTGGCAATATCTCTGAGGTATGCCTGTATTTTTATTTATTTATTTTTAAATTTTTTTTTAAGACGGAGTGTCCCTCTGTCGCCCAGAGTGGAGTGCAATGGTGTGATCTCGGCTCACTGCAACCTCCGCCTTCTGGGTTCAAGCGATTCTCCTGCCTCAACCTCCTGAGTAGCTGAGATTACAGGCGTGTGCCACCATGCCCGGCTAATTTTTGTGTTTTTAGTAGAGATGGGGTTTCACCATGTTGGTAAGGCTGGTCTCGAACTCCTGACCTCCTGATCTACCTGCCTCAGCCTCCCAAAGTGCTGGGATTACAGTTGTGAGCCACTGCGCCTGGCCGCCTGTATTTATTACAAGTTCTTCTCAAATAGTGAGAAACCTGACTCCCATTATCCTCAGTATATTTACTTGTTTCTTTGGTTCCTTGTATCACTCTGACACTGCCTCCGAGGCCCAGTGTCACAGGAGAATTTCCAACAGAGATGAGACCTCTACTTGTTCTAGGGGAGACTGCATAGGAAATTGAATTTTTGGGGGTGGGGGTGGGGGTGGGGTGGGGGGTACACAGATTTATTAAGCTAGACTTCACATACCATATAATTAATCCACTTAGAGTGTACAAATCAATGATATGTAGTCATTGACACAATCGATGTTAGAACCTTTTCATAACCCCCAAAAAGAAACCCCTTTACCCTTTAGTAGCCGACTTTCATTTCCTTTCCCTGGGCCTACCCAATTACTAATCTACTTCTGATGTCTAGAGATTTGCCTGTTTCTGACAGGGAAATTAGATGTTATGATCACTGAAGTTTCTTCCAAACCAGCAATTTTATAAAATATCTAATTCAATCATTCTTAACAATTTTTGTTTGTTTGCTTTCATGGACTCATTTGAGAATATGATAAAAGCTCAGACCTGCTTTTTAGGGAAAAAAGGTATATATTTCATACAAAATTGTATTTGCAGTTTTAGGTGGTTCATGGACATTGTGTCCCAGTTGTATATTGCTGCGTAACCAACCACCCCAAAACTTAAAGGCTTAATACAGTGATTGATTTATCTTTCATGGTTCTATGAATTGACTTGGCTTAGTTGGGTAATTGCCACTTGAGTACACTCATGAATTTATATAGTTAAATGCAAGCTGCTGGGGCTGGAGTCATCTGAAAGTTCAAATGGGTTGGACATTCGAGGTAACTTCCTCACTTACATGTTTGGACCCAGCTGGAAGAACTGGGACATTGAGGTTGGCCAAGCATCTCTTTTCCTCCATGTGGCTTTTCCATGTGGCCACATGAGGTTTCCTCACAGCATGGCAGTCTTGTGTTAATCTTCATATTGTTGCTGTCTTCCCCTAGAGTGAGATCCCAAGACTTCTAGATGGAACCTGTAGATTGTATTAGGACTTAGCCTTTTAAGCCCCAGAACATCATTTCTGTTGCATACTATTAGTTAAGCAAGTCACTAACTCCAGCAGAGATTGAAGGAGAAGGGAACGAGACTCTGCTTCTTGATACAGAACATTTGTGCATAGAAAGGCAAAGAAGGGATGACAGCCATCTTTAGGTGCTAGTTACCAAAGTTGAGAACCCCTGAGCTTATTGGCACACTGCTAAATTCAGTACACTTACACTATTTTAGAACTTTAAAGAGAAAGTTACAGATAGTTCATAAATAGCATATTAATTATCCATTATCAGGCCCTACATTTTTATCCACAAGTGGCTTATTTCATCTTTCCATGAGCAATAGAAAATCTGTTGTTTTTTTTGTTTGTTTGTTTGTTTTAACTGTTACACTGTTTAGAATAAAAACCAGGGGTGTCCAAGGGAGCGAATACAGTCATGAGTTCTTAGTTTCTGTTTCTGGTTGGTCCAATAAAACCCCTTCCTCATCCCTCTTTTCCACTTGTCGCCAGAGACAGAAACTAAAAAGCATGGTTTCAGGCTGCTAAAGGTCTAAAACAAAACAAAACAGAACAACCACAAAATAAGGTGGATTGGACAAACTTGCAATGTATTCATTGTAGCAAAGTCTAGAGAAATAGTTCTTTTCCTTAGTTTTTATAGTTGAGCAATGAAAAGCAAAAGGAGTAATAAAATACATTATCAGGTCAAACTTTATTTAAAATACTCATACTGAAATTGACCAGGAAACACATTTTAATTTAACATGGAATTAGCAGTCATTTCTTATGATATTATCTTTTGCATTTTGTAGATGACTCAAAACAATCTAAAGTGATACCAAAGAACAGAATCCATCACAAACTAGGTAAGAATATTTTTCTTTTTTAATATTTTCATTGAGAAAAATACCTTAAGTTTCTGTTTCTAAATATAACTTATTTCTTCTTAAGCAGGAGAAATACGATTATGTGGATTAATTGGCAGATAAATTAAAATTATGCACTTAGTTTTTATGAATTTCATAGTAAGTCACCACAAGCCACTTGAATTAGTCTATTGTCCATTTATAAATCCTATTGCCCTCTCACTTTTTGCCCCATAGTAGGGGGCATGATCCTCCCTTAGCTATGAAGCTAGGGTGGAGAATTTTGTCAAAGAAACTGTAACTACCAGGTAGATGGCTTCCTTGACAGCATCTCCTTCCACTTTAATCCAGTTGACTCCTAAACAAAGCAGTAGCTAGGATAGTAAGTAGACAAAGCTAAGAACTGTGGAACCCATGGAGAGGCCCATGTAAAGATTAACAATCCATGGTTCCCAAAGAGATATTTGCCAGTCAAGATACATGATAGTTCCCACCTTTCTGTGATGTTGGGTGGCTTTCCATGTTTCTCCCTTTATTTGAGGCTGTGAGTGCTCTTTCACTCATACTCAGATTACCAATAGGAGTGAAGCTTTCTCTCATTGCCTTACTCCAGAACTTAGATATTGTCAGTATTTTGTGGGCCTATGTGATGAGAGACTGCTATACCTCTCAATACTTAATGCTTGTCTTGGGGTGAAATGATGAATCAGGAGTAGGGAAAGGGAAATAAAAATGTTCCTGAGCAGGGCTTCAGTATTTACAGAGGGGAACATTGAGCATTATGCCTAAGAGCAGTAGGCAACTTCTCGTTAGCTTCAGCATAGCTTTAGCAAACAAAAAATAGGTAAGAACATGGGAATTTGAAGATAAGCCAACAAACTCAATTTAGTATACAGAACTTTGCATTGTTCAGATAAGATGAGTGTACATTTAACATTGTCAACGCTGAGTATTATTAGGTTTTTAAATATTTGCCAATTTGGTAGCCTGTTTTTCCATTGGCTTTTCTTTAATTGTTAGCATAAATATTTGTTTTTTCTAGTCTTTTGTCTAGAAAAATATTCATGTTCTAAAAAATAAAGCTTTCATGTTCTAAAAGACAGTCTTTCCACTGCTAAGTACCATCAACTAAAAACTATGTATACACTTTTGTCTGACATCTTTTTATAGTATTGCCCTCCAACACACCAAATGTTCGCAGGACCAAGAGAACACGTTTGAAACCTTTGGAGTACTGGCGAGGAGAGCGAATAGATTATCAAGGAAGGCCATCAGGTAAAACTTATTTATGTTATAATATCTGTCAATAAAAAATTTGTTTACTATGTGCCAGACACTGCACTACATGTTTATATACATTACCTTACTTAATCATCACCCCCCCAAATTTTGATAATAGGATTTAAATTCATTTTTGTCTGATTAATGTAGAGATGCTGATATTTTCTCTTTGGTAGCTGAATGTTGTTATTCCTGTATCATCTGACAAGATTTCCAATTGCATAATATAAAGCGTTAGATTAGAACGTGAGAAAATTGTAACTGGTAAAGGTAAAGTAGTTTTCATTATTTTTCCTATTAACCATTTTCCATTTTCTCATAGTTTTCTACAAAGTAGTGTAGGGTGGGCAAGAAAGTGTAGTGTTAATCGTAGAGTTATTTTCTTTCTTATTTTTGTAGAGATGAGGCCTTGCTATGTTGTCCAGGCTGGTCTCATCTTATGGGCTCAAGCAGTCCTCCCGCTTTGGCATCTCAAAGTGCTGAGATTACAGGTGTGAGCCACTGTGCCTGGCCATATTTCTTTCTTTGATGGATATATCTAAGTCAAAGGACTAAACTCATGTGGATTTCTATAAATAGTTCATTGCTAGCCCCCTCCTTTTTTTTTTTTTTTTAAAAGCCTCCACTGATGACTGTTGATTTCAGGGGAGCAATAGGACCATCTAATCATGTTTCATCATCTAATCCTGTTTTATCAGCCTCTGATTTAGGGTGGTAGAGATATAATGAAATTGGTTGGTATTTGTGTTATTTTAACTATTAGCTGCAGACATATATTCTTTGGTACTTTGAAAGGAAATGTGCCATATTAAATTTAAGGAGTTTTGTTTCAAGATTTTGTCTTTCCCATGTATATTTTACTTTTTTTGTTAAATTTCAGGAGGATTCGTGATTAGTGGAGTACTATCTCCAGACACAATATCGTCTAAAAGGAAGGCAAAAGAAAATATTGGAAAAGTCAACAAAAAATCTAATAAGAAAAGGATCTGTCTTGATAACGATGAAAGAAGTATGAACTTATTTCTGAAAGTAACTTTTAGATTTTATTTTAAATAGGAGTACTTTGAGAAGAAGCTCTTTGCAAAATATGAAATTTACTTCCAAAAACTTCAGAAATAATACCATAGGTAAAATTCATTTTTTAATGTCTACTTTCTTCCAAATGGAAAGTAAGCTAATTTTATTCTTAAAAAATTATTAATAGCATATTATAAATTTCTTCATGAGTAAATTTCCCAGTCAAATGAAACCCACCATTCCTATGCCCAAGCTATGGTTAACATAGACATTTCTAAAGTGTTTTATATACCTCTATCTCACTTAGAGATTATGCAAAACATCACTTAATACCTTGATAATGCAAGAGTTTACATGTTAAGGCTTACAGAAAATAGGAAGTTTAGGGTGTTTGCTTTTATATTAAATCATTATGGGTTTTTAAGTTTGAATTTTTGTTTATCAGAGTGATTTATAAATAGGAAGAGACTTCTTTGCGTTTGACAGTTTTATAACTTCTCTATAGCTATATTTTGTACTGAACTTTTTGGGATTGAGAATAATTTTAAGTAAGTAGTTTGTATTTCAATGGTATTTCTTTTGCAGAGACTAACTTAATGGTAAATCTAGGTATACCTCTTGGAGATCCTTTGCAGCCAACGAGGGTAAAGGACCCAGAAACAAGAGAGATTATTCTCATGGGTAAGATCAGGCATGATACTGAAAATACTTAATTAAACAATTTGTAAGAAAATATTGCTTGCTTGATGATTGGCCTGTCTACTTTCCCTTTCTCTCCCCAATTCTATCAGTGCTAAAGTCCAGAAGAGTCTAATTCCAACGAGCAACCTATGTGAAGACAACTGTGGGGGAATATTGATATCAGACAGCTCCAGGGGACACTTAACACCCCGGACTTGTCCTCTGGGGCACAAGTAGTGCTACAATCAGGAATGTCGTCTCCCCCAACAGGGTCTAGGCCTTCTTTGACCAGGAGGACACATGGGAACAGAGGCTGTTTATGGGGAATTGTAGATAGATAGTTGGCAGACTCAAGGATACGCTTATCATGAAGCCAGGCAGGGATTGTGGGTAGGGCACAGACAAACTTCTGGGCCTACAGATGGCAGTAATGTTACCTGGGATATGAATCCTTTGTGAGGATGACTAGCAAGGGCATCAATCAGTTGTACAGATGCCAGGTTTAACCTTAAAGCTGGTGCTGCAAAGTCCTGGAAGCCTCCTGCTGTATTGGATTAAATATTTAGTCTCTAGCAGGTCATGTAAGATCCCCAAGGGATGGGCTATAGTGGGATAGGAGTTTATGGATTACGCAACTGTTTAACAACCAGGCTCTCTCTCTCTCTCTCTCTCTCTCTCTCTCTCTCTCTCTCTCTCTCTATATATATATATATATATATATATATATATATATGAAATATTTAAATATATTAACAACTGTTATGACTGTACCATTGAGTACTAAGGGCTGTTTGTCCTATATCAGAGGAGAAGTAGGTCAAATCAGAAACGCGGTAATGGTAGCTGGGCGTGGTGGTGGGTGCTTGTAGTCCCAGCTGCTTGGGAGGCTGGGACAGGAGAATTGCTTGAGTCTGGGAGGTGGAGATTGCAGTGAGCCGAGATCATGCCACTGCACTTCAGCCTGGGTGTGCAGAGCCAGACCCTGTCTCAATAATAATAATAATAAAACTAGTTAGTTAATTCCTAAAAAAAGAAAGGTAGTAATAATGGTACTCCTACTTAAAATTTTGGCCATGAAAATAGATTTCATTTAATATCTTAACACCTTAGCAAAGGTATCTCTATATGCAGATTATTTATTTGGTAACAGAGCTTAGAAGTATGGAGTTTTGTTTAGTGTCTTAACTGAAAGCATTGCTGTACTCTACCAGGTTATTGTGAGTGTTGTCAAAAGTTCATTTCTTATTTGTTTCTTGAATCTACTATATATATATTTCTATATATATATTTCTATATATTTCTATATATATATATATATATATATATATATATATATATATATTTATTTCTATATCATGTAGTCTGTAGGATCACTAACATTCCCAAATATCCTGGGAAACAGAATCAGACATTGATGACAGAATAATTTATTAATTATAGATCTGGAAAAGTTTGTTAAGTAATGGAAATTTTTGTAAGTGAGGTAGTAATTTATGAACAACCATTAGAACTCTGCTTTCTCACAAACTTTACCTAATAAAAATTATTAGTCAAGCAGGAAAAAAAATCTATTGGCATGGTGATGATACATTTGTGGTTTATGTTAAACTTTAAAAATAGAGAATTCTTTTTTTTATCTCAGCTAATTCTATTTTCTGTCTCAGTTCCTATAATACTGCCATTTTGTTATTCAGCTGGTGCTAACAGTGCGTACTTTTTGCCAGACAATATTTTAAATAGTTTACACACATTAACTCGTTGATATTCACAGCAGCTCATTAATATCGAATAGATGAACTTATTATTATTTAATTTTATCGAAAAGGAAATTGAGGCACAGTGAGAGAGAGCTTAAGTAACTTGCCTAAGGTCATGCAGCTTTTAAGACAGAGACAGGATTTGACCTCTGGCATTCTAGCTCCAGAGTTAATGCTCTGAAACAACTCTCTAAGGCAGATTTATATCCAGAAATGACTCTTTATTATATATATGTGTATATGTTATATCATTAACCAATACTGCTGTTGTTTTATATTTGTATTACTGTTTTACTCCTAGATCTTGTAAGGCCACAAGATACATATCAATTTTTTGTTAAGCATGGTGAGTTGAAGGTATACAAGACATTGGATACACCCTTTTTTTCTACTGGGAAATTGATATTAGGACCACAAGAAGAAAAGGGAAAGCAGCATGTTGGCCAGGATATATTGGTGAGTACTTTTTTTATATATTTATGTTTCACTCTTGGTAGAACTCTGATTTATTGGATTTGATGAGACATTAAAATGCTGTTTTCTCAGAAATGAAATTCGATTACTACACCACACAGAGAAAGGTTTTTATTTGTTAAATCTGTTTAGAGTCAACCAGCCAACAGTTATTTGACAATATCTGTTCTCTGCATAGCACTGTATTTTGAGATTCAGAAATTTAAGGAATGTTCTTTACTTAAAAACATCTTAAATATAGGTTTGCAAACAAATCATTAGAATTTTAGTGCTGGGGGGGATTATAGAGATTAAATCTAATTCCACATTTCTATGATAATGCAGTAGAGAAATAGGTTAAAAGACTTCTTCAAAAATCACTTACATCCCAGTTACCCTGATTTGATCATTATGCATTGCATACAGGTATTAAAATGTGACATGTACCATGTAAAATTTTTATATATCAATAAAACAGTAACCTGAGAAAAAAGTAAATAAAATGAGTGAGATTATAAAAAAACTACTTAACTATTTAGACATAGACTCAGGACTAAGCTAGTTGCTTCAGTAAGTGCTAAATAATATACTATTATATGTAACAATATTACTGGCTGAAGTTGTAATGAGATTCAAGGTGAGTCAGTTTCTATCTTCTCCTTCTTTCTCTTTATCTCCTTTCTTCCACCCCCACCCCCATTTAGAGACATACACCTCTGCAACATTGGTCTGTTTTATATGTGTGTATGTGTGTGTGTGTGTGTGTGTGTGTATGTATAACAGGAATATTTTATATATATAAAAAATATTTGTAGTCTGAGTTTGAAAATTGTAGAATATAGAATTTGAAAAGCACCAAATTTTAAGAATATTTAACATTATACCAGCAGTTAAAAAATATAGCTAAGGAACATCTTTCAGTATCTGACATTTCAGGAGTCTGAAATTGTGCTACTAAAGTATCACAGTCAGAATGATTCTCTTTGCCAACAAACTTAAAGTAAATTCAAAAAGGAGGGAAAAATTGTGAAGACTCTTGAGTTTATATTAACAAAGAAGGGCAAATTTAGGCAAGGCAAGGAAAAGATACATATGAAAGTCAAAGATTATTACTACATCAGTATAGTTAGAATCATGATTTAAAATAATTTAACAATATTCATTAATTCAAACTGAAAATGTTATAGGCCTCCAGTTATTATTATGAGTGAAAATAACACATTTTAAAAGCATAGATGGTCCCTGTATAATAATAAAGTAACTAATAATGAGGATAAACATGAATTATCATCACTGAAGTAATAGCAGTTACCTATTAAACTGTAATGCCTTTATTATACAAAAGGAAATTTGAGTAACAGATGTTTAAAAGTGTGTAATCTGGCTAATATTCAAAGGAATACACATTTAAATCCAAATGACACTTTATAGTTACTGAGTTAATGGAAATTATTAGAAAAGTATTCATACCCTGTAACCTGTGACTCATTTCTAGAAATTTTTCCCAGGGAAGTAATTTGGAAGTTCAGAGTGAGGGGTGCTGAACATATGTAGTTATTTATTGAATCATTGATGGTAATTGCAGAATTAGAAACCACTACAATGTGCTACAGGAAGAAAATGGTTATATTTTAATTTTGACTTAGTAATGGGATAAACCATTCTGTGATATAATAAACAGTTATACAGAACTTATGTGTTCCAGGTACTGCACTAAGCACATTAAAATTAGTTTGAGCATTTTATTTTGAAGAACAGCCATATATGAAGACCCTTGGGATAAATGTTTAAGCAAATATGCAAGATAAAAGTTCTTTGTATATAGTATCTATTTTTCTAACTAGAATTTAAAAATGTAAATAAAATCTTGAAGAGAATACATGTTTTACTCTGTGATTATGTAGTTATTTTAGTTGATTTTATTTCTTCTATATATTACCTTTAACTTTTTATAATGAAAATAAATGAAAATTAAAGCTGAAGTTTTTTTTAATAAGACTCGTATTTTTACATTTTAAAACATGAAGCACACTTACAAATATATGCTTTTGAAAAAGATAATAAACAGGACAAGATGGAGAACCAGCATAGGCCATTAACTCTCTTTCAAACACTGCTAGAGAATATTTAAAAGAGAAGAGTAGTAGGTTTATTAAAATCAAACTACAGAAGAATTTACATATTAATTATGAGAGCTGGTTGTAGAACTTCCCAGGAGACAAGAAGGAAATTAAAAAGTAGAAAATATTAAAGTTAAATAATGTAGAGAAGAGAGAAAAGCATGCCTAAATACAAATAATAAGAATTTCAGGAGAGAGAAAAAACCCAATGAAAAATGGTTGAGAATATTTTTAAAATTAGACAAATGTTTCAGAGCTAAAAAAACAAAAAGGTGACAGCAACCTACTTAAAAGAACCAGTTCCTTGGAGGAATGCCTGATTCTAGGCCTGAAACTGAGCTTGGAATCGATAGCAAACTACTAATCAGAAACCATTAAGATTGGGTCATGTTTCAGGTTCCAACTTGAAGATGCTACCACTGGCTGGCTAAGGATATGAAACTTGAGTATTAACAAGAATAACTTCAGTAGATTGATATGTATCAATTATATCTAAATCCATGAATTTCTAAGACTACTACTACTACTACTACAACAAAAATTTGTTACTGTTGGAGGATTCTAGGAAGCCAACTCACTTTAACAACTGATTCTGCCTTTTCTATATAAACTGTGCTATTAGGTAATCAAATAATAGATGAGTTTGTTCTTATTAGAATAATATTCCAGCTAATGAGTGAAGAAGGAATGTTGGAGTTAAAATACTACCATTTGCAATCCCTGATAAGCTATTGGGATCTAGGCATCAAGGCTCAGTGGCTGACAGATAACTAAAAAGAATACAACCAAGCATTATGTGCCTCCTGATAGAAAAATACAACACTATCCAAGAAGTAGTCTTGCCAACCCCATGCCTTAAAAAAGAAAAAAAAAAAAAAAAACCTAAAAGCAAATACAAAACCTGAATCTGATCAAGTCTCTAGATTTAACTACCAGTTTACAAGAAATAAAGTGTGGTGAAATCTTTCAAATGATACCTGGGGATGTAGTCAGCAAAATCCACCTGCATGAAGATTTTTATGACAAACTGCTTAATGTTTTCAATAAATTAAATGTAAGAAATAAAAAAGAACCAGGTGAAACCTAGGGAATCAGGGTTTCTCAACCATGGCACTAGTAACATTTTTGATTAGATACTTCTTTGTTGTAGTGGGGGCCGTCCTGTAGGTAAGGCCCTGTAAGTAGAAGCTTACCTGGCCTCTACTCATTAGATTCCAGTAGCACCACTGTAGTTGTGACAAAATCAAATATGTCTTCAGAAATTGTCCGTTGTCCCTGAGAGGCAAAATCACCTTGATTGAGAACCGCTAATATTGATTGAGAAATTTAAGAAACAGATCAACCAATCACTGTATGTGGTGCTAACCTGGATCCTGATTCAAAGAAATCCTTGAAGATATGTTTAACTGATGATTGGAAATTTGACTATTAACTAGATATTTGGTATTAAATATTTATTTTTTAGGTGTGATAACAGTATTGCGGTTATGTTTTTTAGAAGCACTTGATCTTTCAGTACATACTGAAATATTTGCAGATGAATTATGATACTGGGCATTTATTTTGAAATAAGATGGAGTGAGGATAGTAGACTCTGGCTTGGGCAGGTGGTTAGCATTAAGTATTCATGAGAGTTCATCATTCTATTTTTGTATGTTTCAAAAGCTTTCTTAATTAAATGTTTACAGAAATGAGGAGAGGTGTGCTTAGAGAACCAAATTGAATAGATGAGAAAAAAACACTAGAAATATATACTTTTTAGTATTACTTTTTTGTCTTTTTGATTAAGGCAAATTATTTTTGGATGTAATAACTTTTTTTGTCTTATTAAGTTATAAAAATACCTTTGAAACATTTCGGGGGGCTTTTTTCCCCATTTAGGGAGGCAGTATATCACAGTGATTAGGGAATGAATTCTGTAATCTAAATGCCTGAGTTCAAACTCCCCCCCTTTGCCATTTACATTGTGACCTTGGAAAATTACTTAACCTCTCTGTGCCTCAGTTTCTTCATCCATAAAAAGCTACTAAAGTAGTCGCTGTCTCATTAGTGGGCATATACATTAAGTGAATAAGAATAAAGTTCTCATAATACTGCTTGGTATAGAGTAAGTGCTATATAAGTGCTAGCTGTTATTGTTATTCTGGTATATTATGATCATTGTACAAAGTAGTAATAAAAAATAAGGAGGAGAAATAATTATCTGAGGCAAAACATTCTTGATGGATGTCTTAGTCAGATTGGGCTGCTATAATAAGAATACCATAGACTTTGATCTGTGTCTCTTATAAGGGCACTAGTCCCATTCCTGAAGGCTCTGCACTCAGGACCTAATTACGTCCCAAATTCCCCACCTCCTGATCCCATCACATTGGGGGGGTTAAGATTCCAGAGTGTGAATTTTCAGGAGACAAACTAATTTCTAACAATGGCTGAATCTCAAAGTTTGAAGGCCTTATGCTGTTTATTTTAGTTGCTCAAAAAACCAGGTCACTGCCAGTGTGTGCTACCTATGTATAAAGTATGAAATTTGGCATGTTTGAATATGAAAGCCAGCATGATTGAGAGATTTATCCTCTTTTACTTTCTTAGTCTTGATGCTTGTTTAACATATGATTTTGAGGGGAATAGGGATTTAGCTTTTTGCTTTCTTTGATTCTTCAATCAGATTGAGTAGTTTGTTGTCCTAAGCATGTGACCTTTAAAGAGGCATACATAAAGCCTAGGTATTTTTTTAGTGTAGGTGATAATCTTTTTGAGTTGGAGTCTCGCTCTGTCACCCAGGCTGGAGTGCAGTGGCGTGACCTCAGCTCACTGCAAGCTCCACCTCCCAGGTTCACGCCATTCTCCTGCCTCAGCCTCCCGAGTAACTGGGACTATAGGTGCCCGCCACCACGCCTGGCTAATTTTTTGTATTTTTCATAGAGATGGGGTTTCACTGTGTTAGCCAGGATGGTCTCGATCTCCTGACCTCGTGATCCGCCCACCTAGGCCTCCCAAAGTGCTGGGATTACAGGCGTGAGCCACTGCGCCCAGTGCGGTGATAATCTTTATAGTGTAGGTGATAATCTTTACAGTGGCTGTAGAATTTTCATAAGCCAGTAAGTAATAAGGAAAAACAAAATAAGGAAAAATAAAAGAAATCTCTTCCTGTATTACAATGGTCCCCATCCTTTTTGGCACCAAGGACTGGTTTGTGAAAGACAATTTTTCTTCCACAAAAATTGGTGGTGGCAGTGGGAGTTGGCATTAGATTTTCATAAGGAGCACACAACCTAGATTTCTCACATGCACATTTCACAATAGGGTTCATGTGCCTGAGAGAATCTAATGCTGCTGCTGATCTAACAGGAGGCAGAGCTCAGGCAGTAACACTCACTGGCGTGCTGCTTACCTCCTGCTGTGTGAGCCCATTCCTAACAGGCCACTGCCAGTAGCGGTCCCTGTCCTGGGGGTTGGGGACATCTGTATTAGTTTTCAGTTGCTGCTCTAACAAATTACAGCTATGTGTTACTGAGAAATGAGTCATTAAGCTATTTTGTCTTATGAACGTCATAAGATGATATAGCCTACTACGAACCTAGGCTATATAGGATGATACCCTGTTGCTTCTGTACTTCAAACCTGTACAGCGTGTTTCTGTGCTGAATACTGTAGACAGTTGTATTTGTGTATCTAAATGTAGAAAAAGTACAATAAAAATGTGGCATAAAAGATAAATGTTACCCTTATAGGGCACTTACCATGAATGGAGCTTTCAGGACTGGAAGTGGTCCTGGATGAGTCAGTGAGTAAGTGCTGAGTAAATGTGAAGACCTAGGACATTACTGTACACTACTGTAGACTTTATAAATACTGTAGACTTAGGCCACACTAAATTCATAAACAGAATTTTTCTTTCTTCAGTAATAAACCTCATCTAACTGTAACATTTTCACTTTATATCCTTTTGTTGTTGTTGTTAACTTTTGGACTCTTTTGTAATACTTAAAATTCAACCATACTGTTTGGCTGTACAAAAATATTTTATTTCCTTATTCTATAAGCTTTTTTCTATTTTTTTTTTAACTTTTAAAACTTTTTTGTTAAAAAGTAAGACACAAACAGCACATCAGCCTTGGGCTACACAAGATTAGGATCATTATCACTGTCTTGCACTACCACATCTTGTCCCACTGTAAGGTCTTTGGGAATAGTAACACACATGGAGCTGTCATCTCCTATAATAACATTGGTTTCTTCTGGAATACTTACTGAGGGACCTGCCTGAGACTGTTTCACAGTTAACTTTTTTTTTTTTTATATAAGTGGTAAGAGTACACTCTAAGGTAATGGATAAAAGTATAGTAAATACATAAGCCAGTGGCATAGTTGTTTATTATCATTACCAAGTGTTTTGTACCACACAAAATTGTGTTATATTTTATTTTTTACTTCAATAGGTTTTGGAGAACAAGTAGTGTTTGGTTACATAGATAATTTTTTTTTTTCTTTCATTGAGATAGAGTCTCCCACTGTCCCCAGGCTGGAGTGGCACGATATCAGCCCACTGCAGCCTCTGCCTCCCGGGTTCAAGCAATTCTCGTGCCTCAGCCTCTCAAGTAGCTGGGATTACAGGATGTATTAGTCCCTTCTCATACTCCTATAAAGAACTGCCCAAGACTGGGTAATTTTGAAAGGAAAGAGGTTTAATTGACTCACAGTTCTGTGGGGCTGGGGGTGCCTCAGGAAACTTACAATTATGGCAGAAGGGGAAGCAAACATGTCCTTTTTCACATGGTGGCAGCAAGGAGAATTGCCAAGCGAGGGGGAAAAGCCCCTTATAAAACCATCAGATCTTGTGAGAACTCACTCTCATGAGAACAGCATGAGGGTAACTGCCCCCATGATTCAACTACCTCCCACTAGGTCCCTCCCATGACATGTGGGGATTATGGCAGCTACAATTCAAGGTGACATTTGGGTGGGGAGACAAAGCCAAACCATATTACAAGAGATTATTTATTTAGTGGTGATTTCTGAGATTTTGGTGCACCTATCACCTGAACAGTGAACACTGTACCCACCGTGTAGTCTTTTATACCTCTCCTCCTCCCACCCTTCCCCCTGAGTCCTCAAAGTCCATTGTATCATTCTTATGCCTTTGCATCCTCATAGCTTAGCTCCCACTTATAAGTGAGAACATACAATGTTTGGTTTTCCATTCCTGGGTTACTTTATTAGAATGATGGTCTCCAACTCCATGCAGGTTGCTGCAAATACCATCCATTATTTCATTCCTTTTTATGGTTGAGTACTATTCTATGGTACATGTATACCACATTATCTACTTGTTGATTAATAGGCATTTGGGTTGGTTCCGTATTTCTGCAGTTGCACATTATGCTGCTATAAATGTACGTGTGCAAGTGTCTTTTTCATATAATGACTCACTTTTCTTCTGAGTAGGTACCCAGTAGTGGGATTGCTGGATCAAATGGTAGATCTACTTTTAGCTCTACTAAGGTTTTCTGTAGCGGCTGTACTAGTTTACATTCCCACCATTAGTGTAAAATTGTTCCCTTTTCACTGCATCTAGGCCAACATCTACTATTTGTTGATTATGGCCATTCTTGCAGGAATGAGGTGGTATCTCATTGTGGTTTCGATTTGCATTTTCCTTATCATTAGTTATTGTTGAGCATTTTTTTTGTGTGCTTCTTGGCCATTTGTATATCTTCTTTTGAGAATTGTCTATTCATGTCCTTAGCCCACTTTTTGATGAGATTGTTTGGTTTTATCTTGCTGATTTGTTTGAGTTCCATGTAGATTCTGGATATTATTCCATTGTTGCACAGACAGTTTGTGAATATTTTCTTTCACTCTGGGTTGTCTGTTTACTCTGCCGTTGCCTGTTTACTCTGCCAATTATTTCTTTGGCTGTGCAGAAGCTTTTTAGTTTAATTAGGTCCCATCTATTTTGTTTTTGTTGTGTTTGCTTTTGGATTCTTGGTCATGAAGTCTTTGCCTAAGCCAATGTCTGGAAGGGTTTTTCTGATGTTATCTTTTAGAATTTTCATGGCTTCAGGTCTTAGTTTCAAGTCTTTGATCCATCTTGAGTTGATTTTGGTATAAGGTGGCAGATGAGGATCCAGTTTTATTTTTCTACTTGTGCCTTACTGGTTATCCCAGCACCATTTGTTGAATAGGGTGTCCCTTCCCTACTTAGTGTTTTTGTTTGCTTTGTTGAAGATCAGTTGGCTGTAAGTATTTGGCTTTACTTCTAGGCTCTATTCAGTTCCATGGTCTATGTGCCTATGTTCATTTCAGTACTGTGCTGTTTTGGTAACTATATGTTTATAGTATAGTTTGAAGTCAGGTAATGTGATGCCTCCAGATTTGTTCTTTTTGCTTAGTCTTCCCTTTGGCTATGCAGGCCCTTTTTTGGTTCCATAATGAATTTTAGGATTGCTTTTTCTAGTTCTTTGAAGAATGATGATAGTATTTTGATGGGAATTGCATTGAATTTGTAGATTGCTTTTGGCAGTATGTCATTTTCACAATACTGGTTCTACCCATCCATGAGCATGGGATGTGTTTTCATTTGTTTATGTCGTCTATGATTTCTCATCTCTTTGGTTAGGTATATTCCAAATTATTATTATTATTTGTGGCTATTGTAAAAGGAGTTGAGTTCTTGATTTGTTTCTCAGCTTGGTCGCTGCTGGTGTATAGCAGAGCTATTGATTTGTGTACGTTGATTTTGTATCCTGAAAGTTTACTGAATTCACTTATCAGATCTAGGAACTTTTTGGATGAGTCTAGGGTTTTCTAGCTATATGATCATATCATTGGCAAACAGCAACAGTTTGACTTCCTCTTTTCTAGTTTGGATACCCTTTATTTCTTTCCTTTGTCCGATTGCTCTGGCCAGGACTTCCAGTACTATGTTGAATAGAAGTGGTGAAAGTGGGCATCCTTGTCCTCTTTCAGTTCTCAGGAGAAACTTTTCAACTTTTCCTTGTTCAGTATGATGCTGGCTGTAGGTTAGTCATAAATGGCTTTTATTACCTTGAGTTATGCTCCTTCTATGCCGATTTTGCTGAGGGTTTTAATCATAAAGCAATGCCGGATTTTGGCAAATGCTTTTTCTGCATCTATTGAGCTGATCATGTGATTTTTTGGTTTTAATTCTGTTTATGTGGTATTTCACATTTATTGACTTGCGTATTGACTCCTCTCTGTCTTTTGGAATCATTTCAGTTGGATTGGTACCAATTCTTCTTTGAATGTCTGATAGAATTCAGCTGTGAATCCATCTGGTCCTGGACTTTTTTGTTGTTGTTGACAATTCTTTTATTACCTTTTCAATCTTGCTGCTTATTATTGGTCTATTTAGAGTTTCTATTTCTTCTTGGTTTAATCTAAGAAGGTTGTGTATTTCCAAGAATTTGTCTCTTTTCTGATAGATAAATTGAATGTCTGATAGAATTCAGCTGTGAATCCATCTGGTCCTGGAATTTTTTTTTTCTTTTTCTTTTCTTCCTTTTTGAGACGGGGTTTTGCTCTTGTTGCCCAGGCTGGAGTGCAATGGTGCGATTTCAGCTCACTGTAACCTCCATCTCCCAGGTTCAAGTGATTCTCCTGCCTCAGCCTCCCAAGTAGCTGGGATTACAGGCATGCGCCACCAATTCTGGCTAATTTTGTATTTTTAGTAGAGACGGGGTTTTGCCATGTTGGCCAGCCTGGTTTTGAACTCCTGACCCCAGGCAATCCACCTGCCTCAGCCTCCCAAAGTGTTGGGATTACAGGCATCAGCCACTATACCCGGCCTGGACTTTTTTTGTTGTTGACAATTCTTTTATTACCGTTTCAATCTCATTGCTTGTTATTGGTCTTTTCAGAGTTTCTATTTCTTCCTGGTTTAATCTAGGGAGTTGTATATTTCCAGGAATTTATCTGTCTCATCTAGGTCTGGTTTGTATACATAAAGGTGTTCATACGAGCCTTGAATGATCTTTTGTCTTTCTGTGGTATTGGTTGTAATATCTCCCATTTTGTTTCTAATTCAGTTTATTTGGATCTTCTGTCTTCTTTGTTAACCTCACTAATGGTCTATCAATTCTGATTATATTTTCATTTAGTTCTACCAAATGGCCTGATCTTCATCTGCTGGGTTTAGGTTTTGTTTGTTTTTATTTCTCTAGCTCCTTGAGGTGTGACCTTAGATTGTGTATTTGTGTTCTTTCAGACTTTTTGATGGAGGCATTTAATGCTATTAACTTTCCTGTTAGCACTGCTTTTGCTGTATCTTAGAGGTTTTGATAGATTGTGTCACTATTATTGTTCAGTTCAAAGAATTTTTCAATTTTCATCTTTATTTCATTGTTGACCCAACAATCATTCAGGAGGAGATTATTTAATTTCCATCTATTTGCTTGGTTTTGAGGGTTCATTTTGGAGTTGACTTCCAATTTTATTCGACTGTGGTCTGAGAGAGTACTTGATATAATTTTGGTTTTCTTAAATTTATTGAGACTTGATTTGTGGCCTCTCATACAGTCTATCTTGGAAAATGTTCCATGAGCTGATGAATAGAATGTATATTCTGCAGTTTTTGGGTAGAATGTTCTGTAAATATCTATTAAGTCCATTTGTTCCAGTGTATAGTTTAAATCCATTGTTTCTTTGTTGACTTTCTGTCTTGATGACCTGTTTACTGCTGTCAGTGGGGTATTGAAGACCTTGAGTATAAGTGTGTTGCCGTCTATCTCGTTTCTTAGGCCTAGTAGTAATTGTCTTATAAATTTGGGAGCTCTGGTGTTAGGTGCATATATATTTAGGATTGTGATATTTTCCTGTTGGACTAGTCCATTTCTTATTACATAATGGCCTTCTTTGTCTTTTTAACTGCTGTTGCTTTAAAGTCTGTTTTGTCTGATATAAGAATAGCTACTCCTGCTCTCTTTTGGTATCCATTTGCATGGAATATCTTTTACTACTTCTTTACCCTAAGCTTATGTGAATCCTTATGTGTTAAGTGAGTCTTTTGAGGACAGCAGGTACTTTGTTGGTGAATGCTTATGCATTCTGCCGTTCTGTATCTTTTAAGTGGAGCATTGAAGTCATTTATATTCAATGTTAGTATTGAGATGTGAGGTACTGTTCTGTTCATTGTGCTAGTTGTTGCCTGAATACTTTGGGTGTGTGTGTGTGTGTGTGTGTGTGTGTGTGTGTGTGTTTTATAGACCCTGGGAGATTTATCCTTTAAGGAGGTTCTATTTTGATATATTTTGAGTTTTTGTTTCAAGATTTAGAACTCCTTTTAGCAGTTGTTGTAGTGCTGGCTTGTTAGTGGGGATTTCTCTCGCCATTTGTTTGTCTGAAAAAGACTTTATCTTTCTTTCATTTATGAAGCTTAGTTTTGCTGGATACTAAAATTCTTGGCTGATAATTGTTTTATTTAAGGAGGATAAAGATAGGACCTCAGTCCCATCTAGCTTGTAGGGTTTCTGCTGAGAAATCTGCTGTTAATCTGATAGGTTTTTTTTAAATAGGTTGCCTGATGCTTTGGCCTCACAGCTCTTAAGATTCTTTGCTTTGTCTTGACTTTAGATAACCTAATGACTGTGTGGCTAGGTGATGATCTTTTTGCGATGAATTTTCCAGGTGCTCTTTGAACTTCTTGTATTTGGATGTCTAGATTGCTAGCAAGGCCAGGGAAGTTATCCTTGATTATTTCCTCAAATTTTTCCAAACTTTTAGATTTCTCTTCTTCCTCAGGAACACCAATTATTCTTATGTGTGGTCGTTTAACATAATCCCAAACTTCTTCAAGGCTTTGTTCATTTTTTTTTTTAATTTATTTTCTCTTTGTCTTTGATTGGGTTAATTCAAAAGCCTTGTTTTTGAGCTCTGAAGTTCTTCTACTCGTTCGATTCTATTGTTAAAACTTTCTAATGTATTTTGCATTTCTCTAAGTATGCCTTTCATTTCTGGAAGTTGTGATTGTTTTTTATTTATGCTATCTATTTCTCTCGAGATTTTTTCATCAAAATCCTGTATTTTTAAAAAAAAATTCTTTAAGTTGGTTTTCATCTTTCTCTGGTGCCTCCTTGAGTAATGTAATAATCAACCTTCTGAATTATTTTTCTGGCAATTCAGAGATTTATTTGTTTGGATCTATTGCTAGGGAGCGAGTATGATCTTTTGGGGGTGTTAAAGAACCTTGCTTTATCACATTACCAGAATTGTTTTTCTGGTTTCTTCTCATTTGGGTAGACTGTGTCAGAGGAGACATCTGGAGGTCAAGCACTGCAGTTCAGATTCATTTGTTCCATGGAGTGATCCCTTGATGTGGTGCTCTCCTCCTTCCCCTAGGGATTATGCTTCCTGAGAGGCAGTCTGCAGTGATTGCTATTGCTCTTCTGTGTCTAGCTACCCAGCAGAGCTATGGGGCTCCAGGCTGGTACTGGGAAGTGCCTGCAAAGCGTCTTGTGATATGATCTGTCTTCAGGTCTCTCAGCCATGGATCTCAGCAGCTGCTCCAGTGGAGGTAGCAGGGGAGTGAAGCAGACTCTGTGACGGTCTTTGGTTGTAGTTTTGTTTAGTGTGCTGGTTTTCTTTAATATTGGTTGTGCTAGCAGGTGGCTGGCCACCAGCCAGGAGATGGTACTTTCAAGAGAGCATCTGCTGATACAAGGTTGCCACAGGTTGCCTGGGTAAGTATTCAGGTTTCTCAGGTGATGGGTGGGGCCTTATAGCTCCTGTCTTAGGCTACAGGGCAGTTAGAGAAAGACCATCAGGTGCAGGTAGGATTGATTAGGTGTGTCTGAGCTCAGACTCTCCTTGGGCTGAGCTTTTTGTGACCACTGTAGGGGATGAAAATATGGTTCCCAGGCCACTGGAGTTATGTTCCCAAGGGGATTATGGCTGTCTCTAGTGCATCATACTGGTCACCAAGGAAGTGGGGGAAGCTGGCAGACTGGCCTCACCCAGCTCCCAAGCAGCCAGGCTAGGCCAGTCTCACTCCTACTGTGCCCCACCAAACCAAGTTTGTATCCAGACAGCCAGTGAGCAGGACTGACATTTTGCGCTAGGCTATAAGTCTCCCTGCTGAGAAAGCAAGCTGGGCTTTCAGGCCCTGCCCCTTGCTGCCTACCCTGGCTTGTATCTGAACTTCCTATTCGCCCTTCCCCCAATTCTGCCCAGGAAAATTCACGCTTCATCAAAATTATTTAAAGTTCAGCTGGAAGTTTCCTTCTTTCTGTGGTCCTCCCCCAGTTCCACTGGCAGCCATCCCCAAGGAACCCTATGAGATAAAGTCAGAAATGGCTTCCTTGGGTTTCCTTGGAAACCAGGAGTACTTAACAGGGCTCTTCCTGCCTCTGCTTCTACTATTATATTTCCCTTGGCTCTCTCAATTCGTTTCAGCTCTAGGTAAGGTTAAATCCTTCTCTCATGACCTGGATTTTCAGCTTCCCCAGTAAGGATGTGTTTGGAGGCAGACTTTCCCCCCTTTCACACTTTGGGCACTCACGGTTGTTCAGCTGTCTCATGGAGTTTGCAGCAGCAAGCCATTTCTTTCAAAGAGTCTGTGAATTCTTTCAGTTTTCTTGGTATGTTCCTGCAGTAGTTCTTCTGGCAAAAAAGTTCATGATGTGAGTTTCCACATGCTGTTCTGTCCATCTGAGTGGGAGCTGCAAGTTAGTCCTACTTTCTATCCTCCACTTTTTCCTGTATGTGCTATACTTTTATGTGACTGGCAGTTCAGTAGATTTATTTACATCAGCATCACCACAAACATGTGAGTAATGCTTTTCACTGGGACATCATGATGGCTGTGAGGTCACTAGGCAATACGATTTTTTAAATGCCATTGTAACCTTATAGGACCACTATCATGTAGGCAGTTTGCTGTTGACTGAAACATCGTTAGGCAGTGCATGACTGTATCACAAATTTAATGGCTTAATACTCTTGGGCTGGGCGCGGTGGCTCACACCTGTAATCCCAGCACTTTGGGAGGCCGAGGCGGGCAGATCACCAGGTCAGGAGATCGAGACCATGGTGAAACCCCGTCTCTACTAAAAATACAAAAAAAAATTAGCCAGGCGCGATGGCGGGCGCCTGTAGTCCCAGCTACTCAGGAGGCTGAGGCTGGAGAATGGCATGAACCCTGGAGGCGGAGCTTGCAGTGAGCCGAGATCGCCTCACTGTACTCCAGCCTGGATGACAGAGTGAGACTCCATCTCAAAAAACAAGAAACAATACTCTTGTATTATCTATCTCACAGTTATGTAGAGAGAACCATGAGCTTGACCAGGTATTCTCTTTAGAGTATTACAAGACTGGAATCAAGATGTTGACAGGTTTGTATTTCTTTCTGGAGGCTGTAAGGACGAATCTGCTTCCAGTCTGCTTCCAGTCTCGTTCAGACTGTTGGCAGAACTCAGTTTTAAGTGGTTGTGGGACTGAGGTTCCCATTTCCTCACTGGCTGTTGGCCAGGGTGTCATTCTTAGATTTTAGAAATAACTCATGTTTCTTGGCATATGGCCCCACATCTTTAGTGCCAGCAACGGTGCAAGTCCCTTTCATGCTTCAAATTTCTGTGACTGTTCCTTCTCTTTCGTTTCTTCTCTGCTTCCAGCAGGAGAAAGTACTCTATTTTTAAGGGCTTAATGTGATTAGATTGGGCCTACCTACATTATCAAAGATAATCTCCCCATCTCAAGGTCCCTTTTGCCATGAAATTTAATGTATTTACAAGTTCTGGAGATTAAAGCCAGCACATTTGTGGGGAGTCGTTATTCTTCCCACTACATTTTAAGGTTCCTTTGAAGTATTATCATGGTTCAGTTTTGAATGAGATTTTTATTTTTATTTTTACAGGTTTTTTATGTTAACTTTGGTGACCTTTTGTGTACTTTACATGAAACACCTTATATATTAAGTACTGGGGATTCGTTCTATGTTCCTTCAGGTAAGACAATTTATTTCACTTAGACAACATGTATATAGTTGTTTTTGGGCACTATGGAAATGGAAGCCACAGTGGTCAAAATGAAGTGTGATATGACTGATGGATGTCAGAACAGTTTGGTACATATTTTCCTTTCATTTGATCATTAGGTAAGTGTATTAGCATTTTGTGGTGGTTTTTTTTTGTTTTTGAGACAGAGTCTTGCTCTGTCACCCAGGCTGGAGTGCAGTGGCACGATCTCAGCTCACTGTAGCCTCCACCTCCTGGGTTCAAGCGATTCTTGTGCCTCAGACTCTCGAGTAGCTGGGACTACAGGCACGAACCACCACATCCGGCTACTTTTTGTATTTTTAGTAGAGGCGGGATTTTGCTATGTTAGCCGTAACAGATCACCTGACCTCAAGTGATCTGCCCACCTTGGCCTCCAAAGTGCTATGATTACAGGTGTGAGCCACAGTGCCCAACCAATTAGTGTTTTGATACATGAGAACAAGAGTTGTTTACTACTGAATATGAAAATATTGGCTGGGCATGGTGGCTCATGCCTGTAATACCAGCACTTTAGGAGGCCAAAGTGGGCAAATCACAAGGACAGGAGATCGAGACCATCCTGGCTAACACAGTGAAACCCCATCTCTACTAAAAATACAAAAAAATTAGCTGGGCGTGGTGGCGGACACCTGTGGTCCCAGCTACTCTGGAGGCTGAGGCAGGAGAATGGCATGAACCTGGGAGGTGGAGCTTGCAGTGACCAGAGACTGCACCACTGCACTCCAGCCTAGGGGACAGAGTGAGACTCGGTCTCAAAAAAAAAAATACATTTATGTATATAGTCAGCAGATATGTTGTATTACAGAGGAGAACAAAAATTATTTACCCCATGTTATCTCTAAGAAATTATGTTTTTAGAACATTATTTTAAACTGTTTCAAGAATGGTATGCTTCATCAGCTATCGAACAGCAGAAGTTATTGTAAATAGGCATTTTAATCCACTTGTCATTCATTCACTCATTCAACAAGTATGATTAAGAGACTACTATGGGCCAGGTGCAGTGGCTCACACCTGTAATCCCAACATTTTGAGAGGCTGAGGAGGGCTTGAGGTGAGGAGTTCGGGACCAGCCTGGGCAACCTAGGAAGACCCTGTGTCTACAAAAAATGCAAAAGTTAACCAGGCACGGTGATACACACCTATAGTCCTAGCTCTCGGGAGGCTGGGACAGGAGGACTGCATGAGCCCAGGAGTTCAAAGTTGCGGTGAGCTGTGATTGTACTACTGCACTCCAGCCTGGGTGACAGAGCAAGACTCTGTCTCAAAAACAAAAACAAAACAAAGTGTCTACTATGTCCATGTATTGCTGCAAGATTTGGGATATATAAATGAAAAAACAGGCAAAAATCCCTGCTTTTATAGAGCTTACATTCTGTTGGAAGGAGACAATAATAATAGCCATACTTGCATAATCCTTAGTATGTCAGCACTGTTGTGAATACTTTCTCAATTTCTAATATATAGAAAGTCACAGTGATAGTACTCAATTCTAATAAGCCTGTCACATGTGATACTTGCGGTCCATCTGTATTTCACTTTTGCTGTTATTTGTTACCTCATTTATTTAAGAGTAGCATTTGCCTTTTTAAAATTTTGAGATTTTGGCCGGGCGCGGTGGCTCATGCCTGTAATCCCAGCTCTCAGGGAGGCAAGAGGCGGGAGGATAGCTTGAGCCCAGGAGTTCGAGACCTGCCTGGGCAATATAGCGAGACCCCGTTCTCCAGAAAAAGAAAAAACAAAAACAAAAAATAAGTAAATAAATAAAATTTTGAGATTTTATTCTACTTAACATTGTACCTTTTATATTCATCTATATATGAGTATGTCTGGTTAGAGGAATCCACAGCAGTTCTGTAGACCTAATAAAGATTGGTTTCAGAAAGAGATTTTCTTTTCTTACACTCTCGACTGATTCATCTCCGTATTTATTTTCATAACGATGTGAAATTTATATTTCTGTTCTCTCAAGCCTCATCTGGATCACGTGTCATGGTTAGCTGTTGATGTAGTTCATGGAATTAAATAAGTTACTTTAGGTTAGGTGAATTGTTTTTATCTTGTGTCCTATACTACAACTGTCAGGTGATGACTACATACTTAATCAAAAAGAATGATTCATATGTAAATAATTTTTATTTTCTTATCACTTTACTTTTAGGTAACTATTATAACATCAAAAATCTCCGGAATGAGGAAAGTGTTCTTCTTTTTACTCAGATAAAAAGATGAAAGATCAACCAACCTTAAATATATGTATGTATATATGTATATGTGAAAAACAGTTTGTATAGTTGGAATATTTGTCTTTGTAATTACTTGTGATGTTTTAAAATAAAAATTTTATTCAGTTTTCTGTAGACTTGTATTTGATAAACATTTCTAACTCACATGTTTTTTCTGATTTTTCAGTGACTGTACATAATAGCTTGTAGCGATGTCCATATTTATGATATTATTTTTATAATTTGACAAGAATATGAAAATGAAATATAGAACATTTCTGTGTCAAAAGAGACCTGATTAATATGTCTACTCATTAAAAAACATCTTTTCCAAATACTAATTTTAAATCATTTATTATTAAATAATCCAATGGGAGAGAACTGTGGTAAAAGGCATGTTTGTATTAATTTCCTAGAACTGCTGTAACAAAATACCACAAAATGAGTGACTTAAAGCAACAGAAATTTATTATCTCAGTTCTAGAGGCTAGAAGTCTGAAATCAAGGTGTTGTCAAGGCCGTGATGTCTTTGAAAACCTGTAAGGGAGAGAATCCTTCCTTATTCCTAACTTCTGGTGGTTTACTGGCAATTTCTGGCATTCCTTGGCTTGCACCGGTAGCATTTCAATCTACTTGCATTATCACATGGTATTCTCACCTTGTGTGTCTGTGTTGGCATGACATCTATTTAGTATATTACATGTAAATGTTTTTCCATTATGCTTTTTGGTTCATATTTTCTGTTGGAGGCAGTGTCCTTCGCCATTGCTTTCTGTATGTGGCCTCAACTTTCCCTTTTTAATATCAATCAATACATCTAAGCTAAAAATTCTAATCAAGGTTTTTGGTATGGTTAGCATATAATTCTCATTAACTCTGAAGAAATTGATGTTTTACGGTAAAAATATTTTTAGGCCAACTCCCTTTTCAGGTCTTATTTAACCATTAAATACACACATTTAAAGCAACTCTGGTGTAGGACTTAGGAAGAATGAAGTGTGATGGCTCTTTTTTTATACTTTATAATTTTCTATTGTGATTTCTCTTTTATTGAGTCATTTTTAATTTTTTTTTTACTTTTATTTCTTTGAATATATTTGTTATGAAGTCTTATTGAAGGCTTGACTAATCAAGTATCTGGGCCCATACAGATTTAGTTTTCACTGAATGCTTTTTTTCCTTTAGTATATTTCACTTTCATATGTTTTTACATGTCTAATAATTTTTGGTTGACAGCTGGACATTTTAGGTAGCATATTGTAGCAACTCAATTTTGTTTTATATCTAAGGGATTTGTATTGTTTTAAATTTAGCATTTTGACTGGACTCAAATTGTGGAATCTATCTTATATATGATGTGAAGTTATTGCTGTCTGTGCTCAGTTTTTAAGTTCTTTATTTCAATATTTATTCTTGCTTGCTAGGGGTAGTTCCTGTGTCTGCATAGCTTAGCAGTCAGCCAATCATTTGGACAAAGGTTAAGATCAAACACTTGAGTCTATAAGCCTTCCACCCACTGTTGGTTGTTCTGTGTGGGATGGGGGATGCATTCATTGTAGGAGGCAGTTCCCAAATTCCCCTTGGTTTTTACATTTGCCATGCTCTCTTGAGTCTCCCCTGTGCATGCATCATTTCAGTTTGCCAAAGATGTTTGGAGAGCTCATGTTACCCTTTTCTGCCCTTCTGTTTCCAGGACCTTGTTAAATGTCTGGCTGCTCTGTTGCTCTTCAAGAACTAGGACTGTAACCTTTGGTTAGCAACTACAGATACTCCTTGTCCATTCCTAAGTGATTTTTTTACTTTTGACTTACAAAGTTGTAGGTTTATACCTCTGCTGTAAATCAAGACTCCTCTTACGGCAAAGTTGCTAGTTTTTCAGTTAGCTACAGCCAGACAAAACTGTAGTTTTTACCAATCAACCTAGGGGTGGGTGAGACCTCACTCAAGGAGGCCACAGATTCCAACAGTTCTTTTCCAAAGCTTTAGCAATATTTTTTCTTTATTTTCTTTTTTCTTTTCTTTTCTTTTTTTTTTTTTTTGAGGCAGAGTTTCACTCTTGTTGCCTGGGCTGGAGTGCGATGGTGTGATCTCGGCTCACTGCAACCTCCACCTCCCGGGTTCAAGCAATTCTCCTGCGTCAGCCTCCTGAGTAGCTGGGATTACAGTTGCTTGCCACCACGCCTGGCTAGTTTTTGTGTTTTTAGTAGAGACAGATTTTCACCATGTTGGCCAGGGCTGTCTCGAATTCCTGACCTCAGGGTGATCCACCCACCTCAGCCTCCCAAAGTGTTGGGATTACAGGTGTGAGCCACTGTGCCCAGCTTAAGTGTAGCCTTTCTTTGTCTAAACTGAAAGCCCATATGGTTCAGCAAAGGCTCTCCATTCTGCTTGGTCAGAGCCACGTCTGATTTTTGCCACCTCTGTACTCTGTTCAGCTCATAGGCTTCTGTCATGTCTCAGAATTTTGCTCTGCACATTTGCAGCCTACTGTTCAGCCAACTGTTCAGCCAACTTCTAGGGCTATAATGGCTGATACAGTAGTCACAAGTTGTAGCTATTTAAAATTAATTTAAAATATTGTTTCTTACTTGCATTTGCCACATTTCAAGTGCTTAGTAGCACATGGTACTGGTGGCTACCACATTAGATGTCACAGATACAAGTTGCAGAAAGTTCTGTTCTTGGGCACCTCGTGCAGATTTCTGGAGCTCTTTTTCAGTGGAGTTTCCACTTCTGTACCCTGCATCACAATTCAGTTTTCTCAACAGCCCTAAATTGTGATCTTTCTGTGCCCATTAAGACCACTGTTCTTTTTGAGCTTAACTCTCTGTGTCCAGTTTTGGAGAGTGCCCCCAGGCATAAAACTGGGTGACTATGGAGTTAATTTCATGTCTTTAAAGAATCACAGTCCTGCCTACTTTGTCAGGCAGCCCTCATGCTCATGAAGGGTCTTAAAGAAAGAGACTTCTACCCGGGCATGGTGGCTCATGCCTGTAATCCCAACACTTTGGGAGGCTAAGTCGGGTGGATCATGAGGTCAGGAGTTCGAGACCAGCCTGGCTAACATGGTGAAACCCCGTCTCTACTAAAATACAAAAGTTAGCCGGGCATGATGGCAGGTGCCTGTAATCCCAGCTACTCAGAGGCTGAGGCAGGAGAATTGCTTGAACCTGGGAGATGATGGTTGCAGTGAGCCAAGATCACGCAACTGCACTCCAGGCTGGGCAGCCGAGCAAGACTCTGACTCAAAAAAAGAAAACAAAAGAATCACCGTCCTTCACTTTTGTCCAATGTCTGCATAGAGTTACCTTTTATCTTTTTCTATTTTAAAGTTTGTTGGAGGAGGGCAAATTTGATACCCATTAATCCATCGTGGGCATCACCCATGAGAGTTTTTTTAATGATTTTTCTAATTTTTATTGTTGGATAGGATTCCACAGTTTGTTGTCCATTTACTTACCACATGGATGCATGTGTCTTTAATTTCTTCCAATGGTTACTTACATCTATGTAACTACAATGCAGAAAACAGGAATTTGGCAAGGATACAATGCATGTGTATAGTTCTATTTCATCATATGTGTGAATTTGTGTAACTACTGCAATCAACATAGAACTGTTTCATCATCACTAATTTGTTCTTCATCTCTGTAATATTGTCACTTATATATTGTTGTAGCAATGGAATAATATAGTGTATGACCTTTGGTTTTTCTCACTCAGCATAAAGCCCTTAAGATCATCCAAGCAGTTATACCTATCAATAGCTCATTTCTTTTTTATTGCTAAGTGGTATTCTCTAGTATGGATGACTGTACCACAAATAAAGATGAAGTGAACACTTCCTACAGGTTTTTGTGTAAATTTAAGTTCTTGTTTCTCCGGAGTAATGCCCATATGGGAAGCATACATTTAATTTTTTAGGAAACTGTTTTCCAGATTGGCTGTACCATTTTACATTCCCACAATCAATTTATGAGACACAGTGGTCTCATAAACCCCTTATCTGTGGTTTCACTTTCCTTGAATGCAATTAACCCACAGTTAATCGTGGTCCAAAAATGTTAAATGGAAAATTCCAGAAATAATCCATAAGTTTCAAATTGTGTGCTGTTCCAAATAGCATAATGAAATCCCATGCCCTCCCGCCTGGGACATGAATCCTCCTTTTGTCCAACATATTTATACTATAGACTACCTGCCCGTTAGTCATTAATATTTTCTGCTCTTGACTTTCAACCATTGATACCACCATGGTTCTGTGATCCAGGATCACCTGAAGCAGTTTATCCTCCTGACAATAGTAGCCTAACGCTATGTCACAATGCCTGTGTCATTCACCTCACTTCATCCCATCAGCATAGGCCTTTTATCACGTCATCACAAAAAGACGGGTAAGTGCAGTACAAGAAAGTATTTTCACAAAACTTTTATTATAGCACATTATAATTTTTCTGTTTCATTGTTAACTCATACTTTGTCTAATTTATAAATTAAACCATTATATGTATGCCAACAAAAAAATCTAAAGATATCTATATCTATAGATATATATAGGGTTCAGTACTGTCTGTGGTTTCAGGCATTCACTGGGGGTCTTGGGAACCTAACCCCCAAGGCGGACTGCTGTATCTAGTTTCTTTGCCCCCTCACCAAACATTTGGTATTGTTACTTTTTTTAGCTGTTCTAATAAGTGAGTAAGGATATTGTCTCTTGAACTTAATTTGCATTTCTCTAATGACTAGTGATGTTAAGCATCTTTTCATATGTTTATTTGCTATCCATATGTCCTCTTCAGTGAAATGCCTTTTCATCTCTTTTGATCATTTTTTGTTTGGATTTTTTAATGTTGAATTTTGGAAGTTTTAAAAATATATTTTTGATATGAATCATTTGTTGGACTTATGGTTTGCACATATTTTCTCCTGGTCTGTGCTTGTCTTCATCATAACAAGGCCTTTTGAAGAGCAAAGGTTTTAATTTTGATGAAGTCTAACTTATTGATTTTTATTCTTTTATAGATCATACTGTGTCTTGCAAACTCTTCAATCTCTAGATCCAAAATTTTTTTTTCTGTTTCCTTCTGTAAGTTTATAGCTTTGCATTTTACATTTCAGTTTTGTAATCCATTTTGAATTAAATGTTTTTTCATAAGGTGAGAGAGTTAGGTCAAAATTCATTTTTTGGCTGTGGATGGCTGATTGTACCTGCAGCAATTGTTGAAAGGGCTATCTTTCTTCCACTGAATTGCTTTTGTACCTTTGTCAAAAATCAGTTGAGCATATTTGTGTGGATCTATTCTGAGTTCTGTGTCTATTTTTTTTAATATGATAGAAGTTTATTACTCTATTGAAACAGTTCAGAGGTGTATAGTCAAAGGCCGAAATAGGGTGACTCTGCCATCCTTGGTATGTGGCTTAAAAATTTTTTTTAATTTTATTTCAGTGGCTTTTGGGGTACAAATGGTTTTTGGTTACATGGACGAATTACATAGTGATGAAGTCTGAGATTTTAGTGTACCTGTCACTCAAGTTGTGTACATTGTACCCAGTATGTAGTTTTTTATCCCTCACTCCCTTTTCATCCTCCCCCTTCTGAGTCTCCAAAGTCCATTATACCACTCTGTATGCCTTTGCATATTCATAGCTTAGCTCCCTCTCACTTAGCTCATGACTGAGAACATAGGGTATTTGGTTTTCCATTCCTGAGTTACCTCATTTGGAATAATGGCCTCCAGCTGTATTCACGTTGCTGCAAAATAACATTTTTTTAAAAATTCAATTTTATTTTAGATCCGGGGTTACATGTACAGGTTTGTTACTTGAGTATATTGCATCCAGGTAGGGAGCACAGTTAGGTAGCGAGCACATCCAGGTAGTGAGCACCCAATAGTCAGTTTTTCAACCCTTGCCCATATCTATCCCAAGGAAAAGAAGTAGGTAGATACTCTGCCCTCTGACTTTTCCTCAGTTCCACTGCCAGGCCATCAGGAATGCGATCCACCTCCTAGTCACACTGCTGACCCAGTGTTGTGGCTATTCAGATCAGACAGGTACCTCTTCATCTGCAGGAACGTTGGTGTTCCAAGTAGAGAGAGAGTGTGACTCTACCCCACATGCAAGCCTGAACCTGGAGGGCACTCTTCCTGTGGGGATGCAGTCACCCTGACGTGTTCCAGAAAGGCTGTCTAAAGGTGCACCCACATGAAGCTCCCATGGGAGAAGCCCCAGCTCTGTCTGCAGTGGTAGATTAAGGGGGAAAAGAAGTCTCTGCTCTGTTGCCCAGGCTAGAGTGTAGTGGCGTGATCTTGGCTCACTGCATCCTCTGCCTCCTGGGTTCAAGCAGTTCTCCTGCCTCAGCCTCCCGAGTAGCTGAGATTACAGGTGCCCGCTACCATGCCCAGCTAATTTTTATATTTTTAGTAGAGACGGGGTTTCATCATATTAGCCAGGCTGGTCTCGAATTCCTGACCTCATGATCTGCCCAACTCAGCCTCCCAAAGAGGTGGGATTACAGGCATAAGCCACTGCGCCCGGCTAGAAGTCTCTTTCTTTAAGACCCTTCATGAGCATGAGGGCTGCCTGACAAAGTAGAGCTACAGACTTTCTACGCTAAGCCCAGCACCGCACCTGTGCTTCCCACAAATGAAGGTTCTGGAACTCAAGGCCTGCCATCTGGATTCTTTTGTCATACGGGATGCTCCCTTGATACGGTATACTCCCCTTTCCTTCAGTAGTGGGAGTCCCTGAGAGCCAGACTACTGTGAATGCTCTGCTGGGGCTAGCCACCCAGTGGGGCTGCCACACTCCAGGCTGGTGCAGGGGAATGTCTGCAAGGAATCCAGTGATATGAGCTGTCCTCAAATTTTCCAGCAGTGGCTCCCAGGGCCAGCTGTGGTGGGGGTGGCAGGGGAGTGACATAGGCTCTGAGACTCCTTGGTTATAAATAGCCTTAGTGTGTTTGCTTTCTCAGAGGCCAGTTGCAGTAGTTACGAACTGGTCACATGGACAGACTCAGGACCTCCTGCTTAGCCAGGATGGTACAGGCAATGGTGATAGCTGAAGTCACACACAGGTTTCTCCCTTCCTTGGCACTGTGTTATTCTACCTAGACGTGCTGTAATGGACTGTGTTGGTTGGCCTCCAGCTAGGAGGTGGTGCTTGCCAAAGAGTGCCAGCTGCAGTGGTACTGGTGAGATTTGTGCTTGCTTTATGTTACCCAGGGAAGGTACTCTGGTGTCTCAGGCAATGGGCAGTGCTATAGTGCTCCCAAAAGTTTCTATTGTTTGTGTTAAGCTACCAGGGCAGGTAGAGGCGCAAAGCCAAGTGGAGGCTGGGTCAGGTAAGTGTGCACTCTGACTTTCTGTGTGTAGGGCAAGCAGTGGTCCCAGTAGCGATCAGCGGGCACTTTTCTGGCTGCCGGGGTGATGTTACAGGTAGGAGTACAGCTGCTTCTGTTGCACAAAAGAGTTCACATAGGGAATGGGGAGTAGCAGGTGGTAGTAAACCTACCCAGCTCCTTTGCACTTGGCAAGGTGGGTATCATACCCGCAGTGTTTCATTAGCAGCAGCTAGCTAGATTCCAGGCAGTCTGTGCTCAGATTCTCTGTTGATCTATGTGTCTACCTCTCTGCCAATACAACACTGTCTTGATTATGTATGACTTGAAATTGGGTATAGTGGTCCACCCATTTTGTTTTTTCTCAGAATTGTTTTAGGTATTCTGATTCCTTTGCCTTTTCATGTAAATTTGGATAATTTTGTCATTATGTACAAAGAATCCTTCTGTGATTTTGATGAGTTATGTTAAATTTGTGTATCATTTTGGGGAAAAATTGACATTTTTGCTATCTTGAAGTCTTCTAATCCATGAACTTGATATGATGGTATGTTTCTCCATCTATTTAGATCTTTGATTTCTTTCATTAGTATTGTGTATTTTCAGTATAAAAGTCATGTACATGTATTGTTAGATTTAGATATATTTTTTGAGGAATTATAAATGGTAATTTTTCTATAGTATGTGTTCTGTGATTTATTTCTTCAGCATTTTGCCTTTCCTAGTCTTTTAAGATTTTACATTAAAAAGTATCTTATCTCTCTGATACCGGAATATATTCTACTGATTTTTACATGTAACTTTCATGATATGCACTAGATTAAATTACAATAGCTTCAGGAAGTTCTGAGATTGTAAATTGAAGCTTCAGAGAAGGAATAAAAGTAGTAGTCTGGAAACAGCTTTATTAAAGGAAATCAGAAACTTTGTAACAAGGTCAGGGTAGGCAACGTTTTCCCGTAAAGGGCTAGAAGGTAAATAAATATCTTAGATTTTGTGGAACACACAGAATGTCTTGCATATTTTAAAAATAGGCTTTATTTATTAAAGCAGGTTTATGTTCACAGCAAAATGGAGCAGAGAGTACTGAGAGCTCCTGTACACTGCTTGCCCCTGCACATGCACCTCTCCTGCTGTCAACACCATGAACCACAGTGGCACATCTGTTACAGTTGATGAACCTACATTGACACATCATTATTACCCACAGTTTACAGTTTACATTAGGGTTTTCAGTTGGTGTTGGGTATTCTGTGGGTTTTGATAAATGTATAATAACATGTATCCATTATTATAGTATTGTAGAGAAAAGTTTCACTGCCTTAAAATTCTCTATGCTCCTCTTATTTATACCTCCCATCTCCCTCACCTCTGATCTTTTTAGTCTCCAAGGTTGTGCCTTTTCTGGAATGTCATAACATTGGATTATACAGCCTCTTTTGTTTGACTTCTTTGATATTGTATTTTTAATACAATTTTTAGCTTACACAGGTTAATTGCTAGAGTATATAAATACAATTTTTTTGAGATGGGGTCTTGCTATATCACCCAGGCTAGAGTGCAGTGGCTAGTCACAGGTGTGACTATAGTGCACAATAGCCTTGAACTTGTGGTATCCTGTGTCCTGAGTAGCTAGAGCTACATATGTATGCCACCTCTCCAGGCTCTCAGTTGAGTTTTGTATGTCAGTTTTTGCATCCTGAAAACTTGCTAGAGTCACTACAAGTTCTAGAAGTTTTTTGTTTTTCAAAGATTTGTTTTTAAAGATTTTCTACTTAGACCACCATGTCATCTGCAAATAAAGCCGATTTTCTTTCTGTCCTATCTGAATGCTTTTCACTATTAGAACTTCCAGTTTTATGTTGAATAACAGTGGTGAAAATAGACGTCCTTACCCTTTTTCCTAATTATAGGGGGAAAACATCTAGTCTTCACCTGATGTTAGCCATAGGTTTTTTTTAGATGTTCTTTGTCAAGTTGAGGACTAATTTTTTAAATAACAAGTGAGTGTTGAATCTTGTTGAATGCTTTTTTTGCATCTGTGGATATGATCATGTGGTTTTTCTTATGTGTATAGATATGTTTGTAATATTTTCTTGTTTTTTTTGTTGTTGTTTGTTTTGTTTTCTGCAGAGTCTATAGTGATATTCTCTGTTTTGTTCTTGGTGTTGGTAATTGGTGCCTTCTCTCATCCTTGCCAGTTTTGCTAGAGGTTTGTCAATATTATTGATCTTTTTAAAGACCCAGCTTATTATTGTTCAGTGATTTTCTCCTCTCTTTTGTTTTCAATTTCATTGATTTCTGCTCTTGTTTCTTCCATTTTCTGCTATTTTTGAGTTTATTTTGGTCTTCTTTTTCTAAGTTATTGAGATAGCAGCTTAGACTATTGACTTGAGACTCTTACTCTTTTTTAATGTATGCATTTAGTACTATAAATTTCCCTCTCAGCACTGCTTTATATGTGTCTCAAATTTTTATGTTGTATTTTCATTTTCATTCAGGTCAATGTATATATCTTTTACTTCCCTTGAGATTTCTTCAACCAAGGATTCTATAGTAGTGCATTGTTTAGTTTCCAAGATTTAAAAAAAAGTTTTTCTGTTATGTTTTATTACTGTTTTCTAGTTTGATCCTACTGTATTCAGAGAATACAGTGTATGATAGTAATTATTTTAAATGTGCTGAGGTTTGTTTTATGACCCAAGATACTGCCTATTTTTGTATATGTTTGTGGGTACTTGAAGAAAATGTGTATTCTGCTTTTATTGTGTGGAATTTGCTAAAAATGTCATGTAGATCCTGTTTGTTAATGGTGTTGTTGAGTTCATGTATATACTTGCTGATTTTTTTCCTAGTTGTTCTATCAGTTATTGAGATTGAGGAGTGTGAAGTCTCCAACAATTGTGGATTTGTCTATTTCTCCTTTCAGTTCTATCATTGCTTGCTTCATGTATTTTACAGTTCATTTGTTTGGTACATACGTGCTTGGGATTGCCCTGTCTTCTTGGCTCCTTTTTAATTTATTTATCCTTTTTTATTATTTATTATTATTCTTTATCAAGGTGAGGAAGTTTCCCACTATTACTAGTGTATCAAGAGTTTCTTGCAGAAGGAGCAGGATTTAGATAAATTTTTTAAGTTTCTATCATATAATGTTTACATTATATAATGTCCCTCTTTGTTGCTGGTAATTTTCTTTGAAGTCTGCTTTATCTCATACTAATATAACCACCCTTTCTTTCTTTTAATTAATATATGAATGATATCTTTTCCCATTCTTTGTCTTTCAATTTACCCACATTGGTATATTTGAAGGTAATTTCTTATAGACAGTATATTGTTGGATCTGGGTGGTTTTTTAAAATAAATTGTTTTTAATTATAATAGAGATAGGATCTTGCTTTGTTACCCAGGCTTGTTTTGAACTCCCGGCCTCAAGTGATCTGCTTACCTCAGCCTTTCAAAGTCCGGGAATTATAAGCATGAGACACTGTGCCCAGTTGGTTGTTTTTGTTTTGTTTTAATACACCTCACCAAATCTTTGTCATTTAATTGGGAAATTTAGACTGCTCACTTCTAATGCATTTATTCATATGGAAGGGCTATTGTCTGCTATTTTAATTTTTCAGTTTGTTCCCTGTTGTTTCGTCTTTTTTCACCCTTCTAGTGGCTTGCTTAACATTTTGTAGAATTAATTTATCTGTAGCATTTTTAGTTTATCTGCTTATATAGTATTTTAATACCTAGAATAAAGTATTTATTATACATACATACACGAGTTACCACTTTACATATTTGCGTATAGAAATCTTAGCATCATCTACATCCCTTTGCCTGCCTTTATGTATAATATAACTGATTTTTAAATATTTCTTCTATATAAATTGAGAACCATACCAGTATTAGAATTTTTGCTGTAAATCATAGTTTATAAAAGGCAAGTGGAAAAAGAAAATCTGTTGTATTTACCCATATACTTACTCACTTTGTAGTTCCTTGTTCTTCTTGATGTTTCAAGAGTTTTTTTTTATTTCAAGAATTTTATTAGCCATTCTTTTATTGATAGGTCTGCTGGTGACAATTTTTTTTTTCATCTGAGAATGTCTTTATTTCCCTTCATTTTTGAAAGATATTGCACTAGATATAGAATTCTAAGTTAACAGTTCTTTTCTATCACTTATTTAGAAACGCTGGGACACTTCATTCTGGCCTCCATCATTCCTGATGAGAAATGCACTGCCGTTTGAATATTTCCCCTGGACTTGAGACATTTCTCTCTTGTGCCTCTCAAGATTTTTAATTTATCTTTGGTTTTCAGAAGTTTTTTTATAATTGTCTCGATGTGAACTTTTTGGGTTTATCCTGTTTGGTGTTTGTTCAGCTTCTTGAGTTTGTAGGTTTATGTATCTTGCTAAGTTTGGGAATATTTTAGCCATTATTTCATCAAATACTTTTCAAGCCCACTCTCTTTCTTTTCTCCCTCTAGGATCTGATGACACAAATGTTAGATTTTTTTGTTGTTAAATTCCCACAGATTACTGAGATGCTGTATTTATTTTCAGTCTGTTTTCCATCTGTTGTTCATATTGAGTAATTTCTTTTTTTTTTTTTTTTGAGATGGATGGAGTCTTGCTCTGTTGCCAGGCTGGAGCACAGTGGCAGGATCTCAGGTCACTTCAACCTCTGCCTCGGCAGGGTCTCGGCTCACTTCAACCTCTGCCTCCTAGGTTCAGGCGATTCTCTGCCTCAGCCTCCCAAGTAGCTGGGAGTAGGTGGGACTACAGGCACGTGCCACCACGCCCAGCTAATTTTTGTATTTTTAATAGAGACGGGGTTTCCCCATGTTGGCAGGATGGTCTCAATCTCTTGACCTTGTGATCCGCCTGCCTCGGCCTCCCAAAGTGCTGGGATTACAGGCATGAGCCACTGTGCCCGGCATATTGAGTAATTTCTATTGATCTGTATTCAGGTTCACTATTTTCTTCCTCTGTTCCTTCCATTCTGCTGTTGAGTCCATTAATTGATTGGGACATTGTATTTTTCAGTTGCTGAACCTTTCTAATTTTTGTTTCAATTCATTTTGTAATTGTTCCTCATAACATTTTTATGATGGTTACTTTAAAATATTTGTTAGATTCTATAATCTATATCATCCTGACATTGGTGTCTTTTGGTTGGGACACTGCATTTTTCACTTGTGAAACTTTCTATTTTTTGTTTCAATTCAATTTGTAATTGTTCCTTGGAACATTTTTATGATGATTATTTTAAAATATTTGTTAGATTCTATAATCTGTATCTTCCTGACATTGGTGTCTGTTGATTATCTTTTCTCATTCAATTTTAGACTTTTCTGTTTCTTGGTATGAGGAGTGATTTTCATTTGAATCTGAACATTTTGGATATTTTGTTATTACATTTGGATTTTATTTCAATCTGTTTAGCAGTACTCTGACACCTCTTCTTACATACCTGACATTGTGCAGTCAGGGAAAGGGGTTGCTTCCTTCGTGCTACAAGATGGGAGGCTCTCTACTCAGCCTCCATTTACCCTTTAGGTGTAAGAGGGCTGCTAGATGGGTTTCAGAATTGAGGCTCCCAATTAGGCCTCCACTACTAACTACCCAGAGGCACAGGGGTGCCTTGTTAGTATTCTCCATGTGGCTTGTAGGGTGATAAAAGTCCTTTCTGTCCACTTAGCCTTCACTAAAGTCACCACAGCATAAAGGGGGAGAGGTGTCTCACTACTTCCTGGTTATGAGTGGAAGTTAGGTTTCTCCACCTGATCTCCCCCCTCGCCCCTCCCACCCCCGACAATGAAGGAAAAGGAGGGCACTCTTTCTGCTGGGCTTAAAATCATGAATCATGAATCCCAGTTCAGCTTTCCCCAGCATCACCCCTGGAGGGTAAGAGGAGTGTCTTGTTACAGCTGGCTAAGGTGGAAGTCTAGACTCAACATTATGTGATGGGAATGGGGATAGAGCTGTTTTTTCTCTATGCTGTTTGACTCGAGTTGAGCAGTTCTGCCACTTTCCTGATCCTATGGCTAGAAAGAGCAGGCTGTTTTGGAACTTTCTAAAAAATGTGGGCCTGTTGCTGTGTCTAGTATCTGGAAATTTGAAACCTGCTTCTATAGTGCCAAGTTTAGGATAAATGAGGCAAAACAGAAAATCTGTGAAACTCACTGTCATATCATTCCTCAGATCCCAAGGTTCCTGGTTCTTCTGTTTTCTTTCCACTTTTCAGAGTCTTTTCATGTTTTGTATATACGGTGCAGAATTCTTAGCTGTACTTAGTGGAGGGAATAGGGAAAAGTATGTCTACTTCATTTTTTCTAGAAGCCATAGAATGGCCTTTTTTAAAAAATAGATTTTATATAACAGTTTTAGATTTCCATAAAAATTGAGCAAATAGCACAGAAAGTTCTCATATATCTCTCCTCCCACCCCACATACAGTTTCCTTTATTTTAACATCTTACATTAGTGTGGTATATTTGATAATGAACCATTACTGATATGTTAACTAAAGTCCGCAGTTTATATTAAGGTCGAACTGAATCTATAGATGAATTTGAGAAGAATGTACATCTTAACTATCTTAAATCTTCTAATGCATCAACATGGAATAGCTCTCCACTTATTTATATCTCCTTTAATTTCTTAGAGTTTTGTTGTTTTCTGCATAGATACTATCTAATTTTTGTTAAATTCATACCTAAGTTTTTTTTTTGGTGTGAATGTAAATAGTATTGTGTTTTTAGTTTCAAATTTCAGTTATTTATGCTGTTATTGATAAAGGAAATCAGTTGACTTTTGCATATTAAGCTTGTATCTTGCAACCTTTCAATGTTAGGGCCCTCCAGAGAAATAGAACCAACAAAGGGTGTGTGTGTGTGTGTGTGTGTGTGTGTGTGTGTGTATACAGAGAGAGAGAGAGAGAGAGAGATATTTATTATAAGGGATTGATTCATGTGATTGTGGATGCTGGCAAGTCCCATTATCTACAGAGTGAATTGGCAAACTAGAGACCTAGGAGATGGTGGTGTTCCAGTCCAAAGGGTGGCAGGGGTGAGTCCCAGGAAGAGCCAGTGGTTTAGTTTGAGTCTGAAGGCAAGAAGAAAGCTGATGTTCCAGTTCAGAGGCCATCTGGGTGAAAGAATTCTCTTACTTGGAGGTTAGTCATTTTGTTTTATTCAAATCTTCAACTGATTGAATGAGGCCCTCCCACACTGGTGGGGGGAATCTGCTTTACTCAGTTTACTGATTTAAATGTTAATCTCATCCAAAAATAGCCTCACAGAAACACTCAGAATAATTTTTGGCCAAATGTCTTGGCACTCTGTGGCCCAGTCAAGTTGATGCATAAAGTTAAGCTCCCACTTACTATAATTGTTTCTTAGTTCCAGAAGTTTTTTATTTTGGGGGACTTTCTTCATAGCGAAGTCATGTCATCTATGAACAAAGATAGTTTTGTTTCTTCCTTTCCTATTTGTATAACTCTTATTTCCTTTTCTTGCTGTATTGCATTAGCTAGAACTTCCAGTAGGATGTTGAATTGGAGTGGTGAAAGGGAACATCATTGCCTTCTTCATCTTAGGGGGACATGTCTTTTTAAAAACAATTTTTATCTACTACATTTTTTCTGAACACCAGTGGAAATGTCTTTTTAAAAGTATGATGTTATTTTAGTTTTTTTTTTGTAGTTCAAATTAAAGTTTCTAGGAAATCTAAATAGAGTTTATGTTTTGTAGCTCTAAATTGTAACCCCCTGTTATTATACCCAAGCACTATTTTGGTGGTGGTAAAGTGTGGAAAAGGAAAACATAATCTTATGATTAACTCTCAGTTTAATAGTGGGCCTTAGTTGCTGGGATGAGATCTTGTTGTTTTGTTTTCTTTGTTTGTTCATTTGTTTAGACATGGGATTTCACTCTGTCACCCAGGCTGAAGTGCAGTGGTACTGTTACTGGAAAGGGGTCCCAATCCAGACCCCAAGAGCAGGTTCTTGGACCTCACAACAAGAAGGAATTTAGGGTGGGTCCATAGAGTAAAGCAAAAGCAAGTTTATTAGGAAAGTAAAGGAATAAAGAATGGTTACTCCATAAACGGAAGAGTAGCATGGGCCACTCAACTGAGTACATGTATAGTTATTTCTTAATTGTATGCTAAACAAGGGGTGGATTATTCATGAGTTTTCTGGGAAGGGGTTGGGCAATTCCTGGAACTGAGGATTCCTTTCCCTTTTAGACTATATAAGGTAACTTCCTCATGTTGCCAAGGCATTTGTAAACTGTCGTGGTGCAGGTGGGAGCATCTCTTAACATGCTAATGCATTGTAACAATTAGCATATAATGAGCAGTGAGGACAACCAGAGGTCACTTTAGTTGCTATCTTGGATTTGGTGGCTTTTGGCCAGCTTCTTTACAGCATCCTGTTTTATCAGCAAGGCCTTTATGATCTATAAAGAGGTCTTTTGCCAACCTCGTATCTCATCCTGGGAATGCAGCCCAGTAGGTCTCAGACTTATTTTACCCAGCCCCTATTCAAGGCGGAGTTATTCCGGTTCCAGTGCCTCTCACAGTGCCACCATAGTTCACTGTGTAACCTCTAACTCCTGGGCTCAAGTAATCCTTCTACCTCAGCCTATTGAATAGCTAGGATTACAGTTGCATGCCACTATGCCTGGCTAATTTCCTTTTACATTTTTTTTTTTTTTTTGAGACAGGATCTCACTATATTGCCCAGGCTGGTCTTGAACTCCTGGACTCAAGAGATCCTCCTGCCTCAGCCTCTCAGAGTGTTAGGATTACAGATGTGAGCTATTGTATCTGGCCTAAGCTGAGTCTTTCTCAGTCTCTCTTTTTTTTTTCTCCTCTTACGTGAGACAGAAACTTGAAGTCCGTCTACTTTTTATATACTATTTTTTCTTGCAAAACACATTCATGAACATTTAATTTGATTAAGATATATTTTTAGGTTAAAGATTTTTAAATAATGAATTACAGCCCAATTTGTTTATAAATCATATTTATTTGCTAGTTTGTTTCATAATTCTGAAGTTTAATCTTTCCTATGTAATTTTCTAATTTAATCCTAATTTCTAAAAATTTTGTGTCCAAGGTGTTTCTTCTGGAAAATAAGAAACATAAAGTTTTTGGCCTTTTTTCAAAGAAGCACTGATTTTGACATGTACTCTTGGATGCTTTTCTGGTGTTTTTCTGGCATTTCAGTCACTTTTCTGGTGTTTTTGCTTTATGCATTTTGCTTTCTCCAATATCTATGCGTTAAAGTGGGTGTAGGTGTGAATGTATGGTTTTGTGTTCCTTTTCTAGTGTAGGCATTTTATTGTACTATGTAATGCTAGTATACAAAAAGGTATTTTTATTAAAATCTTAATATTAGTAGCAAACTGTTCCAGTTATCTATTACTGTGTAAAAGCAACAGCCATTTTCCCGACATAGTGGCTCACATCTGTAATCCCAGCAGTTTGGGAGGCCAAGGTGGGAGGATTGCTTGAGCCCAGGAGCTCAAGACCAGCCTGGGCAACATAGTGAGACCCCTCAACATGTATATATTATATATATATAGTTTTTGATGTATTTGACAGTTTTGAGGAGTACTGGTGAGGAATTTTGTAGAATGATTTTTCATTGGAATTTGCTAATATTTTTCTCATTATTATCCTGGGGTTATGAGATTTTTAGGAAGAAGATCACAGAAGTAAAGTGCCATTTTCATCACATCATTTTAAGGGTACAAATTATCAACATGATTTGTGATTACTGATGTTCACCTTGATCACCTGACTGAGGTAGTGTTTGCCATGTTTCTCTATGGTAAAGTTAACCTTTTCCCTCCTCCTTTCTATACTGTAGTCTTCGAAAGGAAGTCACTGTGCAGCCCATATGTAATGAGGCGGGAGTTATGCTTTACCTCCTTGAGAGTGGAACATTTATTTATTTTATTTTATTTTACTTTAAGTTCTGGGATACATGTACAGAACATGCAGGTTTGTTACATAGGTATACTTGTGCCATGGTGGTTTGCTGCACCTATCAACCCATCATCTAGGTTTTAAGCCCCGCATGCATTAGTTATTTGTCCTAATGCTCTTTCTCCCCTTGCCCCCCACCCCCAACAGGCCGCAGTGTGTGATGTGAGAGTGGGACATTTATATAAATTATTTGGAATTCTTCTGTAAGGGAGATTAGTCCTTCCTCCCATGTTTGCTTACTTATTCAATTATTTATTTATTCAGTATGAACTCTTGGATATTTGTTTTATACTTTGAGTTATAACCCAGTAGTACTTTATTTTCTTGCTCAAATTGTTCTAGCTTTGGCTATTGGGAGCTCCTCAGGTGGTTCCTGTGTTCCTTTGACATATTCCTATTATTGTGACATGTTTACCTGCTTGCTTGTTTTTTAGCACTTCCTTACTTTCTGGCACTTCAAGATGCCCTAGGCTCATCGTCTATATTTTTTTGTCCCAGTCCTAGAGTTAGCCATTTCTCCAAGAAGCTCTGGTTCCTCTTGCTAGAGAATGGTATTAGAAGACAAAATTTGTGTGCTAGATATACTCTGGGCATTTTGCTTCTAGAGTCTCTCAGCTTACAAAACAAAGTAATATATCTGGGTATACTAATCTGAATACATACACATATTATAACATTTCTATATGTAATCAACTCTAAACTGAGCTAAAACATGAATTACTACTAATGACTCTAATCCATTCTCATATGGACCATTCTAGCCTCCTCACCTTGCTTACCTGTAAATTCCCACTCCAACTGTAAGAAACCTGGCTCCCACTATCCATCATTGATTTATTTATTTGTTCTATTCCAGTATGCTTGTGCAGTCATGTGCTGCATTTTGGTCAATGATAGACCACATATGCAACAGTGGTCCTGTAAGTTTACAGTGGGGCTGAAAAATTCCTACTGCCTACTGATGTTGTAGCTATTATCATGTAGCTTGATGCATTACTCGTGTTTGTGATGATACTGGTGTAAACAAACCTACTGCTCTGCCAGTTGTATAATATTATAGCACATACAAATACACACAGTACATACTTGAAAGGTGACTATGTTACTAGTTTGTGTATTTATTATACTGTACTTTTTATCACTGTATGACAGCATACTCCTTCTACTTATTAAAAAAAAAAGTTAATTGTAAAACAGCCTAAGGCAGAGCCTTCAGGAATTATTCAAGATGAAGGCATTTGTGTTAGTCCGTTCTTGCACTGCAGTAAAAAAATGCCCAAGGCTGGGTAATTTATAAAGAAAAGGCGTTCAATTTCACAGTTCCACAGGCTGTACAGGAAGCATGATGGCTTCTTGGGAGGCTTCAGGAAACTTTCAATCATGGCAGAAGGTGAAGGGGAAGCAGGCATGTCTTACGTGGCCAGAGCAGGAGGAAGAGAAGGGAGTGAAAGGTGCTACATACTTTTAAACAACCAGATCTTGTGGGAACTCACTATTGCAACTTCATCTCCAAGGGGGATGGTGTTAAACCATGAGAAACAACCTCTATGATCCAATCACTTCCCATCAGGCCCCACCTCCAACATTGGGGATTACAATTCGACATGAGATTTGGGCAGGAACACAGACCCAAATCATGCCATGTGTCCTTGCCCAAATCTCATGTAGAATGGTAATCCTCAGTGTTTGAGGTGGGGCCTGGTGGGAGCTAATTGGATCATGGGGGCAGATTTTGCCCTTACTGTTCTTGTGATAATGAGTGAGTTCTCATGACGTGTGGTTGTTTAAAAGCCTCCCCGCTCCACCTCCTTTCCTCCTGCTCTAGCCACGTAAGACATGTCTGCTTCCTCTTCACCTCTGCCATGACTGGGAGTTTCCTGAGGCCTCCCCAGAAGCCAGTGGGCTTCCTGTCCAGCCTGCAGAACTGTGGGCCAGTAGAAACTCTTTTCTTCATAAATTACCAAGTCTTGGGTATTACTTTATAGCACTGCAATAGCAAACTAATATAGAAAATTGCTACCTAGTTGTGGGTCATTACTATAAAGATACCTGAAAACGTGGAAGAACTTTGGAAGTGGGTAACAGGCAGCAGTTGGAAGAGTGTGTAAAGCTCAGAAGAAGACAGGAAGATGAGGGAAAGTTTGGAACTTCCTAGAGACTTGTTAAATTGTTGTGACCAAAATGCTGATAGTGATATAGACAATAAAGTTCAGGCTGAGGAGTCTCAGATAGAGATGAAAAACTTATTGGGAACTGGAGCAAAGGTCGTTTTAGTTATGCATTAGCAAAGAGGTTAGAGGCATTGCGCCCCTGTTCTAGTAATCTGAGAAACTTTGAACTTGAGAACAATGATTTAGGGTATTTGGTGGAAGAAATTTCTAAGCAGCAAAGCATTCAAGATGTAGCCTGGCTGCTTCTAACACCCTATGCAAAACTGGCACTTATATTTAAAAGGGAAGCAAAGTGCAAAAGTTTGGAAAATTCACAGCCTGGCCATGTGGTAGAAAAGAAAAATGCATTTTCTGGGGAGGAATTCAAGCCAGCTGCCAAAATTTGTATAATTAAAAGGAAGGCAAGTAATAATAGCCAAGACGATAAGAAAAAGGCCCTGAAGGCATTTCAGAGAACTTCCTGGCAGCCCCTCTGTGTCAGTTCATTCTCACACTGCTATAAAGAACTACTTGAGACTGGATAATTTATGAAGAAAAGAGGTTTATATTGACTCACAGTTCTACAGGCTGAAAAAGAACCATGGCTGGCAGGCCTCAGGAAATGTACAATCATGGCGGAAGGGCAAAGGGAAAGCAAGCATGTCTTCACATGGTGGCAGGAGAAAGAGAAAGTGAAGGGGGAAGTGCCACCCACTTTTAAACCATCAGTTCTTGTGAGAGCTTACTATCATTAGAACAGCAAGCAGGGAATCTGCCCCATGATTCAACCACCTCCCACCACGTCCGTTCCCCAACATTAGGAATTACAGCATTGCCAATGTTTGGCCAGGCCCAGTGGCTCATGCCTGTTATCTCAGCACTGTGGGAGGCTGAAGTGGGAGGATCATTTGAAGCCAGGAGTTTGAGACTGGCCTGAGCAACATAGCAAGGCCCCATCTCTATTAAAAGGAAAAAAAGAAGAAGAAGGCATTTTTATTGTAGGAGATGACAGCTTCATGAGTGTTATAGCCCTTGAAGACCTTTCAGTGGGACAAAATATGGAGGTGGAAAACAGTGATATTGATGATGCTGACCCTGTGTAGGCCTAGACTAATGTGTGTGTTTGTGTCTTCATTTTTAATAAAAAGATTTAAAAGGTAAAAAAAAATTAGTAGATAAAAGCTTATAGAATCAGGATATAATGAAAGAAATTTTTTATAGTGTTACTATGTGTTTGTGTTTTAAGTGTTACATAAAAGAGTCAAAATTTTTTTAAAATTAAAAAGTATATAAAGTAAAAATGTTGCAATAAGCTAAGGTTAATTTTATTATTGAAGAAAGAAAAAATGTTTTTATAAATTTTGTGTAACCTAAATGTATAGTGTTTATAAACTCTACAGTAGTGTACAGAAATATTCTAGGCCTTTACATTTACTCACTGCCCACTCACTGACTCATGTATTGAGTCAGTCTTGTGAGCTCCATTCATATTAAGTGTTCTATACAGGTATACCACTTTTAATCTCTTTTTTTTTCGGAGTCTCACTCTTGTCGCCCAGGCTGGAATGCAATGGTGCGATCTCGGCTCACTGCAACCTCTTCCTCCCGGGTTCAAGCGATTCTCCTGCCTCAGCCTCCTGAGTAGCTGGGATTACAAGTGCCCACCACGACACCTGGCTAATTTTTTATATTTTTAGTGGAGATGGGATTTCACCATGTTGGCTAGGCTGGTCTCAGGTGATCCAACCGCCTCGGCCTCCCAAAGCGCTGGGATTACAGGCTTGAGCCACCGCACCCGGCCCATTTTTAATCTTTTATGCTGTATTTTTATTGTGCCTTTTCTGTTTGGATATGTTTAGATGCACAAATACTTACCATTGTGTTACAGTTGCCTACAGTATTCAGCACAATATCATGCTGTACAGTTTTGTAGCCTAGGTGCAATAGGCTATATATACCACATAGCCTTGGTGTGTAGGAAGCTGTACATCATAGGTTTGTGTAAGTATGCACTATGATGTTCACATAATGATGAAATCATCTAATGAAGCATTTCTCAGAATGTATTCCCTTTGTTAAGTGATGCATGACTCTACAGCTGTTTCAGAGTTGTTAACCTGTACCTCAGTGGGAAACAACTTTATCAGTTTATGTTCAGTTTGTTTTGTCTTTGGAATTTCAGACTCCACTCATTTCCAGAGTTACTTGGGTCAGCATCCTTCTTCTCTTCCCCATTCAGTGAGGTTGTTTTATACTTTTGTAATACAGTTAGATTGTTTTGTCATATTCTGCATTCCATACTGGGATATCCTGACTTCCTAAATAACTTCATGAAAATTTGTATGCATTAGCCCTCACTGTTTATACTGTAAATGTCTATGGATTTTTATAAATAGTGTCATGTACCAATCATTACAGTGTCATATGGAATAGTTTCAGTACTTTAAAAATCTGTGTTTTTCCAATTTAACTACCTTCTCCTCTGCCTGAACCTCTGGCAAAGACTGACCTTTTCTTGATCTGTGTTTTACAGAATGGTCTGTGTTTTACAGAATTTTTTTTATTTGTGTTTTACAGAATGTCATATAATAGGAATCATGTAATATATAACGTTTTCAGACTGGCTTATTTCACTTAGAAAAAATGCAATTAAGTTTCCTTCATTGCCTTTTTGTGACTTCACAGATCATTTCTTATTTGTTTCAAAGACTTTATTTTTTAGAGCAATTTTTGATTCACAGCGGAATTAAGAGGAAGGTACAGAGATTTCCCATATACTTCCTGCCTCTACTCTCTTGTTATTAATATCCCCCAAGAGAGTGGTACATTTGCTACAATTGATGAACCTAGATTGACACATCATTGTCACCCAGACTTCATAGTTTACATCAGAGTTCACTCTTGATATTGTACATTCTCTGTGTTTGAACAAACGTATAATGACATGTATTCACCATCACAGTATTATACAGAGTAGTTTTACTACACTAAAAATCCTCTATGCTCCGCGTATTCGTCCCACCTTCCTTCCTAATCCTTGGCAATCACTGATCTTTCTACTGTCTCCATAGTTTTGCTTTCTCTGGAATGTCATATAGTTTGAATCATCTAGTATATGACCTTTTCAGATTGATTTCTGTCACTTAGTAATATGGATTCATGTTTCCTTCATGTTTTCAAAGGTTGATTGCTATCTTTTTATTGTTGAATAATATTCCATTGTCTAGAAGTACCACAGTGTATCCACTCACCTGCTGAAGGACACCTTGGTTGCTTCCAAGTTTTGGCAATTATGAATAAAGCTGACATAAACATCCATATGAAGGATTTTCCATAGAACATAAGTTTTCAATTCCTTTGATAAATACAAAGGAGTATGATTGCTGCACAGTATCATGAGAGTATATGTAGCTGTGTAAGAAACTGTCAAACTCTCTTTCAGAGTAGTTGTACCATTTTGCATCCCCACCAGCAATAAATGAGTCTGTATCTGGGTTCTTGTTTTTTTGTATCTACATGGCCAATTGTTCAAGCACCATTTGTTGAAAGACTTCACCAATACTACATTACATCGAATACTGTAGCTTTACAATAAGTCTTGAAGTCAGCTTGTGGTAGTCCTCCAACTTTGTTCTTTTCCAATATTGTATCAGCAATTCTGAGTCTTTTGCCTCTGCAAATAAACTCTAAAATTTGTTTGTTGGTATCCACAAAATGATTTGCTGAGATTTTGACTGGGATTGCCTTGAATCTGTAGATTAAGTTGGGAAGAACTGACATCTTGACAATGTTAAGTCTTTCCATTCATGAACATGAAATTTTCTTCATTTATTTAATTCTGTTTTGATTTCTTTAATCAATAGTTTTGTAGTTTTCCTCATATAGATCCTGTACATATTTTGTGAGATTTGTACCTAAGAAATTCCTTTCTTGGATGCTAATGTAAATGGTATTCTCTTTTAAACTTCAAATTCCACTTCTTTATTCCTAGTTAGTATATAGAAAAGGGTTTGACTTTCGTGTGTTAACCTTGTATTCCACACCCTTGCTGTAATTGCTTATTAGTTCCAGGAGTGTTTTTGTTGATTCTTTCAGATTTTCTACATAGATGATCATTCATCTAAGAACAAAGGGTTTTATTTATTCTTCCCAATCTGTATACCTTTTTTGTCTTTTTATTGTTTTATTGCATTAGCTAGGACTTCCAGTAGGATGTTTAATAGGAATAGTGGGAGGGGACAACATGGCCTTCTTCAAAATTGTAGTGGGAAGTGTACAGTTTCCATTAAGTATGAAGTTAGCTTTCTGTTTTGTTTTTGTTTTTGTAGATCAAATTGAGGAAATTCCTATAAGAACTCTATCTAAGTAGAGTTTGTGTCTTGCAGCTCTCTAAGTTGTACCCTTTTGTTATGACACTGAAGCCCTTTTGTGCTGTTGAAAAGTTGTACCCTCTTGTTATGATACTGGAAGCCTGTTTGTGCTGTTGAAAAGGAAAATATTTTATAATTTTATGATTGTCTCCATTTATTAGTGGGCATTTTATTTGCTTTTTTCTGGGTCATATTGCATTTCCTAAGACTTCCAGTGTGATGTTGAAAAGTGATAGTGAGAGGGGGTATTCTTACCTTGTTCCTATTAGCGGGAAAGCTTCAAATATCTAATTATTAAGTATGATGTTAGCTGTAGGTTTCTTGTATATATCATTTTAAAAAATCATTTCAACTTTAATTTAGTTGTAGAGGGGTACATTTGCAGGTTTGTTACATAGTTATATTATTGCCCAGGTACTGAACATAGTAGCCAGTAGTTATTTTTTCAATCTTTGCCCCCATCCCTCTCTCTCTCCCCAGCGGTTCCCAGTGTCTATTGTTGCAATCATTATGTCCATGAGTACCCAAAGTTTAGCTTCCATTTATAAGTGAGAACATGTGGTATTTGATTTTCTGTTCTTGAGTTAATTTGCTAAGGATAATGGCCTTCAGCTGCATTCATATTGCTGCAAAGGATATAATTTGTTCCTTTTTTATGGCTGTGTAGTATTCCATGGTGTATATGTATCACAGTTTCTTTATCCAATCCACTGTTGATGAGCACCTAGGTTGATTCCATGTCTTTGCTATTGTGAATAGTGCTGTGATAAACATATGAGTGCATGTGTCTTTTTGCTAGAACAATTTATTTATTTTTTTGATATATACCCAGTAATAGGATTCCCGAGTCAAATTTTAAGTTCCTTGAGAAATCTTCAAAATGCTTTCTACAGTGGCCTAACTAATTTACATTCCCACCAACAGTGTATAAGCTTTCTCTTTTCTTCACAGCCTCACCAGCATCTGTTGCTTTTTGACTTTTTAATAGTAGCTATCCTGACTGGTATGAGATGATATCTCATTATGGTTTTGATTTGCATTTCTCTGATGATTAATGGTGTGGAGCATTTTTTCATATGTCTGTTGGCCACTTTTATGTCTCTTTTTGTCTCTTTTTGAGAAGTGTCTGTTCATGTATTCCACCCATTTTTAACTGGGATTGTTTGTTTTTTCCTTGTTCAATTATTTAAGTTCCTTATAGAGTCTGAATATTAGACCTTTATCTGACACATAGTCTGTGAGTATTTCCTCCCATTCTGTAGGTTATCTGTTTACTCTGCTGATAGTTTCTTTGGCTGTGCAGAAGCTCTTTAGTTTAATTGCATCCCACTTGTCAATTTTTGTTTTTGTTGCAATTGTTTTCAAGGACTTAGTCACAAGTTTTTTCCCTAGGCTAATGTCCAATATGGTGTTTCCTAGGTTTTCTTCTAGGATTCTTTTGTTTTTTTAATTAGAATGTATTAAATATTTTATTTACCCAACTTACAGTTTGCAAATAATCTGCCCTTCTCCAAAAACACTCTAAAACTTCCCTTAGCTATCAAGACTACTTCTACTAATAATATAGAAATACTATAACTAAGGAAACTGGGTGGAGACCCAGGGCTTGAGTTAGAATGCAGATTCTGACATATGATAAACACCAGGTTAAAGGATACTACTAGTTCTCCTATATGTAAATTAAGAGAGCTTTTGTGGGCTGAAGTGGCAACATAATGATTATGTAATACTGACTTGAAAGGAAAACGTACCCAAGGTTCCAGAAAATGTCTTACTGCATTTGACATGTAATCTACTCATAAACTGGAATATGACTGCAATAAAAATCTTTACAATAAGGATAAATATTATAAAAGGCTATATTTCAAATTGCACACAAAATTTTTGAAAGTAAAACTAATGTGGTAAGATAATTTTTTCTATCAAAGTACTTTCAATACCCAAAGTTTTCCAAATACAAAAAAAGTTGCAGTCATATTTTAAATATAACATCTTTAACATCAAAGTATTTTTTTTGGTCCCATAGTAAAAAAGAAAACCATGCTTTTGAAATGTTACGTTTTATATATTTCTAGGATAACCACCAAATTCACTTAGCATGTTACCATACTTGAGGAAAATCAATTCCTAAGATTAAAGAAAAAAAAAAGTCTGGGTTATACAGTTATTTCCCACTTACATCAAATTAAATTTAAAATTAAACTGCCAAGTTGAAGTTCCTGGAGGGTATTCTCCTTGCTCATTCATAAATGTCAGCCCTAGCTGAATTATCTTTAACAAGTCTACATTACACCGCAATAGTTGGTATTGATAATCAGCATTGCTCCTGAATTCTCCAATGGGTTTTGCAACCACAGCTGGAAACTCGTGTCCATAGCAACGTAATTATATTTTCGGATAACCTGACGAATTTTCTTCATCTCTTCATCCAAGTTGCAAGCCCAAACTTCACAAATTCTTTGGCTATGATCTACAGTCGCCGCTGGCATAGTGAGGGCACAAGGGAGTCTAGATGCCAAGCATCAAAATGTTATACTTGATTGAAGATTTGTTTCATAAAATATTTTATCCTTTATTTATGTACTTGTGTCGCTGAGCTCGCGCTCCTCCTCCTCCTCCTCGCCATAGAGACAGCAGCCGGCGGCGGTGGCGGTGGCGGTAGCGGTAGCGGCGGCGGCAGCGGGTGCTCCGTAGACACCTCTCGCCCAGCGAGGGGAAAGGCGAGCAGGAGCTGCGCTGCACCGTGCTGCGCCGTCGCTTTTCACCTCTTCTAGGATTCTTATAGTTTGAGGTCTTACATTTAAATCTTTCATCCATCTTGAATTAATTTTTGTATATGATAAAAGGTAGGGGGTCTAGTTTCATTCTTCTGTATGTGGTTAGCCAGCTATCCTGCACCTTTACTGAATAGAGAGTCCCTTTCCCATTGCTTATTTTTGTCACCTTTGTTAAATATCAGATGGCTGTAGGTGTACAGCTTTATTTCTGAGCTCTCTATTCTGTTCCATTGGTCTATGTGTCTGTTCTTGTATAGTACCATACTATTTTGGTTACTGTAGCCTTACAGTATAATTTGAAGTTGGGTAATGTGATGCTACAGGCTTTGTGCTTTTTGCTTAGAGTTGCTTTGGCTAATTTTTTCTAGTTCTGTGAAAAATTATGGTGATAGTTTGATAGAAATAACATTGAATCTGTAAATTGCTTTGGGCAGTATAGCTATTTTAATGATATTGATTCTTCCAAACCATGGGCATGGAAAGTTTTTCCATATGTTTCTGTCATCTGTGAATTCTTTCAGCAGTGTCTTGTAGTTCTCCTTGTAGAGATCTTTCACCTCTTTGGTTACATGTATTCCTAGGTATTTTATTTTACTTTATTTTATTTTATTTTGCGGCTGTCGTGAATGGGATTGTGTTCTTGATTTGGCTGTCAGCTTGAACATTATTGGTTTATAGAAATGCTACTGATTTTTGTAAAATGATTGGATATCCTGAAACTTTCCTGACATTGTTTATTAGTTTCAGGATCCTTTTGGAAGAGTCTTTAAGAATCATATTGTAAGCAAGAGAGATAGTTTGAATTTCTCTTTTCCTATTTGGATACCTTTTATTTCTTTCTCTTGAATGCTCAGCTAGGACTTCCAGTTTTTTGTAGATATCCTTTATCAATTTGAGGAAGTTCCCCTCTATTCCCAGTTTATTGAGGAATTTTTTTTAATCATTAATGGGTGTTGGATTTTGTCAAATGCTTTTTCTGAATCTATTGATAAAATCGTGACTTTTTGTTTTTAGCTTGTTGATGTGATGGGTCACATTTAGTTGATTTTCCAGTGTTGAATCAGCCTTGCATACCTGGAATAAATCTCACTTGGTCATGATGTATAATTTTTTAAACACATTGTTAGATCAGATTTGCTGATATTTTGTTGAGGATTTTTGACTCTGTTTTCTCTTCAGATTCTGTGAATTTTGACAGATAGTGTCTTTCAAGGAATTGGTTCATTTTATATAGGTTATCAAATTTTGGGGAGTAGAGTTTTTTTATTGTATTCTTTATTATGCTTTTAATGTCCATGGGCTCTTTAATGATGTGCCATCTTTCATTTCTGATATTAATAATTTGTATCTTCTCATGTTTTTCTTAGCCTGGCTAGAAGTTTGTCAATTTTATTCATCTTTCCAAAGAACTATTATAGCTTTTGGTTTTATTAATTTTCTCTATTGGTTTTCTGTTTTCAACTTCGTTGATCTCTGTTCTATTTTTTATTACTTTTTTCTGGTTACTTTGAACTTAATTTGCCCTTCTTTTGCTAGTTTTCTAAGGTGGATGTTTAGGTAATTAATTTTTTATTTTTAGTTTTTTTTAATTTATGCATTCGGTGCTTTAAATTTATCTTAAGCACTGCTTTCACTGCATCTTGCAAAATTTTGACGTTGTTTTCATTTTCATTTAGTTCAAAGTATTTTTAAGTTTCTCTCAAGATTTCTTCATTGATCTGTGTATTGTTTAGAAGTGTGTTGTTTAATCTCCAAGTATTTTGGGATTTTTCCAGCTCTTTCTCTGTTACTGGTTTCCACTTTAATTATATTGTGCTTGGAAAACAGACAATGCATAATTTCTATTCTTTTAAATTTGTTAAGGTGTATTTTATCACCCAGAATATGATTTATCTTTGTGAATGTTCCATGTGATCTTGAGAAGAATGTGTATTAGGCTGCTGTTGGATAAAGTAGGCTATACACGTCTGATATATCCAGCTGTTTGATGGAGTTGTTGAGTAAAACTGTATCCTTACTGATTTCTGCTTGCTGGATCTGTACATTTCTTATAGAGGGATGTTGAAGTCTCTCACTATTAGTGGGTTTATCTTTTTTTTCACTAAAGTTCTATCAGATTTTGGCTCATGTATACTCTGTTGTTAGGCACATACACATTAAGGATTGTTATATCTTCTTGGAGAATTGACGCCTTTATCATTATGCAATGATTATCTTTATCCCTGATAAATTTCCTTGGTCTAAAGTCTATCCTGTCTGAAATCAGTATACTTTAAATCTGTATGTGTTTTTATATTTCAAGCGAGTTTCTAATAGACAACACATGGTTGGTTCTTGTTTCTTGATTCACTCTGACAATCTCTGACTTTTAATTTTTTTTTTTTTTTTTTTTTTTTTGAGACAGAGTCTCACTCTGTTGCCTAGGCTGGAATGCAGTGGTGCGATCTTGGCTTACTGCAACCTCTGCCTCCCGGGTTCAAGCAATTTTCCTGCCTCAGCCTCCTGAGTAGCTGGGATTACAGGCACACGCCACCATGCCTGGCTAATTTTAGTAGAGACGGTTTCACCATGTTGGTCTGGCTGGTCTCAAACTCCTGACCTCATGTTTCACCTGCCTTGGCCTCCCAAAGTGCTGGGATTACAGGCAATCTCTGACTTTTAATTGGCGCATTTAGACCACTGGCATTCAAAGTGATTATTGATATAGTTGGATTAGTGTCTACCATATTTGTTACTGTTTTTTTACCTGTTGTCCCTTTTCTTTGTTTCTATTTGTTTTTCAGTTTTCCATTTTTATTTTTATTATAATTTTTGACTTTCAAAGTTGTCTTTATTATTTTTATTTGTACACATTTATGTTGTTATGTGAAATTTTTTTATGTGTTTATAATGTGTAGTGATCAAATCGGGGTTTTAAGGTGTTCCGCACCTGAGTACAATACATTTTTGTATAACTATAGTCACCCTACTCTGTTATCAAACATTGAATTTATTTATTCTAACAGTATGTTTTTATCCTTTAGCTCACTTCTCTTCATCCTCCCCCACTTATTTATCTTTCCACTTTCTACCTTTATGTGATCAAATTTTTTAGCTCCCACATGTTAGTGAGAACATGCAATATTTGTCTTTTTGTGCCTGGCTTATTTCACTTAAGAGAATGACCTCCATTTCCAACCATGTTGCTGCAAATGACATGAGTTCACTATTTTTATGGTTGAATAGTATTTTGTTGTGTATGTGTGTATACATACACATATATGTACACATATATGTGTATGTATATATACATGTACATCTGTATGTATATGTATATCTGTAACACTTTATCCATTCATTAGTTGATAGACACACAGGTTGATATCTTTGCTATTAGGAATAGTGCTGCAATAAATGTGTAAGTACAGGTAACCCTTTGATATATTGATTTCTTTTCCTTTGAGGAGATACCCAATAGTGGGATGGCTGGACCAAATGGACTGTATTTTAGTTTTTTGTGAAATCTCCGTAGTATTTTCCATAGTGGATGTACTAGTTTACATTCCCACCAACAATGTATAAGAGTTCTCTTTTCTCTGCATCCTTAAATGATCGATTTTTGTCTTATTTCTCCTTTATTTTTGAAGGATAATTTCACAGGGTACGGAATTCTAGGTTAGTAGTTTTTTGTTTTTTGTTTTTTGTTTTTTTTTGCTAAACACTTTAAATATTTCACCCTACTGTCTTCCGGCTTGCATAATTTCTGAAAAGGCAGATGTAATTCTTATCTTTTCTTCTCTATAAGTAAGGTGGTCTTTGTGGGTTCTTTTTCTTTACTCTTCTATTTGCTTTCAGGATGTTGTTGTTTTGTTGTTGTTGTTGTTGCCTACGGCACTTGGTATTTCCTAATGGTTTCCCATTCAAGTACTAGCCAAACCCAATCTTGCTTAGCATTTTTTTTTTTTAATTTAAGTTCTAGGGTACAAGTGCACAACGTGCAGTTTTGATACATGTGCCATGTTGGTGTGCTGCACCCATCAACTCGTCATTTACATTAGGTATTTCTCCTAATGCTATCCCTCTCCCTGCCCCCCACCCCCCAACAGGCCCTGACGTCTGATGTTCCCCACCCTGTGTCCAAGTGTTCTCATTGTTCATTTCCCACCAATGAGTGAGAACATGCAGTGTTTGGTTTTCTGTCCTTGTGATAGCTTGCTGAGAATGATGGTTTCCAGCTTCATCCATGTCCCTGCAAAGGACATTAACTCATCCTTTTTTATGGCTGCATAGTATCCCATGCTGTATATGTGCCACATTTTCTTAATCCAGTCTATCATTGATGGACATTTGGGTTGGTTCCAACCCAAATTCACAACTTTGCTATTGTGAATAGTGCCGCAATAAACATATGTGTGCATGTGTCTTTATAGTAGCATGATTTATAATCCTTTGGGTATATACCCAGTAATGGGATTGCTGGGTCTATCCCATTACTAGTTCTAGTTATTTCTAGTTCTAGATCCCTGAGGAATCCCCACACTGTCTTCCACAATGGTTGAACTAATTTACACTCCCACCAACAGTGTAACAGCATTCCTATTTCTGCACATCCTCTCCAGCATCTGTTGTTTCTGACTTTTTAATGATCGCCATTCTAACTGACATGAGATGGTATCTCATTGTGGTTTTGATTTGCATTTTCCTGATGATCAGTGATGATGAGCATTTATTCATGTGTCTTTTGGCTGCATAAATGTTTTCTTTTGAGAAGTGTCTGTGCCTATCCTTTGCCCACTTTTTTGATGGGGTTTTTTTTTCTTGTAAATTTGTTTGAGTTCTTTGTAGATTCTGGATATTAGCCCTTTGTCAGATGGGTAGATTGCAAAGTTTTTCTTCCACTCTGTAGGTTGCCTGTTCGCTCTGATGGTAGTTTCTTTTGCCGTGCAGAAGCTCTTTAGTTTAATTAGATTCCATTTGTCTATTTTGGCTTTTGTTGCCATTGCTTTTGGTGTTTTAGTTATGAAGTCCTTGCCCATGCCTATATCCTGAATGGTTTTCTTCTAGGGTTTTTATGGTTTTAGGTCTAACATTTAAGTCTTTAATCCATCTTGAATTAATTTTTGTATAAGGTGTAAGGAAGGGATCCAGTTTCAGCTTTCTACATATGGCTAGCCAGTTTTCCCAGCACCATTTATTAAATGGGGAATCCTTTCCCCATTCTTGTTTTTGTCAGGTTTGTCAAAGATCAGATGGTTGTAAATGTGTGGTGTTATTTCTGAGGCCTCTGTTCTGTGTTCCATTGGTCTATATCTCTGTTTTGGTACCAGTACCAAGCTGTTTTGTTTGCTGTAGCCTTGTAGTATAGTTTGAAGTCAGGTAGCATGATGCCTCCAGCTTTAATCTTTTTGCTTAGGATTGTCTTGGCAATGCGGGCTCTTTTTTGGTTCCATATGAACTTTAAAGTAGTTTTTTCCAATTCTGTGAAGAAAGTCATTGGTAGCTTGATGGGGATGGCATTGAATCTATAAATTACCTTGGGCAGTATGGCCATGTTCACAATACTGGTTCTTCCTATCCATGAGCATGGAATGTTCTTCCATTTGTTTGTGTCCTCTTTTATTTCATTGAGCAGTGGTTTGTAGTTCTCCTTGAGGAGGTCCTTCACATCCCTTGTAAATTGGATTCCTAGGTATTTTATTCTCTTTGAAGCAATTGTGAATGGGAGTTTACTCATGATTTGCTGTTTGTCGGTTTTTGGTGCATAAGAATGCTTGTTATTTTTGCACATTGATTTTGTATCCTGATACTTTGCTGAAGTTGCTTATCAGCTTAAGGAGATTTGGGGCTGAGATGATGGGGTTTTCTAAATATACAATCATGTCATCTGCAAACAGGGACAATTTGACTTCCTCTTTTCCTAATTGAATATGCTTTATTTCTTTCTCTTGCCTGATTAACTTTCAAGATCAGATAAGATCAAGCACATTCAGGGTGGTATGGCCATAGATCAGGATTTTTTCTCTTTATCTTCCATCTTGTGTAGTTTGAAAATGATGTGCCTAGGTGTAGGGTTTTTTGCTTTTCATTTTTTTTTCTTCATTTATCCTGCTTGGGTTTTTTCTGAGTTTCGAGGATCTGTGGATGGTGTCTGATACTAATTTGAGGAAATTCTCGGTCGTTGTTTTAGATATTTCTTTTGTTCCTTTCTTTCTTCTTTTTCTAGAAATCCCATTACATGTTATACATTTTGTAGTTGTCCTACACTTCTTGGATATTATATATATATATTTTCAGTCTTTGTTCTGTTCGCTTTTCAATTCTGGCAGTTTCTATTAAGATATATTTCAGGTCAGAGACTCTTTCTTCAGCATATCCAGTCTGCCAGTAAGCCCATCCAAGGCATTCTTTATTTCTTTTACAGTATTTTTTTTTAATCTCTAGCATTTATTTTTGGTTATTTCTTAGAATTTCTATCTCTCTGCTTTTATTGCTCATCTGTTCTTTCATGCTGCTCACTGTATTCATTAGAGCCCTTAGCAACCTAATCATAGTTGTTTTAAACTCCTAGTCTAATAATGTCAACATCTCTGCTATATCCGAGCCTGGCTCTGATGCTTTCTCTGTCTCTTTAAAAACTGTGGTTTTTGCCTTTTAATATGTCTCGTAATGTTTTCTTGGTAGCTGGACATAATGTATAGAATAAAAGTAACTGCAGTAAATAGGCTTTTGGTAACATGTGGTTAAGTGTGGGGAGGAGGAATCATTCTGTAGTCATTTGAATAGGTCTCAGTCTTCTAGTGAACTTTTGCCTCTGAACTTTGAACTTCACACGTATTTCTCAGTTTCCACCTCCTTCCCCTTAGGTGGGAAAGGATGGCTAACATGGGCTGGCACTGGATATTTCTCTTCTTTCAAATGAAACACTAGAGCTATTCGGAGTTGAGTATTTCCCATCCCCCATTAGTTAGACTTTGGTAAAGCCTCAGCATGTTAGGGTTTGGTTAACTAGTTTCTCCTGTGCGAAAACCTTGTTAAGAAGAACAGAATGCTCTGGCATATTTCAAAATGGTTTATTTTTCCCTCCCTCTGCAAGAAGCACAGGCTGATTTTTTATTCTCTAATATTCACCGTGAGAACCTGGTTGAGTTCCTGGAGGTAAAACTCAAAAAAGTGTGGGGCCGTCAATGATTGGCTAACTGGCCTCCCACTGGAGTTTTATCTCTCAGACTTTTCCATAGTGAGATTTCAGCAATTCATCAGTTATAGTTAAGGTTTCCCTACTTCACCACTGGTTCCCCTGGTGAGTTTGTATTTGTGAGTTTCTGCTACAGCAAGCTATGGCTGTTGGTCTCTCCAACTTGAGGTGCAGTGGTTTGCCCTGTGACCCCAACTCTCTGTTATATCTCAAAGGAGTCATTGATTTCTGTTTGTTCAGTTTTTTACTTCTTAGGATGAAATGGTGACTTCCAGCTCCTTATGTGCTGGCCTGGAAACTGGAGGTCAATCATTCCTTTGTTACTGATAAATAAAATTCCATTGTATGAATACATCTTTATTTTCTTAGCTGTTCACCCACTGAAGGACATTTGCTTGCTTCTAGATTTTGGCAATTATGAATAAAACCATTATAAACATTTGTGTGCTGGTTTTTGTGTGACTGTATGTTTTCAACTCAATTGGGCAAAAATTAGGAGCACAATTCCTGGATTGTATGCAGGACTATGCTGTCAAAGAAACTGCTAAACACTGTTTTGTAAAATCACACCCTAGGCAAATTTGCAATGAAGAAACAACTTGCCTCTATTTTTCCCCTTTATGTTCTCAACCCATTGTTTTATTGTTGCTTTCACTATTGGCATCCCTCTTTCACTTATAAAAACCCTTGTGATTACATCAGCCCCAGTTGAGTAATACAGGATAATCTCTTCATGTCAACATCCCTGCCTTAATCGTATCTGTAGAGTTCCTTTTGCTGGGTTCTGGGATTAGTATGTGGACATCTTTCGGGGGAATGTTATTCTATCTACCACAGAAAACTACTCAAACTATTTTAGGAAGAAAGGAAGAACTTAATAAGAGAATATATGGGTTTCTTATAGGAATCAAGGCCAGGATTGTTATTGAATCTCATGAGGCGCTGAAACCCATGTCTGAAAAGTTATCAGGAACTAAGACAACACCTCTCTTTAGGAGGCATCATGGTCTTTGATTTCTGGTTCTATTTAAAAATCTGCTTCACCATCTTTTTCTTTGTAGACTGATATTTTTGGCTTCTTCATATGCTTCAGAGGTGACCCTGTAGAGTTCCAGTTCAAAGTTTGACAGATTCTTTCTTTGTTCCAATTTTATACTTTCTGATGAAAAAATATGCCTGGCTTGGTTTGGATTAGGTTCCACTCTCAACACAGCTGAGGATGTGTGTATGGGTAGGCTGGAATGTAGGTTGTACCAAGCTAGCATAATACCAAAATAGTTTTATTTTACTAAAATTATATTCTCTCTCTCTCTCTCTATATATATATATATAGTATATTTATAATACATGGATATATATTTTTAATTTTGTAAGCAAAATGTCCAAAATGTATTATAGTGCAATAGTTAAAACCATGGATTCTGAAGCCATATTATTAAAGTTCTATTCCTAGTTCCACCACTGAGCTGTGAGATCTGGGGAAACTAAAATTTTTGTGCCTTAGTTACATCATTTATTAAATGACAATGATAATAGTGCCTTCTTAGAGAATTATTATGGGGTCTAAATAAGAGCAGTGCCTGGCATATAGTAAAGGCTATATGAGTATTAACTCTTTTAGGGCCATTTAGGAAATCTAGAAAATATAAGAATATATATATTTCCATGTTAGTAATGTCTTTAAATAGTATGTATCAATTATCTATTGCCACAATAATGCTGTGTAACAACTGCTGAACTTCAGTGGCATTTAATGTTAAACATTTACTTAGCTTATGAGTCTCTCGGGCTTGGTTAATTTGTGCTTGGCTTGAATGATCTTGACTGGATTTGCTTATTTGACTGTGGCCAGCTGCTGGTTGGTGAGGTAACTCTGCTAATCTTGGTTGCAGTCACTCACATCTAGAGATCACCTGGTATTACCTCATCTAAGATAGCTTTTCCTGGATGACTGAGACAACTTGGCTGTTCTGTATATCTTTCCTTTTCTAGCCGGCTAGTGAGCTAGACAAGGCTTGTTTGTTTGGCAATGGCAGGAACAAAAAAGCAACAAGCAAAAATATTCAAGGTCTCTAGAACCTTAGACTTACTGTATTGGCCAAAACAAATCACCACCTTCCCACCCCAAATTTTAGCAGGGGTGAGAAGGTGGGATAGACTTTATCTCTTTGGAAAGAGGAACTGCAAAGTCACATAGCAAAGGGCATGGGTACTACGTGGTCTAAATAATTGGACTCTTGTAAGCAATTTATTACATGGCATTTAATTTTCTTGTTGTAGATACTCAGATTTTTTTTCATAAAATATTTTATGGATAATGATGGGATATTAGAAAATAACTGATTTTCCATGTTTATCTAATGTATAGTCACTTTATTAAACTTGTTAATTTGATAAACTTTCAGCTTTTAAAGATTTATATAATATAAATTCAGAATATAAATTATTTGCAAAATGTATGTGTGTGTGTACATGACTGAAATGTATATTTTTTATTTTATGAGTTACACCTTTGTGTAACTTATAATTTGTATTTTATATTTTAATTCTGTGGCCAGAATTTTAAGAACAAAGTTTTGTCACTGATTTTTAAAGTAATACATCTAATTTTACTTTTTTTAAGTAAGATACTGTTTAAGATAAATATTCTTAAATATTCCTTGCAGTGTTAAGTAAATATTCTTTTTTTGTGTGTGTGTTTTTTTAAAGATTTATAGTTAACCCTTCAATAATGCAGGAGTAAAGAGCACTGATCAACCAAACAGTTAAAAATTTCCATATGCTATGGTTTGGCTTTGTGTCCCCACCCAAATATCATGTTAAATTGTCATTCCCAATGTTGGGGAGGGAATTGGTGTGAGGTGATTGGATCATTACGGTGGATTTCCCCCTTGCTGTTCTTGTGATAGTGAGTGAGTTCTCATGAGATCTGATGGCTTAAAAGTGTGTGGCACTTCTTTCTTCTCTCCCTCTCTTCTGCCACCATGTGAAGATGTGCTTGCTTCCACTTCACCTTCTGCCATGGTTGTAAGTTTCCTGAGGTCTTTCAGCCATGCTTCCTGTACAGATTGTGGAACTGTGAGTCAATTAAACCTCTTTTCCTCATAAATTACCCAGTCTCAGGTAGTTCTTTATAGCAGTGTGAGAATGGACTGATATAGCATAAAACTTTTGACTCCTCCAAAGCTTAACTACTAGTAGCCTATTGTTGACTAGAAGCCTCACTAATAATATAAACAGTAAAGTAACACATATTTTATAAATTATATGTGTTATATACTACATTTTTACAGTAAAGTAAGCTAGAGAATATAAATGTTACTTAGAAAATCAAAATGAAGAGAAAATATGTTTACTGTTTATTAAGTGGAAGTGGATTATTATAAAAGTCTTCATCCTTGTCATCTTCATGGTGAGTAAAGTGAAGGAAGAGAAGAGGGAGGGGTTGGTCTTGCCATCTCAGGAGTGGCAGGTGGAAGAAAATCCATGTGTAAGTGGACCCATGCAGTTTAAACCTGTGTTGTTCAAGGGTCAACTCTATTAGGAAAGTGGGTCTAAACATTATGTTATGTCAGAGTTCTTGGCTTATATTAAGAAGTTTAATAAGTAAAAGGATCACAAGACAGTAATTAGCATATGAAGTTGACTTACTCCTTTCAACCAAATTTTTTTAAGTTTCTTTGCCAAGTGTAAGATAAATGAAGATAAGAACAATCTCTAAGACTTCTTCAGTGGGCTTCTACGTGTACACTGTTACAATTCAACTCTCCCAGGCCTCATCTTATTCTTATATGCCTACCTGTTCTAAAACTCATAGGCAGTTATTTTTGGGGAATCCTGATTACTCTGTAATAGGGCCAAAACATATAGAACATATGCAAAAAGAAAATAATGGTGGTTTCCTTATTTGACTATTGCTCTTTTTCCTCCAATGGCCTCTTGTTGTTAACAGTATGCAACCAAACAAAAGGTTTTTCCTCTCAGCAATCAATCTTCTTAACATGGTGCATTTTTTTTTTTTTTATAGCAGCAGCAAGATTTATTGTGAAGAGTGAAAGAGCAAAGCTTCTGCAGCGTGGAAGGGGATCTGAGTGGGTTGCCCTTTTTTTTTTTTTTTTTTTTTTTTTTTTTTTTTTTTTGAGCAGCAGCAAGATTTATTGTGAAGAGTGAAAGAACAAAGCTTCCACAGTGTGGAAGGGGACCCGAGTGGGTTGCCCTTCAACATGCTGATTTCTAAAGTCCATCAAAGTTAAGGATTCAAGAAAATAACAGTTATGACAGGAATATGCTATGAAACTCTGAGCTGTCATTGGAGGTGGATTTCTACCCAATGAAGGATTAAGTTTTAGATCTGACTCCTATGAACAGACGCTTTTTTTTTTTTTTTTCTTGCCTAAGAGAATCCTGCTCACGAAAGCAGAAAACACAAGTTAAAAATTACTGAGACTATTTTTTTTTTTTTGGAGGATTTATGTAGTATAAGATATCTATCTTTCAGCATTTGAGCATTTTCTTCCTTTGGCAACTTCCTAATCTTACTAGGAAGATTATTAGCATTAGTCTGTATTCACACTGCTAATAAAGACATAATGGAGACTGGGTAATTTATAAAGAAAAAGAGATTTAATGGATTCCCAGTTCCACGTGGCTGGGGAGGCCTCACAATCATGGCAGAAGGCAAAAGGCCCATTTTACATGGTAGCAGAAAAGAGAAAAATGAGGTTGGGTGTGCGGTGGTTCACGCCTGTAATTCCAGCACTTTGGGAAGCCAAGGCAGGTGGATCACTGGAGGTCAGGAGTTCAAGACCAGCCTGGCCAACATGGTGAAACCCCATCTCTACTAAAAAAATACAAAAATTAGCCAGGTATGGTGGCAGGCGCCTGTAATCCAAGCTACTTGGGAGGCTGAGGCAGGAGAATTGCTTGAACCCAGGAGGCGGAGGTTGCAGTAAGCCAAGATCATGCCATTGCACTCCAGCCTGGGAGACACAGCAAGACTCCATCTCAGAAAAAAAAAAAAAAAAGAGAAAAATGAGAGCCAGGTAAAAGGGGAAAACCCCTTATAAAACAATCAGATCTTGTGGGACTTATTCACTACCATGAGAACAGCATGGGAGAAACTGCCCCCATGATTCAATTGTCTCCCACTGGGCCCCTCCCACAACACGTGGGAATTATGGAAGCTACAATTCAAGATGAGATTTGGGTGGGGACACAGCCAAACCATATCACTTACCATAAATATTTGATGATTAGGATAAATTTTCTTCCCAGCACAGGGTGGGCATTCAAAAGCAATGTTTCAGATGACTCAAATGTTGGTAAGAGGAAGAGCATGTTTTTTGTAAAACCAGTTTTAATAAGTTGTGCCAGAAGTTTACTACAATTAAAGGGGTTGTAAAAACAATATTTTGATAAAGGATAATTTCAAGTGTTTGCTTTATTGTGTTTATTTGCATAGTTTAGATAGTCATGTTGCCTGATGAGCCAAATGAAGGGAAAATTTTAGATATCAAATGTTCACTCCAAGGAATTGTTAGTAGTCTGGAAGACATACTTTAGCAAATGAAAGATGCTGAAACTAAAAATATAGTTATTTTAATATTTTTCTTCTGCCATATGATTTAATTGCAACCAATTGTAGCTCATGTGCAGATGCTTAATTTCATTCAATGATTCAAAAATATTTATTGGACACCTACTATCTGATGATTAAATTAGATAACTAAATGTTTTTATTAAAAAAAAGTGCTATAACAATGCAAGGTGATGGTCTTCAGTTGTAACAAATGTACCACATTAATGCAAGATGCTAATAGTGGGAACTGTGTGTGTATCAGAGAAAGAGGTTGCATACTAGAACTCTGTACTTTCCTCTCAATTTTTTTTGTATATCTGAAACTACTCTAAAAAAGTCTCTTAAAAGAAAGCAAGGTAATTTTGTTGTTGATACTGAATGTAAGGTACAGTATCACAATATTATTTAATAATTATGACTGCTAGCTAAAAGAAGATGGAAAATGTTTAAAACACTAACCCAGAGGTTTCTGGTTCAGGTAATAGATTAAGTACCATAATTTGAAAGAAATTCATTGGGTCCTGAGGCAGGTTTCTGGTTTGGGTGGATCCTGAGAAAGAAGTAGAATAGATCTTGGGGTCCTTCAAAATAATACAGAGGAAAATTAAAAGGATAGGGTGTTGCACTCATGGGTACAAAAGGCTAAAGCACTTTGACTTCAGAGTAAACCCCTCTTTATTTTGTCAAATGGTAGCCTTGTCTGCCTGTTGGTCTGTTCCCAGGCCACCTATCTTACAGGGAACTCTGCCTGTTGACAAGTGTCATGCCTTTCTATGAAGCCTACCCTCTTCTTCAAAAGGATTGTTAGGGAAACAGGACAACCAAACTGCAGATGCAACTCACACAGGAGGAAAAAGAATAGAATGGAAGAGACAGATCAAGACGAACAGACAGAACAACCAACACCTGGATGAAAAAGAAACAATTTAGGTAAGAGAAGAGAATTTAAAAAAAATTAAAATTCTACTTAGTGTCTTCGGGAGTATTAAGGAAGTTGGATCCATAAAACAAAGATGACTACTAAACAAAAAGAAGCAATTAGAAGATACAAAAGAGTTCTTGGAAATTTAAATATTCAGTATACATGCTAAATATTAGAAAGAACACAGTTGAAAAAAAGATCGGCAATCTGAAAGATAAAGTCACAGAGAGATAAATAATAAAATAAATAGATGAGAAACGTGATGGAAAAGTTAAGGGACATGGTAGATTTAGTGGGTACAGCATTCATAGAAATCACATAAGGATACACTTGAGGGAGTGGAAAGGAGAAAATGATGGAAGACAATTTTTTTTTGAACTGAAGATAGAAAGATTTCTTTAGATTGAAAAGGTCCCCTAAGAGCCAAGAAGAAAAATAAAATCTAGCATCATTTTGATAACAATTCAAACTCTAATGATAAAAAGGAAATCCTAGAAGCTTTCAGAGACAAAACAAGATCATTACAAAGGAATAAGCATCGGCATTGGGAGCACTTCAGCAATACTGGTAGTATAACAGTTCTTTCCAAGCTTGAGATAAAAATGATTTCAAATCTTGAATCTGTAAACAAACAATCAAGTCATGGTAGGATAGGTTGTCAAAATGAAAAGATTCAGAAAGTTTACAACCAATGGGCACCATATGAAGAAAACTGAGAATGTGCAAGGTAAATACAGAAGATACTGGAAACAGTAAGGACCAGGATGACCCAGGTGACACAATTCTTTAGCTGTTACTGTACTTGATTTTACAAGAAAAATACTTATGTGTTCATTACAATTACATTGTAAGGGCTGTTTGTTTTTAGTTTTAAAAATGAACCTAAGGCCCAGAGAATATAATTTTAGGTACTGATCATAATGTAAACTATTATAAACTTAACAATGTAAGAAATCATAACAATAAAATTTCAATTTAAAATTCTTGTAGTTTGTCATTAAATTCACTGGTTCTGTGTGACTTTCTCCTATGGCCTATGTTGGATATATAAGAGCCAAGTGTTATCCATTCAGATTGCTTCAATCATCATCTCTTCCAGATAAATGCTGAGTCAGTATTTTCAGCTCAAACGTCACTCTTAGACTCCAGCTTATATTTTAGACAGCCAGCTGAATGTCTTGCTCTGGATGTCCTACCAGAATAGCAAAATTCAACATGTCTCAGTCTGAATCCATCATGTACTCCCTCTTAAATGCTCAACAGCCTTTTCCTTATGATGCCCCTATCTCTAATTAACCCTACCACAACTTAATACTTAGTCTTTGTATTAGTTAGAGTTCTCTAGAGGGACAGAACTAATAGGATAGATGTATATATGAAGGAATTTATTAAGGAGTATTGACTCACATGTTCACAAGGTAAAGTTCCACAATAGGCTGTCTGCAAACTGAGGAGCAAGGAAACCAGTCCGAGTCCCAAAACCTCAAAAGTAGGGAAGCCAACAGTGCAGCCTTCAGTCGGTGGCCAAAGGCCAGAGAGTCCTGGCAAACCACTGGTGTAAGTCCAGTGGTCCACAAGCTGAAGAACTTGGAGTCTGATGTTTGAAGGTAGGAAGCATCCATCACAGGAGAAAGGTGAAGGCCAGAAGACTCAGCTAGTCAGCTCCTTCCACCTTCTTCTGCCTGCTTTATTCTAGCTGTGCTGGCTGCTGATTAGATGGTGCCCACTCAGATTGAGGGTGGGTCTGCCTCTGCCAGTCCACTGACTCAAATGTTAATCTTTGGCAACACCCTCACAGACACACCCAGGAACAATACTTTGCATCCTTCAATCCAATCAAGTTGACACTCAATATTAACACTCAGTCATCCTTGATACTTCTTTATCTCATCCTCTTATATGTGAGCTATAAAATTCTACATTCCTACCTTTGTCATATTTTTTGCACGGTAAGACAAAAAGCCCTTTATATCCACTTTTATCTCAACTTTCATTGTCTCTTGCCTTGACTGGTGCATCAACTTCCTAAACCCATATCTACCTTGTCTTGAATACCTATCATTATTAGATTAATCATCCTAAAGTGTAGATATAATTTGGTTATTCTTTGCTCAAAAATTTGCAGGGCCATTTAATAGTTTCCTAATATCTATTGCAGTAGTTCTCAAATTTTAGTGTGATAATAAGCAGCATCTGGGAAGCTAGCTATAATGCACATATTGGAGGCCTGCTGGCAGAGATTCCTATTTATTCGTGAATGGGGCTCAGGAAGCTATTTTTAACAGCTATCCCATGTAAGTTGAAATACATTTGTTCTTTGGGCTAATATCCAAATTTTTTAACCTTAATGATAATAATCAATAACTTGTTTCTAGAATACTTTTTGAAGTCTTTATGCACCACCCCCTAAACATATACATGCTTTAATGATATGAAACCATTCTCTCTAAATACCAAATTTTCCAGACTTCACTGATTTTCTTAATCTTTTATTTCCAGTTAAAGTATACTGCCTGTTAATTGCTGCCTATCCCGCTCATGTATGGTTTGATACTTAGCTGGCAGAGGAAATACCATGATCACAAAGGTGGTTTTCCCAGGGTGAGGTTTATCCATTAAACTCAGGATGTGCTGACCCCTGCGATTTCCCCAAATGTGGGAAACTCAACTGCATAATTGGTGATAGTGAGAGACTGCGTTCTCACTTTCCCCTAAGGGGGGTGTGGGGATGAAGTATGGTTTGAATGCCACCCTCTAATGAAGCATTTCCCATCCCCTGACCCAATGTGAGCTCTCCTTTCTCTGAAACCCCGTAGTATTGTAATAGGGTGACCCTGCATGATATTAGACCTAGGAATTTTTCTGAATTTTAGTGAAAAAGACAGAAAAAAACAATTAAAGCAGAGGCCAGTGTTCTAGATCCTAATAGGCAAAGTCCTAGATTTATCTGTAAGGCAAACTTCCCTTTGTTCTGGGAAGCAAGTTGGACTTAGTGAAGCACCAGTCATCTGTGCAGTTTGTGCTTACATGCCAATCTAGACAGTGTATTCACATAGAGAAGTTAGCAGACAATGATGTGCTGCTTCTTGATTTTAAAAAACTCTAAATATGATTAGATTCAGTGTGGTATGCAAAAATGAATGGTGACTGTATGAATTTGCTAAGGTTGCCAAAAAAAAAAAAAAAGCATCACAGACCAGGTGGCTTAACCAACAGAAATTTATTTTCTCATAGTTCTGAAGGCTAAAAGTCTGAGATCAAAGTGTTGGAAGGGTTGGTTTCTTTTCAACTTGCTAAGTAGATAGCTGTGTTTTTCCTGTGTATTTGCATGGTCTTTCCTCTGTATATGTCTGTGTCCAAATTTGATCTTCTTGTAAGCACACCAGTCGTAATGGATTAGCACCCATCCTAACATATTCATCTGAACTTAAGTACTTTCTATTTTAAATTTTATTTTATTTTTTTGAGATGGAGTTTCGTTCTTGTCGCCCAGGCTGGAGTGCAATGGCGCGGTGTCGGCTCACTGCAACCTCTGCCTTCGGGTTTAAGCAATTCTCCTTCCTCGGCCTCTCAAGTAGCAGCGATTACAGGTGTCTGCCACCATGCCCGGCTAATTTTTGTATTTTTAGTAGAGACAGGGTTTCACCATGTTGGCCAGGCTGGTCTCCAACTCCTGACCTCAGGTGATCCACCTGCCTCAGCCTCCCAAAGTGCTGGGATTACAGGCATGGGCCACTGCGCCCAGCCAAAATTAAGTACTTTCTAAAAGGCTCTATTTCCAAATACTCTCATATTCTGAGGTATCAGGGGTTAGGACTTCAACGTATAAACTTTTCAGGGGCAAAATTCAGCTTCTAGCAGTGAGTATAAGCTACTACCATTTTATACTGGTTATTATTGAGAGGAGATATATTCACAACAGGATTTGAAATAAGAAATGAATTTGAAACAGTTTTTAATGACCTGGATTATGCTACTAATTATTATATTTTATTTTTTTCGGTTGGCTCCTTCAAGTGGTGTATTTCAGCAATACGTTCACTATCCTTTTTAGCCTATCTATATTATCTCAGAATAAAAATGTCACAATTTTAAACATTAAACTGCTCAGAATATCTCATAAAGAATCAACTATGAAGAGTCATTCCTTTCCCACTACTTGATTTACTCCCACTCTTTTTTTTTTTTTTTTTTTTTTTGAGACGGAGTCTCGCTCTGTCGCCCAGGCTGGAGTGCAGTGGCGCGATCTCGGCTCACTGCAAGCTCCGCCTCCCGGGTTCGCGCCATTCTCCTGCCTCAGCCTCCCGAGTAGCTGGAACTACAGGCGCCCGCCACCACACCTGGCTAATTTTTTGTATTTTTAGTAGAGACGGGGTTTCACTGTGTTAGCCAGGATGGTCTCGATCTCCTGACCACATGATCCGCCTGCCTCTGCCTCCCAAAGTGCTGGGATTACAGGCGTGAGCCACCGCGCCCGGCCTACTCCCACTCTTTAAGTATGTTATTAGACATTTTAAAAACCACGTCCAAATACTTGAACAGGGCATAGTTAATATTTCCAGTGTTGAATACAATCTCATTGTATTTTATCTATGAGGAAAAACTTTGAAGTCCAGAGATGTATGATTTGCTAAGGTCACAGAGTTAGAAAGGGAAAGACTTGGGTTTTTGAACTCAAATTTGTTGAAGCCAAGGCCCATTCCCCTCATTAGTTTACTAGGTTGCATAATGACTCCCAAAATTTACGTCCACTTGGAATGTCAGAATGTGACTTCATTTGCAAATAGGGACTTTGTAGATGTAAAGTAAGCATCAAGATGAGTTTATGCTGTACTAGGGTCAGCCCTAAATTCACTTCTAAGAGACAGAAGGACACCCAGGAATACATGGAAGGCCATGTGAAAATGGAGGCAGAGCTTGGAGTGATGCCCGCCACAAGTCAAGGGATGCTGGGAGCCACCAAAAACTGGAAGAGGCAAGGAAAGTTTCTCCCCGAGAGCCGTTAGTGGGAGTGTGGCTCTGCTGGCAACTTGATTTCAGACTTCTAGCCTCCAGAACTCTGAGGTAATAAGTTTCTCTTGTTTTAAGACCCCAGGTTTGAAGTAGTTTGTTACAGCAGCCCAAGAAACAATTAATATGTCTGAAAGTGCTACCAGATGATTTGCATGTCTCTTTAGAGTGATTACCCTGACAACATAAAATACTTTTGCCACATTGAGATCCCCTTAAAAAAAAAAACAAACCCAGCAACTATTGTGAAACCAAGATAGAGAAGAGATACTACCTGAGTGTGCAGTGTCTGCTTTCTTTATTTTATATCAATTTTTCAGAATCAGTAAGAAAATGGAAGACCATCTTGCTCTAACCGTTGTGATAAGAGTTTTTCCTTGTTAATAATTTAGAATATTATTTAAAGATTAACACAGAGACATAATAATGTGGAAGGAAAATCCAAATAAATTGTTGAGCAAAATTTAAGTCTTCAAAGAAATTTGACCTAATGATGGGTGAGATTGAGCTGTCCCTCTCCAACTTTTTTTTTTTTGGATGGAATCTCGCTGTGTTTCCCAGGCTGGAGTGCAGTGGCACGATCTCGGCTCACTGCAACCTCCACCTCCAGGGTTCAAGCGATTCTCCCTGGCTCAGCCTCCCGAGTAGCTGGGATTACAGGTGCCCACCACCCTGTACAGCTAATTTTTCTATTTTTAGTAGAGATGGGGTTTCACCATGTTGGCCAGGCTGGCCTCGAACTCCTGACCTCAGGTGATCCACCTGCCTCGGCCTCCCAAAGTGCTGAGATTACAGGTGTGAGCCACCATGCCTGGCCCCCTCTCCAACTTTCTTAAGGATAAAGTTTATTTACTTTTTGCTTTTACAAATACGGTTTGCTACAATAAACTAAGAAACAATAAGAACATGAACAATAGTGGCATGAAATAGTTCAGTTGTTTATATAAGGAACTGGCATAAACTACCCCCATCATCTCACATATTGTTTAGCCATTTGCATAGATAAGTAAGTCATTTTCTGATCTAAAATAGCTGGATTTTTCCAAACCTACTACTTCCATTATTTTCACTTTACAATTGAAGTGAGTTTCAAACTATTGTTTATTTGTTTGCTTAATTGTACTTTTAACTAAATTGTTCTGCCAAGAGTTGAGTGCTCTTAGACAACGGAATAGTCCAGTAATTTACCTCTGAAGTTTAAATGATAATTTTATGCAATCATCTCTCAGGATTTCCTGAATAACATACATGAATATATAGGTGATTGTGGCTAATTGTTATCTGCACAATAATGGTATGTCCTAACTTTTAAAAGAGTACCTCAGTACATACTGGGATTTTAAGATAACTGCTGCTACTGTAACTTTCTATGCAATCATTGGTTGTGGATGGGCAGGATTCATTTTTGCACTGTCATGGCTTGGCATCCCAGAGGCAACACAATGTCACATAGAATTCTCAAGATTTTCATATTATTCTTAATTTCCCTTACCTTATTTTCTAAGGTTTTTAGCCTATGCTTTGAAATTCAAGTTTTTAACCACATATACAGGCTCCAGATTGAAAATACAATTTTAAAATAATTATTTCATACAAATTAAATAAATAATGATATAAAAATTATGAGTAGAATTTTCAGTACTGTAGGGTAATGCGGAGATTACTAAAGTAGAGCGTGAACTCAATAATAATGGTAACAACAGCTAATATTTAATAGTTATCCACCATGTTTACCATGCAAAATTAATACTTTATATAAATGTTATCTTTCCTCCAACCCATGTGATACCGTTTGGATTTGTGCCCCCACCCAAATCTCTTGTCAAATTGTAATCCCCAATTTTCGAGGAGGAGCCTGGTTGGAGGTTATTGGATCATGGGGGCAGACATCCCCCTTGCTGTTCTCATGATAGTGAGTGAGTTCTCACGAGATCTGCTTTTTGAAAAGTGTGTATCACCTCCCACTTCTTGCTCTTCCTCCTACTCCAGCTATGCAGGATGTGCCTGCTTCCCCTTCTCTTTCTGCCATGATTGTAAGTTTCCTGAGGCCTCCCCAGTGATGCTTCTTGTACAGCCTGTGGAACTGTGAGTCAATTAAATTTCTTTTCTTTATAAATTACCCAGTCTCAGGTGTTTCTTTATAGCAATGTGAGAATGAACTAATACACCATGAACTAGCTATTGTACTTCCTATGCTAGTTTTGCAGATAAAGAAATGGGGATACAAACTAATCAAGAACATTCCCAAAGATTCCTACTTGAACCTCAAATTGTTTGACCCGCAGCCATTGTCTTTTGTTCTTAGTTGCCGCACATATAATACTGTCTCTCTAGTTGTGTGTGTATGTGTGTGTGCTTTATCATTTGTTTTATTGTGGTAAAAGATAAATATTTGAGATATATATATCATAAAATTACCATTTTTACCACTTTTAAGCATATAAGTCAGTGGCATTGATTATATTCACAATGTTATGCCACCATCACCATTATCTATTTTCAAAATTTTTCTTCACCCCCAACAGAAATTTTATACCTACTAAGCAGTAACTCTCCATTCCCACTTCCCCCAGCCCCTAGTAACCTCTAATCTACCTTATGAATTTGTCTATTCTGGATATTTCATGTAAGTGGAATCTTATAACATTTGCCTTTCTGTATCTGGCTTATTTCACTTAGCATATTTTCAGGGTTTATTCATGTGTGATGTGTATCAAAACTTAACTTCTTTTCATAGATGAATAACATTCCACTGTATGTATAGACCACATTTTGTTTGTCCCTTCCTCTATTGATGGGTGCTCAGGTTGTTTGTAACTTTTGGCTATTGTTAATAATGCTGTTGTGAACATTAATGAACAAGTATCTGCTTAAGTCTCTGCTTTCATTTCTTTGTGGTATGTATGTAAGAGTGGAATTGCTGGGTCATATGGTAAGTTTATGTTTAACATTTTGAGGAACCACCAAACTGTTTTCCACAGTGAATGCACCATTTTACATTCCTACCAGTAAAGCGTAAGGGTTTCAATTTTTCCATATTATCAGTAATACTTATTATTATTTTTTTAAAATTATAGCCATCCTAGTAGTATACAGTGGCATCTCATTGTTGTTTTTCTATCTGTGTTTTTGCATTAAAACAATTAATTAATTGCATTAGGCAAGGAACTTAAAGAAATTTTTGGTAACCAATGAATTTTTTATGATCAATAGTAAGATAGTTTGTAAGATAACTTTGTTCATCAAAATATTAACTTCTGGATCTCCACCGACTCACAGAGAAAATATAATTTTGAATCACACATTAAATCTCTCCACCATGTTAGAACATGTGTTCTCCCTGCAGTGGTACAGTCCAATCACTCTGATGCTGCTACACCTCTAGTTCTTGTTATGGGAATCTCCAATAACAAGAAGGTGCAAACATGTCCAATCACTATTAGTTCCAGTCACCCCCAACCCAATTCTAATAGAGTAGGCAAAAATGAATTTATTGGCTCCCATTATTGTGAAGGATATTGCAGCAGTTCACAAGAAAGAAAATCTAAAGAGAGCAAAGACTTGAGGCTAGAAATTGAGATTCTTCCCTGGCAGAGAATATCTGGCTCTTTCTTTCACTCTTCCTGTGTGGCTTTCATTCTCTCCTGCTGCAAGTGAGGAAGATGGCCACAAGTAGTCCTAGTTACACATTCTTCTAGCCATGCTGCAAAGCAAAAGACGGTTTTCCTTAGTATCTCTGTCAGAAAAGTCCTGGGGATTATTCTGATTCACCACAATCCCTGTGGCTGTTAATACTGTGAGGGATGAGTTTGGGTAATAGTGTGCAAGATATGGTGCACGGGGAGAGAACGACACTAGGATTAAGGTAATAGACATTTCAGATATAGAACATACCAAAGACAATAGAATCAACCTTAAAATTCTTATTCTGGGCCTTGTGTGTCAGCAATAGCCAGCAGAGGAGCAAACTTTTGATTTCCTTAAGTTTTGACCAATTCAATATATTCTGTCATTAGTAGACTATTTCCAGAGACAAACTGGATTATATATGTCTTGGTATTCTAAATAAAGAAGTGCTGCAAAGAACTCAAGATAGCACGGTTTTGAATTATTTAAGAGCTATTCCAGTTCCCTTGGGTTTGCTGTGAAAAAGACAGACATATATACAACTATGTTAGTCAGGATTCTTCAGAAAAACAACCAATTGAAGATTATATATATAATCTAATATCTTGAAAGAGTTTAACAAATTGACACACAAGATTGTTGGAGCTGCTAAGTCTGCAATCTGCAGGGCAAGCCAGCAGGCTGGTGACCCAGGGAAGAGTTGATATTGATCTTGAGGCTGAATACAGTCTGGAAGCAGAATTTTTTCCTTTTTAGGGAACTTTAGTCTTTTTTCTTAAGGCCTTCAACTGATGGGATAAGCCCACTCATATTATGGAGGATAATCTATTGATTTGCATATTAATCATATCTAAAAACACCTTCGCAGCAATGTCTAGATTGATGTTTGACCAAACAACTGGGTACCACAGCCTAGTCATGTTGATAAGTAAAATTAACCATCACACCATCCCTCATAAAATTTATAGTCATCAACATTTAAGTATCAATGTGGCTCTCTAGTGATAGAGTCAGAGTTTAATATTCATGTATCTTGTCCTACCATTTCATAAAATTAGTAAACATACCAACTGGGACATATAGGGGCTGTCATCAGAACATTTGCTTTCAGCCATAATGTAGTAAAAGGGACTAGATTTACTCTCCTGCCTAAAACAACCCCCAAAGCAGAGAAAATACATGAAATAGTGCATTACAAAACAATGGACATCATAAAATACAACACAGTTATCCTGTGAATGTGAGACAAAAGGAAGGAGGAACCCAAGGAGAGCTAGTAGACTTCCCAAGTTGAGAGTCAAGGGAGACCAAGGCGCTGGAGAGTTTCCCAAAGTGTTCAGCAGAGTACATTTGGCTCATGCTTGTGAGGAGACCACCCAAGGCTGGGGAAATAACTGAGAGGAACTGGAGAAACAGTGCATAGTGTCTGCTTTCACCAGCCAGACTGGAAAACCTCATGAGACATGGGGCATTAATAAAATTACTCAGAAGGATCTTGCCTCAGTAGTGGGGGACAAATAGCCTTGGACTAAATACAGCTCTGGCCACCTCCTAAAATAGCTTGTAGTTTATTTAATCATTTTATTCGTTGTTTATCATTCCTATTATAATATAATGTTCCTAAAGACCAGGCTTTTCAATTCCTTTCTTCATTTTTGTGTGTTTAGTGCCTTGAACAGTACCTGCCACTCAATAGGATGTCTGATTTGAAAGTGATCTTGGCTTGGGAAAAGTCCATCAGGTGTGACACAAGGCTCAAGGAAAGTATGAGAAAAGGTGAAACCTCAAATAAAAATTTAAGTAAGAGAAACTAAAGGCTTAGTAACTTCTCATCTGAGGGCCAGAAATGTAACTTCCTAATCATTTCTTGGCATAGATCCACTGAATAGGGCGAGGAGGAGGGTACACATCATTTCTGAAAAAATAAAAAAAATAAAAACACATTTTCCTCTTTGTTGGCATCCCCAGGATGTGGGTTCTCTGAATTGACTCACCTAAACTCTACTCTGCCCTCCTCTCCGTTGAGTGATTGATTGAAAAGGCAAAAATTACATTTCCAAGACCCCCTTTCATCTAGGTTTTAAATGCACTTCTCACCTAAATATCCCTATCTCCCTCGTGTGTATCTTTTTTTTTTTTTTTTTTTTTTTTTTTTTTTTTGAGACTGAGTCTTGCTCTGTCGCCCAGGCTGGAGTGCCGTGGCGTGATCTCGGCTCACTGCAAGCTCCGCCTCCTGTGTTCACGCCATTCTCCTGCCTCAGCCTCCCGAGTAGGTGGGACTCCAGGTGCCCGCCACCACGCCCGGCTAATTTTTTTTTTTTTTTTTTGTATTTTTAGTAGAGACGGGTTTTCACCGTGTTAGCCATTAAATGCATATTAGGTTCTGCCAAATAAATGCACTTACATGAGATTTGGAAGGTAGGTGTAAACAGGGGGCCATTCTCCAGTGGTTCTTGGCTCATGATTTTGGCAAGCAATGTTATGGAAACACTAGGTTTCCCCACAATGTTGTTCTAGTATTCCTTCTCTAGCTTCCTGGGTGTTGAAATGCAATGCTGGCAATTGTCATTTCTTGATATGACATCCTATTCCTTGTATTGAATCTTCAGGTGACTATTCTCCATCTTCTTGGGTGTCCAGAGAGTGTTGGAGTGGCTCCAGCATAGCTACAAGGGCAGGCTCGGAGGTGGTATCTGCCCCCAAAAATCATTTCTGTGTTGCATGAGCATCATTTGAGAAGACCTGCTGCATCATCCCTATCAATAAGGCTGTAAGCACCTGATTTCCTGTATCATGTCTTTTCTAGCTTAAAATATAGTGCTTTTTCCTTCTCAGAATCTTGACTAAAAAAACAGAAAGGAAAGGTGAGAAAAAGAAAAAAATGGAATAAAGATGTCTATGTCACAACAGGAATTTTGCCTTGAGAAAAAGCCCTGGTGAGAGCAATACAACTTTGCTGATCTGTCTCTTTCCTTCCATGGGCTTTCCTCTTCTGGGTCCTGTTTATCGGCCACCCTCAATTTTAATTGCACAGTTGAAGGATGTTTCTGGAGACTGTTATTCTTGGGACCACAGTTGCTGACTTCTGTGGCACAAGCTCTTCTTCCCCACTTGAAAATTAGAATTGCTGGAACCAGTGTCATTATCCCAGCATGCTCCATCATCACCAAGTCATCAGCCATACTAGCTCTTACACCCAAGCTACTGAGCGCTGTTGAAGATACTCACACAAGCTTGCAAAATGGTATAAATAAAAATGAGCAGAAACTAACTTGGCTATTCTCAGCAATGTACAGAAAACTTCTGTTAAATAATTCACCATATATCTCGACTCACATATCTCATAAACACCCAAAACTGCCTGTGCCAAACTCAGCTAATTAACTTCTCACCTAAATATCCCCAACCCCTTCCTGTGTATCTTTTTTTTTTTTTTTTTTTTTTTTTTGGCTGAGTCTCGCTCTGTCTCCCAGACTGGAGTGCAGTGGCGCGATCTCGGCTCACTGCGAGCTCTGCTTCCTGGGTTCACACCATTCACCTGCCACAGCCTCCCAAGTAGCTGGGACTACAGGCACCTGCCACCACGCCTGGCTAATTTTTTTTTTTTTGTATTTTTAGTAGAGACGGGTTTTCACCGTGTTAGCCAGGATGGTCTCGATCTCCTGACCTCGTGATCTGCCCAGTCGGCCTCCCAAAGTGCTGGGATTACAGGCGTGAGCCACCGCACCTGGCCACTCTTGCGTATCTTAAGATGACACACCATCCATCAGAAACGTAGGCATTATTCTTGATTTTCTTCTCTCTCACTCTCTGCATTTAAAATTTTGTCAGTTTTGATGTTTTTATGTTTCTGTTTTAAAAATCTACCTGCCCTTTTCACCCTTTGCCACTGTGTTTTCCGGCCCCCATTTTCTCTCATTTGGATTATTTCAACAATCTTCTAACTGCTCTTCTGACCTCCTATCTTGCTCTTCTAATCTATTTTGCACACTGTAGCCAAAGTGATTTTTCATGTCTCTCCTATTGCTCTCAAGAGTATGTCACACGTCCTTAATGTAACAATGAACAGCACCCATTCTTTGTGCTTTCATAGACACTAGTGCTTTTCTTCATCAGAGCACCCACAGAATGATAATATGATTGCCCATGAGAGGAAATAAAATTTGAGGATTTTAAACAATATTTTTACCAAATAGCTAGTGAAACATTTCTGAGAGTGTGAGCATGTCTCTAGAAGAGATTAGCATTTGAATCAGTGGACTGAGTAAAGAAGACCTGCCCTCATCAATGTGAGTGGATATCATACCATTCCTATTTACCTTGACAGTTTTATTTCTAGAGCTATATCCTTTCAGTTTGCCTTGCAGCCAAAAAAAAAAAAAAAAAAAAAAAAAAAAAAAAAGACTTCCATTTAACTACTGGGTCAAATGCTGTCTGATCTTTGGATCTTTTGCATGTGCCCTTTCTCTATGGCGTGCTCTTCTTTACCCTCCATGCCTTGCCTCTGCTCAGAAGTGATTTTTGGCACCTATTCTTTGCGCTTTCATAGACACCAGTGCTTTTCTTCATCCAAGCACCCGCAGAACTATAATATGACTGCCTGTGAAAGGAAGTAAAATTTGAAAATTTGAAACAATATTTTTTCTTCCCTGAAATTGTTATTTTTTGCCCTGCAGGTCTCCATTTATTGAAGCTCAGATACCATTGCTTCAAGGTGCGAGCTGGTATAACTGAAAGCAAAGAAGACATTGCTAAGTTGAACATTTTAACTAGTTTTAAAAAAATTGTTAAAACAGCATTGCAGAAACAATAGTCTGGTAAGCAAGGCTTTCATTTGCAAGAACTTTACAAGAGAAAAAGGATATGCATGACTTAAATAGCCCAAACTTGAAGTACAGAGTCTTTAGTATAAGCCAGTACTTCTGAAGGTATACTCTGTGGACCTCTGGATACTGGCATCAAATGCCCTCGTAGTCATTGTATTCTTCATCACCAAGGAATTACGTTTTTTTTAAAAAAATAGCTTCAGAATGTCCTTGCTGAAGCAGTAAAAAATTAATTTTATTAAATTTTGATCCTTGAGCGCACATATTTTTCAATATTCTGCGTGGTGAAATGGGAAATATATAGAGAGCACTTCTGCTATGTACAAAAGTTCCGTAGTTGAACAACTGTATGGCAATAAACTAGGTAACTTAGATAAAATGAAAAATTTCTAGAAAGACCCAAACTACCTGAACTGATTCAAGAAAGACCAAAAAATCCGAATAGACTTATAACATGTAAAGCGATTCAAATTGTAATACCAACATTCCCATGAAGGAAAGCCCAGGACCAGGTGACTTCACTGGTAAATGCTGTCAAATATTTATGTAATTAATACCAATTATTCACAAACTCCTCCAATAAATAAAAGATGAGAGAACACTTCCCAATGCATTCTATGAGGCTAATTTTATCCTGATACCAAATCTAGGCAAATACATTACAAGAAAAGAAAACTACGGATCAATGTCTTTTATGAATATAGACACAGAATTCCTCAACAAAACACTAGCAAATCAAATCCAGCAGTATATTAAAAGGATTACACTCCATAACCAAGTATGATTTATTCCAAGAATACAAGCCGTTTTGACATCTGAAAATCAATTAATGTAACACACCTCATCAATAGAATAAAGAACAAAAACCATATGATCACCCCATTATAAGCAGAAAAAGCATTTGACAACATTCTATACTTCTTCACAGTAAACACAGTTAATAAACAAGAAATAGAAAGAAATTTATGCAACCTACTAAAGGGCATCTATGAAACACCCACAACTAACTAATGTGGTTAATTGTTAATGGGGTAAGACTGAATGCTTTCCCTCTAATATGTGAAACAAGAGAAAGCTGTTCTGGCCACTTCTACTCAACATTATACTGTTAGCTTTAGTAAGGGCAATTAGGGAAGTAAACAAAATAAAAGGTGTCCATATTGGAAAGGAAGAAGTACAACTATCTTTATTTGCAGATGATGTAATTTTATATATAGAAATTCCTAAGGAATCCACTAAAAAACTATTAGAACTAATAAATGAGTCTAGCCCATTGCTGGACGCATGAGCAATATACAAACATAATTATATTTCTATGCACTTGCAATAAATGATCTGAAAATTAAATTAGGAAAGCAATCACATTAACAATGGCGTCAAAAATAATGCAATGCTGAAGAATAAATTTGGTGAGAGAAGTGCAAGAGTTGTACACTGAGCACTAAAAAACATTTTGCTTTAATTAAAGAAGGCCTGGATAAATAAAAAGATATCCGATACTTGTGGGTTGAAAGACTTAAATAAAAAGATATGCCATACTTGTGGATTGAAAGACTTAATATTGTTAAGGTAGTTATATTAACTAGAGTTCTCCAGGGAGACAGAACCAACTGGAACAGTAGATGGATTGATAGATAGAAGATAGATAGATAGATAGATAGATAGATAGATAGACAGACAGATAGATGAAAGGGGATTTATTAGAATTGGCCCAAGCAATTATGGAGGCTGAGAAGTTCCACAACAGGTGTATTAGTCCATTCTTCATACTGCTATAAAGAACTGCCCAAGACTGGGTAATTTATGAAGGAAAGAGGTTTAATTGATTCACAGTTCCACATGGCTGGGAAGGCCTTAGGAAACTTATAATCACGGTGGAAGGCAAAGGGAAAGCAAGGCAGCTTCTTCACAAGGCAGCAGGAAGGAGAATGAACACGAGGAACTAACAAAAACTTATTTATTTATTTATTTTATTATACTTTAAGTTTTAGGGTACATGTGCACAACGTGCAGGTTTGCACACATATGTTTATTGCGGCACTATTCACAATAACAAAGACTTGGAACCAACCCAAATGTCCAACAATGATAGACTGGATTAAGAAAATATGGCACATATACACCATGGAATACTATGCAGCCAAAAACTTATAAAACAATCAGATCTCATGTGAACTCACTCACTATCATGAAAACAGCATGGGAAAAACTGCCCCATGATCCAATTACCACCACCTGGTCTCTCCCTTGACACATGGGGATTATGGGGATTATAATTCCAGATGAGATTTGGGTGGGTACACAAAGCCTAACCATATCAACAGGCCATCTTTAAGCTCAAAACCCTGGGATGCCTGTAACATGGTTCAGTCCAAGTCTAAAATGATCAAAACCAGAAGGCTGGTGTAATTCTCAGTCTGAGACCAAAGGCCCGAAAACTTGAAAAGTTGCTGGTGTTAACTCCTGGAGTCCCAATGTTGCAGAGTCTGGAATTCTGCTTTCTAAGGGCAGAGGAGGAGAGTGTAGCCTAGGTCCTGGAGGGTGAGAGAAGAAATCCTTTCCCCTCTTTTTTTGTTGTTCTAGTTGGGCCCCAAGGTATTGGATGGCACCCACCCACATTGAGGGTAGATCTTCCCCACTCAGGCCACTGACTCACATGTCAACCTCCCCTAGAAACAACCTTATAGACACATCGAGAAGTAATGCTTTACTAATTATCTAGGTATTTTTTAATTCAGTCGACACCTAAAATTAACCATCACAGTAGCAGTACTCCCAAAATTAATCTACAGATTCAAGACAATTCTTATTAGAATAACAGCTGTTTTTTTTTTTTTTTTTTTTTTTTTCAGAAACTGACAAATTAAAATTCACAGTCAGGTACAGTGGCTCACGCCTGTAATCCCAGCCCTTTAGGAGGCTGAGATGGGGGAATTTCTTGAGGCCAGGAGTCCGAGACTAGCCTGGCCAACATGGCAAAACCCTGAGTCTACTAAAAATACAAAAATTAGCCAGGCATGGTGGCACATGCCTGTATTCCCAGTTTCTTGGGAGGCTGAGGCATGAGAATTGCTTGAACCCGAGAGGTGCAGGTTGCAGGGAGCTGAGACTGTGCCATTGTACTTGAACCTGGGTGACAGAGCAAGACTCTGTCTCAAAAATAAAATAAAATATAATTCACATGGAAATTCAAGGGACCTATTATAGAAGAGCCAGAACAAGTGTGCAAAAAGAACAAAGTGAGACTCTCATTTTTCTCTTATTTCAAAACTTACCACAAAGCTACAGTAATCAAAACTGTATGACACTGGCATAAAGAGACATATAGGCCAATGGAACAGAATTGAGAATCCAGAAATAAAACTATACATCTGTTGTCAACTGGTTTTTAAAAAGTGTACCAAGACAACTCAATGGACAAAGAATAGTCTCCTCAGCAACCAATGCTAGCACACCTGGATAGCCACATGCAAAAGAATGAATTTGGACACCTACCTCACCATGTATATAACAATTAATACAAAATGAATTGAAGGCGTAAATTAAGAGCTAAAACTATAAAACTTATAGAAGGAAACATAGATGTAACGCTTGTGGACCTTGCCTTAGGCAATGGTTTTTTAGATATGACACCAATACCACAAGGGATGAAAGTAAAAATAAACAAGAAATCATGAAATTTAAAAAATGTTATGCTTCAAAGAATGACATCAATAAAAAGACAACCCACAGAATGGGAGAAAACATTTGAAAATTTTAAATCTGATGAGAGTTGTATCTAGAACATATAAAGAACTCCTACAATCGAATAATACAGAGATAAATTGAGTTTATAACTCGATTGACATTTATAAATGTGCAAATAATTAGAAAATACATTTCTCCACTGATGATATACAAATGGCTAATAATCACATAAAAAGATACTCAACATTATTAACCATCAGGGAAATGCAAATAGAACCATTGTGAGGTACAACTTCACACCCACTAGGACGGCTAATATAAAAAAAGACAGATAAAGACAAGGGTTAGAGAGGATGAAGAGAAACTGGAACCCTTACACACTATTGGTGTGAATGATAAATAGTGCAGCTGCTTGGAAAACAGTCTGGCAGGTCCTCAAATGATTGAACATAGAGTTATCACATGATTTAGCAATGGCAATCTTAGTTATATACCCATGAAAAATTAAAATATATCTCCATGCAAAAACTTGTACAGTAATGTTCTTGGCAGCATTGTTTAGCCCAAAATGGAAGCAGCATCAGCTGTTTGAGGCCTTATGGCCAAACAATATTTCATCATATAGATAACCTAGATCTTAAGTTGGCCATAAAAGTGAATGAAGTACTGTACTGATATATGTTACAACTTAGATGAACCTTGAAAACATTATGGTAAGTCAAAGAAGCCTGTTACAAAAACCACGTGATTTTATTTATATGATAGTCTAGAATAGATAAATCTATAGAGACAGAAAGTAGATTAGTGGTTGCCTATCACTGGGGAGGATAGAGGAATTGGAAGATGATGGCTGAAGCGTATTTGGTTTCTTTGGCTGGTAATTGAAACATTCTAAAATTGATTGTGGTTATGATGTACAATGTACAACTCTGTGAATATACTAAAAATCATTGAAATGTACAATTCAAATGGGTGAATTGTGTGAATTTTATCCTGATAAAGCTATTAAAAAATGTCATGACTGTCCAAAGGAAAAGCACTTTTTTTTGACTTGTGAGCTGGACCAGACACTATTTTTATGAAATATAATTTTTGAGTGACCAATTGACAAATAAGCAATTGTTATTAAGACTTGGATATTTGGCAAACATCTTGTCTTGGAAATGAATTACATGAGCTTATAACTTCAGGGAAAACAACTGACAGTATTTGTTTCCAATGGTAAATTTGAGTTTTCAAGTGAAAATTAGAATTATCCTTGAAGACTTGTATCTACTACCTTGAACTTCACTGCGTCCCAATACATAAAGACTTTGCTGATGATATATTAACAAATGTGAGTTTTTGATATGGTATAGTGAAATGCATCAGCATTTGAATGATCCACATAACTCAGTGAACCAATATTTTCAAATGAGCCATGCATGATACAAAATTATGTATGTGTAAAAAGATCTATTTGAGATGTAAGAAAGTCCAACAAATTTTAACATCATAAAGTTTAAAAAGTTTGTTAATTTGGCTGTTCAGATGCCACCTTACAACAAACTTTAAGAAAATACCACTTATCAATGTTAGCTCAATGTAAAAGAAGCATACACCCTAGAATCTAAAAAGGCTATGATAGTATTTCTCCCTTTTCCAATTACATATCTGTGTGACCAGATTTCTTTCAAACAGCATATTGTATCACATTGCATACAGAAGTCAAGATGAGAATACAACTGTCTTCTATTAAGCTAGATATTATAAATTGGCAAAAATGTAAAACCATGCCACTTTTTTAAACTAATTTTTTTGTTTTGAAAAATTGAGTTGGCTGGGCTTGGTGGCTCATGCCTGTAATTCTAGCACTTTGGGAGGCTGAGACGGGTGGATTGCTTGAGCCCAGGAGTTCAAAACCAGCCTGGGCAACAATGTGAAACTCTGTTTCCACAAAAAATACAAACATTGATGCCTGGGAAAGATGGCTGAGTAGGAATAGGTCCGATCTGCAGCTCCCAGTGAGACCAATGCAGAAGGCTGGTGATTTCTGCATTTCCAACTGAGGTACCCAGCTCATCTCATTGGGACTAGTTAGATAGTGGGTGCAGCCCACTGAAGGAAAGCAGAAGCAGGGTAGGGGTGTCACCTCACCCAGGAAGTGCAACAGGTTGGGGAACTCCCTCCCCTAGCCAAAGGAAGCCATGAGGGTCTGCGCTGTGAGGGACGGAGCTATCTGGCCCAGATACTATGCATTTCCCACTGTCTTCACAACTCACAGACTAGGAGATTCCCTCGGGTACCTATACCACCAGGGCCCTAGGTTTCAAGCACAACCTGGGCATCCATTTGGGCAGACACTGAGCTAGCTGCAGGAGTTTTTTTTCATACTCCAGTGGCACCTGGAATGCCAGCAAGACAGAATCATTCACTTCCCTGAAAAGGAGGCTGAAGCCAGGGAGCCGAGTGGTGTTGCTCAGCAGATCTCACCCCCATGGAGCCCAACAAGCTAAGATCCACTGGCTTGAAATTCTCGCTGCCAGCACAGCAGTCTGAAGTCAACCTGGGACACTCGAGCTTGTTGTGGATGTGGGCGGGTGTGTGGGGTGGGGGCATCTGCCATTACTGAGGCTTCAGTAGGCAGTTTTCCCCTCACAGTGTAAACAAAGCCACCAGGAAGTTCGAACTGGGCAGAGTCCACCGCAGCTCTGCAAAGCTGCTGTAGCCAGACTGCCTCTCTAGATTCCTCCTCTCCGGGCAGGGCACCTCTGAATGGCAGCAGCCCCAGTCAGGGGCTTAGAGATAAAACTCCCATCTCCCTGGGACAGAGCACCTGGGGGAAGGGTCAGCTGTGGGCGCAGCTTCCGCAGATTTAAACATTCCTGCCTGCGAGCTCTGAAGAGAGCAGCGGATCTCCCAGCACAGCACGCGAGCTCTGCTAAAGGACAGATTGCCTCCTCAAGTTGGTCCCTGACCCCCATGCCTCCTGACGGGGAGACACCTCACAGCAGGGGTCGACACACACCTCATACAGGAGAGCTCCAGCTGACATCTGGCAGGTACCCCTCTGGGACGAAGATTCCAGAAGAAGGAGCAGGCAGCAATTGTTGCCATTCTGCAGCCCTTGCTGGTGATACCCAGGCAAACAGGGTCTGGAGTGGACCTCCAGCAAACTCCAGCAGAGCTGCAGAAGAGGGGCCTGAGTGTTAGAAGGAAAACTAACAAACAGAAAGGAATAGCATCAAGATCAACAAAAAGGATGACCACGTGACAACCCCATTCGAAGGCCACCAACATCAAAGACCAAAGGCAGACAAATCCATGAAGATGAGGAAAAACCAGTGCAAAAAGGCTGAAAATTCCAAAACCCAGAATGCCTCTTCTCCTCCAAAAGCTGGCAACTCCTCACCAGCAAGGGAACACAACTGGATGGAGAATAAGTTTGATGAATTGACAGAAGTTGGTATGAGAAGGTGGGTAATAACAAACTCCTCTGAGCTAAAGGAGCATGTTCTAACCCGATGCAAGGAAGCTAAGAACCTTGATAAAAGGTTACAGGAACTGCTAACTAGAATAATCAGTTTAGAGAAAAGCATAAATGACCTGATGGAGCTGAAAAACACAGCACGAGAATTTCATGAAGCACACACAAGTATCAATAGCTGAATCGATCAAGCAGAAGAAAGGATATCAGAGATTGAAGATCAACTTAATGAAATAAAGCATGAAGACAAGATTAGAGAAAAAAGAATGAAAAGGAATGAAGAAAACCTCCAAGAAATATGGGATTATGTGAAGAGACCAAACCTATGTTTGATTGGTGTACCTGAAAGTGATGGAAAGAATGGAACCAAGTTGGAAAACACACTTCAGGATGTTATCCAGGAGAACTTCCCCAACCTAGCAAGACAGATCAACATTCAAATTCAGGAAATACAGAGAACACCACAAAGATACTCCTTGAGAAGAGCAACCCCAAGACATATAATTGTCAGACTCACCAAGGTTGAAATGAAGGAAAAAATGTTAAGGGCAGCCGAGAGAAAGTTGGGGTTACCCACAAAAGGAAGCCCATCAGACTAACAGAGGATCTCTCTACAGAAACCCTACAAACCAGGCCAACATTCAACATTCTTAAAGATAAGAATTTTCAACCCAGAATTTCATATCCAGCCAAACTAAGCTTCGTAAGTGAAGGAGAAATAAAATCCTTCACAGACAAGCAAATGCTGAGGGATTTTTGTCACCACCAGGCCTGCCTTACAAGAGCTCCTGAAGGAAGCACTAAATATGGAAAGGAAAAATTGGTACCAGCCACTGCAAAAACATACCAAAATATAAAGACCATTGACACTATGAAGAAACTGCATCAAGTAATGGGCAAAATAACCAACTAGCATCATAATGACAGGATCAAATTCATGCATAACAATATTAACCTTAAATATAAATGGGCTAAATGCCCCAATTAAAAGACACAGACTGGCAAATTGGATAAAGAGTCAAGACCCATTGGTGTGCTGTATTCAGGAGACCCATTTCATATGCAAAGACACACATAGGCTCAAAATAAAGGGATGGAGGAAGATTTACCAAGCAAATGGAAAGCAAAAAAAAAAAAAAAAAAAAAAAAAAGAGCAGGGTTTGCAATCCTAGTCTCTGATAAAATAGACTTTAAACCAACAAAGATTAAAAAAGACAAAGAAGGGCATTACATAATGGTAAAGGGATCAATGCAACAAGAAGAGCTAACTATCCTAAATATATATGCACCCAATACAGGAGCACCTAGATTCATAAACCAAGTATTTAGAGACCTAAAAAGAGACTTAGACTCCCCCACAATAATAGTGGGAGACTTTAACACCCCATTGTCAATATTAAACAGATCAACGAGACAGAAAATTAACAAGAATATTCAGGAACTCAGTTCTGAATACCTTGACAATCATCTCTGGACCAAGTGGACCTAATAGACATCTACAGAGCTCTCCACCCCAAATCAACAGAATATACATCCTTCTCAGCACCACATAGCACTTATTCTAAAACTGACCACATAATTGGAAGTAAAATACTCCTCAGCAAATGCAAAACAATGGAAATCCTAACAAACAGTCTTTCAAACCACAGTGCAATCAAATTAGAACTCAGGATTAAGAAACACACTCAAAACCACACAACTACATGGCAACTGAACAACATGCTCCTGAATGACTACTGGGTAAATAACAACATTAAGGGAGAAATAAATAAGTTCTTGGAAACCAATGAGATCAAAGACACAACGTACCAGAGTCTCTGGGACACAGCTAAAGCAACGTTTAGAGCTGTGTTTATAGCACTAAATGCCCACAAGAGAAAGCGGGAAAGATCTAAAATAGATACCCTAACTTCACAATTAAAAGAACTAGAGAAGCAAGAACAAACAAATTCAAAACTAGCAGAAGAAAATAAATAACTAAGATCATAGCAGAAGTGAAGGAGATAGAGACACGAAAAACTCTTCAAAAAATCAATGAACCCAGGAGCTGGTTTTTTGAAAAGACTTAACAAAATAGACTGCTAACCAGACTAATAAAGAAGAAAGGAGAGAAGAATCAAATAGATGCAATAAAAAATGATAAAGCGGATATCACCACTGATCCCATAGAAATACAAACTACCATCAGAGAATACTATAAACACCTCTACACAAATGAACTAGAAAATCTAGAAGAAATAGATAAATTCCTGGACACATACACCCTCCCAAGACTAAACAAGGAAGAAGTCGAGTCTTTGAATAGACCAATAACAGGTTCTGAAATTGAGGAGTAATTAATAGCCTACCAACCAAAAAAAGCCCAGGGCCAGATGGATTCACAGCTGAATTCTACCAGAGGTACAAAGACGAACTGGTACCATTCCTTCTAAAACTATTCCAAACAATAGAAAAAGAGGGACTCCTGACCGGGTGCGGTGGCTCACGCCTGTAATCCCAGCACTTTGGAAGGCTGAGGTGGGTGGATTATGAGGTCAGGATATTGAGACCATCCTAGCTAACACGTGAAACCCCGTCTCCACTAAAAAAAAATACAAACAAATTAGCTGGGCGTGGTGGCAGGTGCCTGTAGTCCCAGCTACTCAGGAGGCTGAGGCAGGAGAATGGCTTGAACCCAGGAGACGGAGCTTGCAGTGAGCCTAGATTGTGCCACTGCACTCCAGCCTGGGTGACAGAGTGAGACTCCATCTCCAAAAAAAAAAAAAAAAAAAAGAGAAAGAAAAAAAAGAAAAGGAGAGATGTCTCCCTAACTCATTTTATGAGGCCAGCATCACCCTGATACCAAAACCTGACAGACAACAAAAAAAGAAAATTTCGGGTCAATATCCCTGATGAACATCAATGCAAAGATCCTCAATAAAATACTGGCAACCCAAATCCAGCAGCACATCAAAATACTTATCCACCATGATCAAGTCAGCTTAATTCCTGTGATGCAAGGCTGGTTCAACATGTGCAAATCAGTAAACGTAATCCATCACATAAAAAGAACCAATGACAAAAACCACATGATTATCTGAATAGATGTAGAAAAGGTCTTTGATAAAATTCAACACTGCTTTATGCTAAATACACTCAATAAACTCAGTATTGATGGAACGAATCTCAAAATAGTAAGAGCTGTTTATGACAAACCCACAGCCAATATAATACTGAATGGGCAAAAGCTGGAAGCATTCCCTTTAAAAACTGACACAAGACAAGGATGCCCTCTCTTACCACTCCTATTCAACATAGTATTGGAAGTTCTGGCCATGGCAATCAGGCAAGAGAAAGAAAAAAAGCATATTTAAATAGGAAGACAGGAAGTAAAATTATCTCTCTTTGCAGATGACATGGTTGTATATTTAGAAAACCCCATCATCTTAGCCCAAAAACTCCCTGCTGATAAGCAACTTAGGCAAAGTCTCAGGAAACAAAATCAATGTGCAAAAATCACAAGCATTCCTATATGCCATTAATAGAAAAACAAAGAGCCAAACCATGAGTGAACTCCCATTCACAATTGCTACAAAGAGAATAAAATACCTAGGAATACAACTTACAAGGGATGTGAAGGACCTCTTCAAGGTGTAACCTCAAATCACTGCTCAAGAAAATAAAGAGAGGACACAAACAAATGGAAAAACATTCCATGCTCATGGATAGGAAGAATCAATATAGTGAAAACGGCCATAATGCCTAAAGTAATTTATAGATTCAATGCTATTCCCGTCAAGCCACCATTGACTTTCTTCACAGATTTAGAAAAAACTTCTTTAAATTTCATGTGGAACCAAAAAAGAGCTGTATAGCCAAGACAATCCTAAGCAAAAAGAGCAAAGCTGGAGGCATCATGCTCCCTGACTTCAAACTATACTACAATGCTACAGTAACCAAAACAGCTTGATACTGGTACCAAAAAAGATATATAGGCCAATGGAACAGAACAGAGGCCTCAGAAATAACACCAAACGTCTACAACCATCTAATCTTTGACAAACCTGACAGAAACAAGCAATGGGGAAAGGATATCCTATTTAATAAACGGTGCTGGGAAAACTGGCTAGCCATATGCAGAAAACTGAAACTGGACCCCTTCCTTACACCTTATACAAAAATTAACTCAAGATGGATTAAAGAGTTAAACATAAGACCTAAAACCATAAAAACCCTAGAGAAAACCTAGGCAATACCATTCAGGACACAGGCATGGGCAAAGACTTTATGACTAAAACACCAAAAGCAATTGCAACAAAAGCCAAAATAGACAAATGGGATCTAATTAAACTAAAGAACTTCAGCACAGCAAAAGAAACTATTATCAGAGTGAACAGGCAACCTACAGAATGGGAGAAAATTTTTGCAATCTATCCATCTAACAAAAGGCTAATATCCAGAATCTACAAGGAACTTAAATTTACAAGAGAAAAACAACTCCATCAAAAAGTGGGCGAAGGATATGAACAGACACTTTTCAAAAGAAGATATTTATGTGGCCTACAAACATATGAAAAAAAGCTCATCATCACTGGTCATTAGAGAAATGCAAATCAAAACCACAATGAGATACCATCTCACACCAGTTAGAATGGTGATCATTAAAAAGTCAGGAAACAACAGATGGTGGCAAGGATGTGGAGAAATAGGAATGCTTTTACACTGTTTTTGGGGGTGTAAATTAGTTCACCCATTGTGGAAGACAGTGTGGCGATGCCTCAAGGATCTAGAACCAGAAATACCATTTGACCCAGCAATCCCATTATTGGGCATATACCCAAATGATTATAAATCAGTCTACTATAAAGACGCATGCACACATATGTTTACTGCAGCACTGTTCACAATAGCAAAGACTTGGAACCAACCCAAATGTCCATCAATGATAGACTGGAGTAAGAAAATGTGGCGCATATACAGCATGGAATACTATGCAGCCATAAAAAAGGATGAGTTCATATCCTTTGCAGGGACATGGATGAAGCTGGACACCATCATTCTCAGCAAACTAACACAGGAACAGAAAAGCAAGCACCACATGTTCTCACTTATAAGTGGGAGCTGACCAATGAGAACATATGGGCACAGGGAGGGAGAACATCACACACCCAGGCCTGTCAGGGGGTGGGGGGCAAGGGGAGGGATAGCATTAGGAGAAACACCTAATGTAGATAACAGGTTGATGGGTGCAGCAAACCACCATGGCACAAGTATACCTATGTAACAAATCTGCACATTCTGCACAGGTATCCCAGAACTTAAAGTATAATAAAAAAAAAATAAAATAAATAAAATGAAAAGATACAAAAATTAGCTAGGTGTCTTGGTGCACGCCCGTGGTCTCAGCTACTGGAGAGGCTGAGGTGGAATGATCACTTGAGTCTGGGAGGTGGAGGTTCCAGTGAGCCAAGATTGTGCCACTGCACTCCAGCCTGGGTAACAGAGGGAGATCCTGTCTCCAAAAAGAAAAGAAAAAAGAAAGAAAAAAATAAAAGAAAAAAAGTTGAGTTATTTTTCCCAAAATGTTATTTGAGTTATGTTAACTAGTAATAAATTTATTATTTTTAAATTAACGTGTAAATAAATATTTTAAAATTATCTCAGATTTGATTTCTAACACATCAAATATTAATATATGTATACCATCTTACACCAGTTAGAATGGTGATCACTAAGAAGTCAGGAAACAACAGGTGCTGGAGAGGATGTGGAGAAATAGGAACACTTTTACACTGTTGGTGGGACTGTAAACTAGTTCAATCATTGTGGAAGACAGTGTGGCAATTCCTCAAGGATCTAGAACTAGAAATACCATTTGACCCAGCAATCCCATTACTGGGTATATACCCAAAGGATTATAAATCATGCTGCTATAAAGGCACATGCACACGTATGTTTATTGCAGCACTATTCACAATAGCAAAGACTTGGAACCAACCCAAATGTCCATCAATGATAGACTGGATTAAGAAGATGAGGCACATATACACCATGGAATACTATTCAGCCATAAAAAAGGATGAGTTCATGTCCTTTGTAGGGACATGGATGAAGCTGGAAACCATAATTCTCAGCAAACTATCACAAGGACAAAATACCAAACACTGCATGTTCTCACTCAGAGGTGGGAATTGAACAATGAGAACACTTAGACATAGGAAAGGGAACAGTCACACATTGGGGCCTGTTGTGGGGTGGGGGGAGGGGGGAGGGAAAGCATTAGGAGATATACCTAATGTAAATGATGAGTTAATGGGTGCAGCACACCAACATAGCACATGCATACATATGTAACAAACCTGCAGGTTGTGAACATGTACCCTAGAACTTAAAGTATAATAAAAAATATATTAATATATGTAATCTGCACAAAAGCCCTTTGAACTCCCCACATTTTTTACAAGTGTAAAGGATCTTGAGACAAAACTGTTGAGTGGAAACAGGCTATGTCAAGGCATTTATCATGCAGAAGGAGGTTGGAAGTCCTTATCAGCTGGGGTAGGACCTTGGGTTGGGGAGGGAGAGGAGAGTAGCAGAACAGAGTGTAGAGCTTGTTCCGTGCCTCCACCTCAGGGTTTGCACCTTTAGTTGGGAAAATAAAGACTAGTCAGAGAGGTTGGAAGATAACAAAAACAAAGTGCGTTTGTGCCTGGCTTTCCATCTGAGAGGCTGTGGAGAGATGCCCTGCAGAGTGCCTCTCTCCAATGGGAAGTGGTTGTAGGAGTTTACCCTCCTTGATTTTCTGAAGCCTATGATTGGCATGAGGAAGATGCGGATGTGTGTGCCTGACCCTCTGGGGTTTGTGGAATGTGGCTGATAGCGTAGGGCCAACTCGCTGGCAGTGGGTAGCCCAAAGCTGGGGGCCAGTTAGGGGTCTTGGGAAAGATGCAGAAAACCAGCAATTCCCGCAAGGGCCATGCCCAAGCTTAGTCCTCAGTGGTGGGGAAGACCTTTGCTCTTGACAGTGCAGGGAGAACAGCTTGCACTCCGACACTCCAGACACTCCAGCTGAAAGAGGCTGGAAGGAGAGATGCTCATAAGCACAGCCAAGTGGGTGGAACACATGGGAAGAGTCACTTCTCTCTTGTCAAATTCGCTTTCCTGCATACTCTGAGAGGCGAATACCCTAACCTCTGGGAGAACCAGAGACTAAACTAAATTGGAAGAGGGTTTTGTTTTCTTTTAAATGCAAATGTGAATAAGTTACTGTGAATAGGTAACCTACTTTGTTTTCTACTATTGAGTGGAGACCTACAAACAAATTAGGTTTATAAAGAAATAAAGTGGCAGGGCGCGGTGGCTCACGTCTGTAATCTCAGCACTTTGGGAGGCCGAGGTGGGCGGATCACGACGTCAGGAAATAGAGACCATCCTGGCTAACACGCTGAAACCCCGACTCTACCAAAAAAAAAAAAAAAAAAAAAAAAAAAAAAAAAATTAGCCGGGCGTGGTGGCGGGCGCCTGTAGTCCCAGCTACTCGGGAGGCTGAGGCAGGAGAATGGCGTGGACCCGGGAGGCGGAGCTTGCAGTGAGCCGAGATCGCGCCACTGCACTCCAGCCTGGGCGACAGAGCGACTCTCCATCTCAAAAAAAAAAAAAAAAAAAAAAGAAGTAAAGTTACATCTGAGTTGTGACTGTCTTCTTGTTTATCTCTCCTGCTAAATCTTAAGTTCCTATGGCACGTTTGTGTTATATTCATTGTCGTATCTCTAGAATTTAGGCTTACATTTGTTCACTTAAATATTTGTTTATTGAATAAAGAATAAACTGATTTAGAGATCTTGATTCTGTTGTATATTTGCCCTTCTTAACATACAAATAAGTTTATGCAACCAACATGACCAGACTGAGACCAAAGCCCCATTACTTTCATGATAGTCAGGTCACGTCTCTCTGCTCAAAGCCATCCCATATCTTCCTGTGATCCTCTGAGAAAAAGTTCACAGAGGCCTTCCAACATGCCCACAAACTAGTTCTTCTTTCTGAACTACATCTCTCCCTACCTGCTCATTTCATTTCAGCTGCACTGGCCTCTTTGCAGATCTTAGTATATATGAGGCATGATCTGCTTTGAACATCTGTTCTCAAATGTCAGCCTGTATAACCCCCTCACTGCAGTAGAACATGTCCCTGGTTGGCTTGGACTGACCTGTCTCTCTCAGACTACTAATTGTAATACTTAGAATAGCTGTAGAATGTACCAAGAATGCAATGTCCTGAGATAAGAAGGAACTCTCTGGAACAGCCCAGAATATATCCTTGTTCCTCCTAGAACAGAATGTCTTACAATGCTTGAACTCAGTGGTCCAAGTAGCGTCCAGGGTATAAAACCCAGGGCATGGTGCATGCTTTGGGGGTCTGTTAGCTGCTGTTTGGCAAAGGGCACATACAGGTGAGAGTCCAGCCACCATGAGCAGCTTTCCTGAGCCTTGGGAGGTTGGCTCGCCATGGATCTTAGGCTTTTGTTTGTTCTTGCTGCCTATCTGTGAGTAATGAATCTGCTTTGCCTGATGTCTTGTGTGTATTCAGAGTCATCAGGCTCATACAAGTGGTAGAGAACCTTTGCACTCATCTCCTTCTAGTCTGTACTCAAATACCACTTCTCATTGAAGCCTTCCCTGACTAATCTTTTAAAAAGTGCAACCTCCCTGACCCTACCCAGGAACCCATTTCCTGCTTTATTTATCCCATAAAAACTTTCTGTTTTCCCTTTCTAAAATGCTCCATGAGGAAAGAGTATTTTTAAAAATTTCTTATTTATTTATTTATTTATTTAATTTTTTGTTTCCTTAGGTTTTGGGGGAACAGGTGATATTTGGTTACATGAGTAAGTTCTTTAGTGGTGATTTGTGAGATTTTGGTGCACCCATCACCCGAGCAGTATATATTGAACCCAGTTTGTAATCTTTTATCCCTCACCTCCTTCCTACCTTTTCCCCCTGAGTCCCCAGTGTGTATTGTATTATTCTTACACCTTGGCATTTTCATAGCTTAGCTCCCACCTATGAGTGAGAACATACGATGTTTGGTTTTCCATTCCTGAGTTACTTCACTTAGAATGATAGTCTCCAATCCCATCCAGGTTGCTGCAAATGCCATCAATTCATTCCTTTTTATGTCTGAGTAGTATTCCATCATATCTATATATGTACACTACAGTTTCTTTATCCACTCGTTGACTGATGGGCATTTAGGCTGGTTCAATGTTTTTGCAATTGTGAATTGTGCTGCTATAAACATGCATGTGCAAGCATCTTTTGATTTTGTTGGGTTAAACTGAGTGCTGGTTCTCTTCTAGAGCCCTATTTCTAGAAATCACCCCAAATTTCCTCTCTTCTGGCACACACCCCTGCTCAGCTCCCCTGAATTCTATTCTCTTCCTATTTTGAATTTTGGTTTTAAACCTTTTCTAATTGCCAGTCCCTTGTAGGTGTTCATGCAGCTTATCTAGAAAGTCTTATCTGCCATCCCCAGAACAGCTTCATTTATACTCTGTTGAATCATCCATTTTCTGAAAAAAGCCTTTATTTCTTTCATGTCACTGTCACTTCTCACACCACACCCCCAGTCACACATCCAGTATGCTGTTGGCAGCCTTCTCTTGTCTCGTCTGTCATGTAATCTGATTGTCAAACAAGTTGTCACTCACTACAAATGTTAGCATATTGAATTCTCTCATTTACATTGCAAGTACTCTTAGCCCAACTGGATTAAGGCCATTTGACATACACATTTTTGGATTTTTTTTTTTTCCAGGATGGATGGAAAGTGGAGTGGGAGGTTGAGTAAGGATGGGAGTGAGGCACGCATAGTAATTATATACAGTGAACTCAGGAACCGCCACAGCTTTTTATTTATTTATTTATTTATTAAGCATTGGCAGAGATTTAAAAAAATCACTTAGTCTATTGCCTTAATTTATGGAAATGAGCAAATGCTGGCCTATGGATAGCAATTTCTTTCTCAAAGTCCCTGACAAATAAGTTGTAGAGATGGGAGCAGAGATCAGGTCTTCTATTTCTCAAGCCAGCTTTCTAGGTTACCAGGCTTTCTCCCAACAAGGATATTTTAGGAAACTCCTGAAATATGTCTATATCCAATGAAACTTGGAAACCCTTTTCTTCTAAGCACTATCTCTCCTCTCTCCTCTTTATTAGTTCTTTTCATTTTAATTGAGTGGAACTTAAGAAGTCATTTAACTACTTAGTCCTTAGTTTTAATCATGAAGACACCATCATAGGGTGTCATTGGTAGAACCAAAGTAAAACTGTTTTGTTTGATTTGTAGTTCACTGCTTTTTTTTTTTTTCACTGGGATACACTGGTTTTCTGTGTGGCATTGAGGTTAATTATCAATTCCCAGCTATAACTTGTGGGGTTAATGTACAACGTGGTCATGTTAAAACAGAATTTGTATTATGTGGAAAATGTGTATAAATGATTTGAATAAGTTTCTATAGCAACATTATTAGCTTATTGGTAACATTGGGAGTCTGTTCTATTATAATACTGTCCTAAGTTGAATAGGAACAAATATAAAAGTATTCAAATAAGAGTGATATGTTTACCTTTCTTTTCATAGAGCAGCCTGGAAACACTCTGTTTGTAAAGTCTGCAAGAGGATATTTGGACCTCTTTGAGGCCTTCATTGGAAACGGGATTTCTTCATATACTGCTAGACAGAATAAATCTTAATAACTTCCTTGTGTTGTGTGTATTCAACTCATAGAGTTGAAACTTCCTTTAGACAGAGCAGATGTGAAATACTCTTTTTGTGATATTTGCACGTGGAGATTTGTAGAGCTTTTAGGCCAAAGATAGAAAAGGATATATCTTCGTATAAAAACTATACAGAATCATTCTGAGAATCTACTTTGTGATGTGTGCGTTCAATTCACAGAGTTTAACCTTTCTTTTCATGCAGCAGTTTGGAAACACTCTGTTTCAAAGTCTGCAAGAGGATATTTGGACCTCTTTGAGACTTTCCTTAGAAAAGGGATTTCTTCATGTAATGCTAGACAGAAGAATTCTCAGTAACTTCTTTGTGTTGTGTGTATTCCACTCACAGACTTGAACCTTCCTTTAGAGAGAGCACATTTGACACACTCTTATTGTGGAATATGCATGCAGAGATTTCAAGCTCTTTCTGGCCAAGGGTAGAAAAGGAAATATCTTCGTATAAAATCTAGACAGAATCATTCTGAGAAACTACTTTTTGATGTGTGCGTTCAACATACAGAGTTTAACCTTTCTTTTCATAGAGCTGTTTAGAAACACTCTCTTTGTAATATCTGCAAGTGGATAATTGGAGTTCTTTGAAGCCTTCGTTGGAAACGGGATTTCTTCATATAATGTTAGACAGAAGAATTCTCAGTAACTTCTTTGTGTTCTGTGTATTCAACTCACAGAGTTGAACCTTCTTTTAGAAGGAGCAGATGTGAAAACCTCTTTTTGTGATATTTGCAGTTGGAGATTTCGAGCGCTTATACGCCAAAAGTAGAAAAGGAAATATCTTCGTATAAAATATAGACAGAATCATTCTCAGAAACTACTTTGTGATGGGTGCGTTCAATTCACGGAGTTTAAACTTTCTTTTGATTGAGCAGTTTGGAGACACTCTCCTTGTAAATTCAGCAAGTGGATATATGGACCTCTTTGTGTCCTTCGTTGGAAACGTGATTTCTTCGTATAATGTTAGACAGAAGAATTCTCAGTAACTTATTTCTGTTGTGTGCATTCAACTCACAGAGTTGAACTTTCCTTTAGACAGAGCAGATTTGAAACACTCTTTTTGTGGAATTTCCATGTGGAAATTTCAATCGCTTTGAGGCCAATGGTAGAAAAAGAAATATCTTCGTATAAAAATTAGACAGAATCATTCTCAGAAACTACTTTTTGATGTGTGCGTTCAACTCACAGAGTTTAACCTTTCTTTTCATGCAGCAGTGTGGAAACACTCTGGTTGGATAGTCCGCAAGAGGATATTTGGACCTCTTCGAGACTTTCCTTAGAAAAGGGATTTCTTCATATAATGCTAGACAGAAGAATTCTCAGTAACTTCTTTGTGTTGTGTGTATTCCACTCACAGACTTGAACCTTCCTTTAGACAGAGCACATTTGATACACTCTTTTTGTGGAATTTGCATGTGGAGATTTCAAGCGCTTTCAGGCCAAGGGTAGAAAACGTAGTATCTTCGTATAAAATCTAGACAGAATCATTCTGAGAAACTACTTTGTCATGTGAGCGTTCAACTCACAGAGTTTAACATTTCTTTTCATAGTGCTGTTTAGAATCACTCTCTTTTTAATATCTGCACGTGGAAAATTGGACCTCTTTGAGGCCTTCGTTGGAAACGGGATTTCTTCATATACTGCTGGACAAAGAATTCTCAGTAACTTCTTTGTGTCCTGTGTATTCAACTCACAGAGTTGAACCTTCTTTTCAATGGAGCAGATGTGAAACACTCTTTCTGTGATATTTGAAGTTGGAGATTTCAAGCGCTTATAGGCCAAAAGTAGAAAAGGAAATATCTTCGTATAAAAAGTAGACAGAATCATTCTCAGAAACTACTTTGTGATGTGTGCATTCAATTCACAGAGTTTAACCTTTCTTTTGATTGAGCAGTTTGGAAACACTCTCTTTGTAAAGTTTGCCAGTGGATATTTGGACACCTTTGAGGCCTTCGTTGGAAACGGGATTTCTTCATATAATGTTAGACAGAAGAATTCTCAGAAACTTATTTGTGTTATATTTATTCAACTAGCAGAATTGAAACTTCCTTTTGACAGAGCAGATTTGATACACTCTTTTTGTGGAATTTCCAGGTGCAGATTTCAATCGCTTTGAGGCCAATGGTAGAAAAGGACATATATTCGTAGAAAAACAAGAGAGAATCATTCTCAGAAACTACTTTGTGATGTGTGCGTTCAACTCGCCGAGTTTAACCTTTCTTTTCATAGAGCAGTTTGGAAAAACTCTCTTTGTAAAGTCTGCAAGTGGATATTTATACCTCTTTGAGGCCTTCTTTGGAAACGGGATTTCTTCATATAATGCTAGAAAGAAGAATTCTCAGTAACTTCTTTTTGGTGCCTGTATTCAACTCACAGAAGTGAACCAACCTTTAGACCGAGCAGATGTGAAACACTCTTTTTGTTGTGTTGGGTATAAACATGGAACATTGCAAACAATGGGCCACAACACTTCACTCTTCCCTGTATATATGCCTTTTGCAAAGTGATCCTGCTGGCCTTGGGCCTTACTTTGGCCAATAGAATGCAGCAGATGTGACAGTGTGCCAAGGCCTCAAGAGTCTTTGAATGTGTCTCAGGCCTCTTCCAAATTTAGGCCTTGATAAGGCATAGAAACCTGCTCAGACATCATGAGAACAAGTCTCAACTACCCTGCTATAGGATGAGAGACCATGTATAGCAGAGGTAAGTCATCCCAGCTGAGACCATGCTAGACCAGCCATCTTCTGGCTAACCTAGCAAATGACCACAGATGCATGCATGAGCCCAGTGAAGATCAGAAGAATCAACCAGCTGAGCCTAGCCCAAATTGTTGACCTGCAGAATTACTGTTTTAAGCTACTAAGTTTTGGTATAGTTTCATATGCAGCTAACTGATAGAAAGGAAATAGCTAGCTATTTGCTACAATAGCTAACTGATAAAGAATAGGAAGTCTTTTCTAGTGAATTCATTTATAATGCTGTATCTGAGACAAAGCAGGGCATTATTTAAGGATGGATCTGTCTGTAGTCCAAAGCTCAGTTATAATTTTAGTTGGAAAATTACAGACTTGCTTGTTCTGAGTGTTGGTTCCATTTTGGCTTCAAAGGTTAGCTCTAGTAGTCTTTTTTGGAACCATGGAAACATAAGAGAATTTTTGTTTTATTTGTACTATGTAAATAAGAACATATTTTAAGTCTGTGATGGAAATAAAAGTAGATGAGGAATTAGAAAACTTAAGAGTTTTCTTGATCTTGGCACTGATACCCTGAGGCTGTGTCTACCTCACCAGTGCAGACGACTCTGCCCATGAGGGTAGCTTTCAGGCTCTCTCCTTGTCAGTAGTTTGAATGAAGTAAGGGCGATGTAGAAAATGACCATCCAGACAGATGGATAAAAAGTTAATAAAAACAACAGCAAAAACACTTTGTCTTCAAGTTTAGTAGTCAAATTGTATTGATTGAGTCCTTTAAGGGTATCATTATTTGTCTTGATTAAAACTATGAATGATACACTGGCAGAGAATGTAGTGTATAAGTAAGAAACCCACAGAACTGTGCAAGTGTCAGCCTTCCTTTGTAAACTCAGCTGTTCCTCGTTGCATCTTTTCTCATTTATCGCCAAATGTATATGAAAACATTCTCCATTTTTAGAGGGATATCAAGACCGAACATTTGAGTATGTGGCATTTAAGAAAAAAGGACAAAATGCAATCGTCTGGTAGTTTTAAGTGGCAGCTTTAAATACATGCCAAGATATACTAAAATTAGGTAGATAAACGATGTAGCTATCCAGCTTTTACAGAAAAGATCTATTTAACACATTGCAGTGTGGGAATGAAACCACAAGATGGTGAAAGAATGACTCTAATCTCTAAGGCTTTATTTTCCCAAACTAAAAGCTGTATCCTATTTGAGCTAATTAACCCTGTCATTAATTCAATGGAAGGGTTAATTAAAGCTAGGCATAATAGTTATGGTTTCCAAAAATATTTTAACCTTTTAATAATCTCCATCTCATTTGTGTCCAGGGAACAGCAAGAAATGAGAATTTGACTTGCTGAGAATAAATCTACATTTCTTTTTGGTTTAAGGACTAGAACCTAACAAAATCGATTACAGTCAGTAGACACAAAGCTCAAATATGCTAAGATCTCCCTGGAATTCAAATGAAGTGAATTGTTTTACATTTTGGTCCCAAATTCTCATATAGGGAGAGGAGATTAGGAAAAAAAAGAAGTACCTTTTTTTCTATAATGAATTTGGAAAAAGTAGATTCAGAAGCAAGTTAGGCTAAACTTCCTACCTCACATTATTGTGAGGCAGGCCAAGTTAAGAAGAGTGAAGAAGAAAAGGAAGAGGAGAGAAATGATAGAAAGGGGTTGAGCTAATTTTATAATAAAAGGAAACCTTTCTGATGCATTACTGTGGCTTTCCATGTTATATCTTTAAATCCTTCCCATGATCCTATGAGGTGAGTAGTATTAGTACCATCCCATTGTGTAGTAGAAAAAGTTGAGGCTTAAGATGGTTACCTAACCAAAGATTAGCTATTAAGTTGATGAATCACATTTTCAACTGAGATAGTCTAAGTCTAGAGTCCTTGCTTTAGCTATGATATTCCACCACCCATGAACACATGCTAAAAATAGGACAGCCTCAGTTTTTGTACTTTTATAAAAGTGTATCATACATAATACGTAATAAACAATATGCTGACACAGTATAATATATAACATATACTACCATATATGTAAGGGAGGAAAAATATTTTTTTCTTCTACCCTTCTAGGTTCTCAGCTGAGTCTGAATTAATTGAAAATAGATTAATAAGAAACAAAAAACATACAGATTTATTTAATATAATGTGATGTCGGAGTCTTCATCAGCAAATGAAGACCTGAAGAAATGGTTAATCTAGGGTGTTTTATACTAGGTCTGATGATGAGTCAAAAGTCATGGAAAAATATGATAGAACAAAAAGGGCATGAGCTAAAAGCAGTAAACTGGGGAAACTTAGCAAGGCCTGTTGGTTCAGATTCCGTTGTCTGAGCCTCCATCTTCTGAGATAAGGATGCTCCTTTCTGTAAGGTATAGGGAGGGCACCACACAGATAGAGGTCTTCTGACCTGCTTCATGGGAAGGTCAGAGAGTTCTCCCTGTACCTGAGGTCCTCAGATTCCTTTAGCTTATTCAGTATGCCACAGTGTTACAGTTTGGTATAGCATGTCCTGAACCCTGTCATAAAAAATCATTGACTGTAGTTTTATTAAAATATGTTTTTAATGTAGTTTACTTCTTTTCATGAGGTGGGTAAGGACAGGCTAAAATCCAGGGACTCTAAGCTGTTACCTGGGTCATTTAGCAAAAATTTCCCAGGAGCATGACCTTATTTTTTGAAATGGAAATAGTGCTACATCTTAATAGTTGACCAGCTGTTTTGTGTACCTCAAGGAATAAACTTGGAAGCTTTCCCAAGTTCAAGATTCTGAATTGGTCTCTGTATGTGCATATATATGTGTGAACATGTGTGTCTGTTGGTAGCATTTATACTTTTGAAGTTATTAAAGCTTAAAACTACACTAGGAATTTTGGGACACTATGCAGAAGAAAGACAAAGAGGGAAAGACAGAGAGAGAGACGTGAGAGACAGAGACACAGACATATATACACATCCACACACAGATGGAGTAAGAGGCTGATTGAGTGATTGAGGAAACTGACACCCTCAAGCAAAAATTCCACATGCTTTTGGACTGATGGAATCTGCCCATCCCATCTCTATTCCTTTCTTATTGTCATCTTCTTAAGTATCGGTCTCTCTCCCACAATTATGAAAGGATTTGACTCCAGCTGATGGTCTTTTCTCTCTGCTGCCCTTGAGCATTCCATATCCGGACAAATCAGCCAACACCCAGCCTTATGGTAACTCTACCCCTGTGACATCCACCTCTGTGCACATCTGTGACATCGTCATCATCTGGAAAGCTCTGGAATGAATCTCTGTTACCTCCTGGCCTTCTGGATCTTTTTCTTCCTTATTTATGGCTTATCTGCTCTCTCACCTCATTATGATCTCTAGTCTCTTGCCTTTTCACTTTTTTCTCTCATGTCCCAGGTTTTACTTCTTCTCTTGCCAGGCTGCATTGCTTGTACAATTTTTAAAATTCTCTTATTAGTACCTTATTGTCTCATGTTTCCATCAAACTGAAAAATTCATTCTTCAGAACTGGAATTAATGTAAGTAAATTCCTTGCTCTGCATTTATTTCTTAGCCCTTGTGGGGAATAGTATTTCTCTCTCATCGCAAAGAAACAGGGCAAACTGGGTAATTTTCATGGCTAGGCATGCAGAAGTATGCTGGGAGGACAAAAGTGTATGATCTAATGGGTAATAAACTGGGGGAACTTAGCAGGGCCTGTTTGTTCAGGCTCTTCTCTGTGTCCTTGTGTGACATTCCCTTCCTCTGGGCAGGGCATATAAGCTTCTTATAACCTACTTTAGAAGAAGGTCGGCTAAGTTTTATGGCTTTCCTGTTTCTGCTGTTTTCTCAAATGCCAAGGTGACTTATTTTGGGGGTAGCAGGTCCTGAATCCCATCACCTTCAGCACTTTTATTATCCTTCTTCAACATCTTACTTCTTCAAGAACAATTTTTTTCCCCAAATTTTACAGATTAGAAACTCAAGGCACAATGATGTTAAAAACTTACTCATGGTCATATGGCTGGAAGTTAGCAGAGCCAAGCCAGGTTTTCTAAAAGATTGGTGCAAAAGCAATTGCTGTTTTTGTCGTTAAAAAAAAAAAAAAAGCAAAAACCGCAATAACTTTTGCACCAACCTAATCACACTAAATTCAGTAATTTTAAAGAAGTTTTTGAATGATCTCACAAAAGAGGTACACACACTTGCATGTATGTTAATTACTTCCATTAAAAAATTAAGTTTTTAACATTTATTTTTGGTATAGAATTCTGACTACAACTCAGATCAAGGAAAGTTGCATAAACTTACAAGTTATACCACTAGGTGGCGCTGTGAACCCTTCAATCTGTTTATTAATAAATGACTCAAAATCAATTTCTTACTAATGTTAACAGTTTAACTTTAGGAAAGAAAAAGACATAACATACCATCTAATTTATAGTACCTCTAGCAATTATAGCTCAGTTTTCACAAGAAGCTCCAGTGAAAGCAGATCAAAATAATTTAAGGATTAGAGCCAAAGCTCTGGAGGGAAGATTTGGGTATTTGGTCTTGTTTTGGAAATAATCTTGAGTGAATAAGCTCTCCACAAACTGCTAAATTATTTAGTGCAGGAAATTTCAGTTTCTGGATTTCTGGCACATCAGGAGGTCTTCAATTATCTCAAAATGTGTGTCACAAAAATCTTATAAAGTTAGTTAATTCTCTTTAACTTAACTACAAATATAGATTTTAATGCTCATAGGAGGGAGAGGAGGCAGCAACTTAGGTATGTGATAGGCTTAGGAAGAACTAGAAGAATCATTCTCTTTTCTGTCTAAAATATATCTCTAATTTTTAATAGTGCTAAAATTTTTTGTTATTTCTTCTTCCTTATGGGTAAAGATTTGAAGCATCCAGTAATCTGCAAATGTGGCATGGGCATGTGCTAAACCATTATATCATGCACACATATCAATACCATGACAGGAATTAGATCAGCTTTAGTCATCTAATCACCTGGGAGTGATTTGAGTACAAAGGACAAAGGTCAGAAATTCCGATGTTGGAGAGGCTTAGGAAAGAATGGATAGCTTGGAGTGAGGATGCCCAGTGCTCTGAAATGGGTGTTTTGGACAATTTTATCCAATTTTATACTTTTTCTTTTCTTTCTTTTTGTGGAAAGCAATTATTGACCCTTCACATTGCTATAACTGAAAATCCTCCTTGACAAGTAGATACTTTGGAAAGTAGCTTGGCTTGGGCCATCTTGCTAATACTTTTCCCCCATCTGCCTAAGAGGGTGGGTTTCCTGATGAAGAGACCCCAGGAGCAAGATCCTGAGGGGTAGGCTACCAGAAATAGCAGCTACAGGGATGTTGGAAGGGTTGAACTGGAGCTGATCTCCCACATCAATGAGCAGCAGTGCAGCTGGGGCCTCTGCAGAAACTTCTCTGTTCCAAAGATGCACACACACACTCCACAAAAAAGCCAGTATTTGGACCCTTGCCACCCAAAGGGCATCCATATCTTAGAGAGACCCAGCAGCATCCATAAATAAAAATATGCCATTTTCCTCTAATCTCCTTTCCTTGTCCAAAGGACCCAGGAATTAGAAAGTGAAGAGTGGGCAGAAGAGTTGAAGAACAGACAAGGAAAAAAACATTTCATGTTTATGACCCATTGAGAACAACAACAACAAAAAGACAAAACATAGAAGTATTTTAGGTCTGTACGACAGCGTCACCAGAGAAGCTAGTTGAAATGTAGCTATGTGCCAACAACTCAGGGATTGTTTCGAGCACGCTTATTTTATCCATTCACTTATTTACTCAACAAGCATTTGCCTACTAAGTGCCAGCTCCTGGAGATACGATGAAAATTCAAATCAGACTTGATCCTTGTTATCAAAAATTTACTATTTTTTGGAAGCTATGGTTATTAATCAAATAATACCAATGAGTATAAACTGGAAAGCATTCTGAAGGAGAGAAACATAATTTGTCAAGATCATGCAAAAAAGGAATTGCATCTGTAATCTCCACTCAGTGTGTTCTGGGAAAAAATAAAAAATCATATAATTGTTTTATGTATTGAGTTTAAAACCTAAAAATGTAAGGGATGCTCTATTGAAATCAAAGATCATGCACTATCTCAAAGTCCCTCTATGGCTCCCTTTCTTCTTCCCTCCCTCCCTGCCTCTTTCTCTTGATTGATGCTTTACTCTTACCAGGCATTCCTTCCACGTTTTAACTCGAGTAAAACACCATCCCTTAGCAGTGGAAACCAGCTTTCCGAATGAACAGGAGGGGATCATTTACACAATCTAGCTCCCCATGAAGTGAATCTCAACCAACGCAGAAACAGAACACCAAAAAACAAAAAACGGGAGCCTGGCACATAAGCTCCCCATCCTTTCTCTCTTCTAGGGAGAGTAGCTCCTTCTTACAACCTTTCTGGAGAAGTTCCCAGATAGAATAAACACAACTGCTCCTCAACTTACTACTGGCTCATTGTGAAGTGAGAGCCCCTATAGTCGTGTGTTACTGTATCGCATCATGTCTTTTCCCTTGCTTTCCTTCCCTTCCTCTGTTATTGCCCGCTGTTACATTTCCACTCCTATCCAGAGTGTTACCACCTTGATACTTGTCAAGACTTTATTTTCTGGAGGCTAAGATGTGATGCTACTTTTTGGTAATGATGCAACCTATTTTTGGCAATGACACAAATATTTTTAGAAACCTCTGGGGATTTACAAACCATTGAATGAGAGACTTGGCTTTCCCTCTACCCTCTGAGAGTGTGATAACTGTGTCTATGAAATTAACTGACAGCAGGCAGATTAATAGGAAAAAAGATAGTATTTATTACATGCATGAGGGCATCATATGAAAGAAAAGTGAATACTCCCCAACCCAGTGAGATATAGAAGCCTATATACCCTCTTCATCTAGGAGAGAAGAGGGGGCATGTAGGCAACTTAAGGGAGAGCAAATGATTTAGGGGAGGGATTAATGGCTTTTTCAAAGAATAGATGATAGCTTTCGACAAAATTTGGGTGTGCTGTTGACTTCTGGTCTTCCTCTTCTGTGACAAAATTTAATCTCCTCTGGTTGATGAAATTCCTGGGGAGGGGATTGATGACAATTGAATTCCTTTTGGAGCATTTGTCTTTAGGCAGATGAAGGGAGTTCAGGGACATCTCCTCCCTGCATTTACTTTCACTAAGTGCCTTCAGCTTGAAGAAATCAGTACAGATTGATTACTCCAAAATCCGAAACTTTTTGAGCACGGACATTATGCCCAAGGAAATATTCACTGGAGCATTTTGGATTTTAGACTTTCAGATTTTGGATGCTCAAGTGTTAAGTATAATGCAAATAATCCAAAATCCAAAAGAATCATAAATTTGAAACACTTATTGTCCCAAGCATTTTGGATAAGGAATATTCAACCCGTAAACCAAGGAAGCATATTTTAGAGGTGGCATTTACTGAAATCTTTCATCATCAAATGGGAAATTCAAACACTTTCCTGGTTAGTTTCTTTCCACCTGGGGTTGTGTTGTGAACAACCTGAGTACAAGGGTTTGTACTTCTATCTTAAATTTCCAGTCTCCAGCAGAGTGCTGGCCCATAGTAGAAGCTCAACAAATAAAATGTCTGAAAGTCATATATGTGCATTCTGCTGGAAGAAAACCTTATACTTACCCAAAATACAAATTGATCAGTGAAATTAGTCAGGTGGTTGTAGGTGAGCAAACATATCTTTTCCCTCTACCCATCTTAGGTTCATTGGCTGAGATTTCATGACAAAAGATTAACAAGATAAAAACATACAATTTATTTAATATACATTTTACATGACATGGGAGCCTTCATAAGGAAATGAAGACCTGAAGAAGTGGTTAAACCTGAGCATTTTTATACTAGGTTTGATGAAGTGTGGAAATTAGTGGAGAAATATGATAGGAGAAAAGGGTATGAGCTATAAAGGGGAAACTAGGAAAACCTAGCAAGGCCTGTGGGTTCAGATTCCTCTCACCTGACAATCTGTCTTCTGTGATAAGGATGCTCCTTTCCTCCAGGTATAGAGAGGGCATCGCTCAGATGTGTGTCTTATGACCTCCTTCAGAGAAAGGTCAGAGAACCTTTCCTGCACCTGCCATTTCTCAAATTCCTTCATCTTCTCCAATACCAGGTTCATTGGCTTTCATGTCCTCCTTTGAAGTTTTAAACCTATAACTTAACCACAATTCATTCCCCCTCTTTGTAAATTGGTGATCATGACACCCACCTGATCTGCTTCGCATTGTTGCAGGGTTCACAAGAGATAAAGTATGTGAAAGTGCTTTGCAAGTGTAAAGTGCTGGTTAAATGTGGATATTATTATTATTACTCCGGAAGAACACTTAGCTCATTGCTTCATAATGGTGAGGCAAACAGTGTCACTAAATAAGACAATATAATGGTCGTAAGAGGCTCTAATTCAGTTTCTCCATTTTATTCAAGCACACAATTGCATTCTAACACTTCACAGACAGCCTGAAATGGGCCCTGTGGAGGCTGATAAGGAAAATTAGAACAAGGAGCTATTTGCGTCCTCATTTTAATAACTGAGTCAAGGAGCAGGCACTTTAATACAGAGAAGAAGGAACACTTTCTCTTACTCAGTCCTCAGCAAGATAATGACTCCATTACAAAGCATGCCTCCCATAATAAAGGATGCAGGCACACTCATCAAGAGTTCTCCCTGCAGTGGAGGAAGGAGGAAGACGTCATCACCATCAAAACAAAGTGTCCTCAATGGGTACAGACTTAGATTTAGCCACCATTTACAGAGGATGGTCATTTTCATAGCCTTTTTTTAAAAAAATCATTAGGCATAAATGGATCCTCAGTTACAAAGATACCTACAGGGTATATATGTCTTTCAATTGCATTTGCATTTATTTGTATAGATATTTATTTGCTTTCACTATAATTCATATATGTATACATATAATTCATATATATGTGTGTATATATATATAAAATTGAATGTTGCTAAAGGAGAATAAAAAATTTGTGCCTTTTTTAGGGAACATGAGAAACTTGTGGTCTATGGCCATGCAGGAGTGTGAATGTGCTTGGAGGCAGGTATATTTTCCTTTCTGTTAACTCTGAATTCCAGTGAGTGATGATCTGAGAAGCTCGAAATAAAAAATAAAGTGCTCCTAAGTGAACTGTTGAGACCACCATCAGTGCCTACCACACAGTGCCTGCAATAGAACAGGCATGTGGGAATATTTGTGGAAAAAAGCAACAAATGAATGAACGACATTTACATTCTATAACGACAAGAAAAAAAAAACACAACTACTGTACTGCTTAGTTCCCAGACTTACAGTATACTGTTTTTAGATGTTATGCATAGAAAGGTGTGTGATGTCCTTATGTTTCAATGTTTTTAGTGGTGGTATTTTCTCCTTTCCCATTTAGCTTTAAAACTGTAAGCCAATATACAATTCTAAAGTCAGTGGGGTCAGTGCTGGGAAAAGCTTTGGGACAATTATAAAATGTATGCTGAGGATTCTTTCTGCTACTGTCCAAATGTTTATGTCCCCCCAAAATTTGTATGTTGAAACCTAGTTACCAATGTGATGGCATTAGGAGATGGGGGCAGGGAGTCTTTTGGGATGTGATTCAGTCATGAGGGTGGAGCCCTAATAAATGGAACTAGTGCCCTTATAAAAGAGCCTCAGAGAGCTGGTTTGCCTCTCCCATCATTTGAGGGCACAGCAAGATGGCACTGTCTGTGAACCAGAAAGTGAGTCCTCACCACACACCAACTCTACCTGTGTCTTTATCTTGGATTTCTCCACTTCTGGAACTGTGAGAAATAAATTTCTATTGTTTCCAAGCTACCCAGTCTATGGTATTTTGTTACAGCAGCCCAAATGGACTAAGGCACTTTCCATTTCTGTATTGTATTGTGTGAATGTGTGCTTCTGTGTTCCTAGAGCTAAAAGCTAGTCTGAGTGCCTGTCTGCATGTCCAGGCTTTGGTTTGAATCTTGGTTTATTCCTTTCCTGGTTGTTTGATTTGGGGCAAGTTATTTAACCTCTGTGGCCCCACTATAAAATTTGGCTAATAGTAATACCCTCCTTATAAGATTGTTGTAAAAATAAAGGGAGTTTATATATATATATATATATATATATATATATATATATATATATATATATATATATATAAATGTAAGGAGAGTATATTTATATTAATATATATATTAACTCCCTACATTTATATATATTTACTCCCTACACATTATAATATAATATAATATATAGTACTTTTTTATTTTGGATAATATTATTAATAAGTTGTCAGGGTTACTCAGTTTTTCAAGGTGAGGGTAACATATAGCTGCTTTTGTGCCGTTAAGTGACTGTTCTTCTTCTTCTTCTTTTTTTTTTTTTTAAAACAGAGTTTAGCTCTTGTTGCCCAGGCTGGAGTGCAATGGCACGATCTTGCCTCATTGCAACCTCCACCTCCCAGGTTCAAGTGATTCTCCTGCCTCAGCCTCCTGAGTAGCTGGGGTTACAGGTATGCACCACCATGCCCAGCTAATTTAGTATTTTTAGTAGAGATGGGATTTCTCCATGTTGGTCAGTCTGGTCTTGAACTCCTGACCTCAGGTGATCCGCCTGCCTCGGCCTCCCAAAGTGCTGGGATTACAGGTGGGAGCCACCACACCCTGCCTAAGTGACTGTTCTTAAAGGCCTGTCCATTTCCTGCCTACTTGTTGGGAGAAAATCTAGCACAGTGTCCTTTGCTGACAAGGATAAACGCATTTTAAAAAGGAAAGCTGGATAACAGCAGGCACTATAACTTTAAACATCATACTAATAAACAAAAAATTGAGACTCTTGTGAATTCTTAGGGCCTTTTAAAGTTAAAATTAATTTCTTGGGACATATTGGAGAATCTGATTTCTATCAATCAACTCTAAAAATTTCATGCTGTTCCTTCATTACATATCAAAATATATTTACTTCTTTATTATAAAAGTTTACTCTAGAAAATTCCATAGGGATAGAAATATGAAAAGGAATAGATAAAAAGACCTGTAATCTCCTAATCCAGAGATATTGAAGTATATTTTTCTATGATTTCTCTTTGTATATTTATACATATTGACAAAATGTGCTAAAAGATACACATTATTTTGTGACATCTTCACTGAATATTACCATGAATATATTTCCATCAATACATGTTATGGTGAGTCCTTACCAGTCTACGTCAACAATAATCTTTCATTTTTTCAATATTATTCTAAGAGTTTTATGTGTATTAACTCACATCCTCCTCAGAACAACCCAATTAGGTAGTATGACTACTATGCCCATTTTACACATGAGGAATCCAAGGAACAGAGAGGCTACATTACTTGCCACAGGCCATTTAGCTAGTATGTGGCAGCGCCAAGATTTGAACACAACTGTGTTTCCCTCTATGCAGCCATAAAAATTGATGAGTTCATGTCCTTTGTAGGGACATGGATGAAGCTGGAAACCATCATTCTCAGCAAACTATCGTAAGGACAAAAAACCAAACACTGCATGTTCTCACTCATAGGTGGGAAGTGAACAATGAGAACACTTGGACACAGGAAGGGGAACATCACACACAGGGGCCTGTCGTGGGGTGGGGGGAGGGGGGAAGGATAGCATTAGGAGATATACCTAATGCTAAATGACGAATTAATGGGTGCAGCACACCAACATGGCACATGTATACATATGTAACAAACCTGCACGTTGTGCACTTGTACCCTAAAACTTAAAGTATAATAATAAAAATAAATAAATAAATAAATTGTCTTTTCTATTCTCCCTCAACTAATCTCACCCTTTATTCAAACCTCCCACACTGTAAGGATTTCCCCAGTGCTTTCCCACACATTTGCTAACAGGTTCCTCATTTTCCCTGAGGCTTCCTGGGCCCAGCATGCCACTGCAAATCTTGCTCCCAAAGGAAGCCTGTTTTTTACTTTGAGAAATGAAGGGAAGGGCCAGGGAGAGAAAAACAAAAGGAAACGTAGAGGCTGGCCCTTAGAGGCCTGAGCTGAGGGAGTAATAATAGCAGAAACTGGCATCAACAACAATTGAAGACAGAGACAGCCGCATGCTGGGCCCATGCCCAGCATGTATCAGTGATCTATTCATTAGTGATAAATGAATTCAGTAAATTCGTGAGACTTTTTTTTTCTCCTTTCCCATTTAGCTTCAAACCTATAAGCCAATATACAATTCTGAAGTCAGTAAAGTCGTGAGACTTTAATGAATTCATTCATCAGGTCCAGAGCTTTTTGGATGAGTCTTTAGGGTTTTGTTTGTATACAATTGTATCACCAGTGAACAGCAACAGTTTGACTTCTTGTTTTCCAATTTTGATGCTTTTCTTTTTTCTTTTCTTCTCTTCTCTTTTTCCCTTCCCTTCTCTTTTTCTCTTCCCTTCCTTTCCCTTCCTTTCCCTTCCCTTCCCTTCCCTTCCCTTCCCTTCCCTTCCCTTCCCTTCCCTTCCCTCCCCTCCCCTCCCCTCCCCTCCCCTCCCCTCCCCCTCCTTCCCCCCTCCCCTCCCCCTCCCCTTCCTTTTTCTTTCTTTTCCTTTTCTTTCTCTTGTCTGATTGCTCTGGCTAGGACTTCCAGGACTATGTGGAAGAGAAGTGGTGAAAGTGGGCATCCGCCAGGCACGGTGGCTCACGCCTGTAATCCCAGCTCTTAGGGAGGCCGAGGTGGGCAGATCACAAGGTCAGGAGATGGAGACCATCCTGGCTAACACGGTGAAACCCCGTCTCCACTAAAAATACAAAAAATTAGCTGGGCGAGGTGGCAGGCACCTGTAGTCCCAGCTACTCAGGAGGCTGAGGCAGGAGAATGGCGTGAACCCAGGAGGCGGAGCTTGCAGTGAGCGAAGACCGCGACACTGCACTCCAGCCTGGGAGACAGAGCGAAACTCCGTCTCAAAAAAAAAAAAAGTGGGCATCCTTGTCTTGTTTCAGTTCTCAGGGGGAATGCTTTCAACTTCCATCCATTTGGTATGATGGTGGCTTTGGGTTGGTCATAGATGGCTTTTATTACTTTGAGGTATGTCCCTTCTGTGACAATTTTGGGGAGGGTTTTCATCATAAAGGGATGCTGGATTTTGTCAAATGCTTTTTCTGCATCTATTGAGATGATCATGTGATTTTTGTTTTTAATTTTGTTTATGTAGTGAATCACATTTATTGACTTGCGTATGTTAAACCATCCCTGCATCCCTGGTATGAAACCCACTTGATCATGCTGTATTATTGTTTTGATATGCTGTTGGATTCAGTTAGCTAGTATTTTGTTGAGAATTTTTGCATCTGTGTTCATCAGGGATATTGGTCTATGGCTTTCCTTTTTTGTTAATATCCTTTCCTGGTTTTGGTATTAGGGTGATACTGGCTTCATACAATGATTTAGGGAGGATACTCTCTATATCTTTTGGAGTAGTTTCAGTAGGATTGGTACAAATTCTTCTTTGAATGTCTAATAGAATTCAGCTGTGAATTCATGTGGTCCTGGACTTTTTTTTGTTGTTGGCATTTTATATTTACTAGTAATTCAATCTCGCTGCTTGTTATTGGTCTGCTTAGAGTTTCCATTTCTTCCTGACTTAATCTAGCTGAGTTGTATATTTTCAGGAATTTATCCCTGTCCTCTAAATTTTCTAGTTTGTGTGCATAAAGGTGTTCATAGTAACCTTGAATGATCTTTTGTATTTCTGTGGTGTTGGTTGTAATTGTCACGCCTCTGAGCCCAAGCCAAGCCATCGCATCCCCTGTGACTTGCACATATATGCCCAGATGGCCTGAAGTAACTGAAGAATCACAAAAGAAGTGAAAAGGCCCTGCCCTGCCTTAACTGATGACATTCCACCATTGTGATTTGTTCCTGCCCCACCTTAACTGAGTGATTAACCCTGCGAATTTCCTTGTCCTGGCTCAGAAGCTCCCCCACTGAGCACCTTGTGACCCCCGCCCATGCCCACCAGTGAACAACCCCCTTTGACTGTAATTTTCCATTACCTTCCCAAATCCTATAAAACGGCCCCACCCCATCTCCCTTTGCTGACTCTCTTTTCAGACTCAGCCCGCCTGCACCCAGGTGAAATAAACAGCCATGTTGCTCACACAAAGCCTGTTTGGTGATCTCTTCACACGGACGTGCATGAAAGTAATATTTCCTGTTTCATTTCTAATTGAGCTTATTTGGATTTTCTCTCTTCTTTTCTTGGTTAATCTCACTAATGGTCAATGAATTTTGTTTATCTTTTCAAAGAACCAGCTTTTTCTTTTATTTATCTTTTGGTTTTTTGTTTGTTTGTTTCAATTTTATTTTGTTCTGCCCTGATCTTCTTTTTTTTTCTCTCTCTCTTCTGCTGGGTTTGGGTTTAGTTTTTTCTTGTTTCTCTGTTCCTTGAGGTGTTACCTTAGGTTGTCTATGTCTATTTGTGCTCCTTCAGGGTTTTTGATGTAGGCATTTAATGGTATGAACTCTTCTCTTAGCACTGCTTTTGCTGTATTCCAAAGGTTTTGATAAATTGTGTCACTATTATTATTCATTTCAAAATTTTTTAAAACTTCCATCTTGATTTCATTGTTAACCCAAAGATCATTCAAAAGCAGATCATTTAATTTCCATGTATTTCTATAGGTTTGACGGTTCCTTTTGGTGTTGATTTCCAGTTTTATTCCACTGTGATTTTAGAAGATACCTTATATAATTTTGATTTTCTTAAATTTATTGAGACTTGTTTTGTGGCTTACCATATGGTCTGTGTGGGAGAGTGTTCCATGTGGTGATGAGGAGAATGTATATTCTGCAATTGTTGGGAAGAATGTTCTGTAAATATCTGTTAAATCCATTGTTTCTTTGTTAACTTTCTGTCTTGATGATCTATCTAGTGCTGTCTGTAGAGTATTGAAGTCCCCGCATTATTATTGTGTTGCTGTCTCATTTCTTAAGTCTAGTAGTAATTGTTTTATGAAATTGGGAACTCTAGTGTTAGGTGCATATATATTTAGGACTATAATATCTTCCTGTTGGACTAATTCTTTTATCATTATGTAATGTCCTTCTTTGTCTTTTTTAACTGTTGTTGCTTTAAAGTTTGTTTTGTCTGACGTAAGACTAGTTATTCCTGCTCACTTTTGGTGTCCATTTGAATGGAATATCTTTTTCCACACCTTTACTTTAAGCTTATGTCAATCTTTATGTGTTAAGTGAGTCTTTTGAAGACAGCAGATACTTGGTTGGTGGCTTTCTATCCATTCTTCCATTCTGTATCTTTTAAGTGGAGTGTTTAGGGCATTTAGATTCAATGTTGGTAGTAATATGTGAGGTATTGTTCTACTCATCATGTTAGTTGTTGCCTAAATACCTTGTTTTTTTCATTGTGTTGTAGTTTTATAGGCCCCATGAGATTTATGCTTTAAGGAGGTTTTATTTTTGTGTATATTGAGTTTTGTTTCAAGATTCAGAGCTCCTTTTAGCATTTCTTGTAGTGTTGGCTTGGTAGTGGCAAACTCTCTCAGCACTTTTTTGTCTGAAAAAGACTATCTTTCCTTCATTTATGAAACTTAGTTTTGCTGAATGCAAAATTCTTGGCTGACAATTATTTTGTTTAAGGAGGCTAAAGATAGCACCCCAATCCCTTCTAGCTTGTAGGGTTTCTGCTGAGAAATCTGCTGTTAGTCTGATAGGTTTTCCTTTATACGTTACCTGATGATTTTGTCTCACATCTGTTAAGAGTGTTTCTTTCCTCTTGACTTTATTTTTTTTATTTTTATTTTTTTAGTATTTATTGATCATTCTTGGGTGTTTCTTGGAGAGGGGGTTGTGGCAGGGACATAGGATAACAGTGGAGAGAAGGTCAGCAGATAAACACATGAACAAAGGTCTCTGGTTTTCCTAGGCAGAGGTCCCTGCGGCCTTCCGCAGTGTTTGTGTCCCTGGGTACTTGAGATTAGGGAGTGGTGATGACTCTTAACGAGCATGCTGCCTTCAAGCATCTGTTTAACAAAGCACATCTTGCACCGCCCTTAATCCATTTAACCCTGAGTTGACACAGCACATGTTTCAGAGAGCACGGGCTTGGGGGTAAGGTTATAGATTAACAGCATCCCAAGGCAGAAAAATTTTTCGTAGTACAGAACAAAATGGAGTCTCCTATGTTTACTTCTTTCTACCCAGACACAGTAACAATCTGATCTCTCTGTCTTTTCCCCACATTCCCCCTTTTCTTTTCGACAAAACCGCCATTGTCATCATGGCCCATTCTCGATGGTCGCTTTCTCTTCGGAGCTGTTGGGTACACCTGCAGAAAGGCTGTCACTTCACATTTGGAAGATTGCACAGCGGCCAGGCAGAGGTGCTCCTCACTTCCCAGATGGGGTGGCGGCCGGGCAGAGGCACTCCTCACATCCCAGACGGGGTGGCTGGGCAGAGGCGTTCCTCACTTCCCAGACAGGGCGGCCAGGCAGAGGTGCTCCTCACTTCCCAGACGGGGCGGCTGGGCAGAGATGCTCCTCACCTCCCAGAAGGGGCAGCCGGGCAGAGGTGCTCCTCACCTCCCAGACGGGGCGGCTGGGCAGAGGCGCTTCTCACATCCCAGACAATGGGCGGCCGGGCGGAGGTGCTCCTCACCTCCCAGATGGGGTGGCCAGGTGGAGGCTCTCCCCACTTCCCAGACGGGGCGGCCAGGCAGAGGCGCTCCTCACTTCCCAGACAGGGCGGCCGGGCAGAGGCTCTCCTCACTTCCCAGACGGGGCGGCCGGGCAGAGGCGCTCCTCACTTCCCAGATGGGGCAGCCGGGCAGAGGTGCTCCTCACTTCCCAGATGCGGCAGCCGGGCAGAGGCGCTCCTCACCTCCCAGATGAAGGGTGGCCGGGCAGAGGCGCTCCTCACATCCCAGACAATGGGCGGCTGGGCAGAGACGCTCCTCACTTCCCAGACTGGGTGGCTGCCAGGCAGAGACGCTCCTCACTTCCCAGACTTGGCAGCTGCCGGGCAGAGGCGCTCCTCACTTCTCAGACGGGGTGGCCGGGCAGAGGCGCTCCTCAGTTCCCAGATGGGGCGGCCAGGCAGAGGTGCTCCTCACCTCCCAGATGGGGTGGCTGCTGGGCAGAGGCACTCCTCACCTTCCAGATGGGGCGGCCGGGCAGAGGCGCTCCCCACTTCCCAGATGGGGTGGTGGCCGGGCAGAGGCACTCCTCACATCCCAGACGGGGCGGCCGGGCAGAGGCTCTGCTCACCTCCTAGACGGGGTGGCCAGGTAGAGGTGCTCCTCACTTACCAGATGGGGCAGCTGGGCAGAGGTGCTCCTCACTTCCTAGACGGGGCGGCCAGGCAGAGACTCTTGTCACCTCCCAGACGGGGTGGCCGGGCATAGTCGCTCCTCACATCCCAGATGATGGGTGGCCAGGCAGAGACGCTCCTCACTTCCTAGATGGGGTGGTGGCCGGGCAGAGGCGCTCCTCACTTCCCAGACGGGGCAGCCGGGCAGAGGGGCTCCTCACATTCCAGATGATGGGCGGCCAAGCAGAGATGCTCCTCACTTCCTAGATGGGGTGGCGGCCGGGCAGAGGCTGTAATCTTAGTACTTTGGGAGGCCAAGGCAGGCGGCTGGGAGGTGGTTGTAGCGAGTGGAGATCATGCCACTGCACTCCAGCCTGGGCAACATTGAGCATTGAGTGAGCGAGACTCCGTCTGCAATCCCAGCACCTCGGGAGGCCAAGGCAGGCAGATCACTCGAGGTCAGGAGCTGCAGACCAGCCCGGTCGACACGGCGAAACCCCGTCTCCACCAAAAATTCAAAAACCAGTCAGGTGTGGCGGTGCATGCCTGCAATCCCAGGCACTCAGCAGGCCAAGGCAGGAGAATCACGGGAGCCCGAGGCAGGGAGGTTGCAGCAAGTGGAGATCACGGCAGCACAGTCCAGCCTCGGCAACAGAGGGAGGGAGAGGGGGAGGGGGATGGGAGAGGAAGAGGGAGAGGGAGAGGCCTCTTGACTTTAGGTAACCTAATGACTATGTGCCTTGGTGATGATATTTTTGTGATGAATTTCCCAGGAGTTTTTTGAGATTCTTGTGTTTGGTTGTCTAGATCTCCAGCAAGGCTATGGAAGTTTTTCTTGATTATTTCCTCAAATAAGTTTTTCCAAACTTAAATTTCTCTTCTTCCCCAGGAACACCAATGATTCTAAGGTCTGGCTGTTTTACATGATCTCATATTTGGTGGAGACTTTGTTCATTAAAAAAAATCTTTATTCTTTGTCTTATTGGGTTAATTAAAAAGCCTTGTCTTCCTGCTATGAAATTCTTTCTTCTACTTGTTCTAGTCTATTATTGAAACTTTGCCACCACATTTTATATTTCCCTAAGTGTGTCTTTCATTTCCCGAAGTTCTTGTTGTTTTTTCCTTATGACATCTGTTTATATGGAATTTTTTTGATTGATATCCTGGATTGTATTTTTAATTTCTTTAAGTTGGCTTTCACCTTTCTCTGGTATCTCCTTGAGTAGCTTAATCATCATCTTTCTGAATTCTTTATCTGGCAATTTCAGTATTCTAGGTTTGGATCCATTGCTGGGGAGCTAGTATGATATTTTGGCAGTGTTATGCAACCCTGTTTTGTCATGTTATCAGAATTACTTCTCTGGTTCCTTCTCATTTGGGTAGACTATTTCTTCACATTGTTCTTGAATTTAGTTTTGATTAGACTGTGGTTTATTTTTCATTTTTCCCTCTTAAGGATTTGACTTTTATGTTTATTTTATCCTAATTTTAATCTTGGTGCTTTTAGGGTTGAAGACTCTGTATAAGTTCCTTAGTTATAGAGAGTCTTTGTGTGCTGTCTCTCCCCAATGCTGGTTGTAGTAGTTATATTCTTGGTGTGTGGGTGGGTTTATTGCCTTCTATGGGGTTGGAATGGCGGGGATCTCTTGAAGCTTATCTTGTTCTCTTGTGGAGGACAGTTTATTTAATTTATTTAAAATAATTTTGCCCCAGTATTTTATTTACTGAGTTGATGGTTCAGGCTTCAGGGCAATAGGGAAGGTATCCCTGAGTAGGGCACTGGTTGTAGCTAAGGCAGGTAAGTAGATGTAACACCCGCTGGTGGGCCAAGTTTCCAGCCTTGATGAAGGTGACTGGGGGAGCTCTCAGTTAGATGTGCTGAGGTTTTATTATGGTGGAGAGTGGGAGCTATCCACTTAAATAGCCAAATAATAGGTGAATGGATAAATAAATTGTGGAACATAGATACAAAGTAATCCTCTTTAATGCTCAGCAATAAAGAGGGATGAACAACTGATAATGCTACAACAAATAATTCTCAAAATAATTATGCTGAGTGAAAGAAGTGAAATGCAAAATAATATAGTGTATGATTTATTTACATGAAATTACAGAAAATGCAAACTAATCCACAGTGACAGATCAGGTGTTGCCCAAAGAGGGCTGGGAGGGAAGAATCACAAAATGGTTCAAGAAAACTTAGGGGAGGTGATGGATATATTCATTATCTTGGCTGTAATAATGGTTTCATAAGTATGTAGATATGTCAAAACTTATTAAGTTATATACTTTAGATATGCAGTATATATTATATATCAATTATATATATCAAAAAAGCTATTAAAAAGAATATCTTCTCTTCAATAAAAGTTAATAAATCCCTTTTTAAAACTACATTTGGTTGTCTGTTTTCAACACTAAATATTTTAATTTATTCTCCTTTGTTTGCATAGTTTCTGAAGAGAAGTTCATTATAATTCTTATTCTTGATCCTCTATAGGTTAAGAATTTTTTTTCCCTCTGGCTTCTTTCAAGGCTTTGTCTTTTGTTTTCTGTAGTTTGAATTTCCGGAGTGTACGTTTTTTTTTATATTTATCCTGCTTGGTGTTCTCTAAGCTTCCTTGATGTGTGGTTTGGTGTCTGTTATGGTTGGAATATTTGACCCTTTTACAGACTCACAGCTGTAAGAAACCTGCCTTGGACTCAAATGAAACTTTGGACTTTTAAGTTAATGCTACAAGCAGTTAAGAGTTGGGACTATTGGGAAGAGATGATTATATTTTACAATATGAGAAGAACATGAGTATTGAGGGGCCAGGAGTAGAATGCAGAATATTTGACTACTCAAAACCTCACGTTAAAATTTGATCCCCAGTGGTGAGGCCTAATAGGAGGTGTTTGGGTCATGGAGTTGGAGCCCTTATGAATAAATTAATGCCCTCCCTGGGCTTGCAGTGGGGCAGTTGAGTGAGTACTCACTCATGTTCATTTCCATGAGAGTTAGTTGTTTGAAAAACGGCTGGCATCTCCCTTCCCTCTCTCTCTTACTTTCTGTGTCACCATGTGATCTCTGCACATACCTTAGGTATTCTTTTATAGTAAAACAAAGACACCAAAACAGTGTCTGTCACTAATTTTAGAAAATTCTTAGCCATTATTACTTCAAACCTTTCTTTTCTTTATTTGCTCTATTCTCTTTTTCCTCTCCTAGGATTCTATTTACATGTATTTATATCATTTGAAATTATCTTACAGTTCTTGGATGTTTTTCTGTAAAAATTTATTTTTTGTCTTTTAATTTCAGTTGGGGAAGTTTTTTATTGACCTACCTTCAAGCTCATTGAATCTTTCTTTGGCTGTGTTCAGTCTGCTGGTGACCTCATCAAAGACAGCCTTCATTTGTTAATGTTTTTGCTTTTTAGATTTTCTTTTGATATTTTCTTAGAGTTTCCATAATCTTTGCTTATAATACCTAGTTGTTTTTGCATATTTTCCACTGTTTTTCATTGGAGTTTTTAATATATCAATTATAGTTATTATAAGTCCCTGTCTGATAATTCAAAAATCTGTGTCATATCTGATTCTGGTTCTAATGCTTGTTTTATCTTTTCAGATTGTGTTTTTCCTGCATTTTGGCAGCTTGTAACCTTTTTTTTGAAAGTCAAACATGTATTGAGTAATAGGGACTGAGATAAATAAGTCTTTAGGGTGAATATTCATATTAATCTGAGTAGGAGTTGATCTGTGTTTAATGTTTACTATAGCTGTAGGTGTCATAGGCTTCACATTCTTTTGAACATCGTTGTTTTTCTCTTTCTGTTGTCCTTGATCTCCCTAAATTCTTCCTTGGATAGAGTATGCATTTTGCAGATCTTTCAACTGCAGTCCATTCCTATTACCCCAGAGCCTTGTTGGTGTGATGGTAAAGGTGTGGGCAGGAGAAGGACTCTATAATCTTATGATTAAATTTCAGTCCTTTAGTAGGCCTGGAGTATAATCTTCACAAGTGTTTCTTAGTTTTATTTTTACCCTTCGTGTGAGACTAGAAGGCTAGAGAGAACGGGAATCAGGGAAGTACCCATCTTCATGTGGGATAAGGCTCTGGTAAAGTCTTTTTCTGGAAAGTGGGCTTTATAATGGAAAATGCTCTGGGCATTTCATACTGGTTACTTGTCTCTTGCACCTGTCAGAGCCACAAAATCTTTCTTGGCTTTGGCTTTTCACCATGAGAACCTGGCAGAGTTGCCAGACATAAAACCCATGAAAGTGTGGGGGCCCCTAAGTCTGAGGCTTCTGGGAGTTTCTCATTTTCACACCGGTCCATACACAGCCTCTAGAAATTCATCAAAATTGTCATTTAACTATTCCTATTAGTTTATAGCTCCAGAAGCTTCTGCTCCAGGTAAGCAGATCTTAGACATGATTCTCTGGATTCATTTGTTTCCCCACATTTTGGGATGGTTGTTTTCCCCACAACTTCAGTTCTCTGAGGGGTCAAAGGAAAGTCACTGATTTTCACTTTATTCAGCTTTCTTCTTGTTGTTAGGATGAGAATGACAATGTATTAGTCCCTTTTCACACTGCTGTAAAGATAGTACCCGAGACTGGGTAATTTATAAAGGAAAGAGGTTTAATTGACTCACAGTTTTGCATGGCTAAGGAGGCCTCAGGAAATTTACAGTCATGGCGGTAGGTGAAGGGGAAGCAAGGCATGTCTTACATGGTGGCAGGAGGGAGAGAGAAGAGCAGCGGAGGAACTGCCAAACACTGATAAAACCATCAGATCTCATGAGAAGTCACTCATTATCATGAGAACAGAACTAGGGAAACCGCTCCCATGATGCAATCACCTTTCACCAGGTTCTGATCTCAACACCTGGGGACTGCAATTCAAGATGCAATTTGGGTGGGTGCACAAAGCCCAACCATATCAGGCAACTTCTTAGTTTTTTACATGTTGGAGCCAAAGTAGGGAAATCTATTTTTCCAGTTTGGGACAATTTTTCTAAACTCTTAAATGCGTTGAGCTGGATCACAGGAAATTATGAATAATCTTTTCACACCTTTATAAAATAAACACTTTCCCAGCTTTCTTGGAGCTCAGTCTAATGTACAAGGAGATCATTTAAACACAGGAAGATAGGTGGTTGATGGATAAGTCAGGAGAATATAGAAGTACAGAGGAGGGCTAGGTTCCAGCCTGAGGAGATGGGACAGAATATGGATGGGAAGAGCAGGCTGGCAAGGATTCAGGCAAGGGCGGTATCTGAGTTGTGTTTTGGTAGTTAACATGTTGAAGAAGGAGAGATGAGAGAGGAAAAGTGGTCTGGGTTATAAGAAGAGCGAGTATAGCAGCACAAAGATGAAAGAGACAGTGTCTTAGACATTATTGCTTAGCATCTTATAGTGCTTTGCTGTTTTAGACAATGAATTCCTATTGTTTTTATGCTACTTAATTTAGAATGCGCTCTGCACCACAAAGACAGTGTTTGTGGAAGGGCTTTATACATCCAACATTTTTATAGCTACCCTAACATAGTACAATTAAGGCTTTATTTTTTATTGAGTTATAAGTGAAAATGTGATAGATTCATTTCAATTATAACTTATTTCTAACATCTTCATTTGTGAGATTATAAAACAAAGGGGAAATCCTTAATTTTCATGTGTTTTGAGAATTTGTTTTGTTAGAAATGCTTTAAACTAATTAATGAGAGTAATAACAGATTTCTGCAAGTTGCAAGATGTTCAATTAACCACAGCTGCCCTTTGGGAACATTCCCTGGACTTCAGCGATCCATTGAACGTTTTCAGAATCTAAGGCAAAGCTTCAAGCCTGACACAAGAGAGGATTGTCTAATAATTAGAACAACAGACTGGGAGTTGGTTACCTTGAATTGTATTTTTGCTTTAGCAAGTTTTTCAGACTGACCTTGGGCAAATTGCATAATCTTTTGGGGCTTCTTTATCTTTCAAATGCTGATAGTACTAGCTTGATTTTAGGCCTTTTAAAGGTCCTTGGATGAAAGCTGTTTTAAAAGCTTGTAGTATTATCAGGAAATGCCAGATTTAGAAGTTATTATTAACTCTGTTAAGCATGTGAATGCACACTCACCCCCCTCCCAAGATGGAAAAAGCAAAAAAAAAAACAAAAAAAAACCCAACAGAACACCATCAGAGCTCACCTGCTGGGTTGTCATGGACACAGTGTTCTTTTCATGATATTTTGCAGAACAGTTCATAGTCAGTAGTTACTTGTGGGTATAAGTTGTGTTTTCACTATTCTTTTCAGGTCAACATTATTTATTGATTGACTGCAGGCCTCATTATATTCCATTGGATGGCTTTACAAATGTCACCATCATGAACATCTCACATTAGTTCTTATACCATAAGGGAAATGACCTGACAAAAATGTGGAATCCCAAAAGGTAAATAAATAAACATGCTCTAAAAAACAACACTAAAATTACATGAGGAAGAAAATAGTCAGTTTACAGTGGATCGCTTATAACAAATATACAGTGTATAGTGCTCCTGTGACTATAGCCAGGCATCCCTTTATCGTGACTTCCACAAAGTTTAACCAGATTGGTATGTATTGATGCTAGTGGAAATAATATCCTTTTTATTTCCTCTCGTTTGCATCCTTTGAAAACATTGTGCTTTTTTTAAATGATATTATTTGTTGATGCTTCAAAAAAACATAGACAAAATTATTATGAGTAGTGCTGCCAAATCCTTTGAGGCAAGTGTTTCCAAAAGATAGCAATCTATTTGTTCCTGATCTTTTGACTCTCCCCTTTTTTCTTCTGCTGTTTGTTTACTTATGTGGAGCTAGAAAACATGTTATGTGCAGAGTAAGATGACTTGCTGACAAGCAATCCAGAAGCCCTGGCCTGAAGCGCATCTCTCAATGGGAATGGCCTGATGAGAAAGATAATGGAGCAATGACTCCTTCGCTGATCAGGGACTCAGAGGAAGGCTCACTCTGCCACTGAATTTCCTCAATCATAAAAAAAGTAAATGGCTCCGGAAAAGTTATCTTTTATATGAATTTATTCATTTAAATATTAAATAGTATTAAGTATCTACAGTATGTTGGGTACCATGATAGGCACTGAGAAATCAAAGATTAATGAAATATAGCTCACGATCTCCAGAGATTTACAATATAGTGGAAGAAACAGACATCCAAACTATGTAATTTGGAAATGTCTAGGTTTTATTAGTTTTTGGGTAAAATTGAGTAACTTAAATTCCTCTGGTTTGTAGTTGTTCTTGATATCACATATCCTGCCTTCTTTAATAACCCCCTCAGTTACTTATGGGGATTCCTGGAAGTAACTCATGTGTCTTCAAAAACAGTCTTTATGTCTTCCTCTCTAGCCATTCATTTTTGCCCTGATCACTGCTGTTGGAATCCCATAGGAAACACTCTTTCAGGCATCTAAAGACAGGAAATTGTCTAGGATGAACTCCAGATCCATGGTTCTGGAAACTGGGTAACTAGTGATAGCATTAAACAAAAAGAGGTTTTGAAATAAAGTATGGGATTTAAAAAAGGAGAAGGGGAAGTAGGAGAAAGAACAAATTTTGAGGGGAAGTTAAGAAGTTACTATTGTGTGTTTTGTACTGAAGGTGTCTGTCAGACACCCAAGTGGAGATGACAAATGAGAAGTTATCATTACCATTCTGTTGCTCAGGAGAGAAATGTGTAAATTTGGGGGGTTATTAGCTTATAGTGGCTGTCAAAGCCATATTTGTCGTTGAGACTGCCCTGAGATAGTTTTTAGAAAGTGGAGAAAAGAGGAATACATTACAGAGAAAGAGGTCAGGTTTGTTGTTGAAACCATGTTTCAGCAGGGAAGAGACTGGAGAGAATATGAAGATAAAGGTAGCTTAAAGGGAATAAGGGAACAAGGGCTCAAACTTAGGAGATTTGTTAGCCAAAAACACAGTTCAATGACTTCACAGTTTTGCTAATGACTGCTCCTTCTTCACAGAAATTTGAAAACTGAAAGCAACTGGAATTAGTTTCCTTGTTGAGACTGTCTTTTCAATAGCATTCTTTAGATGTCATCTCCATCCTCCTAAAATCGAACCAAACCAAACCAAACCAAACACCATTCTATGATGTTTATACACATTTACTGAAGATGCAAGCTGGAAGCTGGAAAGGATGCTACATGCAAAATGACAGAGTAAATAAAAATAAACTAAACCTATATTTTTGAGTTTGTGATATTAACAGTTTAAGTTCTTTTTACCAGTTCCAGTTCTATTCTCTTTGCCTAAAGTGTTTCAGTATTTCTAAACTTGCAATTGCTATCACTAGTATTACTATTGTTATTATTATTAATACGTATCTCTTTATTTGGACCTCAGTTATATAAAATTGGATTAATCCTAATTTTTGCTATCTGTATGCCTAAATAATATATTTTCCTTGCTTATTGTTAAACCTTTGATAAGGGCATCAAACTATATATAGTCTCCTGTGACTGACTTTTTTACTTGACATTATGTTAAGATTCATATGTAGTGTTGCTTATAGTAATATATTTTGCCACTACACAGTATTTCATTGCAGAAATACATCATGATTCTTTTTTATTCTTTGTGTTCGTCAATGAGCATTTGGGTTGCTTGAGCATTTTTACCATTACTAACAGTGTTACTGTGGTCATCTTGCACATGTGCAGAAGTTCTCTTGAGGATTGTATCAGACATATAAACCATTATGCTGTGATAACAAATTAACTCCTATACATATATGGCTTAACACAATAAAGGCTTATTTCTTGGTGGGGGACTTCCAGGGACGAAGGCTGACAGAGACTGTGCTATCATGTAGCTGTGTCTTCAGGAATGTGAGACCTCCTTTGGCTCCTTGGCAGGGGAAGAGGGATGTGATAGAACGGCAGAGGGCCTTTCAGTGCTTCATCTGAGAGTGACAGATGACTTTTGTAATGGTTAGTTTTATGTCTTAACTGGATTGGGTGATGCGATGCCCAGATGTCTGACTAAACATTCCTTCTGGGTGTGCCTGTGAAGTTGTTTTCTTCAGAAGAGATTAGCATTTGCATTGGCAGACTGAGTTAAGCAGGTGGCTCTCCTCAGTGTGTGTGGACATCCTCCAATCTGTTGAAGGCTTGAGTAGAACAAAAGGTGGAGGAAGACTGAATTAACTCTGTCTGACTGCTACAGCTGGGACATTGATCTTCTGCCTTCAGTGCTCCCAGTTCTCAGGCCTTCAGATCTGGACTAAAATCTATACCAGTAGCTCTCCTGCTATCTTTGAATTATACTACTGGCTTTCCTGGATCTCCAGCTTGCAGAGGGCAGATTGTATGATGTAGCCCCCATAATCATGTGGACTAATATAATATCTAGGAAGACACACACACACACACACACACACAAACACACACACACACACACACACACACACATATCTTATTGGCTGTTTCTCTGGAAAACACTGATTAATACAACTTCTATCCACATTTCCTTTACCTGAAGTAGCCCAGTGGTCAAACCTAACTCAAGTGAAGTAAGAACTGTAGGGGAGCAGATAAAATGTTTGATGATCACCCCTGTCTCAGCCACTTGGGAAAGAAATTCCCAGGCTTTAGAGTTTATAATATATAGCTTTACAAGACAATGCCAAATTGTTTTCCTAAGTCATCATGCAAATTTATACTTTCAATAGCAATGTACAAGCAATGTAATTTATTTTGTAAAGTATCTAACAAGTTTCTCCCCAAAGGCCTTTTTTGGAAGCACTTTTTGTGCTTTGTCTTTGTACTTCCATGTAAAGTCAATAGTGATATTCTTACGCTTATTTTTCAGATTGAATAAGTGATTGGTTTAAATAATTAAGTAGCAAATTTCTGGTGTTCTTGTTTGTTTAGCCTTTCTGTCCTTTGCATCTGGTAATAGCACCTGATCTTTCATTTTTTGGATGACATTTCCAAAATGTTATGATAAGTCTGTCACTGTGTTTTGATCTCTTCTCCTCCTTGTTTCTTACCATAGAAAGGGGTATAAGTTGCAGTCTACATGGCTCACATGATTAACATTACTTTATCCCTTTGCTATAGTGATTGGTTCTGCGTTGGGCCCATGGTTCAAATGAGGTAATTGGAAACTAATGTAAAATTTTGTTTATGGGTATTCAGAGAGAGAGAGAGAGGCAGTCTCATTAACTTTAATGAGGCAGAGTTGCAAGACCCAGGTACTTAGGGCTGCAATTGGCTGTCTGCCCTAGCTGTCTTGAACAAACTGTCTGAAGAGAAAAGCCACTGGAGCCATTGGAGGTCTTTAAGCAGGAAAGGGACGTGAGCAACACACTGAGATTTACCTTTTAAAGATACACCTGTAGCTGCTATATAGAAAATTTATTATAAAGGGGAGAGAGTAGAAGCAAGGAGACCAAATAACAGGCTACCAAGTAATTCAGGTAAGAGATGTACGTGGTTTGGCTTAGAATGATAGCAGTGGAGAAGAAGGTAAGGTGATAGATAGGAGAGAATGGTTTGAAAGTACAGCTGAGAGGATGTGCTAAAGGACTAATGCAGAGTGTAAGGGAAGTAAATGGTTAAGAATGACTTCTAATCTGGGGGAGAACAACTAGGTGGATGGGGTGGTATTAACTGGTATGGAAAATACTGAGCTAAGAGCAGATTTTATTTTTATTTTTGTTTCCTGCTCTGTGTTTGAGAGCAGAAGGGATTACAGTGTTCTACTTCAATTGTGTTAAATTTGAGCTATTTATTGGAATTTCAAGCGGATATGCCGAAAGACAAAAGCATATTTAAATTTGGAACTCAGTGGCTATGGCTAGAGATAGAAATTTAGCTTCCATGGGCCTATACATGGGTTGAAAATTCAATAAATGAATGAAAATATCTATGAGAGAAGGTAGAAGAAGAAGAGTGGCTAAGTATCTGGATCTGGGACAACTGACATTGAGAAGTTACTCACAGGAGTAGCAGCCGGCACAAACTATGAACAATCAGGATACAAGTTATTCAACAATGTTTTAACATTTAAAATATACAGGTAATGAAACAGAATTTATTCTTCAGTCATATCTCACCTCGGCACTGGTGAGAATACAAAACAGCAAAACCTAAGAGGAAATTGTCCAGTTTGTAATTCAATAGGCAATTATTTGAAAACATTTTCTAAAGTTTGGAAAAATTCTCTATTATTGCTGATTACTATAGAATTGGACTTATGTATTACTCCAGCCATCATGGGCCATTATTATATGTAAACGGTAGTATGCATAGGTTAGGAGCATAGGCTTTTTAAGCACCAACCTTCACTTTGAAGCTGAGACCCTGGGCAGGTTACTTAGCCTCTCTGAACCTCCATGTTTTCATCTGTTAAATGAAGATAGCAATAATAGAACTGATCTCATAGGACTAATCTGAGGGTTAAATTATTTGATAGATGTGAAATACTTAGAACAGTGTCTATAACATAATAGCACTAAAATAAATGTTAGCTATGAGTAGAACATATAGTTATCTTCCGGGAGTTTAAAACACCTATGGTATATCCAGATTAATGTAAAAATATAGTATAATTTTCTAGATTCAAGCATGAACTGAATGTTCAGCTCATTATGTTCTGGAAAGAACTAGTTATGAATTAGGTAGAAAACAGATTTGTCTTACAATTCTGGCACTTAGCAGAATCATGACTTTAGAAAAGTCATTTAAATCACAAGGCCCCAGTAGTCCAAACTGCAGAATGGAGAGTAGAGAGAATAAAATTTCTTAATGGTTTTCTGTAAATTTTATGAATTTTAAGATAGGTGCAGCAAACCACCATGGCACACGTATACTTATGTAAAAAACCTACACATTCTGTACATGTATCCCAGAACATAAAGTAAAATTTAAAAATAAATACACAAATAATTTTAAATTAAAAAAAAAAAAGTAAAGAAGGTCCAAGCACAGGAGGGAGAAACACAGAGCCTTGGCCACATGGTTGGATCTCCTTGATTTAGCTGTGTCTGAAGACCAGTCCCTGGACGTTTTAGTTATAGGAGCTAATACATTCCCTACATTAAACTTCTTATAGTTGGATGTCTGGGAGTCCTAATCAGCTACTTAGTGACAAGGATACGATCCAAACCCAGATCTTCAATCTCTTGATTGGATTCTCCATAAACCTTACTGTGATGCTTGGCTCTACTTTGCTAGGCTAAATATTACCAGCTTCAGTTTTTGCATTGAGTCCTGGAGGTAGAGATTTAAGAAAACTTTCAGGGCAGAGGGTAGGGGTGGGGGGAAGTTAAGATTTTGAGAAGCCATTTGGAAGGTTACATCATGAGTAATGTGTCACAGCACAAATTAACATATTAGACAATTTTGTCATTGTTTCAGAGTATAGAAATTGATTCTTGAGTTTCCTGGTCCATGGTACTATAAAAAGATACACATCCATCACCTTACACAAGATGGTGAGATTTTATCTTTGTACTTACCTCAACATGACAAATAGTTAATTGGACACATAAAACATTTTCTAAAACAGACAGTTTTGAACTTGAAGTTTTGCTGCTGACAGAAAGAAGAGTCCCAGAGGGTGCAGAGGTATGAACACTAAATAAATCCAGAACCCTCTCCAATGTCTCAATAACTGCCAAGTCAGCTCTGAGGCTAATTAATCAAAACAAATGTACAATTAAGCCCACAGAGAAGCACTAATTATGATGCCTGGCAGGGGGGAAATGTGCTGAAAAGGGAAACCTACAAGTGAGATGGGAGAATGGTCTTGTCATTGGCCTGTCAAGGGCAGTGCTACGGGATGATTGGATGGGTAGTGCTGCACCTTGTTCTTGTTCAGGCAAAGGTGCCAGTCGCCAAGGTGAGGGTTGCAGATGCAGGTCCTGCCTTTTATGTATTGCAGGGAATCTTGTGCCTGTCTTCCAGGATGAGGCCTGTTCCTTCCGGCAAAGCATGACCTTTCTATAATCTGCCCCTTGGTCTGAAAGTACACCAGTAGGGAACAAAGAATGCAGAGGCCTGAGGTTATGGAAGAGCCATATTTTTTTCCAATCATGTTCAGTGGGTAACAGCCAAGAGCAGCTTTCATGTAAGCTGTTTTATGGCTTTGGTTGTTTATATTATTGACTGTCTCTGCCTCTGAATTTCTACTTCTGCATACTTAAACACATTCATCTTACACAAAGCCTACCCTGCTTCAGTTTCCACAATAGTTTGGGCTCAAAACAGGCATAACTTGAGCAGCTACTTTTGTTGCTATTGGTTTGGTGCAAATATTTGATAATATTGATCTATGATATTGGCCAACGTCTCTGGAGTTGTAGAACTTCTGCCTTGATTTTCAGTCCTGGTCTCTTATTTTGGATCTTAGTTTTTCCTTACCTGTTCCTTCCCTTTATTTTCATGTTTTTCTGACTCCTAGATTCCTGTTCCCTAACCTTGGCTATTATTGTTGGATACAACTGTTTGCCCAATTCCTAATGCCATCACTTAGTCACTCAACAGATATGGACTGCCTATTAAGTTAAAGAATCTGGCTAGGGTCCCATCAAACCAATTTCTTCTTCCTTTTGGGTACACAGTTGTATTACGTTTTTTCAGGTTCCTTTAAAGGTAGGTGGGCACACAGGCCTAAGTTCTGGCTGATGGAATGGGAGGGGGAAGTAATGGATGTCATTTGCAGGCCTGGCTCCTAAAACCTTCCTGTAAGTCCTTCTCATTGGCTTACTCTTCTTTTTCTCCTTTTTTTTTTTTTTTTTTTTTGAGACAGAGTCTTACTCTGTCACCCAGGCTGGAGGGTAGTGGCACCATCTTGGCTCACTGCAACCTCCGCCTCCCAGGTTCAAGTGACTCTCCTTCCTCAGCCTCCCAAGTAGCTGGGATTACAGATGCATGCCACCACGTCTGGCTCTTTTTTTTTTTTTTTTGTATTTTTAGTAGAGACAGGGTTTCACCACGTTGGCCAGGCTGGTCTCTAACTGCTGACCTCAGGTGATCTGCCTGCATCAGACTTTCAAAGTATTAGGATTACAGGCATGAGCCACCGTGTCTGGCCTTGCTCTTCTTTTAATTGCTGGTTGGATGCAGAAGATTTAGTGGAGGACTTCGAGGCTGTGGAGGGAGTGGAATAGTTAAATGAAAAGATCTCAGTGTCTGAATGATAGTGCAGATTATAGCCACCAGATGACTCACATTCATCTGTGGCTAAGTAAAAAATAACTGTTCTTTGATTTAAGACATTGAAATATTGAGGTTGTTTGATACAGCAGTTAGCTTGTTTTGATGAATATATCTTACATTCCTCCATTCATGTAATAGATACATACTGATTACTTACAGAGTGCTAGAGTCTATGTTATATGCTGATGTTACAACAGTGAAAAAAATATATAGACCTTGGCTTCGCTGCTCTTATAATCTACTGGTGACTAATAAGGGTGGGGATGGAAGGGCTGGTGGAAGGAGATAAAATTCAAAGAAGCATGATTAACATTTTCAAGAAACTGATGTCTATAAAATTGGATAAGAACAATTTCCTTAGGTTATGGACCTTGACTTGTTATTAAAATAGAGTAGAATGTGAGCTAGTAGGTAAAGAGTTGCTAGTTTATGTGGAGTAAAGGATTTTTTTTAACATAAAGATTAAATGACCTAGAAAAATGTACCATATTATGGGAAAGAATCAGAAGCTTGCTGAGTCCTTACTAGATACTAGCCAATGTGCACATGCTCCTGCTTAATTCTGAAAACATTATGAAGCAGGTGTTATCTCTGTTTCTTGTTGCAAAGACTGAGGCTCAGGGACATGAAATTACTTGTCTGAGGTCACACAGCTAATTAGTGGTAGAACTGGCATTCCAGCCAAAGCCTACTGGGTCTTGGCACCATGCTATTTAGTTTTTGTCAGTGGTATTGAGAGCACAGCATACGTGAGAAGAGATCTGATCATTACCTGGTATGGCAGGCTTTAGTCTTGGGAATAAAAGCAAATGCTGCGTTCTTCCCCTCCACTGAGAGATACACACTCCATTAGTTTTTCATTTGCCAGAAGCATCAGTTTTTTAATATTTTCTCTTTCGTTTTATCTCAGGGGAATATCAATCTGTACAGATTTATTATTAATTCCCTGGTAACATGCTTAGCTGCTCAAAAATTTTTTACTGTTGCTTGTAAAAGAAGACCTGCCTGTTCTTGAAATTTCAGGGACTGCAATCACTCTGGATGAAATATTACCTTAAGAGACATTATAAGAAGAAGAGAAGAGCACAGGATAAAGAACTCCTCTACCTCCCACCCATCTGCCTTTTCTCTGGAACAAGCAATAGCTACTTTAGTGGAGGCTGTTTTTCCAGCAGACTGATCCTTTACTTTTTCTCCACAATCTTCCCTGTCCAAGGAATATCAAGTTTATACTTAAAATAACATTTCCAAAGGAAAGTAATCCTCTCAGCAGAGGCTCTTTCTTTTTTTTCTCCAAATTTCTTTTTACTCCTCAGATTCTCATTTTTAATTGACTAGTCTGATATTTATATCTTTTATATGTGGATACCACAAAGCACATTTTTGACTATTATTCTGAACAATTGAAAAATGTTAAATGAAAAATCAAAAGCATTCGCTTCTGCATATATTCATTTATTTATTCAACAAATATTAATTAGAGGCCCACTATGTGTCAGAGCTGGGCTGGTGCTGGAGATGTAACCTCTGCCTCCATGGAAATTATGGTCTACTGGAAGACATAAACATTAAGCAAATAAACACACTAAGAACTTTATAAAACTACAGAATTATCACACCAGCTAATTAAGCTGCATGAATATGGTGGGATGCAAGCATGAAATAGTTGTGTTTTTCTCTAGTCTGTGCTTTCTGTATATTTGGTGATTCTTTCTCACTCCTTAATGACCTTTAGGGGAGCTTCAATAACTTCCCAGTTACCATCTGGCATAAAAAATTCCAATCCAGTTCAGGTCAATCGAGAAGTTAATTCTCTTGTCTGATCCACATTTTTTTTCCCTCTCCCAGTTCTGGCCTGATTTTCGATGAAAGGGGCCTGATTTTCGATGAAAGGGGCATGGCACTGGGAAGGGAGGCATGGTCTTTTTTATTCCTTTTATCCTGACTTACTTTGTCGCTTTGGGCCCCATCAGTAGAGTGTGGGTTTGGGGGAATGTAAGGAAGGAGAATTACAGAAAAGAGTCAAAAGATTTTTTAATCAACTAGTGCTATGATTGGTAGCTCCACTTCAGCTCCTTCTTCTACCTCCCGTGGTATGCCTGTTAATCACCTGCTGCAAAGCTCCCCTCGCCTCTAAGGCCACTCTCTTTGCAGGATTCAGTCAAGTTCCTCAAACCTGGCTACCTTTTGCAGTGTCTACTCCACCCATGAGTAACACACATATGTCTGGGCTTTGGGGAAAAGGATACCTCTCTCAAAACTCTCTATAACTTCCAATAACTCCTTTTAGAAATTACTATCTGTCACATGGGCTTGAATCCAGGTGATTACAGTAGGGCTGATTCTGCTACTGGTAAATCCTATGGGCTGTCTTTGAAGAATGTGGGTATGCTTGGTGCCTATTATTTTCAGCAGTGGAGCTTTAGTTACAAATACCAGAAATAGGAAAAATCCCCTTTAATAACCTGTTACTACTACAATTGCAATACATACTATGAAAGAAAGTATCAGATGTCATGAGAGCTTAGGATGTTGTTATAACAAGATGATTTCATCCAGATTGGAGTGTATTGGATGTTGGATTAGGAAGGGTGTTCCTAAGGAATATACGTTCAATCAAATACCTGAAGAATAGGCAGGAGTTCAGGTTGTGAATGGTCAGGCAATGTGGATTCCAGGCAGAGGAAATAACATGGGAGAAGACTCAAGGCAAGAAAAAGCTTGGCTCCGTAAAAGAATAGAGGGACTTCGAAAATGGTGAATAAGGTCCTCGGTAGATGGTTTCCCCATGGAAACAACCATTAGGTGAAAATTATAAAACACTATCATTTAAAGTCTCTGGAAATTGTATTAGATACATTCATTCAAGAAAATCTACAAATCTCCTTAAGAACACAGTTTGTGGCATCAGAATCATGAACTGCAATCTTTCCTCTCTCTGCCCCTCAGCTCCAAGTTCCAGCAGTTTTACCTGGGCACTTGTCTTACCAAGTTCCAGCAGTTTTACTGCAGGCATGTGTGGCTGAAACAATGGGGCTCTTTCTCACCAGCACTTAGTCTGGGGCCACAGTTTCATCCAGGGATGGGCAGGATGCTGGCATTTCTGCCTTCACCCTGCATTCCCCAAGCCTTGCGTAGCAGAAGCTCCCACTTACGGGGCAGAAGCTCTAGTCCAGGCAGCAGGCAGAGCTCATTTGTAGCAAAGGGGCTCCACACTAAGAGGGACAAGCCAAGGAGACCAGAGTTTGTTTGCACCTCTCCATGCCCACTCATAGTGATGGATTGTGTCACTCTGGGAAAAGCAGTTCTGCCCCTAGCTCTGGGGCAGTGTCACAGGGATTCTTCCCAGGGTAAAGGCAGGCCATAAAGACAAATTACTCCATAGCTCTGCCTAAAGGGACTTTATGTGGAACAGAAAGTGGAGAGCCCATGCCCAACCTTGGTGGAGAACACTTAAGAGGAGAGTGGCAGTTCCATGATACAGGCAAAATGGCAGAGTAGATTATTCAAAAAACAAAATAAGGAAAGAAACAGCCAAGAAGAGCGTTTTTAAGATCTCAGTCAACTCGGGATCAGGAAGGCTATGTGCACAGCTAGGCTGCACCCAGTTGGGAACACTCAGAGCAGAATGTAGGGTAGTCTTACAAACATTCCCCAAGAAGCACATAGCCATCAACACAAGGCAGAAGCTTCACTGCCGTGGAAGTGTTAAATACAACCTTTGACCAAACATTGACTGAATAAGAAGCTACTTTTACTTAGGGTCAACTCCTAGGAAGTCAGGCTTAAAACTATAATCCTACTCATCCTTGGCAATGTAAAAGACTATGTGCCATGTCTGTGATTGTTAATTTTATGTACCAACTTGGGTAGGCCACAGTCCCCAGATGTTTATCAAACACTGATCTAAATGTTGCCATGAAGGTAGTTTTTAGATGAGATTTACATTTACATCAGTAGACTTCGAGTAAAGCAGATTAAGCTTCATGATGTGGGTGGACTTCATTGAATCAGTTGAAGGCCTTAACAGAGAAAAGACTGAGGTTCAACACAGGAAAAGAGAATTCTGCCTCTAAATTGCCTTCAGACTCAAGCAACAATGTCAACTTTTCCCTGGGACTCCAGCCTCCTTTGTAGATTTCAGACTTGCCAGACCAACCAACATGTAAGCCTATTCCTTAAAATAAATATTTCTACATATACATATATTTTATTAGTTCTGTTTCTCTGCAAAACCCTGATTAATACAATGCCCAAGACTTTATCCTCTCAGGAGTCACTAAACAAGGAGCTTCTCAGCTATTAGTCCTTGGCCGAATGTGGAGGCCAAAAATATAAACTCCTTGAACTGTGATAGAAGCCATTAGGCCACATACACATCAAATGGTAAAGAATGAAAATCTAACCGAGTAGGTAGGCTTAAGCAGAACTTTTGACCAATAAGCGGCTTATGTCAATCGAGAGGTGACCTATAGGTTGTCAGTCAAAAAAGAGAAAAACTGACTAGGGACATCAGTGGCTGCACACTGTAGGGGAAATAGACTTCGCATAATTAGTTCAAGCATCATTTGGTAACTAGAGTTGCTATAATATGTTTTCTAAAATTTCCAGTTTTTAACAAAAAAATTATAAGATATGCAAACAGAAACATATGAGCTATACAAAAGAAATAAAAAAGCAGGTAATAGGAACTGCCTTTGAAGAGGCACAGATGGTGGATTTAGCAGACAAAGATGTCAAAGCAGCTATTATAAATATGTTCAGAAAACCAAAGAAAAGCATACTTAAAGAATTAAAGAAGGATACAATGACAAAGTCTCATCAAATACAGGAGACAAAATAAAGAAATAGAAATTATAAAAAAGAAACAAATGAAAATTCTGGAGTTGAAAAGTATAATAATTGAAATAAAAATTCGCTAGAGGCATCCAACAGTCAATTTCAATTTGCAGAATAAAGTATCAGCAAACTTGAAAATAGATAGAGATTCTACAATCTGAAAAATAGGACAAAAAAGAATGAAGAATCAACAAATCCTCAGAGAAATGTGGAGCACCATTAAGTGCACAAAATATGAGCAACAGGAGTACCACAGGTGAAGAGAGAAAAAAGGGACAAAAGAAATAATAATTTAGGCTGGGCGTGGCGGCTCATGCCTGTAATCCCAGCACTTTGGGAGGCTGAGGCAGGTGGATCATGAGGTCAGGAATTTGAGACCAGCCTGGCCAACATAGTGAAACCCCGTCTCTACTAAAAATTCAAAAATTAGCCGGGCACTGTGGCGCATTCCTGTAGTCCCAGCTACTTGGGAAGCTGAGGCAGGAGAATCGCTTGAACCCAGGAGGGGGAGGTTGCAGTGAGCTGAGATTGCACCACTGCACGCCAGCCTGGGCAATAGAGCAAGATTTGTCAAATAAATAAATAAATAAATATATAAATGAAGAAATAATAATGTTAGAAGTCCAAGTTTGGTGAAAACATTGACCTATAATCCAAAAAGTTCAACAAATGCCAAGAAGATATATACAAAGTGATCTACACTCAGACATACTATACTCAAAATACTGAAAGCCAAAGATAAAGACAAAACGTAGGTGATTATGAAAGACACTATAGCTGCATATTTCCTTATATTGTTGGGCCTATAAAGTACAAAAATACTATTTTTGACAATACTAGAACAAAGAAAATGGGTGGGGACAAAGCTGTGAATAAGCAAGTGATACCAGATGGTAATTCAAATTCACAGGAAGAGATGTAGAGAACCAAAAAGGGTAAATCAGATTAATACAGCAAATTCTACAAATACATATTTGCTCTCTTTTCTTTTCTCAGCCTCTTTAAAAGATATAAGATTATAAAAAGTAATAATGACAACAAAGTATTGTTTGGTTTGCAACATTTATAGACAAAACATAGGTAACAATAATAGCACAAACAAAGCAGGACAGGGAATGGAACTATGTAGCAGTAATATTTTTATATTTCCTTGAACTGTGTTAGTTTAAGTCTTAAGTAGATTGTAAAAAGTTAAGATATATATTGTAAACTGTAAATTAATCACTAAGAAAATAACAAAAAAAACAAAAAAAATCAAAATGATACTAATAGAAGATATTCACTTACTATGAAACAAGTCAATAAAAGAAAAATAGAGGGAAAAGGATACGAAATGTGTAGAAAACAAAAAGCAAGATGGCAGGTGTAACTCCAACTATATCAATAATAACATTATTATTAGTGATAACATGTAACAGTGTTATCAATAACAACATTACATGTAAATGAATTAAACAATCTTTTTTTTCTTTTTAAAGTTATTTTCTTTTTTTGTAGAGATGGGGTTTTGCTATGTTTCCTAGGCTAGTCTTGAACTCCTGGCCTAAAGTGATCCTCCCGCCTCAGACTCCCAAGGTGCTGGGATTACAGACATGAGCCACTGTGCCTGGCTGAATTAAGCAATCTAATCAAAAGGCAGAAATTGTCTGATTGGACAAAGAACAAGATCCAACTATGTGCTGTTTACAGAAGATGCGCTTTTGCTTAAAAAGTACAGCTGAAAGAAAAAAAATGGAAAAAGATATATGATTCAAACAACACCCATAAAAGAGCAGGACTATACTAATATCAACAAAATAAACTTTAAGACAAATTGAGTTACTAGAGATAAAATAAAGTTATTTTCTAATGATAAAAGGGTCAATATAGCAGAAAGATATATTAGTTCAGATGGGTTCACTGGCAAATTCTACTAAAGAAGAGTGGATACCAATTCTTCACAAACTCTTTCAAAAAACAGAAAAAAATCCCATTTCATTCTAAAACATAGGAAGCCCTTCCCAATTAATTCTACGAGGACACTATTATGTTGATATCCAGACAATGACATCTAAACAAATGTACACACCAAATTCTCCAATGAATGTTAACACAAAATCCACGATAAAATAGTAGCAAACCTAATGCATCGAATATAAAAAGGATTATATACCTGACCAAGTATGATTTATCTGAGCAATACAAGGTTGCTTTAACATTCAAAAATTAATTAATGAAAGTATACCATGAGTGTACAGTAAGAAAACTACATATACTATTGATATAGATTTCCTATTATAACTGTTTATTTTCCTACTATATTATTGATACTTCTGTGATCAGATGTATGTTTTCTTTTTCCCTATACCAAATAATTCTGCAGACAGCAGGTAGGTATCCTAAAGTTCATTTAAATTCTGATACTATTTTCCCAGAGATAGCATGAGATCCCATAGGTTGAGAACTCAGTCCCACAAGGCTGCCTCCTCTTCAGACACCAATTGCAAGTCCCAGGTTGTGACCTGTGCTTTTGACCAACCAGCTGTATATATAATTGGGGTTCCCACAAGCTCCTGCACTCCTCCTCAGGTCTGATAATTTGCTAGGAGGGCTCACAGAACTCAGGGAAACTATGTTTACTAGTAGCTATCCCATCGTAAAGGATATTACAAAGGTTACAGATGAATAGTAAGATAGAAAAGATGCACAGGGCAAGGAATGGGGGAAAGGATGTGGGGCTTCCATGCTTCCTCTGGATGCACCACCCTACTAGTACCTCCACATGGTCAGCAACTTGGAACCTCTCTGAACCCTGTCTTTTTTGTTTTTTATTAAGGCTTCATTATGTAGGCATGATTTATTAAAGAATTTGTTATTGGTGATCAACTCAATTTTCAACTCCTCTTCCCTTCCCAGAGGTCAGTGGGTGAGGCTGAAAGTTCTAATGCTCTAATAACAAGATTGGTCTCCTCTGGCTTATCCTGAGTCTATCCAGGAGCCCCAGTTAGTCATCTCATTAGCGTACATAAAGATACTCGTTAACTTGGAGATTCCAAGGGTTTGGAAGCTGTGTGCAGAGAAACTGGATGAAGACCAAATATATATTTAATTCAATTTATTGATTTGATCAAAAAAGGCTTTTTGGAGGTAGTTTCTCACTATATTTACCAGGCTGGATTAGAACTACTGGGCTCAAGGGATCCTCCTACCTCAGCCTCCGAGTGGTTGGAACTACAGACATGCACCACCTTGCCCGGCTCATTTCTTATTAAAAACTCACAGTATCACAAGTTGAATAAAGGACAAAAACTGTGTGATTATCAGTAGATGAAGGAAAAGCAAATTTTAACATTCTTTCATTATAAAAACACTGAAAAAAGAGAAAAGGGAATTTTCCAAATAGACAACGGACATTTATGAAAAACTGACAGTTAATATCATACATAATGGTTAAAGATTTAAAACTTTACCCCTAAGATCAAGAACAAGACAAGAATGTCTTCTATTGACACTTTCATTCAACCGTGTACTGAAGGTTCTAGCCAGGACAATTAGGCAGAAAAATAAAATTAAAAGCATCTAAATTGAAAATGAAGAAGTAAAACTATCTCTGTTTGCAGATAACATAATCTTGAATAGAGAAAATCCTAAGGGGCTTACTAAAAAACTATTAGAATTAATTATCAAGTTTTGAAAGGTTGCAGGATACAAGATCAATATATAAAAATCAGTTGTATTTTTATACACTAGCAATGTGCATTCCAAAAATGAAATTAAGAAGACAAGTCCATTTACAATAACAGTTACAAAGAATACAATATTTAGGTATAAATTTAACAAAAGATATACAAGGCTTGTACACAAAAGCTATAAAATATTTTTGAAAGAGATTGACAAAGAGAAATAAATGGAAAGATATTTCATGTTCTTGGACCAGAAGAGTTAAGATTATTAGGATGGCAGTACCGTCAAAATTGAGCTGCAGCTTCAATACAATCTTTATCAAAATGCCAGCTGGCTTTTTGTTGTTGTTGTTGTTGTTGTTGCAGAAATTGACAAGCTGATCCTAAAATTCACTGCAAAGGACCCAGAATATCTAAAACAATCTTTAAAAAGCATGAGGTTGGAGGGTTTATACTTCCCAATTTCAAAAGATTTTACAGAGAAACAGTCATCAAGACAGCGTGTTGCTGTCATAAGAATAAACATATGGTTTAATGGAATGGAATCTAGAGTTTAGAAATCAATGAATATATTTATGGTCAACTGATTTTTTTTTTTTTTTTTTTTGACACGGAGTCTTGCTCAGTCGCCCAGGCTGGAGTGCAGTGGCGCGATCTCGGCTCACTGCAAGCTCTGCCTCCCGGGTTCACGCCATTCTCCTGCCTCAGTCTCCCAAGTAGCTGGGACTACAGGCGTCTGCCACCACGCTGGGCTATTTTTTTTTTTTTTTTTTTTTTTTTTTGTATTTTTAGTACAGACGGGGTTTCACCATGTTAGCCAGGATGGTCTCAATTCCCTGACCTCGTGATCCACCCGCCTCGGCCTCCCAAAGTGCTGGGATTACAGGCATGAGCCACCACGCCTGGCCAGTCAATTGATTTTTGAAAAGGGTGTCAACACAATTAAATGGGGAGAAAGAATAGACTCCAAAGCATGGTGCTGGGACAATGAAATACACACATACAAAAGAATTAATTTGGACACAGACCTCACACCATGCAAAAAATTAACTCAAAATGAATCTTAAACCTAAATATTACAGCCAAAACTATAAAAATCATATGAGTAAATCTTCTTGACCTTGGGTTAAGCAATCATTATGAGATACACTAAAAGTACAAGTGACAAAAGAAAATAGGTATGTTGGGACTGCTTCAGAATGAAAAACTTTTGTGCTGCAAATGATACCTTAAAGAAAGTGAAAGTACAACCCATGAATAGGAGAAAATATTTGCAAATTATATGTCTGATAAGGGACTGGTCTCCGGAATATATAAAATTCTCTTACAACCTAGTAATAAAAAGATGACTGAATTAAAATACGAGCAAAGGGTTGATTAGACATTTCTTCAAAAAAGACATGGAAATGGTCAATAAGTTACTTTTCTTGGGGTGGGAAAAATGTAAAACAACCTTAAGATCTTTGAAGAAGAATAAAAGACTTTTAGGGGTCTTATACATAATTTAGTATAACCTCACTAGTTCTTGAGTAAACAGTACCTTCAAGTGTAGAGATTGAGAGTGTGGGTGTTTGAATAAAATGAACTCAGGTTGTAGTCCTGTTCCTGAAACATGCTGGTTTTGTAAGGTAACCTCAAAAATGTCAACTATTCTAATAATGTAGAGTATCTGCTGAGCACTTATTATCTGCCAAGTATTATTTATAAACTTAAAAAATTATTTCATCTAATTTTATTATTAATGACCATACTCTGAGGCAGTTACAAGAATTATCTCATTCGCTAATGAGAAACTTGGAGTACAGAGAAGACAAGTAACTTGCTCAAGCTGACACTATCAGTAAGTGGTAGAGTCCTAATTCAAACTGTCTTAAGGCACTTGAGGGTTATGTCACAATACCGCCTCGGTTTTCTTACTATCAAAAATAAAGAAAATAATGATATTTGTTTCTTAGAACTGTGAGAATTAATTGAAAGGGAATACATACCAAATTCATGGCATATAGAAAGCACTAGAAAATTTTAACTAAAGTTACTTAAAATTAATTTTCATGTTAGCTACTTTTAAATATGAAGATACTCTTAGCTCATCACTGCAGTTTAATAATTGCTTAGATGCTTTGGTTTCTCCTGCAATGATTTCATCATCATTTAGTGTTCTAAGTGCAATTTGCTATTTATAGAAGCATTTATGGCTTCTTATAATTATTAACATACCACCTATGCTAGCTGTAATGTTTTTCCCTTTTGAAAGTTGTTTGTTGTAACTTTATATAAATCCAGTATTAACTGTTTGAGAGCCTTATTGCCAAATGAAACAAAATATTCTTCTAGATTATATCCAGAATGATTAAAAATTAGCAGGCTTCTGTTCTATGTTCATACATGTGGTAGATGTCTCATATGTGTGTATATATATACTTATATGCAGACTCTGTGTTTGTGTGTTTGTGTACGTGTTACATCTATATTTGGCAGTATAGGAGGTGGTATAGTGAGTTTTCTATTTGTCTTGCTCCTCTGCTGGAGCTTGGAAAATAATATTTTCTATCTTGTATTAAACTATAAAATCAATACATACATTATAAATCATAGCAGAGACCAGCAAAGTCAACCAAGTCAAAATGACTCCCAGTCCTCCTAGAATTAACTGGAGGATGGAATGAGTAGATATAACTAACAAAAGAATATGTCACTCATAAAGGAAAGTAGGTCAGGCACAGAAGTATAGACAAGGAGGTATCAGTAAGGGCTGGTAATTCCCATCTAAGCATTGATCAGGGGAAAAGGAGATGTGGGTCACATACAATAATGATTAAGTCTTGTGAAAACAAATACAACAGGCAATCCAGTTTTATGCCATGAATCCACTGAATTAGATAATATTTTGCTTAGATTTTGTGCACTCTAAATCACATTTAATTACATGTTTTTTTCTTCCAGGTAGGTGTTTGTGATGCTTGATTTTATGTGTCAATTTGACTGGCCACAAGATGCCCACATTAAACATTATTTCTGGGTATGTCTGTGAGGGTGTTTTAGAAGAGATTAGCATTATATCTGTGGACCCAATTAAGTAGATTTTCCTTCCTAATATGAGTTAGTATCAACTAATCAGTCAAGGATCTGAATAGAATTAAAGGCAGAGGAAAGAGGAATGCATCCCTTTTTGCTTCCTGCCTGTGTTCCTGAGTGGGGCCATCTCATTTTATGTCCTTTGGCCCTCAGACTGAAATTTGCACCATTGGCTTTGCTGGTTCTCAGGTTTTGACTTGAACCTGAACTGCACCAATGGGTTTCCTTGGTCAACAACTTATAGATGGGAGATCTTGGAACTTCTTGTCTTCCATAACTCTGTGAGCCAATTCCATGTGCATACGCATGTGTGTCTACACACACACACACACACACACACACACAATTTATCATGCTGCTTTTCTCTGGAAAACTCTAATAGTCTTCCAATAGAGGCAAAAGGCAACAGTGTTCTGGTGGGAAAAACGGTTGTATTTTCTAATGTAAACTCAAAAATTAGCATTCTGACTTCCTACATAAGTTTTCTGAGTTCTATCCTTGAGAGATGGATTCCTCTACCTTCTTTTAGGACCAATGAAGTCTGAACCTTGCAACCTTCATAAAAACCCCAGAACTGGCTAAATTCATCAAGGTTTTGCTACTCTGGGAGGCACCTTGTAGACACTGCCTGTAATTTCAAGTATCCCAAACAACTTTTTTGATCAGATTTCTGTTTCAATATGTAGTGTTGCTTATAACATGTGGTTATGATATTTAATTTTATTCTATGACATATTGTAGCCCTGTCCTCCGAGACGGGGCTATAGTTCTCACCTATGACATCAAGCAAATTAATTATTACTAGAAGACATTTATTTATTCTTTTATTCATTTATTTAACAAATATTTATCGAACACTTATTTTATCCTACATATTTTAGAAGACACTGGGTATATAGCTGAAGTCTGCAAAAATTTTTATGCTCAGACAAAGAGCAAATAATTTAGGCTCTGTGGACCATAACAATTGTGGCCTCCACAATTGTTAAACTCTGCCATTGTAGTGTGATAGCAGCCATAGATAACATGTAACAAATAACTGTGGCTTATAAAATGTATTTATGAACATTGAAATTTTAAGTTCATGTAATTTTCAGTTGCCATATAGTATTCTTTGATTTTTTTCTTGATCATTTAAAAACCTTTCATATCTCATCGGTCACACAAAAATGGGCAGACAGCTGAATTTGGTTTGTGGGTTTTATTTTGCCAACCCTTACATATAGTATTGAATAAAACATATATGATATTTGCCCTTTGGGGCTTAAAATCTAGTGGATGACTGCTTTGATTAGGGTGCAGAAACCTCATAGTTAACTGGTGGTATGGGTTGAATCCCCCTTTCAAAACTCATGTTGAAACTTAATAGCCATTGTGATGCTATTAAAAGATAAGGCACTTAAAAGGTAATTAGGTCATGAGGGCTCTGCCTTTGTTAATGGTTTGATGCCATTATTGTGGGAATGGGTTAGCTATCGTAGGAGTGGGTCCCTGATAAAAGGATAAAGTTCATCTCCATCCTTTCTCTGTCTCATGTGCTCACTTGCCCTTCCACCTTCTGCTATGGGAGGATACAATGAGAAAACCCTCATCAGAGGTGGCCCCTGGATCTTGGAATTCCCAGTCTCCAGAATCATAAGCCAAATAAACTTCTTTTGTTCATAAACTACACAGTCTGGTATTCTGTTATAGTAGCACAAAATGGACTAAGACAACGGGAATATGCATGTTACAGTGGCAGGGCCATCTTCTCCCTACTCATAGGACATGACTAACATTCGTGGAACTCATAGCAAGAATACAAATGGAAGCACATACGTGGTAAGTCTAAATCTTTAAAAGCAAAAAATCAAGGTGATAAACTTGTAAATGAAATATATTCTATCATATTCTTGACAAGCATACCTTCAACATGACTTAGAAGGTCAGAGTCCAACTTAGAAATTTCATACTTTTTATAGTTCTACACCAGAAGATACAGGCTAAAGATACAGGACCCAGCCTACATATGGTTTGTCTGTGTTCCCACCCACATCTCATCTTGAATTACAGCTACCATGATTCCCTCATGTTGTGGGAGGGACCCAGTGGGAGATAATTTACTCAGGAGGGCAGTTTCCCTCATACTGTTCTTGTGGTAGTGAATAAGTCTCATGAAATTTGATTGTTTTATAAGGGAAAAACTCTTTTCCTTGGTTCTCATTCTCTTATCTTTTCTGCCGCCATGTGAGATGTGCCATTCACCTTCTGCCATGATTGTGAGGCCTCCCCAGCCACGTGGAACTGTGAGTGCACTAAGCATCTTTTTCTTTTTGTAAATTGCCCAGTCTCTGATAAGTCTTTGTCAGCAGCATGAAAATAGACTAATACAGTAAATTGGTACCAGTAGAGTGGGGCACTGTTGAAAAGATACCCAAAAATGTGGAAGTGACTTTGGAACTGGGCAACAGGCAGAGGTAGGAACAGTTTGGAGGGCTCAGGAGAAGACAGAAAAATGTGGGAAAGTTTGGAACTCCTTAGAGACTTGTCAAATGGCTTTAACCAAAATGCTGATGATATGGACAATGAAATTCAGGTTGAGGTAGCCTCAGATGGAGATGAGGAACTTGTTGGGAACTGGAGCAAAGGTGACTCTTGTTATGTTTTAGCAAAGAGACTGGTGGCATTTTGCCCCTGCCCTAGAGATCTGTGGAACTTTGAACTTGAGAGAGATGATTTAGGGTATCTGATGGAAGAAATTTCTAAGCAGCAAAGCATTCAAGAAGTGACTTGGGTTCTGTTAAAGGCATTCAGTTTTAAAAGGGAAGCAGAACATAAAAGTTCAGAAAATTTGCAGCCTGACAAAATAATAAAAAAGTAAATTCCATTTTCCGAGGAGAAATTCAAGCTGGCTGCAGAAATTTGCATAAGTAACGAAGAGCCAAATGTTAATCAGCAAGACAATGGGGAAAATATCTCCAGGGCATGACAGAGACCTTTGTGGAAGCCCTCCCATCTCAGGCCTGGAGGCCTAGGAGGAAAAAATGGCTTCATGGGCTGAGCCCAGGGTCCCTCTTCTGTGTGCAGTCTAGGGACTTGGTGCTTTGCATCCCAGCTCCTCCAGCTGTAACTAAAAGGGGCCAACATACAGCTTGGGCTGTGGCTTCAGAGGGTGCAAGCCCCAAGCCTTGGCAGCTTTCATGGGGTGTTGAGCCTGCAAGTGCACAGAAGTCAAGAACTGAGGTTTGAGAACTTCCACCTAGATTTCAGAGGACGTATGAAACACCTGGATGTCCAAGAAGTTTTCTGCAGGAGTGGGGCACTCATGGAGAATCTCTACTAGGGCAGTGTGGAAGGGATATGTGGGGTGGGGTGCTCCCACACAGAGCCTCCACTGGGGAGCTGCTTAGGGTAGCTGTGAGAAGAGGGCCACCATCCTCCAAACCCCAGAATGGTATATCCACTGACAGCTTGCGTCATGCACCTGGAAAAGCCACAGACACTCAACACCAGCCCATGAAAGCAGCTGGGAGGGAGGCTATACTCTGCAAAACCACAGGGGAGGAGCTGCCCAAGACCATGGGAAACCACCTCTTGCATCAGGGTGACCTGGATGTGAGACATGAAGTTAAAGGAGATCATTTTTGGAGCTTTAAGATTTGACTACCCTGCTGGATTTTGGACTTGCATTGGTCCTGTAGCCCTTTTGCTTTGGCCAATTTTTCCCATTTAGAACAGCTGTATTTACCCAATGCCTGTACCCCCATTGTATCTAGGCAGTAACTAACTTGCTTTGATTTTGCAGGCTTATAGGCAGAAGGGATTTCCTTTGTCTCAGATGAGACATTGGACTGTGGACTTTTGGGTTAATGCTGAAATGAGTTAAGACTTTGGGATACTGTTGGGAAGGCATGATTGGTTTTGAAATGTGAGGACATGAGATTTGGGAGGGGCCAGGGACAGAATGATATGGTTTGGCTGTGTCCCCACCCACATCTCATCTTGAATTGTAGCTCTCACTATTCCCTTGTATTGTGAGAGGGACCCAGTGGGAGGTAATTGAATCATAGGGGCAGTTTCCCCCATACTATTCTTGTGGTAGTGAATAAGTCTCATGAGATCTGATGGTTTAAAGGGAAACCCCTTTCATTTGGTTCTCATTCTCTTCTCTTGTCTGCTGCCATGTGAGTCTTGCCTTTCACCTTTAGCCATGATTGTGAGACCTCCCCAGCCACGTGGAACTGTGAGTCCATTAAACCTCTTTCTTTTGTAAATTTCCCAGACTCTAGTATGTCTTTATCGGCAGCATGAAAAAGGACTAATACACAGCCCATAGCTGGCTCTGCCTTCTCATTTCACTTCCAGCTCAATCCTGCATTATGAGGGTCTTTATGTACATTCCTATGTACACCTCAGCCACAAGTCCAAATTCTGACCATATCTTTGCAAGCATTTTTCTTGTGGCCACACCTTGGGCCTAAGACTGGGCACATTAGAAGCAGAGCTTGGAGAAGACTGGCATAGGTCCTGGAAGCAGCTTAGAGACAATGGAGCTCCCTAGCATATAGTGTACAAAGGAGAGTGCAGTTTTCACATAGGCATGTCTCCTTTGGTTCACAGACTCCTTACCAGTGAGGAGGGACACAGCTGAAGAAGGGCCAGGGAAGCGTCCTTTAAAGTATGGGTTTGAGGACAGGGTCCTCACTGGGACAGTGAAAGAATGATCCATGCTAGAGGACAGCCCATCTTCAGCAGAGGCCCTTCTACTTTGCTCTTTGCTCATCTGTCATGGAAAGTTATTGTTCACCTTCCTTTTTTGAATTCTCCCTTTAGACCCTCCTTCACATCCTATCTGAACCATCCTCCTTCTTTCTCTTTTTCCCTCCTACCCAGGCTTGTCTAGTCTTTTGGAGGCACTCTGGATGCCATGCAGAATCTTCTTCTTGCACTTGTGCTAAAGGTTTACTTGAATTTCTTTTTCTGTTCCAGTCTGTTTGAGGAGAAAGAGCAGTCAGTCCTTTGGCTGCAGGTAAAAGAAGGAGAGAGAGAAATACACAGAGAACAATTAGATTAATATTTCAAGACATGACTATGCCATAGGTATTATGTCTCTAAAGGATTACATATTCTTTATTTTGCAGGGTAAATATGAATCAATGGTTGCTGACTTACAAACACTTATAAGCTATGACAAAAGATGCCAATTGGAGCAAGATGTAAAGGAACAAAACATCTATACATTTAACAATAAAAAACACTGCATGCTTTTAATGTGTCAGGCACCAGTGTAAGCACTAATTTATATTGACTTATTCAATCTATTTCGTGAGATAGATAATATTTGCCACAACTTTATAGATGAAGAAACTGAGGCAGAGAGGAGCTGAATATTTTCCTTAAGGTCACACAGCTAGAAAGTGGCATAGCTGGAATTCAAACAAAAGCACTTTGTTTTCAGAGTTTGCTGTGATGTTAGAATTCTATTATACTAATATGCATCTTCTTCTTAATTGTCTTCAGCTCAACGATTTACATACTAGTAAATAGTATGTATTCTATTAGTATGTATTCTCCATCTTTCAGAAGGAGTTAGGTCAATAGCTGTCACATCAGCTTGACTGCTCATCTTTAGAGATCAGATTTTTTAGCCATATTTGCAGAAGAGAATTCAGTCAATTTTCTTAGTGGTCCCTCTCAAAAGTTTAAAGAAACTACTCTTATAATAAGACAGTGATATTTCTCGTTTTCCTTATGACTAGAGTTTGTTCAGTAGATGCTGACCCTATTCCTAGCATTTTCCATTTCCAATTTTGCTTTCATTTTCCTGGTGGACTTTCCTACTTTCCCTTCCAGTAGTTCTTAGACCTTATACATCACAAAGATCTTTAGCTGGTAAGAGACGAGAATATGTCTCCCCAAAATATGAGGGATTGTTGAGCTGAAGACAGTTAAGAAGAAGAAGATGCAGAAGAGCTCTCTGTCCTCCTTTTATTTGTCTAGAAGTGGAACATAAAATTTACTTGGAGAAAATATATACTACCTGCTGTGGTTTGGGTATGATTTGTTTTGTTCCCACCAAACTCATGTTAAAATTTGATCTCCAGTGTGTGATGTTGGGAGGCCTAGTGGGAGGTGTTTGGGTCATAGGGGCAGATCCCTTATGAATGGCTTGATTCTGTTCTCTTGTTTGTAAATTCTCACTCTCCTGAGACTGGGTTAGTTCTCATGTGAATGGATTAGTTCCCACAGGAGTGGGTTGTTATAAAGCCAGGGCACTCCTCAGGTTTTTTTCTCTCTTCTTTTCTCTGTGTTTGTATGTGTCCACTTCTTCTTTGACCTTCTCACGATGTTATGTTGCAGCAGATGCCCCTCAGTAGAAGCCAAGCAGATGCTGGCATCATGCCTCTCTTAATTTCCAGCCCACAGAACCATGGAAAAAAATAATCTTTCTTTCTTTCTCTCTCCCTCCCTTCCTTCCTTCCTTTCTTTCTTCTTTCCTTCCTTCCTTCCTTCCTTCCTTCCTTCCTTCCTTCCTTCCTTCCTTCCTTCCTCTCTCTCTCTGTGTTTTTCTTTCTTTCTTTTTTTTTTTTTGATGGAGTCTTGCTCTGTCTCCCAGGCTGGAGTGCAGTGGCATGATTTTGGCTCACTGCAATCTCCGTCTCCCAGGTTCAAGCGATTCTCCTGCCTCAGCCTCCCAAGTAGCTGAAACTACAGGTGCACGCCGTGATACCCCGCTAATTTTTTGTATTTTTAGAAGAGACGGGGTTTCACCATGTTGGCCAGGCTGGTCTTGAACTCCTGACCTTAGGTGATCCACCCTCTTTGGCCTCCCAAAGTGCTGGGATTACAGGCGTGAGCCACCGTGCCCAGCCAACATATTTTCTTTATAAATTACCCAGCCTCAAGTATTCTGATACAGCAACATAAAATGGACTGACACTGCCCCCCGGCCCCCTCCCCCGACACTAGGTAGAACAAAGGTTAAAAATTGAAGACAGCTTTAGACCCCCACTGGCCTGGAGATAATACCAGAATAATTTATATTAACAATCTTTACTAACTAGCCTATATCAGCCACTCATTTGCCTTTCCCCAGGTTGCTTCTTGTAGATACTCAAAGTCCTTTTTCTTTATCTTGTCTTTCTTTAAAAATGTACTGTTCTTTGTTGAAAATGCTATAGATGCAGGAATTCAAAGCCACTTCTTTGAGAATTACTCATTCTCTGGGTGTCTGTCATGTATATATGAAAGGCACATGTTAATAAACTTCTGTTTGTTTTTGTCTTCTTAATTTGTCTTTTATAACAGAGGTCCATTCCAACTATGAATTTATGGGGGTTATTATTTTTGCCCTACAATATTCATGATCAAGAAAGCTGAGAGCTACAAAGATTTAGCTGTCTTGTTCAGTGTTGGTGGGGACACTAATTATGTCAAACGTTTTAACATGGTTTAAACACATATCATGAATGAAGCAATTCTTAAAAAACAATAGCCGGGTGCGGTGGCTCACGCCTGTAATCCCAGCACTTTGGGAGGCTGAGGTGGGTGGATCACAAGGTCAGGGGTTCCAGACTAGCCTGACCAGCATGGCGAAACCCCGTCTCTACTAAAAATACAAAAATTAGCTGGGTGTGGCGGCGGGCGCCTGTAATCCCAGCTGCTCAGGAGGCTGAGGCAGGAGAATTGCTTGAACCCGGGAGGCGGAGGTTGCAGTGAGCCGAGACTGTGCCACTGCACTCCAGCCTGGGTGACAGAGCGAGACTCCGCCTCAAAAAAAAAAAAAAAAAAAATAGCACGTTTGTTTTTCTATAGGCATATTTAAAATAAAACAACTGCTTGGAAGTTTTTTTTTTGAAAACGTGGGTGTGATTATTTGAAGGAGTATCGTCCTTCTTTAGGGTGTTTGAATTTTGTCAGTCTAGCTGATTGTCCATGTACTTTGTTTTTCAACTAACTGATTAGTCAGGTTTCTCACCAGTTACCAAATAAATCAGATATAAAGCAGTGATGGCTTCTAAAAAACATTTCAACATTTACTAAAGGAAAAAAAACTACCTTATTGCTTGCTATTCACAGGGAAATTGTGAGCACTAGATTTCATTTAAACATGAGCTTATGCTTATATGCCAAATAGGCATTTTCTCATAAATGGTTATAAAATAATGCTTTTATTGAAATTTTTGTGTAACTACAGGCTAATATCTCTCAAAAAGTTTGTCTTTTGAAGTGTGTATATTTTGGTTTAAAACATCAGTCAGCAAATATGGAGTTGTGATATTGATGACACAATCATACTTCATGAACCAAGGGAACTTTATATTGGTTAGTGATACATTGCAAGGCTTTCTTGGATTCTCTAGTATTTCAACAGCACTAATAGGATATAACATAATATCTGGTTTTAAGATTCTATTGATTATAAGATGAACCATAACTTTTAAAATAACTTTTCAGGAAAAAAAAATTCAGTAAATCAAATATACATGCTGAGTATCTGACTATATCCAGATTTCTAAAATATTACAATGTGAAAAAATTTATATTTTAGAATTGAAGCAGTGTGGTAATTCTAGCCAAAAAAGTAACAAGAATACTAGAAATGGTTATACAATCCTTCAAACTAAATTCCTTATTATAATAATGACTATCAATAATATGTATAGCATCAATTGAGAGCTTTCTATTTGCCAGGCATTGCCAACACCTACCATAAATGATTACATTTAATCCTCACATCAATTATTTCAGTGGGTACCATTATTTCCCTTGTTTTAGAGACAATGGCATTGCTTTAAGTTTTAGAGAGAATGTTGGGACTAGCACTTACCTTTAAAATATATATGTAGAAAGGAAAAATAATTTTTTTCTCTACTCTTCATAGTTTTTAGTTGAGGTGGACCCCTCTAACAAATGACAAATTAAAATGAGAAAAACAAATAGAAGTTTTATAATATATATACCTCACGTATATATAAGAGATGCCCAGAGAAATGAGTAAATCCAAAGATATGGCTGTAAATTTAGGCCTAAGTACTATCTCTAATTGTTAAGGAGGCCAACAATATTTTAAAAATTTATTTTTCTTTTTTGATTTATAAAATTATTTTGTGTGAGTTACTACAAATGGGAGAGGAAGATAACATTGGGCCTGAACAAATGAACAGATGCGGTTGGCCAGGTAAATTCACTAACTATGCAGTTTATTTCATCCTATCAGGCTCATGGCGGGAGGAAGATGCGATTCAAATTCATTCTCAGCAAAATTAAAAATGACCACAAATCATGACATTTTAGAATTATTGAAGAGTAAATAAAAGTGATGAGGTTCGGGACACACTACCCCAAAATATGGCACTTTAGCATTTGAAGATAGAGCAGAAGCAGGAAGGTCACTCTTACCTTCCCTTTGCCTCTTCTTCCTTGAAGCAGGTTGTAAACCCTAGTAGCCCCTCTCATGAAGGAGATTGTAAGACTCTCATCCCAGAAGCGCCCTCCCTATACCTGGAGGATAAGAATGTTATTATCTCTGAGGACACTGAGACAGAAAAGAAACTGTACAAACAGTCCTTGCTAAATTCCTCCTAGCTTATTAACATTAGGTTATAACCCCTTTGTCTAATCATACTTCAGCATGACTGCTCTTCATCAAACCCATCCATAAAAACACACAGGTTTTCCTGTTTCTTTGGGTCTTCATTTCTGAAGGCTCCCATGTCATATAAAACTTATATTAAATACATTTGTATTTTTTTCTTGTTAATTTGTCTTTCATTATAGGTGCCTCAGCCATCAATGGGTGAAGAAAGAAATCTTTCCTCCCCTATAGTTTCTGGTACCCATTGAAGGACAGCTGAGACACCCGACTTACTCTGGAGCTAGCAGATGAAACCCTGGGACAACTGACAAAAGCCAGCAAAAGATAAGGATTCTTATCAAGGTCAGCTATCTCACATCTCTGTCTGTAGTGCTCAGTCAAGACAGGAAGATATAAAAACTTCTTGTCTCACCCTTTCAAAGTTTAGATTAGCAGGAGAAAACATCTTTGTATGAACTAATTCTTTGGGCATAGCAACTTTTGTGATTTTGCTTAAGTACTCTTGATTTTTTTTATCATTTAACTCCCAAAGATAGTCTTTTTCCCCATGTCTCTATCTTTTTGTGTTTGTCACGACAAAGACAATCAGAAAATGTTCTCCTTCTGTCTTATTGTATCTTGAGAGCTTGGCTTGTAACTAGTGAGAGGAAATTTTCCCTGGTGTCCACCAACCAGGAATGCTGGTTGTGGAAATCTGGATCTAGTGGTTAGCTTTGAAGGAGAGAAAACCCGAGGAATGTCTGTCAGACCATACCAACTCTCAGGGGAATTTGTCTCATCTCTACCTTAGTTGCTATGTCCTGTGGCAATGAGGATCTTTGCTTTCTTAAAGCTATCTTTGGGAGTGACTCTTGGATCGTGGGAGTTGCTTCTTCTGCACCTGCTCCAGGGATGCCCCTTTTATCCATTGTAAAAATTTGTTCTAAGCCTGGAAAGTTAACTCTAGGTCTTATCACGAAAAGGATTATTTGACTATGTCACTTTTTGAATAAGTGCACTTCTGGAGATCCCACTTGTCAATGACTAGATGATGAATCCTTTGATTTGGAAAACTTTTGTATTTGAAAGAGTTCTTATCCTAAACAAATGCCCTATTGGTACCTGTGGGGAGATCAAATTGAAATGGGGACACAAAAGAGCATTACAACTAGCCTTAGGGACTAGTTGTAGTCCCTAGTCTACAAAGAACAGAAATAAAAATACACGGGTTTCCCTGTTTCTTTGGGCCTTTATTGTCTTATGAAGGCTCCTGTGTCACATAAAACACATTAAGCAAATTTGTATTATTTTCTTTTGTTAATTTGTCTTTTGTTATAGGGGTCTTAGCCATGAACTTAGCAATTGGTGAGAAAAGAAATCATTTTTTTCCCTTCAAAATACAAAAACCATTGAATGTTCAATTGCCAAGGGGTTATTGAAATATTTTTATTTACATTGCTTCAATGTTGGCCACCACTGTAGGCTTATGATAGAATTTGCTAATTTTTAAACGTTGGGTATTTTAAACTTTCTGTTTTACAATATATAGTTTATGTTTGAATTGAGGTAAGAAATAGGAATAAAAGGTCTGAAGTAATCTGACCTGTGTCATGCTACAAATTATTACTTTGATTTTAGCTTTAAAGAATAAACTTGTAAGGCTATTTTATCTTTATTGGCTTGATGACTTGTTTCTGGAATTAGAATCTGAATTTGCTTAACATCTTATCAACATAGGGCAACATCATTTATGTATATCTTAAAAGGTGACAAACAGAAATGTGTTTTGATTAGCACCTGCCCTCCAAGTCACCCACACACAAAAACTTTTCTCGTTAGAGCACAGCCCAACTCCTCATTGTTTAATCAAACTGAATACCATGACCCTACTTGAAGTTGAAATAATTTAATGCTAAAATCTCAGCCTGAATTTTATTTATGAACCAGCTGCCTGTGAAATATGCATAGGCATTTGAAATTAGTAATAATGAGTAGAATATATACATATTTAAAAAAATACATGGATCATTTCCTGCCTTTTTTTGTGGTTAAAGCAGTCTAGGAGAGCAGCAGCCTCCTCCAGCTGCTATTATCATTCCACATTTCTCTTTTACTGCCCATCAAACATGTATAGATTTAATGACCTGGAGAGGGATCAGTGAAATTCTTCACAGCACTGCATGTTTATTAATGGGCCTCCTGTTCATTGTGATGTGATAGTGTCAGGATTATGCCAGTGGTATTGCAGGAGGCAATTGAGTGTTTCTTTATTCCTGATAAAAAGGAAATTAGCCACTGATCAGCAACACAGAGACAACTTAACATTCTCGTGAAGTAAACCAGAATATTTCACCCCAGAATATACTTTGACGTGTTGTGGGATGGCTATTCAGAGAGGCTATAAGCCACAGGACAGCCTTGAAAAGTTGTCCTTTTGTAGGGGAGATTTGCATCTGTGGAGGAAATCTACATAGTGAGATAAATAGTGGATGCAAACAGGGTTTTCTGATGCCCCCCTCCATACCCCTCTTATCAAGATCTAGGAAAAATTAACTCACAGGAAAAGGAGACTAAAAGTTTCACACTTCTAAAAGCCTGACAGAGAAACTTTTAGCACAGGCTGTCATCTATTCTTTCTGAGGGCAGCCCTGAAATTTCCAGAGAGATTATATTTGCATAACATGCCAAATTTTGCTTGCCATGCTTCTCTTCCTTCTTTCATCCATAACCTGTGATGCCCCTCAACCCCTCCACAGCAGTCCCAGGCACCTAGTCTAAACCTTCAGTCATCTGGCCTCTCTTTTTGTATGTGGCTCCTTTGCCCTATGAACGTTAATATATCTGTATCCTTTTTTTTTCTGTTAATCAGTCTATTGTCAATTTATTTCAACAAACTTAGACTAAAACCTTCAGAGGCAGAGGGAATTCTCTTTGCCCTTACACTGACAATGCACGGGGGAAGGAGAAAGACAAGGATCGTAAAGAGATTAGAAGATAAAGTGATATTTGATTAGTTTGCCCTGTTCTAGGACATGACAAAAAAGGAACAGCAGCATGGGCTGGAAAAGAGGAAGTAATGGACAATAATGAAAGCAAAAATTAATTTAAGTATGGATAGGAATGGGGGTCATTGCAGTGGTTCTTAATTTCCTTTGGCAAGGAGAACATTTTGTTCATTCAATTATATTTATTTCAATTTCATTCAAGAGGAAATTTTTGATCAACTGTTTATATGAGTCCATGGAGGTTTTTTTTTTTTTTTTTTTTTTGGTGGGATGTAAGAATAATTAGGATTTAATTCCTACCCTGAGATAGAAAAACAAATCTTAGAAAACAGCTCATTGATTGTTGGTGGAGAATGTTTTGGGGCGCAGATATTGTTACCCAGAAACATGGTACTTTGACGAGCTGAACTGAAGAAAATGCCTCAAGGTCTTTCTGACCTTCCCCTGCTCTATCTCAATCCTCTGTCTCTCCCAAACCACAGGAAGAAGTTGTACTCTGAAGTTTCCTTATCTGCCTAAAATCTGGACACACCAAAGAAGAAAACAATCACCCCTGATCCCTTCCCTGAGTTTTCATTAACTCAACTCATATTGCAGGAAGAAAGACTGAAGTCCTTCAACGCACCTGAGAAGACTTTTGTCACAAACCATTGTCTGCTTGGTGGGCTCAACAGACTTTGTCCCGGGCCATTGTATGTTTTTCAAGCTCATTGAATCCTCTTAAAAATCATTTACTAGCCCCCTAAAATCACCCACATTTCCCCATCTCCCTTTCTTTTAAGAAGAAGGGTACATAACCATCTGTACCTTCTTGTGTGGTGTGGTAATCACTCTGTGATTTCTTCCATGCATGTTAGTAAATGTGCATGCCTTTTCTTCTACTAACCTGCCTTTTGTTAGTTGAGTTTCAGCAAACCTTCAGAGGTTAAAGGGGAAGTTTTCCCTTGGTCTCTACAGCTTTGGCATCATGAACAGGATAACCAGTCACTCTGCTCTTCTGGAAGCTGCAGTCAAGGAAACTCAGGATGTGACAAACTGGCAGAAGGGAAATAAATTCTTACCAGCTGGACTCTCAGCCTCTATTTCTGCAGAATCCAGTTGAGTGGATGCTAAAAATCAGTTTGTCTCTTTTTCCCCTCCAAAATATTGGTGTAATGGGATAAAAAGATTTAGGTGACAAGTCTTGGGTGTAGTGTCTCTGGTGTACTTTTTGGTATGAATATTCATGTTGTTTGATCCCTTTCCTTCCAGAAATAGTCTTTGTTTTTGATTGTTTGTTTGTTGTTCTGTCACAAAGAGGGGTACCATGGGTAGAACATAGGTCTCATATCTCTATTAGCTGGTTGTTTTAGCAGGATGTGCGGACTGGTAAGTTTTGTGGTTCTGATCACAACAGCATCTATTTAGATAAACTTTCCTGTAGGTCTCCCAAATAAAAACTGTATGAGGTTCCCCTCTCATCTTGTTTCATGTCTTTGAGAGCTTTATTTAAGATCTAGTAGCAACAGTCTCTCTTGGTCTCTGCCATCTAGGAGGCATGATTTTTGGGTCATATCCAGTGATCAGTTGGAAAATGTTGGAAACCCCTGAGATTTTAAGCAGTACACTTCTTGTTCCAAGCATGTCAAGCTGGCGTAAGGGGCTTTTGTTGTCTCAATCATTTGTTGCCTGGTTAGTCTTGGGAAAGTACAATCCCAGGAGGGCCTACCTAGAGTCATGGATTAATGGGTCTGTGAATGGCAGCTTTCTACAGATTTGTGGAACACTGAAGGTACTGTACACAGAAACACCATCCTAAACTGTCTGTGGCAACACGAGTCATTTTCTATCCTGGCCTATACCTGGGAGTGAATTTTTTTGGATCATGGAGACTGCCTCTTTCATGTCCTCTCCAGAAAAGAAAAACACTTATTTTAAACCTGAAAAATTACTTCCTGGGATTTCCTTAAAGAAGCTTAATTGGACTGAGTTGCTATTGGAATAAGCACACCATAAGAAATTCTAGTCATTAGTGGCCAAAAGATGGATTCTTTAAATTAGAAAGACCCTGAAATTTAAAAAAAAGTTTTCAGAGCTCCTCATTCTAAACAGTTGCCTTGTGGGAAGATCAGATTAAAAGAAAGACACATAATAGTGTCATAGGAAGCCTTAAAAATTATCTTGATGAAATTAAAAAACAAAAATTTGACCTAAAGCAAAGTTAAAATTATTTGTAACCTCAAACTGCCTGATTTGGACCCCTGTGAAATTTACAGTGATGGCTTCTTTACCTTGTAGTCTAGTAGTTAAAATTCTATGATTTCACTCTAACAACCTTAGGTTTGATGCTTGGTTAGATAACCAGTCCCTTTTAGTTTGATACTTGCGTGAAGCTTAACTTTGGGGGTACCCATTTGTTATCCATTCTTTTCCCTTCTATGGACAAGTGTTGATTTTCTGCCTTCTTCCATCTGTGGGGACATCTGGGCTTTTGGACTTTTGTCTATAGATGGTCAGCTGAGAAGCTGAGAGCCTAGAGTATATGGAGACAGATATGGGTTGTACCCCATTTGTAGCTAATGAACCTTTCCTTTCTTTCAGCTGTCTTTGGCGTAGTTTTGGATTTTGTGAGGTCTGCTTTGCACCTCTTTGGAGATGACCTGTGTGTCCTTGGTTAAGTCATAATTTTGGTTAAGCTCTATTCATTCTGGTGAGTTACTTGGAGGGTACTTTTGGTTAAAAACAAAAACAAAAAAAGCTCAAAAGCCAAAAATATTGTCGATTTGTCCTGGCTAAGATTTGATAATAAGAGATTTGAGGGAAGTTTTCTTTTTTTAAAGAGCTCTGTGGTCAGTAAGCGACTTATTAAAAGCTGATATTCAAGAGTATTTCTTTTTTAAAATAACTCTCTGCTTTTTCTATTTTGTATTCTGTTTATGGGAAGTTTTTTCAGTGAATCAAAACCTCTTTTAAAAAGTTATATGCTTGCTGCTTCCATTTACTTCCTTTCTGTGGGTATGATTTTTGCTAAAGAAAAAATAAAACTTCATTGACCTTTTACAAAGCTTAAAAATCTCCCCAAATTGCCTCTTATGAGAAAATTTCTCCCATTTACTTTACTCCTCCTCCTGCAGTGCTTATCTTTGATAACACATGAAAGAATCTGGAAGGGACTTGTAATGATCCTGAGACCTCTTGAGGAACACAGAAGAAGGCACCACAATCCTCATTTTGGGGTCTTCTGTCTTCCTTGTGCAGTCTCAAGAGCATGAACAGGTTACTCTTAGGTCTAAAGCTCTGCTGTCTTTTACACGGAACTCTTTTATATCTTTGGCTTTTAGAAACACACATGTGCACCTGTGTATGTCATATGTTGTGTCTGCATGTACATATATGTTTGTACATGTGTTTGTATATTGGCTACGTGGTAACACACTAACATAAATAAATGAGTACTCATAAATTAACTAGCCCGCTTTTCAAGTTCATGTGGCTTTAGTAGTTTTTGGTAAATAAAGCTAATTTTAAAATTGTTGGCAAAATAGAAATGTCTTCAGAGTTTTAGATATTTTTGTCTGGGTCTACTCATCAGACTAATTTATACTATTTATGATAGATGTTTTCAGGTCACAAAGCTGTTGCTTCTGTGATATTTTTGTGCTTGTTTGATCTGTCTATGAGTTTATATTTTTGGTTTTGAGGCTTTAAATTCTAAGGTCTAGACAATTGGCCATGGTCAGGCACAGGGACACATGTGTGTCCACAGTGCCTATGCCTCATCCTCCCTGGCCCATCTATGCTTCCTGGCCATGCTGGGAGGGGTCAGATCCTCCAGGCATTGTCTTCACAGGTCTGTCTTTTGTCCTGGGCTCTGCATCTGATACATACCAATTAAAATTGCTTTCTTTCTATATTTCTTATTGTAAGTTAGGTTTACTATGTAATTTAAACAAGTAGATATAAGAGAAACACTTCTGTATGCAAAGTATATAAAGAAAATAGGATGTGTTTTTGGTAAGGAAGGTTATAAAGAAGGTGTGAGAATATGACTTTTGTTAAAGAAAAAGTAGTTTTGTTTAGTTTAAAGATTTTTAAATGTTGTTTTAAATTGAAGAAATAAAAAATGAGAATTGATAAAACTAAATGGAAAAAGAATGTTGGGAAAAGAAAGAATAGGAAAAAATTTAAGAGGTTATAAAAGGTTTATCACAATCTTATGTGGCCAAAGCTGAATGAGATTAGATAAATCTATTTATAAGGTTTTATTAAAATTAGGTTTCATATTAATAATACATTGATACAAGGGTAAAGTTGAGAGGGAGGTAAAGAGAGAGGAAGAAAGTCTCATATTGTCTTTATTAGGGCTTTTGACTATTTGGAAAACTGAGTCTCCTTTCTCTCTAAGAGTAAAGGTTTTTGCTTTTTGAAATTTTTGAATTATTACTTTGGCTAAATTAATTAATCTTTTATAGTGACCTGTGATCCTATTTTGATTGAGTGTTTTAAGCGTCCCTTATTTTGATATTAAGTGTTTTAAACCTTTGATATTTGACAAACTTCCCAAAATCAAATAACAAATTTTAAATCTATCTTTTTGACCTTAAACAGATTTTTGGATGTTAGGACCCTTGGAAGTCCAAATGAGAACCCTGAAAGTCTAAGGGAGACATATTAGGCTTCTTTCATATGTTAAAATTATACTGTCATTATTGTCAAATAAGAAATGGTGTTTATTTGTATGGATGTTATTAATATGTGTTCCAAAATTGTATGGAATTCCTAGAAATCTGATATGTCTTGGTATATTAAGTAAATTGCCTTATCCTGATGTTTTTTCTTCTAAAAGCTCTTTGCGAATTCTAACGTGTTTTACCTTCAAGAAAATTCATGGAAAGATCCATGAGAAGTACTCTTAAATACAGGTTTCAAATAACACTGGATCATATAATTGGGCTAAATAAAAACTTCCAGAACTCTAATAAAATAAGCCTAATTGATTCATGAAGATTGCTAACTCAACATTAAGAAGAACAAGAATTAATTACACAGGACTGAACTGATGGCAGTCATAAATGATTTTTAATGACTTTTTGTTTGAAACATTGCGGATTCTTTTTATGTTTTCTTTTCCAGAGTCAAGATTTTTTTTTCTTTTGAGTTATGTGTAGCTTTCAGCAATTGGGTAAAGTATACTTTTGTGAGCAAAATTGAAACATTTACCTTTCCCTCTACCTGATTTCTCCAGAATTTGGAAACTGTTTATGAGTATTCTTATCTTATGGCAATATAATTATTTGCATAAGTTAGATAAGAATATGTTTTATTTTGCAACAGGACACAATCAGAAATGCTGCTTATTTTATCAAGGTTTTGACTGGAATGACATATTTTCAGATATGTCCAGACTGCTTTGAAGAATTGAGGTTGACTTTATTGAACTGATGAAAAGCCCTTTGGAAAGGCTGACCTGGTACTTTATCTACATGGTTCCTTTTCAATGTTTCTGACCTTGTGGTAAGTAAAGAATGTCACTTTCTGACAGGTCCAGAAGCCTCAAGATATTTTGGGACTGGAAGAAGAGAGAAATTACCCAATTCATTCAGATATTACAGACACAGTCTGATGGCAAATCCTTGGCTTGGCTTCCTATCCTCAACAGACTTCAAAAGTCTAATCTGAGATTCATTATGAAAGAGTTCAGAAAAGCCAATTTAAATAGAATCGATATGGCCAATCACTACTATTGTTGCACTTTATGCAAATAATTAAGCCAAATATCATAAAACTAAAACTTATTTTGCAAATAAATTGGCCTTTGGTAAAAATAAGAGACTGGAAAGAGAAAAAATATGTGTTGGAAAAAAAACCTATGACATACCTGTTATTAAATTTTAGCCAGTTTATAGTTTTTTTGTTTTGTTTTGTTTTGCTTCTTTTCTGTTTTTCTGTTTTGGGTTTTGATGAAATGGTCTTGCTTTGTCACCCTGGAGGATCATAGTTCACTGCAGTCTCCACTTTCTGGTCTCAAACTATCCTCCCTCAGCCGTCAGCTTACCAAGGAGCTGGGACTATAGGCAGGTGCCACCAGGCCTGGTTAATTTAGAAGAACTTTCTCTTTCTTTCTTGCTCTCTTTTCTCTTCTTTTCTTTCTTCTTTCTTTCTTTCTTTCTTTCTTGCTTTCTTGCTTTCTTGCTTTCTTTCCTTTCTTCTTTTTTTCTCTCTCTCTTTCTTTCTTTCTTAACTGCTTTCTTCTTTCTCTTTTTCTTCCTTTTTTTTGTAGAAACAGAGTCTTCCTACGTTTCTCAGGCTGGTGTTCATTGTCTTCAAGTTTTTATCACTTTCCTACAATTTGAACTGAATCTTGAATTCTTTCTTGGCTATTAGTCTCCAAACATTTCCAAATTTTTCTTCCATTTTTCTGACTTAGACTCAGTGAAACTGTTGCTACTTTTCTTTCTGAGGCTCTGCAAACTGAAGCTCATGTATAAACAACCTCGTGACACACAAACTACAAATGAGAACAATTCATCAGCTTGCCACTGCCTACTTCCACTTTAACTGAAGATGCTTTGAGTCTGACTGTCTTTCAGACTATAAGGAAACTGCTTATAGACTATTCCAGACATTAACCTTTGTTTTTCTTCTGAGAGCTTGTCTGCACCACCATCTTCTGAAATGAGACACAACAGTTTAAATGGACTGGCCTGTTTCTAGAAATGGGAGACTGGCTTAGTGGGATCCTTTGCCATTCAGCTATAGGATGGACTTTTTCTCCACAGGTGCTAACTCAGATTTTAGTGTGTAAACGTCTAGGGAAGTTTCAGACAGAAACTTCAAAAATGGATACCCCAAAATATGGTGCTTTGACGTGCTGAACTGAAGAAGATGCCTCAAGGTCTCTCTGACCTCCCCCTCTGTGTCTCTGAATCCCCTGTCTTTTCAAAGCCCATGATGAAATTTTTCTCTGACGTTCTCTTATCTGCCTAAAGTCTGGACCTGCCAAAGAAGGAAACAATTACCGCTGGTCCCTTCCCTGAGTTTTCATTAATGAAACACACGTTGAAAGAAGAAAGACTGAAGTCTGTCAACACACCTGGACAGACTTTTGTCACAAATTATTGTTTGCTTGATGGGCTCAACAGACTTTGTCCCAGGCCATTGTTTGTTTGTTCTTCAAGCCCATTGAATCTCCCTAAGAGTCACTTACTACCCCCCTAAAATCATCCACACTTCCCTATCTCCCTTTCTCTTAAGAGGAAGGGTATCTAGCCATCAGTGCTTTACTGTGTGGTGGGGTAATCGCTCTGTGATTTCCTCCATCCATGCTAATATATTTGTATGCCTTGTCTCCTACTAATCTGCCTTTTATTGGTTGATTTTCAGCAAACTTTCAGAGGGCAAAGAGAAAGTTTTGTCTTTTCTCCTATAAAGGTCCATCATCTGATTCAGGCTGCTGACAAGCATTTATTGAGGAACTATTCCATGTGTACAATGTTTCACTAAGCATTTTGGAAGGATGGAATAAAACAAGGCACACTCTCTGATCGTGCTGAGTTTTCCATGAACAGAGTGCACCACACATTCATGTAGAGAATAATTTGAGATCTGTCAGCAAAATGAAATTTAAGAGATTTAGGAGAGAAAGAAAGGAGCTAATATTTAATTAGCATTTAATTAGCAAAACAGTTTACTTTATTTCATTTTCTTTATTCAACAGATATTAATTAACGAAGAACATATTGCGTGCCAGGAAATACTCTACATGTTGGAGACATATCAAAAAGTCCATATATTCTGGGAATGCTTTACTAGCACTATTGCATTTTATTATACAATCACCTTTGTTAGGAGCTGAATTGTGTCTCCCTAACCCATTAATATGCTGAAGTCCTAACCCCTACTACCTCAGAATGTCACTATACTTGAAAATAGGATTTTTGAGGGGGTGATTATGGTTAAATGAGGTCATAGGAACACCAATCCAATATGACTGGTGTTGTTATAAGGAGAGGAGAGATGAGGCCACCGAACACGCAGAGGGAAGACCATGTAAAGAAGACTCAGAGAGAAGACAGCTGTCTACCAGCTGGGAGGGAGGCCTCAGGAGGAACTAACCTGTGAACACTTTGGTCTTGGCCTTCTATCTTTCAGAACTGTGAGAAAATAAATTTGTTGTTTACACCACCCACTCTATTGTCCTTTATTATGGCAGCCTCAGCAAACTAATATGACCTTGAAAGAGGGCAACTATAAACTCAATTTAAGTTGAAACAGGTTCATAAAGATATGGAAGTGATTTAGATTTACAAAACTAGTAAGTGGTTTTAAGAATTTAGGTTTTCAGAACTTGGATGAAAAACATTCCCTTAGTTGCTAAAAACATCAGCATTAAGGACATATGCATCAGAATTTCTAAAAAATCTTGAAATTTTAATTAACACTAAACCTGATATGTAAATGGCTAACAAATGCCAATTCAAGCAAAGTCAGGATTTTTGGAAATCCATGATATGAAATGAGTGAGTAGAATATCTTCTGCTACTTATTCCTTACCTAAAATATCACATTCAGATCTCATGATTATACTTTTGGAAAAACAAACAAATTACAGCTTGTTCCAGAGAAAGTAAGTCAAAAATGACTAAAGAACTTGGCAACATCTAAATCAGAAACGGCCAAGAGGACTAGGCGTGTCTCTCTAGAGCCAGCTGTCTTCATTTGAAGAAGAAAGAGAGAATAGGTTTATTTTTAATGATTCTGCAGGGATGAAATAGGGCCGAACTTTTAGAAGGATAGATTTAGGTCGAAGCAAGTGTGGCTGAGACATAGGGGAAAAAAGAGTCTTTAAGGAGTTTTGGGCATTGTTGGGCAGAAGAAATTTTGTTCTGCTCACCTTTATCAAAAGGCATGAGTAAAGTTCTAGCCTTAAATTATTAATGCCAGGTCTAGGAAGGCAGTGATGGATCTACTACCCCAAATTCCATGTATGTTCATCAGCAACAAAGGAGGCTTACTTTGAATTTCACCTGATCTTGCTACAGGTGAAGAGTCACTTCACACCTGGTGGTCTCCAGTTGACTTTGTATTGGTTAATTACCCAAGAGAGAAAAATCATTCCCCAGGAGCCAGCTTTTGTTTTCTTTTAAATATTTCCATAACAAAAAAGCATTAGATATATTCTGTGAGGCCCAAGATTGAAAACCCTGTTCATAAGAGGATGTAAATGCTCTGTTATTAGGTAGAGTCTATGATTTGTTCAGTATTAAGTGCCAGAAACACTTGATAGAAATTAAAGTAGGAAATGGAAATTAGAACTTTGTGCACAGGTGAATATCCCTCATAAATAGTAAATGCACAGGTCCAAAATTGACTAGAAATTGTTCCTGATTTGAGTTTAAAGCCACAGATTATGGATTCTGGACAGCTGTCTATACTGACAGACAGGTTAAAACTAGGGAGATTTTCTTCTTCCTGTAGATATCATTGATTTTTTTCTGTTACGGTCTTTGGTAACAATATTTAATTGGTTTCATAAAATAACATTTGTCTGGAATAACTGCTTTAGAATTGGGCACTGCTTTATATTCTAAATTTTCTAGTGCTAGATGATAAACCACGTGTCCCATTAATTCTGGACTCTATGACAAATGAGACATGCTAAAAGCTTGTCGTTCAGCTAAACGAATTTCTGGGATTCTGTAGTACAGGCAGACGTCCACCAGAGGTGCCTGACCTTCCTCTCATGTGTGACTTATGGGCTTTGGGAGTTAAGACATGGTCATGCCTTCTTTATTATTCTTCCCAATTTTCCTACAAGATCTGGATGGCTAGGGTGATCTTGGAAGTCACATGTCAAGATGGCAGAGCTTCCATCAGCATGAGCCCCTGAATGATTATATACAGCAGAACACAATTTCCTTTCCTTCTTGCTAACTGGGAAATCCACATAAAATAAACATTTATTGTGTTAAAACACTAAAATTTTGGTATTTACACCAAATACAGTTGGCATTACATTAACTAATTCAGGTCCTGAAGTAATGAGGTTGACTCTGGAAGAGATGATAGAGTCAGTGCTGCTAAAAAAGTCCCCAAACAGCAAAATATCTTAATCCAGGTAACATTCAGAAATCTGATGAAAAGAATAATAAATTAGGGGGGATAGTTTTTAGACTTTTATTTAAGAATTCCAAACTTTGCACTTCAAATTACAGGGAAAAAATTTAATTTTTGATTTTAATTTCTTTGAACTTGCGAGAAGATTTAATCTTGAGCATTAAATTTTCACTAGGATGTTGATAATAGGAAGAGGTTTATATTAAAATTTTGAGAATTTCTATTGTTGGCATTTTATTATTGGAGTATGCTTTATTCTAGTATTATTACCTGGTCTCATTGGAAAACATATGAAATGTTGTACTAGATAGTGTTTCTAAAAATGTATGGAATAAGAAACAGAAGAGAGTTAATTTCAGCTGTCTTTCCAGAATAGCTTTGGGATTGGTATAATCAACGTACTGTTTTGATCCAGATCAGAACCTTCTGGGAGCAAAATCTAATTGCTCAGTAGGTCTTCCCAGGAGGAAGAGCAGCTTTTATTGGGGGAGTGTCCTGGAGGAGATGAAACAGGACTGCCCTGAAGAGGCTGCTTCCTTCCCCTCAGGATGATGACTACGCCCGTGGTCAACTATAGGATTAATAGTTAAAACCAATGGGTAAGAGGGAGCTGTCAAATGTTAGAGTGAGAAATGCTTTGCCATAACTCATGCTTTTCATGATGAGAGATTTTCTGTAAACACACTCCTGGTTCATTAACTATGCCCCTGTGAAAGGGTCCTTTTGAAAAGAATAATGGGGTGTGCATAGCTCCGTTCCTGTCTTTCTTCCTCTTGGAAGAAGTCAGAAGGTCGGGAGGGCTTCTCTGCTTCTCCCTGTTCAGGCAGCTCCTGCCTCCCACCTGCTCACCACTTCTGGGGATTTGAGCCAGGTCCGTTGCTACCATTACCAGGTGGGGAGTTCTTATTTCTGGCACAAGTCACATCCTGCAAGTTGCCTTCATTTGCTACTCATTGTGATATTTTTATCTGTCTTCTGCAATTTCTTTGTTTTATTTATCAAATTATTCAATTTGAGAAACTTAGACCGGGAAGAAGCACGCTAATTTTTTAAAAATCACTCAGAGGTTCCAGCAGGTACCCAGGTACCCAGAAATAAGGTGCAATGTGAAGTTTTAGTCTTTACTACGAGTATAAATTATTGTCCTGTTGAAGTGTATGGGTTTTCCTCTGGGCCAAGATAGGCATCTTAAGGTCAGAAAATCCCTGCAATTTTAATAATTTATCCTTTAAATCTAATGGATTGCAAGAACATATTGTTTATGTGTAGAGTCAGCAATCGGTCATTATCCAGGGCAAGACAGGAATATAACTTCGGAGCCCTGAGGAATGCAAAGTTTCGGTGCTCTGTAGCTTCTCAACGCGGCTTATGTAACTAAAATTTTTTAAAAATACTTGTACTATAGAATAATAGTAATAGCAAGATTCTAAGCATTTCTTCCATACCAAGTACTTTACTAAGTGCTCTGCATACATTAGTTCATGTACTTATCATAGCAAACCTTTGACTTAGATACTATTTTTATGACTATTCTATAGATGAAGAAAATAGCTAGTTTATGGTAGAGCTGGGATGCAGCTGTAGGTTTATTGACTCCAGAGTCCATGCTGTTAACTATGATACTACACTGCTGCTAAAAATAAAATAATAGCAATTAAACAAATGCAAGGATGTTCAATAAAGTGCTCTTTTCACCCCATGAGAACTCTATTTGTTCTTATTCTGAAATATTACATAACAAAGTATATAAATGGATCTCTCTCTTACTTTTTTTTTCCTCTCTTTCCTTGTCTCCCTCCCCTTGGTATTCTTGTTTTGCTGGGACTTTGTCTTAGTTCATTCAGGATGCTATAACAAAATACTATAAACTGGGTAGCTTATAAACAATAACAATTTATTTATCACCACCCTGGAGGGTGGGAAGTCCAGGATAAAGGCAGATTGAGTGTCTGCTGAGGGCCCACTTCTGGCTCATAGACAGTTCATTCTTTATTTTATTTTATTTTGTTATTCTTATACTTTAAGTTTTAGGGTACATGTGCACAATGTGCAGGTTTGTTACATATGTATACATGTGCCATGTTGGTGTGCTGCACCCATTAACTCATCATTTAGCATTAGGTATATCTCCAAATGCTATCCCTCCCCTCTCCCCCCACCCCACAACAGTCCCTGGAGTGTGATGTTCCCCTTCCTGTGTCCATGTGTTCTCATTGTTCAATTCCCACCTATGAGTGAGAACATGTGGTGTTTGGTTTTTTGTCCTCGCGATAGTTTGCTGAGAATGATGGTTTCCAGTTTCATCCATGTCCCTACAAAGGACATGAACTCATCATTTTTTATGGCTGCATAGTATTCCATGGTGTATATGTGCCACATTTTCTTAATCCAGTCTATCATTGTTGGACATTTGGGTTGGTTCCAAGTCTTTGCTATTGTGAATAGTGCTTCAATAAACATACATGTGCATGTGTCTTTATAGCAGCATGATTTATAATCCTTTGGGTATATCCCCAGTAATGGGATGGCTGGGTCAAATGGTATTTCTAGTTCTAGATCCCTGAGGATATCGCCACACTGACTTCCACAATGGTTGAACTAGTTTACAGTCCCACCAACAGTGTAAAAGTGTTCCTATTTCTCCACATCCTCTCCAGCACCTGTTGTTTCCTGACTTTTTAATGATCGCCATTCTAACTGTTGTGAGATGTTATCTCACTGTGGTTTTGATTTTCATTTCTCTGATGGCCAGTGATCATGAGCATTTTTTCATGTTTTTTGGCTGCATAAATGTCTTCTTTTGAGAAGTGTCTGTTCATATCCTTCGCCCACTTTTTGATGGGGTTGTCTGTTTTTTTCTTGTAAATTTGTTGGAGTTCATTGTAGATTCTGGATATTAGCCCTTTGACAATTCACTCTTAACATGTCCTCACAAGATGGGAAAGGTGAGGAGCTCTCTAGGGCCTCTTTTACAAGGGCACCAACTCCACTCATGTGACCTAAATCTCCTTCCAGGGGCCGACCTCCTAATATCATCACTTTGGGAGTTAGAATTTCAATACATGAGTTTTGTGGGCACACAAATATTCCTATCATAGCAGACTTTAAATGTATTCTTATCTAGCTATTGGGTCTCCCAACAGTGACGTTGAGTGAAGACTTGAGCTCTTAGCACTGAGTGTAGGTATAATAAAAATGCAGTGAGAGGAAATATTGGGGTGGAAAAGAATATACTACATTTTTTGCCTTCAAAGCCAAAAAGGAAGCAAATGACTTGTGAATCTCTTGGCTTTTGCAGCACTTTGAGTTCATATAATTAAATAAAAAGAATCAGAGAGATTGCTTACCTTCTAAGTCATTCTCCAAACTGCCTTACTTTCAACAAAATGAGTCATATTTACCCAATAATCTTTCAAAGGGGAGTATCTCTGGGACCTAAGATCTCCTTTTTAAAGGCTTTTTCTAGTTTGATTTGCTAAGACCTTTAGTTAAAATGCAGGTGTTTTCCTTGGAATCAAAATGGTTGTAATGGTGGATTTTTAATTATTAAGAAATTCTGGGGGCTAAAATTGTTATGATTCTATGCTTGTAAAGGTTGGATGACATATATTTGGAAACATTTATCTATACTTTATATCTACACAATCTATTCTTATACCTATGAGGGTAGAACAGAGCTATCTTGACCTCGACCAAAGAAAATTTGTTGTCAGCTTTTTTGTTGGATGACAAAATCCCTGGGGAAAAACTCTTTTATATTTTAATCTCATTTCTGTTGCACTGACAGCACAGCCCTTCTTTGCTGTGTCAAGAATTTATTAAGTTTTAATTAGACTGTGTGAAGGAAAATCACATTGTATGTTGGAATCACTTTTGGATTACCCAATTGCTAGACTAAGAGAATGCTTAAAATACCAGCCAAATGAAAAGAAGGGAAAAATTCAGAGACAGAGAGAGAGAGAGAGAGAGATTTATAGAATTTGATATGTGCTTTTTTATGAATAAAAGCTTCTTCCATTTGGCAGACATGGACTAGGGTATTGGTGTTAACCAGAATCCACTGGTCCTACAAAATGTTTTCCCAGTTTCATTATTGTAGATTTATTTTTCTATCCTTTGGTCAACCCAAGCTCCTGATTCCTACATGTGTTCCTTGTTTTCTCCTTCCAGTTTATTTAAATTATTGTATTAATTATCATTATTTTAGAAGTCCTAACTATCAGGTTCCGAGTGTTATTGTACAAATTTGTGACACTGAGATCTTCATCATAGTCTTGTCTTGGCTTCCAGTCTGTTGAGCAGTGAGCAGGCTGTGCATTAACATTTAGAATACCTTCGCTGACACAATGACCCAGTCATTTGCCACACAGATGTAATCAAATCTATTAATGCCTTTATAGATCAAATTTATTTCTTCTTTATGGAAAGCAGTTCAAGAGAAATGGTACAAAGGAACAAAGGGGTTGCTGTCTAGTGGGTATAGATGAGGGAGTTTTCCCCTTCCAATTGCCTCATAAATCAAGGGGAGCATTTCTTGTTTAGCAATAAACTCTTGAGCTGAAACTTGGACTGAATGTAATTCTCTTTGGAATGAGATAAGAATGGGTAAGGAAATTAGTTGTTTTTGAAAGTAGACATATAAAAGAAATATTAGTACAATATCTGGCTGAAATCTTATGAGGCACCCTGCTCCAGTAATTGCCATTAAGGTCCACTGTCTTATCTAAGACAATTCTGAAATCAGTTTTTTTTTTTAAGCCACATTATGAGGAAAGGTTTTTTATTTGTACTTCCATGTGTGCAGGGGTGTTTTGTACATTATGAATTTGTATTGACTCCAAATTTGTGCTGGCATTTATATGGAAAGAGGGTGGAAAAATTAAGTATTCAGGTAGAAGGGAAATTGAGTGACGGAATTTAACGCAATTCAGAATACAATAATCTATCGGCTTTCCAGGCCATAGCAAGACATGGCCACTAGAGGTCAGTAAAAGGCAAGCGAATGAGAAAGCTTTAGGCAGGAAGCTTCCCCACACCCAGGTGGTTCCTCAGATTCAAGGCTCGTATTTTGAAAGGCTTTCTTTCAAAAATGACTAAAAAGTGGTATTCAAGGTTTCATGGGAGAGGGGAACAAAATAAAGAATGTCGCCTCTAAAAAAATGAAACTGTGAAAAAAAATGTTTGAAGAGGTTTCACTGTAGAAAACCTTTCTTTTGTGATTGCTACCTAAGAATGAAAAGGGATATTTACCTTTACTGGCCCTTTGGGCTTAGATTTTAGCTGGTGTGACAAAGCCTATTGCACAGTTTCTGTGTCTTCCTGCAGTATCGGAAGGCGACTCCCCACTCCGGCTCCAACAGGACATTTTACTTTACTTTCCTTAATGGCATTTATTGCATTGTTAATTTTTCATGTATGCACCCTTCTCTTGTACTAGTTTGCAAGATTCTTGATGACAGAAGTCTGGTCTCAAGCATTTAAAAATTCTTAGTACATGGACACTGCTTGACTAAAACATGGCAATATAAATGTTTGTGTAACATGTATATAAATAAATTCACAATGTTTTCATTATGCGTTGCTTACAACAGGGATGCGTTCTGAGAGACACGTTGTTAGGCAATATAGCCTTTGTGAGAACATCATAAAGTTTACTAACTCAAATCTAGATAGTATATTGTACTACACACCTATGCTACATAGTATAGCCTATTGCTCCTACGCTACAAACCTGTACAGTCTGTTACTAGAATGAATGGTGATTATAACATGATGGTATTTCTGTATGTAAACATATAAAAGGTACATTAAAAATAAGGTATTATAGTCTTACAGTGTTTTGGGACCACATATATGCACATCATCTTTATGTGGCACATAACTATATTATTTACAATGTATAATAGTATTTTTGTGTGTGTGTGTCATTTTCATTCTTCTATCTTTCCTCTTATAAAACCATTCAGAATGATTATGTCTTAATTTTGCCTGTTCACTTATCAATTTCCAGTCAAATTCAGAACTAAAAACTAATGTCTTTATATGTAAAATGCAGTAGAAAAAGAGATCACTGTCACTTTAACCATAACCAATTTTATTCCGTAAAATCAAGAAGGATTTCAGAGCTTTTCAAATTGATGGGTGTTAGTCTGTCAAGCAGTGAATTCTGGCCTTCAATTCTCAAGTTGTCTGACTATTTCACAGACCTGCTGCATGATGGAAGGCTATTGAATATTACTCAGACATTGACCATTATGTTATTTTCTTCTGGCATCCATTAAGCACTTTTCCTTTAAGATGGGCTTCTGTTGTTTCCCCTTTCTTTGTGTATTTGGAAATCCTGTACAGGAAGCAAGAACCCAGTCTAAAAACCAGAGCACTCTCAGCTTTGGCATCCACATCTTTCCTGGTAGGTGGCTCAACGTGGTGCCTTTGAACACACGGCCCCAGTGGGAGCCCTATTATCTGCTAAATATTTCTGGAAATGTTTATACAGAACATGGAGCACAGCAGGCTGTCCCCCACCCCTACACTGATGGCTTAAGCCTTTGAAATGGCAAATGCATAGACCTCCTAAGCTCCTCCAACAGCCCCTGCTGTTGACATTTTCAAAGTTAACATATAAAATGATTCAATTGAAATAATATTTTTGAAGATCTTACTGCCCAAACTTTATCAAGGCTCACAAATTAGCTCCAGGATGACATTTGACTTAGGTAGAGTGTGGGAATTTAAAAAGAAAATCTCACAGATTACATTAAAGCGGATCCCATTGTGACATCCAGAATGTATTGCCCAAACCTCTCCTTGTACAGTTGAGGCTGTTTTTTGACTTTCTGGTGTCATTTCCAGACATGCAGTCCTAATATGTGAGAGCTCCATGACCCCTCAGACGCCTTCGCGCAGAACAACACCTTCGCTTTAGAGGTGAAGAAATCAAGGCTCTTGGAGGATATTTGAAGTAACTCCAGATATGGGATGTTTGAATATTCTTTTGGCAAGATTTACCCCATCAGTTTTATTGACTCATTCCAGGTATGATAATTGGGAATGGGGGGATTACTGTTTGATTATATCACCGAACCACAACATCCTAGTATCACAGATAGCAAGGGAGCCATCTATCTGATATGCAAATGGATACAGCTGGCTAATAGCACCTTTAGTGATGAAAGCCATCCTCCTTCCTCTATCTTTTCTTTCCCCCTTTAGTCTTGAAAAGAGGTACATGTGGAAAAGAAGTGGGATATGTATATAAGAAAAAAATCTGATTTCAAAGTAGAGTGTTCATTCTCACACTACTATAAAGAACTGCCTGAGACTGGGTAGCTTATAAAGAAAAGAGGTTTAGTTGACTCACAATTGCACAGGCTGTACAGGAGGCATGTCTGGGGCGGCCTCAGGAAATTTACAATTATGGCAGAAGGGTGAAGGAAAAGCAAGAACATCATCTTCACATGGTGGCATAAGAGTCATGAGAGAGAGAGAGTGAATGAAAGGGCAAGTGCAACACACTTTAAAGCAACCAGATCTCGTGATAACTCACTATCATGAGAATAACAAGGGAGAAATTCACCCCCATGATCCAATCACCTTCCACCAGCTCCCTCCCCTAACACTGGGGGTTACAGTTAAACATGATATTTGGGTGGGGACACAGAGCCAAACCATATAATAGAAGTAAGTTGGAAATAGTGACATAATGAGTAAAGCTGGGCTCCCAGATCAAATCTCTTTCCTAAAGTTTTGCCAAGAAGTATATCAAAAGTAGTAGTGGGCAGACTAAGCAAAGTTAAAGTTCTTTAGTGATAATGCAAGAGAGGCTGCTTTATTTATTTTTTTAAGACAATTTCTTTAGAGCAGTTTTAGAATCACAGAAAAATTGAGAGAAAGGTACAGAGATTTCCTATATATTCCCTTCCTGAACACATGCTTAGCCTTCCCCATTGTCAACACCCCTCACCAGAGTGGTATATTTGTTACAATTGATGAACCTATTGTATTAGTCCATTCTCATGCTGTTATGAAGAAATACCTGAGACTGGGTAATTTATAAAGGAAAGAAGTTTAATTGACTCCCCAGCAGGGCTGGGGAGGCCTCAGGAAACTTACAATCATGGCAGAAAGGGAAACAAACACATCCTTCTTCATATGGCAGCAGCAAGGAAAAGTGCAGAGCGAAGTGGGGAAAAGCCCCTTATAAAACCATCAGATCTCATGAGAACTCACTCACTATCACAAGAACAGCATGAGGTAACTGCCCCCATGATTCAATTACCTCCCACTGGGTCTCTCCCAAGACATGTGGGGATTATGGGAACTATAATTCAAGGTGAGATTTGGGTGGGAACACAGCCAAACCATATCATTCCACCCCGGACCCCTCCCAAATCTCATGTCCTCATATTTCAAAATACAATCATGCCTTCCAACAGTCCCCCAAAGTCTTAAATCATTCCAGCATTAACTCAAAAGTCCACGTCCATAGCTCATCTGTGACAAGGCAATTCCCTTCCACCTATGAGCCTGTAAAATCAAAAGAGAAATTGGCCAAAACATAGGGGCTACAGGCCCCATGCAAGTCCAAAATCCATTAAACCTTAAAGCTCCAAAATGATCTTTTTTAACTCAATGTCTCACATCCATGTCACACTGATGCAAGAGGTGGGCTCCCACAGCCTTGGGCAGCTCCACCCCTGTGGCTTTGCAGGGGTACAACCTCCCTCCCAGCTGCCTTCATGGCTGACATTGAGTGTCTGTGGCTTTTCCAGGTGCATGGTGCAAGGTGTCAGTGGATCTACCATTCTGGGGTCTGGAGGATGGTGGGTGGCCTTCTCACAGCTCCACTAGGCTGTGCCCCTGTGGGGTCTCCATGTGGGGGCTCCAGCCCCACATTTCCCCTTTGCACTGCACTAGCAGAGGTTCTCCACGAGGGCTCTATCCCTTCAGCAGACTTCTGCCTGGACTTCCAGACATTTCCATACATCCTCTAAAATATAGGTGAAGGTTCCCAAACCTCAATTCTTGTCTTCTGCACACCTACAGGCCCAAACCATGTGGAAGCTCCCATGGCTTGGGGCTTGCACCCTCTGAAGCCATAGCCTGAGCTGTACTTTGGCTCCTTTTAGCCATGGCTGGAGCAGATGGGACATAGGACACCAAGTCTCAAGAATGCACACAGCAGGGGGGCCCTGGGCTTGGCCCAGGAAAACATTTTTCCCTCTTAGGCCTTCAGGCCTGTGATGGGAGGGGCTGCTGGGAAGATCTCTGACATGCTTTGGAGATATGTTCCCCTTTGTCTTGGTGATTAACATTTGGCTCCTCATTACTTATGCAAATTTCTGCAGCTGGCTTGAATTTCTCCTCAGAAAATGGGATTTTCTTTCTATCACATCATCAGGCTGCAAATTTTTCAAAATTTTATGCTCCACTTCCACTTGAATGCTTTGCAATTTAGAAATTTCTTTGACCAGATACCCTAAATCATCACTCTTAAGTTCAAAGTTCCACAGAACTCTAGGGTAGGGGCAAAATGCCACCAGACTCTTTGCTAAAGCATAACACAAGTAACCTTTGCTCCAGTTCCCAACATGTTCCTCATCTTCATCTGAGCCCACCTCAGCCTGGACTTTATTGTCCATATTACTCTAAGCATTTTGGTCAAAGCCATTCAACAAGTCTCTAGGAAGTTCCAAACTTACCCACATTTTCCTATCTTCTTCTGAGCTCTCCAAACTGTTCCAACCTCTGCCTGTTACCCAGTTCCAAAGTCCTCATTTTTGGGTACCTTTACAGCAGTGCAGCACTCTCTGTGGTACCAATTTACTGTGTTAGTCTGTTTTCATGCTGCTATAAAGAATTACCCAAAACTGGGTAATTTATAAAGGAAAGAGGTTTAATTGACTCAGTTCCACAGAGCTGGGGAGGCCTCAGGAAATTTACAATTATGGTGGAAGGGGACATAAACACATTCTTCTTCACATGGTGGCAGCAAAGAGAAGTGCAGAACAAAGTGGGAGAAAACCCTCTTATAAAACCATCAGATTCTTGTGAGAACTCAATCACTATCATGAGAACAGCATGGAGGTAACTGCCCCAAAGATTCATTTACCTCCCTCTGGGTCCCTCCCTCCCACAACACATGGGGATTATGGGAACTACAATTTCAAGATGAGATTTGGGCAGGGACACAGTCAAACCATATTACCTACATTGACACATCATCATCACCCAAAGTTCATAGTTTACATTAGGGTTCTTGGTATTGTACCTTCTAGGGAGTTGCACAAATGTGTAATGATCTGTATCCTTGACTATAGCATAACACAGAGTATTTTCACTGCCTTAAAAATGCTCTGCCTATTTATCTCTCTCCCCAGCCCCAGTCTCAGGCAACCACTGATGTTTTTACTGCTGCCATAGTTTTGCCTTTTCTAGAATGTCATGCAGTTGGAATAAAAAATATGTTCCCTTTTCAGATTGGTTTATTTCACTTAGTAATAAGCATTTAAGGCCAGGTGCAGTGGCTCATGCCTGTAGTCTCAGCACTTTGGGAAGCTGAGGTGGGTGGATCACTTGAGGTCAGGAGTTTGAGACCAGCCTGGCCAACACGGCAAAACCTTGTCTCTACTGAAAATACAAAAATGAGCCGGACTCAGTGGCACGTGCCTGCAATTCCAGCTACTCAGGAGGCTGAGGCAGGAGAATAGCTTGAACCCAGGAGGCGGAGGTTGCAGTTAGCTAAGATTGTACCACCACACTCCAGCCTGGGTGACAGAGACAGACTCTGTCTCAAAAGAAAAAAAAAAGTGCATTTAAGCTTCCTCCTTGTCTTTTCATGGCTTGATGGCTCATTTCTTTTTGGCATTAAATATTATCCCATTGTCTAGATGTATCACAATTTATCCACCCACTTGCTGAAGGACATCTTGGTTGCCTCTAAGTTTTGGCATTTATGAATAAAGCTGCTGCAAACATCCTTGTGTGGGTTTTTGTGTGGACACAAGTTCTCAGCTCCTTTGGGTAAATACCAAAGAGTGCAATTGCTGGAGCTTATGGTAAGAGTATATTTAGTTTTGTAAGAAACTGATTACTTTATTTCTGGTGATGACAGTGATGAACCCAAGAATCAGGGTACTGTCTCAGTGCCATAGTTAATGCATTTTCTGTTCATTTCAACTATTCTTTTTTTAAATTTTTTTATCAAGTACTTTTGTGTTCCAAGCACTGGGTATAGAGCAGTGAATAAAACAGTCCCTGTTCTTATGTAGTTTACATTCTTATGGGAGGAGATAAACAAAGAACAAGTAAGACATCAGGAGTGCTAACCAAGAAATATTAAGCAGGACAAGGGGGACAAAGAGTGATGGTAGGGATGGAGTAGTATTTTATAATGGATGGTCATCTTGGGTATTGCAATGAGGATTTCAAAAATTGCTCAAACAGCTGTAAAATAGCTCGTGCTTTCTTCTGGAGAGCAGTCTGTCCTCACAGGCAGGAAAATTGGCCTCTGTAGCTTCTGTAGCTCATTATGTCAGCCTGTACCAGCTGAGATCCAAACCACTGTCCCAGCCCTTTGCCTCCACACTCAGTCACCGTCTCCTGTGCCCCACCCTGAGACAAACTCCTATGGTTCTCGCTAGCTCATGTTCCTGATGCAACATTAGCTGCCCAGGCCTAGTGTAGATCTTGTTTGTGAGTCACACTGAAGAGACTGCTATTAAAAACATTTCTGGCATATGAGGTTCAAACAATATTTGAGGTTCAAACAATATTTGAATATTTGAATCAGGTTGAGAATCTGGTTGAGAACCTGGAATAACAACAAATATAAGAAATAAACCCATAGCTATTCTAGACATATTGCTAAAGAGTTATTCTTGAGATAGGGAGCCAGATAGGTGAAGCCTTCCTCTTAGGTTTAGATTTTCTAAGTGCAGTTTCAGAGCTGAAGAATTTATGGAAGGAGATTAGCCATACTTCTCATTTTTTTTTTCATTTTGATGCAACCTCACAGAGTTTGTGAGAAGAGATTTTGGCTGAAATTGGGTTTTTATATAGATTGAGTAGGCACCTCTCATGTGTATAATTTTAAAGACATTGAAAAGGGCTGTTGTTTTCCAAAATGACTCTCCTACAGGTTGTTCATTTATTCTTTATTCAGTAGATATCTTCATTCAGTAAACATTTATTCAATAAATAACTCAGTATACCTGTTGTGTTGGGTAAGCTTTGTCCCTGGCTCATAAGCAGGACTCCTTGGGAGGTATAAAACATTAATTGTTACCTGTTGTTTATACCTTATTCTGGCTAAGCTTCATATTTTTACCTGTGACAGTGTTTGTGGGGAGATGGAGAAGTGAAGAGAGCTTGATTTCACAGAGCATGAGGAGAAACAATTAGGAGACTCATTGGGCATGAAGAACAGGGAACAAAGTCTCAATTTTTTTTTTGAGGCAGAGTCTCATTCTGTCAACCAGGCTAGAGTGCAGTGGCTTGATCTCGGCTCACTGCAACCTCTGCTGCCCGAGTTCCAGCAATTCTCCTGCCTCAGCCTCCGAAGTAGCTGGGATTGCAGGCACCTGCTATCATGCCCAGCTAATTTATTTATTTATTTATTTATTTATTTATTTATTTATTTATTTATTTTTAGTAGAGACGGCGTTTCACCATCTTGGCCAGGCTGGTCTTGAACTCCTGACCTTGTGATCCACCTGCCTTGGCCTCCCAAAGTGCTGAGATCACAGGCGTGAGCCACTGTGCCTGGCCCAAAGTCTCAATTTTGTTGAAGGCCAGATGTCTTTTAATTCTATACTTTGATATTAATTGTCTTAGTATTTTAACTCATTTCTGTATACAAATATGATCTAAAAATACTTAACACCTGGAGAATTAGGCAGTACTAACACAATATACCATAGCCAGAGTTCTCTAGAGAAACAGAACCAATAGGATATATATGTATATATATATATATATATATATATATATATATATATATATATATATATACACACACACAAATATATACACACATACATAAATATATATATACACACACACACACACAGATAGATAGATAGATAGACAGATAAGGGGAGGTTTATTATGGGACTTGACTCACATGATTATGGAGGCTGAGAAGCTCAATGATATGCTATCTGTAAGCTGGAGAACCACGAAAGCCAGTGGTGCAATTTAGTCTGAGTCTGAAGGCCTGAGAAGGGGTGGGGGTTAGGAGAGAGTTGGTGTAAGACCTGGAGTCCAAAGGCCTAAGAACCAGGAGATCCAAGGATAAGAGGAATATCCAAGACCAATTAGACAGAGATAATTGACCTTTCCTCTGCCTTTCTGTTCCATTTGGGCCCTTAACAGATTGTATGATGCCTGCCTACATTGGTGAGGATGGATCTTCTTTACTCAGACTATTGATTCAAATGCTAATCTCTTCCAGAAACACTCTCACAGACATACCCAGAAATAATGTATTTATCAGCTATCAGGGCATCCCTTAGCCCACTCAAGTTGACATATAAAATTAATCATCAAGCTGGTACAGCACTGAAATCAACCAACTAGAAGAGATACTGTGAACACCCAGTTCTGCTAAGCTGGAGGGGAGCTGCTGAATATCAGTCTGCCTCTATTTAGCTTTGATTTCTTGGTTATAAAATAAGTTGAGAGGGGCAATAAGCAGCACCTTGTTAAAAAAAAGCTAGAAAAGCCACGTACAGTGGCTCATGCCTATAATCCCAGCATTTTGGGAGGCCAAGACTGGTGGATCACTTGAGCTTAGGCGTTAGAGACCAGCCTGGGCAACATGGTGAAACTCTGTTTCTACCAAAAATACAAAAACTTAGCTGGGCCTGGTAGCACATGTCTGTGGTCAGCTTCTTGGGAGGCTGAGGTGGGAAGATCGCTCGAGGCCAGGAGGTGGAGGTTGCAGTGAGCCAAGATTGTGCCACCGCATTCCATCCTGGGTGACAGAGTGAGACTCTGTCTCAAAAAAAAAAAAGATAGAAAAAAATATATAATTACCTAAATAATAAGGTGTATCTTCCCTGGCTTTAGTCATCAGGAAAACCGAGCTGGCTACCTTTGAATTTTCGCGACATTTTGCTTTCTCTTCTTATATCATGCAATGATATTTTGAATTTCGTCTGTCTTCTAAAAATATAGTGGTGTTTTAACAATAATTTTGCTGGTGCTTTCAGTATAAACTAGATAAACTAGCAACTGATTTGTAATCAAGTTTTCAATTTCAAAGGTCTTTAAAAACTTATTGCATACAAATCAAAACCACAGTGAGATACCATCTCACACCAGTTAGAATGGCAATCATTAAAAAGTCAGAAAACAACAGATGCTGGAGAGGATGTGGAGAAATAGGAACGCTTTTACACGGTTGGTGGGAGTGTAAACTAGTTCAACCACTGTGGAAGACAGTGAGTGATTCCTCAAGGATCTAGAACCAGAAATACCATTTGACCAAGCAATCCCATTACTGGGTATATACCCAAAGGATTATAAATCATTCTGCTATAAAGACACATGCACACTTAGGTTTATTGTGGCACTATTCACAATGGCAGAGACTTGGAACCAACCCAAATGTCCATCAATGATAGACTGGATAAAGAGAATGTGGCACATATACACCATGGAATACCATGCAGCCATAATAAAGGGTGAGTTCGTGTCCTCTGCAGGGACATGGATGAAGCTGGAAACCATCATTCTTAGCAAACTAACACAGGAACAGAAAACCAAACACAACATGTTCTCACTCATAAGTGGGAGTTGAACAATGAGAACACATGGATGCGGGGAGGGAAACATCACACACCAGGGCCTGTCAATGGGTGGGGGGCTGGGGGAGGTATAACATTAGGAGAAATACCTAATGTAGGTGACGGGTGGATGGGTACAGCAAACCACCATGGCATGTGTTTACCTATGTAACAAACTGCATGTTCTGCACATGTATCCTAGAACTTAAAGTATAATAATAATAATAAAAAAGAAAAAAAACAGAAGTTACCAGCAGGGGCATAGGTTCCATAATTCCATCCCAGTGTGAAAAATGCTTCCTGGAGCAGTACAGAACCACAGTCTGCAATAAAAACAAAAAACAAAAAACAAACAAAAGAAATTGCATACAGATAGTGTTGCATTTGATTTGCATTTAGAAGTTAAGATGTAGTCCCATATTAACATTTTATGAGTTAAAAAAATTCAGTATGATTTCCTCTGATATTGTGTTAATTGTTTATGACCATGGTGTTCAGCACCTTGAAGTTGCCAAGCAATTGATATTTAGTATTAAAATGTATGGTAAAGAATTATTAAATCATTTAACATTATACACATTTTATAGGCCCTGTCATGATGGAAATGATCTCTTAGTTGTTATCTTCATTTGAGTAACAGGCTTGTATAGAGTAAAGCCCAATGGTTTAGGGATCCAGGGATGTTAGCATGGTTTTAGCTTCACCCTAAATCATGCCAATTCAATTCTCTGGTTCACTGTTTCCTCAAGTGTAATGTGAGGGGTTGGACTAGATTTTGTAAGATCCCTTTTAGTTGTAAAATACTAAAAAAAAAAAAAAAACAGGGGGGGGGTTCTTACCTTAGTATTTAATTTTTCCCATAGTGGGAAGTAATGGAAATCAAAATATTCTTTTTGTCAATAAGAAAGGCATACTGTCTAGTTTTACTTCAATCAATGAATAATTTGAAGATTATAGTGCACATATCTTGATTTTGTCTGCTCAGTATCACTCCCGTGGTTGTTGAAGGGCTGTCAATTATAGAGTCCTAATTCCATGTAGTGTTGGGGACATAATCCAGACTACTGCCATCCTTTAGCCAGCGATTGGTCCAGGGGTGATTCTGGAAAATTAGATTATTTTGGGGGATTGCTATAGGGAAGTTAGGAGAGATCACCTTCTTTTGGGGTTGCCAACCTGGAAAAAATGTAAATTTAGGGCTTCCTGTGTTCATTGCCATGGAAACAAGTTTACAGACTCAGAATTTAAAGACAAGAAAGACATAGGCATTCATAGGAATTGCATGACAGGAAGAAAGAAAATGAGAATTTGACATCTAGATGTGGGGACCACCACATCCAGGTTTCTCAACATGTTACACTTAGAGGCATTTTTACAACTGAGTAAAATCCAAGATGCTTCCAAAGTTTGCTTTGTGGTCAGCAGGGTAGGAAGGCCTTCCTAACACTCAGCTAAGAAAGAGGCATTTCCACTGTCATCAGGGGCAAGGGAATCATACTTGTCATAAGTCAGTGAGCCTCACAGAGGATATTTAAAATGATATCAATAATTTGATAGAAGTACCAGTATTTATGCAGTAAAACACTTAGGATTTATAAAAAATTATATTTCTACAGGGAAGTAAAAGTTAAAGATCTCTTTGTTAGTTGAGATTCATAAACTTTATACTATGTTGAATAAAATTAATTTGGCTAGAAATAGCCTGATTTTTTTTTGCCACCATCTTCTTCACCACAGGAAAAAGTGTGGATAAAGCAGGAAAAAATGGAACCCCGCAGAGACTGAGAACAAGTATGGCTAGAAAGAGACCAAGCCCTCCTTGAGAATATTATTTGAGGTCCTAGATTCATCCAGAGATTATCCTCTAAAGTTCTAGGTTTTACTATTTATGTGAATCAATTTCCCTTTTTGCTTAAGCTATCTGGCATTCCATTTCTGCCACTACTTGGGCAGTGAAGAAGAGTAGAGAATAACTTTATCTACCTTAGAAACTGGAAAGTTGTGTTCCTTTTTTTGACACACAGAATTGCATTAGCCATCTATATCTCTAATTGCTTGGTTTAGGAACAGAATAGGTTGATTGTTTTCTCATGAAGCTGGCTGAGTAACTTCATTCATTTACGCTGTCCAGATTGATGCTGCTGCATGCAGGCCTTATATTTGTTCTAACCTAAATCCAAATCTCTACAGTGAGTTGAACCATCAGAATCCAATATTCTGATAGATAATTGATATTGTTCCTTGTGGAGAAATCCTTGCTTTGCAGAGAGCAGCCCATCTCAGAGACACAATTTCTCTCAAGGCTTGGTAAAATTATGAAGCATAGAAAGTAAGCCTCGAAAATTTCTCCTGTTCATTCCTTGGTCATCTACCAATACTGTCAACTAGTTAGTAGTAGGTCTTTTGGTCAGGATTCAAAACACTCATAATAGGTCCCTAGCATCCTGTTCCAATATATACTGTTTTATTTTCCACTGTCCAGTCTGCTTATTATCCTCTTTAAAATATATCGTTTTTGAATTAATGCAGAAAGATAGTGAAGTAGTATTACATAATAGTAAGCTCAGAGAATACGACTCTCCCTATATCCTGTTGCTCAGGGTTTCCCATCCTCAATGCTATTGACATTTTGGACCAGAAATCTCTTTGTTGTGTGGGGCTGAGCTATGTATTATAGAATGTTTAGCAGCATCTCTGAAATCTGGCAGCATCCGCCTAATCATGACCATAAAAATATCCCCAGAAATGATTAAATATTTCCTAAGAGACAGAATCTTTCCCAGGTTTGAGACACACAGCTCTAGCTTGACTCAGTGATGGAACACCCTACTGCTTCGAGGATTCTGTAGGTCATCCCAGAGGATAGGACGAGGCTAGGTCTGTACTGTTCATTTCTAAATTTCCAGGGCCTAGAACACTGCTGGATACAAAGTGGGCAATAAGTATCAGGTCACTGGCCAAAGGACTCTTTTATTTTGAGAAACAATCGATCTTTTTTTTTGAGCATCACCTTCACATCTTAAATGGATCTTGAAGGGACCTTTCTCTCAATCTCAAATCTCTCTCTCTCTCTCCACAAACATACACATACACTCATGTATATATAGTATACATGAGTATGTTTTATACATGTGATACATAAATGTGAATACATACATATATACACATACATATTTACACAGGTAAATATATATAAACATATATATGTATATATAGAGAGAGACAGAGAGATTCCTTCAGAATTCATGTCAGAGACAAAAGTAATGGTCATAAAAAGGTGAAATGCCATATACATATAAGTACATGTTTTATATATGAACATACATGCACATATGTATAGATGTATCCATGCACACTCACACAAATATGTGTGTGTGTACACATATATATATAGTTCTGGTGGTCACTGTTTATTTGGGGAACTATTCTGAAGGGATCTGGTAAGGAACCAATGTATAAAGAAGTTAAGAGAGAAAATGAACTATTTTTAGAAAAATATTTAAAAGAAGACAATCTGTGTAATTAATAAAGGAATCTTGAATTTGAAAATGAGGCTCTGGCTACTTGTGCCAAGTAGAATATTTCTCTCCTTCCTTTTTATCCAAACTCTGTCCCTAATCACTCCCATTTTTGCAAAATACCTTGGCAGAGTTGTGTATATTTGTTTTTCTCCCCAATTCTCTCTTATTCTGTCTTAATACCACACTAATTTGTTCTCCCCTACAAAAAGTATTCTAGACAAAGTCATTAAAGACCTCCCTGTTGTGAAATGCATAAATCAATGCATCATTCTGGACTTATCAGGGACCTTCCACATGGGTTATCACTCCTTCCTCCTAGAAGCACTTCCTTCCCATGGCTTTAAGGCACCGCATTTTCCTGGTGTTAAGCTTCTTTTTTGCTCCTTGTTAGTGTCCTTTGTCAATTCCTCTGCTTCTCTATGACCTCTCAATGTTTGAGTCATTTAGGGATCAGCCCTTGTGCTCTTTCCTTCTCTATTTACTCTTGCTCATCCTGTTTCATGGCTTTAAATATCATCTCTACGTTGACAACTTCCAAACTTTTATTTCCATCTAGACCACTTTTTCTGAATTCCAAGATTCATATTCTAACCACCTAGTTGACATCTTCACTGAGATTTATAGGAGGCATCTCAAAATTAATGTGTATACAATTGAAACAAACTTTTCCTAAAACCTGCTCTAACCACACTCTTCGCCATCTTCAGATACAGCAATTCCATCCTCCATGTATTCACGCCAAAAAGTTTGGAGGCATCCTTGGATTTTTTTTCTCTTTTATCAAATCTTGTCAGCTTTACCTTAAAATATAGCTAGAAGCAGACAAATTCCCACCACTTGCACTATTATTTTCCTGGTTCAAGAAATCATCATTTCATGAGAATTATTTCAATGGCTTCCTAACCCATCTTCCTTCTTCCATTCTCAATATCTGCAATCTCTGTTCAGACATATTAGCCACAGTGTTCCTTTTGAAACTGAAGTTGGATCATGTCACTCCTCTGCTCAAAATTCTCTAGTGGTTTTCTATTTTTACCTGGAATACAAGCTGAGTTTTTAAAGTGGCCAGTGAGGCTGATATTGATCTTGGCCTCTGTCACTCCTCTGACCTCATGTGCTATTATTCTCCCCTTACTCCTTTCACTCCAGCCATGCCAGCCTCCTTGCTGAGATTTGAACATGCCAGGCATATTCTCATTTCAGGCTCTTGGTATTACTGCTCCATCTGCCTGGAATGCTCCATTCCCAGAAAACCACATACATCTCTCTCTGTCTCTCTCTCTCACTTTCTTTAACTCAAGGTCAGCACATTTCTATAAAAAGGGCAGATGGCAAATATTTTTTGGTTTGCAGTAATAAGGTCTCTGTCACTTTCTCAACTCTGTTGCTGTGGCACAAATGCAGCCATAGACAATACATAAATTAATAAGTATGGCTGGGTTACAATAAAACTTTATTTATGAACACTAAAAGTTGAATTTCTTATAATTTTTACATGTCAAGAATTATTATTTGTCTTTTAATTTTTTTCAGCCATTAAAAATGTAAAATCTCTTTTTACTTACTGGCCATATATGAGCAGGTTTTGGGCTGGATTTGGCCTATGGGCCATAGTTTGCTGACCCGTACTTTAGTTGATTAACTATTGCCCCTCAGTAAGTACTTCTTTAATCATGCTTTTGACACTCCTCATTTCCTATTCCCTTCTTTGATTTATTTTTATTTATGGCATTTATAATCTTCTAATATACTACATATTTCACTTACATATTTTTTGTTGTTTGTCTTCTACTAGAATTGTGAGCTCCATAAGGACTGGGAGTCTCATCTTTTTTTTTTCACTGCTGTTGAACAAAGCATTGGTCTGTCTTAATGGCCAGAACAATGCTTTGCTCAAAGTGGACGCTCAGTAAATATTGGTTGGATGAACATTTGTGAGTGAATAAATTAATGGATAAAAGCCAGGCTTTGATCAATCACATCCTCTATGAAGTATTCCCAGATTGCCTGCACTGGAGGTGATGTCTTTTTTCTCTGATTTCCCATTGCAGTCCTTGCTTGTATTTATTCCCCCATGTAATTTGTTTCTCATGAATGTACAATGTCTATTTGACATCTCCACTTCATTACAAGATTTTAGAGTGTCTTATACTTTTTTGTATCACCCACTCTCTTGGCAGTGAGAAGTAGAACTGGAAAAAGGAAATGGGAGACACAGACAGATCTCTTGGTGGTAGGAGCTGATAATGACCTCAACTAATGCAATGGCGGCATGAATGAAAAAGAAGAGGAGATATGAGAAGCATAATGACAGATGAGTCACTCAGATTTAGTTAGCAATTGGGAAAAGGAAGGGAGAAGGAAGAGAGAAGGCAGAAGGAAGGAAGAAAGAAGTTAGCTTCTGGTATTGAGTCTTTAAAGTGTTAGGATTCTAGCATAAGCTATGATATGAAGACAAGGCTGTCTTACTTATAGGGTATAAGCTAAAATGGAGGGCTTAGCTATTTTTTAATATGAAATGAATTTACAATTCAATCAATATATTAGTCTGTTTCACACTACTATAAAGACTAGGTAAATGGCTGGGGAGGCCTCAGGAAACTTACAATAATGGCTGAAGGTGAAGGGGAAGCAAGGCATGTCTTACATTATGGCAGGAGGGAGAGAGAGGAGTGAAGGAAGAACTGCCAAACACTTATAAAACCATCATATCTCATGAGAAGTCACTCACTTTCATGAGAAGAGCATGGGGGAAACCTCCTCTATGACCCAATCACCTCCCTCCCTTGACAAGTGGGAATTACAGGTCCTTCCCTCAATGGTGGGGATTATAATTTGAGATGAGATTTGGGGGTTGGGGACACAGATCCAAGCCATATTATTCTGCTCCAGGACGCTCCCAAATCTCATGTCCTTTATACATTTCAAAACCAATCATGTTTTTCCAACAATCTCTCAAAGTCTTAACTCATTCCGGCATTAACTCAAAATTCCAAGTCCAAAGTCGCATCTGGGACAAGGCAAGTCCCTTCCGCTTATGAGCCTGAAAATCAAAAGCATATTTATTACTTCCAAGATACAATGAGGGTACAGGCATTGGATAAATGCTCCCATTCCAAATGGGAGAAATTGGCCAACACAAAGGGGCTACAGGTTCCATGCAAGTCCAAAATCCAATAGGGCAGTCATTAAATCTTAAAGCTCCAAAATGGTCTTCTTTGTCTCCATGTCTCACATCCAGGTCACAGTGATGCAAGAGGTGGCCTCCCATAGCCTTGGGTAGCTCCATCCCTGTGGTTATGCAGGGTACAACCCCCCTTGGCTGCCTTCATGGGCTGGTGTTGAGTGCCTGCAGCTTTTCTAGGTGCATGGTGCAAGCTGTTGGTGGATCTACCATTCTGGGGTCTGGAGGACTGTGGCCCTCTTCTCACAGCTCCATTAGGCAGTGCCCCTTGTAGGGACTCTGTGTGGGGGCTCCAACCCCATATTTCCCCTTTGTACTACCCTAGCAGAGGTTCTTCATCAGGGCTCTGCCCCTTCAGTAGACTTCTGCCTGGCACTTCCATACATCCTCTGAAATCTAGGCAGAAGTTACCAAACCTCAATTCTTGACTTCTGTGCACCTACAGGACCAACACCACATGTAAACAGCCAAGGCTTGGGGCTTGTACCCTCTGAAGCAATGACCTGAGCTATACATTGGCCCCTTTTAGCTATAGCTGGAGCTGAATTGGCTAGGATGCAAAGCCCCAAGTCTAAAGGCTGCACATAGCAGTGGGGCCCTGGGTCCAGCCCATGAAACCATTTTTTCCCTCCAAGACCTCCAGTCCCGTGATGGAAGGGGCTGCCATGAAGGTTTATGACATGCCCTGGAGACATTTTCCCCAGCTGGCTTGAATTTCTCCTCAGAAAATGGGTTTCCTTTTTACCAAATGGTCAGCCTACAAATTTTCTAAACTTTTATACTCTGTCACCTCTTGAATGCTTTGCTGGTTACAAATTTCTTCTGCCAGATACCCTTAATCATGTCTCTCAAGTTCAAAGTTCCATAGTGCTCTAGGGCAGGGGCAAAATGTCACCAGTCTCTTTGCTAAAGCATAGCAAGAGTGCCCTTTGCTCCAGTTCCCAACAAGTTCCTCATCTCCATCTGAGACCACCTCAGTCTTGACTTCATTGTCCATATCACTATCAGCATTTTGGCCAAAACCTTTTAACAAGTCTCTAAGAAGTTCTAAACTTCCCCACATCTTCCTGCCTTCTTCTGAGCCCCCTAAAGTGTTTCAATCTCTGCCAGTTACCCAGTTCCAAAGTCACTTCCATGGTCAAGGTCACACAACTAGTAAAGGACAGAGCAAGGAATATGAACTCAGGGAGGCTGGCCCCAGAGTATGCTCTCTTGACCACTACACTGTGTAGCATCTTATATTATATGAGGTAAGACATATAGAAATTATTTGCAAACTCTAAAGCTGCATACAAATATTACTTCAAATGAACATTATGGAAAGTTTGTATTATTGGAATTGAAACTCAAAGCATTATGAGCAGTCAGTGGCAGAAGAGGAGGGTTTTGAGGTAAAATATAGAGGTACCAAAGGGCAAGTGAATCTATAAAGGCACAATGATTAGCCTGAAATGTGGCAGAGGAAAGGAGAATGTGGCTGTTAAGCAGCCTGACCAAACCCTTTCCCAGTCATCTTGATGATGATGGAAGCCTGGGGAGGGCACTAACTCTTAGAAATTTGATCCCAGAGTTTTCTCTACACTTTGGAGGTCAGAGAGAGGAATAATGACTTGGGGTTTATAGCTCAAATATCTCTTCCTCCTGCCACATATACATACACAATATCCTCAGACCAATCAGGTTAGGATAATGGTTATCTCAGAGTTTGCTAATGCAAGCACACTCTATCCTTGGAATTGTTTCTAAATGTAGAATAGAAAGTGATCTTTTGTTTGAGCTGCTGCAGAAAGAACCAGGAGTATAAGATCCATCATTCAAATGCAAGTGTTACTCTCAGAGAATATCACAACATAAATAGAAGTTTCTAAATGCAGAGAGCAAGGACTGTTCTTGGCTCATCAACATCAAAGGACCAATGAGGCGATAGTTGGGAATCAATTCTGTTAAAATGCAAAAGGCAATAGGAGCAAGCACTACATTGTTGGAAAGGCATTTCTTAAACAACTTAGAAATGCATTTATTTCGTGGTTAACTCATATGAGGAATGGAGAGAAAATAAGTGGGCAGCATTTAATGTTAAATGTTATAACTTAGAAAGTACAGGGTGTTACAGGAGCCTGAATGGGGCCAAAATGGTGAGAGCACAGAATGTAAGAAGCACTTTAGGAGGCCGAGGTGGATGGATCACTTGAGGCCAGGAGTTGGAGACCATCCTGGTCAACATGATGATACACAATCCACAATCCTCCTAAAAGTACAAAAATTAGCCAGTTGTGGTGACACATGCCTGTAATCCCAGCTACTTAGGAGGCTGAGGCACGAGAGTTGCTTGAACCCGGAGGCAGAGGTTGCAGTGAGCCAAGATCGTGCCACTTCACTCCAGCCTGGGCAACAGAGCAAGACTGTCTCAAAAATAAAAAAAGAGGCTAATGTGGGGAGCAGGGTCAGAGAGTCAGATCATGAAAGATCTTTTAAGTTATGTTAAGGAATTAGCATCGTAAACTAAGTCAACAGGAAAGCACTGGAAGGGTAAGAAGAAATTTCGTGTTAAGGTTAGTGTTGGTGAGGGAGAAATAATTGTTAAGAAAGATGAATTAAGAGGTTACTGTAATAATCTCACAAGTGATGATGATGGCTAATGCTTAACTAGCACTTAAAAAGTGACAGACACTTCTCTAGGTGTTTATATGTATGATAACTCATTTAAACTTACATTATGTGGTAGATTCTATACTTATCCCCACATTACAGATGAAGAAACTGGGGTATAGAGAGGTTAAGAAATGTGCCCAGTATCACAAAGTTAGCTTTAAACGTGAGCAATTTGACTTAATCACTATAATGGACTGGCTGAACTAAGAGAGTATTTTTGGAGAGGAAAATAAGTAAGCAGAGTAGAAATTAATTAGCAGATTCAGTGCTTGGTGCATTGTATTACGGGTGGGTCTTTGTTCTTAGAGCTCCCAAGATATGGCGGACCGCTCCCAAGATGGGGAAGGGCCACTCCCCAAATGGCAGCAAGCCTTTTGTTCTCTGACCTGGGGTTCTTGGCCTCAAGGATTCCAAGGAATGGAACCTTGGGCCATGCGGTGAGTGTTATAGCTCTATTAGAAGCTGTGGGTTACAGAAGAGAACTGTGGAACCCAGCAACTAGTGTTCAGCTCAATTAGGATAAACCTGGGCACTTAGCCATGCAGGAACAATGGCGAGCCTTTAGCCCAATCGGGAGCAGCAATGGGCGCCTCTCTGGATCAGGAGCACAGTGGACACCCTGCCGGATCTGGAGAGGTGGAAGTCAACAGCGAGTCTGGGACGGCAGAGAACAGCAGTGGTGGATGGTGAGCAAAAGCTCAGCTCGAGCCATAACAAACACGGACCAGAAGAGTGTGCATTTGCAAGATTTAATAGAGTGAAAACAGAGCTCTCATACAATTTAATAGAGTGAAAACAGAGCTTTGGGAGGGGACCCAAAGGGGGTTGCCGCTCCCTGCTTGAATGCTTGGGTTTATATCCCAATCATTGTCCCTGCCCCTGTGCTCTCAGGCGATATATGATTTGACTATTTCTTTACCTCCTGCTTTAGCCTAATTTGTATTTTAGTGAGCCCTCTTTACTACCTGATTGGTTGGGTGTGAGCTGAGTTACAAACCCTGTGTTTAAAGGTAGGTGCGGTCACCTTCCCCAGCTAGGGTTAGGAATTCTTAGTCAGCCTAGGAAATCCAGCTAGTCCTGTCTCTCAATTGGTTGTCAGGAAACTGGGTGGATATTTTGGATATACAGAATATTAGAAAGGAGCAAACTTTTATGGAGAGAGGGGCAGGCAACAGTTGCATTAAGGGCCAGAAGTTGAGGAGAGAGGCCTGGGCTGGAGCTACTTATTTGAGAATCACAAGAGAAAAAAGTATCAAGCATGGGCAAGTATAAAGTGATGAATGAGGAGAGGACCCAGGACACAATGCTGAGTTATCCTAGCATTTAAGGACAGTCAAAGGAAAAGAGATCTGCTAGGAGCCTGTGAAGAAGGAGGTAGAGAAGCAGAGGAAATGAGGACAGTGGGAGTCACAGATGGTGAGGTAAAGTGTTCAAGATAGGGGATGGCCATAAAATCAAGACAATAACAATTGTAGTCTCAAGATGTTCATGGGGCTGGATGTCAGATAATATGCTTGAGTAAAAGTTGGAGAAGCAAAGAGAGTTTATACAATATTTTGAAAAGGTTTGGCAATGAAAGAAAGAAGAAAGATAGATAGAGTTGCAGATGGTGGAGGCCATGGAGTTGAGAGAGGATTAGTTTTAATATTGTGTTAGGATGTTTAAATGTTGAGAGGAAGGAGTTAGGGAGAAGCTAAAGCAACAGAAGAGAAAGGAATAAACCGTACAGCTGCCTCTGAGAGGTGGTTTGGGCTCAGAGCACAGGTGGAGGAGTTTCTTTAATATCAAAGACTTCCACTAGAAATTGAAACAAAAATAACCCAGGCAGTCACACCTCCTTAAAACTTAGACATCAATGTATTGAGAATCAGGAATTTTCTTCACTTGCCAGAAGGGCATATCATAGCTTCTATGTATACTGGAATAAATCTAAACTGCCTCAACAAAGATATCTTAAAATACAATAGCCCAAATGAGATAGATGTTTAGTTCATTTCCATGTAAGACTGTAGTGCAGCTGGTTTGCTAGGTAGCTTGGCTCCACAAGGATATTCAGGAACCCAAGTATTTTCAACTTTGCTTTTCTTCATTCCCTAGGGTAGGGTTTTATATGTGGTGGGTCTCCACTGTGTCTTGTTTGCTTTCTGAAAGAAGAGGGAAGGGAGTGTGCAGAAGATACTCCTGCTGTCTTAAGACATTGGCCAGGAAAGAGAATATCACTTCCGTTCGCCATGTCACATAGCCACACTCAACTACAAGAGAGGTAGTCTATCTAGCCAGTGGGAAATGCAGTCTACCTAGCCAGCCAATGGTTTGCTACAATTTTATTTCTATGTAAGAAGGGGAGAAGGATTTGGTAGACAGTTTACAGAATTCTCCCACAGGAGGAAGCGTTCAATTATTTATTGAAGAATATGTATTCTGTAGAATGAAAAATCCCTTTAATTCAAAGACTTTCCAGAGGTTAGTAGGAAAGCTATCTGATTGAGCTAATTCAAAATGATTATGTTTATGACTGAAAGCTTATTACCTTTTGGGATGCATTTGCATTGCTAAGGAGACTCCTAAAGAGACTATTGTACTTTTTAATTTGAAAAACAGAAGTATTCCAAGAATATTTGCCTAATAACAAGAATAAGAGGCTTTAAGCCAGGGCTTTTTCAAAGAATTAGCTATTAGGTAAGAAACATATTTTAGAGAAATAAAACTTTTCTCTGCATATCTCAAATATAACACCAAGCATAAGTGTTGGCTTTTTTCCACCCATGAGTGGAAGACTGTATTTTGTCCTTTGATCTAACCGTGGATGCCTATTCCTATAGGTCAATTGTCATTCATGAATGTGAGACTGAGACTACAGCAAAGGTAGATGCAGGTAAGAAGTTATTTTAAAAAGAAAACTGCTGGGCATGGTGGTTCACACTTGTAATCCTAGCACTTTGGGAGGCTGAGGCAGATGGATCACAAGGTCACGAGATCGAGACCATCCTGGCTAACACGGTGGAACCCCGTCTCTACTAAAAATACAAAAATTAGCCAGGCGTGGTGGTGGGTGCCTGTAGTCCCAGCTACTCTGGAGGCTGAGGCAGGAAAATGGCGTGAACCTGGGAGGCGGAGCTTGTAGTGAGCCAAGATCGTGCCATTGCACTCCAGCCTGGGCGACAAGGCAAGACTGTCTGAAAAAAAAAAGAAGAAAACTATATCTTGATCGCTGCATAAACGGATTTGTTGTTCCATTGTGAGCTTTTCTTCTGATCATGTTATGGCAAATTGCAATATCACAATTTCTCTTTAATTGGAGGTTATTTACCTGAAATCCTCCGTTACCCAGAACAAAGCAGAAAAGTTATGTATGAAAACCTCTAAACATTAAAATAAATGTCACAAAGTTGATGCATCGAAACTCATAAACTTTTTTTTTTTTTTACAGATTTTTTCAGGCTTCCTATTTACTTTTTATAATTTTTTTTTAAATAGAGATAGGGTTTTGCCATGTTGCTTAACCTGGTCTTGAACTCCTGGCCTCAAGTGATCTGCATGCCTCGGCCTCCAAAAGTGCTGAGATTACAGACATGAGCCACTGCGCCCGCTTCTATTCACCCTTATTTCACACACAGTTCACACAGTCTTGATTAAGTGAAGTAGAATAGCAAGTTAGACAGGAGGTGGCTAGAGGTACGTGCACAAGAGCCAGAGGTAGAGCACAAGAAGTGACACCTGAGAATGAGTCAGTAATAAAAACAACATAATAAGTCTAATAATTTATAAATGGGATTCTAGAGTGTTTTGGCATTTGAGATACAGCTTCACTTCCTTAAATAATTTCTGAGGTCATTACCAATACAGGTATCAGGAAGACTTCATGATCATAATGGTTTTGGAGTAGTATAACTTAACTGTAGGGTTGTTTTAAATGGAAGTAAATAAAATTTAAAACACTTTTAAAAGGGTATAAAATCAATAGTTTCTGTTTTCCACCCAGAATAAATTCTTATCATAAGACCAAGAAGATGGGTAAATTATGAAACTATTTCTATTATGTTTTGTATCCTAGAAACAGTGGGTTATTCAGGGCAGGAAGAAAAATGTATTTTTTTCTCTTTCTTTGATGCAGGAAAATATGACACAAACTTTTCAAGTAGATAAAATTTGTCACTGTTAACCTTCTATTTCCTTCTGTTGCCTTAATTTAATATATTTTTGACCTCCCAGGAATTCTCATTACAGCTTCTGGTGCTCTCATTGTGCCCTCAGGCCTCCACTGTGGCATATTAAACACCCCCACCCCTCAACTCCTATGACCACCTTAGCCACTAAGTGCTCCTGCCTGGAACAGGACCTGGCACCTAGAAGCATTTAATATGTCTGAATGAATGAATAGATAGATCAATAACAAAGTTCTCAATACCTCTATATTGCCTTCATATTTTCTCCAGAATCAAAACTCTTTTTAATTCAAATGCTTTCCAGAAGTTAGGAGGAAAGCCATCTGACTGAGTTAATTCAAAACAAATGTGTTCACGATTGAAAGCCCATTAACCTTTTGGGAAGCATTTGCATTGCTAAGAATGCTTGATAACCCAGATAACCAAGATGAATATCTTATTTATAGAATTTTAGACAAAGGAACAAGGTAAGAATATAAGCAAATTGGCTGGTTTAGTAACAATGCTGGACATAAGAAGGCTGGCTCAGGCCAGTTAATCTCACCTAGGAATCTGATCTCAGGATGAAAGTCACTAAAGCTCTACATTTTTTTCTAATTTTTAAATTTTTTTTTGAGATGGATTACCAGGCTGGAGTACAGTGGTGTGATCTTGGCTCACTGCAAGCTCCGTCTCCTGGGTTCATGCCATTCTCCTGCCTCAGCCTCCCGAGTAGCTGGGACTACATGCGCCCACCACCATGCCCAGCTAATTTTTTTTTTTTTGTATTTTTAGTAGAGATGGGTTTTCACCTTGCTAGCCAGGATGGTCTCGATCTCCTGACCTCATGATCTGCCCTCCTTGGCCTCCCAAAGTGCTGGGATTATGGGTGGCGTGAGCCACTGTGCCTGGCCAAGCTGTACATTTTTATAACTTCTTTCTCTCCTCTCTTCCAAACGAACAGGTTCTTTATGAGCATATACGTGTTTTCTGGACGGTTTTTATGTTCCAGTAAAGTACAGGGTAGGATGAGAGTAATGACAGCCATTTGTATAAATGGGCCATTGTTAAGTCAGGGCTGCTTGTTGGAGAGATGAATTTGGATCTTTGCTACAGAATAAGTTAGTTTTGGCAGAGCAATTCGAGTTCAAAGGTAGAAACTTGAATGGCTTGTATAAAGGTGATTTACATATCCAGGATTCAGTTCAAGATGAGTCTCATGAATTTAAGACAAGACTGTTTCTGGACTGAAGTGTGTGAGTGTGTGTGTGTGTGTGTGTAGTGGGAGTGTGAAAGTGGGGAGGATGGAAAAGGTGAGGTTTGGAATGAGCAAGAAAGAATAAGATTGGCTATGGCCATCCCCTGTCTCTGGAGAACAGGAGTCAGCCCTCCTTTTCTCTCTTTTTTCCTCTCTCTCTCCTGTCTTCCCCCTACCTTCCTCTCTCTCCACCTCCATTTTTCCTGACTGTCATGTAATGATAGTTGTTTGTCACCCTCTATATGCCAGGCCTTTTTCCTACAGTCTTGTTGCATTTGGATATTACTTTTATTCTGAAACCATACCCAATTTTAAGTAAATAAGAAGCTAATTCTGTGTGGGTTTTGGTAATTAACCAGTCTCCAGTTAGTGGTGGTTGTTTTGTAATCCTGGGTTGTTTAAGGGCTAATTCATTAATAATAATGAAGCAGACAGCTCTCAGTTGTTTTATGCTTTGTCAATTCCTCCTACTCAGGGCATCAAAGAAATAAAATCTCTGATAAAAATTTTTCTCAGTAGATTTTTCATTGAGAAGAATAAATTGAAAAGAGGAGCCTCTGCAGTGTCAAAATAGGACTTGAAAAAGAATTTGACCAATTACTCACCAATTCATGCGCATTTCTTTAATTTTCTTCCATATCCTAAGATTGCATTTGGGGCTCATACGGATGCTTATTTTTGATATGTCTCTTCTCGATTCTGGAGTGACTTTTAGGTAATAATAATGGCTAACATTCATTGAGCTCTTAGTAAGTATCAGGCATTGCAATAAGCACTTAAAAACAACCCTTTGAGACAGGTACCATTATCTACACTTTACAGATAAGGAAATGAAGTTGAGAAAGATTAGGTAATTTGCTGATAGTTCATACCAGTGGTGGGTAATGAAACTGTTTTAGAAGCTCAGAGTCCCACCCACAGCTATGCACAATGCCTTGTCTCTGACTCTAAGAATACAGACAGTTGGGTGTTTAAAATAACAGTTATGATTGTGCCATTTAGAATAAGAGTTGTATTTATGTCTGTATCTCTCTCATAGACCATGTCATGTGTACATTTTTAAAGACTTTGTTAAATTTTCTTGGCCACAAATGAAATTAAGAAAGGATTAAAATCCATTCTGCTTTAAACTGAGATTTTCTCCTGTATCAGGAAGAAGAGACTGGTGAGAACTGTCCTGGTATTTTCTTCTCTCTATTGCTATTCTGAGAAAGAGTGAAATGGGTTTCTAACCTCTTTTTCTTGTCTTCTACTTAAATAGTATCCTCTGACAGCCACATAGAGATTAATCTACATAAAGAAAGTCAAAGTTATTTCCCATTTTAAAAGGTTATGGGGTAAATTATTTCTTCTCCTCTGAAGATCTTTTAAACTAACCACACACACACACAATGCACACACACAAACACACACTCTCCTTCTAACAAATGTTCATTTCACAAAAAATTAGAAATGCCTGAAGAAATTTAAGGCTAAAGAAATTTAAGAAATTATTTTACCTTCCTGAATGTGGAAAGCAAAAGTAGACCATCTTTGTTCTCTGATAACCCTGATATATATACATATATATATATATATATATATATATATATATATATTTTTTTTTTTTTCCTGGAGAGATTACTAACCAATTCTGTGGACAATGCACACAGTCACAATAAAAGACTTTAGTTCCTGTCCTAAATAAGACCTTTGATTATACGTCTGAGCAGTGTTCTTAGCTATGCTTTTGACTTTTGAAAAACATGTTTTGGGTGGAGCCAAGATGGCTGAATAGGAACAACTCCAGTCTACAGCTCCCAGCATGAGCAATGCAGAAAATGGGTGATTTCTGCATTTCTAATTGAGGTACCAGGTTCATCTCACTGGGGAGTGCCGGAAACAGGGTGCAGGAGAGTGGGTGCAGCGCACCGTGTGTGAGCTAAAGCAGGGCAAGGCATCCCATCGTCTCACCCAGGAAGCACAAGGGGTCAGGGAATTCCCTTTCCTAGTCAAAGAAAGGGGTGACAGACGGCACCTGGAAAATTGGGTCACTCCCACCCTAATACTGTGCTTTTCCAATGGGCTTAACAAACGGCACACCAGGAGATTACATCCCGCACCTGGCTCAGAGGGTCCTATGCCCAGGGAGCCTCACTCATTGCTAGCACAGCTCTGAGATCTAACTGCAAGGCGGCAGCAAGGCTGGGGGAGGGGCACCCACCATTGCTCAGGCTTGAGTAGATAAACAAAACGGAAGCTCAAACGGGGTGGAGCCCACCACAGCTCAAGGAGGCCTGCCTGATTCTGTAGGCTCCACCTCTGGGGGCAGGGCACAGACAAACAAAAGATAGCAATGACCTCTGCAGACTTAAATGTCCCTGTCTGACAGCTTTGAAGAGAGTAGTGGTTCTCCCAGCACGCAGCTTGAGATCTGAGAATGGGCAGACTGCCTCCTCAAGTGGATCCCTGACCCCCGAGTAGCCTAACTGAGAGGCATCCCCCAGTAGGGGCGGACTGACACCTCACACGGCCGGGTACTCCTCTGAGAGAAAACTTCCAGAGGAACAATCAGGCAGCAGCATTTGCAGTTCACCAATATCCACTGTTCTGCAGCCACCACTGCTGATACCCAGGCAGACAGGGTCTGGAGTGGACCTCTAGTAAACTCCAACAGACCTGCAGCTGAGGGTCCTGACTGTTAGAAGGAAAACTAACAAACAAAAAAGACATCCACACCAAAAACCCATCTGTACGTCACCATCATCAAAGACCAAAGGTAGCTAAAACCACAAAGATGGGGAAAAAAACAGAGCAGAAAAACCGGAAACTCTAAAAATCAGAGTGCCTCTCCTCTTCCAAAGGAATGCAGCTCCTCACCAGCAATGGAGCAAAGCTGGATGGAGAATGACTTTGACGAGTTGAGAGAGGAAGGCTTCAGAAGATCAAACTACTCCAAGTTAAAGGAGGAAGTTCGAACCAATGGCAAAGAAGTTAAAAACTTTGAAAAAAAATTAGATGAATGGATAACTAGAATAACCAATGCAGAGAAGTCCTTAAAGTACCTGAAGGAGCTGAAAACCATGGCACAAGAACTACGTGATGAATGCACAAGCCTCAGTAACTGACGCAATGAACTGGAAGAAAGGGTATCAGCGATGGAAGATGAAATGAATGAAATGAAGTGTAAAGAGAAGTTAAGAGAAAAAAGAATAAAAAGAAATGAACAAAGCCTCCAAGAAATATGGGACTATGTGAAAAGACCAAATATACGTCTAATTGGTGTACTTGAAAGTGACGGGGAGAATGGAATCAAGTTGGAAAACACTCTGCAGGATACTATCCAGGAGAACTTCCCCAATCTAGCAAGGCAGGCCAATATTCAAATTCAGGAAATACAGAGAACGCCACAAAGATAATCCTTGAGAAGAGCAACTCCAACACACATAATTGTCAGATTCACTAAAGTTGAAATGAAGGAAAAAATGTTAAGGGCAGCCAGAGAGAAAGGTTGGGTTACCCACAAAGGGAAGCCCATCAGACTAACAGCTGATCTCTCGGCAGAAACTCTACAAGCCAGAAGAGAGTGGGGGCCAATATTCAACATTCTTAAAGAAAAGAATTTTCAACCCAGAATTTCATATCCAGCCAAACTAAGCTTCATAAGTGAAGGAGAAACAAAATACTTCACAGACAAGCAAATGCTGAGAGATTTTGTCACCACCAGGCCTGCCTTAAAAGAGCTCCTGAGGGAAGGACTAAACATGGAAAGGAATATCCAGTACCAGCCACTGCAAAAACATGTCAAATTGCAAAGACCATCAAGGCTAGGAAGAAACTGCATCAACTAATGAGCAAAATCACCAGCTAACATCATAATGACAGGATCAAATTCACACATAACAATACTAAACTTAAATGTAAATGGGCTAAATGCTCCAATTAAAATGCACAGACTGGTAAATTGGATAAAGAATCAAGACCCATCAGTGTGCTGTATTCAGGAGACCCATCTCACATGCAGAGACACATATCGGCTCAAAATTAAAGGGATGGAGGAAGATCAACCAAGCAAATGGAAAACAAAACAAGGCAGGGGTTGCAATCCTAGTCTCAGATAAAACAGACTTTAAACCAACAAAGATCAAAAGAGACAAAGCAGGCCATTACATAATGGTAAAGGGATCAATTCAACAAGAAGAACTAACTATCCTAAATATATATGCACCCAATACAGGAGCACCCAGATTCATAAAGCAAGTCCTTAGTGACCTACAAAGAGACTTAGACTCCCATGCAATAATAATGGGAGACTTTAACACCCCACTGTCAACATTAGACACATCAATGAGGTTGTGTCTATGAATTAACAAGGATATCCAGGAATTGAACTCGAGGATATGTCTATGAGTAGATGTATCTACGAGTTAACAAGGATATCCAGGATGTGTCTATGAGTTAACAAGATATCACATAACAAGGATGTGTCTATGAGTTAACAAGGATATACAAGAATTGAACTCAGCTCTGCACCAAGCAGACCTAATAGACATCTACAGAACTCTGCACCCCAAATCAACAGAATATATATTCTTTTCAGCACCACACCACACCTATTCCAAAACTGACCACATAGTTGGAAGTAAAGCTCTCCTCAGCAAATGTAAAAGAAAAGAAATTATAACAAACTGTCTCTCAGACCACAGTGCAATCAAACTAGAACTCAGGATTAAGAAACTCACTCAAAACCACTCAACTACATGGAAACTGAACAACCTGCTCCTGAATGACTACTGGGTACATAACGAAATGAAGGCAGAAATAAAGATGTTCTTTGAAACCAACGAGAACAAAGACACAACATACCAGAATCTCTGGGACACATGCAAAGCAGTGTGTAGAGGGAAATTTATAGTACTAAATGCCTACAAGAGAAGGCAGGAAAGATCTAAAATTGACACCCTAACATCACAATTGAAAGAACTACAGAAGCAAGAGCAAACACTTTCAAAAGCTAACAGAAGGCAAGAAATAACTAAGATCAGAGCAGAACTGAAGGAAATAGAGACAGAAAAATCCCTTCAAAAAATCAATGAATCCAGGAGCTGGTTTTTTAAAAAGATCAACAAAATTGATAGACTGCTAGCAAGACTAATAAAGAAAAAAAGAGAGAAGAATCAAATAGACGCAGTAAAAAATGATAAAGGGGATATCACCACTGATCCCACAGAAATACAAACTACCATCAGAGAATACTATAAACACCTCTATGCAAATAAACTAGAAAATCTAGAAGAAATGGATAAATTCCTCGACACATACACTCTCCCAAGACTAAACCAGGAAGAAGTTGAATCTCTGAATAGACCAATAACAGGCTCTGAAATTGAGGCAATAATTAACAGCTTACCAACCAAAAAAAGTCCAGGACCAGATGGATTCACAGCCAAATTCTACCAGAGGTACAAGGAGGAGCTGGTACCATTCCTTCTGAAACTATTCCAATCAATAGAAAAAGAGGGAATCCTCCCTAACTCATTTAATGAGGCCAGCATCATCCTGATACCAAAGCCTGGCAGAGACACAACAAAAAAAGAGAATTTTAGACCAATATCCTAGATGAACATTGATGCAAAAATCCTCAATAAAATACTGGCAAACCAAATCCAGAAACACATCAAAAAGCTTATCCACCATGATCACGTGGGCTTCATCCCTGGGATGCAAGGCTGGTTCGACATACAAAAATCAATAAATGTAATCCAGCATGTAAACAGAACCAAAGACAAAAACCACATGATTATCTCAATAGATGCAGAAAAGGCCTTTGACAAAATTCAACAACCCTTCATGCTAAAAACTCTCAATAAATTAGGTATTGGTGGGACATATCTCAAAATAATAAGAGCTATCTATGACAAACCCACAGCCAATATCATACTGAATGGACAAAAACTGGAAGCATTCCCTTTGAAAACTGGCACAAGACAGGGATGCCCTCTCTCACCACTCCTATTCAACATAGTGTTGGAAGTTCTGGCCAGGGCAATCAGGCAGGAGAAGGAAATAAAGGGTATTCAATTAGGAGAAGAGGAAGTCAAATTGTCCCTGTTTGCAGATGACATGATTTATATCTAGAAAACCCCATTGTCTCAGCCCAAAATCTCCTTAAGCTGATAAGCAACTTCAGCAAAGTTTCAGGATACAAAAGCAATGTACAAAAATCACAAGCATTCTTATACACCAATAACAGACAAACAGAGAGCCAAATCATGAGTGAACTCCCATTCACAATTGCTTAAAAGAGAATAAAATCCCTAGGAATCCAACTTACAAGGGATGTGAAGGACCTCTTCAAGGAGAACTACAAACCACTGCTCAATGAAATAAAAGAGGATACAAACAAATGGAAGAACATTCCATGCTCATAGGTAGGAAGAATCAATATCATGAAAATGGCCATACTGCCCAAGGTAATTTATAGATTCAATGCCATCCCCATCAAGCTACCAATGACTTTCTTCACAGAATTGGAAAAACTACTTAAAGTTCAGATGGAACCAAAAAAGAGCCCACATCGCCAAGTCAATCCTAAGCCAAAAGAACAAAGCTGGAGGCATCACGCTGCCTGACTTCAAACTATACTACAAGGCTACAGTAACCAAAACAGCATGGTACTGGTACCAAAACAGAGATATAGATCAATGGAACAGAACAGAGCCCTCAGAAATAATGCCACATATCTACAACTATCTGATCTTTGACAAACCTGAGAAAAACAAGCAATGGGGAAAGGATTCCCTATTTCATAAATGGTGGTGGGAAAACTGGCTAGCCATATGTAGAAAGCTGAAACTGGATCCTTTCCTTGCACCTTATACAAAAATTAATTCAAGATGGATTAGGGACTTACATGTTAGACTTAAAACCATAAAAACCCTGGAAGAAAACCTAGGCATTACCATTCAGGACATAGGCATGGGCAAGGACTTCATGTCTAAAACACCAAAAGCAATGGCAACAAAAGTCAAAATTGACCAATGGGATCTAATTAAACTAAACAGCTTCTGCACAACAAAAGAAAATACCATCAGAGTGAACAGGCAACCTACAAAATGGGAGAAAATTTTTGCAACCTACTCATCTGACAAAGGGCTAATATCCAGAATCTACAATGAACTCAAGCAAATTTACAAGAAAAAACCAACCCCATCAAAAAGTGGGCAAAGGATATGAACAGACACTTCTCAAAACAAGACATTTATGCAGCCAAAAAACACATGGAAGAATGCTCATCACTGGCCATCAGAGAAATGCAAATCAAAACCACAATGAGATACCATCTCACACCAGTTAGAATGGCCATCATTAAAAAGTCAGGAAACAACAGGTGCTGGAGAGGATGTGGAGAAATAGGAACACTTTTACACTGTTGGTGGTAATGTAAACTAGTTCAACCATTGTGGAAGTCAGTGTGGCGATACCTCAGGGATCTAGAACTAGAAATACCATTTGACCCAGCCATCCTATTACTGGGGATATACCCAAAGGATTATAAATCATGCTACTGTAAAGACACAGGCACACGTATGTTTATTGCAGCACTATTCACAATAGCAAAGACTTGGAACCAACCCAAATGTCCATCAATGATAGACTGGATTAAGAAAATGTGGCACATATACACCACAGAATACTCTGCAGCCATAAAAAATAATGAGTTCAAGTCCTTTGTAGGGACATGGATGAAGCTGGAAACCATCATTCTCCGCAACCTATCACAAGGACAAAAAACCAAATACTGCATGTTCTCACTCATAGGTGGGAACTGAACAATGAGAACACATGGACACAGGAAGGGGAACATCACACACCAGGGACTGTTGTGGGGTGGGGGGAGGGGGGAGGGACAGCATTAGGAGATATACCTAATGCTAAATGACGAGTTAATGGGTGCAGCACACCAACATGGCACATGTATACATATGTAACAAACCTGCATGTTGTGCGCATGTACCCTAAAACTTAAAGTATAATAATAATAATAATAAAAAAGAAAAACAAGTTTTGGTTTGCTGAGTTAGGTCTGCACACTTTAAGGACCACACAACACCCTGTTATAAGTCATGCATTTTAGAAGACCTTTTAACAAAGACATGCATGTCTCCATCTCCAGACTCACGAATATATTACTTTACAAGGCAAAAGAAATTTTGCTGATGTGATTAAGTTCAGAATCTTGAGATGGGGAAATTATCCTGGATTATCTAGGTGGGCCCCTGTAATCAAAAAGTTCTTTATAAGTGAAAGACAGAGGAAGGAGAGTGATGCTTAGAATAAGTGAGAGATTCAAAGATTCAAAAAAAACTCCACTGGATTTAAAGATAAAGAAAGGGGCCATGAGCCAAGGATTGCGGGAAGCCTATGAATCTAGAAAAGGAAAGGAAATAGATTTTCCCTTGGAGGCTTAAAAGAATGCAGTTCTGTTAACATCTTGATTTTAGATGACTAAGACCCATTTCAGACTTCTGCCCTTTAAATCTGTAAAATAGCAGTTGTTTTAAGCTATTAAGTTTGTAGTAATTTGTTAAAATAGCAATAGGAAACTAGTACTTACCATGGATTGCCACATTTCTATATCTGCCTCTGATATGAAAAATGTGGTGTTGATAAACCATCTGGAGAGGTTCTTTGTGTAACTGTGTCATAATGCAATGCTGAAAGACTGTCAAAATGGGGAGTTGAGAAAAGAAGGAAACCATGTGTAAACTTTTATCCAGGAAAGTTAATTAAAATGAAAATCAGTCATATGCCTTATAATTTAAGAAAAACGTAGGATGATCTATGTTCTAGATATAAGTTTTCTGAGATCCCTAATTATATAACAAGTACCTGAATGTAAAGATTAATAATAATGTGCTCTTTTATTGGAGACAGGCTTAATCAGAGCTTTATTTTTTGGTATGTCTGTGTATACTTTTAAGCACAGTTGATCCTTATGATGATTTTTCTGAAGACCTGTGATACATGAACACATTCTCTAATCATTAATATGTGGTAACATTATTGCTTATGGTATTTTGCTAATGGTTTGAATACTGACGGTCCACCTGAGCCATATATACTAAGTGCTCTTGTGAGATTTTTAGGGAATCAAGGTCTTGGAATTGCAAACCTCAAGTTCTAACGTTATCTCTCAATATTTGTGTAGTTCTCATAGTCTTATAGAACTTTTAGAGTGAAAAATTCAGTTACACTTTGTCTTGGTCCATTTATGCTGCCACAGAGAAGATATTCTGTTACAGACTGGGTAATTTATAAAGAACAGAAATTTATTTTCTCACAGTTATGGAGGCTGAGAAGTCCAACATCAAGATACCAACAGGTTCTCTGCTTCCAAGATGGCACCTTGGATGCCATTGTGGAAGAACCAGAAGACAGCAAACCCACTTTTGCAAGCCCATTTTTTATAGCAGCGTTAATCCATTCATGAGAGTAGAGCCACGTGACCTCAACGCCTCCCATTAGATCCCACCTCCTAACACTGTTGCATGGGGGATTAAGTTTCAAGATAAGTTTGGAAGGGACAAAAATATTCAGACCACAGCACTCCTTTCATATGACAGATAAGGATAGGTTTTTTGAATCTGCTTTTCTATTTGTAAAATGCGATTATGTAATATCATCTTACTAATAACTTCAGGTGACTTAAAATGTCCTATTGCATTTAAAATACTTTGCCAACTTAGTATACTTTAGATATGTAAGGTTCTTATTAACACCTAGGGCTCCGAATTAGCTGGAAGGCACTATTCCTTAACAGCACTCGATAATTGATATATGGCCATTTAAGGAATGCTATACCATACTTTGAAAATTCACTCATGCTGCCTTTTGGTAGGTAATGATGATTGCGAGTCTCTTTTCTCTTTTCTGGCCTACATTTAGCCCCAGTTTTCCTTTTCTTGACAGGCTTGTTAATTTCTTTTTTTCTATCTAGAGAGTATAAGCCAGTATACTGTGACTAATGATATCTTTTCCTCTTTCCTGTTTCATTTCCTCATTCCCATTAGTGGAGGAGATACTTGGCTCTGGAGTACAGTTCTGTTTTAAACGTCTTAGGACTGATTTTTTTTTCCCCATAGGAAGTACCAGTGAATGAGAAAAATATGGTTTCAATATCAGAATTTTGCTTAAAAGACAAGCTTCAGTAAAGAACTGTTTATTTTATTAAGGGATATCAGTATAACTTTGTTTCTGCTCTGGCTTTGCATTCTGACTTGACATCTATTGTTACTTTTAATGTTCTCATTAACCTAATGCTTTTGAATGAGTCATAAATTATTTCAGTATCTGAAAGTGAAGATACTGTTTAGGAACTTGTTACTCCAGCATATTTTGACGACTTGAAGGAGCTAATGCAGTTTCCAAAGGTGCCTATTTGGAAGAAGCCAAATGACCACAGATATCATGATCACAGATATCAGGCATAAATAAGTATATAATAAAAAATTATAGCTAGAAATCTGAATAATCAATTTAAAAATAACACAGAAGCATCAGCTTAATTCACAGGAATGTAATATGATTACAACTGCAGAAGGCTTAATGACTCACTATTTGGAAAACTGTGGAAAAGGTACTTCCTCCCCTGGGTTCTTCCCCTCCCTTTAATATTTTCCCTTCTCAGTGCCTTCCCTTTGTCTGCCCCTTAAATCATTCCTCTTAGGTCTGTCTTGACCCACTTTATTTTTATGCTTCAAGTTCTTCCTCCATCTTAGTCATTTGCATGATGTAACAGAGATTACTCTTTGTTTAACCAATATCCACTCACCCCTCTTAAGTAGCAGAATATCAATTTTATACAAGGAGTTAATGGACTCAGCTATAAGATTACATTTCCCAGTCTCTGTCATACTTAGGTGCACCATACGTTGACGATCTGGCTAAGGAGTTGCAAGCAGAACTGGTGTATGAGATTTCAGAGGCGGCTCCTAAAAGGTGCTGGAAAGTGCCCTCTCTTGCCCTTGCTGTCTTCTTGCAGCTTCCTGAAATATGAACACGGTGGGAAGAGCTTGAGCAGCCACACCAGAACAGGATGTAAGCTGTGCACTGAGGATGGTGGTGCAGAAAGCTGGGAGTCTGGCTCCCTGATGACAGGTTATAGCCATCATTACAGCCCCTACTCCCCACCTTTGGATCTAGAGAAATAAATTTTTATTCTGTTAAAACTGCTGCTATTTTGTGTTTTCTAGTATAACCAAGTAAACAACTTTAATTGGTAAACATATATTTTTGTGCTCATAACTTGCATATTTTTCTCTAACGTTGTTCTCCTGAGCCTCCGATTTATGTATTACTAGGTATTTCCTTATTTAAAAATATGTATCTTTTTATTTTTATTTATTTATTTTTAGAGACAAAGCATTGCTACACAAGCATCTGAAAATTATCTTCTCCTGACTGAACTCATAACATCCCTCCCATTCCCTCTCTAACCTGCCCTCGTTGTGTGTGAAATTTGACCACTAGTCTGGTTATCCAAGGAGAGCTCATTGTTAATCCTGGAACCCTCCTCTTTCTCTCCCCATTATATCTCATTGCTCACCAGATCCTTTTATTTTTTTCTCATAAATATTTACCAAGTTTGCCTCCAACTCTGCACCTCTCTCACTTTATCCCAGTTGGTTTCTCATCATCTCCAGCATGCTTTAGCAACTGGATCAATTTCATCCTTCTCACAACTATTTTTTACAATGCTGTCAAAGCGATTTGTTTAAAAAACAAATCAGACCACACCCACCTCCTGCTTAAAATCTTTCAAGAGATCTGCAGCAATAGATCCCTGATCTCAGCACACAGGGCCACGATCTGCTCCCACTCATCTCATAATTTTCACCACTGCTACTCTGTTTTATATATTTCATACTCTAGTAATAATGCAATTCATGGTTTCTTCAACATGTATGGATTTTCATCCATCTGTGCCTTTGTTCATGTCATTCTCTTTGCTTGTAACTTTCCTCTCTTCCCTCCTTTCCTTTCATTGCTAATTTTTTCTTGTATAATGCTTATTCTTCCTTGGTGCTGAGGGGTAGAGAGAGAGAGAGAGAAGCTTTGTTTTAGGAAAGGGAGCAAAGCTTGCAAGAACACTCACTTCCTTTACATGCACAGCATTTGCCTTTAGGGTAGGGGCAACTTTGAAACCAACCATATTCTTGTCTATCAGATATTAATTGAGCCTGTTGAAGTGTCATTCTAAATCACTACAATCCTGCTTATCAATCTAGAGAGGAGAAAATGCATGCTTCACTCAGTTTCAGCAGCTTTTCAGAGCCTCAGGAAGCTCCTTAGAAGACGGCAGGGGTCAGGAATGTAGTGGGCCAGATGTGACTCTTGTGAAGCAGGGAATTGCTGAAAAACTTTGTCACAAAGTACAAACTAGCTGCACCAGACTTGGTTGTTTCTTCAAAGGGGCAGAGGGAACTAACATTTCTTGAGCATCTACCATATGGCATATTATGCCTGCCATTTTTTTTTTCAGTTCTGCAAAGCCCAATTCAAAAATACGGTGTATGGTTGTGGCAGCCTCCTACTGAAACTTAGGTTATATGCACTTCGAGGCAGGATCTGCTTAGGGTATTATATAACAAATATATTTATAAAAATGAATTTATCAGTAAATTATACTGGATATTTTGACATGATTAAATAAAAACTTAAAAAATCTGAGCAACTAACCCTAAGATTCCATTTTGCCTAGTTATTTTTGGTGGATCTAGTCATGTCCACTGTGAATTATAAATTTCCTTTTTCCTGGGAAGGAGTTATTGCTACCCCACAGAGTCTCTGTGTTAGGTCTGCTCAGTCTCTTGCTCCTTTCCCTTCTCACAGCTGGTATTGCAACAGATGGGGTTATTGAATGCAGAGAAAGAGATGAAATTAACGCAGGTAATGAGCAGTAGTTTTACCGTTGGCAAGATTTTAGTTCACTTGGGAAAATTCCAGATGCTCAAAACCCACAATAAGGTAAATCAAAAGCTAGTTTTAGGAAGTGAAAGGCATATAGCGGCAATTTAACATTTATCTAGAGCCAGCATTGCACTTAACATGGTGTGAAGTTGCAGGCAGCTTGGGCATTGGCCTCTGTTCCTAGCTTGTTGTCTAAGAAAAAAGCTTTGGAAGTTGAAATCACTTCATATTTTAATTGGTTCATATGGGCATTTAAAAAGTACATTTAGTTAGGAGGATGCCACTTTTTCTTTAGAGGCTGATGGTTTCTATTTCTCTAGATCTACTCAGGAAGCAACGGGGTAGGCTCATGCCACATGCAACTTAAGTATCATAAGCTAGCTAAGTGCTGTTTTTACATTGAGAGGGGAAACTAATGTTGTAACCATTCTTGCAGTCCTTCCTTCCTTCCCTTCTTCCCTCCTTCCATCTGTTAGCAGCGGTGTATCTGTATAGGTCTGCAGCAACCTCAGTTCTTGCTTCCTCAGAATAAAGAATTTGACTGAGGGGAATAAGGCAGAGTGAGAGACTGAGGCAATTTTTAGAGCAGGAGTGAAAGTTTATTAAAAAGCTTTAGAGCAGGAAGAAAAAGAAGTAAAGTACACTTGGAAGAGGGCTAAGCGAGTGACATGAAAGATCAAGTGCATGGTTTGACCTTTGACTTGGGATCTTACATGTTGGCATGCTTCCTGGGGGTTGCATCCCTTCTCCCCCAATTCTTCCACTGGGGTGCGCTGTCTGCCTGAGCAGTGGTCTGCTGGCACATGTGCAGTGTGCTTACTGAAATGTTGCACATGCTCACTTCAGGCATTTTTCCCTTACCAGTCAAGTGTTCCGAGAAGAAGGTCATGTAACAGTTAAACTCCACCATTTTGCATCTTATTGTGCATGTTTGAGCCCACTCGCCCAAATCCTGAAATCTTATTGGGAAGCTGCTGATCATCAGTTTCAGGTGTTTCTAGCTGTTGGGAGACTGGCTTTCTCTGGTGCTGGTTGTGACCAATTATTATTTGAGAGAGACAGTTAACCCAACTGTCTGACCATTACCTGATGGTCACCTGACATTCCTGGTGGGGGTTGGGGGGAGGGTCTTCTGCCCTGCTTGTGTGTGACTAACTGCCAATTGTAACATATCTACCTTCCACAGTATTTCCTGAGTGTCATTATTATTCTTAGTGCTGGAGATAGAGCAGTGAACAAAGTAGATAAAGCTCCCTTGACTCAGTATTCTAATGGGGGAGACAGACCTTAAATATGAGAAATATAAAAATATACAGTGTATTAGATAGTGACAAAGCACCAAGGAGAAAACTGAAGTAGGGGAGGGAGATAGAAATTGTGTGTATGACTGCAAGTTTCTGATAGAGTGGTCAGGAAGTCCTCACTAAGGAGATGGCATTTGAGTAAAGATCTGAAGCAAGGAAGCAAGCTGTGCAAATTTCTGTGGGAAGAACATTTTAGAAAGAGTGACCACCAGCAAGGGCAAAGGCCTTGAGATAGGAGTGTGCCTGGTGTCTCTGAGGAATGGTAGCAAGCGGGCCAGTGTAAGGAAGGGTGAGTATAGTAGGTGAGGTGAAGCCAGGTAAGAAAGAGGCAACAGATTTCATAGGGCTATAAGGTCTTTGTGATGACTTTAGATTTTACTTTGAGCAAGATGGGAAGTCATTTGAGGGTTCTGAACAGAGGAATCACCCTGGCTGATGTTTTGACAAGAGACTGAAGACAGGTAAGAGCATATGCAGGAATTCTAGTCAGGAGGCTGTTACAGCAATCCAAGCAGATGTCACAGTGGCATGAACCAGGGTGACAGTGGAGGAAGCTGTGAGAATTAGTTGGATTCTGTATACATCTTGAAATTACAGCTAGCAAGATTTGCTAGTGGACTGTGTATGACATAAGAGAAAGTGAGATGTTCAGGATGACTACAAGGTGTTTGGCCTGATACTGAAATGAGGAGATTGTGGGATGAACAAATTTTGGTGAAAGTTCAGTTTTATGTATGTAAACTTTGAGATGTCTAAGAGGCATACAAGTAGAAATATCTAATAGACAGTTGGATATACCAGACTGGTATTCAAAGGAGAGGTCATTAATGGAGACATCAATTTGGTAGTGATCAGCATATAGATGGTATTTATTGCTTTGAAATCAGAAGATAGAAAAGCAAAAATGTGGAAAAACTTAGTTGTCAGATACTCCAAATGTGAAGATTGGGGAAATAATGGTAAGGTAGCTAAGAAGACTTAGGGAAAATATCCAGAGAGGAAAAAGGGAAACCAGGAGAATGCAATGGCCCAGAAACCAAGTGAAGAATTTGTTTTAAAGCAGAAAGACTGACCAACAGTATCAACTGCTGCCAATAGGTCAGCTAAAATGGGGGTCTCAGAATTGTTCATGTGGAGGTCTTTGGTGGCTTTAACAAGAGAAGTATTCGTGGTATAACAGAGGAGATACTTGGTTAGAGAGAAGTAGAGAGAAGGGAAAGAAAAGATTGAATATAGTGAGTACACAGAACTCTTTCGAGAACTTTTACTGTACAGGGAAGACTAGCCAGAGCCAAAAGATGGGTAAAGATAATCTCCCCTCCCCTCCCCTCTCCTCCCCCTCCTACTTTGCCCACCTCTCCCCTCTCCTACTGAGCGGTGACAACCTGCTAGCAGCCCTTGCTCACTCTCGGCACCTCCTCAGACTCAGTGTCCACTCTGGCCGCACTTGAGGAGCCCTTCAGCCCACTGCTGCACTGTGGGATCCCCTCTCTGGGCTGGCCGAGGCTGGAGCCAGCTCCCTCTGCTTAAGGGGAGGTATGGAGGGAGAGGTGCAGGCGGAACCCAGGCTGCACGTGGCCCTCGCGGGCCAGTGCAAGTTTCAGGTGGGCGCAGGCTTGGTGGGCCCTGCATGTTAAGCAGCCGGCCAGTGCCGCGGGCCCTGGGCAGTGAGGGGCTTAGCACCCAGGCCAGCAGTTGCAGAGGGTGCTCCAGGTCCACCAGCACTGCTGATCCACCCGTGCCATGCTTGAATTCTCGCCGGGCCTCAGCCACCTCCCCACAGGGCAGGGCTCAGGACCTGCAGCTGGCCATGCCTGAGTGCCCCCACCCCCGCCGTGGGCTCCCGTGTGGCCCGAGCCTCCATGATGGGTGCCGCCCCCTGCTCTGTGGCACCCAGTCCCATCAACCACCCAAGGGCTGAGGAGTGTGGGCGCATGGTGCTGGACTGGCAGGCAGCTCTGCCTGCAGCCCTGGCAGTGGGATCCGCTAGGTGAAGCCAGCTGGGCTCCTGAGTCAGGTGGGGACTTGGAAAACTTTTATGTCTAGCTGGAGGATTGTATATGTGCCAATCAGCACTCTGTGTCTAGCTCGGGGTTTGTGGATGCACCAAACAGCACTCTGTAGCTAGCTAATCTGGTGGGGACTTGGAGAACTTTTATTTCTAGCTAGAGGATTGTAAATGCACCAATCAGCACTCTGTGTCTAGCTCGGGGTTCGTGGATGCACCAATCAGCACTCTGTATCCAGCTAATCTAGTGGGGACTTGGAGAACTTTTATGTCTAGCTAGAGGATTGTAAGTGCACCAATCAGCACTTTGTGTCTAGCTCAAGGTTTGTAAATGCACCATCAGCACTCTATTTCTTGCTCAGGGATAGTAAATGCACCAATCAGCACCCTGTCAAAATGGACCAATCAGCTCTCTGTAAAATGGACCAATCAGCTCTCTGTAAAATGGACCAATCAGTAGGATGTGGGTGGGGTCAGATAAGGGAAAAAAAGCAGGCTGCGGGAGCCAGAAGCAGCACCCCGCTGGGGTCCCCTTGCACGCTGTGGAAGCTTTGTTGTTTTGCTCTTCGCGATAAATCTTGCTGCTGCTCACTCTTTGGGTCCATGTTGCCATTATGAGCTGTAACACTGTGAAGGTCTGCAGCTTCACTCCTGAAGCCAGTGAGACCATGAACCCACTGGGAGGGATGAACAACTCCGGAAGGGATGAACGAACAACTCCAGACACGCTGCCTTTAAGAGCTGTAACACTCACCTCGAAGGTCTGCAGCTTCACTCCTGAAGCCAGTGAGACCACAAACCCACCAGAAGGAAGAAACTCCAGACATATCTGAACATCTGGAGGAACAAAGTCTGGACACACCATCTTTAAGAACTGTAACACTGACTGTGAGGGTTTGTGGCTTCATTCTTGAAGTCAGCGAGACCAAGAACCCACCAATTCTGGACACATTTTGGCGACCATGAAGAGACTATCACCTGTCGCCAAGTGGTGAGACTATCGCCAAGTGGTGAGACCATCGCCTATTGCTGAGCGGTGAGACTGTCGCCTATTGCCAAGCAGTGAGTACCATCAGACCCCTTTCACTTGCTATTCTGTCCTATTGCATTATATGATGGTTTTTACTCTTGGGGGTATCTGAAACCACTTTGCATTATGAAAGAGCTTTGATGTGTAATAACTAGGTAGAAAAAACAGTTTTGGAGATCCTCAGCTTTTTGCATGTTTGGATCAGAGAAGCATGCTCTGGCAACCTGGAAGGTATGAAGATGTCCCCAACCCCCAAAACCCCACTGCGAGAAAAGACTCCCATGCAGGATGGGCTAATCACAGAATGGGCTGATTGGATTTTGTTTCCTTTGCAATAAAATCATTGCACTGTATTGTTCTGCAGAGTTTCTCTGTTTTGGGATCTAAGTTATGGTATAAAAAATGGGATCCTTAATTTTGGGAGATATGTTTTACCTTCCAGTTGTGCCTGCTTATAAGGCCATAGAAACTGCATGCTTTCCTGGCCCTGTTCCTCCAAAGGCTGCACCCTGAAGTCAATAATCTGGTTAAAGAACTAGCAAATGGAAGATCTTAAAACTACTGGGTCTTCTTCTGTCTGTGTATTTATATGTGATGTGTGTGTGATATGAAAGAGTTTTGATTAATTGGTTTAAAAATAATAAGAGCTTAAATCAAATATTTTCTCAGAAAAATAAAAACTTTAATATTTTTTAGTTCACATGGCTTTAGCAATCTATTAGAAATAAAAACAGTTTTACATGCAACATGTGCAAGGAAAGTAAAATGTGTTTTTGGTAAAAGATTATAAGAAGTCATGGGAATGTGGATTTTTTTAACCTATATTAAAGGGTTAACAGATTGTTTTAAGTTAGATATATTAAAGCTGAAGGTTTGAGCAAGTTGTAGAAGGTTTAGAAAAATTAACCTTGTAAAAGAAATTCCATATGTAAACATATTGGCTAAAAACTGAATAAAGGAGTATTATTCAGTTTTTCCATAAACTGAACATTGGAATAAAAGCAAAATATGTTTTTCTTACACCACTGATCTGCTTCTTAACAAAAAATGTAAAAGGTTATAAAAAAAGATTTATGAGAATCTTATGGTCAGACATTAAAATTGAATAGCTTTGTCTGTAAGGTTTTATTAAGAATTGGGTTTGACATCAATAATGCACTAATGTGGACAGGCACGAAAGCTCATGCCTGTAATCCCAACACGTTGGGAGGCCAAAGCGGGCTGATCACTTGAGGCCAGGAGTTTGAGACCAGCCTTGACAACATGGTGAAAGCTCATCTTTACTAAAAATACAAAAATTAGCCGGGTGTGGTGGTACATGTCATAATCCCAGCTATTTGGGAAGCCGATGTATGAGAACAGTTTGAACCCAGGAGGCGAAGGTTGCAGTGAGCCCCGATTGTGCCACTAGACCCCAGCCTGGGCAACAGAGAGATACTTTGTCTCAAAAAGAAAAATAATAATAATAATAATAATGCAGTAATGTAACAGTAAAATTTGCCTTTCTCTCTTGAACAAGATTTTTATGTTTTATTTAAAAAAGTTTTGTTTGCCTTTTGAATAAACTATAGGAAAAAGAAGAGAAAGAAAAAAGATTGTTTGGAAAGCTAAGTCTTTCCTCTATTAGTAAAGATTTTGCCTCCTTAAAATTTTTAAGTCATCATTTTGACTAAATGAATAATTTACCAATAATTTACGGTGATCTGGGACTTTATTTTTTAATATCAAGTGTTTTAAACCTTTGATATGTGAAAAACTTTCTAAAATTAAATGATAAATTATGTCTTTTTCAGACCTAATTAATCTTTTAAAAGCTAGGTCCCCTAAAGTTCAGAAGAGACATATTGGCTTATTTGGTATAAAAATTATACAGGAAGCATTGTCAAATATGAAATGGTGCTTGGTTTTCTTTGGGCAGTATTTGTATAAATATGTTATTGATATGTGTTCCAAAACTTTCTTAAACTCCTATAATTCTGATGACTTAGTATATGTTATTAAAAACTGTAATTGTTATTCAAAATTGTTGTATGCCACAGGAGTAATCAAAATTTCTAGTCAATTGTAGCTTTAATAGAGGCTACCCTAAGATGTTTTGTCATCCATGGACAGTTGTCCTGTTTTTATCCTCTTCAAAAGGTGGTTTTTAATCAGCTATAGAACTTTCAGGTGCTCTTGAATGCAGGTTTCTGACAACTTTGGAGATTATTGAGAGGTGACAGCATGCTGGCAGCCCTCGCTCACTCTTGGCACCTCCTCAGCCTCAGCGCCCACTGGGGCCATGCTTGAGGAGCCCTTCAGCACACTGCTGCACTGTGGGAATCCCTCTCTGGGCTGGCCAAGGCTAGAGCCAGCTCCCTCTGCTTGTGGGGAGGTGTGGAGGGAGAGGCACAGGCAGGAACCAAGGCTGCACATGGCCCTCATGGGCCAGTGTGAGTTCTGGGTGGGTGCGGGCTTGGTGGGCCCCACACTTGGAGCGGCTGGCAAGAGCCACTGGCCCCGGGCAGTGAGGGGCTCAGCACCTGGGCCAGCAGCTGCGGAGGATGTGCCTGGCCCCCAGCACTGACGGTCTGCCCTTACCATGCTTGAATTCTCGCCGGGCCTTAGCTGCCTCCCCATGGGGCAGGGCTTGGGACCTGCAGCCCGCCATGCCCAAGTCACCCCCCATGGTGGGCTCTTGCATGGCCCGAGCCTCCCCACCAGGCACTGCCCCCTGCTCCATGGTTCCCAGTCCCATCGACCACCCAAGGGCTGAGGAATGCAGGCATGTGGCACAGGACTGGCAGGCAGCTCCGCCCACGGCCCCAGCATGGGATCCACTAGGCGAAGCCAGCTGGGCTCCTGAGTTGGGTGGGGACTTGGAGAACTTTTATGTCTAGCTAAAGGTTTGTAAATGCACCAATCAGCACCCTGTGTTTAGCTCAAGGTTTGTGGATGCACCAATCAGCACTCTGTATCTAGCTAATCTGGTGGGGACTTGGAGAACTTTTATGTCTAGCTAGAAGATTGCAAATGCACCAATCAGCACTCGGTGTCTAGCTCAGGGATTGTAAATGCACCAATCAGCACCCTGTCAAAACGGACCAATTAGCTCTCTGTAAAATGGACCAATCAGCTCTCTATAAAATGGACCAATCAGCAGCATGTGGATGGGATCAGATAAGGGAATAAAAGCAGGATGCCCAAGCCAGCAGCAGCAACCCGCTTGGGTCCCCTTCCACACTGTGGAAGCATTGTTCTTTCACTCTTCATAATAAATCTTGCTGCTGCTCACTCTTTGGGCCCACACTGCCTTTATGAGCTGTAACACTCACCACAAAGGTCTGCAGCTTCAATCCTGAGGCCAATGAGACCACGAACCCACCAGGAGGGATGAACAACTCTGGATGGGAGGAACGAACAGCTTCAGATGCACTGCCTTAAGAGCTGTAACACTCACTGCGAAGGTCTGCAGCTTCACTCCTGAAGCCAGCGAGACCATGAACCCACCAGAAGGAAGAAACTCTGAACACGTCCGAACATCAGAAGGAACAAACTCCAGACATACCATCTTTAAGAGCTGTAACACTCACCTTGAAGGTCCGTGGCTTCATTCTTGAAGTCAGTGAGACCAAGAACCCACCAGTTTCAGACACATTTTGGCAACCATGAAGGTACTATCACCTATTGCCAAGTGGTGAGACTATCACCAAGTGGTGAGACCATCGCCTATCACTGAGCAGTGAGACTACCGCCTATCACCAAGCAGTGAGACTATCACCTATCGCCAAGCAGTGAGAACCATTGGACCCCTTTCACTTGCTATTCTGTCCTATTTTTCCTTAGTATTCAGGGTCTAAATACCAGGCACCTGTCAGCCAGTTAAAAGCGACTAGCGCAGCCGCTGGACTAAAGACACAGGTGTCAGGCTTTCTGGGAAAGGGCTCTCTAACAACCCCTGACTCTTCAGAGTTGGGAGCGTTGGTTTGCCTGGAACCAGCTACCACTTTTGCTGTACTTCTGGGCTGAGCCAAGGGTCGACAGAGGAAAGTCATTCAGCTCCGGGGTCCTGACAACAAGTTGGTTGACCCTGTGGCCATGAGCAGAACTCTCAAAGGCATGTCGCCCAAGCGAGACTCACCCATCTATCCTATCTATCCTGACCTTGCCCCCTGGGTCCTAATGCCTGCCAGACAAACTTCCTCTCACCTCTCTTCTCTGAGGCTAGCCCCAATTCTAAAAACAATTCCTTGTCTCTGGTGCTTTTCTAGTTTCTCTGAAAGAATGATTTCTAGTATAAACTCCAGGGCTCTGTTACCTTCTTTAGGCACCTGGGCTCACCAATCAGAAAGACATAATTTTTGCCCAAAGCCCTGTCATAGGGGGGAACTATCTGGAATTTTAGGATCCCTCCTTAGACTAGCAGGCCTAACAAAAGCTATTCTTGAAGCTAGGATATGGGGAGCCTCAGAAATTCTATCCTTCCTATTCATATAAGTGAGGACAATAGCCATCAGTCTTCCAACTCCAGAGATCACTTCCTTCCCTCAGGGCATGGCCCTCCACTTCATTTTTGGGGCATAACATCTTTATAGGACACAGGCAAGCTCCAAATACTAACAGGAGAATGCTTAGGACTTTAACAGGTTTTTGAGAATGTGTCAGTAAGGGCCACTAAATCTGATTTTTCTCAGTCCTCCTTGTGGTCTAGGAGGACAGGCAAGGGTGCAGGTTTTTGAGAATGTGTCAGTCAGGGCCACTAAATCCGACCTTCCTTGGTCCTCTTTGTGGTCTGGGAGGAAAACTAGTGTTTCTGCTGCTGTGTTGGTGAGCGCAACTATTCCGATCAGCAGGGTCCAGGGATGGTTGCGGGTTCTTGGGCAGGGGTTGTTTCTGCTGCTGCATCAATGAGCACACCTATTCCAATCAGTAGGGTCCAGGGACCATTGTGGGTTCTTGGGCAGGGGTAGAAACAAAACAATCCAAAACTGTGGGCAGTTTTGTCTTTCAGATGGGAAACACTCTGGCATCAACACGCTCATCCTTGAAATGCATCCTAAGCCATTGGGACCAATTTGACCCACAAACCCTGAAAAAGAGGCAGCTCATTTTTTTCTGCACTACAGCCTGGCCCCAGTATTCTCTCTCTGATGGGGAAAAATGGCCACCTGAGGGAAGTATAAATTACAATACTATCCTGCAGCTTGACCTTTTCTGTAAGAGGGAAGGCAAATGGAGCAAAATACTTTATGTCTGAGCTTTCTTTTCATTGAAGGAGAATACACAACTATGCAAAGCTTACAATTTACATCCCACAGGAGGACCTCTCAGCTTACCCCCATATCCTAGCCTCCCTATAGCTCCCCTTCCTATTAATGATAATCCTCCTCTAATCTCCCCTGCCCAGAAGGAAATAAGCAAAGAAATCTCCAAAGCATCAAAAAACCCCAGCTATCAGTTATGTCTCCTTCAAGCTGTAGGGGGAGGGGAATTTGGCCCAACCCAGTACATGCCCCCTTCTCCCTCTCTGATTTAAAGCAGATCAAGACAGACCTGGGGAAGTTTTCAGATGATCCTGATAGGTACATAGATGTCCTACAAGGTCTAGGGCAAACCTTTGACCTCGCTTGGAGAGATGTCATGCTACTGTTAGATCAAACCCTTGCCTTTAATGAAAAGAATGCAGCTTTAGCTGCAGCATGAGAGTTTGGAGATACCTGGTATCTTAGTCAAGTAAATGATATAATGACAGCTGAAGAAAGGGACAGATTCCCTACTGGTCAGCAAGCCATCCCCAGTATGGATCCTCACTGGGACCTTGACTCAGATCATAGGGACTGGAGTTGTAAACATCTGTTGACCTGTGATCTAGAAGGACTAAGGAGAATTAGAGAAAAGCCCATGAATTATTCAATGATGTCCACCATAACTCAGGGAAAGGAAGAAAATCCTTCTGACTTCTTCGAGTGGCTATGGGAGGCCTTAAGAAAATATACTCCCCTGTCACCTGAATCACTCAAAGGTCAATTGATTATAAAAGATAAGTTTATTACCCAATCAGCCACAGATATCAGGAGAAAGTTCCAAAAGTAAGCCCTGGGCCCTGAATAAAATTTGCAGGCATTATTAAACCTGGAAACCATGGTGTTCTATAATAGGAACCAAGAGGAACAGGCCCAAAAGGAAAAGCGAGATCAGAGAAAGGCCGCAGCCTTAGTCATGGCCCTCAGACAAACAAACCTTGGTGTTTCAGAGAGGACAGAGAATGGAGCAGGCCAAGCACCCAGTAGGGCTTGTTATCAGTGTGGTTTACTAGGCACTTTAAAAAGCATTGTCCAATGAGAAACAAGCTGCCCCCTCATCCATGTCCACCATGCTGAGGCAATCACTAAAAGGTGCCCTGCCGTAGAGGATGAAGGTTCTCTGGGTCAGAAGCCCCCAACCAGACAATCCAACAACAGGACTGAGGGTGCCTGGGGCAAGTGCCAGCTCATGTCATCACCCTCACTGTGCCCCGGGTACATTTAACCATTGAGGGCCAGGAAATTGACTTCCTCCAGGACACTGGTGCAGCCTTCTCAGTGTTAATCTCCTGTCCTGGACAACTGTCCTCAAGGTCCGTTACCATCTGAGGAATCCTGGGACAGCCTGTAACCAGGTATTTCTCCCACCTTCTCAGTTGTAATTGGGAGACTTTGCTCTTTTCACATGCCTTTCTTGTTATGCCTGAAAGTCCCACACCCTTATTAGGGAGGGATATATTAGCCAAGGCTGGAGCTATTATCTACATGAATATGGGGAAACAAATTACCCATTTGTTGTCCCCTACTTGAGGAGGGAATCAACCCTGAAGTCTGGGCATTGGAGGGACAATTTGGAAGGGCAAAAAATGCCCGCCCAGTCCAAATCAGGTTAAAAATCCCACCACTTTTCCTTATCAAAGGCAATATCCCTTAAGGCCTGAAGCTCATAAAGGATTACAGGATATTGTTAAACATTTAAAAGCTCAAGGCTTAGCAAGGAAATGTAGCAGTCCCTGCAACACCCCAATTCTGGGAGTACAAAAACTGAATGGTCAGTGGAGACTAGTGCAAGACCTTAGACTCATCAATGAGGCAGTAATTCCTCTATATCCAGTTGTACCCAACCCCTATACCCTGCTTTCTCAAATACCAGAGGAAGCAGAATGGTTCACTCTTCTGGACCTCAAGGATGCCTTCTTCTGTATTCCTCTGCACTCTGACTCCCAGTTTCTCTTTGCCTTGAGGATCCCACAGATCACATGTCTCAACTTACGTGGATGGTCTTTCCCCAAGGGTTTAGGGATAGCCCTCATCTGTTTGGTCAGGCACTGGCCCAAGATCTAGGCCACTTCTCAAGTCCAGGCACTCTGGTCCTTCAATATGTGGTTGATTTACTTTTGGCTACCAGTTTGGAAGCCTCGTGCCAGCAGGCTACTCTAGATCTCTTGAACTTTCTAGCTAATCAAGGGTACAAGGTGTCTTGGTCGAAGGCCCAGCTTTGCCTACAGCAGGTCAGATATCTAGACCTAATCTTAGCCAGAGGGACCAGGGCCCTCAGGAAAGAATGAATACTGCCTATACTTGCTTATCCTCACCCTAAGACATTAAAACAGTTGCAGGGGTTCCTTCGAATTACTGGCTTTTGCTAATGATGGATCTCTGGATACAGCGAGATAGCCAGGCCCCTCTATACCCTAATCAAGGAAACCCAGAGGGCAAATACTCATCTAATAGAATGAGAACCAGAGGCAGAAGTAGCCTTCAAAACCTTAAAGCAGGCCCTAGTACAAGCTCCAGCTTTAAGCCTTCTGACGGGACAAAACTTCTCTTCATACATCATGGAGAGAGCAGGGATAGCTCTTGGAGTCCTTACTCAGATTTGTGGGACAACCCCACAACCAGTGGCATACCTAAGTAAGGAAATTGATGTAGTAGCAAAAGGCTGGCCTCACTGTTTATGGGTAGTTGTGGCAGTGGCCATCTTAGTGTCAGAGGCTATCAAAATAATACAAGGAAAGGATCTCACTCTCTGGACTACTCATGATGTAAATGGCATACTAGGTGCCAAAGGAAGTTTATGGCTATCAGACAACTGCCTACTTAGATACCAGGTGCTACTCCTTGAGGGACCAGTGCTTCAAATACACATGTGTGTGGCCCTCAACCCTGCCACTTTTCTCCCAGAGGATGGGGAACCAATCGAGCATGACTGCCAACAAATTATAGTCCAGACTTATGCCGCCTGAGATGATCTCTTAGAAGTCCCCTTAGCTAATCCTGACCTTAACGTATATACTGATGAAAGTTCATTTGTGGAGAATGGGATATGAAGGGCAGGTTATGCCATAGTTAGTGATGTAACCATACTTGAAAGTAAGCCTCTTCCCCCAGAGACAAGTGCCCAGTTAGCAGAACTAGTGGCACTTACCAGAGCCTTAGAACTGGGAAAGGGAAAAAGAATAAATGTGTATACAGATAGCAAGTATGCTTATCTAATCCTACATGCCCATACTGCAATATGGAAAGAAAGGGAGTTCCTAACCTCTGGGGGAAACCCCATTAAATACCACAAGGAAATTATAGAGTTATTGCACACAGTGCAAAAACCCAAGGAGGTGGCAGTCTTACACTGCCAAAGCCATCAGAAAGGGGAAGGAGAGGGGAGAACAGCAGCACAAGCGGCTGGCAGAGGCAGTCAGAAAGAGAGAGACAAAGAGAGAAAGAAAGAGAAAGAGATAAAAAGTCAAAGAAAAAAGACAGAGAGGAAGAGACAGACAAAGAGGGAGTCAGAAAGAGAGAAAGAGAGAGACAAAGGAGAAGTCAAAGAGAGAGATAGAAGTAGTAAAGAAAAAATAGTGTACCCTATTCCTTTAAAAGCCAGGGTAAATTTCTAAATGTCTACCCAGCCAAGGCATATTCTTATGTGGAACATTGACCTATATCTGCCTACCCGCTAACTGGACAAGCACCTGCACCTTAGTCTTTCTAAGTCCCAACATTAACATTGCCCCAGGAAATCAGACCTTATCAGTACCCCTCAAAGTTCAAGTCTGTCAGTGCAGAGCCATACAACTAATACCTCTACTTATAGGGTTAGGAATGGCTACTGCTACAGGAACCAGAATAGCCAGTTTATCTACTTCATTATCCTACTACCACACACTGTCAAAGGATTTCTCAGACAGTTGGCAAGAAATAACGAAATCTATCCTTACTTTATATCCCGCATAGACTATTTGGCAGCAGTGACTCTCCAAAACTGCCGAGGCCTAGACTTCCTTATTGTTGAGAAAGGAGGACTCAGCACCTTCTTAGGGGAAGAGTGTTGTTTTTACACTAACCAGTCAGGGATAGTATGAGATGCTACCCAGCATTTACAGGAAAAGGTTTCTGAAATCAGACACTGCCTTTCAAACTCTTATACCAACCTCTGGAGTTGGGCAACATGGCTTCTCCCTTTCTAGGTCCCATGGCAGCCATCTTGCTGTTACTCACCTTTGGGTTCTGTATTTTTAACCTTCTTGTCAAATTTGTTTCCTCTAGAATCAGGACCATCAAGCTACAGATGGTCTTACAAATGGAACCCCAAATGAGTTCAACTAACGACTTCTACCAAAGACCCTTGGACCAACCCACTGTCAGTTTCACTGGCCTAGAGATCTCCCCTCTGGAGGACACTACAACTGCAGGGCCCCTTCATTGCCCCTATCCAGCAGGAAGTAGCTAGAGTGGTCATCGGCCAAATTCCCAACAGCAGTTGGGGTGTCCTGTTTAGAGGAGGGATTGAGAGGTGACAGCATGCTGGCAGCCCTTGCTCAATCTCGGTGCCTCCTCAGCCTCAGTGCCCACTCTGGCCATTCTTGAGGAGCCCTTCAGCCCACCGCTGCACTGTGGGAGCCCCTCTCTGGGTTGGCCGAGGCTGGAGCCGGCTCCCTCTGCCTGCAGGGAGGTGTGGAGGGAGAGTCGCAGGTGGGACTGAGGCTGCACGTGGCCCTCGTGGGCCAGTGCGAGTTCCGGGTGGGCACAGGCTCAGCAGGCCCTGCACTCAGAGTGGCCAGCCAGAACTGCCAGCCCCAGGCAGTGAGGGGCTTAGCACCCAGGCCAGCAGCTGCAGAGGGTGTGCCATGTCCCCCAGCATTGCTGGCCCACCCATGCAGCACTCAAATTCTCGCTGGGCTTCAGCAGCCTCCCCGCAGGGCAGGTCTTGGGATCTGAAGCCTGCCATGCCAGACCCCACCCCCATGGGCTCCCATGCAGCCTGAACCTCCCTGATGGGCGCCACCCCCTGCTCCACAGTGCCCAGTCCCATTGACCACCCAAGGGCTGAGGAATGCAGGTGCACAGTGCAGGACTGGCAGGCAGCTCCACCCATGGCCCTGGCTCAGGATCCACTAGGTGAAGCCAGCTGGGCTCCTGAGTTGGGTAGGGACTTGGAGAACTTTTATGTCTAGCTGGAGCATTGTACATCTGCCAATCAGCACTGTGTGTCTAGCTTGGGGTTCATGGATGCACCAATCAGCACTCTGTATCTAGCTAATCTGGTGGGGACTTGGAGAAATTTTATGTTTAGCTGGAGTATTGTAAATGCACCAATCAACACTTTGTGTCTAGCTCAAGGTTTGTAAATGCACCAATCAGCACTCTGTTTCTAGCTTAGGGTTTGTAAATGCATCAATCAGCTCCCTGTCAAAATGGACCAATCAGCTCTCTGTAAAACGGACCAATCAGCTCTCTGTAAAATGGACCAATCAGCAGGATGTGGGTGGGGTCAGATAAGGGAATAAAACAAGCTGCCTGAACAAGCAGTGGCAACCCACTCGGGTTCCCTTCTATGCTGTGGAAACTTTATTCTTTCACTCTTTGCAATAAATCTTGCTGCTGCTCACTCTTTGGGTCTGCGCCACCTTTAAGAGCTGTAACACTCACTGTGAAGGTCTGCAGCTTCACTCCTGAAGTCAGTGAGACCACAAACCCACCAGAAGGAAGAAACTCTGGACACACCATCTTTAAGAACTGTAACACTCACCGTGAGGGTCCATGGCTTCATTCTTGAAGTCAGCAAGACCAAGAACCCACCAATTCTGGACACACTACCTTGCCCTTGCCTCCCCTCCTGTTTTTAAATTTTTCATTTCTTCTAGTTTTCTAGCAAGATATTAAAGAATAAGTAAGTTTAAGGCCTTTAGAATCCTTATAGCTTCTGAATGCTAAAAGAAAAGCATTAAAACAATAAAACGGGGGGTTGCTTCCAAGATGGCCAAATAGGAACTGCTCTGGTATGCAGCTCCCAGTGAGATTGATGCAGAGGTGGGTGATTTCTACATTTCCAACTGAGGTACCTGGTTCATCTCATTTGGACTGGTTGGACAGAGGGTGTAGCCCATTGAGGGTGAGCTGAAGCAGGGTTAGGGGTCACCTCACCTGGGAAGTGCAAAGGGTTGGGGGATTTTCCTTTTCTAGCCAAGGGAAGCTGTGACAGACTGCACCTGGAGAAACAGGACACTCCTAACCAAATACTGCACTATTCCCACAGTCTAAGCAACCATCAGACCTGGAGATACCCTCCCGTGCCTGGCTTGGTAGGTCCCATGCCCACAGAGCCTGATCCTTGCTCACTGCTAGTGCAGCAGTCTGAGATTGACCTGTGAGGCTGCAGCCTGGTTGGGGGAGGGGTGTCCACCATTGCTGAGGCTTGTGTAACTCACAGTGTAAACAAAGAAGGTGGGAAGCAAGAACTGGGTGGAGCCCATCGCATCTCAGCAAGGCCTACTGCCTCTATAGATTTCACTTCTGGGGGCAGGGCATAGTAGAACAAAAGGCAGCAGACAGCTTCTGCAGACTTAACCATCCCTGCCTGACAGCTCTGAAGAGAGCAGTGGTTCTCTCAGCATGGCATTTGAGCTCTGAGAATATACAGACTGCCTCCTCAAGTGGGTCCCTGACCCCTGTGTATCCTGACTGGGAAACTTCTCCCAGTAGAGGCTGACAGACATCTCAAACAGGCGGGTGCCCCTCAGGGATAGCTTCCAGAGGAAGGATCAGGCAGCAATATTTGCTGTTCTGCAGCCTCTGCTGGTGATACCCAGGCAAAGAGCGTCTGGAGTGGACCTCCAGCAAACCCTAACAGATCTGCACCTGAGGGGTCTGACTGTTAGAAGAAAAACTAACAAACAGAAAGGAATAACATCAACATCAACGAAAAGGACATCCACACCAAAACCCCATCTGTAGGTCACCAACATCAAAGACCAAAGGTAGATAAAACCACAAAGATGGGGAGAAACCAGGGCAGAAAAGCTGAAAATTCCAAAAACAAAGCACCTCTTCTCCTTCAAAGGATCACAGCTCCTCGTCAGTAAGGGAACAAAACTGGATGGAGAATGAGTTTGACAAGTTGACATAAGTAGGTTTCAAAAGGTTGGTAATAATGAACTTCTCCAAGGTAAAGGAGCATGTTCTAACCCATTGCAAGAAAGCTAGAAACCTTGAAAAAAAGGTTAGATGAATGGCTAAGTAGAATAAACAGTGTAGAGAAGACCTTAAATGACCTGATGGACCTGAAAACCATGGCGTGAAAACTTCGTGATGCATGCAGAAACTTCAATAGCTGATTCGATCACGTGGAAGTAAGGATATCAGTGATTGAAGATCAAATTAATGAAATAAAGCAAGAAGACTAGATTAGAGACGAAAGAGTGAAAAGAAATGAACAAAGCCTCCAAGAAATATGGAACTATGTGAAAAGACCAAATATACATTTGATTGGTGTACCAGAAAGTGATGGGGAGAATGGAACCAAGTTAGAAAACACTTTTCAGGATATTATCCAGGAGAACTTCCCCAACCTAGCAAGGCAGGCCAACATTCAAATTCAGGAAATACAGAGAACACCACAAAGATAATCCTCGAGAAGAGCAACCTGAAGACACATAATTGTCAGATTAACCAAGGTTGAAATGAAGGAAAAAATGTTAAGGGCAGCCAGAAAGAAAGGTTGGGTTACCCACAAAGGGAAGCCCATCAGACTAACAGCTCATCTCTCGGCAGAAACTCTACAAGCCAGAAGAGAGTGGGGGCCAATATTCAACATTCTTAAAGAAAAGAATTTTCAACCCAGAATTTCATATCCAGCCAAACTAAACTTCATAAGTGAAGGAGAAATAAAATACTTTACAGACAAGCAAACGCTGAGAGATTTTGTCACCACCAGGCCTGCCTTACAAGAGCTCCTGAAGGAAGCACTAAACATGGAAAGTAACAACCAGTACCAGCCACTGCAAAAACATGCCAAATGATAAAGACCATCGACACTATGAAGAAACTGCACCAATTAATGGGCAAAATAACCAGCTACCATCATAATGACAGGATCAAATTCAAACATAACAACCTTAACCTTAAATGTAAATGGGCTAAATGCCCCAATCAAAAGACACAGACTGTCATATTGGATAAAGAGTCAAGATACACCAGTGTGCTGTATTCAGGAGACCCATCTCATGTGCAAAGACACACATAAGTTCAAAATAAAGGGATGGAGGAAGATCCACCAAGCAAATGGAAAGCAACAAAAAGCAGAGGTTGCAATCCTAGTCTCTGATAAAACAGATTTTAAACCAACAAAGATCAAGAGACAAAGAAGGCCACTACACAATAATGGTAAAGGGATCAATCCAACAAGAAGAGCTAACTATCCTAAATATATATGCACCCAATACAGGAGCACCCAGATTCATAAAGCAACTCATTAGAGACCTACAAAGAGACTTAGACTCCCAGAGAATAATAATGGGAGACTTTAACACCCTACTGTCAATATTAGACAGATCAATGAGACAGAAGTTTAACAAGGTTATCCAGGGCTTGAACTCAGCGTGGCACCAAGCGGACCTAATAGGCATCTACAGAACTCTCCACCCCAAGTCAACAGAATATACATTCTTCTCAGCACCACATAGCATTTATTCTAATATTGACCACATAATTGGTAGTAAAACACTCCTCAGCAAATGTAAAAAACAGAAATCACAACAAACTGTCTCTCAGACCACAGTGCAATCAAATTAGAACTCAGGATTAATAAACTCACTCGAAATCACACAACTACATGGAAACAGAACAACCTGCTCCTGAATGACTACTGGGTAAATAACGAAATGAAGGCAGAAATAAAGATGTTCTTTGAAACCAATGAAAACAAAGACACAATGCACGAGATCTCTGGGACACATCTAAAGCAGTGTGTAGAGGGAAATTTATATCACTGAATGCCCACAAGAGAAAGCAGGAAAGATCTAAAATTGACACCCTAACATCACAATTAAAAGAACTAGAGAAGCAAGAGAAAACAAATTCAAAAGCTAGCAGAAGGCAAGAAATAGCTAAGATCAGAGCAGAAATGAAGGAGATGGAGACACAAAAAACCCTTCAAAAAATCAATGAATCCAAGAGCTGGTTTTTTGAAAATATCAACAGAATAGACTGCACGCCAGACTAATAAAGAAGAAAAGAGAGAGGAATCGAATAGACGCAGTAAAAAATGATAAAGGGGATATCACCACTGATCCCACAGAAATACAAACTACCATCAGAGAATACTATAAACACCTCAATGCAGATAAACTAGAAAATCTAGAAGAAATGGATAAATTCCTGGACACATACACCCTCCCAAGACTAAACCAGGAAGAAGTCGAATCTCTGAATAGACTAATAACAGGTTTTGAAATTGAGGTAATAACTAATTGCCTACCAACCAGAAGAAGTCCAGGACCAGAGAGATTCACAGCCAAATTCTACAAGAGGTGCAAAGAGGAGATGGTACCATTCTTTCTGAAGCTATTTCAATCAATAGAAAAAGAGGGAATCCTCTCTAACTCATTTTATGAGGCTAGCATCATCCTAATACCAAAACCTGGTAGAGACACAATAAAAGAAAATTTTAGGCCAATATCTCTGATGAACATCTATGTGAAAATCCTCAATAAAATATTAACAAACTGAATCCAGCAGCACGTCAAAAAGCTTATCCACCACGATCAAGTCAGCTTCATCCCTGGGATGCAAGGCTGGTTTGACATACGCCAATCAATAAACATAATCCATAACATAAACAGAATCAATGACAAAAACCACATGATTATCTCAATAGATACAGAAAAGGCCTTTGAAAAAATTCAACAGCCCTTCATGTTAAAAACTCTCAGTAGGCTAGGTGTTGATGGAACGTATCTCAAAATAATGAGAGCTGTTTATGACAAACCCACAACCATATCATACTGAATGGGCAAAAACTGGAAGCATTCCCTTTGAAAACTGGCACAAGACAAGGATGCCCTCTCTCACTACTCCTATTCAACATAGTGTTGGAAGTTCTGGCCAGGGCAATCAGGCAAGAGAAAGAAATAAAGGGTATTCAGTTAGGAAAAGAGGAAGTTAAATTGTCTCTGTTTGAAGATGACATGATTGTATATTTAGAAAACCCCATCTCAGCCCAAAATCTCTTAAGCTGATAAACAACTTCAGCAAAGTCTCAGATACAAAATCAATGTGCAAAAATCACAAGCATTCCTATATACCAATAATAGACAGACAGAGAGCCAAATCATGAGTGAACTCCCATTTTATTCTCAAAGAGAATAAAATACCTAGGAATCCAACTTACAAGGGATGTGAAGGACCTCTTCAAGGAGAACTACAAACCACTGTTCAATGAAATAAAAGAGCACACAAACAAATGGAAGAACATTCCATGCTCATGGATAGGAAGAATCAATATCGTGAAAATTGCCATACTACTCAAACTAATTTATAGATTCAGTGCTATCCCCATCAAGCTACCACTGACTTTCTTCACAGAATTGGAAAAAACTACTTTAAAGTTCATATGGAACCGAAAAAGAGCCCACAAGCCAAGACAATCCTAAGCAAAAAGAACAAAGCTGGAGGCATCATGCTACCTGACTTCAAACTATACTACAAGGCTACAGTAACTAAAACAGCATGGTACTGGCACCAAAACAGATATAGGCCAATGGAACAGAAAAGAGCCCTCAGAAATAATACCACACATGTACAACCATCTGATCTTTGACAAACCTGACAGAAACAAGAAATGGGGAAAGGATTCCCTATTTAATAAATGGTGCTGGGAAAACTGGCTAGCCATATGTAGAAAGCTGAAACTGGATCCCTTCCTTCCACTGTATACAAAAATTACCTCAAGATGGATTAAAGACTTAAATATAAGACCTAAAATCATAAAAACCCTAGAAGAAAACCTAGGAATACCATTCAGGACATAGGCATGGGCAAAAACTTCATGACTAAAACACTGAAAGCAATGGCAACAAAAGCCAAAATAGCAAATGGGATCTAATTAAACTAAAGAGCTTCTGCACAGCAAAAGACACTATCCTCAGAGTGAACAGGCAACCTACAGAATGGGAGAAAATTTTTGCAATCTACCCATCTGACCAAGGGATAATATCCAGAATCTACAAAGAACTTAAAAAAATTTACAAGAAAAAAACAAGTAACCCCATCAAAAAGCGGGCCAAGGACATGAACAGATACTTCTCAAAAGAAGACACTTATGCAGCCAACAGACACATGCAAAAAAGCTCATCATCACTGGCCATCAGAGAAATGCAAATCAAAACCACAATGAGATACCATCTCATGACAGTTAGAATGGCAATTATTAAAAAGTCAGGAAACAACAGATGCTGGAGAGGATGTGGAGAAATAGGAACGCTTTTACACTGTTGGTGGGAGTGTAAATTAGTTCAACTATTGTGGAAGATGGTGTGGTGATTCCTCAAGGTCTAGAACTAGAAATACAATTTAACCCAGCCATCCCATTACTGGGTACATACCCAAAGGATTATAAATCATTCTACAATAAAGACAAATGCACACATATGTTTATTGCGGCACTATTCCCAGTAGTAAAGACTTGGAACCAACCCAAATGTCCATCAATGATAGACTGGATTAAGAAAATGTGGCACATATACACCATGGAATATTATGCAGCCATAAAAAAAGATGAGTTCATGTCCTCTGCAGGGACATGGATGAAGCTGGAAACCATCATTCTAAGCAAACTATCACAAGAACTGAAAACCAAACACCACATGTTCTCACTTATAGGTGGGAGTTGAATAATGAGAACACATGGACACAGGGTGGGGAACATCACGCTCGAGGAGTAGGGGGCTCAGGGAGGGATAGCATTAGGAGAAATACCTAATGTAAATGATGAGTTGATGGGTGCAGCAAACCAACATGAGACATGTTTACCTACGTAAGAAACCTGCACATTGTGCACATGTACCCCAGAACTTAAAGCATAATAAAAAAGTTTTTTTTTAAAAATATATAAATAAAAATAAAAATTAAAAAAAGTAAAATAAAACAATAAGATGAAAGGAAGCAAGGGAGATGGAAACAAAGAAAGAGGGAGGGAGAGAAGGAAGACATGGAGGAAAAGAGTCTAGGACAAACATAGGTTTTAGTTGCACTGGGATATTTCCAGTTGTATTTCATTGCTGTGTTACCTTGAACATATAATTTAACATCTCTAGGCCCTAGGAACCTCATCTATAAAATGGTAATAATTTTCCCCCAGGATTACTGTGGGAAAGTTCTGCATAAGGCATAAATCACCATGAGAAATATACAGCCTTGATGGGAATTGAAAAAGTAGTATTTGGAAAATGTGGAGTAAATTGGAAAAATATTAACTATTTTTTAAATTGAAAATAATTACGGTTTTATGTCAAATTTAACAAATACAGATCATATTTTCTTTGGTTAGGAAGCAATAAATTCTGTCTTTATGAAGCTAGTATGTGCTTGCTCTATGCTATGAGTCTTTATTTCTATACTCCAAGACCTTAACATTGGAAAAACAAAGCATAAATACACAAAGATTTAAAATGAAAAGGAAATACAAGAATTCTGTAATATGAAATTTGGTAAGGTAAATTTTTTTCTATTACCAGTTTGCATAATGCAATGCTATAAAAACATTATAATGATTACTTTAAAAGTTACACATAGTCATGTAACTTATTTTTAAAGAAACAATTAGTCATTAACATTGTCACATTTACCATGTGCATAGGTGGAGAAAGCCAATGGTTTTCCTAATTCTTGAATCAGACCTGAAATATACAGTCCTGTCTCTCCCAGAAGAGTGTCACACAGGTGCCCATGAGCAGTCATCTCATTGCCTTCTGCTCTCATTGGCCTCTGTTGATGTCCATTGCTCCCAAAGGCCCTGAGGTTGCTGCTTTCCATCATCACTGCTAATCAGTGCCACTCCTTGAGAATATTTCTCATACTGAGTGTTGCCCTATCTCCAAGCTTTCAAAGGTCCACCCATCAAGATTCTATTCATTCTCTATAACTAGAGATACTACTGAGAGTAAAAAAGAATGCTGTTGATAATTATGCTGGAACAGTGGGCAAAAACTGGATGATCTTGGGCAGACCTGATAGATGATATTCCTACCTATAATCTTCATTACACCAAGGTGTGTTCCATGAAGAAGTGGGCTCATTGTTCTGTTTTCCCTATTCTGTGTAGGCACTGGGGAACAAAAGTGGTGCTATTTGTGGCTACATATCATATAGAATCTTTCAAGAAAACTACTTCAGCAGCAGTTTTGAGCATCTCTCTTTTTAAAGCTTAGACATGAGTTAATGGGGATAAGCTGGAGACCATTTTGTTCTTCCCATTTTCTGGCTTTTAGATTGTTACTGCATTCTCTCTCAGCAACACACACAAAGAGAAAAATACAGAAAAAGGCTATAAACACACACACCCACCCACCCACACACACACACACACACACACACACACACATCCCTTGTCCCAGCCCTAAACCTCCAATCAAGTGTTATACCAATAAAATGCTAATGAAATTGTCACATGTGCTCATTCATGACTTCCTTGGATTCAGATGAGGCTCCCTGATGAATCTCATAAACACTTGCTTGGAAGATTGTACCTAATCATTGACCCATGGGCAGGCCTGAGAACATCACTGACATTTTTCGGTTATTTCGCCAACTCCACTCATAAGTTGAAGAGTGCATGACTATTATAGTTTGAATGTTCGTGTCCCACTGATTTTATGTGTTCAAACTTAATCCCTATTGTAGTTGTATTAAGAGGTGGGGCCTTTGGGAAGTGATTAAATCGTGAGGGCCCTGCCTTAATGAACGGTTTAATGCCTTTATGAAAGGGGCTTCAGAGAGCTGCCTGGCTTTTCATCTCTTCTTCCATGGAAGGACACAGCATTTTTTCCTTTTGTCCTTCTGCCCTTCTGCCACCTGAGGACACAGTGCTTACCCATTCTGCCACCTGAGGACACAGTACTTACCCATTCTTCCACCTGAGGACTCAACAATAAGGGACCATCTTGGAAGCAGAGAGTCCTCACTAGACACTGAATCTGCTGGTGCCTTGATCTTGGAGTTTTCAGCTTCCAGAACTGGAAGAAGCAAATTTCTGTTCTTTACAAATTAACTAGTTAAAGGTGTTTGTTATAGCAGCCCAAATAGATGAAGACAATGAGAAACTGATGCTGTATTATTGAGTGGCCTATGTTCTGTTATTGTTTGTTACTGATGCTGTATTATAGGGTGGCCTGTGTATTCTGCTACTGTTTGGGCCCTGGTTTAGTAGAATGGCCACATAGTTTATAGAACTCCAAAGGACTGCAAAACTTACCTTGCAAATTTGTACTTTTCAGCAGGGAGCAGGAACAGTGACAGCCCTGGCTGCAGTCATGGTGCTTCTGCTTTTCTGCATTTTCCCTAGAGGAGTGCCAAACCCTCCTGAGGACCTCATGTTTGAGCTCATTTTATCTTTTAAAACCTCTCCTTTACATTGATTTTCATTTCAATAGATTCATGAGAAATTGTGGCAGCTCTAATAACATGAACATTAAAAAAATCCCATAACATCAAGGTTGCATATTTCCTACTGATTAGTGGTTTTTCTCTTGATTAAATTATGCATTTTAATGCAAGTCCTTCATTTCTCAGCAGTAACACATGGCAGAATCATCCCTTGGTGTGGACCAAGTGCAATTATGGGTCCCTGTCTGGGCATATATAGAGCTGCTTTGAACTTCAGGCTCCCTGTGTGAAAGAGATACAAAATGCTTCATAAACGCTTCTGTTACAACTTCTTACGTGATCTTTCTGAGGGGGAAAAGTAATTTTTTTGTTAAGCTAGAAAAGGGAAAGGGAGACACAGAAGGTGGGTGGCTTGTCCAAGGTCACTAAAAGACCCACCATTAGGCTAGCCAAGTAGCCTGATGGCCAAATTCCAAACTAGGGTTATCTCCAAATATGTTCTATTTCCAACTGGCTTAGTAACTATGCGGGTTGTAACTGTGGTGCAATTTTATTGTTAGCATTAAACACGCAAATGTATTGATGATTTTTATACTGGCTTCCTTATATCTTCATTTCAGTAAATTCTTTATGTTTCACGTGATGCTCAGGGAAATCTGGGTTGGAGTTTTGATCCACTTATGGATGGTTGGGAAATATATGGTACATGAAAACTTTTTCCTTTTGAATCTTTTGTCCTGAATTTCAAAATGCTAAATGCTTAGAATAAGTGCTGCAGAAAAATGATTTCAGAGTCATTTAGGACAAGTTGTGAGATACACTCTTCTCTACTAGCACAGAGTTTATTATCCTAACCAGAAATGCAGACCGTTTTATTGGTCTTAAGTTCTTTGTGAGAGTGCAAGAAACCTGGTGTAGAATTGCTATATGTAATAATCCTGGAAGAGGGCTGGGCCCAAGGAAACCCCATTTGTCATGCTATGGCCCCGGATTTCCCAATGTTTGGTATCTTGAGGTTTAATTGGAAAGAGATAAGTTTGGCTAAGGTGGGAGACAGCACCCATGGACTCTGAATTATTGTTATAGCTTTGGATTTTTCTACTTGTACTCATCCTTGGCTCTACTAGCCCACCTTCTACCGTCTAGCTAATGTGATCTTTCTAAAACACAAATCATACTAAGCAATTCTCCTGATTAAATTTTCTTGCAGTTGCACTCTATATTATCAGGTTAGTACTAGATTATGGTGCAGGGGCAAATTAACTCATAATCTCAGTGATTTAGCAAAGCAAAGGCTTAAGTCTTACTCATTCTACATATCCCCTGTGGCTCAGGTTTATGGGTTGGATATTCTGCCTCAAGTCACTCAAGAATCCAGCCTTATATTGGCTCTGCCATCTGGATATTGCTGGTTGCTGCAGGAAGAGTAGTGAGCACAGGAAGATGCTACAATTGCTGTTCTATGCTTTGGACCAGAAGTGACATATTGCATTTCTACACACAGCCCATTGACCAGAACTAGTCGTATAGGTACCCCACAATCCCCTTAAACTTCAAGGTATGTGAAGTACAGTCACGTGTCCAGGAGGAGAGAACAGATATTGGTGAGCACTGGTTAAGTTTACCACATTGTCCATTGCCCTTGTCATAGAGGTTTTCCATAATTTGATCTTTGCTTTCACTATAACTGCTCCCTGCACCACTCTGTTACCCTACCATCCCATCCCCATTTCTCATTGAAATCCAGCCATACTGAACTTTTTGCAGTTCTCAGAATGTGCTGTGCTATCTCTCACAGCTTTGTAAATACGTATGTTGCTTTCTTTGCCTAAAACACCTTTCCTGACTCTTTTATACTCTTTACGATCCAGTTCTAGAATTTCTTCCTCTAGGTGGGAAAATTTTCCTAATCACTTCAACCCCAGTGGGTTATTAGCTATTATCTTGACCCCACAATACTGTTATTAACTTCAGTGTGGCACTCTAATTGTGTATTGATTCACTTATTCTTTCTACCAGACTATCAAGAGGTATCTTGGAGCAGAAACCATGTTTTTAAAAATTTTGAATCCTTTATATGAAATACTTAGCTTATAGTAGGTGCTTAAGAAATATTTTCTGAGTGATTACATAAATCATAGACTTTATACCTCTGTTAGTAGGTTAAAATGGATGTTAAATTTGAAATCTGGGAAATTAAATTATATCTGAACAAAAGTTAATAATTAATATCTTTTGTATGGCTATATTCACAATTAGTCTATGTTAGAATTTTAATATTTATCTAAAATAAAATTAATGCTATGAAAGTGTCATAACATCTAGAGGAAGATTTCCTTTTTTTCCTTATGAACAATCTCTTAAGTAAGTTTACATTTTGGTGTTCTTTACCTCTGTGTTTTCTGTATAATTTTGCATATAAATGTAAGTTACTCAAACCCACAATCAGAGTTGAAGCCATGGCAGACCATGACCTGCCATTTTCCTTGAAATTCCTGAGGAAACTTTCTGTTACTAATGATTCTGGCCCTCTTTGTGAGACTTACCTTCTTTACCTTTGTTATGGGTTGCATTGATATGTTGAAGTCCTACTCCCCGGCACCTAGGAATATGACTTTCTTTGAAAATAGGTCTTTGAAGATGTAATCAAGTGAAGATGAGGTCATGGTTCATTAGGTTAAGTCCTAATTTAATATGACTGGTGTCCTTATAAGAAGAGGAGAAGAGACACAAGCACACAGAGAGAATGTCATGTGGTGGCAGTAGCAGAGATTGGAGGGAAGACACTGTGAATCAAGCAATGCCAAGGGCTGATGGGTACTACCAGAAGCTGGGAAAAGGCAAGGAAAAATTCTACCCTGTGTTTGAGAGGTTAACATGGCACTGCTGTGATTTCAGACTTCTACCCTGAAGAACTGAAAAAGAATAAATTTCTTCTGTTTTAAGTCATCCTTTTTGTGGTACTTTGTTGTGTCAGCCCTAGGAAAACAATACAGTCTCGTTTTCATTTTTTTTTTTTTTTTTGCTCTCATAAATAGACACACATTAGTACTTAACTCCAGGCTTCCTTGCTAGGATGCCAAAACAAAGCAACCTTGGGAGCCAGTGAAGGATTGACTATACCTTCTTTTGAAAAGGGGCTGTTGTAAATAGGCTATGAGAGAAATACTTGAAAAGAGGAGAAACAACCAAAAACCAGTGACCTCTTCACTTATGAAACACCCCGAAATCTGAGACTGCTGCTCTTGTTAGGGTAGCTCTGTATAAACTGAGGCTGAGAAGAAGGTAGGAATCCTGCTGGTTTGAAGAGAACTTCCGGGTGACCAGGAGAACTAAGTGGTTGAACTTCTGCTGGCTTTGGTAAATTAACAGTCTTGTGCTTACTCCTTTATGTGTCTTCCTGTATTATACATGCTGAAAAGTTAAAAATACATTTCCAAGAGTCCATTGCAGCTGGGGTTCTGGCAAGAAATTATGTCCTGATGGTAGCATGCACTCAAGACCAATTTGAAAGTGAGTCAGTGGTCATATTCCTGGTGCTATTTCAGCTGGCAAGCAAGGTCATGGAGTGTCAGGAGGCAACTGCTGTACCCTAGTTTGGTGTTTCAGAGTTTAGTCACTAGCTTTGTGGGTGTCAAGGGAAAGTTATGGTGATGGTGGTGGTGGTAGCAATTTATCTTTTCCTGGATGGAACTTCAGCACCGTGTTTTCTATCTTCAAAATTTCCAGTGGTGTCATTCTGACTCCTAATTTTTCAGCTTTCATTAAAGCTTTGTAAATATCTGATTTCCTGTATTCAGTTGCAATCTGTTAGAAGTACTGAGTACATCTCTAGGACAAAACTCTGACTGATGGGAATTTGGATTGGTTATTTGACTTTGCTTAAGAAATATTTGAAGGCAGTGATATTTTTGTTACTACTGAAAAATTGGATTCTGGTAGTCAGTGGCACACAGGAAAAAGAATTCCTTAAATTATTTATTACATGGCATCCCCAGGGATAAAGTGTCTACAGAGTGCAAGGCTTTGGTAGACTGAAGGGCTTCTATGAGAGACTCTTACTGGAGAGACAAATAACACAAAAACTGTGGTTCCTGATCAAATTTCTTTTCCCTTAATGCTTAATGGCTGATATAACCAAAATCTGGTATTGAAGGTTGCTACATTACAACATAACTGAATAATTGAATTTACAGCCTTAGCAGGTCTTTTTGTTGTTGTTGATGTTTAAACTTTGATTAATTGGGAAAGATCGAGACACTCAGAATTAGAATGGGGACATTTGGGCGGACTACAGTGAATCTAAGTAGACTAAATGACCAAACCCCTTTGAGCCTCCCCTGCCATCAGAAGCATCCCTTTCTTCCTGTCTGTGGGGCTGGTCTTGTACTTACCGGACAACTTGTAATGACTTCTCCTGAGGCAGTTACTTTGAAAGGACATGCCATCTCTCCTTATGTGACATCCCTACCATTTCTCAATTATCTTGAAATAAGTCAATCTTAACATGTCCTGGGTCAAGTATAAAGTCTGATCCAAAGCAAAGGATTTACACATAAAAATAATTGCTAAATATCAGCAGAAACCTGAAAAACATCCATTAGAATGGATACTAAGTATGCTAGACCAGAGAGGAAAGATATGTTCTTGTTTGGGGATGACTTTAAGTCTATGCATAGATTTAAGAGATTCTGAATTCAGTGTGCAAGCTCAAGGATATAGGAATTATTCTAACAATTTGTAAATGGCCATTAGCTGCTAATTTAGCATTCAGGTATAGGAGACCACTAACTCCTCCCTTAGTGTGATGAAGGAGTTTGGGTTTGTTATGGACTGAATGGTTGTATTCTCTCGAAATTGAACCTGTCAACCTGTACAAGCTCTAACCTTCAATGTGTCTGTATTTGGTGATGGGACCTGTAAGGAAGTAATTAAGGTTAAAAGATATCATAAGGTTGGAGCCCTGATTCAATAGGTTTGGTGTCCTTATAAGATAGCTCACACTCTGTCTTTCTCCATGAACACTCACAGAAGAAGTGCTATGTGAGGACATAGTGAGAAAGTAGCTGTCTACAAACCAAGAAGGGAGCCAGAAAATGACCATACTCATCCCCTGATCCTGGAAGTCTAGGTCCCAGACTGTGAGAAAATAAATTTCTGTTGTTTAAGCCACCCAGTCTATGGCATTGTATTATGGCAGCCTGAGCTGACTGATACCAGGCCAGACCCCACAATTGCAGCAGCACGAGGGTGTGGGCCAATAGTCTTAAATGCCACCTGAACATTTTACTTATTTTAATATTCTTAACGTGCTTGAGCATAGCCATTTTCTGTGCAACTTTACAGGAGGCTATTCTGCTTCAGGGAACCAGCCTTCGGCTAGTTAACCCTTATCATTTACTTGATTAATGAAGATTTGAATTCAGTGCTGGTAAACACCAAATAAATTTGACTTGCTAGATAACCTGTGGAGGAAGGAATGCAAATATTTAGGCTAATGAGAACACTGCAATACATTTATCACATGTCACTTGGTCTCTTCCTCCTAAGTGTGACTTCTCAAAGGAAAAAAGTTGCTTTCACAATGGAAATTGAAAACTATATTGGTAAAGGGAGCAGTGGCATTAGTAGATGTATTAGTTTGCTAGGGCTGTCATAGTAAAATACCACATACTGAGTAGCTTAAAAAACAGAAATTTATTTTCTCACATTTGAAGGTTGGAAGTCCAAGATCACGGTCTTTGGTTTCTTTTGAGCCTCTCTCCTTTGCTTGCAGATGGCCACCTTCTCGTGGTGACCTCCCATGGCCTTGCCTCTGAGGTTGTGTATCCCTGTTGTCTCTTTGTGTGTTCAAATTTCCTCTTCTTATAAAGATGTCAGTCAGACTGGATTAGGGCCAATCCTAATAGCATCATTTAAACTTAATCACCTCTTTAAAAGCCCTATCTCCAACAAATACAGTCACACTCTGATGTACTAGGGGTTAGGGCTTTAGCATAAAAATTTGGGGGCCATACAGTTCAGCCCCTAACAGTGGAAATTCTCTGTAGATTGGAGATAACCATGGAAGATGCTGTTATAGAAATCTTTGATTTCAGTGGATGTGATAGGATCCTAGAGGGTCAGAATTCCAGTGATAGCCACCAGTTGCAAAAAGAGCATTTTACCCTAATACAGAGCAGAGCAAAGAATAATAATTGGAATTATTTGAGTGCTGCATCCTTGTGGGGCTAACTGATCATAGTTTCCATGTTGAATCCAATGAATAGGCTATTAGGTTCCTATTTGATCTTTATAACTAAAGCAAAATAAAATCTTTAAGGCTGGTGAATGGAAACTGACTTGAGGTAACATAATGTAGAGTCGAGGACATTCATGACCAAACCCCAGATTTGAGAGAGCTCTCATACTCCACAGCATCTTGACTCAAGGGATGGCTGAGTCCTTTTGAAAAAGTACTTGCAACATTCAGTAAGTGTTTTTCCTAATCCTCCCCAAGTGATTTGCCATTTGCCATAACACTCAAATACTGGAAAAAAGAAAAAAAAACTAGTTATTTTGAGAATTATTGATTAGTGACTGTAAAAAAATGATAATCCTTAGAGGTCCTGTTGATAATCCAAAGTGATAATCTCATTTTGGTCCTCATGTCACAGTTATCTTTTTTGAAAATCAGGTGATTAATGGATTAAGGGTTATTTTGGTATTAAAAGCTAAGTAAAGATCATTGAAACTTCTCCTCCTGTTCAAAGTAGTAAATCAAAAGCAGTACTGTGTCTCTCAGAGAGAGAATAACAGAGATTAGTGCCACCACCAAAGATAGAATGGATATGGATTTGTCTTAGAGAATGACAGCACATAATTTTAAATGTAATCAAATAATAATTCAAATTGTTTTATTTGCAAGAGCCAATCAACGTGATCCCTGGTACCTTGTATGCAACCGCATTTCTAATGTGTACTTCTTCTCTCTTTCCCTACAAACAGAAGCAACTTGCTCTTAACCTGACAAGAAAAAGAGTATACATCTTACTTCAGGGGTAGGACTTCTCTCTGGTTCTCTGTCATAATTTACTCCATGGGACATTTGATCATTTTATCATCCCATAGGATAGAATATTTTTCCACCATATTGATGACATCAAGCTGATAGAATCTGATGAGCAGAAAGTAGGTGTTCTAGGTCAGTGTTTCTCAAATAATGAAGGATGATGGACGAGTTTTTAAAAGGTTTTCAATCTATTCAGCAATGATTTTGTAAATTATAATAAAAGTAAATAATTAAAAGATGAAAGGGCATGAAAGTACAAATCTAATTATTACAGTCTATAAAACTACTGTAAACATTTCTAAGTACTTTCTCTCAATTTCTGTACACATTGAGAATCAGTAACAAAGAGTTCACAGACCAGAACAAATATGTGACCACACTTTGATTAGTGGTACTGTATCTGTATTTGTAAGACCTATGTTTGCCAGAGGATGGGACAAATATACTCTTTATAAGTTAAGGGATCTGCCATTTCAGTGAAGTTTTTGGGAATCCAGTTGTATGGGGCATGTGAAGATACCCCCATTCAAAGCAAAAGACAATTTGATATACTTTGTATTTCCTAAAACACACAAACACAAGTTCACACACATCTGCAATACTTGCTACATTTTGTATATTTTGAATGCAATCTAAATCATATTTTGGTCCTTTTCTATGATCCAATAATTCCATTATGTTGCCTGTTTTGAGTGTGTCCCAGTGCAAGAAATAGTTCTTCAGTTGCTTCAGGCTGCAAAGTAATCAGATTTCTGAGACTCTTTTCCACTTAACCTTATGACCTACTAAACCTACTAAACCAATGACAGGAGAGGATTGTGTGTTGAGAATCATTTGCAGTCACCTTGGACTTTGAATAAAGTTATGGATGCTGTATCAATCAGGGATTCACAGAGAAACAAAACTAGTAGGATGGATGAATAGATAGACAGAAAAATTTAATTCAAGGAATTGTCTCACAGGATTATGGGAAGTCTGGCAAGTCTGTAATTTGTAGGGCAGGCCAGAAGGCTGGAAAGTCTTAGATGGGAGTTGATGCTATTTTCCTGAGACAGATTTTTTTTCCTTACACAAACCTCAGTTTTGCTCTAAAGTTTTTCAACTGATTGAATAAGGCCCATTCACATTATTGGGGATGATCTCTTTTATTTAAGGTCAATTGATAATTGGGGTTAACTACATCTACAAAATACCTCTATGGCAATGTGTAGATTAGTATTTAATTGAATAACTGGGACCTATACCCTAGCCAAGTTGACACAAAAAACTGATCATCACATTTCCTTTTACAAATAACAATTTTCATTCTGTAAATCAATTCCTAGCTTACTACTGGGTCCTGATGGAGTCTAAATGGCTGATCATAGGAAACAAGTCACCCTGTGACCTGAGATTCTCATCCTGAAATAGACTTTATCTGACCAAAGCCAAAATGCCTAGTCATTTTGGTCATTTTGCACCTGACAAATATCCCAGAAACCTGGAATTCTGATTGTTTAGAAGATTTAGATGCACGCTTCTGCCAGAGAACACAAGAGTTGGTTCCATATAAATTGAATATTGAGGTGATCACCTGGCCATTTTGGACTCTTATGCCACCGAACCAACAAGCAAAAGAATGGTTACTGTGTTATCTAGGTGATCTTGATGATCATAGGTTTATTAGGTGGTTTTAATGAGGCAGGAGACTGGCAGGCTTGTGTTCTGATTACAGCCCTTTTGACCAAAGCAGAATCTAGCCCAGACAGGATAAAGTAAAGAAGCTGGCAGGAGCCAGCAGATGGCAATGAAAGTGATCCTTAGCCACCCTCCTTGCTCATTAGCATAAGACACTCTCACCAGCACCATGACAGTTTACAAATGCCATGGCAATGACCCCCAAATTATCACTCCTTTCCGTGGCAATGGCCCAGAAGTTACCACCTATTTCCTAGAAAGTTTTAAATAACTCATCCCTAAATTTGCATTGAACTACTCCTTAATTTGCATTGACCCACCCATTAATTTACAGTAATTAAAAGTAGGTTTATGTGAGTATAAATAGAGTTGCCAAGAGCCCATATGTGGCCAGCTCTGGGGGCATTGCCCGTGAGTTAGCTCTGCTCTGCAAGGAGCAGTACTGTTTAATAAAAGATTGCTATGTAACACCACCAGCTTGCCCTTGAGTTTTTTCCTGTGTGAAGCCAAAAGCCTTCCTGGGATAAGCCCCAGTTGTGGGGCTCGGCTATCCTGTATCAGTTACACTGTGAAGGCAAGGAGAAATATGTCTGAAACTCAAGATACCCTCTGCAGCGCCTCTAATGATCCTGCCCCATGGAAAAGTTAATAAAAATTTGTCTCAACTCTTAACACTGCTGTAGCTGTGTCCCATAGATTCTGATATGTTGTCTCTTTGTTCTTGTTGGTTTCAAAGAACTTCTTGATTTCTGCCTTAATTTCATCATTTACCCAGGAGTCATTCAGGGCTGGTTGTTCAATTTCCATGTAGCTGTATGGTTTTGAGTGAGTTTCTTAATCCTGAATTCTAATTTGATTGCACTGTGGACTGAGAGACTGTAATGATTTTAGTTCTTTTGCATTTGCTGAGGAGTATTTTACTTCCACCTGAGAGACTGTAATGATTTTAGTTCTTTTGCATTTGCTGAGGAGTATTTTACCTCCAACTATGTGATAAATTTTAGAGTAAGTGCCATGTGGCACTGAGAAGAATGCATATTCTGTTGTTTTGGGGTAGAGAGTGCTATAGATATCCATCAGGTCTACTCGATCCAGAGCTGAGTTCAAGTCCTGAATATCTTTGCTAATTTTCTGTCTTGTTGATCTGTCTAATATTGACAGTAGGGTGTTAAATTCTCCCACTATCATTGTGTAGAGTTTAAATGCCCACATCAAAAGCTAGAAAGATCTCAAATCAACACCCTAACATCACAACTGAAAGAACTAGAGAAGCAAGAGCAAACAAATACAAAAGCTAGCAGAAAACAAGAAATAACTAAGATCAGACTAGAACTAAGGAGATAGAGACACGAAAAATCCTTAAAAAAATCAGTGAATCCAGGAGCTGATTTTTGAAAATATTGATAACATAGATAGACCATTAGATAGACTAACAAAGAAGAAAAGAGAGAAGAATCAAATAGACACAATAAAAAATGATAAAGAGATATCACCACCTACCCCACAGAAATACAAACTACCACCAGACAATACTATAAACACCTCTGTGCAAATAACCTAGAAAATGAATACATTCCTGGACACATACACCCTCCTAGAAGAAATGAATACATTCCTGGACACATACACCCTCTCAGACTAGACCAGGAAGGATTCAAATCCTTCAACAGAACAATAACAAGTTCTGAAATTGAGGTAGTAATAAATAACCTACCAACCAAAAAAAAAAAAAAAAAAAAAAAAAAGCCCAGGACCAGACGGATTCACAGATGAATTCTACCAGAGGTACAAAGATGAGCTGGTGCCATTACTTCTGAAACTATTTCAAACAATAGAAAAGGAAGGAGGGACTCCCTCCTAACTCATTTTATGAGGCCAGCATCATCCGGATACCAAAACCTGGCAGAGACACAACAAAAAAAGAAAACTTCATGCCAATATCCCTGATGAACATCCATGCAAAAATCCTCAATAAAATACTGGCAAACCGAATTCAGCAGCACACTGAAAAGCTTATCCACCATGATCAAGTTGGCTTCATCCCTGGGATGCAAGTCTGGTACAACATATGCAAATCAATAAATGTAATTCATCACATAAACAGAACAAATGACAAAAACCACATGATTATCTCAATAGACTCAGAGAAAGCCTTCCAGAAAATTAAACATCCCTTCATATTAAAAACTCTCAATAAACTACATATTGATGGAACGTATCTCAAAATAATAAGAGCTATTCATGACAAACTTACAGCCAATATCATACTAAATGGGCAAAAGCTGGAAGCATTCCCTTTGAAAACCAGTACAAGACAAGGATGCCCTCTCTCACCACTCCTATTCAACATAGTACTGGAAGTTCTGGCCAGGGCAATCAGTCAAGATTAAGTAATAAAGGATATTCAAATAGGAAGAGAGGAAATCAAGTTGTCTCTGTTTGAAGATGGCATGATTTTATATGTAGAAAACCCCATCATCTCAGCCCCAAAACTCCTTAAACAGATAAGCAACTTCAACAAAGTCTCAGGATATAAAATCAATGTGCAAAAATCACAAGCATTCATATAGAACAACAATAGACAAGCAGAGAGGCAACTCATGGATGAACTCCCATTCACAATTGCTAATAAGAGATGTGAAGGACCTCTTCAATGAGAACTACAAACCACTGCTCAAGGAAATAAGAGAAGACACAAACAAATGGAAAAACATCCATTCTCATTGATAGAAAGAACCAATATCGTGAAAACGACCATAATGGCCAAAGTAATTTATAGATTTAATTCTATTCTCATCAAACTATCATTGACATTCTTCACAGAATTAGAGAAAACCACTTTAAAATTCTATGGAACCAAAAAAGAGCCCATATACCCAAGACAATCCTAAGCAAAAAGAACAAAGCTGGAGGCATCACGCTACCTGACTTCAAACTATAATACAACCCTACAGTAACCAAAACAGCATGGTACTGGTACCAAAACAGACACATAGACCAATGGAACAGAATAGAGGCCTCAGAAATAAGACCACACATCTGCAACCATCTGATCTTCTACAAACCTGACAAAAACAACCAATGGGGAAAGAATCCTCTATTTAATAAATGGTGCTGTGAAAACTGGCTAACCATATGCAGAAAACTGAAACTAGACCCCTTCCTTACACCTTATCTAAAAATTAATTCAAGATGGATTAAAGACTTAAATGTAAAGCCTAAAACCTTAAAAACCCTAGAAGAAAATCTGAAAATCTAGGCAATATCATTCAGTACATAGTCATGGGTAAAGACTTTATAATAAAATTGCCAAAAGTAATTGCAACAAAAGCTAAAACTGACAAAAGGGATCTAAAGACCTACTGCACAACAAAAGGAATTATGGTTAGAGTGAACAGGCAACGCAGAATGGGAGAAAAATTTTGCTATCTACCCATCTGACAAAGGTCTAATATCCAGAATTTACATGGAACTTAGACAAATTTACAAGAAAACAAACAAACAACCCCATCAAAAAGTGGGCTAAGGATATGAACAGACACTTTTCAAAAGAAGACATTATGTGGCCTACAAACATATGAAAAAATCTCAACATCACTGATCATTAAAGAAATGCAAATCAAAACCACAATGAGATAACCATCTCATGCCCATCAGAATGGCAATTATTAAAAAGTCAAGAATCAATAGATGCTGGCAAGGCTGTGGACAAATAAGAACACTTTTACACTATTAGTGGGAATGTACATGAGTTCAACCATTGGGAAGATGGTGGTGATCCCTCAAGGATCTACAACTAGAAATACCATTTGACCCAGCAATCCCATTACTGAGTATATATCTAAAGGAATATAAATCATTCTATTATAAAGGTACACGCAGGCCGGGCATGGTGGCTCACACCTGTAATCCCAGCACTTTGAGAGGCCAAGGTGGATGGATCACCTGAGGTCAGGAGCTCGAGACCAGCCTAACATGGCAAAACCTCATCTCTACTAAAAAATACAAAAATTAGCCAGGTGCAGTGGCATGTGCCTGTAGTCCCAGCTACTTGAGAGGCTAAGACAGGAGAATGGCTTGAACCTGGGAAGCAGAGGTTGCAGTGAGCCGAGATCACTCCACTGCACTCCAGCCTGGGCGACAGAGTGAGATGCCATCTAAAACAAAAATTAAAAAGATAGATGCATACCTATGTCTATTGCAGCACTATTCACAATATCAAAGACATAAACCAACCCAAAAGCCCATCAGTGATAGACTTGGTAAAGAAAATGTGGTACATATACACCATGGAATACTATGTAGTCATAAAGAGGAATGAGATCATGTCCTTTGCAGGGACATGGATGAAGTTGGAAGCCACCATCCTCAGCAAACTATTGCAGAAACAGAAAACCAAACACCACATGTTCTCACTCATAAGTGGGAGGTGAACAATGAGAACACATGGACACAGGGAGCGGAACAACACACACTTGGGCCTGTTGGAGGGAAAGGGGAGGGAGAGCCTCAGGACAAATAGCTAATGCATTTGGGGCTTAATACCTAGATGATGGGTTGATGGGTGCAGCAAACTGCCATGGCACAATTTTACCTATGTAACAAACCTGCATGTTCTGCACATGTATACTGGAACTTAAAGTAAAATAACATAAAACAATTGTCTCAACTCAATGCTGGAAGAGCCATTATGGCTGGATATCTCAAGACTGAAGGTTTTCATATACCACCAAATAAAAACCACATACTAGCTAACATCTTGTTGAGAGCAAAGGGAAAATGGAATGTGTAGTTGAGGAAGGAAGTTTTAAATTCCATTTCTGTCCTGTGGCCAGTTTCATAAAAGAGGACTCTAATCATGTGTGTGTTTGTGTATATATATATGTAGTATATAAATATATCAATAAACATATTCTTCCTCCATCTTTTTGTTTTATTACTTTACATTAACTGTATTGGTGGTAGTTTAGATTTATAGTTTAGTCCTTAGGTAACGGATTATTAAAGCCAGATTGTGACTGAAGTATAACAGAAGAAATGTGACCCAGAGAGAGAGTTAAATTCAGACTGAAAGTCTTAGGGTGCATCTTTTGGGGAAAGAATGAGTTCTGTTATGTTTCTGTGAGGAATATTTGTATTATTCTAGGTGCATCAATATCATTTTTACTATTTTTGTTTAGAATCTTAATTTCATATCAAATGGCATATATGAATGTTAAGAAGTCAAAGAGAGGACCCACGCTGAATATCATTCTCTACTCATTCTATCTACCTACCAGGGCATGAGAAACTTACTGCTACATTTTCCAGACTCCCTTACCTCTAGGGTTCTAGATGCAAGTAGGATTCCACTAATTTGAGCTTTGGACATGAGGCAGGTGCTTTCTCCCTGCTGCTGTTTTTGTAGGCAGGCAAGACTGTGGAAACATGAGGTGGCAGTGGCAGCTGGACTCAGGGTTCTAATTGTCATTCACCCACTCATGGCAGTGATAGAGGCAGGATGGCCGGGCTCAGGTTCCAAGGCCTACTCAGCAGCTTCGTGAGTGTCTTGGGGCAGTTGGAGAAGCAGCAGCAGCTTTCTGATCCTGGGTTGTAGCTTTTAGTCAGTAAGCTCTTGAATTCAATGGTTCATATACACATATCCCTCCAGTCTTCCCAAATATTTTGTGAGTATCTTATTCCTTGCATGAAGTGTAAAATACCTAGGCTAGTTTCAATTTTATGTACAGACACCTGTGTATATGGAGGTCTTTCTGGATCTATGCTATTGTCTGTATCTTAAGTTCTCAGAGATTCTGAAAAGACTTTTAGCTCCTTGCCTTTCTCCAACTTTATTCCAGCAAAAAAACAAAACAAAAAAATACAAGAGGCCCAAATCAACTGCCTTTATTCTGTTTGATGATGCTACAGCGAGGCAGTTTTCTCTAGATTAAGGCTTCAAAAAGATGTTTACAAAAGATGTTTTGTACAAATTCAAGGATATTAAGCCTGAGGTAGCAAGTTACAGAAGAAATAACGATGGCTATAAAACCTAACATTTACGAGTACTTAATATATTCTAGGCATTATACTAAGTATCTTACATGCATTAGTTAATAATCACAGCAATTCAATCAAGTAGGATCTTGAATTATTCTCATTTTTATAGGTGAAAAACCCGAAAATAAGAGATATGGGATAAACTTGCCTGAGATCACACAGCTAGTTACATTGTTCCAGGACTCACATCTAGCAAATTCAATTCCAGAACCCACAATCTAACCACAATACTGTGTCACTTTGAAGTCAGAAAATGGGGCTTCCCCTTCTACCTCTAGCACTCCACCCACACTTACGTGGATCCTGGTTCTCCTTTGTTCTCTCATTTCATATTATATGTTTCTGTAACTTCTTAGAGATTAAGGTATTTACAAATTATTATTTTTGTTTTTGAAAAAAAATCAACCCCCATAACCCTCATTGTAAATGCAACAGAGGTTAAAGTGATTTTATTTTGGTAATCATTTTGGCTTCCTATACACAGAATGCTTTTAAGTTATTTTGAGCCCTTGACAAGAGGAGAACTGTAGGCAGTTCTGTGACAGTGTGTTAAATGTTTACATGCCCTAGCACATGCTCCTTTTCTGTGAAGCCTGCTGTTTGTGTTTCTGGATGTGTCAAATTCATGGCTTTTGTAATTTTACTGGAGAATGGCACAGTTCATAGGTTTGTGGAAAAACAGAAATTTCTGAAGCTTCAATTGTCTAACATGACAAACTGTGTGACGCCAGAGTTCAATTATGAAAGCTTCCTGGCAGTTCTGTTTTGCAATCACATTATTGTTTTGGCAACTAAAACACCGACCATGAGATATTCATGGTTAAAAAACAAAACATCAAAAGCAACCTGTATGCCATCTCAATGGATATATGTGTTTTTGACACATATATCCATAATTTATATTTATTGTTTTAATGGAGCTGCAGTTCTCATTGATTCTTCAATTTAGTCTCTTAATGTAAATTAGTTGCAGTAAATTTCATAAGAAACCAGTTCCTTTCTGATTCCTTCTTGTCATGACACTGGACAAAATAAAGCCACAAGGATAAAAGGGTGTATTTTACATAGCCTACTTACTTATCTTTGAATTTTGGAGCACCACTCTTCTGGGTGTGTTATTCTTTCGCTTTACAGATATTTGAGACATTGAAATGAAGACAGAGAATAGGATAAGGTTCTTTTTTAAGTGTTTTAAAAAATATGCGGCCTAGTTTTATTTGAACCGTGATCCAGTAGAGAGGTAGATCTTGACCGTGGTATGGAATCAGAGCCATTTCATACTTTGTCTGGGGGAAAAAGGTTTATATCCTTCAGTGGAAAAGATCATTTGTTTCAGCTAGAAGTCTTAGGAGAACCATTTGATGAATGTAAATGATATCCTTCAGCTTTTAAATGATCATTGCTTGAATTTTTAGCATTTCAAATAGAAAACAAGTTCAATATTTATTTGAAGGGCAGGCAAAATGGCAGCCAGGAATTGGCATAGAGGATGAAAGAAAACTATTCTTGTTCATATGAACTATCTTGGGACAAAAGCTTGGGTGCAGAAGAGATAGGACATTGAATTAAATGTGGGTAAGGTGAGCTGGAAGTAGGTGAATAGGAAGATGGGATAGGTAAAAATAAATTGATGGATAAAAGGGGATAAAGCAGTAAAGTGATGCACTAGAGTGCCATAGGAAATTTTTCTTTTTTTTCTTTGTAAAACAGGAGTAGCAAACTCTTAAAGCCCTTCATGCCTGGAATCTTGCAGTGATCTTTGCCTGAACGTTTCTCAGAGTTGTGTCAAACTTTAAACCTTTGTTTCTTCTTAAACTTCAGGGGACAAATATCAAGTTCTCCAGTAGATACTCAAAGGCCCTTCTTCATTTCCCCAAGGGAGTGAGGGATGGTGGAAGGAAAAGTCAGAGATTTTTTTTTTAATCAAAGAAATAAAGTTCATTCTTCTGGACTTAATTTAAACTCTTTTTATACAGTTTCAGAGGCTGAAGTGCTAAGATTTGCAAACCTTTCAATGATCTTACAATTTCCAGTTAGTTGATTTAGCACTTGATTTGGAATATGGGAATACTTGCCTTTTATTTTGTTCTAGAATTTTTGGGCTTTAGATAAAAGAAGACAGAAAATGGCCATTTAAAAGTTTCACCAGTACTTATATTGTGTTGACATTTTTAATAGTTGTAAGAATTTTTTCCACTTGAAAATCAATTTTAACTCATTCAAAACAATAATCATACTGTTAATTTCTTTTATAAACTAAACCATTTCTCCTGCTTCACTTCACCTTTCATTCTGGCTTGTCAGTTAGTTGTAACTAAATAACTAAATAGATGATTAATTCAGGAATTAACTTACCGATTGACAGTCTCTGCCTCTAATTATTACACTGATTTAGAGAAACGGAATCAATGGCATATTTCTACAGTTGGAGTACCAACAGAAATCCACCTGGCAATAGAGAAAGAAACAATACAAAATTAATGACAATAGAAACATATTGGCATCATAACATAGAGGCATCAGATTTAGCACATCTTTTGGTTTTTGTCTTTACAGGTATTATGTTTTTATATATTTTTTGAAATTTCAAATAATTAGACTAATGTTGATTTGTTCTTCCCTTAGATATTAGCTCTTTTTTTAGCTGACTTACTTTGCCTTGTTTTTCTACTTAGATTAGTTCTTGATTATTTGTGTCACCTTTTTTTTTCTTCCATTATTTGTAATTAACTTCTCTTTTCTGGTAATATAATTCTCTGTTCTCACTTTTGCATACCAAATGAGCTTAGAATAAGAGATCAGTTGAACCGGTTTCAGTTGAGCCTCAGATGTGCTTAACATTGGTTTTATCAGCATTTTTATAGACTATTTGTATTTTTGATTCTGATTTTTTTTTTTTTTTGGAAAAACTTTCTGCCTTTATGCTTTGGACTGTTTGTCCAAACATAAGTGATGATTATAAGTATCCTTGTTTGGCTTCCTACTTTAATAGCAATGCCTGTTCTAAAGTGCCCAGGAGAGAATATTAATAGATGAAATGTGTGACAAGTGTTTTGTGGTGAAGAAAGTTGGAGAAACACAAGGTTAAATAAAGTTTTTCTTTAACTGAAGGAACTTCAGGGCCTTACATGTGCTCATATATATTGTGACATGCAGAAGAAGGGTTTATAGCATTACAAGTTTTCAAACTTACGTGAGTGCTGAATCCTTGATAATTTTCATAAAAGCCTTTTATGAAATAAATTTTGGGAAATATTTATCTTGGGTTTCACTTTTGTCTTAGTTCATTTGGGTTGTTATAAAAAACTACCATAGGTTGGGTGGTTTATCAACAACAGAAATTTATCTTTCACAGTTTGGAGGCTGAGAAAATCAAGATGTCAACAGATTAAATGTCTGATGAGGACCCCTCAAAAAGATGAGGACCATCATTTTTCTGTGTCCTTTCATGGTGGAAGGGTCAAGGGAGCTCTCTGTGGTCTCTTTTATAAGGGCACTACTTCTATTGACGAGAGCTTTATGCCCATGAGCTAATCAACTCCCAAAGGTCTCACCTCCAAATACTATCACACTGGGCACTAGGATTTCAATATATAAATTTTGCACAACATAAACATTCAATTTGTAAAAAATTTTAAGTATAATGTTCTTGGCTTTAAATAGGTAATCTATTCTAATAATGCTAACAAAAGTGCTATTCTAGTTCATGAAGTTGCTTTAAGTTTTAAAAACCAGGAATGCATATTGCATTTTATTAAATTCGTGTTTTCTGCATTTTTCACAACAATTTTATGTGTGTGTGTGTATTTATCTTTACTTTGAGTTATGTGATCTTTTAATAGATTCCTGAATTTAAATTTAATATTATTTTACTAGCTTATGCTTTCTAAGCCTCAGTCTCTGTATGTATAAAAATCATAATGATACCTCCCTTAAAGAGATGTTAAAACTAAATGAGAAAATGCATACAATGTGTTTAGAACCTTTCTTAGTCCATTTTGTGCTTCTATAATAGAAAATTGCCAAATGAGTAATGTATAAAGAAAAGAAATTTATTTCTCACAGTTCTGGAGGCTGAAAAGTCTCCAAGATGCTATCATCTGGTCAGAGCCTCTTGCTGTGTTACTCCATAGTAGAGGTGGAAGGACAAGACCGTATGAGAGAGCAAAAGATCTAACTTGCAACCTCAACCCTTTTATAATTGTCATCCATTCATTCATAAGAGTGAATCCCTTATGATCTAAACACCTCCCATTGGGCCCCACCTCACGATACTGTTGCATTGGAGATTAAATTTCCAACATAAGCTTTTTGGGGAGCACATTCAAACCATAGCAACTTCATTCTTCGAAAATAGAAAACTATTATTAGGATGAAAGTAGCTTTGGCTATGGCTCATATCTTTGGTAAATAGTTCTCTAATTTTTTGTACATGAGATATAATTGTTTTAATTCTCTCTTTAAGCCAATAACTATGTAAGTACATGATTTACATTTTCATTTTGATTAGTTAAAACAAATTATTAATTCCCTGTTCTATGGCACTGTGATTAGCAACTATGGCTTCGAAAGCATTTGCTTAAGGAATTTTAAATTTCTCTATTATGGAGATTACTATATAACTATATTATGGATATATTATCATTATAAAAAATCAGTGTTTAATATATTATCATTTTTTAAAAATTCGGTGTTCTATATACACATGGAAAGGCATTTTTTTGTAGGCTACTGAATTTAATCTATAGTTATGAATTTAAGATTACTAGTTGAATTATTCTAATCTTATCAAAAATGATACGTTTTTGCGTTTTTCCTCAAAGTTAAGTTTGTCTGACATTATCATTCTTATTTTTTCTTTTTATTTGCATTTGTCTATTTGTCTTCCTTTTTTTGACTACTTGATCTGCAAAAAGTTAAGTTCTCCCTTTATGGTTCTGTATCCATCAATTTCTTCCCATACTTTTAACAGTTTGAAATTTATTCATATTTGACACTATGTTATTTAGCACTTAAAGGTTTATGACTGTTGTATCTTTGTTATGGATTATATCTCTTGATCAACAGAAAGTAACACCCAGCTAGTTTTTTAAATCATTGTTTAGTTTATTCAAAAACAAATGTTAACTTTTTTGAGATTATTTTGTTGATTGCCAATTAAAAAAAAACTCACCCCAAAACACATAGTTTAGGCAAATATAAGTTTATTACCCACTACAGTAAGGGAGAATATCACTTATGGGTGGATATTTAGGGAGTTTTGGGGTTTGGTTTAAAGCAAATTTTTAAATGCAGGGATCTGAGAAGAATTGTGCAAAGTTTTTGATATTAATTATAATTGGTGGGCACAGAAAAATGAGGGTTTTAATGTGGGTCTTGATAAATGAACATTTGTTTGATAATGGAGAAGTTTGCCCATTTAAGAAATCTATTTTCTTCAGAAAGAGGCTATTTCTCCCTAATGCCTGAGGAGGAGGCAAGTTGAACAGTTTCTTTTTCAGATAAATTGATTTTGATTTTTATTTATTTACTTTTTGAACTTTTATTTTAGGTTCAGGGGTACGTGTGAAGGTTTGTTACATAGGTGAACTTGTGTCAGGGGATTTTGTTGTACAGATTATTTCATCACCCAGGTATGAAACCCAGTACCCAATAATTATATTTTCTGAGCTAAATGATGAGAACTCATGAACACAAAGGTAAAAACAGACACTGGGGTCTACTTGAGGGTTACAAATGGAAGGAAGGAGACGAGCAGAAATGGTAAATGAATTTTTAAGCACTTCATGAAACAAACGGTTACGTTATTTGAAACTTTATTTTCCTAGGCAAGAATTTATTGGAATAGTAAAAATGTGTTAATGTAGACAATCAGTTCTTTATTCTATTAGATCCGCGGTTGCAGGCAGTCTGTTTTCAGTTTGATAAATCTCTGCCTATCTTTTAAAAACATCTTAATGCCACTTTATTTTAGGTAGGTCTCTTGAAAGCAGCATATATTTACATTGTGTCTCAATTTAATTTGATACTATTTATATTAATAGAGGAATTTAAGCTTTTTGTTCTACACTCAAATATTTTGTCTTAACTCCATCTCATTTTGTGCTTTCTTTGCCCTATAAAATGTGACTGCTTTCTTTACTTTTATCTTCTCCTGTAATTAAAAGCCATAGTTCTCGTTAATATTAATACAATCTGAGGTTTGCAACTCAGATAACCATTCTTAACTAAATATATACTACCTTTTGTATTTCCTTTTACAATGATTATTTTTGATGTTTGCATTCAACTTTTTACTCCAACTAACAACAATTATTTAAATTTAACTTTGCTAAACTATTCTCGGGATACACCATTTGCATTTATATAACCTGACTTTTTCATTTTTTAACTCAATTTTGATTAACATTTGATATCTTTAGTATGTTGCACAAGATAGTTTCAAGAAAGGTACAAAGATGTTATATTTGAGTTCTTGTATACCTGAGGATGTCTTTTGGTTGTTTTCAGAAGTGAATGATATTTTTACTGGGCCTATATCCCTGAAAATTTTATGTATATTGTTTCATTATTTTTCTGCTATATAATTTTGGAGACAGAATCCATCTGGTTTTAATTCCTTAGTGGTTAATCTGCTTAGTTTTTTCTACCTTTATAATCTTACAAGAGATTTTCTCCTCTTGATAATGCAAATTACGAAAAATCTTAGCTGAATAGTTCTAAACAATGATCTCTTTTAATTATTTTTCTTAGTTCACCTTATTTTTTCAATTATGTCTTGGTTGCTACTTTGATTCCAAATTTCTTGAAAGTACTCATAATTGTTGGGCTGATTTTAATTCTCTCTCTACATCAAATGTATATCGTTTTTATTTTATTTCTTCATGATCAGTAATGCTCTTTAAAAAATGTTATGCAAATTTTGTATTCAGCTATTATAACTTTGGTTTCCTTTGAAACCTTTCTTTGATATTCCTTTAAATCTTACTTTGTTATCTTTGTGTTTCATCTAACTGTTCTTTCATTTTATTGTTTTATTTTTCTTAGACTCCTTGGCCTTGATGGTCACATTTTATTTCAAGCTCCTGAAGATATCATAATGTTTTCCAAAATTTTCTCTTACTTCCTTAACTAAGTTAGGTTTAGAGCTTTGCTCATTCTCTGAGTCTTCGGTTTAGTTTTTTGTTTCTCTTATATCTTTGTTAACTTTTCAAACCACCTCTTACCCTCAGTAATCAATTTCTTATGCAGAAAGAAATATCTGGACCTCAGCATGCCAAATCGTATGTGGCTTATTTTGGATTCACTAAATATTTTGGGTGGCTATTATAAATGCTTCTCAGAGATATCTATCTTGGCCTCTTTCTTACTTTTGATTATTGGTTTTATGACACTTTGAAACAATGGAATTTCTCAGTGTTTCTTAACCACAACAATCATCAAAATCAATTATAAAGCTTTAAAAATAGATATTTCTTATTGAATTTATATTTGCATTTAAAATTAGCATTGTACTGTATAAAATGAATAGTAAACATTATTATAATATTAAAAATTCTAATTTTCCTTACATAGAATGATGTTAAATACAAATAACAAGCACCAGATGAGAGAGAAAGGGATCATTAAAGAAAGGAAAAATATTACATTTCAGTATCTTTAACAGCATTTCCTCCCACCCCTGCTTTCTAAATAAGAAACTCCACATTTTCAGTTTTGCACTGAGCCCTGCAAAGTATATGACTGGCCCTGATTTTAAGAACCAAAGAGCTACTGCTCATTTTCCTTATTTCACACACACACACACACACACACACACAGACACACACCACACACATGCACACAGACACATGCGCAGGTATGTATATGTATTTGTGACAGACTTGGTGAATTATTTTCTTTCAGTTGAAAGGAAATAGGCAGAATGTTGGTGTGAGGGATCAGAGAAAGGGGAAGCAATACCCTGATGAACATCTTCTCCCTTACTCTCTGTTTCAGTCACGCCGTTCATTTTTAATTTCCTCCTATCAGTAGGTTTCCAACTTTTTGGTTTTAGGGCTTCTTTTCTTCATTATCGAGGATGCCAATGAGCTTTTGTTCTTGTGTGTTGTATCTATTGTTGCTTACCATAATTGGAAATGAAAATTTAAAACTTCAAAAAGTGTTCATTTATTAATCTATTAAGAATAACATTATTGGGTTATTACGTATTAAGAGACCAATAATAATAATAAGAATAAACTATATATTCCTGCATAAGAAAATTAGTAAAAAGAATAGCTCTGTTTTACATTTCTGCAAACTTCTTTAATGTCTGGCTTAATAAAACACAGCTGGATTCTCATATCTGCTCTCGTATTTAATTTGTTGCAGTATCACATTTCATGTTGCCCCTGGCAAACTCTACAGTATGCCTATAAGAGAATCATAGTGAAAAGTGAAAGCAACATCATATATTATTATGACTCTGCTTTCGACTATTTTCATAGGGGTTCTGACTATATTTTGAAAACTGTTATTTAATATGCTTTGTCTTGCCACAGGGCCTTTTCATATGCTCTTATTTTGGGGACAATTTTTTCTTTTCTCCCAATTTTTCTTCGTTTTTAGCTTGAAGATCACTTACCTATGGAAGTCTTCTCTGACTCTTTCTAAAAGGCCATATTCTGTTACATTAGGCTTTCATAATTCTGGGTACCTTCTGCTTAAATCATTTGTCATAGTTCTGTATATGTCTGTGCAATTATTTTTCTGGCTTTCTCACAGGGCTAAAAATTTCAAGAGACTAAGACTGTGCCTCACCATTATATCTCCAGGATGTAGCATAGCATATGGTTTATATTGACACTGAGGAATTGTTGAATAGTAAATAGATTAATAATCTCAATAATGTAGTAGAGTTTCCAGTGATCCTACATTAATACATTACCAATATTAATCAATAGGACCTCTGTTTTTTCTTAAAACTAAGAGATAGAAAATTATAACCATTATTCTTTCTGTTTCACAACAAAATAAGGAGAAAGTGACCAAGTTAAAGCATGAAAGATTTGAGTTAAAGAATTTCTTTTTAAAAATTAAATTATTTATTTATTTTTTATTTTACTTTAAGTTCTGGAATACATCTGCAGAACATGCAGGTTTGTTACATAGGTATACATGTGCCATGGTGGTTTGCTACTCCTATCAACCCGTCATCTAGGTTTTAAGCCCTGCATGCATTAGGTATTCATCCTAATGCTCTCCCTCTCCTTGTCCCCATCACACCGGTCCCAGTGTGATGTTCCCCTCCCTGTGTCCATGTGTTCTCATTGTTCAACTTCCACTTATGAGTGAGACTATGTGCTGTTTGGTTTTCTGTTCCTGAGTCAGTTTGCTGGGAATGATGGATTCCAGCTTCATCCATGTCCCTGCAAAGGACAGGAACTCATTCTGAAAAAGAATTCCTTGACATTTAGTTTCTACATTAAACCAAAATTTTGAGATGACTATTAAGAGCTGGTTAGCTGGTAGTCATTAGAATATTTTAGTAATCAGATGTCAAGCATCTGGCTCCCTCTAGATAACAGAAACTACCAGCTAATAGGTGGACTATCACCTTGACATCCAGGTGACTGGTGAGATAATTTAACATCTGCATCTTTTAGTGTTGAGTAGAACCTGTGCATTAGACAGAAGGATCAGTAAAGATATCTTGTTATGAGGCTTTCTATTAAAAATATTAGGAAGACAATTTCAGTTATTTTTAAATTTCTTGAAATTTTATGGGTATATAAAAATGTCACTTTTTGAGGCCGAGCATGGTGGCTTACACCTGTAATCCCAGCACTTTGGAAGGCCAAGGTGGGCAGATCACCTGAGGTCAGGAGTTCAAGATCAACCTGGCCAACATGGTGAAACCTCATCCTTACTAAAAATACAAAATCAGCCGGGGGTGGTGGTGCACGCCTGTAATCCCAGCTACTTGGGAGGCTGAGGCAGGAGTATCTCTTGAATTCAAGAGGTGGAGGTTGCAGTGAGCCGAGATCACGCCATTGCACTCCAGTCTGGGTGACAAGAGCAAGACTCCATGAAAAAAAATGCATTTTTTTAATACTAAAAATAACTAAGACAGAAAGGTTACATGTATAGTCAATGGAATGTATAGATTTTTGAATTAAGGGTAAAATTTTGTATTGGTTTTAGGGGGCAATGGGGTTCTGGTTTCTTGGTGTTTGGTGGATTCTATGATTACTTAGGTGGCAAGATCTGGCTCTACCTCATTTTGATTCCTGATCCCTAGTCCAGTGCTTGGACAAATGGAGGTGCTTCGTCTGAATGAGTAAGTTGGTTTCCCAAGCAAACTTCTTTTTTTCTCCACTTAATTCTCCAATAACTGAACTAGACTGAATTATTTATTGTATATGTGTCATTTGAGTAACATTGGTTGTTTAACTTCAGGTTTGCAATTTATTTTGTTTAATGTTTAGGATTATACTGATAATCCTGTTCTCTTATTTTCTATTAGAGATGGAGGGAAAATTCATCTTTGTGGCTAAGTAGAAATTACTAACGTCATCTGTTGGAGATTTCAAGGACATTTTCATTTTTATGTTCCCCCAGTTATTATGCCAATCCAGCAGGCAGTCATATCCTTTGCCCCTTCAGGTATGAAATGGCAGCTGCTGTAGAGGCAACAGCTTGGTCACTGTTTACACAGTGGAGGATAAGCTAATCACCATTTGAAAACAATTGGATGACATTCGACCAGAAAGTTTATTAAAGAGAAACTGTTGAGACAAGGATTATACTTGTTTTGAAAAATTTTGCCTGTATGACTTGGAGTTCACATCATTAAGAATAAGAACAAAAAGTTAAATTTCCTAAATTCTAATAAGTTTTGTTTACTTAACTTTTAGGATTGTCTTAATCTAAATTTACTTTGTTTCCTCTGCTTTTAATGCACTCTGATTGGAAAATGATATTAGGCTGTTCAATGTCATTTGCCTTTTTTACAGTTCCAAGAGTACTTTTTTTTTTTATTTCAGCTTTTCATGCTTCTTCAGAATGGATTTTTTCTTTCTCCCAAGGCCTAATATCCAAAGTCACCTGATAAAAGACACTATAAAATCTTTCCTGGGGGGCTTTAAGTCTTTGTAATTTTAAATCCATTGACTAATTTAGTGTCATTGAGCTCTCAATCTTCAGAGGGACTTCTTTTCATTTAATGGTCTTGCTTTCGTTGAGATAAAGACATCTATTTTTAAAACACCTTTAATGCCAAATGAAATTGAAATTATTAATTGAATTGTTCTGTGTTTCCCTGTGCAGAGGATTTTCTAATCCTATACCCAGTCATTTGTGTGCAAGGAAAGAAACAGAAAGGAGGTTAATGGGAATGATCTACATTTTGGAATTAATGTATTCTTTTTGGAAATATGGTAGCTATAATTTCAAGGTCAGTCTGTGGACAAATAATACTTTTACAATATGTTTCCTGTGCATAAAATTCATATCTTCATAATACTATTATCTCATTTGATTTTGGAGAGAGAAGAATGTCATATAATATAGTGTAGCAGATCTTTGTCTCCAGGTCAATCTTCCAAAGTTTAGATCTCAACACCATACTTTCTTAGCCAAGTGGCTTTGCATGAGTTACTTAGCTCCAAGATGCCTCATTTATCTCATGTCTAATATGATGGTAATATAATAATAATAAAAATGATAATAGTAATAATGCCTACCTCATTGGATGTTGTGAAATTTCAGTGAATTGTTTTAAGAATTAAGTAAATGCTTTGAACAGGCCTGGCCCAGATTTAGAACTATTAATTATTATTGCCATCATTATTGACATCATCATATAAGAATTCAGGCTGATAGGTGCCCATCAACAGTGGACTGGATAAAGAAAATATGGTACATATATACCATGGAATGCTATCCCATCATAAAAAAGAACAAAATCATGTCATTTGCAGCAACATGGATGCGGCTGGAGGACATTATTCTTAGTGAATTAATGCAGTAACAGAAAACCAAGTACTGCATGTTCTCACTTGTAAGTGGGTGCTAAACATTAGATACACATGGACGCAAAGATAGGAACAATAGATACTAGGGACTCCAAAAGTAGGGAGAGAGGGAGGGAGGAAAGGCCAGAAAAACTGTTGAGTACCATGATCAGTACTTGGGTGATGGGGTCATTTGTATCCCAAACGTCAACATCACAGAATATATCTATGTAACAATCCTGCACATGTACCCCCTAAATCTACAAAAAATTGAAAATTTTTTAAAAAAAGAATTCATGTTGAACTCAGCATCATGCAATATGCCCTTGTAACGAACCTACACATGTACCCCAGAATCTAAAAAATAAAATAATTTAGTTTGGAATGTGATCACAGTTATAGTTCTTAAACCTCAAATCTCTATATAGTTGGGATAGAGACTGATGGCTACTCACTCCAGTAAAAATCAATAACAGGATGCTGTTAGCAAAGTATCTAGCCAGGAGGGTAAATTGTGAGGCATAAGCTAATCAGGGCTTTCCCTTTTCCCTTCGTTGGTCATCAGTTTATATAATCCAGTTTTAGCCAGTGAGATGTAAAAGGGAATTTTATGGGGATCTTCTGGGAAATATATATATTTTTCTCTTTTGAATGACAGAGCTCATTTGTCGTCTTCTTTCTTTCCTGCTTTGGATGCTGTGATATGAAGATATGATGGTTAGTGGTGTGGCAGCCATGTTGTGACCTTGAGGCTACAAGCTTGAGGCAAAATCCTGTATTCTTAGAGTGACGGAACAGAAAAAAAAAAAAGAAACTTGATGGTAATTTTGAATATAGGACTACCTCTAGATTTGTTAACAATAAATATGCTTAAAGTTTAATTTTTATTAGTAGGGTTTTCTTAATTGTAGCTGAAAACATCTTAACTGATACTTCAGTCATGCATTCTTTTGGTTACAAATGACAAAAGCCCAACTCAAACTAGGGAATTTATTCAGAAATTGAGAGTAGCTCATGCAGTCAAAGGTATTGCAATAGGAACACAATGGCTCTAAGGACCGGAGATATGGAAACTAGGTTCTTGAACATCATTGCACACTCTCCCTCTCCATCTTTCCTCTTTGCCTTTTTCTGTGTCAACTTCATTTATTCCTACTGAAGATGAACTTTCTCCTGGTGGCATGGGTATTTACTTCAAAAAACAAAACAAAACAAAACAAAACATCACACACACACACACAAATAAGAAGAATCTCTCTTAGCTCCTGTTTAATATAAATCTAGGAAAGAATGCTAATTTGATTCTCATACCAATTGCTTCAGCAAGGGGAGAAGATTGGATCAGCCAACTGCACTGCTTTGACCAGAAGAGTGGGGCTCTTTCTGGTAGATCCACTGGGATAACACCGATACACTGGGTGGATAATTTCTGTAGGACAGGCAGCCATTCCTCTTAATTTCTAGTATAAGTATGTAATAGATGTGAAAAATATTTCCCTTTGACCATTCAGGTCATGATTTGAATTAGTTTTGATGTTTTTCCTACTAGAATCATTTTTTATTTCTATGGGCTAGTTTGAACCTTTGTGTTTGTGACCAAAAGAGACTGAGAACCTGATGTATTGTGAGAGGTTGCCCTTCAGAACTTACCAGTGTACTCCCATTCTCATTTCATAGAGACTGCTTGCTCTGTGGGCTACACTAACTGGGATTTGAAATGGGGTAACCGTCACATTATGTATCAAAACTTCTTGGGCTCTTGGCGGAGCCTACTAATGTCAGGTTTAAGCTCCATAGAAAGAATTCTCCCTCTTTATCTAGTGTGTTTCTGGGAAGCCTTTCATAAATGTTCAAGAGAACCACACAGCATTCTCTGAGCACCACTCTCTGCTGAACATGGCTGCTGGTTCTCTGTGCCTGCTGGGGGACCTCGGTGCTGCTGGACTCTGCTGCCACCACTAAGAGTGCTGTCTTTGAGACACTGCTGATTCCCTGCTCATGGCAGCTAGCTTCTCCTTTGTCTCTTACTGCTGCCACTGCCACATGTATGCTGAAGGCTCCAAAGCTACCCAGTGACCCATGGAAAGTGGAGGGATGCCTCTGTCCCCTCTCTGCACTACACTGTTAAGGATTTTCCCAAACCTCAATATCTTGCAGAAGAAGTTTTAATAACAGAGTTGGGTCTTCTTATTTCTTACTGTATAATTTGCCCCTTTCTCTTCATAGCCCCACTGCATGGCAGCTAGGCTTGAAGACCATGTGTGAGGCTGCACCAGGACAAGGCATATGCCAAAGACTAGAATCCTCTCCGTCCATTTCCCAGAAGAAGGATTTGCTGATTAGCCTAGCTTGTGCTCTTGACATTTTTCCTCTTGGCCTTAGATATTTCCCAGGAGGTTCTTCAGTTTTGAATAAATGCAGATTTCTGTCTTGCTTATTCCACCCACCACTTCACCCTGAATGCTCAGACTTGTCTGATCGGAGAGCTGTGTACCAATAGACCTGTTGAAAGGACAGACACCATTTCCGAAAAAGGAGACTTCCATAGGATTCCCAACTCTTTATTTTGTCAAGTATGGCATTAAAAAAAGCAGCCAAAAATACTCTTATAACTCTATTTATTATTTCCATTATTTCATAAATAAGGCATTTTCAAACTAAAAATTAAAAGTAAGAGTGACATTGTTTAAAGAAAAAAATTTTCTTTTTCAAAGACGTGCAACTGAAATGTTATACCTATGGACACAAAAATTTAGCTGTACCTAAACCAGACTGTATATCATAATATACATATATTCACATGGTTTTCAGACATAATCTCTAGTGATGTTGATTCAGGATTGAGGATCTATAAACAGTATTTACAAAGCTCTCCAGGTGATTCTAACGCAGCCAGTCAGATTAGTATCTGGACTATTTTTCTCTTTTTCTTTTCCTTTTTTTTTTTTCTCATGAGGTAGTGAGAAAATCAATTGCAGATCAGTAATGGTCTATGGCCTGGCTCTTGGGACCCAGCTGGCTCAAATAAAATCTGGAACTCTAGTTATATAAGATTTCCCTGAGATGCCCATATGCTTTCTTTCTTCACTAGAAGAAGTACCAAGTGGTAAAATGTTACACATAGGAAAATTATGTGACATTGATCCAGGTCAAGCATGACATGTGAACATTAACTGATGATGAAGGCCTGTCAATTGGCAGTGACTGCTAGAATGTCATGCTGAAATTGATGCAAAGGATGAGTCCAGACACAGAAGCAGCCAATGTCGTGATTGATTAGCAGTGTCTCTTGCAGAGTAGATGAGGGGTGTAGCGGTGTATTTGCCATTTTTAGTCTGGCTCCATGTAGATTTACACATAAAGGTTGAGAAAATATTAGTGGTTTTAAGTGCTCCATCATTCTCTTCATTATAGTACAATAATAGTCCATTTGCAACTGTAGTAGAATAATGCCTGAAAGTCTGTCATCTCAAGAGTCTTTGTGTATTAAGAAGTCATTTAATCTGTATCCAAGTTCCAATTACTGCATTTAAATTGAGGCTATACTATTGTGTCACATCTATGTGGCCATAAAGGTACCTTGCAGTTTATTGAATGCACATTTCATTGGATAGTTGTTATATGACAGTTCCTTGCAGTGAAGTTAGGGAGAAAGTATAAAGTCCTTACCTGTCTACAACTTAATCTACTGGGGGAAGCACATATCTAAATAACGAATAATTACAAAAATGTGTACAGTGCACTCCAGAAACAGAGAATGAAAAGATTAACTCTGAATTTTAAATGAAGAAGAAAGAGAAATAGTGTATTTTAGTTGAAAAATTGATAGAAATTTAGAGTAAGTTGTTTCAAAGAAAAAGTTTTGTAGAACCCAGGATGTGTTGGTGAGTATGATCACTGAATGTTTACTTCAGTAAGACAACATATAACTTTATTTATAGTGTATCATGGTGTTTACTTACATTTGACTAACTTGTATTTATCTAGAACGCTTCCCCTCAATACATTATAAAGTGATAAGACAACCTGTGAAAATAGGACTGTAGGAGAATGGCCAGAATGTTCAGATTTCAATCTTTGAAAACGTATGTGTTAACTGTGTGACCTTGGCAATTTAATTTTGAAAAATCCTTTCTAATTCCTAATCTGCAAAATGAAGTTAATATTACTAACTACCACATTACATTGCTGTGAATATTAGAGGTAACATATGTAAAAGTGCTTAGCACAGTGCCTGGCACTTGGTAAATGCTCAGTAAGTGTTAACTATTACTAATATTATTATGTGTCTTTGAATTCTAATTATCTACATGGATCACAATAGACAAGCAGTTAGCATTTGTTGTTTGTGTCGAAATTCAGGATTTTTCCTTTCTTTTCCTGATCAGTTCATCCTGGAATGTGTGCTGTGTGCCTGACACCACTCAAGACTCACTCTCATTCCCAGCAAATTCCTTACAATCTTGTCTTCTGAGTCCACGTCCATAACTCTTCAGTTCTTTCCAGATCCCTTCCCATGGTATTTTAGACAGAATGGAGTATGAAGCTTTACTAAAATAGCTTAATCCTGACAGTTTGATCACTAAGAAGGAGCAGTAATGGTGAATTTACTGGGGAGACTAAATGGCATTTGCAATATTTACATAATGTGAGACAAAGTACCTCTGAATATGACGGTGCGTTCTATCACTATATTAGTCTATTTTTGCACTGCTACAAAGAAATACCTGAGACTGCGTAATTAATAAAGGAAGAGGTTTAATTGACTCATAGTTTCACATGGCTGGGAAGGCCTCAGGAAACTTACAATCATGGCAGAAGGTGCAGGGGAAGTAAGTTCAGACCTTCTCGCATGCTGGCAGGAGAGAGAAAAAGTGAGTGTGTGTAGGAGGAAACGTCAGACACTTATAAAATCACCAGATCTCGTGAGAATTCACTCACTATCATGAAAACAGCATGAAAGAAACCACCCCCATAATCCAATCACTTCCTTCCCTTGACACGTGGGAATTACAGGTCTCTTGCTCAACTTGTGGGATTACAATTTGAGATGAAATTTGGGTAGGGACACAGAGCCAGACTACATCAGTCACATAATACTATATGTTCTCTTTATGATACTTAAAACAATTTTATGTAACTTTGCTTTTTATTTATCTCCACTATTAGGAATAAATTCTGACAGTGAATTTATACCCTTAGAAAATGAAATACATAAAAGAATATATTGTATTCGTTTTGTTCTTCATTGTTTCTGTAACATCTAGCAAAATGACCTTTGCATAGAAAGTACTCAATACACATTTGTTAAAGGAAAGAAAAATAAACAAGTTTTGAAACGGACTTTATGACTGTTTTTCTTGGGGAGATTATGATTATATTAAAGAAATGTGAATCAAAGTACTTCTTTGAATATCTGTTTTTTTTTTTTTTTGGCAAGTGTGTGTGTGTGTGTGTGTGTGTGTGTGTGTGTCTGTGTGTGTTTATGATACCCAGGAATCACTTTCCATTGAACGAATCTCTGGAGTTCTAAAGACGAGTTTTGTAAGTGACAATATGGCCAGGTCAAAAGCTTATTTTAAAACTCGTAGTGTTTCTGGAATATAATTTTGGGTTTAGTGAAAGTATCACATAAAATATGAAGCTAAATCAAATTAATACCATTTATTCCTGGAGTCCTACATCTTATCCAGATTTGTATGCCAATGATTCCAGCATTTGGTACATCCTATTGCTGTATACTTTTAGTGCTCTGACTTCATCTATATTAATGTGTTAGATAAAAATAAAGCAAAAAATAATAAGATATTATTCATATTAAACATTGTAGCACCACTCATTTTACCTAAATCTTGGGAGTAAAAGTTCTTACGGGAAAGATTTCTAAGCTTTTCAAATTATATCTATAAACAGAACAGGAGCCTCAAATAGCATTTATCTCTAAGTCTGAGTTATAGCTTACTTCATTGCTCCCTAAACACCAAATTTTCCAGTATAGATATAGGACATATGCTCTTTCAGCTCAGTCTGCCATGGAGCTCAAGTGTGGCACATTTACACTGGCAGCTTTTTGGGGAGAAAAAAAATAGCATGGGGAGCAGTGAAATCTCCCGGTAGAGGAGGTTCGTGATACAAATGTTGAGGGGCTCAACTTTCAGAAAGTAATAATTCCCCTCATTTTTATTAGAAAAAGGACACACAAGCATAGCAACGTGTGGTAAATCAGCATCTCTGCCTCTTTACCAGCATTTATGATCAGCATTAATGGTGGCAACTGTCGTGGGGATTATGGCTGCTTTATTTCAAGGGAGTCTAAGATGCAGAGCATAGCACAAGTATTTTATAAACATATATTTTTATAGTCAGCCATTTGGGTTTGCAGCAATGACAAATGATTCCTAGGGGGGCTTAAAGAGGGAGAGGGAAGGAATGAAGTCAGGAAGGAGGTGGGGAAAACAGTTACATTTATCTGATGTAGAAATTTGGATGTTAGTTATAGTCCACATTGCTGTAAGCTATTTTGAGATAGCTTAAGTTGCCAAAATTATTACATTGATCAGCTATCCTGGGATTGAAAAAGCCACATTCTGACCAGGGCCATGTGACTTTTAGTTCCCATTACAAATCAGTATGGGCCTCCAGAGTGTAGTTGGTTTAACTATGTTTGTGATTATTTTGTGAAAGATAAAATCCCCTATCTGACACTTCCCAGAACTTCAAGCTCTTATGTGAGGTTTACAAAGTCATAGAAAGGAGATAATCTCTACCATCTTTTTTCTAGTGTATTCTGTATGTTTGATAAGGTGAGCTAATGTATACAGCTATGGCCCAAAAGGCACCCAAAGCAGACTGTGTTCCTATTGAATAGTCACAGTACCATTAAATAAAAAGGAAGCTTTCAGACAGCTTCTGACTTAAAAACATTTTGTAGATGGATCCAGATGTAAAAAGAAAGCATAAATATTTCTGTCCTATTCTTATCTTGTCTTACTATTAGATGTGTAGCTGCAGAAGCCATTATGATAATGAGCGTTTAGAAAATTTGTTTGTGCAGAAATTGAGGAAAGAAAAACTGCATAGAGGATCTGACCCTCAGCCTTATAGAGCTTTTTTTAAAATTTTTTAATTTTTATTTATTTTTTTATTATTGAGACAGTGTCTCACTCCCATCACCTAGGCTGGAGTGCAGTGGCATGATAGCTCACCACAGCTTCAACCTCCTGGGCTTAAGCAATCCTCCAACCTTAGCCTCCCAAGTAGGTGGGACTACAGGTGTGCACCACCATGCCCGGCTAATTTGTTTATAAAGAGGTGGGTCTCCCCATGTTTCCCAGGCTGATTTCAAACTCCTGGGCTCAAGTGATCCACTTTCCTTGGCCTCCCAAAGTGCTGGGATTAGAGCCATGAGTCACTGTGCCCAGTTACATAGCCATCTTTATAGTAAAATTCTTGGCCCTAAAAACTTTTGTTTTTCCTTCACTCCCACTTTGCCTGAAAACTTCTTTTGTTCATTTATTTATTCATTAACAAATATTTAGTATTTTGTGTGCCAAGAGCTCTACTAGATTTTTGGGTATACGTGAGTGAATGAGATGTAAACAGTTTCTGTTCCCACATAATTCAGGTGGAGGTGACATAATCAGACAGACAAGGGGATCTAAGTGCTGGAAAAACACGTGGCAGGAACAATTCACTCAGTCTAGCAAGATCAGAGAAGGCTTCCAAGATGAAGCATCTTCTAAACTAATAACTAAAGAATGAATAGGAGTTAAATTTCACATCAAATGGCTTTCATAAGATAATGTATATGAAATAACTTGTAAGTTGCAAAGCATTATGCAGAAAGTATATTTTATTATTGGTCTTCTTGTAATCAGGTAATCTTAAAATAAATAATATACAGGGATAAGTATTGCGGTAGCAATATTGTTTTTGGGGTAGAAAGCATCTCATTTGCAGCTACATTATTTTCCACATTCAGGTAAAAGACATAATTTCTACAACTAGTGTTCTGTAATCCTTTGAAAACCTGGCTTACTTAAATTTGGAGATGCAGCTAGCTAGACTTTTACCATTAAGAGAGGCTAGAGGGATAAACAGCTTCTGTACGGGAGTGGATCCAAGGATATTACTAAGAATGACCATCGCTTGCCTGCTGCTGATCCTGGGGTGGGTGATTTTAGTGTGATAGGGAGTCAGAAAACCTGGGTTCTTTTTCTAACATATCAATTAAATAGGCAAATGGCTAAAGACAGATCACTTAATTTCATTTGGTCACATTTTCCTCATCTGTAAAATGGTGATCTCTAAAGGACTAAATATATCTATCATTGACTTTCCAGGGCAGCTTCTTTCTAATGTTGCCCTCAAATCGTTTGCTGGCAACTGCTTTCTTGATTTCCTATTAAGAAACAGGGAGAGGAGGCTGGGTTCAGTGGCTCACGCCTGTAATCCCAGCACTCTGAGAGGCTGAGGGGGGCAGATTATGAGGTCAGGAGTTTCAGACCAGCCTGGCCAACATGGTGAAACCTCATCTCTACTAAAAATACAAAAATTAGCCAGGGGTGGTGGCATGCGCCTGTAATCCCAGCTACTCAGGAGGCTGAGGCAGGCGAATCGCTTGAATCCGGGAGGCCAAGGTTGCAGTGAGCCAAGATCGCACCACTGCACTCCAGCCTGGGCAACAGAGCAAGACTCCATCTCAAAAAAAAAAAAAAAAAAAAAAAGAAAGAAACAGGGAGAGAATAAGAAACAGAAATATAATATCATCTATTAGGAACATATTCTAGTGTATATGTGCACCAGTACATATAAAAAATGTGGACTGTCAAATTGCTAAATTACAAATATCTTCAGAAGGAAAAATGTTCTAAAACATGTCAATGTACCATTTTCCTCCTTTTACATATTTATTTTAACTAATTTTTTTGTCCCAGATGCAGGTAAGAATATTTTCAGAGGGAACTAATATGTAGCATATGTGGGAATATATGTGAACTGAAGCTCACATATGTGAGCTTTTTAATTTAATGTGTAGTAATGTTGATGTATATCAGTGACCAAAATAGATCACACATACTTTATATAATGGAAAACAATGGTAGATAAATGTCAATTGACATTTTAGCTATTCGATGAGAATGAGGATGTTCCAGTGTTCTATTTGCACAATTCAGAGCTTTCTCCTTAGACTATTGGTCTACTTTTTCACTTATAAAACTATCTCAGATAATAGCAGCACCACAGAGAATAAATACAAATAAGCCTTAAAACAAAACAAAGCAAAACAAATCTGTTGTTCATATTCTATCAACTACAGATATATTCACAGATGCTGAAGCAATATATTTTTTCTATTTTTTAGGAAAGGAAGTCTTGCTATGTTGCCCAGACTGGTCTTGAACTCCAGGGCTCAACAGACTCTCACATAGCTGAGACTACCGCTTGTGCCACTGCACCTGACTCTTGCAACAATAGCTTTGACAATATGTTCTTTTCTAAAATTTAATGGTGACACTGTCCCCCATCTGTCTTCTTGTGTGTCCACAGGGGCAACACTTTCAGTTTAGAAAACAGTGGAACATGTGAGAGAACACGCCAAGACAGACGCCTGACCAGTGAGCCAACACAAAGAAGATTTGTGCAACATTTTCCTTATGAAAGCTGATTTCTGGGCTTTATCTGTCCTGGCAAAGAGAATCAGACTGCTGGATGACATTTATTTTTATTAAAATTGAGCAAACAGCATTCATAAGTTGATGCATACGCTGCTGATGCATCCGTGTAAAACAAATAAACAGTAAGTCAGAGAACAGGATGTAAAAGCAACAGCAAAAAATCCTTCATGCCCTTCACTTTCCTATGGCAATCAAACAACAAGCTGATGCCAACTGTCGCCTCTCTGGATTTATGAAAATCCTGAGGGGAGGAAATAAATCACACATTTTCCTCTCTTCACTTACTCTTGTGCTAGTACTGTCAACATTTGCCTTTGATTCTGTATTATTGGCCTTATTTTTATTACTTTTTACTATTGGCAAAGAATATTATCAAAGAGATTGATAATAGAAATTAAATAGGTGCTTGTATATTGTTTTGGTAATATAGAATTTCTTTTTGTCATTCATTTTTCACTGGAGAAAAATAAGACGTTCTTGTTTACTGGCTATTGATATTAAGTGCATGTCTCAAAACACACACACACACACATACAGCAGAAAACCGAATATTAGGGTTCAGGATACCAGGCTCAGTGATTCCTTTCAGTACAAGTGTCCATAAGGTGGATACCGTACTAGGCTGCCTATATCTGCATCTTTTAGAAATTAATGGCTCACTTTTGCATCCTTCTGCAGGAATTTTCCTGTTTAGGCCAAAGAATGCCTCCTTACCTTAGTTGTTGACCCTTTTTTAGGGGAAGCCCTAATCTATGACTGGTCAGTGGGAGAGGTACAAACACTCTTTAAAGGGTGTTGACTGCCTTGCTCTTCTGGAGGGCCCTGTTTACTCTTGCCTTTGTGTTTCTTTACAAAATATTTTCTTTCTATATAATTCTATCACTTCTAAAACATTTAACTCAGCTTCTATTTCTTTCATGAAGTTTTCTTTTTTAAAAAAATTTGACTTTTAAGTTCAGGGATACAAGTGCACGTTTGTTATATAGGTAAACTTGTGTCATGGGGGTTTGTTGTACAGAGTGTTTTGTCACTTAGGTATTAAGCCCAGTACCCATTAGCTTTTTCCTGATCCTCTTCCTCCTTCCACCCTCCACTGTCCAATAGGCCTCCATGTCTATTATTCCCCTCTATGTGTCCATGTGTTCTTATCATTTAGCTCCCACTTGTAAGTGAGAACATGTGGCATTTAGTTTTTGGCTCCTGTGTTAGTTTTCTAAGGATAATGGCCTCCAGCTCCATCCATATTCCTGCAAAAGGCATGATCTTGTTCTTTTTTGTGGCTGCATAGTATTCCATGGCATATATGTACAGCATTTCCTTTATCCAGTCTACCATTGATGGACATTTAGGTTTATTCCATGTATTTGCTATTGTGAATAGTGCTGCAATGAACATGCATGTGCATATGTCTTTATGATAGAACAATTTCTATTCTTTTGAGTATATACTCAGTAATGGGATTGCTGGGTGAAATAGTATTTCTGCTTTTAGGTCTTTGAGGAATTGCCATACTGTCTTCCACAATGGTTGAAGTAATTTACACTCCCACCAACAGTGTAGAAGCATTCCTTTTTCTCGACAACCTCGCTAGCTCCTGTTTTTTGTTTTGACTTTTTATAATAGCCATTCTGACTGGCATGAGATGGTATCTCATTGTGGTTTTGATTTGCATTTCTTTAATGATCAGTGATGCTCAACACTTTTTCATATGATTGTTGGCCGCATGTATGTCTTCTTTTGAAAAATTTCTGTTCATGTCCTTTGCTCACTTTTTAATGGAGTCATTTGTTTTTTTTCTTGTAAATTTCTTGTAAATATGTAAAGTTCCTTATACATATTTAGACCTTTGTCAGATGCATGTTTTGCAAAAATTTCTCCCGTTCTGTAAGTTGTTTGTTTGCTCTGTTGATAGTTTACTTTGCTGTGCAGAAGCTCTTTAGTTTAATTAGATCCCATTTGTCAATTTTTACTTTTGTTGCATTTGCTTTTGGTGTCTTTGTCATAAAATCTTTGTCTGTTTCTATGTCCAGAATAGTATTGCCTAGGTTGGGTTTTACATTTAAATCTTTAATCCATTTTGAGTTAATTTTTGTATATGCTGGAAGGAAGGGGCCCAGTTTCAATCTTGTGCATATGGCTAGTCAGTTATCCCAGCACCATTTATTGAATAGGGAATCCTTTACCCATTGCTTGTTTTTGTCAGGTGTGTCGAAGTTCAGATAGTTTTAGATGTGCGGCCTTATTTCTGGATTCTCTATCCTGTTCCATTGATCTTTGTGTCTGTTTTTGTCCCAGTAGTACCATGCTGTTTTGGTTACTATAGCCCTGTAGTGTGGAAGTTTTCTTTGACAACTCTTAACACACACTGATTTCTTACTTCCTTTTATGTGTGTAGTATCCAATCACCTACATTGGTTTAAATGCTTTCCAATATACAAAATATCTTCACATATCTACCCTGACTGAACTTTTAAAACCACTCCCTGGTTTGGTAAAAGCAAGAATGATTATTTTTTTATTTCCACTTTACAGTAGAGAAGCCCAGGGGTGAGAAAGAATGAGTAGTTGCCCAGGTCATCTCGTGGCATATGGCAGGCCTAGGATTCAAATCTGTGTATGATAGTTCCACACTCAGTGTTCTTGCCGCTTAACAGTGCTGCCTTCTCAGGGTGCATTTATTGCTGTGTCACCTATTTAAATTATATACACCACAGTGTTGATTTGGGCTTCTGTTTGTCACTGTAAAATTTCCCCTCTGTATCCAAAAGATGTAGTTAGACCTTCATGTTCTTTGACTCATGGTTCTGCTAAGAATATTGGCATTTCTGGTTTAGAAGAAACATTTGTTGGGTCTCTGGAACATACCTTCACTCCAGTTTTCAAAAGCACAGAGGTTCCACAGGAAGGTACAATGGGTACAATGTCTACATTATTTGGGTGATAGACACACTAAAAGCGTAGACTTAACCATTATGCAATATAGCCATGTAACAAAATTGCATTGGTACCCCTTAAATTCTTGTGAATAAAATCAAAACATTTTATGAGGTGGATTCAGAAAAATCTTGCTTCTATCCCTGGGTTCTCTTTCCCGTTCCCCCTCTATTCCTATGAATAACCATATTTAATAAGTTTTTGTTTTATTTTATAAATATAAGCTAATAAACGCACAACTTCTCACATAAAGGAAACAATATTCATACTCTTTTGCAATTTGTTTTTTCACTTAGTATGTCTGGGAGATAATTTTATATTCACACATAGGAATCTATTTTATTCTTGTTTTTATTGCATAGTGTTCTATTGTGTGAATGCATTAGTTTATTGAACTGGTTCCTTGCTGGTGGATATTTTGGTTATTTGTAAACTTTTGCTATTATACATATTTTTACAATAAATAGCCTTATTGACAAATTATTTCACATTTTTCTTTCAGTGTATATGTAAGATACATTTCTAGAAGTAGAAACGTCAAAAGGTATACGCATCTGCAGTTTTTCTATATATTGTCAAATTATTGTCTCAGTGGTTGTTTCAGTTTGCATTCCTACCAAAATTTATGAGTTTCTATTCCTAACATTCTCCCTAATATGTATTATAGTGAAGCTTTTAGATTTTGCCATTCTAATAGATGAGTGGTATTTTCTTATAGTTTTGCTTTTAATTTCTCTTAATAAATTAGATTGACCATTTTTTGTTGTTTTAAAGAGTCATTTAAAATTCTTGTTCTGTGAACTACCTTCATATCTTTTGCGTATACTTCTGTTGAATTACAAGTCTTTTTCATGGGAGTTTTTGGAGCTCTTTTGTTATTAGTTATTCTGGCCCTGTGATATAAGTTACAAATAATTTCTCCAAGTTTTTAATTTACATTTTGACTTTGTTTACAATGTTTTTGCTGTGTAGAATACTTCTTAATGATTAGTCAGTGGCTTATTCTTTTTTCTTGAATAGCAACTAGATATTGAAGAGTTGGGAAGGTTTCCCCAATCCTGGACTGAAAAAAGCACTCATCCATTTCTTTTTCTACTTTATATAAATGTTATGTCTTATATTTGATCCTTTTGAAGTTTAACCTGGTGTGTGATGTGAGGTGCAAATTCAATGTTATCATTAGCCAAAGGGCTTTTCAGTCGTCCAAAAGATAACAAGGTGGCATGATGTTGTGTGTTAGTTATATTCAAGGACTTAATAATAGTTCTTAGCATGTCCTTAAAGTCCTTAAAATCCCACTAGCGTGTGACTTATAGGAGGGCATGGTCATGAACAAACCCAGTGGATTTGCAGGCTCTCTTAAGAAAGCACTACACAACTGCCCACTTCTGAGCTCAAGAACTAGAGGCAGAATCACACTGATGATTTCTAGGTTGCTTTCTAAGATACTGCCAAGGCATTATGCAGCATGCTGAAACGGTCTATGGAAAATTAGAATCTTCATGGCAGTTTCAAACATACATATTATATATGGTCAATAGTTACAACACAATCTGAATTCATGGTGAGAATTCTTTTTAATTTCTTTAAAGATGCCATGTCCCTGATGTATAGGAGGATAATGCAAGTGAATCAGAAACATGCTAGCCCGAGAGAAATTGGTTCAAAATGACTCCATAGGCCATTTTGGGGAAAAGCATATTTATTAGTGATGACAGAAATTAAAACTGCTTCCTCTGATTGTACCACTCTCCTTCTTTATATTCACCCTTTACTGGAAAGACCAAATAGCAGGCAATTGAGAAACAATTTTTCTGACTTTAGTAAGAAACAGGTGTTGAACTATCAGCCCTACTTTTTCTTGTATCTGAACTGACGTTCAGTCTATGGGAGGGAAGGAGACAGGAAATGGTGGAGCTGATGAGAAGAATGAAGCAGGTACCAGCATCTCAGAGCTGCGGAGGACGTCAGGCTTGTTGGATGGTTGCAAATGTGTGAACTATGATGTGTCCAAAAGTCCCCAGATTGCTCTCTCTCTCTCTCTCTCCCTAGTCTTTTCTATTGATTCATGTTTATTCTGTATTTATATCTGCTGTTAAGAATGACACAGAGACAAAGGAGACTGGGTAGAATCAGTACTTGGGATAAAAAAAGCTTTGCATTATTTTCTTGGTTGTCGAGTCTCACTGATTCAGAACAACTGGTGATTTCTCTCTCTGTAGCTTTAATTATGTTTGCTGTCAGAGACATAAGCCACAGGAAAGGACAGGACAGCAACTTTATTTTAAGCTGGATTGAGTATCACTAAATCTGTCCAATTCTTATCAGCTCTAGAATTATAGTTTTTTTCTCTAAGAAATACTATATACTTAAAGCTTTTTAGAAAATATCTCTTTTGAGGTAAAGAACCATTTTAATCTTAGAACATTAGTCAGAGTGGGACTAGAACTATAATAAACAGGTAGCATTTTAAAAACACACAATGAGGATTTACTATTATGATGTAAAGTCTATGAATTAAAAACCACTGAGCATGTGCAAAAAGTAAAAATATATGTTGAACATTTTATTCATACATAACATGAAGTAGACTTTAAGCAACTTCTATTTAATACTTACAAGAAAATCATTTCTTTATGCATGGAAATCCCATTGTACTTCAAAGATTTGTTCAAATAGATAATGTGTGATAAGGATATTTCCAAAATGCCTAATTTCTTTCTCTGATGTAAGGTTAAGATGAATGTTCATATTCTCTGTTCAACATTTTATTGCTTATTAAGCAAAGGACTTAATAAAATGATTGTGAGATTTAGATGGCTTTTCTAAAAAGTTAATTCATTTTTCTTTATATTGGATTATGCTAGCCAATTGATCAGATATGAAGTGAAATATTGATTGATTCTGAAAAGATGCTGTGATCCAATTAGTTGCCAGCTGATATGAATAATTGTGCATTCAATTTGATTTCAAACCTTTTTCTCCTATTTGATGGTTTCATTGATATATAGGAGATTCTCATTCATATTTTCATTACCTAATGTGATAATTTTATATGTCAACTTGACTGGGCCATGGGAAGCCCAGATATCTGATTAAACATTATTTCTGGGTGTGTGTGAGAGTGCTTTGGGAAAGGATTAGCATTTGAATTGGTAGACTGAGTAAACCAGATAGCCATCCATAATGTGGATGGGTGTCATCCAATCCACTGAGGGCCTAAATAGAACAAAAGAGCAGAGGAAGGCTAGATTTGCTCTCTCTTTGCCTGACTCCTGACTGCATGAGCTGGGACATTGATCTTCTCTTACCCTTGGTACTCCTGGTTCTCAGGCCTTCAGGCTCAGACTGGACTCTACACCGTGGCCCTCCAGCTTTAAGGCCTTTGACCTACACTACTGGCTTTCCTGGGTTTCCAGCTTGTGTACAGTAGATCATGGGACTTCTCAGCTTCTATAATTGCATGAGCCTTTAACTTATAATAAATCTCTGTTATCTGACTATCTATCTATCTATCTCTATCCTTTATCTATCTTCCATTGGCTCTGTTTCTCCAGAGAACCCTGACTAATACACCTAGTAAGAGAACTTATCATTACTTTGCCCACCACTCATTCCTGAAGAGGTATTACTTGGCATTGTTCAAGGGGACTATCATATAGAAGGATTTAATGTCGTATTGAATCACTGTATTTTCTTTTGAAACATAAACCTTATTTTGTTAAGGAGAAAGCCATATTCAAAGTGGAGCAAGAAGTCAGTGTGGCTTGAATAGAATAAGTCATTGGGATTGGATTATACTAGGCATTCAGGCCATCATAAAGAGTTTGAAATTTCTTTGAAGAAGCTGAGAAGAGAGAAGACATTGGTAGGTCTTAAGTAAGAAAGCGAAATAATCTGATTAAAAAAATGTTCACTCTGGTTACTGTGCAGAAAATTGCCAGAAGTGAAGCAAAAGTGGAATCTTCTGGGAGACTCCTAGAAGAATCTAAAAGTTGTGAAGGTGGCTATGTGGTAAGACATGGTAGATTGAGGTATCTTTAAAGGTGGAATTCTTAAGACTTTCTGATGGATTAGATGTAGGGTGCAAAGGCAAGAGAATAAGGTTTTGAATGTGAGCCAAATAAATGGAAAGTGGTACTGACTATTTTATTGTTCATAAGCCTAGGCTAGGCTGGGCATGGTGGCTCACTCCTGTAATCCTAGCATTTTGGGAGGCCAAGGGGGGTGGATTGCCTGAGCTCAGGAGTTCGAGACAAGCCTGGGCAACACAGTGAAACCCCGTCTCTACTAAATACAAAAAAAATTAGCCAGAGATGTCAGCGTGCGTCTGTAGTCCCAGCTACTTGGGAGGCTGAGGCAGGAGAATTGCTTGAACCTGGAGGGTAGAGGTTGCAGTGAGCCGAGATCATGCCACTGCACTCCAGTCTGGGTGACAGACAAGACTCTGTCTCAAAATAAATAAATAAACCTAGGCTAAAAATTTAATTGACTTAAAATTATTAAAACATACAAAATATCACATTGTTTACTTATTACTATTAATTAAAAAAGCCAAGTAGGAGTGTACAATGTATACTCAACAATTATTCTGCATTGCCATTAAAAGTCTGTCATTAGAACTTCATGATAAGAAGATGACTTGAGCTGTATAAAACTACCATTTTTTAAATAATACTTCTGTTGATGACACAGTTAGGGCAGATTCCTGGAAAGATGGGTAATAGAACTTACTTAGATGGCATTATCAACTCCATTTATGTCCTCCACTGGCTTTATACTCTCCTTTCTGGGACTCTTACATAACCAGGTATGCTTCAAACAGGATTTTGTTAACCTTTTGCTATTCTTTCTCTGGAAGATTCAACCTAAGAAAGGACAGCTTTCTATTGCATCTCAGTATTTCCTACCTGACACTGAGCATGACCAAAAATTGTAACAAAATTAGAAGCATTGCAATGTCCTCTCCCCCTCCCTGTATTCTTAGCTAGATCTTTTCTTCAAAGAACTAAAATAAAAAGGTGATATATATCTGATGTTAAATAACAAATTCAGCTAAGTTCTGAATCCCTAAACTGGTTAATTTTCATTTCTGTCCTCCAGTTTTACTTTCCAGTGAAAGAAAGATGACACAATGTGTCTGGTGCTATGTGTTCTCTTCTAGGCTTTCCTGACAATGAACAGTAAGTGGCTCATCTGATTGTGATAAAGATGGTATACACTGCCTTATAATCTAAACATTGATGTGCAGAGCTGTAATCACATCTGACTGGTGGGCAGATCAGTTGTCTTTGTCTTCAATCTCTCTTGTTGTATTGCCGTGAAGTGCTGTCACAATGACTGATAGAGGGGTAGAAGCTGTAAATTCAGGAGAATCATTCAGTTACACAAGCAGAAAGGATGTCTTTCTTGTAGAGAAATCCTTATGCGTAAGTAGAATAGAAAACTACCCACATGTGAGTGATTTCAGAGTGTAGGAGAAGACAGCTTCACTGCATTCCAAAACGTCTTTCTTACTCTCTTGAGGATGCCAGATACTATGCAGATATAGTCTTTAACTCAAACCTAAGTAAAGATGCAGACAACTTGAATGGGTACCACACTAAGATGTGAATAGTTGTGAATAAGATCACAAGCCCACCAGACATTTGCAGCTGGAGAAATGAAATTGTTATTAGAGCAGGAGAAGACTGTGTAGAAGAAGAAACAATGGTCTACATCACAATTTTGTCTTAAGTTGATCACATATTTTTTGTCTAAATGTGGCAGGTTTCCCTATGAGTTAGCTTAGCTGTGTGTATGCATTTGTGGTTTCTATGTCATTTTTTAAAGTTGTGTGATATAAACTAGTACAAATCATTAGAAAATGTATCTAAATTTTAACTCTAGTCTATTAACACCAATTTATCTGTTTCTTGCATGCTTTCTATTAAGAAGTTCTACTAAAGATAGTTAAGTGGTATATCTTACTAACATTTGACAAAAGTGCTGCCTAGCTAGGTCTGACTGTCTTTGCAACTTCATAAAAATCGACATGACAAAACCATGACACAGGATCATGTGAATTTTAGAAGGCAAATTACATTAATTGACCTTTTTCTCCAGACTTATTTCAACACAGAAGCAGCTTGAACTGATGAAACTAGTTGGTTGAGAGATATATGCTTTATTTTCAGATGCATAATTTCTATTTCTACATTCAACGTTTTTAACCTTATTTGAAGAATGAGAAAAATACCTGCTACTCCTCATCTTACAGTAATGTTATAATAATCAAGCAGATTGTTAAAGTTTATGCAAAGTGATAAGGAGCTTAGTAGGACTCTCCTTAACAAACAATACTCTAACTGGTGAAAATTATAAAAAGCAAACCTCTAAAGTCTTTAAATTTATCCTGGAGGCATACAGAGAATGGAGAAACATTTATTTAAGAAAACTTACTAAATCTCTTTTAGAACAGAAAGAGTTGGGATTTGAGTCATGGCTCACTCCCTTACACTACTCCCCGCTCCACACCAGCTCTGTGATACTGAAATTCCCTCAGGTATATACAGCCAAGAAGGCAAGGGACTTACTCTCCAGCTCCTAGTCTGGTGCTGCAGTTTCATCTCTAGTGGGGAAGGCTGCCTTTTCCGATTCCTTCCAGCCTCATGTTGCAGGTAGGTGCACTGAGAGGATTGGGTATCTTTTCCCCCACCTAGCCACCACTCTATAAGGAAGAAGCTGTAGTCCAACATCATCCTAATATTCTTAAGAAAATGCAAGACCTCAAGAAAAGCCAAACAATCTTGAATAGGAATACGGGAGTATTTACACTTTCTGATTTCAAAATTTACCACAAAACTGCAGTAATCAAGACAGTGTGGTCCTGGCATAAGGGTAGACATATAGATCAGTGGAATATAACTGACAGTCCAGATATAAACCCTCATATTTATGATCAGTTGATTTTTGACAAGGCTATCAAGACAATAGAGGAAAGAATAATCTTTAAGCAAACAGGGTTGGGAAACTGAATATCCACATGCAGAAGAATAAAGTAGAACCCTTACCTCGCACAAACACAAAATAACACAAAATGGATTACAGACCTAAATTCAAGAACAAAGTTATAACACTCTCAGAAGAAATGACATACAAGTAAATCTTCATGACCTTAGGGTAAATGTAACAGCAAAAGCACAAACAACAACAGAAAAAAAAAAAAAAAACAAATGAATTGGGACTACCTCAGAGTTGAACTCTTTTGTGCTGAAAATGATGTCATCAAGAAAGTGAAAAGATAATCTACAGAAAGGGGTAAGATATTTGCATGTTATATCTGATAAGAGACTTGTATATAGCACATATAGAGCTCTTATAACCCAAAGGACCCAACAACCTAATTGAGAAATGGGTATAGTGTCAGAATAGACATTTCTCTAAAGAAGATATATAAATTCCCATTAAGCACTTGAAACAGTACTCTAACACTATTAGCCATTAGAGAAATGGACATCAAAACCTCAATGAGTTAAAGTTTCATACTCAATAGATGGCTATAATAAAAAGACAGTAATAAGTATAGGTGAGAATGTGGGAAACTGGAACCCTCACACGTTGCTGGTGGGAATTTAAAATAATAGTGCTGTGACATTGGAAAAAGTTTGGCATTTACTCAAAATATTAAGCATGGAGTTACCACATGACCTAGTACTTCCATTTTTAAGTTTCCACCTAAGATAAATAAAACATATATCCATACAAAAACTATGTACATAAATGTTCATAGCATTATCTATAATACCCAAAAAGTGGTAGCAGTCCAAATGTCCATTCACTGATGAAGAAATAAAATGTGGTGTAACTATACAATGGAGTATTATTCAGCAATGAAAAAAATGTACTAATGCATGTGATAAAATGGATACAATTTGAAAACATGGTAAGATACGGTCACAAAGAAGACATATTGTCTGATTCAATTTATATGAGATTTCTAGAACAGACAAATCTATAATATTGAAAGTAGATTACTGGTTGCCTAAAGCTGAGGCTGGGGGTAGGTGGAATGGAGAAGAATGAAGAATGACTGATAATGGGTATTTTTTTTTTGACGGACAAAAATGTTCTAAAATTAGATCACTGCATAACACAGTGAATATGTATAAAACATTAAATTGCATACTTTAGGTGAATTGTATTATTTGTTAATTATATCTCAAGAAAATGTTTTAAACAAGTAAAAATGTTAGAATTTTAAAATGTTTATTTAAAATACATGCTTTTAATATTGATATAATTTTTGAGAATTGTATCTCATTCACAAGGAGAAAAGTCAAGTCCTTTTTTTTCAAGAATAAATTTCTGTCTCCGTAAAATAATTTTAAGTGATGAAACTATTTAACAGGTTCTCTCTTTCAGCATATTTTTATATGTTAATGAGAAAATAAGCCAATGATAAATGTATGGGAAAAAAATCAACTTTTATTGTATAGGAATTTTTAAAAAGCATCTACATCTGTGCTACCTGGTAGAAAACAGATTTTATTACCTATGACATTTTAGTGAACAGACTTCTCAAATTTTTTTTGAGAAAATGACTAATTTTTATCCTATAAGCAGCTTTATAATTTTCAATTCCAAGGTTGCATTTAAAAGTTCAATTGACTAAACAGCTAAAACTGAAAATATCAATTATATCTGTGATATAATATGATGCTTGCTGTTATCAAAATATGTTGAATTTACAAAGTTAATTTACTTAAGTCTTACTTCTCATTTTCATTCTAAGACTGCAAACCCATATTTCTGTGTCAGCCACTGTGGCCAGGTGGAAGTCTAAGCACAAACTCAGCAAGCAGGTTCTTCTCCAAGCAAAACAAACTGAAAATTTGAAGACAATGTGTACGATCTAGTTGACATTTTAAGTAAAAATCTAGCACTTAACATGGTAGATTGTAACAATAAGAGAAAATATTGGAAGAAAGATGACCAAAAATAAACTATTCTCAGTCTGCAAATGATTTTTAATAATTCTGCTTAACTCAGCCTAACTCTGATCTCTCCTGAGCTGATTATAATTCACACTAAAATTTCAGCTATTGAAAAGAAGGCTTAGTTTTAGGTCCACTCACATCCACTTGCCTGATTCTGCTGTGTCCTCTTGGTCAAGGTAGCCTTCAGAGTAGCAGTTGGCAAACTTTTTTCTGTAAAGGACCAGATAGTAAATATTTTTGGCTTTGTGAGCCATAAGGTCTTTGTCACAATTATTCATCTCTGCCATTTTTGTGAGAAAGCAGCCATAGACAATGTATAAACAAATGGGCATGGCTGTATTCTAATACAACTTTATTTACAAAACAGGCTGGTAGACCACAGTTTGCCAACCCTTGCTTTATAGTTTAATTTGCAAGGAAGTAATGAATTTCTCTGTTCTAAATTGCTCTTGGTTAGGAACTTAGATGTGTATCAGGAGGATGATTAATTCTTTTGAATATGGGGCAAGAGGGTGGCTTCATGGTGGTGTTCACCCAGTTAGGAAGCTAGCATCATTATTTTACAAAAATATTTATTTTTATTTAACAAGGGTAAGGGGACTTCTTACACCTGGGTTTTAATTTCAGAACTTCTGTTACTCTGCTTTTCAGTTTTACAGTGTTGTTGTTGTTGTTGGTTTGTTTTGTTTTTTTGAGACAGGAGTTCTCTCTGTTGCTCAGGCTGGAGTGCAGTGGCGTGATCATGGCTCACTGCATCCTCCACCTCTTGGGCTCAAGTGATCCTCCTGCCTCACCCTGGCAAGTAGCTGGGACTACAAGTTCATGCCGCTGCTCCCAGCTAATTTTCCTTTCCCTCCCTTCCCCTCCCTTCCCTCCCTTCCCCTCCCCCCCTCCTTTCCCCTCCCCCCTCCCCTCCCCCTCCCCTCCCCCTCCCTTCCCCCCCTCCCCTCCCCCTCCCTTCCCCTCCCCTCCCCCTCCCCTCCCCTTCTCTTCCCTTCCATTCCCTTCCCTTCCCTTTCCTTTCTTTTGCTCTTTCTTTCCTTTCCTTTCCTCTTTCTTTTGCTCTTTCTTCCCCCCCACTCCTTTTTTTTTTTTTTTCTGGAGAGACAAGGTTACACCATGTTTCCCAGGCTGGTCTTAAACTCCTAGGTTCAAACCATCCACCTTCTTGGCCTCGCAAGGTGTTGGGATTACAGGTGTGAGCCACCGTGTCCAGCCAAATTTAGGTTCTTAAATGAATTTAAAAACATTAGTTAATGTAATTTCTTATTTTTCAACCAGAATGTTTGCATTTCTATTTGTCTGTCAGGTCATCCTTGGGTTGCCGGATTTAGCAAACAAAAATATAGGTTTTCCAGTTAAATTTGAATTTCAGATAAACAATTAATACTTTTTTATTATAAGTAAATTTCAAGTAATATTTGGGGCACTCATACATAAAAATGTGTTGTTTATCTGAAACTAAAATTTAACTAGGCATCTGTATTTTTATATGGCAACTCTAGGTTCATCCTTCATCCCAACATTTTCAAAACATACTCAGAGAGTAAGTTTTCATTTAGCATCAAAGGAGATTCAGTACCATTATTAAGTTTGTTCTAAATGTCCTTTCATCAACTTGTCATGTACTTCGGTAAAGTATTTCTTTTCATAATAACTTTAGGCTACCTACTGTATCGACAGTAAATTATACATGTTATCCACCCTCAACAAGCTTAGCAACCATTTCCTATGTACTTTATTCTCTTTCTTATCTCCTAGTTTTCCTAACTACTCACTAACCAGGCAAATACTCTCCACTTTACATGCAGCAACATGCTTCGTCTTCTTTTTACCAACTCACCCTTTTTCCTTGTATTTTCTACCTAGTATTTTTGTAGTATTTGCACCTCACACCTCCGCATCTAGAGCAAGATACATATATTTAAAATCTTTATTAATATTTTCAAATTATATCAAAAGAGTACATATATATTACTTAAAAAGCAAAATAGTATTAGTACACTAATATTTTAAAATAGTAGTCACCTGCCCCATCCCCTCTTCTCCAGGTTTTTACTATCTTGAAATAATGTGCTCACATCTTTTTAGCTAATTATTGTAATAAATACCCTTTGTTTATATTTTTATTTCTTATTTTTTCAATGTTATATATAATTTATTAGCATCTTGTTCTTTGTCTTATTTTGTCAATATAGTTATATTAAAATTTTGGGTACATCAGCAGTCAATATTTATATTTTTATAATTATGTAACCAATATTCACAGATGACTCAAGAAGTGTTCTATGATTACATTTCTTCTGTTGTTAATTTTTTGCTTTTCCTGGAGTTAATAACAGTCTAATATTGTCATTTGTTTTCTATGTGCTTATTGCTAATTAATCCCCACTCTATTTAGTGAGACATCTCTGAAATTTCTTTAAATGTAGTGTATATTTATCAGCTTTGTTTTTCTCTGGGATCCCTTCTTGGGCCTCTGTTCTCCCATTTCAATTGGGAAAGGTTCCTCTCCATGTCTGTTGCACAGGTTCATCCTGTGCATTTCCTTACTCAACAACCTGGAAATTCCTTGTGCCTCATATGCTCTATTCCTTGTTTCTTGAAACACTTTGATTTATTAAAAAATAATTTGGATAGGTTGTTTCTAAGTTTCCCAATTAACACTTATGTGGGGATGTGTGGTAAGCACTTATCTACGTTAGCCAAGAGCTTAGGAGTGAAATCTGTTCTCTAGGTAAATGTGTTAATCACTCATATATAGTCTATGTAGATAGTAGAGGCCATGTGTGTATACATGATCACACAGAAGTGTGTGTGAAATAAGTAGAGAATTTGAACCAAGAATAAAATCTAAAGGTATACTGATGGTTTAAGGAACTGGACATAGAAGAAGGTTCTGTGAATTAGGCTGAGATTATCCAGCTAGGAACATTAGGGAAAAATCAAGACAGTGCGGGGTGCAGAAGCTAAAGAGAAAAATGTGGCCGTCTGTATAAAAATACTGTTAAATGATGAAAGAAGATGATATATGTATAAGTTCTTTGCATTTAACATCATTATTGAATATGATGAAAGTATTTTAGGTGGAATTATGAGGACTACTTTTATGCTTGGGTAATTATAAGCTAGGGAAGAATCATGATCATGGTTAAATGTTGACGGAAAAAACTAAAAAGGAAGAGTTTGGAGATACAAGGAAGAGTGGAGAAAATCAATAGATTGAACAATGAATGAAAATATGGTTACTGATGCTTGTAGCTTAGCAGGTTATGTGGTTGGGAATTCAAAGGGATTTCTTGGGATTTCTGTGATAAAGAAACAAGGCAAGAGTGAATCAAGTTGAGATTTAAGAATAATGGGGAATTTTTGTAGAGTGAAACAATGAGTTATAGTGGACCATTAGTATTTCCAGTGAGTATAGGGGGATCCAGTTGATATTGGTAAACATAAATTTATAGTGAAATCAGTCTACCCAGTGATAACATATTTTTTGAGGTGAAGCTGCAGAGAGAGCAAGTAGTTTTGTTCATCCAAAGTAGCTTTTTTGGGGGTAGGAAAGGAAAGGAAAGTGAAGTAAAGACACTGTGAATACTGACAAAAGTGTGCAAAATCATTAGGTTTACAATTGCCAGAGATAAAAAACTGTGAGGTCAATAGTCGTTAAGATAAAAATGAGATAAATTAGAAGAGTCAGTATCCTGAGGGTCCTGATGAGGTTGAAGAATTGGTTTATTGGAGAATGATTAAACAAACAAAGTTGGCATATAAGGGGCTGTGTTCAGAAAGTGACATGAATGAATCCCATATTTCAGAGGCAAAACTGATCCAGGTGATGAAAATATGTGTGTATGCATATGGAATGTGGGGTGGAGGTGGTATTGAGATTATTGAAGTGATACAGTGATATAACTGATTGGTAAATTCGTGAATTGATCATACCTGTGAATATTGAATGCATCCAGATTGATTGCCAGCCATGTAAGAGAAAATTTTCAAGGGTTTTATTGTTAATGGCATGATCCTTAAATGAGTAATGCTCATAAGGAAGAGAGAGGGGATGATTGAACTGGGATCCAGATTCTGAGGTGAATAAGAATTAATACATGAAAACAGTGCTCTTGAGAGTGCTCAATAACAGATATTGTTACTCAGGAGTATATTGGTCAAGATAGGCTAGGTTATATTGTGGAAACAAACAGCATCTAGGTCTCAGGGGTTTACATAACAAAAGCTTAACCCAGAAAAGTCACTGTCAGATTGTGTGATGGGATTGGAGAGGAGTAGTGAAAGACTGTGTCATAGATGACAAGTGCCTATCAGAATTAGGATGAATGTATGGGGAACATAGATGGCTTGAGGGCTTATATTAGAGTGTTGGCTTAAAAATTTAGGAACTGTAGGCAAGAAAGGATCAGCTGGTCATCAGTTTGCCAAAGAGCAAATGTTCTGGCTTCTCAAATTCGTGCACTGTAGTTGGTGTGAGGAACTCCTATAAATGGACAGATACATTGCAAATGTTGTAAGGCACAAGGTTTGGAGTGGGTATTTTTCAATGTGGTTCACAGGAGTGATAAAATTGGTGGTTTAGCAGTGGTTTGTTTGCAAAAGTTTGTTTGCAAAATTTTCTCTTATCTTAATTTGTATTCTACGTGTTCTGATTCACTTCTGCATATACATTTAAAAATACACTAACATCTCTTTATTTTAAAATTCAATTTTTCACTTTCATCATTTCTTTTCCTAACTTAAATTGTATCTATTATTCTCCATTTTGACCTTTTGAGTTTCCTTGTATCACTTGGCTCTGTTTTCTAGAAGAATGTAAATTGTCTCTTTTTCAATGACAACAGGGAAATTCAATTTCTTAAACTCATAAAAGTGAGATATTTTGGCAAATCTCACTTTTTTTTGCTTTTATTATTGATTTTAATTGACACATAATTGTACCTATTTATCAGGTATAGTGTATATTTCAATACATGTATACAACGTGTAATTATCAAAGCACACTGTAGGGCTACTATAATTGGTAAGTCTCACTTTGAAGGGACAGATATATCAAAATAAAAACTTGAATCATGTAGGATGACTAAATACTAAAGAATTAGATTATAGGGTGTATTAGTCCATTCTCACACTGCTATGAATAAATACCAAGACTGGGTAACTTATTAAGAAAAGAGGTTTAATTGACCCATGGTTCAGCAGGGCTGGAGAGGCCTCAGGAAACTTAAAATCATGGTGGAAGGGGAAGCAAACATGTCTTTCTTCACATGATGGCAGGAAGGAGAAGAGCAGAGCAAAGGAGGAAAAGTCCCTTATAAAACCACCAAATCTTGTGAAAAGTCACTCACTATCATGAGAATAGCATGGGGGGACCACCGCATGATCTAATAACCTCCCACGGGGTCCCTCCCACAACATATGGCGATTACAATTAAGATTGCAATTCAAGATGAGATTTGGGTGGGGACACAGAGCCAGACCATATCATTTTGCCCCTGGCCCCTCCCAAATCTTGTCTTTCTCATATTTCAAAACACAGTTGTGCCTTCCCAACAGCTCCCCAAAGTCTTAACTCATTTCAGCATTAATCCAAAAGTCCAAGTCCATAGCCTCATCTGAGACAAGTCAAGTCCCTTCTGCCTATGAGCCTATATAATAAAAGCAAGTTACTTTCTAGATACAGTGGAGGCACAGGCATTGGGTAAATACACCTACTCCAAATGGGAAAAAATGGCCAATATAAAGGGGCTACAGGCTCCATGCAAGTCTAAAATCCAATGAGGCAATAATTCAATCTTAAAGCTCCAAAAAATCTCTTTTGCTTCCATGTCTCACATCCAGGACACATTGATGCAAGAGGTGGGCTCTCACATCGTTGGGTAGCTCCACCCCTGTGGTTTTGCAGCATACAGCAAAGCCCACACCACCCCCCCACCCCCTCCACCCCTGACTGTTTTCAAGGGCTGATGTTGAGTGTCTGCAGCTTTTTCAGGTGCATGGTACAGACTTTCAGGGATCTACCATTCTGGCATCTGGAGGACAGTGGACTGTTTCTCACAGCTCCACTAGGCAGTGCCCCAGTGGGGACTCTGTGTGGGAGCTCTGACCTCACATTTCCCCTTTGCACTGCCCTAGCAGAAGTTCTCCATGAGGGCCCCACCACTGCAGCAAACTTCTATCTGAACATTCAGGCATTTTCATACATCCTCTGAAATCTAGGTGGAGGTTCCCAAATCTCAATTCTTGACTTCTGTGCACCTGCAGGCTCAACACCACATGGAAGCTGCCAAGGCTTTGGGCTTGCACCCTCTGAAACCATGATATGAACTGTACCTTGGCCCCTTTTAGCCATTGCTGGAGCAGCCGAGATGCAGGTCACTAAGTCTCTAGGCTGCAAACAGCAGGGTGGCCCTAGGACCCAGCCCACCAAACAATTCTTTCCTTCTAGGTCTCTGGGTCTGTGATGGGAGGGGCTGCTGGAATGTCTCTGACATGCTATGGAGGCATTTTCCTCATTGTATTCGCAATTAACATTTGACTCCTCATTAATTATGCAATTTCTGCAGCCAGATTGAATTTTTCCTCAGAAAACAGGTTTTTCTCTCCTATCACATCGATCAGGCTGCAAAGTTTTCAAACTTTTATGCTTTGCTTCCCTTTTCAACATAAGTTCCAATTCCAAATCATATCTTTGTGAATACATGAAACTGAATGCTTTTAATAGCACTCACATCACCTCTTGAATGCCTTGCTGATTAGAAATTTCTTCAGCCAGATACCCTAAATCATCTCTCTCAAACTCAAAGTTCCACAGACCTCTAGGGCAGGGGCAAAATGCCACCAGTCTCTTTGCTAAAGCATAGCAAGAGTAACCTTTATTCGGTTCCCAGCAAGTTCTGCATCTCCTTCTGAGACTACCACTGTCTGGACTTCGCTGTCCATATCACTGTCAGCATTTTGGTCAAAGCCACTCAACAAGTCTCTAGGAAGTTCCAAGCTTTCTCACATCTCCCTGTCTTCTTCTGAACCCTCCAAACTGTTCCAACCTCTGCCTGCTATGCAGTTCCAAAGTTGCTTCCACATATTGGGTATCTTTACAGCAGTGCCCCACTAACTGGTACCAATTTACTATATTAGTTTATTCTCACACTGCTATGAAGAAATACTCAAGACAAGGTAATTTTTAAAGGAAATAGTTTTAATTGACTTACAGTTCTGCAGGGCTGGGGAGGCCCCAGGAAACTTACAATCATTGCAGAAGGGAAAGCAAATATGTTCTTCTTCACATGGTGTCAGGGAGGAGAAGTGCAGAGTGAAGCGGGGAAAAGCCCCTTATAAAACCATTAGATCTTGTGAGAACTCACTCACTATCACAGAAACAGCATGGCAGGACCACCCCCGTGATCTAATCACCTTCCACGAGGTCCTTTTCTCAACATGTGGGGATTACTATTCAAATTACAATTCAGGATAAGATTTGGGTGGGGACACGGAGCCAGACTGTATGTATCATAGGGTGTTACTGTTTTTCATCAATTTAGCTTCAATTGTAAATGTTTTGGTTTCAATAAAATACATTTAATGAAAAGTTTACACTTTAAGAAAAGTAATGTGACAGTTATATGGGTCATATGATGATGATATTGTCATCTAAGTCCTTGAGAGCCAACATTGCCCTACAATTCCATAGATAATTGTATATGGTCTACCCCACACTTAGTTTAGTACCTCAGAATTTCTAAAGTGACTTTCAAGTTGACAATGTGCCATTTTGAGACTGTCACATTGTTAAATGTTAAAATATAGAGTATGTGAAAATCAAATGGCTTCTAAACTGTGCAAACTTTCAATACGCCTTGATCAAAAATAATTTCATGTTTTAAAAGCCATTAGAATAATGGAGCAAACTGACTTATGACACTCATTTTTTTTCTATATCCACTTTAGTTCACTACTGTGTAACCCATATCAGTCACCCTAAAGGTTCAACACATTAAAGAGACACACTGATTGGGAATAATATTATGGGTAGCAGTGAACAGTGAAGCTGAGAAGGATATAGGCAGATTAGTAAAGTACTTCATGGAAATATCAAAACGTTTCCTACCCAAGAGACTGAAGACTGTGCATTCAGAAAGTTTCCTAAATTACAAGAGCAAAAATGGTGGAAATCAATTGAAGAGAAAAAAAAGTGTTCAGCCTAATGGAAGCGATTAGCATTGATATGTGGTGTCTTGCTCTCTGATGCCACATCAAATTGGTGAGAGGTTTTAGAAAAAGGGTCAAATAGGATATAATGCATAAGCTTTCACCTAAGTATGGCAAAGCATTTAGTAGGTACACTACTTGAAATTCAATTCTAGCTCTGCCACTAACCAGTTAGGAGAACTGTTGAATCTTCACATACCTCACCAGGGAACCGTGGGGATAATAGCTACCACCTTTCCATCAACACACTTTGTGCTTCTACACCAGATAAAACACACAAAGATCTGGTTTTTCTGCTAGCCAGAGTGTTAGGAAATGTTTCTAATAGTTCTTCATTCTGTCTTTTCGCTTTTCTTCTTCCTAATCTTTCTCTCCCCTATCCTTTTATCATCTTTCTCATTTTCCTATACAAATATTCATTGAAGAAGTACTCTGTGTTAGACATTATGTTAGCTTATAGATACTGCATTTATTTCTAGAGAAAATATATATCATTGAGCACTTATGACACAAATTACTTTTACTTACAAAGACTTTGTAAAGTAGGTGATAATCCTATTTCTCTCTCTCTTTCACACACACACACACACACACACACACACACACACACACACACACACACAGAGAGAGAGAGAGAGAGACAGAATTAAAGGCAGAGCCAAGCTATTTCTACTACACAATCCTGAGTGATTTATGGGAGTATATTATAATGAGAGATTTTTTCTCACTCAGCAAGGTAAAGGAATTTATGTAGGGTTGGCTTCATATTTGGTATTTAAAAAAATGAGAAAGGATATCACGAATCATTCTATCTTTATTTGAATAGTCATTAAAGATGCTATTTGAAGTGCCTGTCACAACTCCTAGGTGCACAGTGGGCTCGGGGACCATACTTAAACACAATTTCTCTGTAGCTTGTATTGATACTCCATGCTGTTCTGACAGCTGCTGCAGCACCCCCGTCAAATATGTGGTGTTTCATCATTATTTTTGATGCCCTGGGGGTTTTGCTATGATATGCATCACATTTGTCCTGGTAAGCTTGTTTATTACTCATAATCTTCTGCTTCTATTTTAGGTTCATTATAGCTTAGAGGAGTTCTAGAAGTTTCTTGCGTTATTTATAGTATATTTAGATCACCTAAATAGAAAGTAAGAAACATTTTTCTTAGGTTTAGTCTGGAATACAGTGACGCCATGCTATTTGCTTCTTAAAAAGGCCTTTATTTCTTTTAAAAAATTATCATGCAACCACTGGAAAGAGTTCTGCCCCAGAAACAAAATTTAGGGCAACATTTTTATTGTGTTTTAATGAAAATGTTAGGTTCTATGGACAATTTCCTTATGTCCTTAATTCATTCTGGTATTATAACTTAATTGACAGATTTATTGGCAATTCTTAGTAATGTATGTAACTCCACAATACTGTGCATGATTAATTGCACACCATGTACTCACTTTTATCCACCTGGCCATATTCCTAGACAAGTGGCTTCATATTTTTGGATACTATCCTTTGCCTGCTGACTTGGAAAATGGAAGAGATGGAAACGAGCAGAGAGCTTTCTTCTGGGCACCATTTTTATGTTGGCCCTGTCCTTCCACTGCTCTCTGGTCCTGCTAGAAGATCCCACTGGACATACAGATTTGGAAGGGATGTGATACTGCCTTTACTGATTTCTCATGTCATGGAGGTAAGTCAGGGAAGAGGCTTTGGTGCAGAGCAATTTATGGCTTTGAGAACCTGTTACCAAACCATTTGTGAATAATAATAAGACTAACATTAATGATAACAACATTTATTGAATGTTTATTATTACTATGTGCTTTAGACTTGTTTCTTTATTTAATGTACTTACATACACAAAACTTATGACAAGTGTAGTGTCATGATCTTAATTTGCAGACGAGGAAATCCAGGCACTTGCAGTTTAAATGACTTGACCATGGGCACTAATATAGTTTGGCTCTGTGTCCCACGCAAATCTCATCTCAAATTGTGATCCCCACATGTTGAAGGAAGGAAGTGATTGGATCATGGGAGTGGTTCCCCCATTCTGTTCTCTTGATAGTGAGTAAATTCTCACAAGATCTGATGGTTATACAAATGTAGTTTTTCCTGCACTCTCACACACTCGTCTCTCCTCCTGCCTTCTTGTGAAGAAGGTGTCTGCTCCCCCTTTCGCCATGATTGTAAGTTTCCTGAGGCCTCCTCCGCCATGCAGAACTGTGAGTCAATTACACCTCTTTCCTTTCTTTCTTTCTTTTTTTTTTTTTTTTGACGGAGTTTCGCTCTTGTTGCCCAGGCTGGAGAGCAATGGCACGATCTCGGCTCACTGCAACCCCCACCTCCTGGGTTCAAGGGATTCTCCTGCCTCAGCCTCCTGAGCAGCTAGGATTACAGGTGCATGCCACCATGCCCAGCTAATTTTTGTGTTTTTAGTAGAGACGAGATTTCACCATCTTGGCCAGGCTGGTCTTGAACTCCTGACCTCGTGATCCACCCACCTTGGCCTCCCAAAGTGCTGGGATTACAGGCATGAGCACACTGCGCCTGGCCTAAACCTCTTTCCTTATAAATCACCCAGTCTCCAGAAGTTGTTCATAGAAGTGTGAGAACAGGCTAATACAAGTACCATTTAGTAAGTGGCTGCCCAGGGATCTGAACACAAGCAATCAGGGAAAGTGGCAGCAGACCACTACATTCTTCAGTGGCACCCAATTATCCCTTCTCTGCTCCACGTTTTCTGTCTATAGTTTACTAACTCTGTCTTCAACTTGCATTCCATTTTTCTTCTAGTCTTAAGTCCATTTTGTGAGCTGGTTCCTGATTTTTCTGCTTCTCTTGTAGGTATGTTTTTTTCTGCCTCTTCTTATATAGTGTTATATTTCTAGGTTTAGCTTCAGAAGGAGGGACACCATTAATCCATTTAATACCTTTTTTTGAATTAGAAAAGATTTCCTTTCTTAAGTAAATTTTCTTAATATTGTAGAACCTGAAGAATTCTACATGGCAGCCATGCTGGTTGTGTGCACACACCCATGTTTTTGCTCACTCACTTCCCTGCAGCTACATTGTACACACCACTAGCAGTGCACACATTCTTGTTGCCCCAAGCCCCTGCTATCTACATTCCTGCCCCCATATCTAGTTCTTCACATTGGAGGTGAGGAATTGGGCTCTGAGACCTATGGGCAGGTAAAGTCTGGCCAGGGCACAGTTATGGCCATGCGTGCGTGTGTGTGTGTGTGTGTGTGTGTGTGTGCATGTGTAATAAGTACGTGCACATCTTTATGGGTCAATAGGATTATAATAGTAATGTACACAAATTATTGTTTAAATATTCTCATGAGCTTTTTTTTCCTATAATTTTTGTTAATCTAAGGGATGAGATAACTAGTTCTTCCATTTCCTCAAAAAACTACTCAGTAAAACTACAGGATTCAGGCAATAAAAATATATGGATACATTATCAAATAAAAATTTATTTCAGGCCAGGTGCAGTGGCCCACACTTTTAATCCCAGCACTTTGGGAGGCTGAGGCAGACGGATCACTTGAGGTCAGGAGTTCAAGACTAGCCTGTCCAACATGATGAAACCCTATGTCTACTAAAAAGACAAAAAATTAGCTGGGTGTGGTGGCACAAACCTGTAATCCCAGATAGTGGAGAGGCTGAGGCATAAGAATCACTTGAACCTGGGAGGTGGAGGTTGCAGTGAGCCAAGATCGTGCCACTGCACTCCAGCCTGGGCAACAGAGTGAAACTATCTGAAAAAAAAATTATTTCAACTCTCATTCTTTGAGTACTAATCCATCATTTGATACAACATTGTGTTTATGCTCCACTAATAAAAACATCTTATTAGATGGCAAATCTTTAAACTTATTGTATTTTCCTCATGACAGAATATCATTGTGGCTGAATTACAAGTGTTAACTGCAGCTATGACCTCATACCAACCCTCTTTACTGATTGATCTTTTGTCCATGTGTAATAGTTGCTTCATTTACCTTGCTGCCTTGCCCATCACCATTATCCACTGGAGTTCACATTCTATGCGTATTGTAAGCTAAACATTGTTTTTATTATACTTGTTTGGGTTGATAGATCTCTCAGATTCATCCTAGTATTACCTTTGTCTTAACTAGGTGATGTTTCTGTCATCTTTTTATCTTTACCTCCAAATTACCCATTCTAGTTTTTCTCCACAAACTCAAATATGCGTTAATTATCCCTTCAATAAATTCCCAAGGCACTCATGTATAAAACCAAAGCTCACTTTATACCCAGAAGCACATTTAGAATCCAAAGTTACTAAAATAATAAGAAAAAACCCAACTTAATTAAACTGATATTTATTGAGTAATATTTGTAAAGTAGTGGATGAGAATGAATACTGAGAGTAGTAACTGAAGAAGAAATAAAACAGCAGGGGGCTGAGGCCAGATGAGGAAGTGCCAGCTACTGTGGTTAAGCTTTGCAAGAAGACATAAATCATGGAGGTAATCAGATATTCCTGGAAGTGGGGGTGTCACAGGGATTAAGTGATTAAAGGCATTAAGGGATTCTATTCTATGTTGTTAGAACTCACAAAATTAGAACTATACTCTATGTAAAATAATCTCTAGTGTGAAATTTTAAAGGGTTATGAGAGAGGGTTGACTGAGAAAGGGAGATGTAGTGATCACAACAAACTGAGCAGTGGAGTGAATAGAGGCAGAGAAGCTGTGAGGCCCAGCAATTCCATCACTTTGTCAGGTGCAAGTGCTGTTTGGTGACTGGAAGAGTTACCTGATGTAAAGGACATGGATTCTGGAGAAGCAGTCTATCAGACAGCATAGCCTGAAAAGGAGATGGAGGGCTACTAAGCAACTCTGATTTTATATTTTCAAAAGGAGTGTTTTCATTATTAATGTATTTTTCTAGATATCTCTATAAGAGTCATGCTAACAAATGTTTTCAGAACTAATTAAGCCAGGATAACATGACAAATAAGTTTATGTCTATAGAATTGGGGATTGGAGATAGAAGATCACTTTACTCATTCTTACTATCAGAGGAATTGTATAGCGGTATAATCTCTATTCTGATAAAGGTGGTTGACAATTATTGTCACATGTGAAACTGACATGCTCCACCCATAGTTTGCAACTAAAGAATATTTGCCAGTCTAGGGAATTTATACAACAATATGGCTTCAAAACAAGTATGCACATTTTCCCCCTTTAATGGATATGAAAAACTTACTATTTGACATTGCATCTTAATCTTGGTTATAAGATTGTAGCATGAGTAGACTATCAGTTTGACCACGTTTTGTCCTAAGTATTTCAGAAAATACAGAAGTGTAATTTGTGAGAGTTTTCTAAGACTGACTGCAGGCTTTCTACAGAAAAAGAGATGAGATGCTCTCTTTAAGAAGCTTTTTTTTTGAGAAATTGCTACAAAGGAAGAAACATTTCCCCTAACTGATTAGCAAATACCAATTCCTTTGTAAATATACATGCATGTTGACCTTTTAGTCTGTTCTAGAATACAAATTCAGTAGGGCCCTCACACAGTCACTCATGCTGTGAAGTTATTTTGGGGCACTGGATCACAAATGGGGACATCAATCTACCTACTTCATTTCAGGGTCCCTGTCTGGAGCCTTATGTCTGGCTCCTCTATGGTACCAGAACAGAGCTCATGCCAGTCAGCAGCATGGGGTTTAAAGATTTCTTTATATTGGAACTCTGCAAGCTTGAATGAAGAGAAGGTTAGAGTCTTGGACTAACGAAACAAATACTGAGTGGTTTACAAAATCTACCCCCTTTCACTTGAAAATATGCCTGCATTGTTAGACTGTGTGTATATTGATACAGACTTGCATAATACAGCCACTAAGCTAAGAAAACAATAACAAAAATGAACTCCAATTAATTTTTTTCCAAAGAGCAGAAAGACTAATTTTTATTTGTGTGATTTTGAAGGCCTCTCTTAAATATGGCTCCACCAAACAAAACACAAATTGGGAGACTGAATAACATAGCACTTCTATTTAGAAAGGTATTTTCAGATTCCTTGTATCAAATTTTACTCTGTATGTTTAGCAGTTGCAGCATAATTATTGCTTCCATGTACTGACATCCCAGAGTTAGACACTGTGCTGTTGTCTTTATACCCTCAATATATTATATATAATTCTCGCCACAATCCTGCAAATATCTTTTTTTCTCAATTTTAACAGAGGAAACAGAGCCTAGAGAAGTTAAGCATAAATTCCAGATCCAAATTTTGATTTTCCATATACAGTGTAATCTTGAGCGTGTTTTTAAATGTATGTTGCTAGGTTCGTGGCTGAGGTCTGTAAAACAAAGGACAGATTAACAAGAGATAAGCATAACAATTATTCAATATAAGTGTTACAGGACACAGAAGGCTTCAGAAATGAAGACCCAAAGAAACAGGGAAACCTGTGTATTTCTATGCTGTTTGATAAAGTTGATAGTTGTGGAGAAGTATGCGAGGACAAGTATGATCTAATGGTGATAGACTGGGGAAACTTAGCAAAGCCTGTTTGCTCAGATTCTTTTCTGGGTCTCAGTGTCTTCAGAGATAAGAATGTTCTTTTCCTCCATGTATAGGGTCTTATGGGGAAGGTCAGTTAGGTTTTATGGCCTGCTTTATGGGAGAAGTGATGAGGGGAAGGTGAGAGTGACCTTTCTGCTTTTGCTGTTTTCTCAAATACCAAGGTGCCATATTTTGGGGTAGCATGTCCTAAGCCTCATCATTAACCTCTCTGGGACTTAATTTCTTTATTTATAAAATGTGGACAAAAGTATTTTCTACTTTATAGGTTAATTGTGAGGGTTAAATGAGCTAATTTTATGAATAGACAGACATAGAAAAACCATTAAAGTAGTGATTGACACACAGTAAGCATTACAATGTTCATTATTATTATTATTATAACAACACTGTAATTGAGTATGTTGCCTATTTTCTAAACATCTAAGAACTTTTCAAGTTTTAAAATTCTTTGCTTTAGGAACCTGAGACAGTAGAGAATACAATAAAACAAAAAATCCTCACTCTCATAAAGTTTGCGTCTGAACAGGGAGGGAGAGTTAATAAAGAATATAAGTAAAATATGGGGGCTGGGCACGGTGGCTCACACCTGTAATCCCAGCACTTTGGGAGGCCAAGGTCAGCGGATCATGAGGTCAGGAGATCGAGGCCATCCTGGCTAACCTGGTGAAATCCCGTCTCTACTAAAAATACAAAATATTAGCTGGGCGTGGTGGCGGGCACCTGTAGTCCCAGCTACTCGGGAGGCTGAGGCAGGAGAATGGTGTGAACCCAGGAGGCAGAGCTTGCAGTGAGCCAAGATCACGCTACTGCACTCCAGCCTGGGTGACAGTGTGAGACTGCGTCTCAAAAAAAAAAAAAAAAAGAGTATAAGTAAAATATGTAGTGTGCTATATGATGAAAGTGCTACAGAGAAAAGTAAAGCAGGGAAAGAGACCAGAGAGTCAGGGCTGAGTCTTCCATTTTGAAATATGGCAGGCAGGGGAATCCCTCCTGAGAAGAGAATACCTGCACAGACGCGATGAATGAGGAAGTGAAGACATAAGTCATGTTGGTGTCTGGGGGAAGAGCATTCCAGGCCACTAAGGAAGTGAGTGCAAACACTGTTGTGGAAGCACATCTGGCAAGTCTGAGAAGGAATAAGATGCCCAGCAGGGCAGGAGCACAGGGAATTGAGTTTATAGAAGATAAAGTCAGAGAGTTAACAGGCAGCCACACATCCTATAGGGACTTACAGGCCATTATTGTAAAAACCTTGGTTCTTAAAATGAGTGAGATGGTAGATATTGGAGAGTTTTGAGCAGAAGAGTGATATGATCTGACTGGTAAGTTTTCCTAGGATGCCTATTACTGCAATGTTGAGAATTCACAGAAAGAAGCAGGAGGACCACTTAGGAGGCTATTGCAATAATCTCAGCAAAAAAATGGTGGCCTGGGCCAGAAAGGAAGCAGCAGCAGACATGGTGAAACATGATGGGACTCTGGATATATTTTGAAGACAGAATTGGTAGGATTTGTTTTTTAATAAGACAAGATGCACGTGTGTGTGAGAGGCCAAGAAAGAGAGAGGAGTAAAGGGTGACTCCAAGGTTTTCAGTCTAAACAAGTGGAAAAATGAAGCTGTTCTTCACTAAGATAGACTGTTTTAGGTTTAGGGGGCAGGAGGAGTTTGAGAGTTCATTTGGAGAGTTGGGGTATGCTGCCCTTGAGATGCCTTTTAGATGTGCATGTGGAGATGTTGAGTGGGAGTTTGAAGTTGAGAGGCTAGATCCCAGCTGGAAATTAAATCTGAGAGTCATCAGCATAGAGGCACTATTTAAAGCCTTCAATCTGACTGAGATTACCAAAGAAGTGGATGTAGAGAGAAAATAGATGAGGTCCAAGGACTGAGCCCTCGGTTTCTTCTTCATCAAGAGGTTGGTGAACAAAAAAGAAATTAGCACACAGACTAAAAGAAGTACCTGGTGAGTTATGAGAAAGTCAGGTGAGTGTGGAGTTGTAGAAGCCACATCAAGGAGATGTAAAGAATGAAATGTGTCAGATGCTGTTGATAGGTTAAGTAGCAAGAGGATTGAGAATTTTACTATTGAATTAGTAATAATACAGTCAGGTTGACAATGATAAGAGTAAGAGGAATTTCTAGAGTGGTGGAAGCAAAAAAAAAAGAGAGATTCTGGAAAAAGTAACATTGACAATGCAAGAGAGAGGGGAAATCAGCAGGACAAATGCTCTCAAGCAGGCAAGAGATGATGATATCTATTGCAAAGCAGAAGAGTTAACCTTAGCTAGGAACATAGACAGTTAATAGTAATGAGAGAGAAAGAAGAGAAAATAAGCAGAAAATAGATGGGTGTGTATAGTAGTAAAACTTTTGGAAGTCATCTTCGGATTGTTTCGTTTGTCTCAGGGAAAATGAGCAGAAAGTTCAGGGAAGGATGACCAGGAAATCTTGGGTTTCCTGTGATAAAGACATAAACAGTGATAAGAAGCATGATGAAATTTGTCCTGATGGCCCTAAGGCTGGTACAGTCTAGTCAGTATTCAGGCAGGAGGAGAGGATGGCTCTTACCTGGATATGTAAAGATTTGGCACTTTTCATTTGACCCTTAGTAATGGAGGTATAGAGGTCAGAGGAGTAGGCTTACTCCCCGCATCTGGGGATCCCTCTGGACTCTGAAGATGAAAAGCTGGAGAGGAGTAGATGGCGGCTTACTTTGTCAGGATTCCCCTTGGCACTATTAGCAGAGGGAGCTCTTCCCAGTCCTTGGCTTCATAGTTATTCAATACTTGGTCAAGCAAGATCTATAAATTTAAAGGCAAAAGCTATTGATCTGAATAAAACATAGAAGGATTTATATAGTAAAATAATGCTACAATAGTTGATATTGAGTAGTCAGAAGACATAGGGACCAAGGGCTAATAAAGTGTGCAAATCCAGAGTGCTTCTGTTTTGGATTAGTTTCTCATTTGTACTTATTTGATTCATAGCATGAGGTCAGTCCTTTTCCATTTCAATTCAATTTATTTCCATCATTTAAAGATTATCGAATAGGACAGATAATTTTGAAGACTTAGGGAAATTATCCACCATTTATGCGGGGCTGCAAGTTGCCCATTGAACATAGGAAGGATGGATCTTACAAGGTAAACCAGTATTCAGCCAATTAATTATGAAAATGTAACTATAAAACAATCAGATTGATTTGCTGATGCTAAGCCAGTGTCATTATTTTATAGTCAGAGATCTTATATTGTATATTCATTTTATAAAACAGCAAGGCTTGTTGTGGCTCTACATGTGGAAGTGAAAATAACATCATTTGATTTTTAAACAGGCTCATCACTAATGTTCCCAGATAAGTGGTAATAATAATGATAGTAAGCAGTTTTTACATGTGTACTATGTGCCAACTATACTGTCATCATTCTTTAAAATGATTCTGGGATATAGACATTATTATCCTATTTTATAGATAAGAAAACTTAAGATTAGATAGGTTAGTAACTTGTTAAAACTCAAGCAATTATGAAATGATACAGCAGGGACTTAAATCCAACTCTGCTTTCAATGTCTGTGCTATTAACCACCACACTGTGGCGTTGTTTCAACTTCTACCTTGAACTTCTCACTCTAGACAAAGCAGTCCGGACAGCTTTATGAGTAAGCAGGGTAGATGATTACTTATGCACAAAAGATTAAGTCTACTTCCTCTCAGTTCATCATTATAATTTCAGTCTTTTGGGTCATGGTTTTTTAGTCTTTGAGAATCCATTTATGTTTAAAATGCTATTACTTGTGGGAAGGGTCATTCATTTAGCCATCATCAGCTAACATCTTTATTATTAGTCAACTACATTGCATTAATTGCCAGACAGTTTTACTGCCCCAAGAGGGAAACTATTTATCCTGGACAAGACCTGGAGGTTGAAGAGATCAGCAGGAAATGTGCTAAGAGGAAGGAAATGTAGACTGGTAGGGAGATTGTAGGCCAGAAATTTTACCTACTTCACAACTGGACTCAGTCTCCTGTTTCAGGTCAGATTAGATAATTTTACAGCTAGAATGACACTTACAGACCAAGAACTTCAATATTCTCATTTTTAGATTAGAAAATTGAGTCCCAAGATCATGCAGTGGGATAGACAGAGAGATAGGATTACAATTTATAGATCAGATCCCTTCCCATTATAAGACTGCCATATTAGGTTGTTGTCAAGTTATAACCTTTGAACCTTAATGCATTCACTCTCCTTTTCTATTTTAGAGTCTGATCTATGAAACTCTTTTTCCTCCCTTTCCTCATTGCATTCAGGGTTTCTTTGACATAGGACACAGTGAACTGCTCTTTAGTTCTTGTCTTTCCCCAACCCTTTGTGAGGTATCAAATCCAAGTCCACTAATCTATAAATTTTACCTCTAGAGCCATACAAAAGAGAATCAGTTACTATCACACTTATAGGTCTAGAGAAAAGGATGCAAAGCTAAATTGCACAATCTCGTTTGAAACAATTCTAGTTCTATTAGGGATCTTGTCAGCAGTAAAAAAATGCACAAGCAGCAATCCCAGAAATGCTGAGAGGCTATCCAAAACTCACCTTTTTCCAAAATCTTACCTTCTTCTAAAAAGAATTCAAAGTATTCTTTGTTCTCATTTTTGACAAGATTTTGATTTGGGATATGAGTAGAAAACAGTGAATATACAGTAGTAGGTACTAAATATATAATCAGCTTTTGTTTTAGAAGCTACATATGGAAGCTTATGAAATCTTTTAATCAAGTAGTTTTGACTATCCACAACCAAACAGAAATCTCTTAACAGCCCAAATTACCATACATGATTCTATTAATTACCAAACTTAATGTGTTGTGCAAATTCTACCAAATAAGTAATAAAGCTTATCCCATAACCAACCATGATTCAGCTAATCAAGTTTCTAAATCCTGCTTCATTTACTTGGATACTAAAGCAAGACATAAATGAATAGATTTAATGTCCTTCGAGGTTATGTGGAATTTGAAGCTATTGATGGAAATTTACCTATGAGTTAGTCAATAGGTCATTTGTCTGGGAAAGTGGTAGCCAGACAGATAATGAACTTTGCGTCTACATCTGGTTCTCATTTTTGAGTCTAGCTTAAAATCAGAGTCAACAAATTGACCAAAGAGTTTAGTATCTCATTGCCATTTTATATAGGTGGCTGACCTGTGCCAAGAAAGGGAGAGATGAATCTGATGGGGACTACAGAGTTTTTAAATATACTTGCAACTGAATCTAATCTGATTCTTAAAGGCATATTTTGGATCTAGAGCACTGAGAAGAAAGGCTGCCCTAATACCAGTTAAACTCAGATGGTGACAGAAAATGTACTCAAGTAGATTCTGATGTGTTTCCTTTGTCAAACTGAGTTCAATTATGGCTCAAATTAATTTGATAAAAATGCAAAATTTATTTTAAAACTTATTAGAAACAAAGGAGAATATGCCTGTAAACCAACAGGTATTGGTGTATTTCTCAAAGACTTAAAAAAATAACAAACACAACAAGGAGACTGAAGACTTTACATTTTCTTTCCAGTTTGGTCTAACTTTTAGTTGGCATCTTGGATCTATTACTAAATGAGAAAATAAATCTGACCCCCTAGTAGAGTTTACTATTGATAGAGAATGGTATGTCTATAAAAAACTAATATATGTAATATGTAATTAAGAGGTGGTGGCAAGCTGGGTGCGGTGGCTCACGCCTGTAATCCCAGCCCTTTGGGAGGCCGAAGTGGGCGGATCACGAGGTCAGGAGTTCGAGACCAGCTTGGCTAACATTTAGTAACCCCATCTTTACTAAAAATACAAAATATTAGCCGGGTATGGTGATGCGCATCTGTAATCCCTACTACTCAGGAGACTGAAGCAGGAGAATCACTTGAACCCGGGAGGTGGAGGTTGTAGTGAGCCAAGATCAGGCCATTGCTCTCCAACCTGTGTGACAGAGCGAAACTCCATCACAAAAAAAAAGAGGTGGTGGTGTCAGAATCTTGCGGTTTAGATTTATAATGGCGTTCATTATTTTTAAATTTTATCTAGTTTTTTTTTTTGCTACATATCTATATGCATTAAATACAAAATAATGATTTTATTTTTACAAAATGTTTACAATTATATTTGTTGTTCTTGTCAACTGGAGAGTAGGAAACATGGGTACAGTAAGGTGAGTCATTGAGCTCATTAGTACAGTCATGGAGAAGTTCAAACATATTTTTTGTATTAGAATTTTTTCTTTAAATATTAATTATATTTTAATTACCATGCTGAGAGTAAACCAACTTTTCTTTAATTAAAGTCCACTTAGTTTCTAAGACTTCTTCCTTTCTCTATAAAATTGCCAAGTTTATTTAAGAAATTCCCATCAGCTTTTGGATCTCTGGGATATTCTTCAGGTATACAATAATGATTACAAAATAAAGCATAGAAATGATAAATTATTGAGATGAATTAAAAAATAACCTTGACTCTGGTATTTTTAATCCATCTTTAAACCTGAATGCATCTTATGAGACTGATTAAAATAAACACATTTAGAATAGGAGGACGTCTTTAGATTCGGTTAGAACTAGTGAAAGATTTCTGATTTTTTTGGAGACAGAATGTAATTGACTTAAGTGATGGGGAAGTGGTGGTAAAGAGAGGAAGTAAATCTTTGTTCAAAATGATTTTTTTAAATAAAATAAATGTCACCCTTAAGTCTGCTATCAGAGCTGGGAGTGATAGAGGATAACTTTTATGAGTAGCGTATATGGCAGCCATCGGTATTCACAGCCGTAACTTACTGTTTCATGAGGAGCTGACATCTACTACTTAAATAAGAGGTGATATTTCCATTTTGGCTATATTCATTAGAGCTAAATAGGTAGTTATACATCACCAAAAGTTAAGGGGAAATATCCCTATGGGGAAACTGCCAACCTTGTTCTGTTGGTCTATTAGGTCCCTTTCAAAGGTGGGGTGGTATTGCTACTGCCAGTGTGGCAAAATGAGGACACTAAGCAGAGAAACTAGTAAGCCTGTCAGTCTGCCTGTTGAAAATACAGTTTTTTTTTTGTTTTTTTTTTTTGAGATGGTGTTGCGCTCTGTCACCCAGGAGACAGTGCAGTGGCTCACTGCAACCTCTGTTTCCTGGGTTCAAGTGATTCTCCTGCCTCAGCCTCCTGAGTAGCTGGGATTAGATGCACATGCCACCATGCCCTGCTAATCTTTGTATTCTTAGTACAGTCTGGGTTTCATCATGTCGACCAGGTTGGTCTCAAACACCTGACCTCAAGTGATCCATCTGCCTTGGCCTCCCAAAGTGCTGGGATTATGGGCATGAGCCATTGTGCCAGGTAGAAAATACAGTTTTTGATTTTATATTTGTATGCACGAGAATGGATTTTCTGCTGAGAAACCCTTTATATTGTGCCATTGGAAACAGACTCAATGACTTAAATAACATAGAATTTTTGTTTTGTGCAAGTGAAGAAAGGAACCTATATCATTCTGTCTTACCAAGGAAAATGGGGAAAGGTAATATTTCCAATAAACAGAGGACACTAGATAATTTTGGAAATAAGGAGTATATAGGTTAAACTGTTAGAAAAGAGAAAATAATATAAATTAAGAAGTGGACTTTTGATCTTTCAGATAAAATAATATAAAGGGATGGAATTTTGATCTTTCCTGTTTGTTATAAGCCAGGCACTCACTTTTAATTATATGTTTGTTTTTTTTTTTGCCTTTCTCTCCTTCCTTCTTGCCACCTTCTTTCTCTACCTCCTTTCCTTACTCCCATGCTCCCTTCCTCCTTCTCTTCCTTCCTCCCTTCTTTCTTTCCTTCCTTCCTTCCTTTATTTTGTTTTTTTGAAGGTAGGGGTGAAAAAAACATTGGAACATGAGTTGTCAAGAGAAAATAGATAAGAGAGCAGACATAAACTTCCCCTCCCATTTTATTTGACAGAAAAGAATAAAAGATGGTAAAGGAAGGTAATAACTATTGACCCTCAGTATTAACTTTGTTCTCTTGGGTAAGCACATAATTAGGTTGTTCTTTAAAATGCGTATTATGTAGTTGGCAGCAGGCTCTAGCTTCAATCAGATAACTCCTTGTGTAGGCAGCTTTTAAAATGCACATCGTGGACCAAAGGAACTTTTCTGGTCTATTGGGTAAATATGTATTAAAGTAATTTTTAAAATACTTACATACTTAATAGGCTGGAAGTGGTCAATGGTTTAATGAATAGTCATACATTTTAAAAAACATATTATTATTTATGCACTGACCTGAGTGAGAAAGTCTTTTAAAAATGACATATTCCTGTTGACTGTGTAATTTTGCAGTAATATCTTAAAAGTATTTCAGGAGAACAAGAGCCAATTTTAAAATTACATTATCTCATCGTCCCTTCGCCTGATTTTTTCCTGCTTGCTCTTCCTCTTATGGGATGTATTTTAATAGTCTCATTTGATAGACTCCCTGCTGGCCTAATTTCATTTTCATAGATTAAAGCCGATTTACATTCTAATTGTAATTTTAGTGTAGAATTTATTCTATGTTGATTCATAGTGTCTGGCACATAGTAGGCACTCAGTCAATATCTATTGAATGGCTTATTTTTATATTTTTGTGTCAATTTTGCAAGCAGACACTATAGCCTTGTGCCTACTATATGCTGAGCACAGTGTAAGAAATCACTCAGAAGTTTTTCTCTTACACAAAGGTCTTATCTAGATCCTTTATTTTTAAATATTCTACTTTCAGCTTTGTCAGTTATTAGCTGCCTCTGATGAATTGGCTCTCTCTCTGCATCAGTTTCCTCATCTACAAAAGGGGAACAATAACTCCAATTTTGCAGATTTCTTATTGGGATCTGTTGAAACTCTATATGCAAAATACCCATCACAATATGTGATGCCTGGTGAGCCCTCAGCAATGCCTTTTCTCTCTCCACCTGAATTCCCACCCAGAAACATGGAAAATAGTCATTTCTAGGCAGCAGAAGTTTCCAAACTCCACAGTGCCCTAATCACAAATATCAAAAAGAAAAAATTAATAATTGAATACATAGGCAACATTCTCTGGTGTCAGGAGCACAATTCTTCAATAATTTTCCAAGTCCCATTTCCTGGCTAGGACCCCCTGTGGGCCCTGATCTCTATGATCAGCACTATCCTGGGAATCCTAGAACCTTGTTGGTTCGGTTCCTCTTGCCCTCCCCTACCAGGGTGGTTCCACCCCAATGTTTGGGTTCTTTCCTTCCCTTCTTCTCACATATCCCATGGGAGTTTTTTTTTTTTTTTTTTTGTCAGACCTCAAGATCCCTTCTGAATTTCAGAAAATCCCACAATAAACAAACTACCCTCCCCAGAGTCAGGTTTTCTAAGAGCAAACAGGGGTAATGATATCTGCTGCAGCACAACACAGTAAATAGGGTTTTGAGAATAAGCATTATTAACAGGCTCACTGAACTGCTTCAAATCCTATTTGGAGGGAGGCATGGTATAAATAAATAAACATGCTCCCTGGATCCTTACTCTCTGAGGTTTAGTGAGCTACTTCAATCTTGGAAAGGCATTAAAATTGCTGGTACATAATTGGATTTGTTTTGCTATTAGGGTGCAGATCTCTAATTTTTTCCATGTAGGCCACATTCATGGAGCAGTAGCAGTCTTATTGTGATAGAAATGCTACCGGCAGTGTGACTCTTGGGGTCACCTGAAGGATAGAGAAGGGGAAGCAAGGGATACAAATCCTCGTGTTCCCACTTACTCTTAATGCATGCCTGTTTTTTCTTGCTGGGTAAATAGATAGGCTAGTAGTTCTAGGGGTCATTGTTATTGCGCTGGTAAAGGGTGTCTATACTTTACATCCTCCGTAGTCTGGGATTAGAAGGCTTTAACTTGTTAAATGAACTTATTCGAAATGCAAATCTGATCTGTAACTTACTTTTACTTATTGTAAGATTGTTTCTATATATTTGGCCTGGTAGGCTGTTCTAAAATGTGTTGCATAGCTACGCATGACTATTTTTAATAAGAAATTATTATTTTTTAAACCATCAGCAGCAGAAAGCAGTTTTCTCTTCCCAGTAGAAATGGAGAGATAAAGGAAAGTTAGAAAGTTTTCCAAAAGGCTAAAGGAAAAGTTAGAATTATCCGAAAAAAAGTGATGTACTGGATATATCCTTTTAGAGACAAGCTTGAGTCTAACCACAACTTTGAGGCATATATAAGTCTTTGGACAAAGAGAACAAGCAGAGGTTTGAGGGGGACATCTTAGTTTCAAGGCAAGCTGATGGGAAGATTTAAAGGGAAAGAGTGAACACAAATTTAGAAGAAAGCCTCAAGTGTAGGCTCTGATTCTTCAGTAGAGGGAGTCCAATTTAATTAGTGGAAATATAGTTCAGTTTAGAGATAACTAGGAAGACATAGCCTGCCCTGTTTGTTAATAGAACAGCTTATCTCCTTCAGGGTAGCTAAGAGAACAGATATCAGAGAAATTAGGTGAAAAATGTACCCCTGCAGCAATAGACATTGATATAACTGAAACTTTTCTCAGTGTAACTTCAGAGGCTCTTGCTTCAGGATAATAAAAACGTTTTCCCAGAGTACTCATTGAAAGATGGGGGTTGAGGTGGTGACGAGTTAACATGCATAGCACAGATATTGTTTAAAAATGGGGGCATGTAAAAGGGACCTAAGAGAAGGTTGTTTTACAAGAAAGGCAGGAGCGTACCTTAGGAAAGGATATTACATGATAAGCAGGGATGACCTAGATGCACTCAAAATCTATAATCTCAGATAAGAAAGGTGGTTCTAGAATCGAGAGCTAGAGGTCAGAGATAGCCCTAGGGAAACCAAGATTTTTAAGATAAATGTGAACAAAATAGCAAAAATGTGGAGCTCTGTCTTGTCAGTGGAATACTGATAGCCATACTTCAACACAGCGTGCTGAAGGAATCTTTAGGGAAAGGCAAAATCTGAACGTACAATTTGTACAATGTACAAATTACACCCTCAACACCCTTCGTGGCCATTTCTGGAGCATATCTTTCTTGTCCTTTCTATTCATTTAGAATATCTTTTTGTTTTGTTTTGTTTACCTACTCTTGCATAATTTTATTTTTAATTTTTGTATTAAAATTGATTAGTTTAGGTCAGGGGTTCTCAACCAGAATCACCTGCAAGGCTTTTCTTTTCTTTTCTTTTCTTTTTTCAGAATAGTTGAAGTTTGAGGTTGGAACATGTATATACTTATAAAGCTTCCTAGATCATTTGGATATGTAGCTTCTGTGGGTCAGAAGCCCAGGCATGGCTAGCGGGTCATTACTAAGGCTCAAATTAAGGGAGTCAGTGGTCTATAGTCTCATCTGAGGTTTGCCTGAAGAAGGATTTGTTTCCAAGCTCACATAGTTTTTGGCAACATTTAGTTCCTTGTGGGTAGTTGGATTGAGGGCCTCAGTTTTTTGCTGGCCGTTGATGTGGGGCTGCCCTCAGTTTCTTGGCCATGTATTTCTTTCCAACATGGCTTCTTACCCTTTCAAAACCAGCAAGGAAGAAGGACTCACTTCCCAAGATGAGCATTACCATGTTGTTTAATGTAATCATGTACTTATAATCCCATGCATCCCATCACCTTTGCTGTATTCAACTAGTTAGAAGCAAGGCACAGGTCCTACTCACACTCAAAAGGAAGGCTAATCAAAGGTGTAAATATCAGAAGGCACGCACATGGGCATCATCTTAGAGTTTGTCTACCATTCCTATCATCTAAAATCCTTGCAATGCCTTTAATTTTAATTGCTAAAAAATGTGAGAAGGATTTTAACGTATTCATTCAACAGATATTTCATATGCCAGGCACTGTCCTTAGATGCAGTTCTTGCCTTTGGTAACATATCTATAAACAATTATAATAAAATATAGTAAACTCTGTAAGAAACATGGGGAGAGTCTAGGCATGCCTGATGTTGATGGATTGATTTTTGTCATTAAATTTGGGCAAGATTCTAGGGCAGACTATTAAAAGGATGGTTCAGTATACTGTGAGCGAAAAACAGCACTTACCAAGAACATCAAAGGTTAGTAGAACCACTTTAGGTCACACTGGCCTCATTTGTTTTTCCCACAGGAAGGTTTGTCAGGATAATATGGTAAGCTTAGAATATTTGGACCCAAATATTTGGAAAGAGGTTCTTGTTGTGTTCATCTGAAAGTAGTGGAGAAATATGAACCTGAAACTAGTATAATACAACTAAAGAAATTAGCAACTGTGGAAGAAACATGCTCTGAGGATACTAATCAGCACCACTGAATCAATGAACCCATAAGAGCCTGGAAGACAATCTTATTGTCAGTGACATAGCTCTATCCTTGTCTTGCTTCTCTAGAGCATTTTCATGGATGATGTGGATGAATACAGGGGCAGCACAGAAGCAGAGATGAGCAGTGACTACAAATGATGTGAGAATCAAAATAAAACCTGGTGGTAAGTGATGACAATAAATCAATTCCAATAGGATAGATATTTCTAGTGATCAATAGAACATTCTTCTGTTAGGGCCAAAGTTAGCAGCAAGTATAAATTTGTAAAACATGGCATGTCAATTTAGAAATTTTAGGTTATTCAAATTAAAGGTGGGCTATTTTTGTGATATAGATTCCACAAAGAATAGTTCAAATGGCAAATAGTCAAAACGTATTTATTGAAACACAGCATCTATATTGAGAGAAAATAGTTTTGATCTAGTTTCTGAGATTTCATATGAAGGATTTCGCCTATTTTAAGGATGGCTTTTACAAGCAGCTCTGGGCTAGGTGCGGTGGCTCATGCCTGTAATCCCAGCACTTGGGAGGCTGAGGCGGGTGGATCACCTGAGGTCAGGAGTTCGAGACCAGCCTGACCAACATGGAGAAACCCTGTCTCTACTAAAAATACAAAATTAGCCGCGCCTGTTGGTGCATGCCTGTATTCCCAGCTACTCGGGAGGCGGAGGCAGGAGAATCACTTGAACCTAGGGGGTGGAGGTTGCGGTGAGCTGAATTCGTGCCATTGCACTCCAGCCTGGTCAATAAGAGCAAAACTCTGTCTCAAAAAAAAAAAAAAAAAAAAATGCAGCTCTACTGTAGCATGTTCAGAGGGCCACAAGAAAATAGGCTAAGAAATGAAGCTTTGGGCCTGGAATAGGGTCTCTTAAAATTTACTTGAAATATTTGAAAGACCATCTTGGGTAAAGTGAATTGAATTTGTTTTAAATAGCTCCACTGGAAAGACATGAGACCAATTTTGGAAGCTGCCATGAGACTAATTTTGGAGTGATTTCTTATACTCTGAATTCTCTAAAGTTGAAACAGTTTGCTTTGGAAAGTGAGTTTACTGTCACTAAGGGGGTCTAATCATGTGGCGTCAAGCTTGATAGGGTGTTGCTGATTAGTTTAAGAATTGAATATGTAGTTGGGCTAAAGAACTAAGTATATGAAGTCCTTTCTAAAACCATGATTAGCAGTTTCACTGCACTATCATCTGTGGAGTTTTTAAAAGGTCATATACCTCTAACTTCTTCTCCAGCCCCATTGAATAATCAATGAAAATTATTCTATGCTATTTCTATAAAATTGTATCCAGCATTTAAAAAAGTTCCTAGGGTAATTTGCAGGCCAGTGAGTTGGCTGGAGAGGGTTTGAAGGCACATTTAAAAAATATCTTGCACTAAAACATACATCAACTATTTTATTGTTTTTTCCCCTCACTTACTTTGGTGGAAACATTGTGTAATCATATGTTGACTCTAATTCTTTCCAACAGAATACTGTAATGTGACAACCATTTAAACAAAGAGGTTTGGATTGAGAAGAAAAATATCAACTACTCATCTAAGAGGAAGGAAAAGGCAATTCAGAAGGTTATCAATGAAGATATGTTGAGGACGAACTTCCTTTCCCTTATACACATCCCCAGGAAACACTTGGAACAATGTAGTTAGTTAAGCAAAATAGAGATGTACCGATTTTCCAGGTTCTGTAATTTATCAACTAATCTAATGTTCTTGCAACTGCCTTCCCTGTGCCATCAGGGCACAGAAATGATAATGTACTTCATTGTCTCTACTTTAGTCTAATTTAGGTCTTCTCCCTGCTTTCCACTTCTGCAAAGATGACTTACATGATGATGACAGCATTGATATGTGAAAGACTAGAAGAAACAAAATTTTTAACAATGACAACCTATAAAGAATCAAAGCACTTTAAGAAATCTGAAAAAATTAACAGGAACAGCTTTTATGCGATAAGGGCTATGCAAATTATAGCAAAACTTCTGACATTTAGAACTTTTACAAAATTAGAAAGCCTCATAAACTACTATCAATCAAATAATCATACTTAGAATTAAAAAGGAAACTAGAAATCATCTTCATCGATCACACTATTATTTCCTTTCCCTAGATGAAAAGGAAAGCTTTCTTGATGAAGTACTGCTTTATTTATATTCTGAGGTGTAGATTCCTTATTTCCTGGTGGATTGGCTTAAACAAGTCACAACCAACTACTTTAGCACAATCTAGTCATTACCCTTTGTTTTATAAATGAGGAAACACACAGAGATGCCTTAACATTCTTCAAATAAATGTTTATTGAAGTATCTGGCACCTATGTAAAAGTTAACTAGACCATTTTGTCATTGTCCAAGGATTTTGGGGGCAGAAGTGAGGTATTATTTCATCTCTGGGCTATTTGGAAAAGAGGAAACTTAGTCTTCTGTTTCAAACTGATTTGCTCATCAACCCACCATCTTTTCAATTAATTTCAAAGTTAAATTGTAATTTAGCTTTCAGTTGATGCATTCTCAATGCAATCTATGTTAACGTGTTCTATTGAACAACCATGTATCACATTTACAAATACTCTTGAATATCTTATTACTGCATTATTTCATACACCCAGTTGAGTCCTTGGAAACTCAAATAATCGTATGACTAAAAAATAAAAAACATACATCTTGACCCCAAATTGTAAAAGGCCTTAAAAAATGCTTGGCAGTGAATTACAATGTACTATGTAACAAAATTAGTCCAATGCAACTTACATCACTTTTAAAATAAATTTATAGCTTAGTGTATTTATCAGAATACAACAAGGAATAAAAAGTAGATAAGCGGCTGGGCGCAGGGGCTCACGCCTGTAATCCCAGCACTTTGGGAGGCTGAGGCGGGCGGATCACGACGTCAGGAGTTTGAGACCAGCCTGGACAACATGGTGAAACCCTGTCTTTACTAAAAATACAAAAATTAGCCTGGCGTGGTGGCGTGCACCTGTAGTCCCAGCTACTTGGAAAGCTAAGGCAGGAGAATCGCTTGAACCTGGGAGGTGGATGTTGCAGTGAGCTGAGATTGTGCCACTGCACTCCAGGCTGGGCAACAGAGTGAGACTCTGCCTCAAAAAAAAGAAAAAATTAGATAAGCTTTTTTCTCAAGAATATAGAAAAGGATGATAAATATAAACTAAAGAAGTAGGAATAAAAGAAATAATAAATATAAAAGGCATAAATCATCCTATCTAGGGAAGAATATCTAAATAGATGATTAGCAAGACCAATTAATTATTAAGGTAAGAAAATTTAAAAGACTGATAGATTTCTGGCAAGACTGATAGAGAAAATAATATGGAATCAGAAAGGACAATAGCTACAGATAAAAATATTTCAACTCACAGATGAATCCCAGTAAATTTGGGACTTCTGTGAAAACACATACCTTTCTGGAAAAAAATTATACTGATCAGTATTGGCCCAAGAAGATACAGACATTCTAATTAAACATAGAAGGGTTCAATGGAATAATTTCTATTAGATTATTTAAATTTATAATAAGAATACCCCCTATTTCTCCATCCCTTAAAAGTACCAGAGATAGATAGTTTTATAAGGAAGCCCTACCCAATTTTCAAAAAATAGATCATTTTTCTCTTAAACATATTGTTTTACAGATTAAAAAATATAGTTGCTCAAATCATTTGAAATGTAGTCTAATCTTAAAGCCAAAACCAGATGAGAACAATGTAAGAAAAGCTACTTATTGGCCATTTTTACTTATCAAAATAGAGATATCAAATCTATATAAAATGTTAGCTAGAAACACCTAATAGTGTATTATATCAAGATCAAGTAGGATTTTTGTCAAGAAGGGAATGCAATATGGTTTGAAATTGGAAAATCTGTTGATACGGTTTACTACCTATTCATAGGAAAGGCAAAAATTTATATGACCTTCTAAATCGATGTAGAAAAAGCATTTGAAAGTTTCATATTTATTGACGATAATGTGAGGGCAAAATTTAAAAAGCATTTGATAAAGTTCAATGTCTACTTATGGTAATGTGGGGATGAAATTCAATATCTATTTATGATATTGTAATTTATGCACAGTTAGGGTTTTTCTGAGAAAATGTAACTAAAGCTCGGGACCTGGGTTAAAAGAGCAATCCATATAAGTCAATTTGTGACTGATTAGCAAGAGAACACTCCAGGGAGATTCACTTCCCTGCAAGTATGTGTTTATCTCCAAAGGGGTGATGTGACTGGAAGACATGGAAACATTGCTGGATGGTAAAGCTGGAGATACCTTTCTTATCTTTTCCTTAGATTTATTTACATTACAAAGAGTGAGGATCCAGGACTCTTCTCAATAAATTTGCAAGGAGATGCTCTCATGGGAAGTGGGAAAGCATGCATGTAAGCATCCAGAGATGTATTTTTAAGGTTCCTTGCCCACAGAAGGTCCGCTAACATGTTGGAAAATATATAGCTCTCATCGTGCCACCTTCAAGAGTTATGAATTGAGGCAAAGGGGACTAGTGTGCTTTTTATTATGTAAGCATAATAATTAACCTGCTATGCTCCAGAAGCCTGTGTTGGCATTTAAGAAAATATTAATAAATATACATATTAAAATGTACCAGATAAAACTCTCAGATAACCAGGAATAAAATGGGACTCCCTTTATCCAGAAAAGATTAGCTACCAAAACCCAACACTGATCATTGTACCCAGTGGAGAAGACTTAGAATCATCCTGCCTAAGCCTTAGAATAAAGCAAGAATGTCTATCTTTGCTGCTATTCAATTCAACAATGCAGTTAAAATTTACCAATGCAGTAATAATTTACCAACACTATTTTAGTTTCTTTATATGCATTAAATTATTTAATAATCACAAGAACCTATGAGGAGGTCCTATCACTAGCTCCATAATTCAGATGAAAATATTTGGGACTCAGAGATATCAAGTATCTTGCTCAAGGTCATACAGCTAATAAGCATCAGGGTCAGGAAGTTTGGCTTCTGCGTCTCCACTCATAACACTACCTTACATAAAAGATTCAAAAAATGGAAGAGATGACACTAAACTGTTATTTTCATCAATAATAAACTATTAGAATATGAGGCAGCTTGGCAAATTTCTAGGATATAAAATAAATATACAAAAATCAATAGTATTCCTTTTTAATAGTAGCAATCAGAAGATATATAATAAAATATCAATTATAATGGCAATGAATATTTAGGAAATAGCTGCTAAGTTAAAAAATGGCTATATAACATATTCATGAATGAGAAAGTTTAACATCATAAAGATGTTAGTTCTTCCCAAATTAAACTATAAACGTTATGAATTTTTTTCAAAATCCCACTGAGAATTAAGTAAAATAACCCTAAAATTTATAGAAGACTGTTTCTGAATAGTTAAGACCTTTTACACCCACAAAAATAAAAGAGGGAGAAACTTATCTGACCAGATAATAAGATACTGTTTTACTGCATAATTAAATGAGCATATTATGTGTGTGCATGTATACATACATATGAGACAGTCATATGAATATGTGTGTGTATATATATTTACACATATATATGCATATATACATGGACAGTAGTAGTGGCTTCATAACTGGGTGAGAAAAAGATTATTAATAAATGCTGTTTGGAAATGGGCTTCATTCTCCCACCTATAAAAAATTAAAATCAAAATTAAATAAAAGCCTAGAAATGAAAGGAAATGTTATACAACTATTAGAACAAAATTCAGAAGAATATCATTATGACCTTGGGTCTGTGGAAGATTTCTTAAACCAGAAACAAAAAAAGCACAAATCACAAATACAGAAAGATAGATGGATTTGATTACAGTAGGCTTAAATACTTCTGTTTAACAATGGATACCATATGTAGACATTAAAAAACGAGTTAACAACTGGAGGAATATGACTTTTAAATATGTAAATAAAAAGGATTAATAGCTAAAATGTGTAAAGAATTCCTGCAAATCAGGAAGAAACTGTCAAGCAACCCAATACAGAAGTGACCAAATGATATGAGTAGATAATTTTCAGGGGGAAAACTTAAATGGCACTTTCATAGAGAAGTGCTCACATTTATTAGTAATCAGACAATGAAAAATTAAAATGAGACATAATTTTGTGCACTCATCAGAGGAGTAAAACTTAAAAAGTCAGATAGCTTCCAGTGCTAGTAGCATATTACTGGAAGAAAATGATATTGCGGCAACCATTCAGGAGACCAATTTGAATATTTAGTGAAATCAAGTATGCATAATCTCCTGTCTGAAGGTATTAATACATATCCCAGAGAAGCTCTTAGATCAGTGCCCAAATAATCATGGATAAGGATATCTATCAGAGAACTATTTTTAATTGTAATGGCTTAAGAGTTGGAAACAATGGAAATACTCAATTAATGTCCAACTAAACATTATTATATGCACAAAAATAACATAGTTAAAATGTATGAACTAGGACTATAAATATAATATGGATCAATCTGAGATGCCTAATGTTTTTTGGGAAAAGTGAGCAGAATTAGAAGTTAGTACCATTTGGGTAAATACCAACTCAAGCTTGGGTGCTTAGAGTGAAAAAGGGAATAGAATGAGATATTGGGTTGTGAAGATGAAGGGAATGAAAACACACAAAAAATGAAGACATTCATTGATAATTGAAAATAACATGTCACAAACTAATATTTTATAAATCTAAAAAAAAAAGGCAAAAACTCTCACAGAACCTATCATCTCCAAAAAGTTTGCAGTCTTTAGAGCATCATTTTACAAGGAAGTCCTTTTTCTTCTCCATAACCTTCATGACTATGAAAAGACAGCCATGTAGTCATAGTAGCAATATCCTTTCCTTCTAGTAATATACTCACTACCACCAGGTACTATTTGATTTTAAAGTTATACTCTTCTGATGAATGCTCAAAATTATGTCTCATTTTATTTTCTTGTCTTGAATCAAGAAAATAGAAAAATCACATTCTAGATATGGTCTTGGAGGACTTTAGCTTGGAGGGTATGTAGATCGAGGGTTTAGAAAGCTTTCACATTAGCTAGAAGAAGAAAAAGAACCAAAATTCAAGAAGAGACAATAATATTCCAAACCCCAGTTATAATAATTGAACTGAATCACGGAACATTTTTTTTTATATACTTTAAGTTTTAGGGTACATGTGCACATTGTGCAGGTTAGTTACATATGTATACATGTGCCATGCTGGTGCACTGCACCCACTAACTCATCATCTAGCCTTAGGTATATCTCCCAATGCTATCCCTCCCCCCTCCCCCCACCCCACCACAGTCCCCAGAGTGTGGTATTCCCCTTCATGTGTCCAGGTGATCTCATTGTTCAATTCCCACCTATGAGTGAGAATATACGGTGTTTGGTTTTTTGTTCTTGCGATAGTTTACTGAGAATGATGATTTCCAATTTCATCCATGTCCCTACAAAGGATATGAACTCATCATTTTTTATGGCTGCATAGTATTCCATGGTGTATATGTGCCACATTTTCTTAATCCAGTCTATCATTGTTGGACATTTGGGTTGGTTCCAAGTCTTTGCTATTGTGAATAATGCCGCAATAAACATACATGTGCATGTGTCTTTATAGCAGCATGATTTATAGTCCTTTGGGTATATACCCAGTAATGGGATGGCTGGGTCAAATGGTATTTCTAGTTCTAGATCCCTGAGGAATCGCCACACTGACTTCCACAATGGTTGAACTAGTTTACAGTCCCACCAACAGTGTAAAAGTGTTCCTATTTCTCCACATCCTCTCCGGCACCTGTTGTTTCCTGACTTTTTAATGATTGCCATTCTAACTGGTGTGAGATGATATCTCATAGTGGTTTTGATTTGCATTTCTCTGATGACCAGTGATGATGAGCATTTTTTCATGTGTTTTTTGGCTGCATAAATGTCTTCTTTTGAGAAGTGTCTGTTCATGTCCTTCGCCCACTTTTTGATGGGGTTGTTTGTTTTTTTCTTGTAAATTTGTTTGAGTTCATTGTAGATTCTGGATATTAGCCCTTTGTCAGATGAGTAGGTTGTGAAAATTTTCTCCCATTTTGTAGGTTGCCTGTTCACTCTGATGGTAGTTTCTTTTGCTGTGCAGAAGCTCTTTAGTTTAATTAGATCCCATTTGTCAATTTTGGCTTTTGTTGCCATTGCTTTTGGTGTTTTGGACATGAAGTCCTTGCCCATGCCTATGTCCTGAATGGTAATGCCTAGGTTTTCTTCCAGGGTTTTTATGGTTTTAGGTCTAACGTTTAAATCTTTAATCCATCTTGAATTGATTTTTGTATAAGGTGTAAGGAGGGGATCCAGTTTCAGCTTTCTACATATGGCTAGCCAGTTTTCCCACCACCATTTATGAAATAGGGAATCCTTTCCCCATTGCTTGTTTTTCTCAGGTTTGTCAAAGATCAGATAGTTGTAGGTATGCGGCATTATTTCTGAGGGCTCTGTTCTGTTCCATTGATCTATATCTCTGTTTTGGTACCAGTACCATGCTGTTTTGGTTACTGTAGCCTTGTAGTATAGTTTGAAGTCAGGTAGTGTGATACCTCCAGCTTTGTTCTTTTGGCTTAGGATTGACTTGGCGATGCGGGCTCTTTTTTGGTTCCATATGAACATTAAAGTAGTTTTTTCCAATTCTGTTCAGAAAGTCATTGGTAGCTTGATGGGGATGGCATTGAATCTGTAAATTACCTTGGGCAGTATGGCCATTTTCATGATATTGATTCTTCCTACCTATGAGCATGGAATGTTCTTCCATTTGTTTGTATCCTCTTTTATTTCATTGAGCAGTGGTTTGTAGTTCTCCTTGAAGAGGTCCTTCACATCCCTTGTAAGTTGGATTCCTAGGTATTTTATTATCTTTGAAGCAATTGTGAATGGGAGTTCACTCATGATTTGGCTCTCTGTTTGTCTGTTGTTGGTGTATAAGAATGCTTGTGATTTTTGTACATTGATTTTGTATCCTGAGACTGCTGAAGTTGCTTATCAGCTTAAGGAGATTTTGGGCTGAGATGATGGGGTTTTCTAGATAAACAATCATGTCGTCTGCAAACAGGGACAATTTGACTTCCTCTTTTCCTAATTGAATACCCTTTATTTCCTTCTCCTGCCTGATTGCCCTGGCCAGAACTTCCAACACTATGTTGAATAGGAGTGGTGAGAGAGGGCATCCCTGTCTTGTGCCAGTTTTCAAAGGGAATGCTTCCATTTTTGCCCATTCAGTACGATACTGGCTGTGGGTTTGTCATAGATAGCTCTTATTATTTTGAGATACGTCCCATCAATACCTAATTTATTGAGAGTTTTTAGCATGAAGGGTTGTTGAATTTTGTCAAAGGCTTTTTCTGCATCTATTGAGATAATCATGTGGTTTTTGTCTTTGGCTCTGTTTATATGCTGGATTACATTTATTGATTTGCATATATTGAACCAGCCTTGCATCCCAGGGACGAAGCCCACTTGATCATGGTGGATAAGCTTTTTGATGTGCTGCTGGATTCGGTTTGCCAGTATTTTATTGAGGATTTTTGCATCAATGTTCGTCAAGGATATTGGTCTAAAATTCTCTTTTTTGGTTGTGTCTCTGCCCAGCTTTGGTATCAGAATGATGCTGGCCTCATAAAATGAGTTAGGGAGGATTCCCTCTTTTTCTATTGATTGGAATAGTTTCAGAAGGAATGGTACCAGTTCCTCCTTGTACCTCTGGTAGAATTCGGCTGTGAATCCATCTGGTCCTGGACTCTTTTTGGTTGGTAAACTATTGATTATTGCCACAATTTCAGCTCCTGTTATTGGTCTATTCAGAGATTCAACTTCTTCCTGGTTTAGTCTTGGGAGAGTGTATGTGTCGAGGAATGTATCCATTTCTTCTAGATTTTCTAGTTTATTTGCGTAGAGGTGTTTGTAGTATTCTCTGTTGGTAGTTTGTATTTCTGTGGGATCAGTGGTGATATCCCCTTTATCATTTTTTATTGTGTCTATTTGATTCTTCTCTCTTTTTTTCTGTATTAGTCTTGCTAGCGGTCTATCAATTTTGTTGATCCTTTCAAAAAACCAGCTCCTGGATTCATTGATTTTTTGAAGGGTTTTTTGTGTCTCTATTTCCTTCAGTTCTGCTCTGATTTTAGTTATTTCTTGCCTTCTGCAAGCTTTTGAATGTGTTTGCTCTTGCTTTTCTAGTTCTTTTAATTGTGATGTTAGGGTGTCAATTTTGGATCTTTCCTGCTTTCTCTTGTGGGCATTTAGTGCTATAAATTTCCCTCTACACACTGCTTTGAATGCGTCCCAGAGATTCTGGTATGTTGTGTCTTTGTTCTCATTGGTTTCAAAGAACATCTTTATTTCTGCCTTCATTTCGTTATGTACCCAGTAGTCATTCAGGAGCAGGTTTTTCAGTTTCCATGTAGTTGAGCGGCTTTGAGTGAGATTCTTAATTCTGAGTTCTAGTTTGATTGCACTGTGGTCTGAGAGATAGTTTGTTATAATTTCTGTTCTTTTACATTTGCTGAGGAGAGCTTTACTTCCACCTATGTGGTCAATTTTGGAGTAGGTGTGGTGTGGTGCTGAAAAAAATGTATATTCTGTTGATTTGGGGTGGAGAGTTCTGTAGATGTCTATTAGGTCTGCTTGGTGCAGAGCTGAGTTCAATTCCTGGGTATCCTTGTTGACTTTCTGTCTCGTTGATCTGTCTAATGTTGACAGTGGGGTGTTAAAGTCTCCCATTATTAATGTTTGGGAGTCTAAGTCTCTTTGTAGGTCACTCAGGACTTGCCTTATGAATCTGGGTGCTCCTGTATTGGGTGCATATATATTTAGGATAGTTAGCTCCTCTTGTTGAATTGATCCCTTTACCATTATGTAATGGCCTTCTTTGTCTCTTTTGATCTTTGTTGGTTTAAAGTCTGTTTTATCAGAGACTAGGATTGCAACCCCTGCCTTTTTTAGTTTTCCATTTGCTTGGTAGATCTTCCTCCATCCTTTTATTTTGAGCCTATGTGTGTCTCTGCACGTGAGATGGGTCTCCTGAATACAGCACACTGATGGGTCTTGACTGTTTATCCAACTTGCCAGTCTGTGTCTTTTAATTGGAGAATTTAGTCCATTTACATTTAAAGTTAATATTGTTATGTGTGAATTTGATCCTGTCATTATGATGTTAGCTGGTGATTTTGCTCGTTAGTTGATGCAGTTTCTTCCTAGTCTCGATAGTCTTTACATTTTGGCATGATTTTGCAGCGGCTGGTACCGGTTGTGCCTTTCCATGTTTAGCGCTTCCTTCAGGAGCTCTTTTAGGGCAGGCTTGGTGGTGACAAAATCTCTCAGCATTTGCTTGTCTGTAAAGTATTTTATTTCTGCTTCACTTATGAAGCTTCGTTTGGCTGGATATGAAATTCTGGGTTGAAAATTCTTTTCTTTAAGAATGTTGAATATTGGCCCCCACTCTCTTCTGGCTTGTAGGGTTTCTGCCGAGAGATCCGCTGTTAGTCTGATGGGCTTCCCTTTGACGGTAACCCGACCTTTCTCTCTGGCTGCCCTTAACATTTTTTCCTTCATTTCAACTTTGGTGAATCTGACAATTATGTGTCTTGGAGTTGCTCTTCTCGAGGAGTATCTTTGTGGCGTTCTCTGTATTTCCTGAATCTGAACGTTGGCCTGCCTTGCTAGATTGGGGAAGTTCTCCTGGATAATATCCTGCAGAGTGTTTTCCAACTTGGTTCCATTCTCCGCATCACTTTCGGGTACACCAATCAGACGTAGATTTGGTCTTTTCACATAGTCCCATATTTCTTGGAGGCTTTGCTCATTTCTTTTTATTCTTTTTTCTCTAAACTTCCCTTCTCGCTTCATTTCATTCATTTCATCTTCCATTGCTGATACCCTTTCTTCCAGTTGATCGCATCGGCTCCTGAGGCTTCTGCATTCTTCACGTAGTTCTCGAGCCTTGGTTTTCAGCTCCATCAGCTGAAGCACTTCTCTGTATTGGTTATTCTAGTTATACATTCTTCTAAATTTTTTTCAAAGTTTTCAACTTCTTTGCCTTTGGTTTGAATGTCCTCCCGTAGCTCAGAGTAATTTGATCGTCTGAAGCCTTCTTCTCTCAGCTCGTCAAAGTCATTCTCCATCCAGCTTTGTTCCGTTGCTGGTGAGGAACTACGTTCCTTTGGAGGAGGAGAGGCGCTCTGCGTTTTAGAGTTTCCAGTTTTTCTGTTCTGTTTTTCCCCCATCTTTGTGGTTTTATCTACTTTTGGTCTTTGATGATGTTGATGTACAGATGGGTTTTCGGTGTGGATGTCCTTTCTGTTTGTTAGTTTTCCTTCTAACAGACAGGACCCTCAGCTGCAGGTCTGTTGGAATACCCTGCCGTGTGAGGTGTCAGTGTGCCCCTGCTGGGGGGTGCCTCCGAGTTAGGCTGCTCGGGGGTCAGGGGTCAGGGACCCACTTGAGGAGGCAGTCTGCCCGTTCTCAGAACTCCAGCTGCGTGCTGGGAGAACCATTTCTTTCTTCAAAGCTGTCAGACAGGGACATTTAAGTCTGCAGAGGTTACTGCTGTCTTTTTGTTTGTCTGTGCCCTGCCCCCAGAGGTGGAGCCTACAGAGGCAGGCAGGCCTCCTTGAGCTGTGGTGGTCTCCACCCAGTTCGAGCTTCCTGGCTGCTTTGTTTACCTAATCAAGCCTGGGCAATGGTGGGCGCCCCTCCCCCAGCCTTGCTGCTGCCTTGCAGTTTGATCTCAGACTACTGTGCTAGCAATCAGCGAGACTCCGTGGGTGTAGGACCCTCCGAGCCAGGTGTGGGATATAGTCCCGTGGTGCGCCGTTTTTTAAGCCGGTCTGAAAAGCGCAATATTCGGGTGAGAGTGACCCGATTTTCCAGGTGCGTCCGTCACCCCTTTCTTTGACTCGGAAAGGGAACTCCCTGACCCCTTGCGCTTCCCAGGTGAGGCAATGCCTCGCCCTGCTTCGGCTCGCGCACGGTGCGTGCACCCACTGGCCTGTGCCCACTCTCTGGCACTCCCTAGTGAGATGAACCCGGTACCTCAGATGGAAATGCAGAAATCACCCGTCTTCTGCGTCGCTCACGCTGGGAGCTGTAGACTGGAGCTGTTCCTATTCGGCCATCTTGGCTCCTCACGGAACATTTTAAAACTGATATAAAATCAAATATAAATTATTGGTACTAGATACTAGATGGAGGTCTATAGGTGGTAAAATGAAGACATTGAAAATCAGTAAAGCTACAGTCTGGATTATGGAGGGGAGAGTAGCAAGAGTGGGAGAAGGAGATAAATGTCTGCATAGATCAAATGGAGTGAATAGAGAGGGAAAGGATAAGCAATATAAAAATATATAATGTATAAAATATATATAATATATAATGTATAAAAATAGATAAGCTATTTTTGTAAACCCATACTGAAGCCAATTTGAGTGAAGCTTCTTGTCCTTCCATCTGGCTTGTTGATTTAGGAAACTACAATAAGAGAGTTAATTCTAAGAAAGATGCTTTTATTTTATTTTTTATTATACTTTAAGTTTTAGGGTACATGTGCACAACGTGCAGGTTTGTTACATATGTATGCATGTGCCATGTTGGTGTGCTGCACCCCTTAACTCGTCATTTAACATTAGGTATATCTCCTAATGCTATCCCTCCCCCCTCCCCCCACCCCACAACAGGCCCCAGTGTGTGATGTTCCCCTTCCTGTGTCCATGTGTTCTCATTGTTCAATTCCCACCTATGAGTGACAACATGTGGTGTTTGGTTAGATGCAATAAAAAGTGATAGAAGGGATATCACCACCGATCCCACAGAAATACAAACTACCATCAGGGAATACTATAAACACCTCTACGCAAATAAACTAGAAAATCTAGAAGAAATGGATAAATTCCTCAACACATACACCCTCCCAAGACTAAACCAGGAAGAAGTTGAATCTCTGAATAGACCAATAACAGACTCTGAAATTCAGACAATAATTAATAGCTTACCAACCAAAAACAGTCCAGGACCAGATGGATTCACAGCCGAATTCTACCAGAGGTATGAGGAGGAGCTGGTACCATTCCTTCTGAAACTATTCCAATCAATAGAAAAAGAGGGAATCCTCCCTAACTCATTTTATGAGGCCAGCATCATCCTGATTCCAAAGCCTGGAAGAGAAACAACAAAAAAAGAGAATTTTACACCAATATCCCTGATGAACATCGATGCAAAAATCCTCAATAAAATACTGGCAAACCGAATCTGACAGCACATCAAAAATCTTATCCACCGTGATCAAGTGGGCTTCATCCCTGGGATGCAAGATTGGTTCAACATACGCAAATCAATAAATGTAATCCAGCATATAAACAGAACCAACGACAAAAACCACATGATTATCTCAATAGATGCAGAAAAGGCCTTTGACAAAATTCAACAACTCTTCATGCTAAAAACTCTCAATAAATTAGGTATTGATGGGACGTATCTCAAAATAATAAGAGCTATCTACGACAAACCCACAGCCAAGATCATACTGAATGGGCAAAAACTGGAAGCATTCCCTTTGAAAACTGGCACAAGACAGGGATGCCCTCTCTCACCACTCCTATTCAACATAGTGTTGGAAGTTCTGGCCAGGGCAATCAGGCAGGAGAAAGAAATAAAGGGTATTCAGTTAGGAAAAGAGGAAGTCAAATTGTCCCTGTTTGCAGATGACATGATTGTATATCTAGAAAACACCATTATCTCAGCCCAAAATTTCCTTCAGCTGATAAGCAACTTCAGCAAAGTCTCAGGATACAAAATCAATGTGCAAAAATCACAAGCATTCTTATACACCAATAACAGACAAACAGAGAGCCAAATCATGAGTGAACTCCCATTCACAATTGCTTCAAAGATAATAAAATACCTAAGAATCCAACTTCCAAGGGAGGTGAAGGACCTCTTCAAGGAGAACTACAAACCACTGCTCAATAAAATAAAAGAGGGTACAACAAATGGAAGAACATTCCATGCTCATAGTTAGGAAGAATCAATATTGTGAAAATGGCCATACTGCCCAAGGTAATTTATAGATTCAATGCCATCCCCATCAAGCTACCAATGACTTTCTTCACAGAATTGGAAAAAACTACTTTAATGTTCATATGGAACCAAAAAAGAGCCCACATTGCCAAGTCAATCCTAAGCCAAAAGAACAAAGCTGGAGGCATCACGCTACCTGACTTCAAACTATACTACAAGACTACAGTAACCAAAACAGCATGGTACTGGTACCAAAATGGAGATATAGACCAATGGAACAGAACAGAGCCCTCAGAAATAATGCCACACATCTACAACTATCTGATCTTTGACAAACCTGAGAAAAACAAGCAATGGGGAAAGGATTCCCTATTTCATAAATGGTGGTGGGAAAACTGGCTAGTCATATGTAGAAAGCTGAAACTGGATCCCTTCCTTACAACTTATACAGAAATTAATTCAAGATGGATTAAAGACTTCAATGTTAGACCTAAAACCATAAAAACCCTAGAAGAAAACCTAGGTAATACCATTCAGGACATAGGCATGGGCAAGGACTTCATGTCCAAAACACCAAAAGCAATGGCAACAAAAGCCAAAATTGACAAATGGGATCTAATTAAACTAAAGAGCTTCTGCACAGCAAAAGAAACTACCATCAGAGTGAACAGGCAACCTACAGAATGGGAGAAAATTTTCACAACCTATTCATCTGACAAAGGGCTAGTATCCAGAATCTACAATGAACTCCAACAAATTTACAAGAAAAAAACAAACAACCCCATCAAAAAGTGGGCGAAGGACATGAACAGACACTTCTCAAAAGAAGACATTTATGCAGCCAAAAGACACATGAAAAAATGCTCATCATCACTGGTCATCAGAGAAATGCAAATCAAAACCACAATGAGATACTATCTCACACCAGTTAGAATGGTGATCATTAAAAAGTCAGGAAACAACAGGTGCCGGAGAGGATGTGGAGAAATAGGAACACTTTTACACTGTTGGTGGGACTGTAAACTAGTTCAACCATTGTGGAAGTCAGTGTGACAATTCCTCAAGGATCTAGAACTAGAAATACCATTTGACCCAGCCATCTCATTACTGGGTATATACCCAAAGGATTATAAATCATGCTGCTATAAAGACACATGCACACGTATGTTTATTGCGGCACTATTTATAATAGCAAAGACTTGGAACCAAGTCAAATGTCCAATGATAGACTGGATTAAGAAAATGTGGCACATATACACGACGGAATACTATGCGGCCGTAAAAAGGATGAGTTCATGTCCTTTGTAGGGACGTGGATGAAGCTGGAAACCATGATTCTCAGCAAACTATTGCAAGGACAGAAACCTGCTTTTAAACTTTGTAACCTCTAACACAGCATGACCTATTACAAGGATCACTCTTGCACCTTGACAAAGACTCTTTCCTTTACCAAAGTTTCAACAGGCTCTTCAGAACCTTCCTTTTGACTACACTTTTTCCTTGGGGATTGTCTTTGCATGCTGAGTCCAATTTTAGCCAAAATCCAATAAGTCGGTTTACCAAGAATCCTCCCACCATTGATATCTGATCACCTTGGCCTGACTTCAGCAAGAATCCTGTTAAGTCAGTTTAACATGGGTCTCCATAAACTTGATGTCTCCTCCTAGTAATTTTCCATTTACTGACCCTCCTTATTCTGCTCATTGTCTGTAATCCCAGCAGTCTTGTATTTGGAGTTGAGCCTAATCTTTCTCCCCTAGTGCGATAGTCTTAGCAGCTATTGCAATAATCCTAAAAAAGCCTGCCTTACTGTTTTGACAAGTGTCAGAATAATTTTTTCATTAATACCTTAAAACAAAACTTCAGTGATAAAGAGTAATCATGGGAAGTGAAGGTAAGGTGATTTGGGATTGTAGGGGATAAGGTTTTACTGTTCAATGGAGGCAAGAGATCTAACAAATTCCCAGGAAATTCCTCTTTTTAAGTGGTGTAGCAACACCACTAATATGTCTAATAGCATTAGACATGTATACTGTGACTATAGGGAAGTGCAAATCATATCAAACACAGGTACAATTGTATCTCTTCGGACCTCTGGAGGAAGATGTATAGGCACAACAATTGGGAATAGAAGACATTTTTCTTTTATCCCTCTGTATCAGGGCCATATGCTATCAACAGTTAGATGCTGATCGCAGTGATTTTTATCCCCATATTTGCAATGATAGTGGGCTCTTAAGAGGAAGCAGCTTTTGAAGTAGTTACGAAGAAGCCTGCCTCCTCAGTCATCTCCAGAGGCATTCTTCAACCTTTCCCGTAAGGCTGTGGCTTGTTGACAGGGAGTCTGAAAACAAAAGGATAACAGTGAAAGATTCTGCCTCTTCTCGTCGTGTTTCTGGACATTTTGCCTCTCTGGGAGTTCCCTTTTTTTAAGCTCTACTGGTGGAGTGAAGGATTTTGCTCTCTGAAAAGGCTGCCCACCCTCTGGCCAGATGTAAGTGCCTATCCATATTGCACCCCCTCTGGAAGTGAAGAGGAAAGTAAACACTTCCGCCTACTGAGTCTGGTTTATGTGATTGATGCTGGGATTTCCAATTTCCAGGACAAACGATGCATTAGTGAAAATGGGCACACAGGAAAGCTCAGTGTCAATGAGTTAAGTGCCCATCGCTGTACTCAGTGAACAGTTTGCTGATCTCAATTGTAGGCAATTAACAGTGATTAGCAAGTGCGTGCTTGGTGGGTGGCACAATGAGATTCTTCTTATTGATGAGACAAACTCACAAACAACCCAGAGAGATACTGCCATGAAAATGCAACCGAAAAGCTCAATAACTGTGCAAGAGCATCTGACCAAAGCAGGACTCTTGTGAATGTTTTAATTTCTCCTCTTAAACCTCTCATTAACTCTCAAACAATCCAGTAATATGTGGGGAGGGCCAGATACTGATTTAGAATCAGACACTCTTTAAGCATCCTGAGTTAGAGAAATTAGAATGAGAAGAAATAAATCCCTACAAAATTGTGCAACCCTGGGGAGTTCAAATATTTCTTACTTATTTTGTTATTTCCTTCTGACCTAGTACAGTGCCTTGAACCTAGGGGATTTCAGTAAGTGTTGAGGAAAGTGAATTGGAATGAGGTCTCCTTCTACCAGCTACTGATGATCATATTAGCCTCTTCTTGTCCCTTCCATTGTTTTCTTTTTTTACTAGCCTTTTTTTTTTTTTTTTTTTTTTTGCGACGGAGTCTCACTCTGTTGCCAGGCTGGCGTGCAGTGGCACAATCTCTCCTCACTGCAACCTCTGAGTCCTGGATTCAAGCAATTCTCCTGCCTAAGCCTCCCAAGTAGCTGGGACTACAGGTGTGCACCACCACACCCAGCTAATTTTTGTAGTTTTAGTAGAGACAGGGTTTCACCATGTTGGCCAGGATGGTCTTGATCTCTTGACCTTGTGATCTGCCCGCCTTGGCCTCCCAAAGTGCTGGGATTACAGGTGTAAGCCACCATGTCCAGCCTTTTTGCTACCCTATCTTTCTCTTCCCTTTAAGGAATTATCATGACCATATTTGAGATGTGTTTTTTTTTTTTTTTTTTTTTTTGCTTTAGATATATTTAAGAGATAGTAGAAATTAATTTGTATTTGCCTACTAACTTTTATTATAATTTCATAGAAATATTTCCACCAAAGTATTTGGGCTCAAAGACATGGTAATGAATAACTGATATCCATTTCAAAGAGCTTTCTGCTACTGGCAATACACAATTGAATGCCAATTATTCTCCCATATAGCAAGAAAATAATCAAGTGGACAATTAATTAACATGCTCCTTAAACAACCACATGTTAAATCATGTTATACAGTTCCCATTTCCTTGCGAGATCTTACTGGCTTTATGAGACTTGCATGTCTAACTAACCACATGAGCTATACCAGGTATTCAGAGAAATTCATTCATGAACTGAAAGAACTTCATAGAGATACTGTTTTAACAAATGCAGGCTGTTTCGTTCCACTATTAGGCGCAGAATGCTCCATGAAGGCAAGGGCCAATTCTATAGGTTTACTATAAAATCCCCAGTGCCAAACACAGTGTTTGGTAGGTAGTAGAATTGAAAGAATAAATAAACTGCAAAATGCAGGAGTAAAACAGGGATATTTCATAAAAACCCATTCTTACCATTCCTTCATAGAAATTAATCACTACTTTAAAGTCTCATTCACTTGTCTATATAGCCAGATAGTAGAAGACAATTTATTATGCCACCAAATTGTTGGAGATCATGCTTTAATAAGGAACACTTTATTGCTTAAAGAATATTATTGCTCAGCCGGGCACAGTGGCTCACGCCTGTAATCCCTGCACTTTGGGAGGCCGAGGCGGGTGGATCACGAGGTCAGGAGATAGAGACCACCCTGGCTAACACGGTGAAATGCCGTCTCTACTAAAATACAAAAAATTAGCCAGGGGTGGTGGGGGACACCTGTAGTCCCAGCTACTCGGGAGGCTGAGGCAGGAGAATGGTGTGAACCCAGGAGGTGCAGCTTGCAGTGAGCTGAGATCGCGCCACTGCACTCCAGCCTGGGTGACAGAGTGAGACTCCGTCTCAAAAAAAAAAACCAAAAACCAAAAACCAAAAAAACAAAAAAAAAAAACCCAAAAAAGAATAGTATTGCTCAATGTAGTATTTGAATAGGTGATAATATGAACTGCAAGTAAACCCTGCATCTCAATATCTAAGACAAGGTGAGAAAGTCACCTTAACTGAAGCAAATAAGAATCAATGCCTAATGCATGTAACTAATGGCAATCTGACTCTCTTTACAATTTGGGTGAGATTATTCTTACTTAAATGAAACACAATTTTTTACCTTTGTTCTAACTCTGTTCTCATCAAGCAGTCATTTGATTATGAATCCAGTTTTCTTGTTATATTTTATTTTTTTGAGATGGAGTCTTGCTCTGTCGCCAGGCTGGAGTGCAGCGGCGCAATCTCTGCTCACTGCAACCTCTGCCTCCTGGGTTCAATTGATTCCCCTGCCTCAGCCTCCCAAGTAGCTGGGACTACAGGCGTGCACCACCACGCCTGGCTAATTTTTTGTATTTTAGTAGAGACAGGGTTTCACCATGTTGGCCAGGATGGTCTCGATCTCCTTACTATGTAATCCGCCCACCTAGGCCTCCCAAAGGGCTGGAATTACAGGTGTGAGCCACCGTGCCCTGCCTCTTGTTATTTTTAATCCAGGAAATGTGTCCCTAGATAGAGGCAATGCATTTTTCAATTATTTGAAAAATACTCTTTTATTAAAAATGTATACCTTAGCATTATGTTTTACACATTAGCCAGTTTTGAATGTACTTAGCATTAACAAGTTTTCTAGACATCATCAAATTATTCCTGAGTGATTAAAATGTAAAGTTTTTGGGGTTTTTTTAGGTATGTTCAAAACTGAGGAATGAGGACACCATGATCTTTTTGAATGAATTTACACATTAGCCAGTTTTGAATGTACTTATCATTAACCAGTTTTCTAGATATCATCAAATTATTCCTAAGTGAGTGATTGAAATACAAAGTTTTGGGTTTTTTTGTTTTTTTTTTTGGTATGTTCAACATTGAAGAATAAGGCCACCATGACACATTACACTGTTGTTCTGTCCCAAAATTCTCCATAATAGACTATCCTGCCTTTTAAAAATTATTCTTCTTAACCATACACAGTAAGCCCTGAACATCATTTAATGCAACTCATTCATGTCTCAGCTGTTTCAAAGTCCAGGTTTCCCCAACTTCCATAAAGCCCTGACTTTGAATAATCTGAGGCCAAATTAATGAGGATTAATTGTATGTCATCCTTGATGTTCTTTTGACCTTTTCATATGAATGAATTACATTAGCCCTCAGCCCTTCTGATGGCTTTTTATAGAAATTTGCAAATTTCTAGTAATGAGGTGCTTGAAATTGAACAAAGGGTGTTCAGGACTCCTCTTATTGTGGACAATTAGCATCTCTCATCATTATCACTGTAATAACATTTAAGAATAAGTAGACCAAAGATGTCTTTTTATGTGCTTTAGAGATGCCTATTTAATTGGTGAACTTAATAAAAATAGTCAATGATAATAAAGTCACTTCTTCACTTGCCCCCAACAGATTTTATATCAGAAAATGATGAATGAAACCAGTTAAAAAAATGTTCATTATTGTCAGAGATATGTGTTTGTTTTCACGTTTCAATTTTTGATAAATCTTATAATACATAGTTTTTAATGCATTTAAATGAAGTCTAATTTTATTTTACTACTTTGCCATGTTTAAATGCTTACTTGTGACTTTTGGCTATGTTGTAGCAAGTATGCCTTTCTTTGTGCATCATTAGTACTGTGCTACTCTTTTTCTAATCTATTCATATTCAAAAATCATGTTAATGCTCATCTTTATTGATGCTGATTTAGGTTAGTAAAATTTAGGCTTTTACTTCTTTTCAGAAAAGTGAATCAAAATGTTCATTTTTTAGTCTGTGAGGCTGGATATCACATCTAATCAATTAACTTTTTTAAAAAACAAGTTTTATCTGCTTTGATGAGGTATAATTTATGCCCAATAAATTTACTCATTTCAAGTGTACTGTTTGACCAGTCTTCACAAATGTTATATGCTATGTAACTACAACTATAATCAAAAGAAAGGACATTTCTATCTCTCTAGACAGTTTCCTCCCCTTTCTCTTTCACTGTCAGTTCTGTCTTCCCATCCCACTCCCCAAACCCCTATCACTATGATTGTTAGTTCAGTGTTTTATATAATTTCATACAAATAGAATCATGGAATATATAGTCTTATATCTGGCTTCTTCATTTAGCATAATGCTTTTGAGATTCATCCCATTGCATTTGTCAGTAGTTTATTCCTTTTTTATTAATGGATTAATGGGTATTTGGTTTGTTTTCAGGTTTTAGGTACCACGGTATAAAAGAATATATATGGTCTATGTCCCTGGTTCCTGGGACAGAGCTTTAAAAATCCTGAGGCCTTTTTGAGTGATAGAGACACTTCTGTTATGCTAATGAGGTGACTCACAGAGGTGAAAGTAGCAGAGCTAGATTATGTCAGGATAGGGCTGGTCACTAGAGAGGCCAAGCACAGGATTAGAGTGTTGGAACTTTCCAGCTTCTTGACCTCCAGGGATAGGAGCTAGAGACTGAGTTCAAGCCCAAGGCCAATGTTTAATCAATCATGCCTACACAATGAAACCTTGATAAAAACTCTAAACAGGGAGGCCGAGGCAGGTGGATCACGAGGTCAGGAGATCGAGACCAGCCTGACCTAACATGGTGAAACCCCGTCTCTACTAAAAGTAGAAAATTAGCCAGGCATGGTGGCACATGCCTATAATCCCAGCTACTCTGGAGGCTGAGGCAGGAGAATTGCTTGAACCCGGGAGGGGGAGCTTGCAGTGAGCTGAGATCGCACCACTGCACTCCAGCCTGGGTGACAGAGCGAGACTTCATCTAAAAAAAAAAAAAAACTCTAAAGGTTTGGTGTAGCTTCTTGGTTGGTGAAGACATTGATATGCCAGGAGGGCGATGAGCTCTGACACACAGGGAAAAGTCATGCCTTCCACTATGAGTCTCTTCTGTTTGGCTGTTCCTGAGCATAGTCTTTATAATAAAACCTTACTTATAAGTATAGTACTTTTAGTGAGTTTTGTGAGGCTTTTTGTTTTGTAAATTAGTGACAAAGTCATGGGAACCTTTGCATTTATAGCCAGCCTCTCATAAATGTGTGTAACTCTCAAGTCATGCAGCTTGCATGTAAAGCAAGAGCAATCCTGCGGAGAAGTAACCTGTGGAGTCTGATGTTAACTATAGGAATTGATGTTAGAAATATACTTTGGTATACCCACTTGGGCAGAAACTGTGTAGATATGAATGAAGTTGCTATGAACATTCATATACAGTGTACATATCTTTCTGGAAACATATGTTTTCATTTCTAGGAGTGGAATTACTGGGTCTTATGTTAAATTTATAAGACACTGTAAAGCTGTTTTCCAAAGTGGGCTGTACCATTTTGCATTCTCTTCAGCAATGAATTAGAGTCCTTATTGCTCCACATTCTTGTCAGCCTGTGGTATTATTAGTCTTTTGAATTTTAGGTATTCGCATAGATGTATAGGAGTATCTCACTGTAGTTTTAAATTTGCATTTCCCTAATTTCACCAAATAAAATTTAAAAATTTACTGTATAAAAGATAGTTTCACATGATATTTAATTTTCAATTCATTATATGTATATAGATGTAAATACATGTTCATATCCTAAATTCAGAGCGTTGCTATGAAAACCTCTTATCTTCACATTTTTCATTAAAGATGTAATTTTTTAAATGCTCAAGTTTTTTTTTTTTTAACAGCAGTTTTAGGTTAGCAGCAAAATTCAGAAGCTACAGTACTTTCTCAGTTATTCTCTAACTCCACACATGGATAGCCTCCCCCACTACTAATACCTTTCACTAGAGTGGTATATTTGTTACAATTTATCAACCTACATTGACACATTTTTATCACCTGAAGTTCATAGTTACATTAGAGCTCACTCTTGATGTTGTACATTCTGCAGGCTTGGACAAATGTATAATGACATGTATCCACCATTATAGTATCACACAGAGAGTAGTTTTACTGATTTCTGAATTTTGCCTATTCATCTTTTCCCCTCTCTTGCTGCCAAACCCTGGCAACTGTTGATCTTTTTATTGTCTCCATAGTTTTGCCTTTTCTAGAATTTCATATGGTCATACAGTATGTACTCTTTTCAGACTGGCTTCTTTCACTTAGTAGTATGCACTTAAGTTTCTTCCATGTCTTTTCATGTCTTGATACCTCATTTCTTTTTAGCACTAAATCATATTCTATTGCCTCGTATATTAAAGTTTCTTTATCCATTCACCTACTGAAGGACATCTTTGTTGCTTCCATGTTTTTGCAATTATCAATAAAATTTCTATAAACATCTGTATGGAAGTTTTCATGTGAATGTATGTTTAAAACTCTTCTGGGCAAATACCAACGAGTGGAATTGCTGAATCATGTGATAAGAGTTCATTTAGTATTATAAGAAACTGCCAAACTCTTTTACAAAGTGGCTATACCATTTTACATTCCTACCAGCAGTGAATGAGTGTTCCTATTGTTCCACATCGTTACCAGCATTTACAGTTGTCAATGTTCTGATTTTTAGCCATTTCAGTAGGTTTGTTGTAATATCTCGTTGTCGAAGTGAACCTTTTTTAAATATGCTTATTTGCCTTCTGAAATATTCTTTGGTGAGGTGTCTGTTAAGGTTTTGGCCCATTTTTTAAATTGGGTTGTTTTCTTATTCTTGAGTTTTAAGTGTTCTTTGTATGTTTTGGGTAGAAATCTTTAATCAGGCATGTCTTTTGCAAATGTTTTATTTCAATCTCTTTCTCTTAACATTGTCTTTTTCACAAGGGTGTTTTAATTGTAACAGGTTGTAGCTTATCAACTTTTTTTTCATGAATCATACCTTTGGTGTTGTGTCTTAAAAGTCATTCCCACACCCAAGGTCATCTAGATTTTCTCCTATGTTATCTTCTAGAAGTTTCATACTTCTGCATTTCATATTTAGTTCTATAATCCATTTTGCATTTATTTTTATAAAGTGTGTAAGATCTGTGTCTACATTCTTTTTTTTTCTTTTTGCATGTGGATGTCCAGTTGTTCTAGCACCATCTGTGGAAGACACTTTTCTTTATTATATTGCCTATGCTCCTTTGTTAAAATCAGTTTACTTCATTTACGTGCGTCTATTTCTAGGCTCTCTATTCTGTTCCATTGATCTCTTCATCCATTCTTTCATCAATACCACATTGTCTTCATTACTACAGCTTTATAGTAGTCTTGAATTTAGGTAGTGTCAATCCTCCAACTTTGTTCTTGTCCTTCAATACTGTGTTGGCTATCCTGGATTTTTTACCTCTCCATAAAAATTTCAGAATCATTTTGTCAATATCTGCAAAATAACTTGCTGAGATTTTGATTGGAATTGCATTGAATCTATAGAAGTAATTGGGAAGAACTAATTTCTTGACAACATTGAGTCTTCCTATTTATGGACATGTAAGATCTCTCTAACAGGTATTTTAAAGGGTGTTTGCTCCTGTAAGTCATTTAAAAGCTTTTGGAAATTCTTTTTCCAAAAGCTTTTAAATAGTCAGTCCCCTTAATATTTTTTAAGGTCTTCTAATTTCTTTATCCCTTGGAATATATCTTCTTATTCTTTTTTAATAAAACAATTTCTCCTTTCTTTCTGTCTCCCCTCCCTGAAGACTTTAGGAGATAATGCTCTATTCTTTGGCAATTTCTTATTTATTTCTACTTTCCACAATGGTTTTTATTTTATCTTACTTTTTACATTTCTAGTTAACATTTCTGAAATCAAGGTACTTATTGTTATTGCATTCTTTACAATTGGCTTATTCACTTAACATTGTAAAATGAGAACCTTAGGTAACCTCTGTTCATGTTTTGTGATAGAGGAACCCATTGGGTCTGTAATGGGACCAGGGAATCAACACTTGTCTGAAGAGGATGTGAGAGCTTTAGTTTGATGTTAACTTCAAATACAAAAGATACTGGGAAAATTGGTCAATTTTTGGACGTCCTGATAGGCTATTTTTTATTAAAGTAGAAAAAGTTTTTCAGACCAAACTGTGAACTGATGGGTCTACCCTGAATCTGAGGGTTTGGCATTGCCACAATTTATTCCTGATGTTTCTGAAGTTACTGCTGTTTGCAACAGCAGCAGTTCCAGAGACATAAGTACGAATACCCATTAGGGAAGGGGATTTGTTTGGCCAATGTCTCTTGAAAGTCAAAATCTCAAAACTGAATTAAAGTAGCCTCATTAATTTTTCATAAGCAAAACAAGAATATTGTGAATTTCATACCTTCATTTAAATTGAGTGCCTGTCATGTACAAGTTCCTGTGCAATATAGGGGCATGTACAGGGCAATGAAACCCAAGTTCTTCTTCCAAGAAATTCACAGTCTACCATTTGTGATAAGATATAGATAGATAATTAGAGTGAAAAGTGATCCCTTATACATGTTATTCACCAATAAATAACATCAAAAGGAAAGTATGATTCATGAGTGATTTTGAAAATATTTTCAATGTTCTCTTAAGGCTTGAATAGAAATATAATTTTGAGAACTTTAAGCTTCATTTAAAACACTACATTTCTATCATTTAAAAATATCTATTTTCTGCTTTATTTTTAATAAGTCCATATATTTAAGAAGAAATTTTATTATGAAACAGAATTTTTACTTATGAGATTTTACAGTAGCCAGTGAATACTAATTAATGTTTAAGTTATTGTAATGATATGAAGACATATTGTTCTGACACTTCAAAATAATTATAAAGCTGACTCATTGCTGTACAGAATGCTGAGCCTAAGTATTCCTCAGTCTTTTTGTTCTAATTAGATTTTATTTATTTCCAATATTTTTTGAGTAGACTGAGAAAAGATCACAAAAAATCATCTATTATGCAACAACATCATTTGAACTTTTTAAAGACAAAGTAATTCTTGATATAGCAGAAATCCATACGATGCCTAGGCTTTCTTCAGTAAACTCATAAACAAATGGCAGCAATAACATCTTTAAATCACTTTCTCAAATGCACCTCTGCTGTGGTTCCGATGGATACAAGTAATACCATCAAGTGTGTAATAACTTGAGAAAGTATTTCTAGGAGGCAGAACAGGCTCATCAAAACTCAATTCAGAAAAATACAAAACAAGATTAAAAGAAAAAACCCACAAACCTCCACAAACTCCAATCCCATCAATAAAGAATCAAACAACTTTTAGAAAAAACTAGGTGCTCAATTTATTAAGTCACACATGCTGTAAACAAATATGACCAATATTCTCCATGCACTCTTTTCTAGTCCTTGGTTTAGAATAGTAAATTGGCTTAGTGCCCATTGTTGCCTAGTATAATCTTAACTGAAAGACCTTAACTGAGATCCTTGTTTGAAAGTTCTGGGAACTGATAGGCTTAAATAGAGCCATGGGTTGGAGATGTGTGAGAATCAAAATATTTAACCTCCATATGATACAGAGACTGACCAATCAGAAAAGATGCTGCTTGTGAACAACACATATTGTAGAACTAATGCCTACCAGCTGGATGTCAGCTCTCATTGTTTTTGTGAGGATTTTGCTGAGGTGGCATTTACTCTGGTGAATTCGATTAAATTAATGGGAGGCAAATCAAACCTCCCTTTTAAACCCTAAAAAGCAGTGTGTCAGGGGCTCTGGTGACTACATCTTTACATATGTACAAAAAACTAGCTTAGATAACATTTTATTTATTAGCAAACACTTATTGAGTGTCTACGCTGGTTTAACCTGGGAGTCCATCTATAAAACTTTTCTTATCTGCTCAAATTACTTAAAATAAATCATAGAACTGGATGAAATTGGGAGTCATCTAATATAGCTTTTAATTTTAAAAATGAGGAAACTGAGGCCCAGACTAATTAAGTAACAAATATTTATTGGGCATTTACGTTGTGCCAAGCACTTTTCTAGCTGCTGAGAATGGAGTGAGTGGTGAACCTATATGTAAGAACCAGGGGGTTGTGGTAGAGTGACTATGGTTGAGGTCTGGCCATGTCTGATTTGGTGTTTAAGGAAGGTCCTTTCAGGGGTGACACTAAACACCAAACTGAAAGAAAAGGAGAAGCTAGGCTTACAAAGATATAGGACATACCATTTTAAATGGAGCAATAGCAAGTGTAACAGTGCAGGTTTAGCACATGAAGAAAAGCAAAAAGAAGGCCTGTGTGGCTGAAGTATCATGAATAAGCAGGAGAGACAGCATCACTAGATGAGGTTGAAGAGGAGGGTGGAATCAGATCATGGAGAGCTTTTAGGTCCTGGTAAGTTGCCTTTTATTCTATATTTTATTGAAACATTTTTGTACTTATATTACCACATGTTATATATATCACATATAGTATACATATACATAACATGAGATTGATCTGATAGATATTTCTGAAAGATCATCTGGCAGAAAGAGGATTACTTAGTAGGCCATTTTAGTCAAGTGAGATGTGATGATATCGTGGACTATGGTGATAGATGTGAATTTGAGAGAAATGGATGATTATAGGATATATTTGAAGATAGAGTCAACAGGATACATGATGGGTTGCTTATCAGGGATGAGAGAAAGAAAGAAATCAAGATTGCCTCCTAAATTCTTGCTTGATTATCTAGGTTGATGGTAAGGCTGGTAAGCTGAGATGGTATTATGGTTTGGCTCTACAAATTTCTTAAATTTGGAATGTCTTTCAGTCTTTTTTTTAAATTTTTTACCTGCCTAATAAGGCCTGGTGGTGGTCAGAATGGCTGATGTTGAAGCTAGGGTAAGATGTTATTTTTATTTTTGTACAAGTCTTTCCCACTGTAATTATCTCCATAATAGTATTTCACAGGAGGCAGCAGCTTTGGGTTTCAGTCTTTCTCTTTGACATCCAAACTCAAACTCCCTGTGAGAGCTTTATATATCCCTGCCCTTTGTTTGCCACATCGATTGCCAAATCTTGCTGCCTCACTTTAAATCTGCAGCTTTTTTCTCCCCCTCCACTGCTGCCCTAGTCTTTACCTGAATGATTCTCTTCACGGAAACCCTCTGCGTTTAAGCAGTCCATCTGTTCCATTTCTGCCTACTGCCACTATTCAAAAGATTCTTTCTGTGCTTCCAGCATTTCCATTCTTACTCTTAAATCCCAGAAGGTATTCCCATTCCCCAAGAGTCAAGTGCACAATCCTTGCCCCTGTTAGGTGTTCATATTCTGAGTGATTTTGTTTTCCTCATCCTATCCAATGTATCTGACATCTTTTACTTCTTCTAGGTTTTCACAATTCTCTTCATTACAATTGTTTTAATTATTCCTTTAAACAGAACTATTTTTTTTTCAAGAGCCATTCAAAATACACACACACACACACAGACAGAAAGATATTTTTGGGTCATTTCTTGATAAAGTGTTATTCATTTACTCATGATAACTGTTTAAACTATTAAATGTTTATCTAATAAAGTTAATGTGCAACACATAAAACATTATTTTACCTTATAGTCCCTCTAAAACTTGCCTATTGCAAGACAAAAAAGGAACTGACAGGAAACCATCTAATGATGCCCTTCAGGCAGGTACAAAGAAAAGCTTTGCAAAAGTGTGGGGCCCTAGAAAAAGCCAATAGGGTGAAAGGAAAAATGTCTTCTATCACAAAGTGCCTATTTTTACTTTGACCTTTCATTTAGTGTTAGACAGCATTAATATACAGACAGCAGGATGCTCAAAGTAAAAAAAGGGAACTGAGTTAGTAAGCACCAGTTACCATGTGAGCAAAGACCTGTTTGTGTCACAGATCTTGGCTAAGATCAAACCAGAGATCAAAGGCTTTGATAAAATATGACTGAGCTTAGCAGTCATATGTAACCTCTTCCCACAGCCGTGGGGAGTAGTTTGTGACTGTCTACTGCCCGAGGTGTGCCTCTAACAGGGAGACTACATGAGAGCCGCTGGCTGAGACTGAGGTCAGCCTGGATGGTAATGATGATGATCTGAGCTGATAGAAGAGTTGAGGTGCCAGGTTCCAGCAGGAGCTAACATAACAGATACCAAAGTATTAAAGCAGCCAAGCTTGCTGTGATCTCAGACAGATGTGACAGCGGCTGGAGAAAGCTGCCGGAGCAAAACAAGCAGCAGTGGCTTCAAAGAGAGCTGAAAGATTCCAGCTTCAGGTCAGGGATATTTGGGAAACTCTCAGAGAGGAGAGAGGCTTGGGCATCTATTTTTCTTTATTTGCCATTATTTTCAAACAGCTTAAAGTTGGCCTACTCTGACCATTCCTTATGCGGATACATACCACCTAAACCCACATCCAAAAGGTGTGTGTTTACATAAGCTTGGTGCAAGAAATATGTATGTAGCATTCACCGTAAATATCTGCTGAAGGAAGGAAAGAAAAAGGGAGGGAAAATTGATTGGAGGGCTAAAACATCCATGTAAATTTCCAGCTAAGGGGGATTCTGAAGACAGAACTGGCATTGTGAGTAAGTAGCAGCCAAAATGTCACCATTTGAGGAGGAAATAGTTCTGTTTTCATATTTTATCCCTGATATCTGTCTGTCTGAAATTTATACTGTTACATATTCATTCCTGAGTATCATGAATCTTTCCAGGCTTCAAGAGTTTCTTCTGAAAATGTAAATAATTCTTGTGAGAAAATATACCTAAACCACATGTTTGACTTACATCTGGGTAGGTACACTCTAGATTTCAGAAAGAAAACTGATTTTAGTCCACTTGAAAGAGGAGCATATTTTTACAATTCTGGATAAAACTAACACTGCCAAAGAGAATCTGGGCTCACCTAGTATCACTACATGAAAGGACATGTAACTTGATTTCAAATAGTACTCTTGATTTATTCCATAGAAATATTTTTGTCCTAACTCAAAGCAAAACCCATATAAGTAAAGATATATATTTGTGCAAAGATAAACTTGCAAGTGTGTGTGTGTGTGTGAGAGAGAGTATTTGTAGTTGGGAAAATTTTTCAAAGGGATTTCTTTGAGCTTGATAGTGCTGATCAATAATTTATAGAGCTCAGATATAGAGTTTCAGCACTACTAGATTATTTGCTCAGGAAATATACTTGAAGAATCAACACCTCCAATGACATGATAAACTATTAAGCCAGTCTCACTTATCAGCCTTACTCATACCATTTTATAGTTGTAGAAAAAAATTTAGGTTTCCAAAATGGATGACAAGCTCATACTCCATTTCTGCATGAGAATGTGTCTCTGAAGCGGCATCAGGAATCTGGCCAGATGTCACTGTCACTGCTACTTTCTAAAGGCAGTTTGAAAACCTGGCAAGATACAGAAATTAATGTGAAGTGGGTATAAATTCAAGATGCAAATAATTAGCCTCCTGTGGAGCAATTCTTCAGATTCCAAAAATATACCAATACTCTACTCATTATTGTGATGAAGGCCAGTTGGCCAAGATTTTGAATTGCTTGGAAAACTTCCTTCAGGAGTGAAATGAGAAAACTGTGAGAAATGAATAATATTATTACTGTTTGGTACATGTTTGCGACAGTGCTTTGGGGAATATTTAAACCTATGCCTCATTTGAGTTTTGTTTGTTCTGTGTCCCTGTCAGTTGTTTCCTCACTGTTTTTCCATTATCATACTCTTGACTGACCCAATTTGGATTCTGTTTTGGAAACAATCCAGACTGTGTTTTTGTCCAACTTTTGCCTGAATTTTTTCATTGTTTGTAATTGCTTAGGCAATTGCAGCTGTATTTAAAAAAATAAATTTCTGAGCATATTAGAGCAGTAGTTTTGTAATGCAAGGAGGTAAATATCCCAGTCAATCAATTGTTCTATATGGGCTTTGGTGAGAAACAGATCTAAGCACGAATCTTAGCTCCATCACTTACTAGCTAGGTAATATTGATGTCATTTCATCTTCCTAAACCTCAGTTTTCTCATCTATAAAACAGAATTCATGGTGAACATGAAGTGGGATAATGTATGTAATATTCTTAGTTATTCACACTTTCCATGTACCAGGTGATGAGCTAGAGCAGCATCATCCAATAGGAAAATATTATGTGGTATGTATCTAATAGTAAATTTTCTGTTAGCCACATTAAAAAAGTAAAAAAAGAAGCCATGAAGTCAATTTAATAATATGATTTTATGTAGTCTGCTGTGTCCAAATATCATTTCAACTAGTCATGATATAGAAATTATTAAAGCAATTTTATATATTTTTGCATACTAAATCTTCAAACTCCAGTGTGTGTTTTATATTTACAGCACACCTTACTTTGAACGCTAAATTTTCAATGGATAAGGGAAAAGTAATCTTGGTCATATTATAAAGTTGTTTTTAACAAAAAACCATTTCATTCTGCTTCAGTTTATAAATTTAAATAAATTAAAATTAAATTAAAATTCTATTTCTTAGTTGCACTAGCCATATTTCATGTGCTTAATGTCATATGTGGCTAGTAGGTATGGTATTGGGCATCACCAGGCTAGAAAGATGGGACATGAGGAAGTAAATGCTCAGAGCTTATAGACTTTGGCAGCCCACTTGTCTCTGCTCTACCATTTTTTAGTCAAAGGGCAGAGAAAACAGGTCAGTAAGTGATTGATTCTTGATAATCATTTGGGATAACAAATATTGGAAGAGATGGCAAGAAAAGTTGAATTTTATGGCAATATTTATTGCATAGGCAAGACTTTGCCCTGACAGTTCCTGATGATGGTATGTAGCCTCACAATCTAAATATGTGTGCTGGGCCACATCACAGACAGAGCTATGATCAGTGAAGTGAGTTCTGAAATAAACCCAAGTCAGAATGATATTGTGACTGAGATTTTGCACTTGAGTGGCCAAGCTCAGCTGCAGTGGGTTGTGGCTGTGAAGCTAGGAGTCTTTGCAATGCAGGGCAGATTTACAGAAGTTCAGTGATTGCAGTGGCAGCAGTGAAATAGATTCAGCTGTTTAGGAGGAACCTTCTATTATATTAACACCATGAACTGATGGGAGAAATAGAAATATGTTGAGGGGATAGTCCCTGCTATCTTCAATTTACATATAGTATAGTTGGGGAAATAAGACATAATCAGAGGGAGATTTTAGTAATGTATGACATAAATGTGCACAAAAGCATTAGAAAACTGGTTAAAAAACCTAGACAACTACGAATTACTAAATTAACAGTATCAATAGTAAGGGATTTTGGCATTCACATAAAAAGGAGATCATTATGGGCTGGATTCATCTGAAAAGGCAGGCAAACTGAATTGAGTCTTGAAGGATTTTTTTTTTCCTGGAGTCAATTTAATAGATTGAGTAAAAGCACCAGGCCATAATGGTACAAAATTTGTTTGTTAGTATGGAGAATTCAGAAGTGAATAGTTGGAGTCAAAAATGTGAATGCTTTCAAGATACTTATTTTTCTCTTGACAATAGATCATCCTTAAATGTATGGAGTGTGAGTGACAGTAACAAAGCAAAGTTTTAAGGAGGTTTATTTTATAGGAACAAAACTATTAGAATGACATATTGACACAGGATTTTATAGTTTTCTGAGACATTTATTATTCAACTAAAGCTTCATTAGTAACTGTATGAAAAAGACAAGCAGGTCTAATTATCTCCACTTTGCAGAAAAAGATACTGAGGATCAAGAGGTTAAGCTACTTGTTCAAGGTCACATGACTGATGAGTGGTCACTAGGACCAGAATCATATTCAGTATTATCATATTCATATTCAGTCTCAGGTATTATCATATTCAGTCTCGGGCTGTCTCCATAATATTTCAGTATATCTTTTAGAGGTAGAGATTCTTAAAAATGATTGAATGTTTCTGGGTGATTCATTTACTCTTTGATTCAGCGGGCACGGCCATTGAAAGGAATTATTTGATATTGGCTAGGCCTGGGCAATATTGTCAATATGCAAAGTTGGCTCTTGGTATTCTCCCTTCTTTCACATTTTTTTTAACCTCTCTGTATCCTCTCACCGAACCCAAACTTCTGATATCCTCAAAATATAATGAAAATGGTTAGGGCCTGATACTCCTAGGGCAAAAATCTTACCTCTTAATCATCTTGCCCACTTAAAATGTATCTATCTCTCATTTCATTCTTTCTGGGAGTGCCTAACAGTTTGCAGTAGAGGGTGGTTAGCAGTTAATTTGTATTAATTTTGGCTAATATTTAAATCAGCTAATTTGTTGCCATCCTTCATAATAATGCTGAGACTTTTTTGATGCTATAATTAGGACTTGATCATTTCATGTCTTCAGGTCTGAGTCAGTGGAAATATTTTTATCCTTCTTCTCCCATTTAGGATGGTTTCCTTTTTGCCCTGCATAAGCCCCTTCTCATACTACTCACTGAATTCTGGCCAAAGCTAGCCTAAATTCAAACTCTGTTCAAGTACCTATACACACATTTGTTTCTAACTCTTTCACCATCCTGCAAGTCAGCTCTGACCAGCTGAGATTCATCTGAGTTCAAAGCCCAGGCTTTCCTCTTATTTCAGGTTTGCTCAATGAAGTTTCCAAGTGGCAGCTGCTCCAGGATCTTCTCAGCCTGATTGTTTTAACTCAAAGGCAACAACCCAGCTGTCAATTTCTCCTACCAATTTCCAGGGCCATATTCAGAGCTGCCAAATCCTCATGTGGCCTAATGTGCTACTCTTGAAGCTTTTTTCCTTCTTTTGGGCAATATCCTTTGATGATAGAGACAAAAAGTCTTCCAACTCCACAAATTACTGCCTCCAGTGTTCATTATGCTCTGATCCACTGCTGCTGAACTGATATAGTCCACTCTTAGCCAAGTTCATCTATGTTGTTGCTGCTTGACTAGTAAGGTTGGCCACCTGCTGAGGTCTCATCCATGGTTTTGCTTTAACTCCAGGTTTACCACTAAAGCTCCCCTTCTATCCTCTTTTTCTTTGAGTTCTTGCTTTATGGTTATAATTCAACCAATCCAATCAAGAATAGATTGGCACCTAGAATAACAAATTCTTTCTAATTCAGAAGTAGTTGAATCTCGTTCCAGACACGTTTTGTTTAACATTTATTTATTTAAAAATTAAGTCAACAGTAAAGGGGTGAATTCACACTACACTACATAATTTTTGCTTTTTTTTGAACAGTTGGTATATTTGGTCAGATGGGGCCCAGATTTCCAAATGGTAACATTTGATGGGAGTTGAGTATTAATTATCCCCTTTCTCCAATTTATCTGAGCTTCCATTACTCACATAATATGTGCAATGTAGGTTATTTGCAATGTATTAGTCAGGGCTCTCTAGAGGGATAGAACTAATAGGATAGGTGTATATTAAAAGAGAGCTTATTGAGGAGTACTGATTCACACGATCACAAGGTGAAGTCCCACTATAGGCCATCTGCAAGCTGAGAAGCAAGGAAGCCAGTCCAAGTCCCAAAGCTGAAGAACTTGGAGTCCGATGTTCAAGGGCAAGAAGCATCCAGCACAAGAGAAAGATGGAGGCCAGAAGACTAAACCAGTCTAGTCTTTCCATGTTCTTCTGCCTGCTTTTATTCTGGCTATGCTGGTAGCTGATTAGATTGTGCCCATCCAGACCGAGGGATCTGCCTTTCTCAGTCCACTGACTCAACTGTTAATCTTTGGCAACACCCTCACAGACACACCCAGAAACAATGCTTTGCATCCTTCATTCCAATCAAGTTGACACTCAATATTAACCATCACAGCAGCCTACTTCACCCATTTTTATTTGTGTAACTTTTGAAGGAATTTGTGTTTAAAACCTTCTTTCTAGACCATCATTTATGTAGTAAACATAATATTTTGGAGTAATATAGATGGATAGCCAAATTTTAGTTCTGCTTGTCATCAGCAGGTAGCCTTGGAAGTTATTTTACTTTTTGTAATTCAATTATGGTCCTTAATGCAATGCCTGTTACATAGAACATACTCATTACTTAATAAGTGGTTTTGCTACCTCTGCTACTACTATTACTAAAACTAATGTTATTACTACTGACATCATCACTACTACTATTCGGGTCACATTCTCTAGATTTTCAACAGAGGATAGCTATGTTGATAATTCTCCATATCCTGTGTCCCTGGGGGGAGTGGAGACCACCAAATTACTGACTCTTTACTAGTGGTCCTCTAATTTGCAGTTAATCACCTGCGTTGACCTGTAAATACCTTTCCTCAAAGATAAAGGTGGCACTTGTCACATTCCATCCAAGTCCTCTTGTGATTACAGGGAATCTTGTGCATATTAGAGTTCTCAGCTCTGAGCTGCTGGTCAGGACCTCTCTGGACTCTGAGGTCAACACATCAACACATACTCAGAGAAAAAAAAAATCCTTTACTTACTCCTGTTCCCACAAAACATACTGCACCTGTAGGAAAAACTGATTTGATTCTGCATTTTCAAAAGCAACCCTTAAAACTATCATTTTTTTTCTCAATTTTACAATGGAGCTAAGATGATCTTTACTCTTGTAGTGGACCATGTGCTGCCCACTGCTCCTCCTGTAGAACTGAAGGGCTTTTCCTCCAGCTGCCAGGAGTACTGCTGCCTGCTAGATCACAGCTGGAAATGGTCCTCAGCTGAAGAGAACTGCCTTGGGCAAATTATGTCCCCTTCCCAGGGGAAATTCATACGCTGTCTCTGGTGTTTAAGCTGGGTGCAAAACCTTTTCTTCCTCTCCCCAGCTGGGGACAACTCTGAAAAGCCATCCTAGCTGCAGTGCTCTCACGGTTTCAACTAAGGACTTTGTTGAGAATGTACTGCAGCACAACCTCACCCTCTGTTCAATCCTGCTTCCTTCTCTCTTCTTCCAGCTGATAATACCTACAGCACTTCCCAGCAAACTTGCTGTAGGCTAGTCCCTGGCTCAGAGTCAACTGCTCAGGCAGTCCTAACTGAATGTACAGATTAACCCAGATTTTGTGTATTCTAAATATGAGTGTAATATAGAGTTCACTGGACATTTCCCAGTTCAAATAATTCCATGGTGATTGTAAAAAAAGACAAAACAGTAATATTTATATATATAGTGACTTAAATAAACTAGAACTATAGAGAATATTCTAAACAAATGAGATTCTAACATATTCTTCACAGAACACATATTTATATAATATTCAATGTTTAATTTGTTTTGTATTTATTGATAAAGCTCCATTATTATAAGGTACATGGGTACACTTTGGTCAAGAATTAGACCCAGGCAGACATCCAGGCATGCACGAGTTAGCGGGATTGGTGCACCAGTGCATGCTCCACTTGTTATATAACCTGTTTGTGTAAGTTCATACTTGGCTCTGAGCCACTATTGTCTTAGCAGGTACAACTGCCCTGCTATTGCTGTACAGGAGCTGCTGGAGCCCAGAAAAATAGAGAACCAGAGCTGCTCATCTTGCAGATGGACAGAGGAGAGCCAGGGCATGGCCTGCCTGGACGTGGCATGCACTCTGGTCCCCAGAGAGAGAGTAGCACTGTGTCTGGAATTGGTAGGTTCTTGGTCTCACTGACTTCAAGAATGAAGCCGCGGACTCTCGCGGTGAGTGTTACAGTTCTTAAAGGCAGCGTGTCCGGAGTTTGTTCCTTCTGATGCTCAGATGTATTCAGAGTTTCTTCCTTCTGGTGGGTTCGTGGTCTTGCTGGCTCAGGAGTGAAGCTGCAGACCTTCACAGTGAGTACTACAGCTCATAAAAGCAGTGTGGACCCAAAGAGTGAGCAGCAGCAAGATTTATTGCAAAGAGCAAAAGAGCAAAGCCCCCACAATGTGGAAGAGGACCCCAGCAGGTTGCTACTGCTGGCTGGGGCAGCCTGCTTTTATTCTTATCTGGCCCCACCCACATCCTGCTGATTGGTAGAGCCTAGTGGTCTGTTTTGGCAGGGCGCTGATTGGTGCCTTTACAATCCCTGAGCTAGGCACAAATGTTCTTCACCTCCCCACCAGATTAGCTAGATACAGAGTGTGGACACAAAGGTTCTCCAAGGCCCCACCAGAGTAGCTAGATACAGAGTGTCGATTGGTGCATTCACAAACCCTGAGCTAGACACAGGGTGCTGATTGGTGTATTTACAATCCCTGAGCTAGACATAAAGATTCTCCACATCCCCACCACACTCAGGAGCCCAGCTGGCTTCACCCAGTGGATCCCGCACAGGGGCTGCAGGTGGAGCTGCCTGCCAGTCCCGCGCCGTACACCCGCACTCCTCAGCCCTTGAGTGGTCGAAGGGACTGGGCGCCGTGGAGCAGGGGGCAGCGCTCTTCCAGGAGGCTCAGGCGGCACAGGAGCCCAAGGAGGGGGTGGGAGGCTCAGGTATGGAGGGCTGTAAGTCCCGAGCCCTGCCCCGCGGGAAGGTAGCTAAGGCCCGGTGAGAAATCAAGAGCAGCGCCGGTGGGCTGGCACTTCTGGGGGACCCAGTACACCCTCCGCAGCCGCTGGCCCGGGTGCTAAGCCCCTCATTGCCCGGGGCCGGTAGGGCCCGCCGGCTGCTCCGAGTGCGGGGCCCGCCAAGCCCACGCCCACCGGAAACTCCAGCTGGCCCGCAAGCGCGCGCGCAGCCCGGGTTCCCGCTCTTGCCTCTCCCTCCACACCTCCCTGCAAGCTGAGGGAGCCTGCTCCGGCCTTGGCCAGCACAAAAAGGGGCTCCCACAGTGCAGCGGTGGGCTGAAGGGCTCCTCAAGTGCTGCCAAAGTGAGAGCCCAGGCAGAGGAGGCGCCAAGAGCGAGCGAGGGCTGTGAGGACTGCCAGCACGCTGTCACCTCTCAGCACTACTGACCAGTGTAAGGAAGAGCTGGTCACCTTGAAGGGGGGCAGTGGGAAGCCAGGAATCAGCTTGTGCCCAGAGGGAAAGAATTGAGCTGCTAAAACTGTAAGGGAGAGCTTACCTTGCAGACTGGCTGTGCAGCTGTGCGTGGGAGCCGGCTGCTGAGAGGAGCTGCAGAGCCGGAGCAAACAGCAGAGATAAAGGTGGACAGTGAGAGAGCTAATGTGAGTAAGCTGCTGATGGGAGAGCTGCTGAAAAAAACTACATTTCACCTACCTACAGCCCCCCGAGGGTTCTTTCAGCTATCTGCCATTCATCTACCCACTCCCCTCAGACCTCAGCATGGCCTGGAATCTGTCCCCAAGAGGGACATTTGGTGTAATTGTGAACCTAACAATTAAAATAATGAAAAAGAAGTAGTGAATTTAAACATAAATGGACCTCTTCACGTGCATGTACTCTTATTAAAACTTTCAGGGAAATCTTCCCAGGGTATTTTGTTCTCCAATGTTCAAGTTCAGTGTGTGTTCTAGAAAATACAGTGACAATGAGTGTTTTTCACCTTACTGAGATTGTAAGGCACATGGATGTGCTTTGGTCAAGGAATAGGCCGAGGCGGATATCCAGGCTGGCGTGGCTCAGTGAGTTTGGCTTGCAGGCACAGACCTCTACTTGTTATATAAACTGTGTAAGTTCAGACTTGGCCCTGAGCCACTATTGTCTGTAAAAGGTATAATTGCCCTGCTGACACTGCACAGGGCTTGGCTTGGCCCAGCACGGCTCCTCTGCAGGCTCTGGTGCCCAGAAAGAGAGAGAGAGCCAAAACTGTCCATCTTGCCAATGAACAGAGGGGAGCTACAGCATGGCTCAGCACGGCATGGCATGTTATGGCTTGTGCTCGTGCCCAGAGAGAAAAAAGAGTTAAGCTACTGACCCTGAAGGCAGGGTCAAGCCAGCCATGCAGCTGTGTGTTGGAGCTGCCGCCTCAAGCAGCCGAGACAGGGCAGACAGTGTGAGACAGCCAGTGTAAGAAAGCTATTGATGAGAGCTGCTGCTGAATAAAACCATATTCTCCTGCCTACGGCCCCCCAAGTGTTCTTTCTGCCCATCCACCCAGTCCTTCTGGGTCTCAGCTGGGGCTGGAACCTGATAGAGATTTTTTATTGTCAGCTTATTTTCTTTAAAATAATTGCTTCTTGCTTGAAAAATTTGGACTTCTTCATCCAAAACAGACTAAATATGGTTAACAGGGTTTTAGTTCCTTAATAAAAAAAGAGAGTATTAGATATAATAAGACTTTACTTAATAGGAGGTAATGAGCAACTTGGTGGATTTTGTTAGCAAAATTTCATTAGTGTAGTATTAGTTTTGTAAGAAAGGAATACTTCACTTACTTGAATAACAGCAGGGTTATTTTTTGGAAATGTGGGCTTTATTATATGTGACATTATTTGAAATAATTATCTATACAAACAGTGTTGCAAATAGGAATTAGGTTTCAAAAGAAATTTACTTTTATTGTATTATATAAAAGATATAATTTTACTTTCTCATTTACTTTCATAATTACCTCACACTTGCTCTCTTCAAACCTCAAATTCAATCTCTTCCCCCTTCATTCAGAAGAAAACTAGTCCATCTTTCCCCTAACAAATTTCAAGACATACCTTATGTAAAGCCGCACCCTGACTTTTCTTCTATTGAATTCAATGAATTCTCTCTGCTGTTGTATACATCCAAACTCTCTCCTTTGGCACAGGATTCCATCCACTCTTGTCTACTCAAGGTCTTTTTTCTTACAGTTATTTTCTTTCTGTCTCTTTTCTTTTATGCCTGAATCAATTATCCCCTCCCAAGTGATTTCCATCGGCATACAAACTTGCTATTCTTTTCTATCTTAAGAAATCTTCCCTTGACCCATTGTTCTCTCTAGCTGCTGCCACATATTTCTGATCTCTTTCAAGAGTAAAACTCCTTAAAAGAAATGTCTCTACTGGCTTTCTCCACTTTCTTTTCTCCAATTCTCTCTTTAACCTGTTCCAATTTTTTGTCACCATGACATCACTAAAAGTCTACTAAAAATGGAGGTAGCTATTGGCTTCCATCTTGTCAAGTCCAGTGATCCATTTACTGTGCTTTTCCACCTTAAGCTCTCAGCAGAGTGTGGCATGGTTGAACACTCTCCTGGGTTTTCTTTCTACAGCTCTGCTAGCCTTTCCTCAACATCTTTGGTAACTTTTCCTCCTATTACCTGTCTCTAAATGTGCAGCACTAGAGTTCACCTGTTGGCCTCTGATATGGTTTGGCTCTGTGTCGTTACCCAAATCTCATCTCAAATTGTATTCCCCATGTGTCAAGGGAGTGACCTGGTGGGAGGTGATTGGATCATGGGGGCAGCTTTTCCTCCACACTATTCTCATGATAGTGCCGGAGTTCTCGTGAGGACTGATGGTTTGAAAAGTGTTTGTTTGGAAGTTCCTCTCTCTGTCTCTCCTGTCTCCTTGTGAAGAAGGTGCCTGCTTCTCCTTCACCTTCTGTCATGATTGTAAGTTTCTTGAGGCCTCCCCAGCAGTGCAGAACTATGAGTCAAACCTCTTTCCTTTATAAATTATCCAGTCTCAGGTAGTTTCTTTATTGCAGTGTGAAAACAGACTAATATAGTGTTTATTTTTCTAGACTCTCCTAAGTGACCTCATTCAGTTCCATAGAATTAAATACCACATCTCTGCTGATGGCTTCCAAGTTATATGTTCATTTGTAACCCTTCCATTGACTTTTTCAGCATTAAGCCTTTACTTGGATATCTAAGAGACATCTCAAACTTTATATGTTAAATTGAACCCTTAATTTCCATCTTATCGTGTCTCCCCTCCTTGTCTAATTCTAATTAATCTCAGAAAACAGTATCACTGTTTATGTCACTGCTGAAGACAAAACTAATAAGCTGTCATTGCTGTCTTTATCTCACTCTTCTTTTTCTTACTTTCAACACCTGCTCTATCAGCAAGTCCTGTCGGTTCTACCTTCAAAATACATACTAAGTCCCATCACCTGTCACTATTTCCACTACTGTTAAACTAGGATCATTATCTCCCACTTAGACTTTTCTAAGAGCCTCCAAACAAGGATGCTTTCACTCGTGTTCCCACTTTAGTCCATTCGTCACATAGCAGCGGGGGGTGATTTTCTTTTAAACATAAATTAGATCAAGTAATGTTCTTTCTCAAAATCCATCTATTTATTTAGATTATATTCAAAATAATCCCTCAATTCCTCCCTGCTCCTATAATGTTTGCCATGCTCTGGCCCCTGTCTGTCTCTCCATCCTTGTTCTTACCACTCTCCCACTTTCTCATTCTGTTTTAACTATACTGGCCTTCCATTCTTCAAATCGTCCAAGCTGATTCTTGCTTCATGGCACTCCAGCTGGAATATCTCCTCCATAAGATTTTCACTCATTGACATCATTCAGGGTTCCACCATGGAATGAATTGTGTCCTCTCACACTTAACTTAATATGTTGAAGCTTAAACCCCCAAGTTAATGGTGTTTGGAGAAGGGGCTTTTTGGAGATAGCTAGATTAAAATGAGGTCTTGAGGGTGGGACTCTCATGATGGGATTAGTGCCCTTATATGAAGAGAAATGAGAGTTTTCTGTGTCTCTCTCCTTGTCACATGAGGAAACAGCAGCTGTCCCCAGGCAAGGCAGGCATTCCTTACCAGAAACAGACTATCCTGGCATCCTGAAGTTGGACTCCTAGCCTCCAGAACTGTGAGAAAATAGATTTCTGTTGTTTAAGTCACCCAAGTCTATGATGTGTTGTTATGGCAGCCTGATTAAAACAGTCTCTGTTCTCCTTCCTTTACAGATCTTTTCTGACCACGTATTTAAAAGAGACTTCCCTGCCCCACATTTATTCTCTAGGCTTATATGCTGCTGTGTTTTATTCTTGGCACCAACTCCCTGAAGATATGTTATGTATTCTGTTGTTTACTTTTACTCTCTGTGCCCACACTACAGTGGATGTTTTGTGACAACCAGGACTCCTGTTCATTGCTGTCTTTTATGTATCTAAAACAGTGCTGACCACATGGTGGGATCTCAATAAACATTTATTCAGTGAATGAAAGACCCAAAGTAAAAAATGCTAAAATAAGATTTGGGAGTGAAAAAAGCAAGGGAAAAGGGATTGAGGCAGATCTGGAACTAGAGAGGTCTAGTCTCCACAAGGTATACTTAGAAGGCAATAGATAAAAGTAGAGAGTAGGAGAGGAGGGAAGACATTCATAGGCAGCAGAGTTGAGGCTTTTCATCATGTTTAACTAGATTTTGCATCCAAAGAAACAAGATGAAGGAGTGCAAATAATGAAGAAGTTGGTGTGGGCTAGGTGAAAGACAGTGCATAAAGAGCCTAATCTGCAGTGACTTGCTTGAGCATTCCTCTTAGGTGGAGTGAAGTGAGTCCCTTTGGAATGAAAACCTTTCATAAAGGAACTAGCTAAACTAAGTTGAATAACTACATATATAGTTATTCCTGAGGCCTCCCCAGCAATGCAGAACTGTAAGTCAATTAAACCTCTTTCCTTTATAAATTATCCAGTCTCAGGTGTATGTGTGTGTGTGTGTGTGTGTGTCTGTGTAGTGTGTGTATATATATATATATATATATATATATATATATATACACACACTACACAGACACACACATATTTATAATCTATGTATATTCTTGGCAAGGATCCTGTTTAGATAATGTTTAAAAATGCACAGGATCATAATCCTTATCAATTTTGCCCTTTTAACTATTCTATATTTCTGTTTGGTTCATTGTTAGCTCTTAGGAGTCCATTAAAACTGAAGCCTCTCATACCTGAAGGGTCCACTTGTGGACATAAAGACCCTACAGTGAAGAGCTGACTATGATCCAGGGGGTTGCAAAATTAGTCCATGGAGATTTTTAACAATGTGTGAAACCCTATCAGGTTAGTTTTGGATTTTACCAAAAAGAGCCAAGATAGCACAGTAATATAAGAACAGATACTTGATGTGTAAATAATGAATGATTAAATATAGGATTTGTTCAAATGTTAATATTTCTGTGTGAATTATACTGACAATATTTGGTGGTTCTATACACTGGTTCTATAATTTTGTGAATGGAGATCATCATGTTTCTAATTAAAATCAACATTTAACTGGTCTTTTAAATTCCATCATGATTGTGAAATTCATAATTTTCAAGTATTTCATGAGTAAAATACAAAATGTTTTGAAGTTTGCATTTGAAAGTGCATGCATATGGCATGTTGATAAAATAAGCGTGCACACCAAAGCTTAAACATCTTGTGTTTAGTTCATATATATAACTCCCATTGTCTAGCATATTTGCCTTTGGTTTTCAAAGACCATTTCTGAAAGAGTTATTTATTGATAGTAATTTAAAACAAAATGTAAACGTTCCTCATTCACTTTCTCAGATCTTCTTTTTCCTTCCTACATTTGTGGTTCTTTTGTATACATTTACTGTAGTGACTTTTTAAATAGTTCTCCAATTTTCCTCCTCCTGAGGTCAGATGTCAAAAGCAGTTATATTTCCCAGATATTTACTAGGGACAGTAAGAGGGAGGCATGAGGAGCTTCAGTGATATTCTAATGGCCATGGAGGCAAGGGTTAAGGATGTTATAATCTTTGTTCTCCTAAGACCACACTCATTTGAACAGCATCTCTACTTTAGAAAGAAGAAGGTAGACAGGAATTAAGTCATTAACTTCCTGGGATTTAGATAGGTCTTTATGAGATTGCTTATCTCTTATCTCCCAGTTATACTTATTAGGTGCTCAGAAATGACACTCATTAGTCTCAAAGAGTTACCTTAAATAAAGCCATTTTTAAAAACTAGTTACCTATTTCAGGAGACAATTGTATAATAGAAATTATGGACTCATTGTAAGATTTTCAGGATCTGAACTCTGACCTGGACATTTAGTGGCAACCTGGCATCAGTCAAATTATTTTATCAGTATGAACCTGTTTCCTTGTCTGTAAAATAAAGATAACATATTTCTCTATTATTCATTTATTCAACCAGTATTTGCTGGATGTTTACCTATGAGAAGAACAAGTTTGTTTTGAAGATTAAATAACAGTAATATGAAAGTGCCTAACATAATACCTCACATATGAAAAGTGATACATATTTGCATAGTGCTAGCATACAAAAATATCAAACATTCAACTAATAATTATCTTACTAAGGGTCTTATACTATGACTAAAATGTACTTAGAGTGGACAGATAAGGGAACTCAAAAGTTGTGAGTGCTGAAAGGAAAAATATTCTTCAAAAATCAATCAGCTATTGTCCCTTTGCTGGATACATTTTCTGGTAGGAAAATATGTCTATTTTCTGTTCATTCCATCTTTCCTTTACTCTCTCTTTTACGGAAGCAGAGGCTCTGAACAAAGTTAAATTGTGGTCCATCTGGCTTTTGGACTAGCAGCAAAATTTTTTCTGAACTTCAACCTACTTCCTGATTATTTTATGGTATTGTTATAGATATATTCTGACTGCAAAAAAGGTAAAACTATCCTCATTGCTGCAAGAAGAAAAAAGACAAAATATTCTCTTTTTTGGTTGTTATACTTTAAGTTCTAGGGTGCATATGCACAACGTGCAGGTTTGATACAAAGGTATACATGTGTCATGTTGGTTTGCTGCACCCATCAACTCGTCATTTACATTAGGTATTTCTCCTAATGCTATCCCTCCCCCTCCCCCCACCCCCTAACAGGCCCCGGTGTGTGATGTTCCCCGCCCTGTGTCCAAGTGTTCTCATTGTTCAATTCCCACCTATAGATAAGAACAAGCAGTGTTTGGTTTTCTGTCCTTGTGATAGTTTGCTCAGAATGGTGGTTTCCAGCTTCATCCATTCCCTGCAAAGGACATGAACTCATCCTTTTTTATGGCTGCTTAGTATTCCATGGTGTATATGTGCCACATTTTCTTAATCCAGTCTATCATTGATGGACATTTGGGTTGGTTCCAAGTCTTTGCTATTGTGAATAGTGCTGCAGTAAACATACATGTGCGTGTGTCTTTATAGTAGCATGATTTATAATCCTTTGGGTATATACCCAGTAATGGGATCACTGGGTCAAATGGCATTTCTAGTTCTAGATCCCTGAGGAATCACCACACTGTCTTCCGCAATGGTTGAACTAGTTTACAGTTCGCCAACAGTGTAAAAGTGTTCCTATTTCTCCCCATCCTCTCCAGCACCTGTTGTTTCCTGACTTTTTAACGATCGCCATTCTAACTGGTGTGCAATGGTATCTCATTGTGGTTTTGATTTGCATTTCTCTGATGGCCAGTGATAGCATTTTTTCATGTGTCTTTTGGCTGCATAAATGTCTTCTTTTGAGAAGTGTCTCTTTATATCCTTTGCTCACTTTTTGATGGGGTTGTTTGTGTTTTTCTTGTAAATTTGTTTGATTTTTTTGTAGATTCTGGATATTATCCCTTTGTCAGATGAGTAGATTGCAAAAATTTTCTCCCATTCTGTAGGTTGCCTGTTCACTCTGATGGTAGTTTCTTTTGCAGAGCAGAAGCTCTTTAGTTTAATTAGATCCCAGTTGTCTATTTTGGCTTTTGTTGCCATTGCTTTTGGTATTTTAGTCATGAAGTCCTTGTCCATGCCTATGTCCTGAATGGTATTGCCTGGGTTTTCTTCTAGGGATTTTATAGTTTTAGGTCTAACATTTAAGTCTTTAATCCATCTTGAATTAATTTTTGCATAAGGTGTAAGGAAGGATTCCAGTTTCAGCTTTCTACATATGGCTAGCCAGTTTTCCCAGCACCATTTATTATATAGGGAATCCTTTCCCCATTTCTTGTTTTTGTCAGGTTTGTCAAAGATCAGATAGTTGTATATATGCGGCATTATTTCTGAGGGCTCTGTTCTGTTCCATTGGTCTATATATCTGCTTTGGTACCAGTCCCATGCTCTTTTAGTTACTGTAGTCTTGTAGTATAGTTTGAAGTCAGGTAGCTTTATGCCTCCGGCTTTGTTCTTTTTGCTTAAGATTGTCTTGGTTATGCAGGCTCTTTTTTGGTTCCATATGAACTTTAAAGTAGTTTTTTCCAATTCTGTGAAGAAAGTCATTGGTAGCTTGATGGAGATGACATTGAATCTGTAAATTACCTTGGGCAATATGACCATTTTCACGGTATTGATTCTTCCTATCCATGAGCATGGAATGTTCTTCTATTTGTTTGTGTCCTCTTTTATTTTGTTGAGCAATGGTTTGTAGTTCTCCTTGAAGAAGTCCTTTACATCCCTTGTAAGTTGGATTCCTAGGTATTTTATTCTCTTTGTAGTAATTGTGAACGGGACTTTACTCATGATTTGACTCTCTGTTTGTCTGTTATTGGTGCGTAGGAATGCTTGTGATTTTTGTACATTGATTTTGTATCCTGAGACTTTGCTGAAGTTGCTTATCAGCTTAAGGAGATTTTGGGCTGAGACGATGGGGTTTTCTAAATATACAATCACGTCCTCTAGAAACAGGGACAATTTGACTTCCTCTTTTCCTAACTGAATACCCTTTATTACTTTCTCTTGCCTGAGTGCCCTGGCCAGAACTTCCAACATTATGTTGAATAGGAGTGGTGAGAGAAGGCATCCTTGAAAAAGACAAAATATTTTTATTGCTGAAATAAATAGCATACAGAAAGAAAAAGCATACAGTTCCAGAAAAACATGCATACATTTTTTAGAGTTTGCAATTGGTCAAATTTCAATTATTTCAAAGGCTGTCATTGTCATGGTAAATGTTCAGTGGATTAGCGCCAATGGCTGTTAGTAAATATTCAGTTGGCCCTATAAGTACAAGGACAGGTTGATTCATAGCATGGAGGCCCAATGCTTTCTGTATCTGATTTTCTAAGCTAAATGTGTGTAATCACTTTTCTTTAAGCTGGGATTTTTTTAAAAATTAAAGGATCAGATACCATCTGCCAGGTTGTTTTATTTATGATAATATTTGAGTAATATGAACAAAAATCATTGTTTTACTACAAGCAGTTTTAATGAGGTAAAATCCTGAGGTTTAAACAGGAAGCATGATATAAGTTATAGAATATATAGGTTTGTTTGTGATCTCTAAATTCTTTTGGAGTAGTGCCTAAAAAGCTTCCTAAATAACTGCCCCATTTCTCCCTTTTAATTCAATTATAACTTGTTCAAACACAATGGTCAACATATGTGGATAAAAAGGGATTTATAGCTCATCTGAGGATATAATATATCCACATATCACTTTATTTTGTTTGATTATTGCTCCTTGGGCAATGCAATGCAATTACCAAATAGTAATATTCACAGTTACATATGCAGTTTTTACCAGAAATTTAAAATTGTGACCATTGCTAATTTTAATCACAGTATTTTCATTGAGAGATCAGAAGTCTTGACTATAGTATTTTCTCCAAAATAGTTTACTTGGTGATTCCAGGCTAGTCACTTTTGCCCTGTTTTCCTCGTTTGTAAACTAGGGATAATGCCACATGCCTCCTCACCAAGCATGTGGTGAGGATTAATTAGATAAATATCAGCAGAGCCCTCTGAGCTCCTTAGGGTTGGGGTGTTTATCCACCTGAGCTATTATTATCATTATCATCGTTATGCCATTTCACCTGGATCATAAATAAAACTCATAGCTGTTAAAGATGGAAGAGATTGCGTTGGTCTGCCAAGTTCCACCCCACAACCTCTCTAAGTAGCAGGGCAAGAACAAGTAAGTCCCTTGACAGGAGACACAGAATGGATTAAACTGATACTTCACTTGATCATAGCCAAAATGTTTGTGTTAATGAGCTTAATAGTATTTACTTGGTGGGAGTCCAGAATAGCTGTCCTTTTTTGTGGCAGGTGCCAGAACCAAAGCCAAAGCGAGTCTGGATTTAGCAATTCCAATTATTTCTCAGGATTTGCTCCCTTCCAAGACAGCACTTATCATAATCACTCATTCATAATAGACACCCTGTTAAGTTGACATTAGATATCCATAACCAGATTCAGGAATCCATTTTCCTTCTTAAAAACACTATTTTAACTTTATGTGATAAGGCCTATCAGACATGTTTTACATTTAGAGTGAGAGTTTGCCTTTGATAATGATAACACCAAACAACTAATTCCAGATTCTCTTGATCTGATAACACTCCTACAAGAATTGCATTTTAATTGTTTTGAAGCTTACAAAGATATCTCTTGATTAATTTTTTTCTTGTCTGCAGGAGCAAAAAGGGAATTCAGAGGACATCCTAATGAAAAATGAAAATGGATCATCACACAAGTAGCTTATTATGAGATGTAAAACCCCATGAAAAATTAATATAATATTTCTCAAGCAGGGTAAGTTGTGTGTATGTTTTAATAATCCAGAACACATGGATATTTTACATCCAACTAGAAGGCAGAGATGTAAGGTGAAAGTGACCTTGTAATAAGGAAGAATTCACGTATGGCTGCAGGATGCTTGAGTGAGCAGACTAACTGGTGACTGAAATTAGAAAACCCTTCCAATCAGTGTGAGGTAGAGAGAGCATATATTGACAGAATGACTGAAATGACATTGACAGCCAGTAGGTCTCAGGCTGCTCACACATAAGTAAGCCTACATGGGTATCTTGGTGAAAGAAATTACTTATCATTTTATTTTAGTTTTTGAAGAGAGGAAGAGCGCAGAGAAAAGGTGTGTTTCTTTGGTTTGGGAATGTGCAAATTCCATTTTCAAGCCTTGTATTAGCTAGTTTATATTTTCTGTCATTAGTAATATTCTTTTCTTCTCTAGGTAAAACAGCCTTGCTTTAGTGTATTCGCTAGACCAATGCTTCATCCATAAAGAATAATTTGGTGTTCCTAGATAAAAACCTCTTCCTGCCCTTATGCAGCACAGAGATAATATTTTAATAGCTGACTTGGTTAATTGTGGGTTTCACGAGGCAATGTATTTTTGGTACATTAGGAGACTATCTACGTCTAACTCTTAATCTTGATGTCCCAAAGTTTTCCATTTAAAATAATATTGTTTTCCTAGGCAGCATGGCTGACCCCTGCATTTCCTTTTTTCTTTTGCTTCTCCTTGTACTGGTCTCTAACTTTCAAATTTTCCATAATTATAGAGACCATATATCCCAGGCTTTCAGAAGCTGTCCAATTTCTCCTTGCAGTTTTGCAAATCACTGAAATAAATGTCCTAAGCATCCAAATAACATTTGCTATATTGCCTATCCCATCAGAAAGCTGTACAAAATTCCTGAGTCAGGTGCATTGTGATCCGTTTATAAGGAAGATATGGTCTGTGAGCCCATGTAAGGCATGTTTGAAAACTTAAATGAATCCACTTATTTGTAGGTTATGAATGCTTTGCTTTAGTCAGTAAGTATGTTTTTACCAACATAAGAAAATGCTATGTGTTGGTAATGATCCAATTTTTCCTCCTTCCAATAGTTAACTCTGTTTAAGTATTTATCGAATGTCCACTTTAGGCAGGCTCCCTTTTACTTCTTGGCCACAGATTCAGTTCCAAGTTCTTAGGAAAAAAAAAAAAGGATTAAGATGTGAGCTGAGCAGTCCATGTGTTAACATAGTCATCTCAAAGATAAAATGTTTTCTAGCCCAGACACGGTGGCTCACGCCTGTAATCCCAGCACTTTGGGAGGCCGAGGCGGGCAGATCACAAGGTCAGGAGATCGAGACCATCCTGGCTAACACGGTGAAACCCCATCTCTACTAAAAATACAAAAAAAAAAAAAAATTAGCCAGGCGTGGTGGTGGGCGCCTGTAGTCCCAGCTACTAGGGAGGCTAAGGCAGGAGAATGGCATGAACCCAGGAGGCGGAGCTTGCAGTGAGCCCAGATCATGCCACTGCACTCCTGCCTGGGCGACACAGCGAGACTCCATCTCAAAAAAAAAAAAAAATTTTCTAAAATTATCAACCAGAAAATTTTGAAGGAGAGTAGATGCCATTAAGTTTACAGTATATTTTGATAAAGTTAGAGCTACTTTAAAGACTCATATTTAGCATTTACCCACAAAATTTTCTATGTAATGTCTAGTAATAATCATATTTATTGCTTCTGATTTGATCAGAGGTTAAAAATCTGACGTCTACAGAAAGAGAATTGTTTATCTGATGAAGCCTAAATATCAAAATGCCCGAGCCTGGAGAAACCCTTTCTAGATGAAATTTTCTCAGAGAATGTAGGAGATGGTAGAGTGTAGTCATTGTTTGGGGGACACGGACCTCCATCATCTTACTCATGTGTGCTCCTAACCCTGGACTTTCTTCTCTATTTGGTAAACAGCCTGTTATTTTTTAGGACTCAGGTAAAGGGAAGATACACAGCTAACAGATAAATACTTTGTCAACTTTGATCTTATGCTTTTAATAAACTTCTGTTGATCTGCTTCCATATGCCAATTGTTGTGTTCTTTTTTGGAGAATTTGTGACGACTGCTTCTAAAACAATTGGGATGTTCTAGCTTTTTGATTGCTGCTTTTGACATTTTATAATGCCTGGCAACTGAGATTGGCAAATTAATATGGTTTTTTATTTTTTACACATAGAGTCTATTCTCCTAAACTTGACTAAGCTGGAATGTTAGGTTCTGGGAACAAGAAAAAATTTTCAAGAAGATATATATGTACATCTATCGGTATATATTTATTTATCTATTGAGAGAAGAGAGTAAGAAAGAGCATGCTAGATGTTGGTCAAAACTGATTCCTACCTATGAGATTGTCTTTAGTGAGGTAAGGCATGATTTTTCTACTGTGCATTATATTACATTCCTTCCTGTTTAATTTGTTTGTTAAATTGATCTTAGAATATTATCTATTGCTTTCATCTCACCTAGACTGCAATGTTATTCACATTTTCTTGAATATGTCTGGCACTTCAATAGCAATCAAAGCAATTTAAAAAATCTAGCAACACATTGATAATAGTAGAAAACATATTTAATTCCTGGTGAAGTATTTTTGGTGGAATTAGTTCTGCCTAGGATTGCATATTATATTCTTATTGAATAATCACTTCCAATTCCCACACAAATACTTAAAACTACCCTAAAGATGAATTACCAAAAATACAAGACTGCCTATTTAAGAAACCATGTTTGTTATAGTTTTATTCTTAAATCTCGTTTATGTTATTGTGGGTTAGACATTTAACATTTATCTCTTACATTGGAGAAATCCAAAGTTAGAAAGTGTAATAATATCAAATAATATACAAAATGATAGTGTAATTGCATGATTCCCAACTTAAAAAATAATCCCCTATTTCATGTACTCTCCTTCTCAAACTGTCTTTATTAAGTAATCATTAATTTATAGTCCCCATATTTTTTATATCAATATAACATAAAACTGCCAATTCAGAGCTTCTGATCAACATTAATAGTTGAAGTCAACAACAGTATAATTTATTGATTGTCTATAGCATGCCAGGCACTGAGGATGTAAAGGTGAATAAAGCACAATCTTGGCCTTCAAGGAGTTTACAGTCTAGTGAGAAAGGTATACATCAATTTGAGCTGATTTCATGATATAATATTAAGCAAAGAGATCACATTGAAGTTTTAAGCTGTCCTATAACCTTTTATTACATAAATGTATGATTTTCATTGAACTTTTGAAATTAGGTCAAGGATTTTTATGTCTATCGCTGAATGGGTTATTACTAGCCCAAGCTGAAAAGGTGAAAGGCATTGACAGTGTTAGGATTAGAGCTTAGGATAATAACTCCATCAAAAAAGGCTTTTGGCATTTAAGTGATTTTATATGTAGCTGAATTAGTGTTAAGTGAAATAGGTTTGCATTATGGGAAAAATAATGGAAAATATGTATTTTTAAAAGTAGTATTTTATGAAGTGGTGGTACAGTGAAAAATGTTAGATTTGCTACCAACCTGTCAAATGTACCAAAACCACAAAAGGGAGAAATAAGTGTTTTGCAAGAGGAATTCTAGAAGCAATCTCTTTAATGAATGCTATTTGGCACTTTTGACCTGGGCACAGTCTCAGGGGAGATTATTCTCTAGTGAGCAAGGAAGCAGGATAGACAATGAAAATCTGGGATTTATTATTCCCAAGTAGACTATAACTCTATGCATCTTAGGCTCTGATTTTTTTCTACTGACTAATACCAGAAGTTTAGGAGGAAGAGGCATATTGTGTCTCACTCCAAGATTTTTATTAATATACCTGATTTGTCTCCCTTGCACACAAATACACATAAACACACATACTTAAACACACACACACATTTATACACAAAGCCTCCAGTGATTTGGACAATGCTATTTATGGAGGAGGTAGGCTCTGGTTCCTAAATCCGGCAGTAATTACTCTATTTCTTGAAGCATGAGATTTGATTATTCATTTATTATTATGCATGCTGCATAATATTTTTTACTGTTTCTTTATGCAGCTCTTCTTGGAAAAAGAGTCTCGCAATTTAGCTTGGGAAGACCAATGTTTTGCCTGGGTATAGCAAGTTAGCTACCAGCTCTGCCAGAAAAGTGTGGGTTTTAGAAATCCCCAAAGTGGATTCTGGGCAGGTTACTGTTTTCTGAAGTGAAGCTCTTACGTTGAAGAAAAAGTTTAGAGGTTTAAGAAGGTGACTGAATTTGAAGAATGGAGCAGATAGGTACTAATTAAATATCACATGATATAATGCAGTTCTTATAACTTAAGTTTGGGTCCCAAACAATGGGGATCATGGGCTATTCATCTTCTTTAAATATGATTTAAGGACCACAGCTAGTGTCTTGGTTAAAATCTTTTATCATTATGAGGCCCTTCTGTGAAATCTGTTTGTGTTCTAGGAATATAATGTATATTAAAAATGGACCACAAAACAAAGGAATGCAACAGCTTAGTGTACAATATTGGAAAAATTTGGCTTCCTATATGAAGAAAAATAACACCGATCTTTGTTTTACTAATCTGCAGGAGATTTGACACATTAAAATCCTTATTGTGAAAGGTTAAATAGCATTGATAGAAGAAAACATAGTGAATATTTTGTAACTTAGGGGAGGAGAAGAATTTTTAGATGAAATTCCAGGGGTATACATTTTAAGACGATAAATGGCTAGGTCAGGTTACATTGAAATAAATATTTTTGTGTTTGTTGAATTTCTTTTTGAGAATTTAGTCATAAATTCTTTGCCTAGGGCAATGTCCCCAAGAATTTTTTCTAGTTTTCTTTCTAGGATTTTTATAGTTTCAGGTATGTAATCGACCTTGAGTTAATTTTTGTATATGGTGAGAGATGGGGGTTGAGTTTCATTCTTCTGCATGTGGCTCTCCAATTTGGGGACTTAAATTAAAAACCTTCTGTGCAGGAAAAGAAATAATCAATGATGTAAAGAGACAATGTACAGAATGGAGAAAATATTTGCAAACTATTCATCTGAAAAAGGGCTAATATCCTGAATCTGCAAAGAATTCAACAACTTAACAAGAAAAAGACAAGTAATCCCATTGAAAAATGGGCAAAGGGCATGAACAGATGTTTGCATTCTTCTGTAACGAAAACATACAAATAGACAACAAACGTATTAAAAAGGCTCCACATTACTACTCAGACATGCGGGTTAAAACTACGGTATGATACCATCTTACACCAGTCAGAATGACTATTATTAAAAAGTCCAAAAACAACAGATATTGGTGAGGATATGGAGAAAGGAAATGCTTATGCACTGCTGATAGAAATGTATTAGTACAACTTCTGTAGAAAACCATACGAAGATTTCGCAAAGAACTAAAAATAGAATGACCATTCTATCCAGCAATCCCACTACTAGGGCTCTACCCAAAGGAAAGTAAATCACCATATGAGAAAGACACCTGCACTCCCATGTTTACCACATTACCATTTACAACAGCAAAGTCATGGAATCAGCCTAAGCGTCCATCAACAATTCATTAGATAAAGAAAATGTAGTACATATGCAACATAGAGTACTATTAGTCAAAAAAAAAAAAAAAAAAGAAAAGAAAAAATCATGTCCTTTGCAGCAACATAGATGGAGCTGCTGGAGGCCATTATCCTAAGGGAAATAACTTAGAAACGGAAAATCAAATACCACATGTTCTCACTTACAAGTAAGAGCTAAACAATGGGCACACATGGACATACAGAGTGGAGTAGTAGGCATTGGAGACTCTAAAAAGTGGGATGATGAGAGAGTGGTGAGAGATGAAATACTACCTATTGGGTACAGTGTATGCTCTTCAGGTGATGAGTACACTAAAAGCCCAGACTTTACCACTGCACAATATATCCATGGAACACAACTGCACTTGTACTCCTAAATCTATAAAAATAAAAATACTTTTGCTCAATAAAGGATGCCACAGGCAAAGAAAGGTTTTAGACAACTACTTGAGAGACAATATTTGCATTTTGTAAAGTCAAGAAGGGATCCATTTCTAGAATATAAAGTAAATTTTTATAAAAACAAGAAAAAGATAAAAATCAAATGGAAAAAATAGGCAAAGGATATGAATTGGTAATTTAGAGAAGGGGAAACCTGATTTGCCAGTGAGTATATAAGGTATGTAAGAATCCAAGAAATGGAACTAAATTTGGCACTGAGATAAAATTTTACAAATGTCAGATTGGTCATGATTAGAATATGCTATGAAGGTTGGAGGGGATGTGAGATACTATAATTTTATGCTCTGCTAGTGAGAATAAATGATATATTTTTTACAGGAAGCTGACTGCCAGTCCGTAGTGAAAACAAGAAAATGCGTGCCTTATGATAATCCATCTGATGGATATCTGCCAGGAAATTTTTTCTCCGGTCACTAAGGAAACAAGTTTAGGGCTTATGTCAGGATGTTATTTGTTGTAGTACAGGGAAAAAGGAAGAGTCGGTTTCTATCACTAGACAAGTGAATAAGGAAACTGGGGTGGCTGCATAGCAAGGAAAATCACACACAATCAGGAACAGTAAACTAGATGTACATACAAGTCTCAAAGATAATTGACAAAGCAAAGATGAGGAGCAGAATAAAAGGCACAGCACAATGCCATTTTTGTAAATTAATGCATGACATAAAATGCATTTATAAGGATACATGGTAATTTAAGGACAGATATTAAACACAGTAGAGCAGATGCCTGGGGCTGGGGTCAAGGGTGAGGGTGGGGGTGGTGGGAACTGGAGTGAAGTACAAGAATGAAGGGGAAAACAGATCATGGCAACAAATAAAAAATTCTATATTTCTTCCTGACATTTCTCAAACAAAGACAGACTTTAAAGAGTTGCTGCTTTTTTTCATAACGTTTATTTTACACCCAGGGATTCCATATGCAGGTTTGTTATGGAGTTAAACTTTTGTCATGGGGTTTGTTGTACCAATTATTTTGTCACCCAGATATTAAGCCTAGTACACATTAGTTGTTTTTCCTGACCCTCTCCTTCCTCCCAATCTCCACCCTCCGATAGGCCCTAGTGTCTGTTGTTCCCCTCTATGTGTCCATGTGTTCTCATTATTTAGCTCCCGCTTATAAGTGAGAACACGCAATATTTGGTTTTCTGTTCCTGTGTTATTTTGCTAAGGATAATGGCCTCCAGCTCCATCTGTGTTCCTGCAAAGTTCATAATCTTGTTCTTTTTTAAGACTGCATAATATTCCATGATATATATGTACCACGTATTCTTTCTTTCTTTCTCTTTCTTTCTTTTTCTTTCCTTCCTTTCTTCCTTTCTTCCTTTCTTTCTTTCTTCTTTTCTTTCTTTCTTTCCTTTTTTTTTTTTTGAGACGGAGTTTTTCTCTGTTGCCAAGCTGGAGTGCAGTGGCATGATCCCGGCTCACTGCAACCTCGGCCACCTGGGTTCAAGCTATTCTCCTACCTCGGCCTCCTGAGTAGCTGGGACTGCAGGCATGCACCACCAGACCTGGCTAATTTTTGTATTTTTAGTAAGATGGGGTTTCACCATGTTGGCCAGGATGGTCTCGATCTCTTGACCTCGTGATCTGCCTGCCTCAGCCTCCCAAAGTCCTGGGATTACAGGTGTGAGCCACGGTGCCCGGCCACCACATTCTCTTTATCAAGTCTACCATTGATGGGTATTTAGGTTTATTCCACGTCTTTGCTATTGAGAATACTGCTGCAGTGAACATAAATGTGAATGCTGTATCTTTATAATAGAATGATTTGTATTTCTTTGGGTATATACCCAGTAATGGAATTGCTGAGTCAGATGGTAGTTCTGTGTTTAGATCTTTGAGGAGTCACTACACTGTTTGCCACAGTAGCTGAACTATTTTACACTCCCACCAACAATGTATAAGCATTTTTTTTCCCACAACCTTGTCAGCACCAGTTATTTTATGACATTTTAATAATAGACATTCTGACTGGTGTGAGACAGTATCTCATTGTGGTTTTGATTTGCATTTATCTAATAATCAATGATGTCGAGCCTTTTTTCATATGCTTTTTGGCCACATGTTTTTCTTTTGAAAAGTGGCTGTTGATGTTTTTGCCCACTTTTTAATGGGGTAATTTGTTTTTTTCTTGTGGATTTGTTTAAGTTTCTCATTGATGCTGGATATTAGACCTTTATCTGAAGCATAGTTTGTAAATATCTTCTCCCATTATGGAGGTTATCGGTTTAATATGTTAATAGTTTCTTTTGCTCTTGAGTTTAACTAGATTCCATTTGTTAATTTTTGCTTTTGTTGTGATTGCTTTTGGCTTCTTCATCATGAATTTTTTGCCCATTTCTTTGTCCAGAATGGTATTGCCTAGGTTGTCTTCCAGGGCTTTTATAGTTTTGGGTTTTACATTTAAGTCTTTGATCTATCTCAAGTTGATTTTTGTATATGGTGTAATAAAGGGGTCCAGTTTCAATCTTTTGCATATGGCTAGCCAGTTATCCCAGCACCATTTTTTGAACAGGGAGTACTTTCGCCATTGCTCGTTGTCATCAGGATTTTCAAAGATCAGATGGTTGTTGGTGTGTGGCCTTATTTCTGGGCTCTCTATTTTGTTCCACTGGTTTATGTGTCTGTTTTTGTACCAGTGCCATGCTGTTTTGTGTTTGGGCTACTGTAGACCTATAGTACAGTGTATTAGTCTGTTCTCATGCTGCTAATAAAGACATACCGGAGACTGGGTAATTTATAAAGGAAAGAGGTTTAATTGATTTAATTGATTCACAATTCTGCAGGGCTGGGGAGGCCTCAGGAAACTTACAATCATGGCAGAAGTGGAAGCAAACACATCCTTCTTTACACGGCAGCAGCAAGGAGAAGTACCAAGCAAAAGGGGGAAAAGCCCCTTATAAAACTCTTATAGTGAGTTCTTGCGAGAATGCACTGTCACAAGAACAGCACATAGGTAACTGCTCCCATGATTCAACTACCTCCCACTGGGTCCCTCCCACTGCATGTGGGGATTATGAGAACTATAATTCAAGATGAGATTTGGGTGGGGACATAGCCAAATCATATCATATAGTTGGAAGTTGGGTAGCATGATGCCTGCAGCTACCCAGCTTATTATTAATTATTATTACTATTATTATGTTAGAGATAAGTCTTCACTATGTTGCCAAGGCTGGTCTCAAACTCCTGGGCTCAAGTGATCCTCCTTCCTCAGCCTTGAGTAGCTGGAACTATAGGTGTTTGCCACTGTGTCTAGCTAGAGTTGCTGCTTTAAAATTTTTTAAAATTATTTTTTAAATTGAAAAATGATGATTGTACATATTCATGGGGCACATAGTGATGTTTTGATACATATAATGTATAGTGATCACATCAGGGTAATTAGCATATCCATCATCTCAAACATTTATCATTTCTTTGTGCTGGGAACATTCAATATCTTAGTTCTGGATATTTGAAACTATATAATTATTGCTAACTATAGTCATCCTACAGTGGCATAGAACACTGAAACTTATTCTTCCTATCTAACTGTTAATTTTGTATTCTTTAAAATATTTCTTCCTGTCTCTCCCTGCCTTCAAGTTTCCCAGTCTCTGTTATCCTGTTTTCTACTTTTTACTTCCTTGAGATCAACTTTTTTATCTTCCACATGTAAGTGAGAACTTTCTGTTCCTGGCTTATTTCACTTAACATAATTTCCTCCAGCTCTATCCACATTACTGCAAATGATATGAGTATTGGCATTCATTGTGAAAACAGTGATGGAAAGAGAATAGCATACAGGCTAAAGAGCATGGTTTCATTCTGACTCTCTTGTGAATAGGTGAGTCATCTCTGTTCTCTGATATTCATATTCTGCAGCTACTAAATAATAATACCACTGATCCTTCAAGATTTTGGCCCATTAAATTAGCTCTAACATGTAATCATGGTTTGTAAATTATAGGATGCTTTTCAAAGATTAACTGATTTCATTTCTTTTGGTAGCAAGTTTAGTCACAAAGAGAAAGCCTACATCTTTTTTTTATAAACCAAGTTGGAAATTGAAAACTGATTACCACTTTTACCTCGTATGGTTCTTAATTCATCTTGGAAAAAGGATTGATCATCTTTTTTGTCCTGTTAAGAACGACTTAGTGTCACAGTTTAGAGCTGGCCTCAGGAATCAAACTGTCTGGATTATTACTGAGCTTATACTTGCTCTGAGTGACCTGGTGCAAGTGATTTAAACTCTTTATGTCTTGGTTTTCTCATCTGTAAGGTGAGGATAGCCATACTTACCTCAAGGCAGTGTTGGGAGGATCAAATGAGCAAATTTAATGTAAAGTTCTTAGACTTGTTCCTATCATATAGTCTAGGCTCAACAGATGCCAATTGTTGTTTATTATTATTACAAAATCAGAATAAACCTCTTTATCCATGCTTTTTGCTATCTATAATCCAAATTGTTTCCAGTAAATATCAAGAAAAACCGAAAAAGGTAAAGATAATTAAAGGAAGGGTGTTCAGATATCTTTTCAAATATTTACAGCATCTAGGGCAAATATGTTTTAATTTCCAAATGACTAACATTCACAAATTTTTGAGGTTGGATTGTGGTCTATTCAGCTGTTTCCAGTAGTGGAAAACATTTTGTCTAGTGATCTCTCTCTCTTTGTCATTTCTTTGAATCCTGTCTTTCTTGTCTCTACTTTTAGAGATAATGTAGAATCATGATCAGTTTCCCCACAGCTATTTCATCCTTAATATCAATATTTCTTTATTTGAAATTTAATTATTCTTTTAATTACAAATAACATCATCAATCTGTTCTGATTTTAAGAATAATGTGTTTATGGTGGGAAACTTGGAAAATATCAAAAAGGATCAAGAATAAAGTGGAAATTGTTCATATTCCTGTCATCCAAAGAATGATGGTTGACATCTTAAAACACATTAAGCTTAACTTTACTTGAATTTGACAGAAGGAAAAATATGCTAAAATGAGAATGTTAGACTTTAATTTTAAAAATATATGAATAGTTGCTAAAATATTCTTCCAAAATTAAAAGATCAAGGCAAAAATGAAAAGATTTCCATTAACATTTTATTATTGTTATGGGGGTTGTTACTGTGACATTAGGGCTTCATATTTCTCAAAGAGTAAAGTTTCCAGATAGTAAAACTTAATGTACCATCTCGTAAAATCAGATTGCCTTTCATTAATATAAAAACAAGTTTAAAATCATAGTCTACCTTTAGGATTACTCTCTAAGTATGAAAAGGCAGATCTATAAAACAAGGAAGTTTCAATTCAGAGTACTAGTCGTATTTATTTATCTGAATTATATGACTAAATATTTTGACTTTGTTGTTTCAAGAACTGTTATTTCTTATAATCTAATCAATTACTCAAAATCATACTATGTATGATTACTTGGTTTGGACCATAACTTTTTATTTGTATTTGTTTCTATTTTTACTTTTTTTTCTGTTAAGAAGAATGCCTTTTCATTAAAAACAAGTTATAATTTAATTTATATATTCTTATTCATATGACCTACATCGCAATATTCACTCTAATTTAAAGACTTTTTCACAAAAGTCTCAGATTTTCTGTTCTAATTTTAACCAGTATTTTTTTTTTTTTGGTTAACTGATGGCACAGCTTTTACACAAAGTTCTTTTTATTAATTGAATACCTTAGGTGATATGGACTGAACTGTGTCTCCCCAAAATTCTTGTGTTGAAGCTTGAACTTGAAGTGCGTCTATATTTGGAAACAGGGTCTTTAGGGGGTAATTAAGATTAAATAATGTCATAAAAGTGGGCCCCAGATCTGAAAGGATCAGTATCCTTATAAGAAGAGAACTTATAAGGAGAGTGCTGTCTCTCCAAGCATAGACAGAGAAGAGGTCATGTGAGCCTACAATGAGATGGTGGCTGTTTGCACACCATCAAGAGAGCCCTCCTCAGGAACTGAATGTACTGGTATCCTAATCTTGGATTTCCATTTTCCAGACTTTCAGAAAATAAACTTCTGTTAAGCCACCCAGTCTATGGCATTTTGTTATAGCATCCAGTAGACTAATACTTTAGGTGATTTCACTGTTTCTTGGATCCCATGTTTGTCTCTTAGATTTTTTGTTTTACTGAAGTATGTCCAGGAGTAAGCTCTTTTTAGGAGTGAGTACATGCTGAACTTTCTGGGTCCTTGAATATCTGATAATGTTGTTATTTTGAGTTCAGCTATAATGTACTATAATCATGCATTTATGTTTTTGTTTATGTATAAGGTCAAATTCTTTCATATTTTAAAATTTCAGAAATTAGCATGCATATTTTATTCAAAATAACAAAGTTATATAAATTGCCAAAAAGGAGGCAGAGGAATAAGTTATGATATATAACTAAGTTGATGTAGACCTTAGCTATGTGTTGAAGGTATTTATTTATTTATTTGATGGTCACCTTAGTTACTTCTATGTCATAGTGTCCTCATACATTTGAATTATAAGTTTATATCAAAAATTGTCACTTAAAGTCATTGAGCTTTTTCAGTAGCCCTTAAACTGCTTACTTCAAGACTTCTCATTATTTGAGATAATTAAGTGCCAACTGTTAGCTGTTTTTCTCTTACTTGCAGCTAAATGAAAACTAAATGACACATCATGGATTTAGCTGTATCATTTCAAACAAAATTCTTCTTGAACCATCACAATGAAAGTGAGAACCATTGGCAGTTGTGCTATCTTGGTGATCCAGTTCTCTTCTTGACTCATGATTGCAATCTTGATCTTTGTGGCACATAAAATTATCTGTATAATGTTCCCTGGTAACATTATGTAGTAATCTTAAAGTTTCCTGTTAGGTTAAACTTGTAGTTTTAATTATTTTCTTAATTAAATTCTGTATTGCAATTCATTAAACAGCTTTCCTTCAAAATCAACCAATAAGTCTTGTTAGATTGAGTCAAATAAGTTTTGTTAGGTGTTATGGTTAGAATAATAATCCTACAATTCATACAACTTAATCACAGCAATTTCTCCTGTTCTTATATTCTGTATAGTCTATCATGTATTCTGAGATTTGGCACATGAGAGATAATCTTATGAGTTTTAAATCACTTTATATTCAGTGCTTCAGGTAATTTTATGATATGATCCCATTTTATGAAACAGAGTTATAAGTTCCTCTTTTATCAGGGTATGAGTTTATATGTTAAGTTTGTGTGTATGTGTGTGTGTATTAATACACATTTATATACGGAAGTAACTGCTCATTTGTCGATTTTATTTACAGACTTTGTCTTGTGCATTTTTATAAGGCTAACCTGCAGTTTATATCTCCATCCATCTCCCATACAGGAGAAGTGGGATTACTAGTTCGTAATTTCCATTAGTACAGTTATTAATTGCTCACAGTTTGCTTCTATCTTCTGTACTTGTTGGTGCTGTGTGAAGTTTCTCCATAATTCTCTTGGAATGTATGGCTCTTAGTCTCTTTAGATCTTTTTTGTATTCTGGCCTGTAGTTTTCTGTGCTGTTGTTTCTCCATCTATCTGATGCCCGATGTACTTTCTCTCTCTATTCCAAAAAGTCCTTATATTTTCTGTTCGGGTAATCCTTTTGTTTTCTAAAAACCATAGAATTAATTTTTATTGTATCTTTTCTGTCATTTTAATGGGATTTTGGGAGGTAGAGAAAACAAACACATTGGTTCTTTCCTTCATCTTGAACTGGCTGTCCCTCTTTATTACAAGATCCTCTTTATTTAGTTAAGTAACACATTCGGTGGCCCCACTATCCATTTTGTTTTTTTCTTGACCCTCAGACCAAAAAAATCTCAAAATTACTATCCACCAGGCCATCAGTTTTTCCATCACCTTTGTGTCATCTTAGGAGAAATAAAAATGTTTACTTCTCACAAATTATCACACTTCTCACCTCTGAAGTTATAGAGGATTTATTTGTTTTTTTGTTTTGCACTTAAAAAAAGTTGTTTCAACTAAGGAAAGTACCCTATGGTCATTCTATTCTAATTCAGTCTCTATATGTTCTGAATATATTCTTCGGAAGCAAACCTTCCATTTTAATTTGGGCAATAGAGCACTAAGATAAGAAGTTAAATATAAGAAAGGAAGCAAATAAGAATCCCTTTAAAGTAAATATGAAAAGTCCTGACTTAGAATAATAAAACATTTTAAGAACATCAATTTGTATCACCTGTTTTTATGGATAAGGAAGTTAAAATAAACTTTTAAATTTCTATTCTAATCCAACTCCTTTCAGAGATTGAATGAGAAAACCAAAGTTAAATATATAAGGCAGGTTAGCTGTGCAAACCCTTAAGGCCATGGGGATAGAGTTTTTTTAAGGGAAGTGCCGCAACATCGGTGACTTATGGCTGACTGCAATAATTCTGTTACTGTCATGAACCACTCTGGACAATCCCAAGAGACTAATGCTTCCCTATTCACATCAATCATCATTGAAGTATTGAATGGGTGGCTAATGATGTTGTTGGCCGGTGGTTATATTCATGTCTTTTTTTAGGAGAACAGTAATCTTCACATTTCTTCTCTGGCCCTGGGCCGGGCTGGCAATAAGAATAAAATTTTGTATTTTCTGTCTAAAGAATGGAAATGCTCCCCCAGAGGCTGCCCAGGCTAAAATATGAATTGACTATCTATTATCAAATCGTGTTCACCTACTTGCGTATGAATCCAGTTTTCAAATTCCTGGTGGAAAGTTAAAAAATGGTGTTACATGTTAGTGGAATCATCCCAATTTTGTATCATTTAACAATTAGATGATTGATTGAGCAATTACAGCAGTCCTCCTTTATCCATTGTTTTGCTTTTTGTGGTTTCAGTTATCCTCACTCAACCATGTCTAAAAGTATTACATGAAAAATTCCAGAGACAAACAATTCATAAATTTTAGATTGTGGGCCACTGTGAGAGGTGTGATGAAATCTTGTGCTATCCTGCTTTGTCCTACCTGGGATGTGAATTATGTCCTTTGTCGAGTGCATTCACACTGTACACACTATCTGCTCATTCATCACTTAGTAGCCCTCTTGGTTATCAGTCAACTGTTGTGGTATTACAGTGCTTCTGTTAAAACAATCCTTATTTTATTTAATAATGTTTTCAATCTCAAGAGCAGTGATGCTGGCATATTGTTATAATTGTTATATTTTATCTTCAGTTGTTGTTAATGTACTGTGCCTAATTTATAAATTAAACTTTATTAGAGGTTATGTATATATGAGAAAAAACATAGTATATAGAGGGTTTGGTAGTATCTGTGGTTTCAGGCATCCACCGGTGGTCTTACAATGTATTGCCTGTGGATAAGGATGGGACTATTATATTGCTGTCACTGACAGTGTAACGATTACTGCCTAAATGAAGTCATCACGGTGACCTCAAAAGCTGTGGATCATGATACAAGAGAACTGTGGTGGTGTCTGATTTAGATAAGACTGCCAGTTCAGGCTTTGTGCTGGAAGACCACCTAGTGACAATAGGTTCAGTATGAGAGAGGCATCGCATTGAGGTCAAACCATTTGCATTAGAGGGAAAGTAACAATAAAAAACAAGAAATGTAGCATAGATAACATGTTATTATCATAATTTGTACTCTCTTTTTACTTCTACAGTGGACTACTTCTATCCTTGGTTCCCACACAATATGATATTCCCATTTTTTTCATATCATTCAAGTATGTCTACTCCTATATTTAATATTGGTTATTCTTTTTTGTTGTTTAAAGAAAATATTGCTGTGAATTTATTCTTCTGATTTATTTTTAGCATTTATCTAAATTGCTCAGAACTTTCAGTATCTCGGCTTCTCATTTTTAGTCCATTTATTAACTACATGATATTGGGCACGCCATTTAGCTTCTCTGAGCCTGATGAGTACTTTGAATGTGTGACGCTATTTTGGATATTCTATAAATGTGATTAAAAGACATCTTTTCTGCCCTTCCAATCATCTCATAAGCCAAAGCAGCTTCTAGCACAATATCTCATGCATAAGAAACATATTGTGAGTTGTTGAGCTTAACTAAATTAAGACATGGTTTTGCCCTCAATAAAAGTTTCATTGTTATAAATCTAAGTGAGATGTCAGTTGGGACCTGCTACAGCCTTGTATTATCTAGATGATAGTGGCGACTTGAATTCTCTAATTTCATGATCTATGGAAATCCAAAGCTTCCATCAATATTTTTGTTTATTTTTTGTACAGGGAGGTTGATGAAAGACTGAGATATGCTGGCGCTCTCTGCTTGTTAGTTTCTTCCTCTTATTTTTTTTCTATGTTCTGCAGTGTATCATTCCAATGTGAATCTAGCTCTTTAATTGATTTTCAGTGCCAAAACATCACTCAAACAAGCATTCGTTCTGTATGTATGTACTTTCTATGTCTTTTTTTTTATATAAATACACATTATAAAATGTAAAATAATGTATATTATATATTTCGTATTTGTGATGTATACACTATATATATGTTTTATATTTACTTAAAGTATCTATACTGTTATATTTTGATGTGCCTCTCATTCTATTTTTGACTTCACAAAACTTTTTCTAAGACCTATCTACATTTGATATATATATATAATTTTAGCCTTAAATAATACCTCATATAGCATTTAATTTATCTTTTTACCTCGATGGATATTTATAGATGCTTCCGAGTGTTTGCTATTACAAACAAGACTAGAATGAGCATGTTTATACTTTCCTCTTTGTATTCAGGTATGAAAGTTTCTCTGAGAGTTTAAAACCAAAAGTGGAACAGAGCATAGGCTATGCATATACTCAGTTTTACCGGGTTCTGTCAATTTGTACCCTAAAATCACTTCACTAATACATAAACCTATAACCCTTTCCAATATTTCTTATTGTCTAAATTATTATATTTGTAAGAAACATTGGTATAAGGTGGATATACATTGATCTGGCTTCATTTTCTATTATTACAGTACTATCTTAATTACTGTAGCCTTATAAAATAGCTTAATAGCTGATAGAATTAGTCTTCATTATTTTCTCTTCTCTTCCAGGATTATCATAGTTATTTTTAGGATTTTTTTCTTCCATATTGATTTAAACATTTTCCAATTATAATTTTCATATTGCATAAGTCCGGTGGGCACCATAGAAGCTGTAGGTTATTATGTGTTCTTTGAATGGTTGGTAAACTCTGCCTAAAAAATTTATCTGGGTGATTACTTCTTTTGAAGAGGAGTTTTCTTCTATAATCTTATTATTTTTAATGGTTATTGATCTATTCCAGTTTTCTATTTCTTATTGGCCCATGTTGTCACTAAAAAGATTCATTTATAATTTTTAAGAATCTGCTCTGTAAACAGTGATATGTTTCTTTTTCATTCAGAATTTTGCTTATTTATTCATTTTTTTATTTTTGCCTGATGAATGTTTCCCATGAATTGCCATATTAGTGTTTTAAAATAGCATGGTTTTGTCAATCCTTTCTCTTCCTTTTTTTCTATTTTGTTGATTTCTAGGTTTTATTACTCCTTCTTTCTTAGTTTAAAAAATATTCTCTTGCTTATTTTTTATTTTTTGAGTTGAATGCTTAATTTTTTTAGTAATCCTTATTTCTTGTTTTTTTCTATTTGTAAATTAGACTTTACGTATATCATCACTTTGTTTCTCAAATTATGATGTGCCGTGCTTTCATAATCTTGTAACTGTATTTCATAATTTGAGCTATTTGCTCTTCAACCCACTGATTTTTGGACATAAGGTTATTGATTTTCAGTTATATGGGATATTATTACTCTTCATTTTTATTTTCTTATATTGTTATCAGAAAATATGACGTGTTCAAAAATAATTCTTTGAAATTTATTCAAGACTGCCTTTTTAACCTAATTTATGACGGGTTGTTAAATATATTCTTGTTTCAAAAATAATGTATATTCTCTGTTTCCTGGATATACATTTTTCAAAATGTCCATTATTTCAAATTTATTGAGAATATTATTCCTGTCTTCTATGTTCTTTTTTCATTGTTTTATTTACCAGTTTTAGATGGATACATTACAATCTGTACTGAAACTAAATGTTATTTTTTTCTAGTAATTATTGTTTTTGCTTTATATATTATGAGATTTTATTATTGGGAGTATATATTAATGATTATTATATTTTATTAGTATGTTGGATTTTTTGCCCAGTGTAAAATTTGCATCTTTATCCTTTAGGGGATTTTTCATCTTAAATTATATTATGTCTAGTACATATTGCTTAATATATATGTTTAATCCCTTTGTTTTCTGTGGTTTTTCTGTGCCTTTATCTTTTTTGGTGCCTCTAGTGCAACACATTGTTGGATTTACTTGGGAAAAATTCATTTTAAGAGTTTATGTCTCATAAACGTTGAGTTTAATTCTTTTGTTGTAATAATGTAAATCAAGACTTATTACTAACACTTTATTTTGTACAAATACCATGCTTCTTTCTTCCTTTCTCACTTTTGATTGGAGATAAAATTTTCTTTGTTCAAATTTTATTTTTTTTGGCACTTTGGTTGGAAAGAATGTATTCTATTTTTATTCATCTACTTGTTGTCATTAACTAATTAAGACCCCTAGTTGTACTGACCTTTGCTATCAATATAAGACAACAATCTCAGCTTACTTTCATTTTTATTCTATCTCATTCCCCTACACCATCCCCTACATACTTTCTGGTTCTGGTATCTTGAGGGTTTTGTTTGGGTGAGGGGACCTGAGTCAAGTGTCTTAATCTGTGTCCTGGAGCAGACAACTTAATTGACTTTGGTGAAGTTATTTTGTGGGTTAGGCTTATAGGAGTGAGTAACAGTTAATAATTCACACACCGTTATCACTGGCCTGTTTTTTCCTCCTTCTCTTTACCTTTCCATTTCTCATTGTTTCAGTTCTGTATGTTCTCTAGGTGCTCCCAGACTTCTTTTTCTGTTGTGCAGAGATGCATCCCCCTACTGGTGAATGTCAGTTCAGCTAATGTTACTTGGGCTCTCGGGAAAGACTTTCTAACGTTATCACAGGTGAATACATTTTTCCTAAGAAAGTTTTCTCTTCTGTAGTATCAATGGTGCCACTTGGGAAAATAATGGAATATTCTCATTTTTATTATATAAGGTAATTTTTATGTGTAATAAAGAGGAGTAAAGTTAGAAAATAAAGTCCATCTAAATATTTGTACCATGACTGAATGGGTATTTGGAAGAGTCAGAGTACTTAAAAAAAACTTGATGATGGTATTTAGGAGGTTTTTTTTTTTTTTTTTTTTAACAGTGAGGTAATTCTATATGTAATTTGGTTTAATTAAAATGTATTCTTTAGAGAAAGAGATGATGCATCTCTGAAGTGTACAATTAATGACTCAATAAAGAGAAGACACTGTATGATGTGGTTTTCTTATCTCTGGCAGATTACAATAAGCAATTTTTTGGGAAATGAGAATGGTTAAAACAGAAGGAAGCAACAATGGCTCTCTTATTGATGCTTGTGGCACTCAAGTCAGTAACTTACCCTCTATTTCTGCATAATAGGACTTGAAGGCTCCTGCTGAACCTGACTCTCAAGGCTTCCGGTCTTCGACTGATAATAGGAAATGGTCGAATAATTAATTGTGGGTATAATGCTTTGAGGTCCTTAAATAAAACATGTTCATATGAGTTTAAGCCTTAACTTTAGAGAAAGATGAGAGACAGTGAGAGAGAGAAAGAGAGAGACAGATAGGCAGAGAAAGAGAGAGAGAGAGAGAGAGAGAGAGAGAGAGAGAAACCTTTGGTGTTAGGTTTGTCCATCTTTTTATATATTATAATTTTTTTTCAGAAACATCAGGGGCCTTTTGTGGATTGCGTCTATCTTTATGGAATTCTGGCTTAGCTGCCACCTGGGCAGCTTTTGGAAACAAAATGATAACAAAAGCAACATGCAGTCACTTCTTTGTTGTATGGGTTTTTTTCCCCACCCTATAGCCTTTTATCTTTACACATTTCTTTTTGTCTGACATTTCTGCATTCATCACCCCGTGTCTAGTTGCAATAAGGCTATTATGAGATGGATAGCTGTGGAGATGACAAGAATACAGGCAATTCAAGTTTTTCATTTCCTTTGTAGCTGGAGTTTTAATAGTTCTCTAAATCTGTATTTATGTTCTCATCAAAACCCCTTTTAAAAGAAAGCAGATAGTAGTCTTCCTATCTCATTCCCCAAATGTTTTCCATGATTCCTATTTTAATAATATTAATAAGCCTCTTTATTGCAAAGATAAGATAGAGATAGTTTCCCTGATTTTCAATGAAGTAACTAACTTAGTAAATTCTCAAAGCCCTCAGAATTCTCTCTAGAAGTGAACGTAGTTGTACTCCTATGCTTCCCTTTTCTCACTCAATAAACAGCAGCCTGTGGAAGTATTCAAAAAGAACTTTTCTGATGGGTGGTTTTTATCATCTTAAAATGTTATAGAACAAAGGCATTTTAAAATAATTGAAAGTGAATTTCCATTTGTAGAGGATAAGGCTATTTATTCCTTCCTAAATAGGCTGTATTTCATCTTTGGGGGAGGCATTTGCAAAATATATGGGAGTGACACATATGTATGGCAGAGTTACAGTTCTGCAGCATGTGCTCAGTGGTTACGTTACTATGGTGCCAAAATGTCTAGACCAACAGTCAAAGTTCAGTGTACCATCTTGCTATTGGTTAACTTTTGCCATAAATATTTAGAAACAAATGGAGCTTAACTATGCACATTTTAACTTTATATTATATAGTTATTCAGGTAGAATAAATATCTGAATAGCCAATTATTTCTCTGGAATATGATTGATATGTTTTTACCTTGCTATCCAGCCTGGCCCTCCCTAGCCCTTGAAGTCTCTGATATTGTTGTCCTGCAGACTTACTGATACCAATTCTGGAGTCAGCTCTCTGCAGTCAGTACTTTCAGAACCCCATGGCTAGCTACAAGCAGGGACCCTTATTCATTATGCTGTCCTAAGCCTGGCATCATAATGTTAGGAGTTTATCCCAGGTCCCTGTGATCCCTGAGATTCAGGCTTTAAAACACCCCATTGTATCTTCCCAATTCGTATGACTACATTTCTGGATTGATTTCTTTATTTTCTTTTCAGTTTTTCTGATGAAACTACATTCCTCTAGGTTAGGGCTCTGACACTGTGTAGATATTCCTTGCCACTATTTCTTCCTTTTCCATGGAGGCGGGGTCTTATTATCACTATCTTCAGATTCTTAAACCAGATACCCATAAGAATTACCTGCCTGAATATTGCCATTTCTTGAAAATCTGTATTATAGATTTCTGCTACTGTTGAACTCAAGTTTACCATCCAATTCAGAGGATCTAAATTTGACCTCCTCTGAAATCCATTCTTATATGCATGTCTATCGTTTTATGTTGGTCCTATTCATTTATAGTTTCCTTCCTTTTTTCTACCATCTTGCTACTACAATTCCAGTATGATTTAGAGCTAAATCCCCTCAAATTAGGGCTTTGTTATTTAATTCCTGGTTCTCAAATTACTCCAAGGAACAATTTAGTGATGTATGAAAAGTTGGAGCGGAGGGCAGATGTGCTTAGTCTGTGTCCTATCAGCCTCAGGTCCCACTTTGCTACGTCTTTATTTCTTTGGTAGTTAGGGGTCTGAGGTACACATTAGAAGTTAAACAGCTCTACAGTTGCATTATCTCCAGTGAAAATAATTGTTTTCAACCATGCTAACTTCTAAACGGAAAATAGATGTTTGTATAATAATAAAGTTGAACATGTCACACTCACTTCTCGGTCTAGCTACTTTCTCTTCTCTGAATATTCCGTGCTGTCTCTCATTTCCACACCTTTGCACTTAAACTTTCTTCTGATTTTATAATAGAATGATTTATATTCCTTTGGGTATATACCCAGTAGTAGAATTGCTAGGTCAAATGGTATTTCTGTCTTTAGGTCTTTGAGGAATCACCACATTGTCTTCCACAATGGTCAAACTCAATTACATTCCCACCAACAGTGTATAACCATTCCTTTTTCTCCACAACCTCAGCAGCATCTATTATCTTGACTTTTTCATAATAGCCATTCTGACTAGTGTTAGATGGTACCTCATTGTGATTGTGATTTGCATTTCTCTAATGATCAGTGATGGTGAGCTTTTTTTCACATGATTTTTGGCCACATGTATGTCTTCTTTCGGTTCACAATAGCAAAGACTGGAATCAACCTAAATGCCCATCAATGATAGACTAGATAAAGAAATTGTGGTATGTATATGTGATGGAATACTATGCAGCCATTAAGAAGAATGAGATCCAGTCCTTTGCAGGGACATGGATGGAGCTGGAGGCCATTATCCTTAGCAAACTAACACAGGAACAGAAAACCAGATACCACATATTTTCACCTATGAGCTAAATGATGAGAACACATGGATGCATAGAAAGGAACAACACACATTGAGGCCTTTTGAAGGGTAGAGGGTGGGAAGAGGGAGAGGATCAGGAAAAATAACTAAAGAGTACTAGGTTTAATATCCAGGTGATAAAATAATGTGTACATCAAACCCCCATGAAACCAGTTTACCTATGTAAGAAACCATTGTATCCCTGAACTTTAAAGTTAAAAAAAATTCTTCTAACTGAAACACCTTTCTTACTTCTTCACAATTTTAACTATTCTTCCTTCTGCAGTTTAACCATTAATGACAGGTTTCATTAGATGCTCTCCTTGGCGTTTTTAAAGATATCTATGCCTGCTGCTATCCTGGCACTTACCATTCTGAATCATAATTGTCTCCACAATAGACTGTGAACTCAGGGAGAACCACTTTGTGTCCCCAACACGACACACAGAATATACTCAAATGCTTACTAAATGCAAGAATAGATCTTCTCCTGCTGTGGTAGAGTTAGGGCTTAGATGTTCCAATATGAGATATCTCTTTTATCTAGTTCAATAACTTTTTAAAGATATCACACCTTGAGGGATTTTATACATAGTTTTTCTTAACAAAAACTTTGGAATAAAGAAATAAATGAATTGGAAATACTCTTTCGACAATATTATCTCAGGAATTTCAGGTATCATTGTCCTTCATTTTACCCTGAATTTTTTGTGTCCTCCAAATCACATTCATACTTAAACATTGTCATAAAGTTTTTATAGAAATGGGGACCTTAAGGTAAAATTATCAAACCTGAGCAAACTATTATTACCTTGCAAATATTTCCATCTTCTCTTAAATTTACAACTGAGCTATAACTTAACATTTCATGTGTATATGAAAATCTGATATATGATACAGTTGCCAAGAAGGAGGAACAGATTGGACAACCTTCTTTTTGTAGAAACCAATAAGCTGACCTTAAAATTCATTTGAAAACTCAAGAGTCTCAGATAGACAAAATGATCTTGAAAAATATGAATGAAGTTGAAGTATTCACATTTGTCAATTTCAAAACTTACTACAGAGTAGCAGTAATCAACACAATGTTGGTAGTAGCATAAGGATAGACAAATAGTGAAATAGAATTTAGAACACAGAAACAAGACCTCACCTTTTTTTTTAAACTTTTTTTTATTATACTTTTAGTTCTGGGATACATGTACAGAACATGCAGGTTTGTTACATAGGTATACACATGCCATGGCAGTTTGCTGCACCCGTCAACCCGTCATCTACATTAGGTATTTCTCCTAATGCTATCCCTCCCTTTTCCCTCCACCCCCTGACAGGCCCTGGAGTGTGATGTTCCTCTCCCTGTGCCCATATGTTCTCATCGTTCAACTCCCACTTATGAGTGAGAATGTCTGGTGTTTGGTTATCTGTTCTTGTGTTAGTTTGCTGAAAATGATGGTTTCCAGCTTCATTCATGTCCTGGCAAAGGACATAAACTCATTCTTTTTTATGGCTAAATAGTATTCCATGGTGTATATATGCCACATTTTCTTTATCCAGTCTATCATTGGTGGGCATTTGGGTTGGTTCCAAGTCTTTGCTATTGTGAATAGTGCTGCAGTAAACATACGTGTGCATGTATGTGTCTTTATAGTAGAATGATTTAAAATCCTTTGGGTATATACCCAGTAATGGTATTGCTGAGTCAAATGGTATTTCTAGTTCTAGATCCTTGAGGAATCACCACACTGTCTTCTACAATGGTCAAACTAATTTACACCCCCCACCAACAGTATAAAAGGGTTCCTATTCCTCCACATCCTCTCTAGCATCTGTTGTTTCCTGACTTTTTAATGATCGTCATTCTAACTGGTGTGAGATGGTATCTCATTGTGGTTTGGATTTCCCTAATGATCAGTGATGATGAGCTTTTTTCATATGTTTGTTGTCCGTGTAAGTGTCTTCTTTTGAGAAGTGTCTGTTCATATCCTTAGCCCACTTTTTGATGGGGTTATTTGTTTTTTTTCTTTTAGATTTGTTTAACTTCTTTGTAGATTCTGGATATTAGCTCTTTGTCAGATGGGTATATTGCAAAATTTTTCTTCCATTCTGTAGGTTGCCTCTTTGCTGCCTGTGCAGAAGCTCTTTAGTTTAATTAGATCCCATTTGTCAATTTTGGCTTTTGTTGCCATTGCTTTTTGTGTTTTAGTCATGAAGTCTTTGCCCATGCCTATGTCCTGAATGGTATTTTCTAGGTTTTCTTCTAGAGTTTTTATGGTTTTAGGTCTTATGTTTAAATCTTTAATCCTTCCTGAGTTAATTTTTGTATAAGGTGTAAGGGAGGGGTCCAGTTTCATTTGTCTGCATATGGCTAGGCAGTTTTCCCAAAACCATTTATTAAATAGGAAATCCTTTCCCCATTGCTTGTTTTTGTCAGGTTTGTCAAAGATCAGATGGTTGTAGATGTGTGGTGTTGCTTCTGAGGCCTCTGTTCTGTTCCACTGGTCAATATCTCTGTTTTAGTTACTGTAGCCTTGTAGTATTGTTTGAAGTCAGGTAGCATGATGCCTCCAGCTTTGTTCTTTTTGCTTAGGATTGTCTTGGCAATGCAGCTCTTTTTTGGTTCCATATGAATTTCAAAGTAGTTTTTTTCCAGTTCTGTGAAGAAAGTCAGTGGTAGCTTGATGGGGATAGCATTGAATCTATAAATTACCTTGGGCAGTTTGGCCATTTTCACGATATTGATTCTTCCTATCCATGAGCATGGAATGTTCTTCCATTTGTTTGTGTCCTCTTTTATTTCATTGAGCAGTGGTTTGTAGATCTCCTTGAAGAAGTCCTTCACGTCCCTTGTAAGTTGGATTCCTAGGTATTTTATTCTCTTTGTAGTAATTGTGAATGGGAGTTCACTCATGATTTGGCTCTCTGTATGTCTATTATTGGTGTATAGGAATGCTTGTGATTTTTGCACATTTATTTTGTATCCTGAGACTTTGCTGAAATTGCTTATCAGCTTAAGGAGATTTTGGGCTGAGACGATGGGGTTTTCTAAATATACAATCACACCATCTGCAAACAGAGACAATTTGACTTCCTCTCTTCCTAATTGAATACCCTTTATTTCTTTCTCTTACGTGATTGCCCTACCCAGAACTTCCAACACTATGTTGAATAGGAGTAGTGAGAGAGGGCATCCTTGTCTTGTGCTGGTTTTCAAAGGGAATACTTCCAATTTTTGCCTATTCAGTATGATATTGTCTGTGGGTTTGTCATAAATAGCTCTTATTATTTTAAGATACGTTCCATCAATACCTAGTTTATTGAGAGTTTTTAGCATGAAGCACTGTTGAATTTTATTGAAGGCCTTTTCTGCATCTATTGAGATAATCACGTGGTTTTTGTCTTTGGTTCTGTTTATGTTATGGATTGTGTTTATTGATTTGTGTATGTTGAACCAGCCTTGCATCCCAGGGATGATGCTGACTTGATCGTGGTGGATAAGCTTTTTGATATGATGCTGGATTCGGTTTGCCAGTATTTTATTGAGGATTTTTGCATCAGTGTTCATCAGGGATATTGTCCTAAAATTCTCTGTTTTTTTTTGTTGTGTCTTTACCAGGCTTTGGTATCAGGATGATGCTAGCCTCATAAAACGAGTGAGGGAGGATTCCCTCTTTTTCTATTGTTTGGAATAGTTTTAGAAGGAATGGTACCAGCTATTCTTTGTACCTCTGGTAGAATTCGGCTGTGAATCCAACTGGTCCTGGGCTTTTTTTGGTTGGTAGGCCATTAATTACTGCCTCAATTTCAGAACTTGTTATTGGTCTATTCAGGGATTCAACTTCTTCCTGGTTTAGTCTTGGGAGGGTGTATGTATCCAGGAATTTATCAATTTTTTTCTAAATTTTCTAGTTTATTTGCATAGAGATGTTTATAGTATTCTCTGATAGTAGTTTGTATTTCTGTAGAATCAGTGGTGATATCCCCTTTATCATTTTTTATTGTGTCTATTTGATTCTTCTTTCTTTTCTTTAATAGTCAGGCTGGCGTTCTGTGTATTTTGTTAATCTTTTCAAAAAAAAAAACACCTCCTGGATTCATTCCTTTTTTTGAAGGGTTTTTTGTGTCTCTATCTCCTTCAATTCTGCTCTGATCTTAGTTATTTCTTGTCTTCTGCTAGCTGTTGACTTTGTTTGCTTTTGCTTCTCTAGTTCTTTTGTGATGTTAGGGTTTTGATTTTAGATCTTTCCCACTTTCTTATGTGGGCATTATTGCTATAAATTTTCCTCTCAACACTGCTGTAGTAGTGTCCCAGAGATTCTGTTACATTGTCTCTTTTTTCTCATTGGTTTTAAAGAACTTATTTATTTTTGTCTTAATGTCATTATTTACCCAGTAGTCTTTCAGGAGCAGGTTATTCAGTTTCCATGTAGTTGTGCGGTTTTGAGTGAGATTCTCATCCTGATTTCTACTTTGATTACACTGTGGCCTGAGAGACTGTTTGTTATGATTTCTGTTCTTTTGCATTTGCTGAGGAGTGTTTTACTTTCAATTAGGTGGTCAGTTTTAGAATAAGTACGATGTGGTGCTGAGAATGCATATGCTGCTATTTTAGGGTAAAGAGTTCTGTAGATATCTATTAGGTCCACTTGGTCCAGAGCTGAGTTCAAGTCCTGAATATCCATGTTAATTTTCTGTCTTGTTGATTTGTCACATATTGACAGTGGGGTGTTAAAGTCTCCTACTATTATTGTGTGGGAGTCTAAGACTCTTTGTAGGTCTCTAAGTACTTGCTTTTTTTAAGTCTTATAAAACTCAATAACAAAAAGACAAATGACACAAAAAGTGGAGAAAACTTCTGAATAGAAATTTCTCCAAAGAAGATACACAAATGGTCGATAATTACATAAAAAGATGCTCAATATCATTAGCCATCAGGGAAATGAAGAAAAAAACATAGTGAAATACCACTTAAACCCACTAGGATGCCTCTAATCAAAAGGACAGAATAATAAAGAGTGTTGGGATGTGAAAGAATTGGAACTTTCATACTCTCTGGTGGGAATGTAAAATGGTGTAGCTACTTTGGAAAACCATTTCTTAATTTCTCAAAAATTGAACAGAGTTGTTATTTCACCCAGCAGTTGTACTCTGTGGTATATATCCAAACAAAATGAAAACATGTTCACACAAAAACTTGAAAATTAATGTCCATAACAGCATTATTCATGGTAACAAAAATGTGGAGACAACTCAAATCTTCATCAGCCAATGAATATACAAACAAAATGTGGTATGTTCATATACTGGAATAGTATTTGGCCATTACAAGGGATAAAGTACTGAACTTACACCAAACCATGGATGGAGTTTGAAAATGTGCTAAGTGAAAAAAGTCACTAAAAACTTCATATCGTATGATTCTGTTTTCTAGAAAACTCACACTTATAAAGACAAATATTTAAATAGTAGTTTAACTGGAATATAAAATATTATATAGAAATTCATTTTCTTTCAAAACTTTAAAATGTTACCAAACTCTTGTCTTATATCTAATGTTACTGATGAAGAATATAATGATCCAATAATTACCTTTTAGGGGTGATCTTTTTCTCTCCAAAAACTTTTAAAGTTTTTCTTTCATTTTGGTACTGTTACATTCTGTCCAGGTATGGATGTTTTTGTTGTGGTTGGTTACATTTTTAGAAAAATCTCTCCTAAAAGAAAATTCTATGACTCCTTTTAATGTTTCATGTCTTTCTCTAATTCTTGGTTATTATGTATCCAAATATATTCTGCCTTTCAGGAATTTTTTTTTCTTTTTTCCTGGGACTCATATGACATAAATATTGAAACTCTTTTCATATCTATCTTCAATATATTTATCTCTTCATTTCTTTCTTTTTTCTTTTTTTGTTTTTCTTTTTAGACAGAGTTGTCCTCTGTTGCCCAGGCTGGAGTGCAGTGGTGCAATTTTGGCTCACTGCAACCTTCACCTCCTGGGCTCTAGTGATTCTCATGCCTCAGCCTCCTGAGTGGCTAGGATTACAGGCATGCACCACCACAACATGGAGTTTCGCTGTGTTGGCAGGGCAACTGATCCACCGCCTTGGTCTTCCAAAGTGCTGGGATTACAGGCATGAGCCCCTGTGCCCAGTCTATTTATCTCTTCATTTCTTCCCAGTGTCTTCTGAAGAATCCTCTATCTCATATTCCAGCCATTAATTTGTTCTCTGATGTGAACATTTAGGTTTTTACTTAAAAGTAAAGTAAGTAAGTATTTCAGCAAGTGTCTCTAGAGGCTAAATTCTTTTTATTTCTAAGCATAATAATAATACCAGTGTTTTCTGAAAATTAGTGCTAATTCCTTAACATTATGTACTATTCAATCAGTACTTAAAACTAGTATTTACATCTTATCATCTTTAAAATGATTTTTTACAGTTTATTTGGTGAAATCAGTTTTGAAATAAAACATGGAGCGTATATTGTAATTTCTTGAGTTTTCTTTTAGATCTATTTAAATCTGTAGATCTGCCTCTCTCTCATTCTCTCTCTCTGTCTCCCTTTTAATGTATTTAGTGGAGAAATAAGTTATTTGTTTTTTATAGTTTCCTGCAGTCTGAATTTTGTTGTTGATTGCATCCCTATGGTGTTCTTTACAATTGTTCCTATGATGGCTGTATTTGCTGTAAATTAGTAGTTAAGTGCTAGAGGCTTGAACAGACTTATGGTAGAATTTTTGATAAAACTTCTCAATAGATGGTTATTGTATACTTTTCTCAGAGGGTCCAAAATAGCTGCTTTTTTGATGTTATTAGTCATTGATCATCCTTGCATAGGTTCATTATTTTACAAGGAGTTGAAAAATGATATTTTATTGTATTCATTCTCATTAATAGCTGGAATTCTCTATGTTATGTGTCTTCCAAAAGATATGTTGAAGTTCTAGCCCACATACTTGTGAATGTGACCTTGTCTGGAAACAGCCTTTCTGCTATTCCCATCTGCATTTCCAGATGTAATCAAGTTAGGATAAATTCATGGGAGGGGGGAGTTTATCTGATATGACTATTATTCTTGTAAGAGAGAAGAAATTTGGACACAAACAGAAACAAGAGAAAGATGGCCATGTGAAGACAGAGGGAGGGAGAGCCTGAAGTTCTACTGCTACATGCCAAGGAAGTCCTGCAGCCACCAGAAGCTGGAAGAGACAAGAATCCTCCTCTGGAGGCTCTGGAGGGGGTATGACTAACACTTTGATTTTGGGCTCTGGCTTTCAGAACTTTGAGAAAATAAGTTTCTGTTGTTTTAAGGTACCCCCCAGTTTGTCATATTTTTTACAGCAACCTTAGGAAACCAACACACTTTATAAAGAGAAACTTTAACCAACTCCTTGCTTAATCTAAAGTTAATTCATATAGCAAAGGAAAGATAGTTGCTTGATTCTTTCCGTTTGTTTACTAGTTTCCTAAGTAATAATTTCAACACCTGGCATTCTCCAAAGGTGACCAATGAGGTTGTTTTAATTTTGCTGTTCTTTGTTCTAAGTATCGTTGCATACAAATGGATTTATATAAATTTGATATCTTTAAGTCCATTGTAATCATTATTCTTCTTGATGTTCATTTTGCTCCATCTTTGGTCAGTAGGAGCCTCTTTAGTTTACTCCTAAGTGCTTTTGATTCACTCTCAGAAGTTTTTGGTAACTTTCTTGTTTGGTGATTAATAAGACAGAATTTTTCAGTTTCTTTTTATACATTTCATAGTCTAGACCTCAAATTACACATTCCTTTAAGAGGCTGCAGTTTCTTTTAGTGAAAACTGGTATTTAGAGACCACAAGATGGGCACTAGGGGAGTGTCTTGCTACTGGTTTTGTATTAATAATAGCTAGAAGATACATTCTATTTCAGTATCAAATATTTTATGAATTCATTTTCATGTTTCCAACTCAAATTCAGGACTACAGATTTTAACATAAATTTAAAGGAAATACATTGATATCAATTTCTCCTTTCCTTTGCTCCAAATGCCAGTATCTCTAGACTCATACAATTTCTGATCCTCTTTATTCTAAAATACTTTTGTAATAGTCATATATTGAATAACAATATTACCACTTATAGTATGATTACTAAAAACAGTTTATTTAATTAATTTATTTTCAGGTTTTTTGTCCTTATGATATGTTGCCCCAAAGATGTATAATCAAATTTCTTTGCATTAGAGTCATTAGAAAGGGTTCTTCTCAGTGTGATTATGCTACAAACTGGATATACATTTACATTCATTTAATTTTGCTTTAAACATTTGAATTGCTTTTTTAAATTTAGTTTCTTCATGGTTATATATATTATGTCAAAATCAAATCTATATAACAGAGTATATTTAGGTCTACCATCTAATCATGATTACTTCATGCCATTTTCTCCTTGCCTCACAGGTAAATTTTTCCTAAGTGTAATTCCACTTTGTTTTATTCTTATAACTGCTTTGTGCTGTTTCAGGTTAACCTTATTCTTCCGTAAAGCTTGTAATTATGTTTATTCTTATTTTACATTTTTCATATTTGCGTTACACTTATATTTACTTTGGTCCCAGCTTTGTTGTTCTTCCATTGTATCTCTCATCTGTGGCATCCAGCCCCCATCTGCCCTAGACTTTACTTTCCTCTCCACACCACGTCACAACAATCTTTTATCATCACAGGATCCTTGGTTTCTAAGATCTTTATACTTTTTCTTTTCTTTTTCTTTTCTTTTCTTTTCTTTACTTTTCTTTCTTTCTTTATTTCTCTCTTTCTGTCTGCTTTTTTTCTTTCTCTCTTCTTTCTTCTTTCCTTTCTCTCTTTCTCTCCTTCTCCCTTCCTTCCTCCCTCCCTCCCTCTCTTCCTCTCTTTTCTTTCTTTCTTTCTCTTTCTTTCTTTCTTTCTTTCTTTCTTTCTTTCTTTCTTTCTTTTCTTCCTTTCTCTCTCTCTCTCTTTCTTTTCTTTTCTTTGCTTTCCTTTCCTTTTCTTTTCCTTTTTTCTTTCCTTCCCCTACGTGGCAAATCCAGGGTTGGGCTAGCCAAGAAAAGTAGTAACTTAGCAGGTCTACCACTGACCCCTAGGAGATCCAAATATGTTATTTTATATATCTTTAAGTACAGGGATCACTTGCAAAAACTATCCTGATATTATTAACTTTTATGGAGAAATCCTAACACAAGTCTATTTTACAATAAGGTGTTGTATATCACATGTAATTTATTGACTACTGCAGTGAAAGTGAAAAACTGAATGGCTGTGTGAATACTCAAAGTATGGTTTCTACTGAGCATGTATCACTTTCACATCATTGTAAAGCTGAAAAATCACTAAGTTAAACCATCATAAGCTGGGGACTGTCTGTATATTCTCATTGAATAGTTTTATTGTATTACTATTTTATAAAACTAATATATTTTTCTCCAAATAAGTGACTTTACAAAGATGAATTTTGCATTCCAAAGTATGTTATATGTTTTATTTATTAGCAAAAGTATGAACTTTGGAGTCAGGTAGATTTGAATTAAATTCCAATTATACTAGAAAGCTCTATGACTTTGGTCAGTTATAGTAAGAATTCCCAATTTATAGTAATTTTATAAGCATAATTTTTGGCACTTAGAAAATGCTCAATAAATATTGATTCTTTGTGATATGATGATAATTAATGATACCTATAATAACAAAGGTGACGATGGTGAGAGACTACACTTCTCTCTTCCATTTACCTTCAGTTATAATGAAAGGTAATGAGTAAATATGACTAAGTAGTGAATATATATAAAGTATCAGAAATATTTCTATTTAATACAATGCATCAAATGGTATAGTACATATATTTTATCTGAAATAAAAGCCTGAAGTGAACAATTTGGCCCTAACCATATAATTTAAACTAATCACTATTTTGTAATTTTTACTAATTTAGATGTTGTAGAAGGCAACATATTTCTGAGAATTTTTTCTTTTGATTTAAGAAAAATGCTAACATGAGAAAAATAATTCTTACTTGATTTTAATGATTTAATTATAATTTTTTGATAACTTTTTTATCTAAGATGTGAGCAGCTATGTTTTACTCTTAGTTTTGAATTCTTTGTTAGTTTCCTATTTACATAGTTGGCTTTCTTATATTATACTAATATTTATAATCATATACTGCAGAGATTGGGATGGACTCAAGTACTCCAAATTTTACAGGAATGAAGTCTCTCCCATTTTGGTAAAATGGCTTTTGATTGTTATTTAATACAATTCACACTTGCTGGGATTTAGAAGTTTTGAAATCCTCATTTCAGTGACTTCTATAAGTTTTTCAACTGATGCCCAAAGATTAGTGTTCCTTTGCCTCCATTCATTTAACCAAGGTGTAGAACAGGGTAGGCCAGAGCTGAAGGAAAGACAGCGCTGGAGATGATGCTCTGAATGGTGCTTGCTGGAGCCACAGATAATCTGAGGATGCTGCCTTTCCTGCTTCCCAGGAGCTGAGCTAGTGGAAAAAAGGGAATAAGAATGTAATTTTTCTTCAGATTTAAAATGTCTGATAACAAAAGTTGATTACCCTGTTTTATTTGGAGAGAAATCCAGGTGTAGAGAAGATATTATACTTCTCTTTGAGACTAAGTACCTTTAAAATAGTTTTAGATATCTGGATTTAATTCCATATGTTTCAATTTTTCTATATTTATATGATAGATACATTTAAATAAAGCATGCTCCTCTATATTTCGCTCAGGATTTTGGACAGAGCTGATAAATTCTTTCACTCATTTACTCAACATACCTTTATTAAATGCTTACTTCTGCAGGTATTTATACTTAAAATCATAATTTACTTCATAAAATTTAAAATCTAACTTTTGGAGTCCTCAAATTGATATGGTCTTATCCATTTATTGGTAAAATGCTGCATTCGATACAACATACAAAGTGGATGCCTGTGGCAGAGCAGTTACTTGCCATTGTCTCTTTTTTTTTGTTTTCTCTCCCAGAGGAAACTTCAGGTTTGGGCTGTTTCATTCAGACCCCTTATGACCAGGGTGTACATTTCCCAGACTACATGTATGAAACTCATGGCCATGGAATAGAACAAACACAGTTGCTCCATAAAGTCTTTTTAAATACGGTGTTCCAACCAACTGAGCTAAACAATCTCAGACTTTGAAAAGAATATGTTCTTTGCTTAGAAGAGGAGCAAACTCAACAGATTTAACAAATTTTAATATCTCACAGATTTAAAAAACAAAGAATTTCAAGGTTAACCGGGAAACTACAATATTTTTCTTGAGGCTGTTTAATCTGAGCCTGCACTTCAGAAGCGATTTTATGTTTTAAATTTTAGGGTTCTGACCTGTTTTCCTTTCTCAAAACAAACATGCTAAGAGTTTAAAATCAACCATGATCATTGCTAGTAAATATGCACTCAGACCTGACCTGGCTGTGCAAATAAAGTCCATTCTCCATGGTGATCAGAAGCAGCAATGTCTCACTATGGAAGGTGGCTAGCTGCATTTACAGACTGTACAATCTAATTCCTCCTTCTGTAAATGTTGATTAAGCTGAAAGAGGATCGTTGGCAAAGCTAATTCAATAGCACCGTCTCCTCTCCTGAAAGGCTGGAGGATGATCTCACTATCACATGAGTCCATTAGCTATCCCTGCAGCAAAACTCACCATCTGGCTAACTGGCTTAGACTGTGCTGATTGGACTGCAGGCTTTTCTAGCACTCTCTTGTGATGGTGAGTGTGAGAGTAAGAAGCTGGGAGGGGCAGCTGGACAACATAAGACTGCTGTTATCTCTTAGGGAGCTAGGTGAACCCTAAGTGCTGCCTGATAGCAACAGGACCTGCCTGGCACTGATTGTCTATTTCTTAGCATTGGTAACAGAAGACATGGTCATTTATGATCAATATGATGGAGTTGACAAATTAAACAAACAAACAAGCAAACTCTTCCTTCTAACCCTGCAATCTTTGACTTTTGATCCTGTCATTAGATAACTGATGTAGGAAAGTCACTGAAGCATCACTTTAAGTAGCAGTGGATGAAGCATTTTCAAAATAACAACCGGCCTAAGTCAAAAATCAAATCGATGTTTGCTCCATTATTGTTCTCTTATGTCAGTTCTGATGGTAGTTCCTGTTTTAGCCTCTCTTGGAATTATAGAGTTAGAATTGTGACTGAATAATTGGGAATAAGAGGGAAAATTGAGTATTCTGCTGCCTTTGTTGAATCTCACTCCGGGTTAATTGCTGCTAATTATGCAGCTGCTTATTGGTGCATTTCTATCCACTTCTGCGTCTGAACACAGAAGGAAGACGTAGGGAGGATCCAAAGTGAGACTCCAACAAAACAGCTGATCATAACCTGCATGTAAAATTGAGAATTTGTTTTCTTTTGCTTTTATTTTACATTTTTTTTAAAATTATGGTTCAATAACAGAATATAATCGGTTATCAAAAGCAATGACATTCTGTTGTCAGCATCTGAGAGTTGTTGGTATGATCACTGTTGGGTGGAATGTTTAAGTATTATTCCTACAGCAAATAAGAAAAGTGACTCTAATTACTGAAGATATGAAATAAAAGATATGAAAAGCAAGATTGAGAAAGACCTTCTTTACTGGTCCTTATTAGTGTTAAAAAAGGCCACACTAACAAATCAGGGACTGAATATCATGTTGTTCAGCCATATAGGTTTTGAATGCCATGTGGTGGTTAGCTTACTTTGACAGGAGCAGTACAGTCTTACTCGTTTGGCAAAATAACAAATGTTCCCATTATTTTGGATTATATATTTATTTATGTGATTTTGCATATCAAGTGCACAAAAATTAAGCTTATGGTAAAAAAAGTACCATTAATTAGTGACTCTACTGTAATTGAATCAGTGGTCATTGTAATGTACCTTAAAGTCACTATGGAGTTTTAAGACATTAATTTACAACAAGAAGAGAAAAGGACTAGGAACATAAACATGTCTGCACATAGATGGGGAGGGGAGGCTAAATTGAGTGAATCCCTCCAATTTTTTCACTTTCTCCTCACTCTGACCTTACTCCAACATGGCCTCAGGCTCTAGATTTCTACCAGATCACATTACAGAGGCATGTGATGAGAAGGAACCACTTGAGTCTTTTTTTTTTTTCCAGAACCAAGCCAAGTAATTCAGTCATGCAAAAGTTTACGCAATTGACAATATTCACTCATGTCCCCCTGTTTACAATTTTAAGGTGTGTAAAGGCCAGTCACAAGCAAGGACGGTCAGCATTGCTTTGGTGTAGATGGAACACACGGAGACGATGGAACTGCAGGGCGCTCACAGACAGATAGTTGACCAAGAGTGAAGGGCAGTAGCTAAAACTGAGTGCCTATAAGGTCAAGGAATGTGACATAAAAGAGATCTGTGGATGTGGCACAACCAGTCAAGGCCAATTTTGGGGAAGATGTAAATTTTAAATGAGGTTTCATAGGAAGATTGGCGATCTAAGTAGGGAAAAATGTTTTCCTAAAGCGAATAAGCATGGCGTGACAACTATATGTTGTGTTATAAGTTTTTCTATTCACGAACTTTTCTTTTCTTTTCTTTTTTATTCTTCTGTTATACAGAAGTTCCCAACCTCCAAGCCATGAACTAGAACTAGTCTGTGGCTTGTGGGGAACTGGGCTGCACAGCAGGCAGCGAGCAGGTGAGTGAGCAGAGATTATGGCCTGAGCTCTGCCTCCTGTCAGATCAGTGGCAGCATGAGATTCTCATAGGAGCCCAAATCGTATTGTGAGCTACGCATGCGAGGGATCTAGGTTGCGTGCTACTTTTGAGAATCTAACTAATGCCTGATGACCTGAAGTGGAACAATTTCATCCTAAAACTGCCTTCCCACAACTGGCCCATGGAAAAATTATCTTCCACAAAACTGGTCCCTGATGCCAAAAAGATTGGGGACTGCTGCTGTCATATAAGGATAATTATCCTCATTTTACAGAGGAGGAAATTGAAAGTCAGATGTACAGTGACTAAAATAGCTAAAAGTGATGAAAATTAGAGCTGAGGTGTTGGTCCTTACAGACCTTCTACTTCTGTTGCACCCCAGGGCTCTGTCCTGGTAACATACAAACAGAGGCAGTGCCAACACTGGAGGGTGGAAGGCTCAGGCCTTCATTCTGACCCCAAGGCACCCAGTACCTTCCATAGTGCTTGCTGTCATCCCTACTACTATTGTCTGCTCACTACTTCTCTACTGGTCACAGAGAAAGCCATAAAAAGATGTTTTCATACTCATGAGTTCCCCCATGCAGGCACTGATAGAACTTGATAAGTTGATTCATGCTCTGTAGTTCTCTTCACAGCAAGCAGCTCGTCTCCCTCTCAGCTTTCACCTTCAACGCCCTGCACAGCAAGCCTGTGGCAGCTCTGCTCCTCAGCTGTCAGACAAAAGGGGAGAACAAAGCAAGACTGTGATGCAATACTCATGTTAGGTAAATCTTTCCCCAGCTAGTACTTTCTGTCCTGGGATTATTTTGTGAACACAGATTTCGTTAGAGAGCAATTGATCTGAACATCTGGGGGCTCATTAGCTCCTTCTAATTGCTATAATGTGGTTCCATTCTGATTTCATGCAAGGGGTGCAGTCTTCATGCACAAACTATTGATTAATTACACATTTAAGGCATTTGAGAATATCAGCTGAGTGCATTTGTGGTTTCCTAGGATTTCTCCTTTATTTTCCCTGTCTGAACTTTTCCTTGTTCCTTCGCCTCCCCCTTACCTCTTGCCATGCCAATCAGTCTCTAAAGCATTCACTTTATAAACAGAAAGTCAAAATGGTGCTTTACTATTTATCTGGTAACTCATATTGGAATTTGGAAGAGTGGCTGATGTGAACAATGGCTCATAAGAACATTAATTTTTCTTCTGTACTGAATAGTCTCATTGAAACAGATTTGGATATGAGGATGATGCTTACATAATAAATACCCAAGCTGGTTGGGTTAGCAGATTGTTTACATGTGGGCACATGTGTGTGGCTTGTTGCTGCATGGTTGCCCATTCCACCGGGAGAAGCTCTGTTGTTATGTGTGTTATGAAATTTCAAATAAGGGAAGAACAACAGCTGTAATGGGCCCAATCCAATGATGGCAAAAGGTGAATAAAATTACTCCCTCTGGGAAGTAAAATGCTCATTTAGTGGAGGGAAATTATCATTTCCAAGTAGAACATTTGGCTTCCTGAGAGTGAAAGTGTCGGCACAGCTTGATAATAACACCTCAGGCTGTAATAGTACCCTTTCCCCTCTGAGAGCTAGGCTTTTTCCCTCTAAATTTATCTCTACAACGTCTTTGCAAAGTGAGTAGGCACAGTTGTTATTGGCCATATTTTATAGATAGAGAAACTGAGAGTCTAAAAAACTCAGTGATTTGTCCTTGGAAGCCCAGAAATCAATCTAGATAAGGGTTTCTCAGCCTTGGTGCCACTGATATTTTTGAACCGGTAATTCTTGGCTGTGGTGGTTGTCCTGTGCACTGCAGAATATTAGCAGCATCCACTAGATGCCAGTAATGCCCCCAGTTGTGACTACCAAAGATGTCTCCAGACACTGTCAGATGTCCCTTGGGAGGCAAAATCACCCACAGTTCAGAAACAGTGATCTAGATTGGTGGGCCCGGACGGTCTTGTAGCCTTTAGGAAACCTGAAGCAAAATTTGGAAAAATAAAAATTTGCCCTTGACATCCATAGTTTCTCCCATCTGTAATAACAGTACATATGTAGGATTCATTATTATGAAGTCTTTACACTTGTCCTGCATTATTCATGGCTTTACATCCTGCATTTTCAGTTACCGTTGGTCAACCAAAGTCTGAAAATAATAAATGGAAAATTCTAGAAATAAAAATTCATAAGATTTAAATTGCCTGTCATCATGAGTAGTGTGATGAATTCTCAAGTGTCCTGCTTCATCTCTCCTGGGATGTGAATTCTTCCTTGTCCAGGATATCCACACTGTCTAGGCTCCCCGTTTGTTCATCACTTAATCATTGTGTTCGTCATCAGATCAACTGTAATGGTATTGCAGTGCTGGTGCCAAGTAACCCTGATTTTACTTAATAATGGCCCCAAAGCTCAAGATCAGTGATGCTTACAGTTCAGATATGCCAAGGAGAAGCTCTAAAGTGCTTCCTTTAAGTGAAAAATTGAAAGTTCTTGATTTAATAAGGGAAGGAAAACAATCATATATTGAGATTACTAAGATCTATGGTAAGAATGAATCTTCTCTCTATGAAATTGTGAGAAAAAAACAAAAGGATGTGTATATAGTATCTATAAAGTTCAGTACTATCCTCAGTTTCAGGCATCCACTGGGGTTCTTGGAACATATCCCATTTGGATAAGGAGAGACTACTGAATATACCTTAACTTCAATTCTATTTTAATCACATTTTTCACATAGGAAAACAGAACCACAAAAAGGTTAGCTCACTTGTTCAAATTTATACAGCTAGGAATCAGGGTTGGCTTCATGAGCATTTTGACCTAAGCAGCTACACAGGATCCCATGTTTAGAAGGGTGTCATACTTGGTTTAATGATCTTGCTGTCCTTATATTGAAACTATTAATTATTTTTGAACAAGAGTTTCACATTTTCATTTTGTTTTGAGCTCCACAAATATGTAGCTAGTCCTGCTAGGAGGCAAAATAGCCAGGATTCCAGTCCAGGGAGTTTAAAGACAATATGTTTAACCTTTTAACCATACAGCCCCTCATTCTTTCACATGTTTGTTCATCCATTTACTTTTCAGTAAATTGTGCTGTGAGTTCATTATAAACCAGGCACTAGACTTGGCAGTGATGGAACAATAGAGGCAAAACAGATGCTGTCCCTTCTCTTATGAAGCTAGCAGCCTCAGGAAGGATGCAGGCCAACAAACAGGTATTTGCAATTCAACATGGTATGTGTTATGATAGGAAAGGTCTGGTTGCTATGGGAGCATACATATAGGAGGGCACTTAACACAGTATGGGGGGATTAGGATGGTGTACAAGCTGAGGCATAAGGGCTGAATAAGAGTTACATAATCAAAACTGGAGAATGAGTATGATCTAAGCTAAAGGAAATAGAAGTATAAATGCTTAGAACTGAGGAGGAGTGTGACACAATTGGGGAATTAAAAATAGCTTAGTGTGAATGGAATATTGAATTAGTCAGCTTTCACTGTTGTGGTTCAGTAACAGCCCCACCGTGTCAGTAGATTATTACAATAAAGGCCCACATCTCACTCTTGTTGCTGGTGATGTGCTATTGGGTTGTGCTGCTTCTCCCCAAGTCTCCATTTCAGGACTAAGCCAGGAAGAGCAGTTCCTAAATGAAAATGCCATTCTTGTGATAGAAGAAAAAGAAAGAAGTAGCTGAACCACACACAATAGCTGAAGCTCTTTGGCTCATATTCCATTGGTTAATCAAGCATGTGGCCATGGTCATCATGGGTAGAGCAGGGAAGTATCCTGCTCTCCTAGGGGGCACTACAAGTCACATAGCAATGGGCAGATATGTTATAGTTCTCTTAAAGGGAGAGCAGAGACTAACTAGGAACAGTAATATATTCTACCAGGTAAGAATGAGAGGAGGTGAGTGGTATGAGAAGGTTTTTGGAAATAATTAGGAACTAGGTTATGTGTTTTATAGAATATATTAAAGCCTTTAGGTGCAATTCATTACTCCTTTCCATTGTGTACTCATTATTTGGTCCTACGCGTCCTACTCAAAATCTGCTTTTGGAAAACAATAATAATAACAACAGTGACAAGCAAAACAAAAACCAAGAAAGATAATGTCATTACACACTAAAGTACAAATTATCCTTTATACAGTACTTATATCTTTACAGAAACAAAGGAAATAATCAGTTGTAGAGTGGCAGTCACTAATGTACTAGTGAAGGGTGAATTTTGATTCCATCTATGGAAAAAGATATTTCTTGGGGTTTTGGAAATCATACCTTGCTGACTTTTAAGTATTGCCCTACTATTAAGACCAATCCATAAATATTTACTGATTGCATTCTACACTTTAAGAACTGTGATTGCTGAATTCTCATCTTCAAAATTCAGTCAAGATGAATGAAAGGCAGCCTGATAGAGTGAAAAAAGCATGAATCCTGTCCTCCGGCAGACCTGCATTTGACCAAATTAATTTAGTTAATACCTGTATGAATTTGGGCAAGTTATCTAACATCTTTCACCTTGGTCTTCTCATTTGTAAAATGGGATTATAATACCTTCGTCAGAACCACAGATCCAACAAGAACAGCAACTTTTATTGGATACTGCTTAAATTCCAGGCACAGGCACAGGGCTAAGAACTTTTCATTATGACTCTTAAACTTTGTCAAACAATGAAGTGAAGACTATAATTTTACAGAGGAGGTAACTGGGAATTAAGGTGTTAAGCAACTTGCCCAAGGTCAGACATTTAGCAAATCATGGAACCTGAAAGTAAGCCCAGCCACACAATGACCGAAGTTGAACTCTTTATTACTGGGTAATAAGAACAGTAATGAAAACAAGAATAATAACAAACCACACAGTATTCCAAACTCTTTAAAATATTAGATTATTTAATTCTCAGTGATACCCTTTCAGAACATGCAAGTGATATAGAATCTCAGGTTCAACACTCTGTATATATATAACCATATATGCATATATCTATTAATCTATGTATATCTCTATATTAATTAAGCATTTTTTCTGTTCTTGGTCTGTTACAATAAGTGAGGTAAAGTAGGCTGTTCAATTTATTATACATTACCATATTCAATGGAAAATGCTAACCTCCAAGTTAGAGAAAACTTGATAGAAAACTTGTTAACATTGTTTATAAGATGCTTAAATAAGCTTTGAGTGAGGATGTAAGACCCTCACACTCAAATAGAAGGTGAAAACTATACCAAATGGACTTTTTCATGTATTTTGAATTCAGAGGCCTCTTTTTACTCCCTGTGGATTCTGATTATATTTGAGATATAATCATTAGGTTCAATGTCCCATAAATATGTGAATTATTAATATAAATTATTTTCCCAATATTTTTCTGGCTTTCTTTTTGTGTTTTTCTTTCCAGGGCCCAAGTTCCCAAATATGTTTCCTTTTGCCCTTTTATTAGATTATCATCAATAGTAGGTAGTCATTGGCTTTATTTCTTTTCATTCCCAGGCTCATCCAACAAACTGAGGAATGTCCTATATTTTGCCTCTCATTGTCTGAGATGATCTTTGTGTGGTTTCTTATTTATGTATATTTTTTTCCCTCCAAAATCATATGAAAAGAAATTGCAAGTTGAAAACATTACTTCTGGAAATGCTATTCATCCTTCAGCACAAAATTTGACTGTGATTTTCTAAATAAAACAAGGCTTTTTTTAAAATTATACTTTAAGTTTTAGGGTACATGTGCACAATGTGCAGGTTTGTTACATATGTATACATGTGCCATGTTGGTGTGCTGCACCCATTAACTCGTCATTTAGCATTAGGTATATCTCCAAATGCTATCCCTCCCCCCTTCCCCCACCCCACAACAGTCCCCAGAGTGTGATGTTCCCTTTCCTGTGTCCATGTGTTCTCGTTGTTCAATTCCCACCTATGAGTGAGAACATGCGGTGTTCGGTTTTTTATCCTTGCAATAGTTTGCTGAGAATGATGATTTCCAGTTTCATCCATGTCCCTACAAAGGACATGAACTCATCCTTTTTTATGGCTGCATAGTATTCCATGGTGTATATGTGCCACATTTTCTTAATCCAGTCTATCGTTGGACATTTGGGTTTGTTCCAAGTCTTTGCTATTGTGAATAGTGCCGCAATAAACATACGTGTGCATGTGTCTTTATGGCAGCATGATTTATAATCCTTTGGGGATATACTCAGTAATGGGATGGCTGGGTCAAATGGTATTTCTAGTTCTAGATCCCTGAGGAATCACCACACTGACTTCCACAATGGTTGAACTAGTTTACAGACACACAAACAGTGTAAAAGTGTCCCTATTTCTCCACATCCTCTCCGGCACCTGTTGTTTCCTGACTTTTTAATGATCGCCATTCTAACTGGTGTGAGATGGTATCTCATTGTGGTTTTGATTTGCATTTCTTTGATGGCCAGTGATGATGAGTATTTTTTAATGTGTTTTTTGGCTGCATAAATGTCTTCTTTTGAGAAGTGTCTGTTCATATCCTTTGCCCACTTTTTGATGGGGTTGTTTGTTTTTTTCTTGTAAATTTGTTTGAGTTCATTGTAGATTCTGGATATTAGCCCTTTGTCAGATGAGTAGGTTGCGAAAAGTTTCTCCCATTTTGCAGGTTGCCTGTTCACTCTGATGGTAGTTTTTTTGCTGTGCAGAAGCTCTTTAGTTTAATTAGATTCCATTTGTCAATTTTGTCTTTTGTTGCCATTGCTTTTGGTGTTTTAGACATGAAGTCCTTGCCCATGCCTATGACCTGAATGGTATTGCCTAGGTTTTCTTCTAGGGTTTTTATGGTTTTAGGTCTAACATGTAAGTCTTTAATCCATCTCGAATTAATTTTTGTAAAAGTTGTAAGGAAGGGATCCAGTTTCAGCTTTCTACATATGGCTAGCCAGTTTTCCCAGCACCATTTATGAAATAGGGAATCCTTTCCCCATTGCTTGTTTTTCTCAGGTTTGTCGAAGATCAGATAGTTGTAGATATGCGGCATTATTTCTGAGGGCTCTGTTCTGTTCCATTGGTACATAACGAAATGAAGGCAGAAATAAAGATGTTCTTTGAAACCAATGAGAACAAAGACACAACATACCAGAATCTCTGGGACACATTCAAAGCAGTGTGTAGAGGGAAATTTATAGCACTAAATGCCCACAAGAGAAAGCAGGAAGGATCCAAAATTGACACTCTAATGTCACAATTAAAAGAACTAGAAAAGCAAGAGCAAACACATTCAAAAGCTAGCAGAAGGCAAGAAATAACTAAAATCAGAGCAGAACTGAAGGAAATAGAGACACAAAAAACCCTTCAAAAAATTAATGAATCCAGGAGCTGGTTTTTTGAAAAGATCAACAAAGTTGATAGACTGCTAGCAAGACTAATAAAGAAGAAAAGAGAAGAATCAAATAGATGCAATAAAAAATAATAAAGGGGCTATCACCACCGATCCCACAGAAATACAAACTACCATCAGAGAATACTACAAACACCTCTATGCAAATAAACTAGAAAATCTAGAAGAAATGGATAAATTCCTTGACACATACACCCTCCCAAGACTAAACCAGGAAGAAGTTGAATCTCTGAATAGACCAATAACAGGCTCTGAAATTGTGGCAATAATCGATAGCTTACCAACCAAAAAGAGTCCAGGACCAGATGGACTCACAGCCGAATTCTACCAGAGGTACAAGGAGGAGCTGGTACCATTCCTTCTGAAATTATTCCAATCAATAGAAAAAGAGGGAATCCTCCCTAACTCATTTTATGAGGCCAGCATCATCCTGATACCAAAGCCTGGCAGAGACAACCAAAAAAGAGAATTTTAGACCAATATCCTTGATGAACATTCATGCAAAAATCCTCAATAAAATACTGGCAAATCAAATCCAGCAGCAGATCAAAAAGTTTATCCACCATGATCAAGTGGGCTTCATCCCTGGGTTGCAAGGCTGGTTCAATATACACAAATCAATAATTGTAATCCAGCATATAAACAGAACCAAAGACAAAAACCACATGATTATCTCAATAGATGCAGAAAAGGCCTTTGACAAAATTCAACAACCCTTCATGCTAAAAACTCTCAATAAATTAGGTATTGATGGGACGTATCTCAAAATAATAAGAGCTATCTGTGACAAACCCACAGCCAATATCATACTGAATGGGCAAAAACTGGAAGCATTCCCTTTGAAAACTGGCACAAGACAGGGATGCCCTCTCTCACCACTCCTATTCAACATAGTGTTGGAAGTTCTGGCCAGGGCAATTAGGCAGGAGAAGGAAATAAAGGGTATTCAATTAGGAAAAGAGGAAGTCAAATTCTCCCTGTTTGCAGATGACAAGATTGTATATCTACAAAACCCCGTTGTCTCAGCCCAAAATCTCCTTAAGCTGATAAGCAACTTCAGCAAAGTCTCAGGATACAAAATCAATGTACAAAAATCACAAGCATTCTTATACACCAATAACAGACAAACAGAGAGCCAAATCATGAGTGAACTCCCATTCACAATTGCTTCAAAGAGAATAAAATACCTAGGAATCCAACTTACAAGGGATGTGAAGGACCTCTTCAAGGAGAACTACAAACCACTGCTCAATGAAATAAAAGAGCATACAAACAAATGGAAGAACATTCCATGCTCATGGGTTAGAAGAATCAATATTGTGAAAATGGCCATACTGCCCAAGGTAATTTATAGATTCAATATCATCCCCATCAAGCTACCAATGACTTTCTTCACAGAGTTGGAAAAAACTACTTTAAAGTTCATATGGAACCAAAAAAGAGCCCGCATCTCCAAGTCAATCCTAAGCCAAAAGAACAAAGCCGGAGGCATCACACTACCTGACTTCAAACTATACTACAAGGCTACAGTAACCAAAACAGCATGGTACTGGTACCAAAACAGAGATATAGATCAAACAAGGCTTTTTGCGCCTTCAGCACCTTGGTTCTTTTAAGCTTCCTTTATAATATCTTAAGAAAATCTGAGTCCAGGAGCAGTGGCTTATGCTTGTAATCCCAGCACTTTGGGAGGCCAAAGTGGGTGGATCACCTGAGGTTGGGAGTTCAAGACCAGCCTGACCAACATGGAGAAACCCTGTCTCTACGAAAAATGCAAAATTAGCTGGGTGTGGTGGCACATGCCAGTAATCCTAGCTACTTGGGAGGCTGAGGCAAGAGAATCGCTTGAACCTGGGAGGTGGAGTTTGCAGTGAGTGGATATCATGCCATTGCATTCCAGCCTGGGCAACAAGAGCAAAACTCCATCTCAGAAAAAAAAAAAAAAAAGAAAGAAAATCTGAGGTTGAATAACTAACAATTTTAATATTTAGTTAAGAGGCCAAATGAAGTATTTGTCCTACCCTCAAGCAGCCCTGCTGTCCTTAAGAAACAACATTATATTTTCCAACGCACAACAATAAAATGCACTTAAATGGTATTTTTTTAATCCATGTTAATAAAAGGATTCACCACAACTGATTAGGCTTAATGTGCATACAAATCACAGGACAGACAATATTTCAGTTCCAAATCTTAAAAGATAAAATTAATAATGATATAACTTATTTTCATTCAAAACTAAAATGCCTTTCAGATGGTCCAAAAGTGTTTCATCACCATATGGCAGTATATCTCAAAGAGTGATTTGCTCATTGCCTGTGCAAGGTCCATTTGAGGGCTGGAAAATCCAGGTTCTCAGGCTCTATCCCATCTTACTGAATCAGTGTTGGGGATTTGGGCTTTGTAATTTGCCCCTTTAACAAACTCCTTAGAGGACTCTTGTGCATACTGATATTTCAGAAGCAGTCTTATGGAGAACAAAATAAAAGAGGAGATAAAATATCTTAAGTTGTCAACAGATAGAGATTTAACAACTATATGCTACTTGCACTGTATCTTCGGGTTTAATTTAGATTTAGCAACTACTATGCCACTTGCATGTTAGGATTTTTAGTTTAGTTTAGTGGCAAGTGATTAATAAGGCCAAACAACTTCATGATCTTCTGTTATTGACCTAATTTCACAATTTAACACTTAGAATTGGAATATTAGCTACTGTGCAAAATTCAGCCATAAATATTTAAGGATATTTACAACTTGGTTTCATGCTCCATTAAAATATATTTACTATTTGTTGTTTAGAATTAAAAAGGAAATCTGAGGTCTAAATGTTCAATGTTTAGATTAGGCTAGTCTAGAAAATTCATCAAACCAATTCCATGGGGTAGTGGGTATGGTCATCTTACAAAATTGAATGTATACTATTTGTGTTATGAGAGGTTGAATCTCAAAGTGTGGTCTGTGGACCAACAGCATCGATATTACCTAGGAGCTTGTTAGAAATGCAGAATCTCAGGTCCCACTTTTAATTTGCTGAGTTAGAATCTACATTTTAACAAGATGCCCAGGTGATTTACATGCACATTAAGCCAAAGAAGCAGTGCTCTAAGAAACTGCTTGTTCCTAGAAAGTATTGCTTAAATATAGGCTCAGAACTGTTGTTTACATAGGACTTGTGGATTTCTCTTGTGGTTAAAAAATTTAAAACTACAGTTAAGAGAAACGAGTGGTCCTTGCAGCAAGCTAACAAGGAGCCCTTGAATATTAAGATGGTTGATACTTAAGGACTGCAGCAATTGCTGTCTAAACCAGAAAAGTATCTGAGCACAATTGACAATGGTTCCATAGACTCCTGGGGATAGTCACTTGAATGATTAATTATTAATTTTTAAAAAGAACTTTTTTTTCTGCTGTGCACTATACAAAAGATAATGTATATTAAATATAAAAGAATCATAAATGATAAAAGCATTTGTATGCTTAGAAACTTGGTAAAGGGGATAGAGTAAATGTATAATGGAATCACTGCATTTATATCAATAAATGAGAGCTAAAATATTTTTATAACTTTTTTGTCAGTACAATAAAGAGGACTTTTGGAGACAGATGGTAAATCAATATTGTTTTAATATATAATATATAATGAGAAGGAGCAATATGATCTAGAATATTTTTGTATCACCAAAAGCAAATATCACCATTAACATTCAGATCTGAGAAGAAATCAAGTGTCAAAGAGTCCCCAAAGGAAAGGGAGACTTCAAATTATTCAAAGATGAACTGGAAAAATCAGTTACTTTGTATAACTGGGGGTATACTAAATGTGTTCTGGTATGGAAATTGTATTCAATTTCTAAACATCTCAGGTTGCATGAACTGGGCAAGGCTATAATTAGTGACTGTGCGGCCATATAACCTGGATTAGACTTTGATGGAAACATCACTTCATTGTGCATTTCTTGTGCCAGAAATTCCTATATGAAGAATGACATATGAGTTTTGTAAGTCAGGCTCATAATCACTAAGCCCAAATAACTTCATGGTCATCTATTCTCGAACCAATTTTAAGACTTAACAAGTAGGGTTGGAATATTGGCTCCTGTGGAGAATTCAGTGATATATATTTAAGGATATTTATAATATTTATAATTTGACTTCATAGGTAATTTTATCTTTAGTGAATCCCTTTTCTTAAGGGTAGACTACTTTAACAGAAGCTATTAAGATGAGAAATATTTTAAAACAGTGAAAAGTCCCTAGCCTGGTCATTAATAGATAAAATGTAAATTAAAAACAAAAGTAAACACTTAGAATCCATTTACCTAACTATCGTCACTCTTTTGGGGGAAGGATAGACCTTGGAAGAACCTATATAATGACCTTACAAAGTAACTATTCATCAAATAGTGGTGGACTATAGTCCTACAAATACTGGTTCAATATCTTCTTAGTCATATAGGCATTTAGCACTGCACTACAATTATTTTGACACTATAGATGCTTGTTCACATTCTGTGATTTGATCACAGCAGGAAGGACAACTTTAAATATAGAAGAGAGAAGAAAAAGATAATCTCCCTCCTCTCTCTGCTCATTTCACACCTTCTTGAATGAACAAAGTTAGTCTTTTCAGAATATATGTTTAATGATGTAATAAGTAATGTGCTACCAAAATGGCAAAATAGATGGACTAGGGAGAGCATCAGTCATCCCTGGGAGATGCTTTAGACCCAGAAAATGACTTCCTATGATCTCACCTGTGATGAGATGAGACCTTTTCTTATCTCATGAAATAATCTCTCTTTTTCCTCTCTTGTATTTTTTCTTTCTGTCCAATGAGGAAAACAAAAACAAAGAAAAAAATGAAAAAAAGAAAAGAAAGCAAAACAACACAAAACTACCAAACCAACAACTGGAAAACCCAAAGCTTGTAAACTGTTTACAGGAAACCAAATAGTATTTCCTGGGACATGAGATGAATATGAGATGGCGTTTTTTATTGTCACTTTGGGTACAGAGGCCGAAGGTCATTATCTAACAGGCATACAAATGGAATCAATCTCTCCCTCAAAGAGCCTGTCAGATGCACCTGAGCCTTCCCGGGTGTTTGCAGAGTGGTTCATGGTCAAAGGCAAGAATGGATATTGGCACTTCAGGGGAAACTATATTTTCCTGTCAATAGACAGAAGATTGCAGTGTCCTAGACAGGTAATCAGTTATCAAGGACCACAATCAGCTCACGTTTAAACATTAAACAGGTGGGGCAGGAGACAAGCAAAATTTATCATGTTTACTAGTTTTGCCAACAACCAAAGAACTGCTTTATTCTTTTTAATCAGTTCTAATCTGTGCTTCTTTATATCTATTTTGAAAGACATTCAATAATTTTTTCCCCTTGGCAAACGCTTGGTGGATTCATAGAGTCAAAAGTCTATATTTCTATAAGTATATATTTTTTAAAATCTCCCATTTTTCTCTTGGCTTTGGTTAGCTATATGTGTGTACAAATCAGTCCCTATGACACCCAGTTTCTATGCCAGTTTGGTGAATGGTGTGGGGAAAGAAATTGAAAAAGGCTAAAGCAAACCTTCTCCTAAGATTAAACAGTATGTGGTTTGTTAAGTTTTTTTTTTTTTCCTATTCCACCATTAAAAGTAAAGAAGAATGGCTTTTCTTTTTTTTTCCTGATTAGAAGGCTTCACTGGATTTGTGGCAAATAAATTGACAAGTGAGGGCACTGATGACAAGAGAGTGATAATTGATGGTGGCAGGTGGGGGCCTGGTGTACTGGCATGTCCTGTGGAGGGTGAGCCAAGGACATCTATCAATCAAATTGGTGACAGCAGCCAGGGAGACTTAATTGGAGATTCATTGAACCTTTAATGTTGTGACAGAGAAAAATAAGGATGCTTAAAAGGCTCCTGGGCTATTTCTTTTCCTTCATTCCAACAATTCTCATAGAAAGAATGGAAAGTGGACATTGCTCCAGGGTTGAACATTCATTGTTTCCATCAAAGTTAATCACATTTTTTTTTTTAGGAAGCAAAGTAGTGAAAGTATTTACCATTAGTCCAATGTGGAATGAAATCTATACCTGGAGCTTTAGGGATTCGACTGTTCTGTGGTGTTAGCATAATCAGGGATGTTTAGCAAGTGTTCAGACACCATGTGCTTAACACTGAGTGTCAACTAGGGTGCAAATATTGTCTGCTGGAGTGTGGATTCCAGGCATCATAAGGAAAAAAGTCCTTTTCCTAATTTAATAATCTTCTCTTCATTCTTCTAAAAAGTTCTCTATACAATCCAGATGTAAATATTTTTCTTTTTTTTGTGTGTTGTTGTTGCCAGAGGTTCAACATAATTTTATTTCTTATTTGGAAAATGAAAGAATTCAGTAGAGCTATTTTCCCTTTAGGCACAGTACAGGAGGTTTTTCTTAAAATTAGTAGTGCAGGAAAAATCCCAACAGTTCAAGACACTGTATGTGGATATAATGTGTGAAAAGATAAGTAAGATGGTCTCTGTCATCCAAGATTATATATTTTTATATTTATGAGTTTATACATTTATTTATTCATTCTAAATCATAAGTTTGGGCACTTACTATGCATAGTGATTTGTTAGGCCAAGTCTAAGATCAATAGGACCTCGTTATTTCTTGGAAGGAATTTACTGTTTAGTGAGGGAAGACAGATATATGTACTGAGACATTAAATATTGCAATGTTCTAGGTAAGAATTGAGAGTTGTGATATCACAGTCTAGGATGGTAGAGGCTGCAGATATCAGGCCACTTAAGTGACAATTTTTGTCTTTTGAAAATTGCTAGAATACTGCTTCAAAAAGATTGGAAAGAAAGTAAAGATCCTAGACTTGCTATGGCAGAGATTTTATACTTAATGGCATCCCCATTTAGCCAAATTTTTAAGTCATAGACAGCAGAGAGGGATTACCTACCTCTTCCACCACTTTCTCACAGTTTGAAATTCAGCATTTTGCCATAACTTTTTTCTACAAGGCACTGAATACAAACATTTCCCTTTAATTACTAAATGGAGGAATAGTAATTTAAATTAGTAATTTTTAAATTTTACTAGTAGTAAATAAATTTTAGTAACTATAACTTTTAGTAATAGTAATTAAATAGTAATTTTAACTTTTTCATCATAATTTTAAAAGTTTCCAGAATGTCAGCATGTTGTTCCACCCAGTCACAATTTGCTTTTCCCTGTGCCAAGGCCCCAGTTCAGCATTTATTCTCCGTATTATGCACTTCAACAAGGGTTGACTGCTTGAAAGTCCTCCTGTTGGCTGAACTGTAAATAGGCTACAGATTACTCAATTGTCTTCCTCTAGAATCTTGTGTCTCTTTCCCTGCATATTTACAGATGCCTTGAAAAAACTCACAGAGGCAAAAATCACGGTAATCAGGAAACTGTAACCTGGCAAAAAATCTGTAGAGCCTCTCCTCATTATTGAGAACAGCTGCCACTAGCCAAGTGCATACTATACTTTTCAGGAAAAAAAAAAGTTCATTTAAAAGTAATTTGAGGCAGGTGGTATCATAGAAGAAAATAATTTTATTTATTTATTTATTTAAGACAGAGTCTCTCACTTTCACCCAAGCTGAAGTGAAGTGGCATGATTTCAGCTCACTGCGACCTCCGCTTCCCCGGGTTCAAGCAATTCTCCTGCCTCAGCCTCCGAAGTAGTTGGGATTACAGGTGCCTGCCACCACGCCTGGCTAATTTTTGTGTTTTTAGTAGAGACTGGGTTTTGCCATGTTGGCCAGGCTGGTATCAAACTCCTGACCTCAGGTGATCCACCTGCCTTGGCCTCCCAAAGTGCTAGGATTATAGGAGTGAGCCACCACACCCGGCCAAGAAAAGCATTTTAATTAGAATACTTGGAAGATACATTTTGAAAAGGAAGATTCTAGATTAAAATTTTGTGCTATATTTCATTGTGCTTTTTTCATTGAAAATGTTGATATAGGAAGAATTCTGTCATCTGTATCCCGTTTTTTCAGGCTCATCAAGTCTTATAATTAACTTTCCTAGGTCCTAGAAATATATTATTCCTAGGTTAGAATATTTTCTGTAGAATACAAATTATTTATAAACCATCAGCATGGGCAATGAGCCAGCTCAAGATTTTGTTAGAAACAAAAACATGAAAGTCAAAGTTAGAATGATTCTTTTAAAGTATTTTGGTCAAATCATCAATGTGGTAATCAAATCTCCTTTAGAACATTTTCTCCATGTGGTCTTCCATTCCAAGTTTGTACATGTGCAGCAAGGCAGACTCTACCTGCCATCTATCTCTGCTGTATTTGTATTCTATCTTTTAATGACTGTCTGTTAAATACTTTTTGTTAATGTTGGTAAGAAATCAATCTCTTTGTAGCATGTAGTCTCTGGACTGGATTCAGCATTTGTCTTTGGATATTTAGATTAACCAGAAAAACTCCACTTGAAAATTCCCCAACTGTTTGAAGATAGTTATTGTATCCCTTCCAAAACTCTAATTTTTTTAAAAAAATTAAACATTCTTCTTCCCCTTAGCCATCTTACCCATGTTATGGTTTTAAGTCCCTTCATTATCAAAAGTGCTTTGCTCTGTGCTGATGTAATTATGATCCAAGTGTCTCTAGGCACTTCTTAGAACATCTTGTCAAGACTTGAACACGACACCAGGAAAGGTTTGACCAGGTTTAGAGCAGGGAAACTTTTTCTTCCCTTACAAGTTGCATCTCTTAAATTTTTTTTTTCTTGCTGTATTCAGGCCTTTGATGGTTAATTTTATGTGTCAACTTCACTGGGTCACAGTGCCCAGATATGTGGTTAAACATTGTGGACATTCAATGAAGATGTTTTTAGATGAGATTAACATTTAGACTTAACATTAGATTTTGAGTAAAATAGATTACCCTCTATTAGTGGATGGGCTTCATCTAATCAGTTGAAGGCCTCAATAGAACAGACGGATTTCCCGAGTAAGAAGTAATTCAGCAGGCAGATGTTCTTCAGAGTTGAACTGCAACATCAACTTTTTCCTGTCTCCACCCTGCCGGACTACCCTGCAGATTTTGGATTTACCAAGCCTCTATAATTGTGTGAGCCAATTCCTTAAAAGAAACATGGATGTGTATAATACACACATACACACACACAATAGGATATGTGTGTGTGTATTATGTATTTTATATATATATATAATACATAATATGTATGTAATACACATACACATACAGATATCCTGTTTGTTCTGTTTCTCTGGAGAATCTTGATACAAATTCAAAATGACGGCCTGTATATTTTGTCATCTTGATTGTGTCATCTAATATATTTCTTTTCATCATCATCTTTGTGTCATCTACAAATTTGACAACAACAAGAGCTGGGTGTATTCTTTTTAGTCTAAGAACAATGGATTTTCTTCATTTTAATGATTATAAAATTACCTTTGATGGAAATGGTTCTTCATAGAGAAGCTTCTACCAACTATTGCTGATTATGCTTAGTGAAAGATTGAGAACATTAACACTGCATCTCAGCTCCCCCTGGTGGACACAACCCTCACAGACATTCTTCAATAGAATTGCCGAGTAGAGTAATAGATGTTATTGATAGAGTGTAAAGGCACATGGCTTACCGTAACCCTCCTTTTAAAAAGGTACTTGGATAACCATAAATTATGACACCCCTCTTGAGATTTTAACTATTTGTGAGACCCTGAGGCTCTCTCCTCACCATAATGACTTAAGGTTGTCACAGTGATGAGTAAGTTGTTTTATGAATATTCAAAATATTTAGAAAACAAATCATACAGACCTAATATAAAAATTATGATAACAGATTGTCTAACCTAGAACTATAAAACACCATTTGCTAACACAATCTTTATTAAATAAGCAGTAATAAGACATCTTACATTTTATTTTTCTAATTCTATTAGAATTATCTTAATGTAATACTTGCTATCTACCATTAAGTTTTTTTAATTATAAAAGAGTATAGCTTAAACTAAAGAAAAAAATCTTATATATATTAAGAATTACAAATAAAAGCTATGTATTGAGGGCCTGTTGTATTATATATACTCCATAAGGCAGTTTACATAGGTTAATATGCATATATTCGCAACAACTCTATAAGCTAAGTTGTTTTACCTTCATTCTGTATTTCAAGTTTGGCAAACTATGGCTTGTAGGCCAATATAGCCCTTGTATGGAACGTATTTTACACCCAGTGAGTTTAAAATGGTTTTCAAATTTTTAAATGGTTGGGAAAAATCAAAAGAAGAATAACATTTAATGACATGTGAAATCTTATAAAATTGAAATTTCTGTAAATAAAGTCTTATTGGCACATAGCTATATTCATTCATTTCCATATTATCCATGGCTGCTTCAATGCTATAACGACAGAATTGAGTAGTTACAGCAGAGACACTGTGCTATGGAAAGTCCAAAATATTTATTGTACTATCTGGCCCCTTACAGAAATCATTTACTGATTCTGCTGTATCTGATGAAAGTAAGGCTTCACATTTTTAAGTGATTTCTTCAAGAGACCTGAGGATAATCAAAGTAATAATTTCTTTGTTATTAGTTTCTTTTCTATCCCAAGTAATTGTGTAGTGAATTCTGTACTAAATATTAATATATGCATTTAGAGAAACAAATTTGAAACAGGATAAAAAGTGTTTTTAAACAAATTTAAGTCAATATTTACAAGGTTTTTTTGTGTGTGTACACAAGAAGTATATATTGGTAGAAAGACAAGTGACTGGAGTGTACAAATAAAATGGAGATGGAATGGACAGTTATAAACTCTTAAAATTCATAACCAGGCACTAAGATTTCATGGTTGTTCTATACAGTAGGTAAGCTTTTTGTCCCATCCTGGATTTATGTTTTTCCATTTCTAAGCATCAGTGATATGGTTCCATAATGTGGTATTGACAATGACGTTTAAGAGGAAACATAGAGATGCATAGACATGAATGGCTCCTGTGTTTATGAAGTGGTATCTGGAATTAAATAGGAAGATGCATGTGATATGCTTGGCAGAAACCCTAGTAAAATGTCAATAAACAATAATCATCATGATAGTTGTTAGAAAGTTATGGTTGGCATATCTATAATTTATTGGAGATATCCCTGGAATCTGGACACTGGGGCAGTCTTTCAGATCTTCGATATGTCTTATAGCATGGTTTCTAGTGCTAGATGATGAGGATTCAAGATGATTTAAAGACAGGAGTAATTATTTTACTGGAAAATACTGGTTAAATAGATTTTTTCCCTTTAGAAAGGCTACTGAACAACTAGAAGGTGGACATAAATATGTTGTTTCCTTTTACATTTGCTCTCTGGAGCCAGGAAGGGTTAAGAAAGAGATACTTCTTTCCTCTTAGTCGGGATTCATACAGAAATCAAGAGTGGGAAGGGGCCCTCATTACATCAGACACAGTTACTTTAAGGATGAGGAATCTGAGACCCAGATAAATAAAATAATCTGCCTAAAGCTGACCCAGAGTTAGTACGGGGCTCTGGACGATTTCATTATGTCATGATACCATTCTCTTCCAAATTCTAAGATTGGAAAATTTACCTCATATGAAGAGTGAATTTAATTTATCTTTATTCTAGTTTCCCTTCAAAGGCATGTCTTAATATACATGGATAAGTCATTTCAAAACCTCTAAGCCTAAGGTAATTTGCACTGCAAATTATTTCACACCATAATATCTATCTCAGAGCTTTTCCTGAGATGTAAAGTCCTTGATGATAAAACCGACTCCGTAGTAATAGTAGAGGACTTATTTGTATTGAGAATGCAGACTTGAGTGCAAAGGGGCCAGACAAGTAAAGACTGTATGTAAATTAGTAAAGGAGTAGGAGATGAAAGACAATAGGGAGTAGAGGAGAATGTGCTCAACTAGAAAAGAAAGAGCTAAAATATGGACAGCTGTTACTCAGCCCCATCTGATGGTTACCATGCATGCATGATTTTGAATTTGCTAAATCCTCTCAATTCAAAGAAGCTGAAAATCTAGACTTTTAAATGTGGAGACGTTCTGATTTCCTTATTACTGCATGGGTCAAACAAAACACATCTGCATCTCTACTAAAAATAAGAATAAAAAAAGAAATTAGCTGGGCTTGGTGCGGGGCGCCTGTAATCCCAGCTACTTGGGAGGCTGAGGCAGGAGAATCCCTTGAATCCTGGAGGCAAGGTCTCAGTGAGCCGAGATCGCACTACTGCACTCCAGCCTGGGCGACAGAGACGAAAAAAAAAAAATCTGTGGACTGGTTTAGACCTTTAGGAAGCATCATCAGCAATGAAAAATCATGATGTTTTCATTAAAAATAAGAGTTTTACATGCAATTTGGGTTGTAGGGTTTACAGTTTAATATTTTATGATTCTTTTTCCTCTTTTTTTAATCCCAGGAGCAAGAGCATGCCATGAATCTAGCCTGTAGATTCAGCGTGGCTTTCTGGCTCAAACTTAGACTGCATCAAACAGCTTTGCTTTTGTTTTCTGCTTGAAAAAACTGACACTTGTTATGGTTACACTCACTGTGTGAGCCATCCCCTGTTGACTTCTGGACAATCACTATAAATCTCTATTATTTCGCTGTTATTGTCTTGTTATACTAGCACTGTTGAGGCATCTTCTCAAGGGAAGTGAGCCCAGGTGTGCACATACAGAACAAGAAATACTCTCCCTTAAACACATAAATAGCTATTTTATTTGGCACAACACACACAAATGTTAGTGTAGCCAAAGGAATCTTGAACAGTTATTTGCATTGCAAATACTTCAAAAAACTGGAGCAAAGGTATCAGAGCTCAATCTGCTAGCCATTTGAGTTTCATTAGTTCAGAGAACAATCCATCTTTTATTTTTTTCCAGTAATAAGAATTGAAATGAAATTCAGTGCCTTACAATCAGGCTCCAAGGCATAAGAATTTCTCATAAAAAAGAATATATTCCTGTTTCCCCATGAAATTCAGTTATATAAACCTCTTTTTATGGGTACTCTTTCTTTATGGCCCTGTTCAGAGAAAATGTGCAGGGTTAAGCTCTCTTGTGCTACACATTCATTGTTTTGATATACAATCCGATGGAAGACTGCAACAGTGCTTTCTGAGATATCTGGGCATGAAGGTTTGAAGATTCCCAAGGCAAAAAGTTATGTCAATTTCCTTAGTCGCACATGTGATTAAGGGGTACCTTTGGTTCTGGTACTTGCCAATTCATGACGTGGCAAAAAATTACATAAAGAACAATTGGCAGATAGGAGGTTGTGTTTTAGAGGCCTGAGTAGAATTGGGGAAGGTTTAATAAAAGCTGGAAGCTCAGTTTCATATAATTCACAAAAAGCTAAATCTATATTTATAAGAGTTAAGTAAGAAAGAAAGAGATTTGGGGGGCAATTAATTTTCTATGTAAGTATGTATTTATTTGGTTGATGGGATCCTTGGTGAATTTCTAATTTTTATTATTTTATAAATTTAGTAAAACATGAAAAAGGAAGCAAAACTTACCTATATGCATAAAGCTTTGGGGAAAAAGCTATAACAGACTGAAACAATCACTCTCCACTTTACAGTACTATCTTCAGACTCATATGAATATGAATAAAATATCTGAACATAAAAATATTTTTATTTTATGAAAAATGAGATCATACTGTTTATTCCTGTTTTAAATTTAAAAATACATATTTAATAACATTTAAAAAATAAAGTAAGAAATTGTGACCCAGGCGGTTTCTTGACATATACTGATGTGCATCCTCCCCAAACCCCAAGTTAAAAGAAATGATAAAAGTCAGTAATCCTCTAATTACGAATCCTCTGATTTTGTATAAGCTTCCAGGACAAAGAAACTTTGTGCCCTTTTCCATAAGGAACAAAGAGGGCCCTGTGGGAACATTCTGCATTCACGTAGGTTTGGAGAGGAGAACGGAAAGCTACAGAAGCAGACACATTAGCAAGCATATTGGTAGGATGATTGTAGTTGTGAGAATTCTGAAACAAATGTAAAAAGGGTGATGTTATGAAGACTGAAGGGAGGCTATTGTTAGATTGCTTGGAAAGGAAAGGCCCGGTGAAAAAAGGTACACTCATGCTGACACCTGATTGACAAGAAGAAGCCAGACACGAGGATTGCAGATCCTTCTATGCAAAGGGTAAAGGAAATGCAAATCCTGATATGAAGTAAATATCCTAGATATGTATTAGTAAATAGCATCCAAAGGTATATTATTAGAATCATTGTATGCAGAGTTATTCCAGCAATGCAAAGATTTCATTCGGAAAAGTTTTAATGTAATTAATTACAATCATAATTACATAAAAACCTCCAGCAGGAAAACAATTTGATGATAAACAAAAGAGTGACTACTTAAATGACAGGTGACTTTTAATAACTGCAGTGGAAGTCAGGTGATAGTAGAATGATATAGCCAAAATATGAAAGAAAATATCTATTAACCTATAATTCTATACTGAGCAAAATTTTATTTTTCAGAAACAGAAAGAAATGCTTTTTTGGGGTAAACAAGAACTGAGATTTTACTGACAATAGAATTTAACTAAAGGAATGTCTAAAACTTCTCCTTTAAGAGAGAAAAGGATCATAGTGGAAAAGTCAGAAGTAGTACCATATGAAGAACTTATGGTAAGCAAAACAATGGCAAGCCTGTGGGAAAAATCTAAACCATCACTGACTGTAAAACAGTAACTATCTTGTCTAATTGGGAAAGGAAAAAAAAAACTTAAGATAGAAATAAAATGTGAAAGGATGCCTGTAATCCCAGCACTTTGGGAGGCCGAGGTGGGCGGATCGCCTGAGGTCAGGAGTTCGAGACCAGCCTGACCAACATGGAGAAACCCCGCCTCTACTGAAAATAAAAAATTAGACGGCTTGGTGGCACACGCCTGTAATCCCAGCTACTCGAGAGGATGAGGCAGGAGAATCACTTGAACCCATGAGACGGAGGTTGTAGTGAGCCCAGGTCGCACCACTACACTCCAACCTGGGTGACAGAGTGAGATTCTGTCTCAAAAAAGAAAAAAAAAAGTGAAAAGAAAATAAAATCTCGAGACCCCAAACTCACTATGCCAAAGGGAAAACTTAAGCTTGGAAGCTGAGACACACACACACACGTGCACACACACCCCAAAAAACCCAACTCAACCCAAACCAAACCAAAACACAAGAAAACAAACCAAAAACTGACTTCCTCTTGTTTCCAAACAGCTGTAATTTCACAGCTCACTTTATCTTATGTAAAATGTAGATTTACTGAGTGCTAGAGGAATGCATAATTGACCCTCCCTTTTTGCATGTAAAATGTGGACTCAGTGAGCACTAATCAAAGCCTCACAAGAGTGTAACCACTTGCCTCGTTGCCTAACCTCCTCTTTTATTTTTCTTTCCTCCTCTCCCTCCTGCTTGCTTGGTCCCCTTCAAATATTGATGTCCTCAAAACTGTCTTTGGAAAGAAGCATAGGCCATGGATTCTATTATAACTTGTGATTCTGTTTCTTAGACACATCCTTAACTTTGGCAAAATAAACCTCTATTCCATTGAGATGTGTCTCAGACACTTTGTGGTTTATAAAAATCTTCCCCAATAATATTATATAAGTGAGGAAGGAGTGTGATTATTGGAATTAACCATTGTAAGGTCATTGTATTTTTCAGAGGGAAAATAAAGATATTCAGCTTAGAACTGATGAGGTTAAATAAGCATGCTAAAATTTCTGGAAAAACAATGAAATGAAAAAAGTTAGACGAGGTACTTAAAAATGAGTAGAGGGAAAACATCAAATGGGGATTGGGGAGACCACGTCAATTCAAAAGAAGAAAAAAAGAGAAAAAATAAGCACACTAGGAAAGAGGGGGAGGACAAATAAGTAATACAAAGATGGTAGAAATGAGTCCAAATTTCTAATCAAGATGAATAGAGTAAACCATTTACTTAAAGACAGAGGATCAAATTGAATTAAAAAGCAAAATACAATTATATTTGTCTTATAGAACTTAACTGTAAAAAATAATACTTTGAAAATATATCAGAGCATTTTTTTGGAACCCTGAGATGCCTCCTGAAGCCACGAGGAGTTAATGGCAACCCTTTGTCTTACAAGGCCTTACGTAATTTAATTCTTCAACTTTGAATTTCTTGCTCACTCTGCTCAACCACATTAACCTCTTTGCTGTTTCTGGAGCTCATCAGACACATGCCAGCCTAAACGTTTGTTCTAGTTTTTCCCTCTGCTTGGAATATCCTAAACCCAGGTATCTACTTAGCTAACTCTCTCATCTTTGGTTCCCTACTCAAATTTTACATTCTCAGTGAGGCCCACCTAGACCACCTTACTTATTCCTGCAACTTGCTCACTTCTCTTCACTTTCTACTTTCTTTCTTTGCTCTGGTAATTATTGGCACTTATCAACTTCTAACCTGCCATATCATTTAACTTTTAAAACTGATTGTTTATTGTTTGTTTTTCTCCCTTAGAATATAAACTCAAGGAGGAAAGGAATCTTTTTCTATCTTATTCACAGATTCTGGAATAGTGCCTGGCACATAGTAGGCACTTGATAAATATTCACTGAAGGAATAAATGAGTGCTATTTCTACCCCTAATTTACAGCACAACATCTGGCAACATTTTATTAAGTAAAATAACCAATAAGTAAAAAGCAAATATAAAATTTGATTTCTGTATTTTCTCTTCGTATTCTGGAAAATGCTTTGGAGATGAGGGTAGTAGGAAGAAATGGGAAAAAGGCAGAGGGAGATGAGCCTCCTCCCTTTCCACTGGATGAGATGGTTGAACTGCAGGTCCCTTGATGTTTCCACACTAGCAGAGAATTCTCTCATTTCTCTTCTCAGGGATGATCCTTGAAGCAGGATCTACAATAGACAGCATCAAAATCAACAGGCATATGATAACTGACAGTTTGGAAAACTATGACCTAATTGATGATACAAGACCCATTAGTTTGTGGGGCCTAAGAGGAAATTTCAACAGGAAAGATTAGTCTTGCAGCCTGACTTGTGGATGCAGCAGTTGCCTCATGCTATGGATTGCATTGTATCAACCCCTACCCCTCAAATTGGTATGATTCAACCTTAACCCCCATTGTGACTGCATTTGGAGATGGGGCCCATGAGGAGGTGATAAAGTTTAAATGAGATCATAGCATTGAAGCTCTTCATGTTAGGATTAATGACCTTATATTAAGAGACACCAGACTCTCTCTCTCTCTCTCTCTCCTTTCCTATCAAGCGAGGTGACAGAGAAATCAGTTGTCTTCAATCCAGCAAGCAAACTCTCACCAAGAACTGAATCAGCTGACACCCGGGTCTTGAATTTCCAGGCTGCAGGAATGTGAGAACATAAAATTCTGTTGTTTAAGCCACCCAGTCTGTGATATTTTATGTCAGCCCAAAGCTGACTAACACACCTTCCTAGATACCCATCTTAATCCCCTGGATTTGTTGAAAAAAAAAAAAAACAAACAAACTGTAAGAATATATTGTCAAATATAGATTTCCAAGTAACTTAAACTAAAATTTGTTTCATTATGACATGTTCAATACAGAAGTGAATGACTTTTAGTTTGTAGTTTTGGCATAATACTGGGCAGTATTAATACTAAGTTTTTCTATGTTCTTTTCACAAAGAACATTAACGAGAAGAAAAAAATGCCTCCTTTTATAATTTAGCAATATCCCGCAAGTCAGTTTTCAACTCTGTAGTTGGCAAAACAAACAAAGCCCAGACTCATCTGTGGTGACAGGAAATTAAACAGGAGAAATAATGGGGATAGGAAATTTTATAGTTCTTAAGGACACTCAACAATGTAATACCCTAGAGAATTTTGTACCTGAAATTTTACTAAGCATTTTGCCATGAATGTGTAAAGGCATTTATAAAATGCTTTAAATATTTTTAAGTTTATCTATTCTATGTCCCTTCAAAAAAGTCATAAAGCACTTATAAAATAAAATTTATGCTTTTAAGACTTTCAAACAATTACTACTCTGGGAAAAATGTATTTTAGGAATGGAAATTTACATTTACATTCCAGTCACATTATCTAAGTTTTTTCCAAACCTATTCATGCTGAAACCAGAGACACATCAAGAATATATTTCAAAAAGTCTTATAGGAAACAGCATTATGAAGTTATTTATTTTTGTTAATTAAAAGGAAGAAGAAACAGTTTACATTCTTCATGATTCTTCAAATTATTTTCAACAGACTTCGTAGGTACTGCATTAGGCCACACCTGCCAAATTTTAGCTTCGGTTACATATTCTTAGGAGACTATTTCTTGACCAATTTTAGGTTTGTTTGCTTCATTCATCTGTATTGTGATTAGTCAATGCTGTACAGAGAGACATAGAAGTTTGCATAATCACCACATACTATATAGATCAAGTCTATCTCAATTAAATTGCCGAAGTGTGTAAAGATTTAAGCTTTTAGCTTTCACTTTTTCAGTATTCCTGCTATGGACTGATTGTGTCTCTCCCCATAAATTCATATGTTGTAGTGCTAACACTCAATGTGACTGTACTTGAAGATAGGGCCTGTAAGGAGGTAACTAAGATTAAATGAGATCATAGTGATGGGGCCCTGATATGAAATAATTAGTGTTTGTATGGGAGGAGACACCAGAGAGCTCTCTCCCTCTCTCTGTCTCTCTCTCTCTTTCTTCCTCCCCACCATGTGAAGACACAGTGAGAAATCTGCCATCTACAAGCCAGAAAGAGGCCCTCCCAAGAATGGAATTGACCGGCAGCTTGATCTTGGACTTCCTCAGCTCCAGAATTGTGAGATAATAAATTTCTGTTGTTTAAGCCACCCAGCCTAGGGTATTTTGTTAGGGCAATCCATGCAAAGTAATATAATTTCCTTGTCCTTGTCACCATTTTTTAGGTGGAAGAGATTCTGGTTTGGAGTCATATTATATAGCATAAAACTGACAAATAAAACCAAGGTACCTAGCAAAGAAATAGGAACAACTCAGGTTCTGAGATACATTGGTTCCCTTCTAAAATTAAAAGGTATTATTAACCCAAGAGTAATTTCTTTAAGTAAAAAAGAATCAAAGCAAAGGAAAAGCCAAGCTTTCTAATCTGGAGAGATAAAACTAACATTTTTCTACAGGTCAAAGAGCTTCTAACAAAACCATCATACATATGTAGTATAAATGGTCTATTTGTTTCAAATGTACTTCTCAGCACTCTGTCTAATTAAAAGCTAATCAGACACTGAATGGGAATACAAAACATAAAAGCATATTAAAAGTGCTTTTTATATTTAACTCTGACTAAGTTGTATCTGAAAAAAATTAATTGTTCTATAGGAAAATGTATGTATTTCTTGAGGAAATCTGAATAAACAGAGTGTGAGGGTGTGGTAGCTTGTTGCAGAAATGGTCTCAATAATTTACCTCCCTATATGCATGCTCTTACTCTGGGCTTGACAACATGACTTGCTTTGATCAATAAGATAATAGCAGACATGACAAAAACAGACTTGAAAAGTGCATGCTTATTGGTCTTTGCCTCTCTTGCTGTTCTTGGGACCCCTGTGACTATGGCATGAATACACACTAGCAATATAGCTTGCTAGATAATGAGATGCATGAAGCCAGTTCATCTCTGTGGCCTCCACTGATAAACCAACCACTAGACATGAAAGAGATCATCCTACATTATCTTGTTCTAGCTAGCCTGGCCTAGACCAGAAGTACACCCAGCTAACCCATAACATTGTGAGAAATAATATATGTTTATTATTTGAGTCAGTAATTTTGGATATGGTTTGTTATGCAACAAATGCTAATTGATACAAAGGGAGAGAGAAACAAATCAAAACAGAATCAGATCAAATAAAAACAAAGCATTCAAAAGCAATTGTAGATATCCATTTATACCTCCTGAATTCACCAGTGTTTTTTCTAATTCAATATATCATGGATGCCCAAGATGAAGAAAAGAAAAAAAACCAAAAACAAAGTTTTCTTTAAGCTGTAACCCAGGCGTAACTGAGAAGAAATTGCCATACATATTTAAAGATAATAGCTTCTGTTTCTGAAATGTCTCCTCTGCCCCAGACACTGTTTACTTCGTTACCGATTTCATATCATTTATCCTTCATGAGTACTTTGCAAGGGAGGTGTCGGTAAAGTCCTTCAACAGATTTAAATATGAGTCTCAGACAAGTTTATAAACTTGCTGTGGGAAACCTAGCTGCTCAATGAAGGGGCTGAAAAATCCATTCCAGTTCTGACTGCAGTCTTTTGTAACAACACCTTGTCTAAAGACCACCAGGTAAGCAAACAGCAAACTAGGAAATTCCATCATGATTTTGTGGACAGTATCCATCCTAGGCATGGTTATAGTTTTGTACAATGCCTATGACAGCTTTGCTGCAGACAAAAAAGAAAGTCATCAATTATAAAATGAAAAGTCTCTATTTTGATGCAAAATATTTTTATCTGGTTTAAGGGAATTTTACAAACTGAGTATCAGTATTGTTTTTGTTATTGGCAACTATTGATCTCTGACTGTGCCACTCTGTCTCATTAACACTTTTATTACCTTGTCAATCAAAGCCCACCTTGCACCAAAGAGGGACTGAAAGGATTTGCCATTATTAACAAGACTGTCTGGTGCCCAGGAGCAATGAAATCCTGCTGAAAGTATAAGGATAAATCAGCAGGGATTTAGATAGCATTCTAGATGCAGAAAGCAATTCAGAAGTTTAAAAAAGGAGTATTCAAAACTCATTTAAAGAAACAGATTTTTCTCACTTCTTTGACTATTTAGGATTTTAGTTTTTTTAAATAAAACCCTTATTCAAGCAAGTAGAGGTAAAAACTTGTGTTTGTTAAACTCTTTTGGGGCTGATTTTATTGTACAAGTTTGCTGAATTGCATTGGTCTCAGGGCAAAAGTAATATGTAGGCAATAAATGTTTCTTATGTGCATAGCTAATTTTATCATTTCCTCTAATAGTGGCCTATTAGAGCAAACAGATTAGCAGTTAATTGGTATCCTACGAAGAACTATTTTGGCCCTTATTTGCTACTTTTTTTGTTTTCATTAGTGATCTTAGTCAATACCAATACAAAATCTTAGATTCCAATGCTTGCCATTACCTTCTAAAAGTGCTTCATTTAGATTGTCATTACTTGCTAGGTTTTCAACAAATTACACATAAATTCACTCCTTTGGAGATTCCTTTATTTGTCTCATATTTAGCCATCAATAATTTCATGGTCATTACTTTCCCAGTATATAGATATTTTCAAATGTGTGAGCAGCTAATTGTGTTTTGTGTCTTACATTAGCTTAACGAGTATTTATTGAACAGATAAGCTACACAAAATACCAAACTCGGCCAATTAGCGGATTCTTAGATGAAGATAAGATGACTTTGCTAAGGAATTTATACAAGTATCCATAATACAAAGCAGATATGCTGAGTGCCATAAGAATGATATGCCCAAAACTTCACAGGATTCTAATGAAGAGTCAGGTCCCAAGTACTTGAAGGATCAGGAAGATGTCATGGGTTTTAATCCATGGATAAGACTGGTCATGAGGAGATTGTGGCAAAAAGAAATTCAGATAAAAACAGAAGTCTTAGTTTGGGCTGCTGTAACAATATCACAAAAAGAGTGGCTTATAAATAATAAAAATTTATTTCTGGAGTCTGGGAAGTCTAAAATCAAGGCAGATTCTATATTGGGTGAGGGCTTACTTTCTGGCTCCTAGATGGTACCTTTTTTGCTGTGTTCATATGTAGTAGAAGGAACTACTAGTTCTCTGAGATCTCTTTTACAAAGGCACAAATCCTATTCATGAAGGATCCACCCTCATAACCTAATTACCTCCAAAAGCCTCAGCTACTAATGCCATCACCTTGGAGGTTAAATTTCAACATATGAATTTTGGGGGTACACAAACATTTGGACTACAGCAAAATGATAAGTGAACATGTTGTTTGTATGCGTCCATTTGCTGAGGTAGTCTGGAAAACAAAACAAGTACATTGAAGGAGAACATACATGTAGGAATGGCCAGATTCATGAATTTTAATTTTATATACAGTAAGAAACTTCTAAAGATTTTGTATCAGACTATGGCATAATTAGAGATATGCTTTAGGAAAATTAACCCAGCAATGATATATTTCAGAACATCTCCAAGCTCAAACAATGTACAGCATACTTTTAAAGAAACTGCCGTAATTCTCTTGGATTTCTAGCATGGATGCAAATTATTGTTAATACTATATAAAAATGTAAAACTGTAAATTCAGTAAAAATTCTTATGATAAATCTTATAATAATTATAAAATGAAAATAAATATGAAATTAAACACTAATGAGACAGGAAAACTAAGATAATTCATAATAGCAATATTAAATTTTATGTGCTAGATTACCTGGCTGTTCTCAAAGTGAACATGGTACTGACTACTACAGGGCAAATTTTCTTTTACTCAGTCTGCCCATATTCTGCTATGCAGAGTGATCACTCCATTCTCTCATCATATTTCTTTTATTTAAGCTATTGACAAATTTTTGTTTATACAATGTGTTTGTCTTAGAAGGAATGCTTCTTAGCCAGAGAGAATCCTAGTAATTCTGGAGCCAACTTTGATTGGAGGTCAGAAGTTGGGTAGCAGTACTCAATCCTGGGGCTCTTTTAGATAATCCAGAGATTATCTTCTAAAGGAACATAACTTAAAAATATGGCAGGGAATTTGTAGACCTTTGGAAATATTTATACAACCTTCTGTTTTTTTCCTTAAATAGAGCTTGTTTAAGAAGCCATGGCATATAGACTAGTTTGAAGGTAAAGAGAAATAATAGGGTGAACAGTAAGAAGAGTTTTACAGTAGAGACTCTTGACAGATTGAGCCAGGATGATTAAAATATTAATGGAAAGGAATTACTGACTATGAGTAGTTATAGTAAAAGAATCAGTGGGAATTTTCAACCAGTTGCATGTGGGGGTTGGCAAAGATATTGGAATGAAATATAGTTTAGAAATTTCCAAATTGAGTTTAGGGAAATTGTTGCTAACAATTATCAGAAATGATGAATTAAGGGAATTTAATCTGCTGGCTTATATAAGTCCATGCAACAATCGAATAGTGGAATCACCGACGTTATCAGACACAAGTGTTTCCTCATATTCTTTTGGACTCACCTGTCCCCAGGACCCTCAGCCTCTTGTTCCCTTTCTGCCACTGTCATGGATGACTTACTCCATGCATACTTGCATGGTTAAACTGCTTTGGACCTACTAGCCATAGTGTGGGACATAGGATTATGCTTCTCAAGAGGTTGCCAAAGATAGTATGCAACCCAGAACCGTGGGGAGCTATGTTCTAGAGGGACAACTTTGAACAGCAGAATACAGGAGATTGTCAAGACCTGTGAAGAATACTACATTCTTTCTTCTTCCACTGGGCTATTCTGTGGCCCACTTTTTTTTTCCTTATAGCAGCTCTCCAGAGATATTCTGCATGGCTGTACAGATGCACCTGCTGAATGACTAGGGGTATCTCTTCATGACTCCTCTTAAAACAGTGGCTAGTGTAGTAACACATCACCTTGAATTGCTTGCCATTCTTGATGCCTAAATCCATTCTCCCTCACTCTCACTGCCCTGGAATTGCACACGCAAATTGAGCTCTGGTACTTAGTCCGTGCTTTGACTTCTGTTTCCTAGAGAGCTTTTAACTAAATCATGGTAAGAGCTTTTAGTGTTCGGTGTCTGTTTTCATCAGAATAATGTCTCCTGGGGTACTTTATCATCTAGTAAGCATTCTAGTGTCAAAAAAGTAACAAAAATTGACTAAACTCATTTGCTTAGTCATTTATATTTCACTTAACTTATATAGAAAAATTCCCTGAATATTTAAAGCTCAATTTTAATAGATGTATTTCCATTAAATTTTAAAATTTTTATTCTTTTTTTGTATTGATGTCTAAACAACTATAAAGTGAATTTAGACAAATAAATTTGCAGAATCTAGAGATTTTATTGATTACTAAGAAACATTGCCAGTACAGTTGACCATTGAATGACATGAGTTTGAACTATAAGGGTCCACTTTACATGCAGATCTTCTACCTCTGCCATCCCTAAGACAGACAAGCAAGACCAGCCCCTTCTCTTCTTCCTCCTCCTTAGCCTATTCAACATGAAGATGATGAAGATGAAGACTTTTATGAAACCCACTTATGCATAATGAATAGTCAATATATTTTCTCTTCATTATAATTTTCTTAATAACATTTTCTTATCTCTAGTTTACTTTATTGTTAAGAATACAGTATGTAATACATATGCAAAATATGTGTTAGTCACCTGTTTATATACCAGTAAGGCTTCTGGTCAACAGTAGACTATTAGTAAAGTTTTTGGTGAGTCAAAAATTATATATGGCTTTTCGACTGCATGGGAGGGTTGGTGCCCCTAACCTCTGATTTGTTCAAGTGTCAACTGTAATTCTTTCTTCAGTTTTATGGTATAATACCAGGAAAAGAATCTTGGAGTCAAGGACATGGAAATGAATTCTAGTTCCATCATTTACTAATTGTCTGACATTGATTTTCAGTCAATTCCTATGTAAATGAGCATAATAATGTTGCATATCTCAAGGCATAATAGAAAAAATACATATTATTAGCCCATTGTATATAAAATCACCATGTAAATAGTTTTGTTCAGAGAGTTTACATTTCTCTAAGTTACCAGGTTTACTTCACCACCTTTCACCCCCAGATTGCCACCTATGCTATTTTCTCTGAATCATAAACACTTTCTTCTTCTTCAATTACAGTATTAGACCACAATATGGAAATCTGGCCATAATATCCAAATATCATGTTGATATCCATGTTATCTGGTCTAAGTCACTGAGCCTGTTCGTGTTTTTATTTCCTCAAGTACAAAATGTAAATGAGAACACTTGACCTCTCTCTATTGTTTAATGATCTTTGAAAACAATGAGGCAATCATGAAAAAAAGTCATTTTTCAAACACTTTGGAGAGTGTATGCCATTAGTCAAATTATTGTTATTCTTCTACTTATTTTGCAACATTAAAAAACAGCAAACACGAAGAAATAAAAAAACACACCTGACAATCACTATGCCTAAGGACTGAGATGGAAAAAAAAACCTGTAAAAACTAGGATTTTTTTCTTTAATGTAGCAAAATCTCATTTGTATTATCTCTTTTCATTAAACCATTTGACTGATTCTAACAGAAGGATGATCACCCATCCAGTATAGGGAAAAAGCCTATTTGACACTTTTTTAGCCCTCAAGGGCAAATTACCATATGGATATGATTTGATTCATATGTTAACTGGAATGGATATATTTTTCTATTACAAACATGTCTTTATTGACTAAGTGAGTATTACTTTAAGGAAGATTTTTAAAAATATGCTGCCGTAGGAATGAAGGAAAGGGGAGTTGAAATTTGAAAGTTAGCAAATGACTAAATTTGCTAGTTTTTGAAACATTTTAACTTGAGTAAACAAATGTTTTAATGTTTTTATTTTTATAAATGTTTTTCTCTCATGTTATTTCTCCACTCACCACAAGAAGTGTTTTGGGGTCAAGTAATTTATAACGTGTCTAAACATATATTTAAAATAGAAAGTATATGGCAAAATTTCCAGTCACATGTATTAACCTACCAGGAGACAATTTAGCAGTGATTAAGAGCAGTGACCGCGGAGGCAGGCTGACTAGAGTGTTAATCTCCGCACCACCCTTAGCCATGGGACTAAGCATAGTTGCTTAACCTCTTTAAGCCTAAGGACATTTCATTTATAAAAGGAGGATAATGATTATCTTTTTGTAACAGAACTGCTTTAAAAATTAATTTAGTTGAAGTGTGAAGAGGGCTTAGCACAATGCCAGTCACCAGTGCAGAGAGCTATCGTAGCCTGAGGCAAAAGGAAAAATCAGTATACTGTCTTTAGTTATAGACAGTAAGGAGCTTGTCTTTAATTATAATGTTTATATTTTGTTCATCATGGATTTTAGGCATGCATTTGATATTTGAAAGCAGAAACAATAGAAATTCATTTCTCACAGTTCTGGAGGCTGAAAGTCTACATTAGAGTGCCAACACGGCCAAGTTCTGCCAAGGACCCTCTTCTGGGTTGCCGACTACCAAGTTCTTGCTGTGTCCTCACATGGCAGAGGGACTAAGTAGCTCTTAAGTGTCTTTTTCACTTTTTTTTTTTTTTTTTGAGGGGAGATTTCGCTCTTGTTGCCCAGGTTGGAGTGCAGTGGTGTGATCTTAGCTCACTGCAACCTCTGCCCCCTGGGTTCAAGCCATTCTCCTGCCTCAGCCTCCCAAGTAGCTGGGATTATGGGCATGTGCCACAAGGCTCAGCTAATTTTGTATTTTTTTTAGTAGAGGTGGAGTTTCTTCATGTTGGTCAGGCTGGTCTCGAACTCCTGACCTCAGGTGATTGACTCACCTTGGCCTCCCAAAGTGCTGGGATTACAGGCGTGAGCCACCGTGTCCAGCCTGGTGTTTCTTTCACAAGTCCTTGTGGCTGAGTGCCCACCATCCATTCCACCACTAATGACTAGTCCAAGCCAATGGTCATAATCCATTCTCGTTGGCAGTGATCTGTTTAGGAAGAGTCATGTAACCCGATCTTGGCCAAAAGGATGTGCAGGGAAGGCCTGGAAGTTGTATTAGTTGCTGCTGTAATAAATCATGACAAACTGGGTTGCTTAAAACAATAGAAATTTATTTGCTCATAGTTCTGGAGGCCAGAAGTCTGCAATCAAGGTGTCTGTAGGTTTGGTTCCTTCTGGAGACTCTGAGGAAGTATCTGTTTCTTGCCTCCCTCCAAGCTTCTGGTAGTTGGAGGCAATCCTTATTCCTTGGCTTGCAACTACAATCCCCAATCTCTGCCTCTGTCTTCACTGATCTCCCCTGTGTGTCTCCTCTGTCTTTCTGTGTATTCACATGGTTTTCTTATAACAATGCCCATCATTAGATTGAGGGTTCACTCTAATGGAAAATAACCTTGTCCTAAGAAATTGTGTCTTCAAATACCCAATGTTCAAAGAAGGTCACATTCACAGGTATCAGAGGTTAGGACTCAAATATATCTTCTTTGGAGATACAATGCAACCCATTTTAGGGGTGTTCTGGAAAGTTTTCTTGTTCCTAAGTAGGAGATTTGAGAAAATTTAGTTCTTTTTTCTCCTTTGGATATTGTAACGTCTGAATATGATGCCTGAACTTGCTGCCACCACCTTCGTCTTAGGAGATAAAGCCAATAGGCAAAGAAAGACAATTCCTAGAAAAGCACAGAGAAGAGGAGCTAGTGCTAAAGAGAGGTGTTATGTGAGAAGAATCGCTATAGTCTAAACCAGTTTTAGTCAGGATGTCTATTAGTTGCAGCCAATAGCATCTAAATGAGATAATGACACTCAGATTCCTTATTAATCAATCAGGTATGTGGTGATACTTCTTGGGAATACTGAGGAAAAATAGTTCTGGGGATAAGATGTCACAAATATGTATACATGTATGTATATACGTATGTATTTGTCTATATATCAAGAAACAATGATACTTACCTTCTGACATAATGTTACTTTTTTCCATGGAAAATATATGATCAAATGACTGTTGTTCATGACTTGTAAAATTTATTTTAATTTAGGAGTTTCTCTATGGGGTATTCCATCTCCAGCCAACTTAAAGTAAATTTATGATTCTGCATGACACTTGTGAACTTTGACCAACTTGGAACTCTGCTGTCAACAGAACTTTCACTGAAGATTCTGAAGGTCTCCCTGTGAGATCTGTAGTGCAATCACAGCCATATGTATGCAATCACTTAGTTCTAAGTACGGAAAACTGAGGAGTTTGACAAGGAGGCCGCTCTCTGAGAGAGGTGATGAGAGCTTGATTTAGATCAGTGGAAGTGATATTGAAAAGGATGAATAGACTTTCAAACGGGGAATTTAAAGTTCTTGAAATATGATTGGTAAATGGAAATAGACAAGGTATACAGAAGAGCCAAATCTGATGCCAAGTGTTTGAACCCCTCCACGCGTCGTCCCTTCTTAACACGCTGTCAAAACCAATCAAGCACACCAGGCATGTAAAATTGGTTTGAGAACACTTTGTTTGATGTGATGTTCCAGCTCTTCTTTGATTTTCTTTCCCGGATAATAAAAAAGGGAAATCATTTTTATTTAGCTTGTATGTTAATTTTTGCAATGCTTGGATCCAGATGGAATAACAATGGGTTCCCTTTAATCTCCCATTAACCTCCAAATATCTTTAAAAATGTGTTGATTATTTCTAACAGTTGGGCTTTCTTAATGGTTTGAATGATTTGGATATGGCTTGATGGTAGGTCTCATTAAATCATGAAGAAAAATAGCATTTTCATAGAAATCGTACTGCACATTTAATTAAGTTACAGAGATAGCAACTAATGATTAGCATAATTCTTAAGACTATGTATAATAATGTCAATTTGTATGACAAAATTTATTTTCATGAAAATACCATCTTATTTTTGACATACTGTAAATTGTTTTAACTTTAATTTTTGCATCTAAGTCCATTTCTGAGAACTATTAAGAGCAGTGTACATGAAAATCCAGTAAACATAGATTGGGTACCACTCTGTACTTTTTTTCCCAATTTTTAAAATTGTGGTAAAATTCACATTACATAAATTTTACCCTCTTAATTAATTTTAAGTACACAGTTGAGTAATATTAAATACATTTATAATATTGTGCAACCATTATGGTCATCCATCTCCAGAACTCTTCATTTGTAAAACTACAACTCTATACCCATTAAACAATACTTTTCGCTTCTCTCCTATCCCCAATCCCTGGCAACCTCTATTCTCCTTTCTGTCCTTGTGACTTTGACCACTCTAAGTACCTCATGCAAGGGAAATGACAGAGTATTTTTGTTTTTGTGACTGACATGTTTCATATAGTGTAGTATCTTCAAGCTTCAGCTAATGTTGTGGCATATGTTAGAATTTCCTTCTAATTGGGGGGAGGAGCCAAGATGGCCAAATAGGAACAGCTCTGGTCTACAGCTCCCAGCGTGAGCGACGCAGAAGATGGGTGATTTCTGCATTTCCATCTGAGGTACCGGGTTCATCTCACTAGGGAGTGCCAGAAAGTGGGCGCAGGACAGTGGGTGCAGCGCACTGTGCGACAGCCGAAGCAGGGCGAGGCATTGCCTCACTCGGGAAGTGCAGGGGATCAGGGAGTTCCCTTTCCTGGTCAAGGAAAGGGGTGACAGACGGCACCTGGAAAATCAGGCCACTCCCACCCGAATACTGCACTTTTCCGATGGGCTTAAAAAACGGCGCACCAGGAGATTATATCCTGCACCTGGCTGAGAGGGTCATACGCCCACGGAGTCTTGCTGATTGCTAGCACAGCAGTCTGAGATCAAACTGCAAGGTGGCAGTGAGGCTAGGGGAGGGGCATCCGCCATTGCCCAGGCTCACTTAGGTAAACAAAGCAGCCGGGAAACTCGAACTGGGTGAAGCCCACCACAGCTCAAGGAGGCCTGCCTGCCTCTGTAGGCTCCACCTCTAGGGGCAGGGCGCAAAGAAACAAAAAGACAGCAGTAACCTCTGCAGACTTAAATGTCCCTGTCTGACAGCTTTGAGGAGAGCAGTGGTTCTCCAAGCACGCAGCTGGAGATCTGAGAAGGGGCAGACTGCCTCCTCAAGTGGGTCCCTGACCTCTGACCCCCGAGCAGCCTAACTGGGAGGCACCCCCCAGTAGGGGCAGACTGACACCTCACACAGCCAGGTACTCCTCTGAGACAAAACTTCCAGAGGAAGGATCAGACAGCAGCATTTGCGGATCATGAAAATCCGTGGTTCTGCAGACACCGCTGCTGATACCCAGGCAAATAGGGTCTGGAGTGGACCTCTAGCAAACTCCAATAGACCTGCAGCTGAGGGTCCTGTCTGTTAGAAGGAAAACTAACAAACAGAACGGACATCTACACCAAAAACCCATTTATACATCACCATCATCAAAGACCAAAAGTAGATAAAACCACAAAGATGGGGAAAAAACAGAGCAGAAAAACTGGAAACTCTAAAAAGCAGAGCGCCTCTCCTCCTCCAAAGGAATGCAGTTCCTCACCAGCAGCGGAACAAAGCTGGACGGAGAATGACTTTGACGAGTTGAGAGAAGAAGGCTTCAGACAGTCAAACCACTCCGAGCTACAGGAGGAAATTCAAACCAAAGGCAAAGAAGTTGAAAACTTTGAAAAAAATTTAGACGAATGTATAACTAGAATAACCAATACAGAGAAGTGCTTAAAGGAGCTGATGGAGCTGAAAGCCAAGGCTCGAGAACTATGTGAAGAATGCAGAAGCCTCAGGAGCTGATGTGATCAACTGGAAGAAAGGGTATCAGTGATGGAAGATGAAATGAATGAAATGAAGTGAGAAGGGAAGTTTAGAGAAAAAAGAATAAAAAGAAATGAACAAAGCCTCCAAGAAATATGGGACTAGGTGAAAAGACCAAATCTGCGTCTGATTGGTGTACCTAAAAGTGACGGGGAGAATGGAACCAAGTTGGAAAACACTCTGTAGGATATTATCCAGGAGAACTTCCCCAATCTAGCAAGGCAGGCCAACATTCAGATTCAGGAAATACAGAGAACACCACAAAGATACTCCTCGAGAAGAGCAACTCCAAGACACATAATTGTCAGATTCACCAAAGTTGAAATGAAGGAAAAAATGTTAAGGGCATCCAGAGAGAAAGGTCGGGTTACCCACAAAGGGAAGCCTATCAGACTAACAGCAGATCTCTTGGCAGAAACCCTACAAGCCAGAAGAGAGTGGGGGCCAATATTCAACATTCTTAAAGAAAAGAATTTTCAACCCAGAATTTCATATCCAGCCAAACGAAGCTTCATAAGTGAAGGAGAAATAAAATCCTTTACAGACAAGCAAATGCTGAGAGATTTTGTCACCACCAGGCCTGCCCTAAAAGAGCTCCTGAAGGAAGCGCTAAACATGGAAAGGCACAACCGGTACCAGCCGCTGCAAAATCATGCCAAAATGTAAAGACCATCGAGACTAGGAAGAAACTGCATCAACTAACGAGCAAAATCACCAGCTAACATCATAATGACAGGATCAAATTCACACATAACAATATTAACTTTAAATGTAAATGGACTAAATGCTCCAATTAAAAGACACAGACTGGCAAATTGGATAAACAGTCAAGACCCATCAGTGTGCAGTATTCAGGAAACCCATCTCACGTGCAGAGACACACATAGGTTCAAAATAAAAGGGTGGAGGAAGATCTACCAAGCATATGGAAAACAAAAAAAGGCAGGGGTTGCAATCCTAGTCTCTGATAAAACAGACTTTAAACCAACAAAGATCAAAAGAGACAAAGAAGGCCATTACATAATGGTAAAGGGATCAATTCAACAAGAAGAGGTAACTGTCCTAAATATATATGCACCCAATACAGGAGCACCCAGATTCATAAAGCAAGTCCTGAGTGACCTACAAAGAGACTTAGACTCCCACACAATAATAATGGGAGACTTTAACACCCAACTGTCAACATTAGACTGATCAACGAGACAGAAAGTTAACCAGGATACCCAGGAATTGAACTCAGCTCTGCACCAAGTGAACCTAATAGACATCTACAGAACTCTCCACCCCAAATCAACAGAATATACAGTTTTTTCAGCACCACACCACACCTATTCCAAAATTGACCACATAGGTGGAAGTAAAGCTCTCCTCAGCAAATGTAAGAGAACAGAAATTATAACAAACTGTCTCTCAGACCACAGTGCAATCAAACTGGAACTCAGGATTAAGAAACTCACTCAAAACCACTCAACTATGTGGAAACTGAACAACCTGCTCCTGAATGACTACTGGGTACATAATGAAATGAAGGCAGAAATAAAGATGTTCTTTGAAACCAATGAGAACAAAGACACAACCTACCAGAATCTCTGGGACACATTCAAAGCAGTGTTTAGAGAGAAATTTATAGCACTAAATGCCCACAAGAGAAAGCAGGAAATATCCAAAATTGACACCCTAACATCACAATTAAAAGAACTAGAAAAGCAAGAGCAAACACGTTCAAAATCTAGCAGAAGGCAAGAAATAACTAAAATCAGAGCAGAACTGAAGAAAATAGAGACAGAAAAATCCCTTCAAAAAATCAATGAATCCAGGAGCTGGTTTTTTGAAAAGATCAACAAAATTGATAGACCGCTAGCAAGACTAATAAAGAAAAAAAGAAGAATCAAATAGACGTAATAAAAAGTGATAAAGGGGATATCACCACTGATCCCACAGAAATACAAACTACCATCAGAGAATACTACAAACACCTCTACGCAAATAAACTAGAAAATCTAGAAGAAATGGATACATTCCTCGACACATACACTCTCCCAAGACTAAACCAGGAAGAAGTTGAATCTCTGTATAGACCAATAACAGGATCTGAAATTGTGGCAATAATCAATAGCTTACCAACCAAAAAGAGTCCAGGACCAGATGGATTCACAGCCGAATTCTACCAGAGGTACAAGGAGGAACTGGTACCATTCCTTCTGAAACTATTCCAATCAATAGAAAAAGAGGGAATCCTCCCTAACTCATTTTATGAGGCCAGCATCATCCTGATGCCAAAGCCTGGCAGAGACACAACCAAAAAAGAGAATTTTAGACCAATATCCTTGATGAACATTGATGCAAAAATCCTCAATAAAGTACGGGCAAACCAAATCCAGCAGCACATCAAAAAGCTTATCCACCATGATCAAGTGGGCTTCATCCCTGGGATGCAAGGCTGGTTCAATATAGGCAAATCAATAAATGTAATCCAGCATATAAACAGAACCAAAGACAAAAACCACATGATTATCTCAATAGATGCAGAAAAGGCCTTTGACAAAATTCAACAACCCTTCATGCTAAAAACTCTCAATAAATTATGTATTGATGGGATGTATTTCAAAATAATAAGAGCTATCTATGACAAACCCACAGCCAATATCATATTGAATGGGCAAAAACTGGAAACATTCCCTTTGAAAACTGGCACAAGACAGGAATGCCCTCTCTCACCACTCCTATTCAACATAGTGTTGGAAGTTCTGGCCAGGGCAATTAGGCAGGAGAAGGAAATAAAGGGTATTCAATTAGGAAAAGAGGAAGTCAAATTGTCCCTGTTTGCAGACGACATGATTGTATATCTAGAAAACCCCATTGTCTCAGCCCAAAATCTCCTTAAGCTGATAAGCAACTTCAGCAAAGTCTCAGGATACAAAATCAATGTACAAAAATCACAAGCATTCTTATACACCAATAACAGACAAACAGAGAGCCAAATCATGAGTGAACTCCCATTCAGAATTGCTTCAAAGAGAATAAAATACTTAGGAATCCAACTTCCAAGGGAGGTGAAGGACCTCTTCAAGGAGAACTACAAACCACTGCTCAATGAAATGAAAGAGGATACAAACATGCTCATGTGTAGGAAGAATCAATATTGTGAAAATGGCCATACTGCCCAAGGTAATTTATAGATTCAATGCCATCCCCATCAAGCTACCAATGACTTTCTTCACAGAATTGGAAAAATCTACTTTAAAGTTCATATGGAACCAAAAAGCGCACATCGCCAAGTGAATCCTAAGCCAAAAGAACAAAGCTGGAGGCATCTCACTACCTGACTTCAAACTATACTACAAGGCTACAGTAACCAAAACAGCATGGTACTGGTACCAAAACAGAGATATAGACCAATGGAACAGAACAGAGCCCTCAGAAATAATGCCGCATATCTACAACTTTCTGATCTTTGGCAAACCTGAGAAAAAGAAGCAATGGGGAAAGGATTCCCTATTTAATAAATGGTGTTGGGAAAACTGGCTAGCCATATGTAGAAAGCTTAAACTGGATCCCTTCCTTACACCTTATACAAAAATTTATTCAAGATGGATTAAAGACTTAAACATTAGACCTAAAACCATAAAAACCCTAGAAGAAAACCTAGGCATTACCATTCAGGACATAGGCATGGGCAAGGACTTCATGTCTGAAACACCAAAAGCAATGGCAACAAAAGCCAAAATTGACAAATGGGATCTACTTAAACTAAAGAGCCTGTGCACAGCAAAAGAAACTACCATCAGAGTGAACAGGCAACCTACAAAGTGGGAGAAAATTTTTGCAATGTACTCATCTGACAAAGGGCTAATATCCAGAATCTACAATGAACTCACACAAATTTACAAGAAAAAAACAACCCCATCAAAAAGTGGGCAAAGGATATGAACAGACACTTCTCAAAAGAAGACATTTATGCAGCCAGAAGACACATGAAGAAATGCTCATCATCACTGGCTATCAGAGAAATACAAATCAAAACCACAATGAGATACCATCTCACACCAGTTAGAATGGCCATCATTAAAAAGTCAGGAAACAACAGGTGCTGGAGAGGATGTGGAGAAATAGGAACACTTTTACACTGTTGGTGTGACTGTAAACTAGTTCAACCATTGTGGAATTCAGTGTGGCGATTCCTCAGGGATCTAGAACTAGAAATACCATTTGACCCAGCCATCCCATTACTGGGTATATACCCAAAGGACTATAAAACATGCTGCTATAAAGACACATGCACACGTATGTTTATTGTGGCACTATTCACAATAGCAAAGACTTGGAACCAACCCAAATGTCCAACAATGATAGACTGGATTAAGAAAATGTGGCACATATACACCATGGAATACTATGCAGCCATAAAAAATGATGAGTTCATGTCCTTTGTAGGGACATGGATGAAATTGGAAATCATCATTCTCAGTAAACTATCGCAAGGACAAGAGACCAAACACCGCATGTTCTCACTCATAGATGGGAATTGAACAATGAGAACACATGGACACAGGAAGGGGAACATCACACTCTGGGGACTGTTGTGGGGTGGGGGGAGAGGGGAGGGATAGCATTAGGAGATTTACCTAATGCTAAATGACGAATTAATGGGTGCAGCCCACCAGCATGGCACATGTATACATATGTAACAAACCTGCACATTGTGCACATGTACCCTAAAACTTAAAGTATAATAATAATAAAAAAAATAAAAAAAAAGATTTCCTTCTAATTTAAGGCTGAATAATATTCCACTGTATATATATACCACATTTTGCTTATTAATTCATCCATCCACTTATGAACATTTGTTGCTTCCTCATTTTAGCTAGTGTGAATAGTGCTGTTATAAACATGGGTGTACAAATATCTCTTTAAGATCTTGCTTTTAATTCTTTTGGGTATATGCCCAGAAGTGGAATTGCTGGATCATATGGAAGTTTTATTTTTAAGTTTTTGAGGAATCTCCATAATGTTTTTCATAGTGGCTGTACCATCTTACATTTCCACCAGCAGTGAACAAGGGTTCTAATTTTTCCTCATCTCCATCAACAGTTGTTATTTGTGTGTGTGTGTGTGTGTGTGTATGTATGTGTGCTGATAGGAGCCATGTCAATGGGTTTGAGGTGGTAATATGCATTTTTAAATGTATATTTCTGCTAAAACCCATGCTTTCTTGCTGCTGCAGGGGTTTTGTTCTATCAATAATTTCCTTGTTTTCCTGTATGTTTACCATTCTACCTTCTCTTCCTCTTTGTCCTCAGTATATACATATGTTCTGCTATTGTTCATACTTTAAAATTTCTTCCATGAACTTCTGCTTCCTTAATCCAATTTTTTCATTTTTAAAAAAAAATTCACTCATTTTATTTATGCAACAAATACTCACTCAGCACCTATTATATAACTCACTCAGCATGTTCTAGGTCCTGTAGATAAAACAGTAAATGAAGCAGATAAAAGTCCCTGCTCTGATATAGCAGCTACTGTTGTAGTGTGTAGAGATAAATGATAAATTAAAGATGAATAAAACAGGTAGAATATTACCTGATGATAAGTGCTATGGAAAAAGAAAAAAGCAGGGAATGGGTGTAGAGAGAGATTAAGGGATGAAAGAGGAGTTTGGAATTTTATATTGCTCAAGGAAGACCTCAGTGTAAGAGTGCTATTTGAGCAAAGACCTGAAGTAAATGAAGAAAAAAATTACAGAGATATCAGATGGAAGTAGCAATTCAAGCAGCGGGAACAACATGCATAAAGGTCCTGAGGTAATACTATATTTGGCATATTTGAGGAATATAAGGGGGGCAGAGTGGTTGGGAACTGAATGAGGAAAGTGGGCAGTTGTAGAATTTGAACTCAATAAGATGGTAGTAGGGGGTATATTACATAGGGTTTTGTGATTATTGCAAAGATTTTGAGTGAAAGGAAAGTTATACTGTGAGTTTTGATTACAGAAGTAATATTTTAACTAAAAAGTACTTGCTGCTATGGCAAATATGCTATAGAAGGGAACAGAGTAAGTGGAATGGCTAATTAGGAGACTTTATTAACTACCTAGAAAAGGGATGGTAGTCGCTTAGATTAGAATGGCATTGGAGGGGATAAATAGCAGTGAGATACTGATACATTTTCAAGGTAGAGGTGACACAACTTCTTGATGAATTTAATGTGGAGGGATGCAAGTGTCATTTTATTCAAAACAGTTGTTCACATATGCTGGATTTTGTTTTCACCTCTTAATCATTTCTTCAATTTGCTGCACTCTGGGTTTTTGGTTGTTTTGCTTCTGTTTGCTCCTACACTCCCCCTGAAAATCCTTTAAAGAAAATAATGGCCAGGCACAGTAGCTAACACTTGTAATCCCAGCATCTTGGGAAACTGAGGTGAGAGGATTGTTTGCATCTGGGAGTTTGAGATCAGCCTGGGCAACATAACAAAACCCTGTCTCTACAAAAAATAAAAAATTAGAAGGGTATGGTGGCATGCCCTGTAGTCCCAGATACTCAGGAGGCTGAGGCAGAAGGATTGCTTGAGTCTAGGAGGTCAAAGCTGCAGTGAGCCATGATTGTGCTACTGCACTTGGCCTGGACAACAGAGCAAGACCCTGTTTCAAAAACAAAACAAAACAAAACAAAACAACGTTATGAAAACTAGTAGGTGCTTCTTGCCTTGATGTTATATGTCTACTCTGTAGCATTTGGTGGTTCATCCTCCCTCCTTATTTAAACTCTCTACGTCTTTGACCCCATGGGGGATCTCAGTTTCTCTTGGTATGACAAATTCTACTGCTATAATTTTTCTTTTTTTTTTCAGGAAACTAAATGGGCTTCTCTTTTTCAGGAGTTTGCTCAATATTACTCTTTCAGTGAGGCCTTTTCAGAACTACTAATATAAAATTGCAAACTCCCTCTTCCCTGTAACTCTCTATATTAATAGAGATTAGCGAAGTTCCATTTCTAATTTTCATCATTAATCACTGCTCAGAGTTTTAACTTCATAATATCATTTGATGATGTTAGGAGGATTGGTCCATATTATACAGAGATGATGTTGGCCTTTTTCCCTGCAACTGTGGGAATCTTGGATTGCTATTGTCATTATTTTTAGTATTGGAATATTATAATTGTAATATAATATGCTATATATATAGGCTTTTTACAATGAAACCCTCAAATGGGCCTCTTGACTAAGTTATAGTTAATGCTAATAATGGTCCAATAGTAGATAGCAAACAGTGAAACTCTATCAACAGTAGATAGTAAACAGTGAAACTCAAAAACGAAAGAGTCACCTTTAACATAAATATTGGTTTTCTATTACACAGAGAGCACAGAGTTCCTTATTAATTGAAGAACTATTTCTTGAGCAAGATATTTACCCTCTCCGCGTCACACTTTCAACTTTAATAGCTTTAAGATTGTTTACTGAACAGAATTATTATAGCAATTAAATACATTGTCATGTAAAATCTATAGTTTGACAAAGAGTTGTTAAGTTCCTCCATGATTCAAGTGACATAGTTATAGATGATCTGGTTAAGGTGACAAATCTTAAAACAAACCATTACTGAACATTTATAAAATATTCTTTTAAAAGTTGACAGAGCTAGAGGAGGGATAAGTGAGTTAAAATCTTCCTTGAGGAGATGCTGCTTTGGTTGAGTCTTAAAGTCAAGATGTTACTGGGTTTGTACAAAAGTAATTGCGGTTTTGGCCATTAACAGTAATGGCAATTACTTTTGCACCAAACTAATAGTTTGACAAGGTTGGATAAAGGACCCAAATCAAACTAACACACATGAAATAATAATCACAGCATGAAATAATGTCTCATTCATGTTGTAGGAAGCTCAGTACTGAAATAAAGCATTTAAAGAAGTTGCAAGACTGAGAATAAAGATTTAGATAGTGGTTTGCGTGGTAAACTAAGCTGAACTGAATTTTTAGGTTTACTATGAAGGGACAGAGAATTAATGGGATTATTTCAATAATTTTGAAAGGTCACTTAAGGAGCAGTCAAGTGGATGAATTAAAGGGAGGCTAAGCTGGAGAACAGGGAGAATTCTAATTACGTAAATCAAGAAAAAAATGATGACACCTGAATTGAACAGCAGTGACACAAGTGATATAAATGTGAGGTATATGAGGTAGAATAGACTGACCTTGGTGACTGACTGAAGGTTTGTTTTAGAGCCTGGGTAAAGGAAACCACTCACTAAACATTAGGAACTAAAATGGGAGAAATCAGAGTCCAGGGTGAAGAAAGATTCTTGTTTTTCAACATGTTGCATTTGAGATCTCATGAAAGGTCCAGTGATCTTGGATAAAAATGAAATTTTTTAACATGGCTCTCAAGACTGCATGGTCTTGTCTCTCCAGGCTCGTTCATGTGATGATGCTCCTTGTTGCTCTCTGTTGGAACAGCACAGGCCTTCTTCTCATTTCTTTTTTCACCATCATAGCATCTTTTTACATAATATTCCCTCAGCCTGGATTACCCTTCCTTCCCTTCATTGCTTAGTTTATTCCTACTTATATGTTACAATTCAGTTTCAGACTCAATTGCTTAGGGAAGCCTCTTCTGATTTCCTTAACAAGATTAAATCCAGTAAATTTTCAAAACATTCTCAGAGTTCCTCAAGGCTATCTCTATTGTGGAAGACAAATGGATATTGAGTAGTCAAAATACAACAGCTTTTTTTTTTTTTTTTTGAGATGGAGTCTCCCTTTGTTGCCAATCTGGAGTGCAGTGGCATGATCAACAGATTTTTTTAACATCTTTTATCTTATTCACCCCTATGTGTCTAGTCTCTGGCTTTCAGAAATTCCTTGTTCACATCATTCTCTGCAAACTATCACAAGATCAGAAAACCAAATACCGGATGTTCTCACTCATAAGTGGGAGTTGAACAATGAGAACACATGGACATAGAAAGGGGAACATCACACACCAGGGCCTGTGGCGGGTGGGGGGCTAGCAGAGGGATAACATCAGGAGAAATATCTAATGTAGGTGACGGGTTGATGGGTGCAGCAAACCACCATGGCATGTGTATACCTATATAACAAAACTGCTCACTCTCTCCTTGTAACCCAGAACTTAAAGTATAATAATAATAATAATAATAATAATAAATTCCTGATTCAAACCATGCTAATGTTGATCGCAATAGAAATTCAGAGGAAGATGCTGGATCTGAGAAATATCCCAAGGGAAATGACATGACTTGATGCTTAAAAGGATCTGGATATTATATCTAGATTTTTCTTCCTAGGTGACTAGAATGATGATAGTAATATTGACAGAAGGAGGGGAACCAGGAAAGTGAGTTGATTTTTCAGGAAATATGATTAAAAGTAAATGTGAACATTGAGAAAATTATAAAGGACCCTATGCTAACTGTGAGATTGATAAATTCTATCAACTACACTTCTTCATTAAAATTTAATGAAAACTTTGTAGCTTGTTAATGATTCCTTTCTTCAGTGAGGTATATGATTGATCGACAAGGAAGGTATTTCTATGAAATTGGTAGCTGCTTGTACCTTCCAACCCCTTTTTTTAATCAGACCTGCTAAAGAAAATATTAGTTGAAAGAAGTCATTTTAGGTAACAATTTTGTTTTCTTTCATAATTGGCAGTATTAACTAACCTATTAGGCAGGTTATTGTGATGTAAGTTATTAAGACACATTAGGAGTTTTATTGTACCGTGATGTGCTCAGCAGACATGACCTCTTGCTCCACTTTTCCAAACATCTGTTCTTCAGAGTTCACTCGTAATGTCACTATCTAATTAGACTCTAGCAGCATGAAAGTTTTTTGTTAAATATAAAGTGGTTATAATAAACCCTGACATTGGAAAACTAGAGACTTGACTTAAATGAAAAAGGTTATCTCTAAGTTTAAGTCTCATTAGTAAGTAGATAATGCTACCTTTTGACCAAGCCTGTTTTGTTAAAGGATTAAAGATTACTCACACAATATTTTTAAAGGAGAAAAATGATATAGAAAAGCCACAGGAAGGGCTATGATGCAGGTTTATTCCACCTATTATAGTAACTGTTCAACTGCAATAGCCTTGAAATTTACAAAAAACAAAACCAAAAATTGTAGCTCTGTGTGCTTGTTCACATACATGTGAAGCATGTGAGTGTATACATTTATGCATACATGTGCAAAAAAGTATTTGGTATAAGAATATAGGTGGGAAATTATCATAATACATAAGAAAAGCACAAATAAAAACACAAGAAAAGAACAAAGAAAATATATAAATGATTAGTAAAACTTGCCTTAGAAGGCTCATGCAACTTTGCCACCAATAACCCAGAAAAAGATAGTGTTTCCAGGATCAATTGATCTTCCACAGGGTTGGTTCTGATGCTTCCACATAGTGGTAATGGCTATTTCAAAGCCTTCATTAATATTACATTCATATCTAATGCTAATTTTCACTAAGTTTCCCAACATTTTTGGGAATGGCTTACTACACAATCACTCAAAGATAACATAGTCATGATCATACTGACTCTCATTTACTAACATTTACCATCCAATATTTGAAGTAACATATTTTAAAGTTTTTTGTGACTTGTCACGTGTTTAAAATTCACTGCTATTTGGCTGTAAAAGTTAAGTTCCTATTGGAAAATAATTTTAAACAAAATTACTATAACCCTATAATCAGATTACAGAACTCTGCTTCCCAAATATACATTTATTAATTTAACAAATATCTGTAAGCAACTGTCATAGGATAAAACATGTCAAATAGACATTTGATCTCTGTCTTTTTCTGTTTAAAATATTTTTTACTAGTAGTTTATGTAGGGAAGCCTAGGGTTTAATGCTATCCTTGTATATTATGTTTTTTTCTCCCCCAACAATAGGCCTCTCAGACCTAATGGGATTTAGAACAAAACTTAGAATTTATACAATCTAATTTAGAATAAATTGATGTGTTCTTTAATATTTATAGTCAGTATTGTTGGTATTAATAGGGAGGAAATTATTATTTATTCATTCAGTTTATCATGAATTTTCCACATACTTATAGAGACTTTCACACTGACATATTTTTCTCCAACATTAACAAAATCTAGAAATCTGTTCAAGTTTCTTCAGATACTGTCATCATGATATATTCTGAAACATATCAAAACCATTTGTGATTCCTTTAGCTGTGGTGCAGACTGTTGAATGAATATACACTTACGAGAATATGTATCAAGTAACAAGTATTTTACCTTCAAAATAAGTTTGGGTTTTTACCCGAAGATCTCATAATCGTTACAAAAATAAATCCCAGGAATATTTGTGTAAATTATTTCCAGCTTGAATTAATAGTAGATTTAGAAGTGAGGAGGGTAAAAGAATAGCAAGGTTATTCAGGGGTCTCAACAATTAAATGTCTCATAAAAAGGATTCTTTCCTACACATGTTCTTACTCACTGCACATTGCACACAGATGATTCTAATCACCATTACTCAAATCACCTGATGCCTCAATTACCTTGGCTTCAATGAGCACATTCCAAATGCCAGAGCACCCATATACCTACTCAGATAATAGGCTGCCAATTAAGTTATCTTTCTCTGGAAACGTATTATGGCAGCTCAGTGAATATAATATCATTAGTGCCCTTATATCATCATAAGCTGGGCAGTTGCTGACACCGCATGGATATAACTGCTAGGCGATCAAAGTAGCCTCTCAATTACAATAGCCTTGAAATTAAAAAAAAATCTATAGCTATGAGTGGCTTGTTTACATATATGTGAAGCATGTAAGTGTGAGTGTATGCATTTATGCATATGTGTACATCTTTTGTATAAAAGTGTAGGTGAGGAAAATTGTCATAATACATAAGGAAAGCACAAATACCTAGAAAGAAGATATATAAATTATTTGTAAAAATTGCCTTAGAAACCTCAGGCAAGTTGGCCACCAGTAAAAATGACATCAATTGTAGCTGTGGTCAGTACTACTGTAACATGGAGCACTTCCAGACTGGATTACTCCTTGTAAAAATATTCTCTAAATTATGATGTTTATCTAGTTTTGTTCCACAGAGTTACTGGAAATTAAGATTTTTAACTAGAAACTCTAAGAAAGTTTTAAAAGAATTTTTGAGAATGACTAAACCCTCACTCTATAATTAGAAGTACATACTTTTTTTAGAAAGTTGAACATGAAGTTATACAAAAATTACAAATGCTATTTGCTGAGATTCGAATGTAAATTAGAGTCATTCATTCCTATTAATTCATTTATTTAATTCATCCTTATTAAGGAGCTGGTGAAAGCCATCAGGAGAATAATTTGTTGACAATACTTTTCCTAGAGTGTCAGGGAAGAGAGTATGATAAAGGAGTAATTTTGACTGGGTCAGAATCTTGTTTTTACCATCATTTATCCTTGGGCAAATTTCTTGGCCACTCTAAGCAACAATTTCTTCATTCATAAAACAAGCATTAAAATAAGTACCCACTGCAATAGATTTATTGTGAGGATTAAATAAGGCAATGAATATAAATTGTTTAGCAGAGTGTGTGGAAAATAGAAATAATAAATGATAATTTTTATTTCTACAGTTATTGATATTTTAAATTATTCTTAAATTGTTCAAGTTGTACTGATTCTTTTTAGTGGTTCTTATATAAAATTAGCCTGTGCTTATTTCTTAAACTACTTAGATTAGAGCCATTATTACAATCCACTATTTACTTTTACATATGTTAATGTTTCCCTGTAGTAAAGTATTTATCAATTGTATTAATAAGGAGGATTGCATTCTACAAAGTGTCTGCTGTTTTACTATTTTATTTTGTTTGGGGTTTATTTGTTTAATTTATTTATGTATTTATTTATTTATTTATTGAAGCTCCAGCTCTGTTTTTTAAAGTAATCTCCTGGTCTGGTGGCATATTTGTTCAGTTCCTTTGTTCTCTGCTGGAGTACAGCAAAAGAAAGAGTGCTTAGAATACCTTTTAGAGGGAGTAACTTCCTAATTGAGAATTTCATTAAATAATTTGTTACCCTTTTAGTATCCCATCCCCCACCAGAGTTTAGAATTTATAACATTTCCAAATTAAACCATTTACTTCACTCTCTTGGCTGCAGCAGTTCAATGTATTCTTGTGACTTAAGATATTCACAATATGCCTAGTTAACCATTTTGTATTCAATATTGTATAGGCGTACTTCAACTTTTCTCCTACAATTTATATTCCATATAATAAGATATCTTAAATATATCTAGCCACAACAACAAAACTGTACAATAAAATATTTAAGAGAAGAGTAATTCTAAAAATAAGCACAAATTCTTAAAAACTAAGATTAATTTTATAGTATTTTTCCTTGCACTACTAAGCTATACACAAAGTTTTTAAATATCATATTTGGGCAGATTCGACCAGCCCTACTTAAGATAAAGAGGTTTTCTAACACAAGACTGAATATATTTAGACATGATTTAGTTATGTAGGCATACAGTGTGGCAAAATCATTTGTTAAATAAATATCTTTACCGTATGCCATAAAACATGGCACAGTCCAGCTAAGGCAGAAAGCCCTTTCATTATGGACTGTAAAGGAGATACTGCAGTGCTAGATCATGAATCACTGTGACCTGTAGAAGAGCATTCTCTCCGCTGCAATTAGAAACACTACTGATTACGTGGCCCTAATACCAATCAGCATGGCTGAAACTAGAATATGGCTAGAAAAATAATGACTGGAACATTGGTTTCCACTAAACGATCATATTAAAAACACAATATGAGATTCAGTATTCTGTAAAAAGAATGTCTTGAAAAAGCTCTATGTGGAAATCAAATGCTTATCAGAGAAATCAGGGGAAACGGTGTTGTGGGGAATCAGAAGAAGCTGTTTCCTCATCAGATTTGGCTTTCATGCTTGCGCTTGAGAGCTCTTGTAAAGCAAGTCATGCGGAACATGGAGAGACAAGAACAAAAATATAGATCCCACGAGGCAGTTCCTCTTTAAAACTATTTCATCAGCAATAATTTAGGACGCTATTCTGAATCTTATAGGGCATGGCAGTACTATTCCTGGGACAAGTGGAAACATACTTTACCTAATCTTGATTTATGCCCCTAAGCATAGAAAGGACTGGCCTTCACTCTGCTGAATCCCCTCACACTTCCTTTGGTGCTCATGCGTGAAAGTCTGAACTCCAGCTAAATTCCCCCTATGGCCATATGGTATTTGGAACATCTGACTATTTTTTCAAAAATAGTGGAATACCAAAATAATAGAGAAACAAGTAGAATCCTTTGCTGAAAGCAATATTAAATGTTGATAGTAAAAGGAAAGCTAATATTTTCTGAAGTCAGTTTCAGAGGACTTCTCTTTATGTTTGACCTGCATTTTCAGATAATATGGACCAGTGATGTTGCAATTCATTCCAGCCTCATAAAGATGAAGGTGAGGTATTGGAAGTCACTAAAAGGCACAGGAGGCAAGCATGGGAGAAGAGCCAAATCTCAGCTTTGTAACTAATATGCTGGATCATGAAAAAGTATCAAATTGAACCTATTCCTATGGAAGGTTTCCTGAGGGTCAGAACTCATTCAGGAGGCCCATTACTCTGATAGGAACTTATACAATCTTGAAGAAGGAAGGCAGGTACACTGCATATTAAATTCATCCTTGGGTAGGGACCTTAATTTTGGAATTCTAAAAGGGACACACATATTTTTTATGACTTGGACATTTTAAAGTATATTTTTTAAAAGTCAAAGGAAATTAGAAATAGAGCATGAGGAATGCTTGTATGTATGTGTTCATATGCCATCTAAATCCTGTATGTATGGTTACACAGGTGGTAACCAACAGAACTCTCTCCCAGAAACCCTGGAGTCACTCATTTGCCACATCTAGTCAGTCCCGAAGTTCTGTTGATTCTATTCCTTCAGTGCTTAAGTTCATTTGTAGTTCTCCCTAATCTTATCAAGGTTGCTTGAGGTTGAAACACCAACATCCATCACCCGGGTGACTGTAATGATCCAACTCCTGCCAGCTAGCAACCTTTTCTTCAACTTTTTTGGCACATTGCCGCTAGAGGGGTTTTCCTAAAGTGCAGATTTGATCATTTTGCTTTTTTTTTTTTTTTGCTGAGAACCCTTACCTGGGTTTCCATTGCCCTCAGAATAAAGTCTACATTTTTAGCATCCCAGGGTAGCTTCTCCATTGTTTGGCCTCTGCCTAACTTACAGATTCATCTTCCTCACTGTATGGTCCCACCATTCACAGGTCTATGAACCATCCTATTCTGGGCTCTGGGCCTTTTCATGGGAGTGTTTTCTCTTTCCTTTGCCACAAGTCCTCCTTTAGTTATCAAATCCAGCGTCTTTTTCCCTGGGCACTCTCGCCACCCCTCAAGACTGTGAGTGTCCCTCCTGTGTGCTTTCATAGCACCCAATGCTTATACCTATTGCAGCAGAAGGCTACTGAAACAGCCTGTGAACCCATTCATTTCCCTTATCAGACAAGTCTTGACAAGATCTGTGTCTTGTTAACATTTTTATATCCTCCTACATATTGGAGAATATTGGTTGAAAGAATAAGTGAATCAACATATATGCAGTGTAGACAATCAGGCAACAACTTTTTGGGGCCAAGATATAGAGAATTATTTTCTAGGGAATAAGTAGTAGTTCACACATCATGATAAAAACGGATAAGCATAAAATGATTTATTTCCTAAAAGAATATGGGGATGTTTTACAAGTGTAGTGTAGTTGTGAGGATTTGTCCCTGGCCCAGTCTAATGTTGATAGGGACACAGTTGGCATCTGTTTGAAACACTTTCCTCAGAGTTTATTGAAAGGCAAATGTAATTCCTGGGGGAAAGCTTGATGTTCATAGCCTCTGAAGTACTTACAGCTGGAAGTCAGGATAAAAGCTTATTGTATAGCTTTGACAGCTTGGTGGATATATTCAAGCTACACCTTGTGGGTTCTTAATAATTCTGTTTTCATAATATTAATTGTAATTTCCCGAGTTTTTGTTAATTTCAATTGCTTTTATAAGGAATGTATTTTTAATCATTCCTGTATTGAAAGACTCTGGCAGGAGGTCCCTATATTTACATTTCAGGAGATGGTGGCAGGGAAGAAAAGTGACCTTTCCAAGCTCTTAATATGATGACAGAAGAGATTTATACTCTTATTTCTTATGGATATTTTAGCTGTGAATATTTGTTCACTGATTAAAATGCTTTATGTTGCTTTATGTTAAGTTCAGGGTACTTTAAAACTAGAACAATTTAAAAATATGTATTTAAAGTGTTGCATCAACAACAAAGCTGTATAGCTTTATTACTACTATATTCTGGTTTTAAAAAAAGAATTCAGAGTTTATTGAAAAAATGTCAAAAACATACAGGAACCCTAAAACTAGAACACTATGTTGAAAGCCATGTTAGTGTGTGTTGCTCATAATCTCTGACATATTTTTGTACATATCCACCTGGAAACGTTTTTCTAAATATATGGGCAATCCTGCATTTGGCTGAGAAACTTCTTTATGCTCAAAACGCAGATGCAGAGAATGTTGCATAATGACCCAAACTGGGATTGATGACCACTGCTGTACTTGATATATTACTATACTTGATAACATTTTTTCCAATTTCTGCTTCCCTCATTTTATCACTATCTCATTTTAACTTAACTCCCTAAAAACATAATCATTATAAACCCATCTCTCCTCTTCCTATTCTTCACAATCTTTTTCCTTTTCCTCTTTTCTTCTTCCCCTCCTTATTTGTTTCCAACTAACACATTAGCTGAATTAAATATTCAGTATAAATAATCTTACAGGCTAGATTGCCATATAAATTAATAAAATTACTTAAAGATGTCTACTGTATTATACACCTTTTGATTCTGCACCTTCAGTCAATGTCAGGTGTCACTCATACCCATTTGGATATTATCTCTTGTTGCATGTCTATATGAGTGGCTAAGTACATACATAAAGTGCTATACAGAAGACTCATTCATGGTAAACACTTAAAAAATTATAAATGTCTAACCATCTCCTCTCCTTTCATATAAACTGATATTGGTCTCATATTGACCAAGTGTATTGTAAAGCCTAAAATTTCAAGTTCTGCCTTGACATCTTTGAGCCTCCCATGGCTCAAAAGGCCTATCTGTGAGTTCCCTGTTCTCAAATAAGCTTTTCACCCAGCAGGAAAGTCTCCCCACCTGGCAAGTTCCCCTATCAGCTAAACAGCTGCATTCTACCTGGTCCTTAACTTAATAGGTTTCACTTTGCTACTCCACAAAATTATTCAAACAAGCCTATCACAACCTACCTCAGGAACCAGGGAAAACTTAACCCTCTTTTTACTACAAATCCTGCCTCCAATGGCTCCTGTTGGGTCACTCTACTCCTGAGTGCTGTGTGGCATGTGACAACCTCCTTCCCCTCCACCTCCCTGTCGGGCTGTGAGTACATGTGATTAACAAACTACTGTCAGTTTCATCACAGAGAAGTAATAGAAACAGCTCATTTCTATATTCACAGAATAAGAGCAATCATCATATGCTGCTAGATTTTAGTCAGACTTAAAGTCTGTTTCTTTTCTTTAGCCTAAATTCGCTTTTATCTTCATATATACATGTTAGAAGCATGGGAATTTTTGACACTATTTATAGATTTAGGCTATTGCTTTTGTCCTTTTCATCCACGTTCAATAATTGATATGCATACATGCATGCATACTTTGAGTTACTTTAGCTTTTATAATGATTTTGAACAGTTAATAGAAGTTGCATTTACAACAATTTGACCAGTAAAGAATACCAGACACAAAAACACAAATGATCAAGTTATTTAAAAAAGTATTGCCTATCAAACAAAACTGTCATTCAAGTTTGTGTATGTATATCTAACAGTGATCCTGTGGAAACAATGTTGTGTAGAAAAAGGCTTCTGGAAAAATTTTTTAAAAATTAATGATTTACTTTTAAACCTAAGTAGAATAGTGACAAAGGCTTTCAAATTGTAAACAATAAGCAGAAGTTATAACTAAATCTCTCTGTCCATATTATACTTTCTAAGTCAGCAAAAACTTACTTTAATTAACTCATGCATTCATTTATTCAGCATGAATTTATTATACTCGTATATGTACTAAGTTAACTACTGTGGTAGGTACTGAGAGAATAGTAAAAATTACATATAACACAACACTAGGCTAAGAAGGAAAGCTAAAATGACATACAGCAGGTCCTTGAATAACATTGTTTTGTTCAGCGTTGTTTTGTTGTGAAGTTGATGAGAAAAAGAAAAACTGGTTTCAGTATGTGTCATATTTTGCTTAAAGTCACGGTTTCCAAGAACCTCTCAATGACAGTGAGAGAAGACCTACTGTATGTAGATAGTCCTTTTATATGAGAGTCCATGAAGAAAGTAAATTTTAAACTGGGCCAAGGGAATGGTTCAATATATTTTTATAAGCAAGGAAAAAAGTGAAGGACATTTTTATTCAAAGGATGTCAGAAGCAAAGTTCTCTGGAGTTAGCAATGTGGTTAATGTAAACTTGGGTCAATAGGGTCCTGACTGAATTGGAGATTAAATTGCTTTCTAGAAGTGAGTATATAGTAAAATAAAAGTTTGAAATGATAGTAAATAAGTTAGTTAAAATGTTTGTAGAATAGTAATATTTCCATGGCTTTTGAGAATTAATGTGGTTGCAGGATACTTTTAAAGTAAGCAAAAAGAAGCTTAGACACCTGAGAAGTCAAGCTCAGCATTGAGTAAAAGGTTTGGATAGTGAGAAGTTTGAAAGACCAATTAGATTTTACTTCTGTGAGAGCTGGAAAAGTTGTTTTAATCTGCCTTACTTTAACGTTTCCCATTCCTCACCAAAACTGATTCCTGTTAATTACGATAATATGTTCACAACTGTTTGAACCAATATTAATAATAGTTACTATGTATTGAACATTTACTGCATGCTCATGCACTTGGTACAAGTTAAAGTACATTTTTTCTCATATTGGAGAAAGTGTTGTCTTGTTAGGATAGATGTATGCTTTTCTCTTCTTTAGCTAGAAAATGAAAGTTATCCATCATTCATGCCTAGAGAAAGTGGGGTCCACATTTCGTACCAGCATCTTGAGAGTAACTCATCTTAGAAATTGACTCATACTTGGGCTTTGAAGCTGTCATTTCCCATATGAGAAGATAATTATAATAGGGCCAGAACTGACAAGTGGTATTTTGATGTAAACAATGAGCAAACCGGCAGATCAATAAATGCTGAGCAAGGCATGCTTCATCTCAGATTATATTGACTTACTGCAAAAATAATGGAGTGACAAAATGAAAATGTGTTATGCTTTATCTGAGTTATGGTCGTAGTAATATATAAGGTAATAGATTAACTCAGATAAGACTTCCTGCAAAAGAAGCATCAAGAACAACTATGAGAAAATCAATTTTCAAACACCTTCATAAAATCAAGTTCCTGAGAAACAATCAGTACACTTTACTAAAGAAAAATACCTGTCACACTTACTTGTATAGAGGACCAGGATGGACATGAATTACATTTTTATTTTAGTTAAGGATTTGACCTTCAAAAGAGGTTATTTTAGTAATGTCATGACTCCAAAGCATCTGGTCAATGTCTTAAGGGGGTCCAAAATTCAAAATTCTGCTTTTTGAAGATGTTTGGGGAAAAAAACCCAAAAATATAAAATATAGCTATGACAGGCAGTGGTACGCACCTTCAGGGAGTATGGTGAATAGACAACCTCTGACTGTTAACTCTTTCATTTCCACCTCAGCATTTGTGTCAAGATCATGTTCTTCTCAGTGTGGCCTTAACCAATAAATAATCAATACTGTGATATAAAGCACAAGCTATGTCCATCCAACGTAGGACTGCTCTAACAGGTAATTTTTGCACCAGAGCTATCAGTTGGCTGGCAGAGACTGTCAATTCTGACCAGTTCTATTTTTTTTCCTCTTTTTCTTTCACAAACACTACTTGTGAACATTTTGTACTCTTAACTTTGTCTCAGGATCTGCTTCCTGGAGAACTCAGTTGATGTGGTGGTACTGTAAGTGGTCCACTAAAAGAGCCATTCAGAAGGAATTTGGGGCCTTGGTTGCTTACCATCTGTTGGCAATGAGGATGGTATTCCAGGTGGCATCCCTGGCCCAAGGACTCTATTTCTGGCACAGGGTGGTGGCTCAATTGCTAAAACTTTCATTGGTAGTGACTCTGGAGAATTTTCCAAGAAAGGAGACAGGGTGGCAGAACATAAAATGCTGATGACCAAACTCAGGTTAGGGTCACCAAACTTCAGAGATGTTTGAATGCTCAGCCAAGGCAGGATTTTCATGCTAAGTCGGCACCGTGTCTTGGCTGAGCATTCAAACATCTCTGGAATTTTATGACTCTTGGGAAAACCTGTACCTTGATAAATCTGGGTGGATGTTCCTAAAGCCTTTGTCCTCACAATTCATTTGGTCCTTCCCATCCTCCAGAGGTGGCCCATGTTTCCTTTTTAAGAGCTAATACCATGTAGAAAGGTACTGCCGGGGTATCTTCCTTGTAAGACAATAGAGATTCTTCTCAGGATTAGCCCCTATGTCCTCTCTTGGCTTTTGGGCCAGTAACTAGAGTGAAATTGAAGCATAATCAAGCTGGGGATAGGCTGGGCGTGATATGTGAGAAAAGGCCTCAAATCAAAGAATCTCTAAGAACTAGCTGCCATGAACCAACAGGACCTGCAGGGATACATTTAGGACTACATTTTGGGGATGTCAGAATTAAATCAAAGGAGGCTGAATATAAATTTTAAAAAGGGAGAGCATATTGCCTTGGAACAGATGCTCAAAATGCTGCCTTAACCCTCTAGCAAAGACCCCAGGTGATGGGACAAACTCATTGCAAGGGTGACTCCTAGAAGTCTGGAGAAAACACTAACCCTTGTTGAACAAGTTGAAATGCCTGAATTGCCATGGAAGATGGCAGAAGAAGGAATAAGAAAGCTTGGAAATGATCATGCTAAATTGGATACATTAAATGAGCCCAGAAGACCCATCAAAAGACTGTCAGTAAAGCAGGATATACCATTCACCAAGTCCATCAGGAATGCACTGATGAGGGGGGTTCTAGCATCACCAAAATGTTTAGTGGAGGTTCTCCTTTGAAAGTCAAGATTATGGGAGGAGGTTGTAATGGAACTTTGCTTTTTGATAGCAGTGGGGATGATGTAGCACTGAAGCAGTAGAGGCCAGGCAGTGGCACTTAAATTTCAGAAACTAGGGATGCAGGGGGTGGGGGTCATGGGGGCAGTCACAATTATTGTAACAACTATTAAGGTCAGAGTGGCAGCTCAGGGAACTTTCTGTGCAGTGAATTGTGGAGATACTTAATAGAAAGCAGCATCTCTAGGGACAAAATAGATGGGCAGCAAACAAGGACACTGCTTTGTACATAATTAAAAGAAGGCAAAAATGATGAACTGGAAACTGAAGATCATAGCTTTCATAAAATGTCACATCCTTTTCCCAGTTTGCAGACCTCAGTCAGTTTTCAGACCTGGAGCCAATTAGAATCCTTCCTCCCATATCACGTCCAACTTATAAATCTCTACTGGGAAAAAGTAATGTAAAACAGTGCAGAAAGAATGTTGTATGATGATTTTTCTAGTCCTTCCCCAGTTGGACTCAATGGCCATTTACTCAGGTTTATTTGGAAAATATACCTGACACATTTTGAGTCTCAGACATAAGGCCTCAGTTGTCACTGATACCCAGAGGGCTGAAGCATAACCATTGCTCCACCCTCATTTAAGTAACAATATACAGGGACCAGGTAACACATGTAGACTTGACCAAAGTCTAGCAGAGAGTAGGTCCACTGGGTCTTTGGGTTCAAACAGTCCTTATTTCACTGGTCTCTGAATGTACAATTGGGAATGGCATGCTTGACAGTTGGAGAAACTCTCATATTAGGTCCTTGGTCTGCCATGAAGAAGGCCAAGCTGAAGGCACTGAAACAGCCTCTTGCTGTGGGGGCAGGGTAGAGATTAGATCCACCTTAAGAACTTAAGGGATTCCTACATATATCTTTTTAATTTGCCAATCTGGCCCCTGCAGAAACCAGATGGATCCTGTAGAATGATTATCCACTACTTCAATCTCAACCAGTGATAGTCCTAATTGTAACTGCTATGCCATACATGGTATTATTATTAAAGCAGATTGGTATGGCCTAAGACACAAGATATTTATTCATTGACTTGGTGAATGCATTATTTTCTATTCCAATAGAAAAAGAATATCTTAGTTTGCATTCATGTAGAACAGGGAATAATATGCATTTACAATTTTGTTTCAGGGGTATACAAACTCTTCTACTCTCTGTCAAATTACAATTCAAAAAGATCCATACCGACTCAACATAACACAAACATCATATCATATAAAACATCACATTAATATATGATATAAATGATACCATGCTGATCAAGTAGGATGAACAAAAGGTGAGAACAATGCTGCAGGCCTTGATAAGACATAAGCCTTCCAAATGATGGGAAATAAATCTGACGACAATAGAGCTCAACCATGAGTACTTGGAATGACACTATTCGTTCAGAAGATCAACCAGCTACTTGGTAGCAAGTTAAATGTTTTGGGCCCCTTCTGTCTTGGAAACATCAGCAATTCTTTCTCATAGGAACAGACACTTATTCTGGCTAGTATCTTTCCTTCTTAGAGCTCCTTAATCAATACTACTATCCAGGAGCTTATGCAGTGCTTGGTCCTCAGTCATTGAATCTCTACAACATAGCACCTGACAGAGGGATCCACTTAACAGTGAGGAAGGTGAAGAGATGGGCTCAGACCATGAGATCCACTGGTTGAATTGTATACTGCACCATGTAGCAGAAGCCAGCCTAATAGAGTGCTAGAATAGTCTACTGAAGCTACAGCTGCAGGAGAGGCTGGAGATAATACCTGTGAGGATGAGGGGCTATACTCCAGAATGCAGTATACCCACTGAATCAATATAGTGCTCTGAACTCAACAGAAAGAATTAATTGGTCTAGAAACCAAGGGGCAGAAGCAAGTATGCCTCGACCTACCATCATTCCCAGTGGCCTGATCACTAAGGCGGGGGCAGGGGGTATTGTTTTTGCTGTTCCTATAACTCTGGGCTTTGCAAGTTAAAGGTGTTGGTCCTTAAAGGGATCCTGCTCTTGTCAGGAGATGCAATAAGTGTCTTTTTGAACTATAAGCTATATTGCCACCTGAGCACATTGTACTACTTATTTCCAGGAGCCAGCAGTCAAAAAGAGGAGTCATGACATTGGCAGGGATAATTTACCTGATCACTAAGAGGATACAGGGATATTGCATTATGGGGGCAAGATATAATATAAGTGGAACTGTGTACCTACTTGGGTACATATTGTTACTTCCTTGTTTAATTGTGGTTATAAATAGTTCAGCAAGCCTTATATAAGAAAGGTATAGTTATTGGTGCTCATATCTCTCAGAAAAGAGTTTAGGTCATACCCCCATGTAAGCCACTGTGATCATTAGCAGTGATAGCTAATGGTAAAGAAAATTTAGAATGAATAGTGGAGGAGGGAGATGATTGGAACCAATTGTGGTGACAGGAAAACTAAATGTTTATCTTAGAAAAGAATATCCCAAGAAAAGCTCAAATGTCTTCAACTATTTGAAAAGCTGATACTGAAATAATAGAAGGAAGCAGATATTAACCCAGTGCAGAAAAGAGATCTCTGCAGAAGTATCTTCACATGGTACTAAGCTTCCTGTCACTGGGGGTGTTCAAGCAAAGGAAGGGCAAACACATCAAGGGTGTTTTGGAAGAGATTCAACTTTGGGAGGGAGTTTATCTAGATGAGTTGACAACTTCTTACTAGTCCAAGTTTAGAGAATTGGAATTGGAGTCTAACACTACATGAAAGCCTCTTCTCTAGAGTCTGAATTACATGTTTAGAGAATTCAGAACAAAAGAAAAGGGGCTGAAATATAGAAGATACAAGATATGTAGAAGATGTAGGATGGAATTTGAATAAATAAAGATATAACAGCAACGGTGCTAACAGTATGTTATAAGGTTGTAGAATCTATTTCTCTAGAGAACTTAAAATACAGACAGTTCCTAATTTAAGATGGTTGGAGTTAACAATTCTTCAACTTTGGGATGGTATAGAAGCATTCAGTAGAAACTGTATTTTGAATGCCCATACAACCATTCTGTTTTTCACTTTCAGTGGACTATTCAATAAATTACATAAGATATTTAACACTTTATTATAAAATATGCTTTGTGGTAGATGATTTTGCCCAAATATAGGTGAACGTAGATGTTTGAGCACATTTAAGGTAGGATAGGCTAAGCTATGATGTTCTGGTAGGTTAGGTATATTAAAGGCACTTTCAACTTATGATATTTTCAAATTATGATGGGTTTATGAGGACATAACCCCATTGTAAGTCGAGGAGCCTGTGTACATAAAATCCTCATCTCTTATCTGAGTTGACAGAATTTTAAAAATTTGTCATCTAAGAGATGAGGATCACATTCTTACTCTTCATTTCAACATTTTAAAAATAAAATTGGACTCTAACATCTATGCTATGCTACATAGCATAGCATTTTAAATATAAATTTAAAATATAGAATTTTAAAATTCTGTCATCTAAGAGATGAGGATTTTATGTAGCATAGCAGAAATGAACAGGAGGGTGGCACAGCAGAAATGGATAATTTTTTGAGGGTCTTTTAGTGTGCTGCCTGGTCCCAAAATTTGATTCTTTGAGTTTTTGCTATATTTTGAAGAATATAACCCTTCTCAAGGAAATTTGTATTTTAAGTTTGGGAAAAGCTTTTAGAACTATGGTAAAGAAGGTTATCGTCTTTAGTTTCTTATGTTATAAGTTAATGTTTTATTATAGTATTATAGATCTTATGTGCATATGATGAATAGCTGTGGCATGATTAAAATCATATTGATGTTTTATGTGAAGAAACAAAAATGACGATAAATGTTCTAAATTGCACAAAATAAAATTATGACTTTTTTTTTTTTTTTTTTTTGAGACGGAGTCTCGCTCTGTCGCCCAGGCTGGAGTGCAGTGGTGCGATCTCGGCTCACTGCAACCTCTGCCTCCCAGGTTCACGCCGTTTTCCTGCCTCAGCCTCCTGAATAGCTGGGACTACAGGTGTCCACCACCACACCTGGCTAATTTTTTGTATTTTTAGTAGAGATGGGGTTTCACCGTGTTAGCCAGGATGGTCTCGATCTCCTGACCTTGTGATCCACCCGCCTTGGCCTCCCAAAGTGCTGGGATTACAGGCATGAGCCACCATGCCTGGCCAAAATTATGACTTTTAAAAGTAGTTAAAAGCTTAAAAACTTTAAAAACCCAAAGAATGGTGACTAAAATAATTCACAACAGTATGGATGTCATTTGTTATATTTTATTTTCATGGTTATATGAAAATTTCTGTTTATACTTTGTGTAGATGCTTATAGGTGGATTAAATCACCTTAGATTTGAATGACTGACTTCTAGAAATTGTATGAAAAAGTAAACAGGCAGCATGAATTTAGAATGCACTCTTCTTTAGGTTATAAAGTTAGAGAAAAGTTGTGAAAATTGATTAATAGAAAATGAATCAAATTTAATTCAACAAAAATTTCCTGAGTTTCAACAATTCTCTCTGCACTGTAGACTATATGCTGCCAGGAATTACAAGTCTAGCAGTTGGTAATTTAGTTTGGGAAATAGCACTAACCTTCATAAAGAAAGATATCATGGTATAATAGAAATAGAATAGATGTTAGAGTCCAATTTTATTTTTAAAATGTTGAAATGCAGAGTAAGAATTACTTATTTCCACCTGTGCAGAACTATACTTATTGTGCTTTCTTAAGTAGACTTAAAGTTTTTATAATTTTAAGGAATATAATTTTTTACATGTTTGGGATGGATCAGTTGGTCAAGTAGAAACACTTACATCCAACTACTGTTTGGTAGAATTACATAAGGGGACTAATTAACATACCTACATACATTTGAGAGGCATACATTGAAAACAGGGAAAAAATGGATCCTAGTAAATATGTGAGGTAAAAACTTCAACATTAATTGGTTCAGAAAAAAAAATAGCAGAGGAGGTTACAAGCATGTATTATGCTTTCCCTCTGTAACTCACTCCCACTTTTATTCTTGTTGATGGTTCATTAAATCTCTTAATTGAATAGTTCCTCTCTTTCCTTGAGTCACTAACCTCCATTTGTACTCCACCTCCACACAGCACCAGTATGAACCTAGTCATTATAAGGCAGCCCCACCTCTAAGATATAGAATTTGTCCCTTCTTCTCTGTCTACAATTTCCTTATCTATCTTCCCTCTTATTAATCTATATACTTCAGACTGGGCTCACTCACTCTCTCCATACTCATTATCCTGCTTGGATTATTTTGTTTAGGCAAAGATATCATTATATATTTTCTGGCATTGCTGACACTGCATTTTAAATTATGATAATTTTTCATTTGAGAATATACTTTCTGGAAAAAAGCACAATTGGATCATACATTCAACGTTATGTAATGGAGGTATTAACTTGTAAGAATGAAACTATTCGTTTCAACCATGTCATCTTGAGTAGAGGTTCTTGGATTGTAAATGACATGTGGATTAATGGAACTGAGTAAACAGAAATCTTATATAAACAATATTTAGTGGATGCCTTAGTCCATTTTGTGTTGCTATAACAGAATACTTAAGACTGCATTATTTATAGAGAAAATTATTTGGCTCATGACTCTGGAGGCTGATAAGTCCAAGAAGCATGGCACCAGCATCTGCTTAGCTTCTGGTAAGGATCATATGCTGCATTACAACATGGTGGAGAAGCAGGAAAGTGAGTGGGCATGTGCAAAGAGACACATAAGAGGCTGTGCTAACTTTATTACAACCCACCCTCACCCATTCCCAGGAGACTGAGAGCTCACCCAGTCCCCAAAGATGGCATTATTCTAATGATGAAGCTGGTGGCCTCATGATCCAAACACCTAACTCTAAGCCCCACCTCCCAACACTGCCATGTTGGAAATCAAATTTCAACATGATTTTCTGGGGGACACAAACCATTCAAAACTACTTCATAGTTTTATTACATGCAGGCACAGACTGTATGTTTAATATACAAACATTTACTAGTAATATGCAAAATAGAATATCTAACCATACCTATCTGTGTTGTACATTCTTTACTGTCTTCTACCCTGCTTATGCCCCAGGAGACTGACAACTATAGTTTGCATCATCTTGGTTTTCTTGTCTTTGGATTGGTTTCAGCCAATGGGAAGCACAAACAGGAAATCAGAGGGCAGAAGAAATTAGAAATCTGAGTATTTACCTTCCTTTACCACTCTCTTTGCCTGCTACAATTCTGTCAGTGGTTCGTCCTACAATTATAGGTTGTATCACGTGGCTCCTCCTTCATGGCCCTAAGACCTCTCTGGGCTTCACCACTACCTTACTTTCCCCTGATTCCTTTGGTTCCAAGGGATTATAATGGGTTCTTGTTGTTTTTCTGTGTGTGTTTTGCCATTATTAGCTTAAGATATCCTTAAATCTACTTACAACTCTGTAAATAGTCCCTTTGTTCAAGAAACACTCAGTTATCAAATGTTTCTTAGAACACCCTGAAAATTCATACCTTAATTTTCATTTACATTATAGAGAGTGGAGGAAGGGCTGAGGAGAATGAAAATTTTGGGGAAAAAAAGGATCAGTTTCACATCAACTTCAGATATACCAACTTCATAACAATAAAATGGGACTTTAGCATTATAAAACATCTATCATCTATCTATGTATCTATCTATCTAATCTATATACCTACCTACCTACCTACCTACATATCTATCTATCATCTACCTATCTATTATCATAGTGGAGATAACAGAGCCTATTTGAGGACATTGTTTAATCATAATGCTATATGATGTGGAATACAATTCAGTTAAATAATAATTACCACTGATTCTGTTAGACTTGAGTAGAGTGGAACTAACTTCACTGATCCCACAGTTGCATATCATGAATATATTGTTGACTTACTCAACTAGCCTTCATAAATTCACTGACAGGAGTGCAACTTAGCCAATGGACATGTAAGATGAGTCTATCAAAACCCAATTTAGTTTCTATACTGCCGCATAACTTCTTACAGTGTTGGAATAATTTCATAGATGGTGTCACAGTCTAAAAATCACAATGTATTTTGGTTCTAAAATGTTAAGAGAGCATGTAAATCTGCAGCACACAACTCTGATTATTTAAATTTATTTGAATTATTGATTACAGTGTTACAGGTTTGGCAAATCATAAGTCACATCAAGGTCACAAGTTGACTTGATTTAAATAGTGGCCTTTTGATATGGGCTGCTGAAGGTAGCAAAATAGAAGTGCTTTTTGCTTAATTACCATATATGTGGTGTTATGGCTAATAATGTTACATGCACCTTTATACCTCTTGGGATTTAATCCCCTTCTCAGTTGGCATTTTTATGTTTAAATTGCTTTGACTACTTCAACCAGATTGTAAGAGCCCCAGGCAAAGACCAAGTCATCTTCTAAGTCAATACGGAGCTGAACACAATGTCAGTGCGTTGCAAGCAATTCAGGAGTAAAATTTTCGAGAATCTTGCCTTACTGACATCAGCTGAATAACGAAGGCAATTGAAAAGGGACTAAAATAGATTCTTGTTATAATGTTCATAGTTTTTCTTGAATGATACTATTGAAATTATTTTTCCTTTTCTGCATGTGTCTGGACTGAGTGCTTGGGCTATAGCAAAAAGAGCTTCCTCAGTCTTCTCTGACTATTGCTTGCTATTTTTCTCCTTGATTTATAGTGACAGGCTTATGGCTCACAAACTCTCACTCTTCCCATTTAACATCTGTCCCCTTTTTATGGCACCCTTCAGGGAACTAAGATTGAAAGAAAATATTTTAAACTTAATAAATGAATAACCTGTCTGAGACATGAAGATATTCCCTATACATAAGCTACATTTTAGAAATGAATGAGTTGTTCTAATTTGCAATTGTCCTTGAAAATTAATGGTATGCAATTAATAATATGCTAATTCATTTTATTCTCTGTTCCATATGGTATTGGCTTGAGTTTCATGCTAGTTTTGCCCTTTTGAACATGATTTAATAATAATTCCTTACCATTGAGAAGTTTTAAGAGGCAATGTGCTCTATTGGGCAGAACTCTGGACTAAAATCAAAGAGATGGGTTTTATTTATATGCTTATTGTGCAATTTGGCATGCTACTTACATTTTAAGAATTTTACTCACTGGAAGATGGAACTAACTTGGTCTTTTTATAGTTGTTCATTCTAGAGCTCTCCTCTACACAATATTGATAAAACATATAACTCCAAGATAGTGATTGCTAACAAGCTCACTTTACTTAGTTGAACTTCAAACAAGTTTAGATTATAAGTTATGTCTCATTAGAGAGAGTGTAAGAAATATCTCTGTTTCAAGGGCATAGATCCAAATTTGGTCTCTTCCTATTTGTAAAAACTCAAGCTTTCTGCTTGACATTATCATTAAACAATGAGCTTTTCTCATCAAGACCAGGTTGCCATATAATAGGAAGGTGTTTGCAAAGTGTTCAGATGGTTGACAACTCTCTGTCTTTGTTGTCAAGTGTCTGGAGCTCTTCTTCATACCTCTGGGTTTTGAACTATAACTCATTCCATACTTTAAGTCTTTCCCTTACTAATAATTAGGGAGCAATCCCATACCCTTAAGGAGGGTGATATTTTTAATCTTTAACCAACAGAGCATGGCTATTGAACAATCAGAACAGACACCAGCTGTAAATAAGAAACAGCTAGGCAGAGCAAACCAGCTGAATATTAATTCTGCTCTAGGATGATCTTCTCAAATGCTGAGTGTAAGAGACCTTGCAGTTGTCCTGCCTATGTCCCCTCCCCTAGTGCTCAATATTTCATTAAATGAACAGGTGTCCTATGGGCTGTCTGCCTAAGTGCTTACTCTCAGACTTTGCATAAGGCAGACCAGGAGAATTAATGCCACCAGGAAAAACTCCTAGTTAATAGTGAATGGAAGCTAGAGTGTGAATACTCCAGTGTTTTTGTCCTTTGGATGGGTGACTCTCAGGCATGTTCTATACTATCTCTGAGATCATTAGCAGGATTGAGCTCCTGTTGTCCACGGTGATATCTTGCTCCTTAACACACTCTTTATTGGTTTCCTGTGTTATATCACCTCTTCCTTTCCAGTCTTCTTAGGGTCACCCAAATAAACAGTAACATAAAATCCAAGCTGTAGCAAATTTCTATAATTTTATGTTGTTTTGGCATCCATTTTGAATATAGGTTTTAACTTTTTCACACCAGAAGCAGGTTTTAGTTGCCTTTGACAATTTCCAATTCTTTGTCTCCTTCCAATTCCTCTGTGTGGTGAAACCAGATATTTGTCTTTTTTTGAGATAGGGTCTCAGTCTGTTGCCCAGGCTGGAGTGCAGTAGTGTGACCATGGTTAACCACAGCCCTGACCTCCTGAACTCAAGGGATCCTCCTGCCTCAGCCCCTCAAGGAGCTGGGACCACAGGTGCATGCCACTATGCCCAGATAATTTTTGTATTTTCTGTAGAGACAGGGTCTCACCATGTTACCCAGGCAGGTCTTGAGCTCTTGGTCTCAAGGCAATTCTCCTGCCTTGGCCTCTTAAATTGTTGAGGTTACAGGCATGAGCCAGCACACCTGGCTCAGATATTTGTCTTATACAATCACTTCCTGATGGCCACCTCTCTCTGACACAGATAGATACAACGTACTTGACTTGTCCCACTGACCCCCACACAACCCACATGGACTGCACAAATATGCTGCAGTGACTAGCTGTCAGTCACAGTGTGACTGTATGGAACATGTGCCTGCCCTAAACCCACCAATTATAACTTACCTCAGGAAGCCTGCTTGAGTAACATCTTGAACCCCAATAAGGCTGTGGCCTATAGGTTTATCTTTCTCCGGCTCCATATCTGCTGGTTGAGGGCATTGCTTTTGTGACCCTCTTGTTGTCCCTCATCAATATCCCTCTCTTTCATGGACCTATGAGTAATAAACTTCTTTTATGTCACGTGTTTTTGTTGTGTGGGTTCTCTGGGTCTCACCAAGCTGACACACCAAAACCTAACCTTTCTCTGGGTCAAGTTCTCTCTAGAGAGTAGCTATCTTTGCAGAAGTAAACTAGTCAAAGATCAGACAAGAGCCACTAGGGTGTCTGCCAGTATAAACAAATTTCCTGGGAGAGGGACAACTGGTCATGAGTCAGACATTTAGGCTGATTGCCAGGATAAAGAAGTTTCCTGTGAAAGACACAGTGTAAGCATCTATGATCAAATCTCCTGGAACCCTATCAGGGATGGGCTAGAGTTTATGGCCACTCTCCAGAGAGAGATGTCAACGTCAAATTTGAAAGAAACAACACAGGAGGTGGCACTGAACTCTGGAGGGGACAGTGGTTTATCATCACTGGTATTTATGTTTCTGAGTGTGGGTTTTCTTCCACTTCCCACATTCTCTTAATTGGCATCATTATCTGAGAACTCATAGATATGCATCTCATATCCTGCCTTAGAACATAGGAACCACTTGTGTTTTTTGTTTGTTTGTTTGTTTGTTTGTTTTGCAAAGGAGGCACATAATCATGAGATTCACTCATCCTACCATCTGTTAACCTTGAAATGATTGGCTTAATTTCAAGCAGGGTAGCATTCGAAAAGTATTGCTAGCTATAGCCCTGCAGAGTTGGGGTGCTGTTCTTCAAGATATGATATAACTTTGAACCAATGGTCAATATATGATACTGTGTGATACTCAGAATACACAGGTCCAGGTACAGGGGTGGAATTCAGAGAAGCCCCTTTCACTATTCCCAATGCCATACCTGGAGAAACTTTGCTTTCTATGCCCTGTTCTGGATTAAAGGTTTCGTTTCCTGGGAGGGAGATTGAGCATTTCTATCAGGGGAGACAGTAGTTGTGGTGGTTAATACAGAGTGTCAACTTGATTGGATTGAAGGATACAAAGTATTGTTCCTGGGTGTGTCTGTGAGGATGTTGTCAAAGCAAAAGAGATTAATATTTGAGTCAGTGGACTGGGAGAGGCAGACCCACCCTCATTCTGGTGGGCACCATCTAATCAGCAGCCAGTGCAGCTAGGATAAAAGCAGGCAGAGAAATGTGGAAGGACCAGAGTGGCTAAGTCTTCTGGCTTCCATCTTTCTCCTGTGCTAGATACTTCCTGTCCTCAAACATCAGATTCCAAGTTCTTCAGTTTGTGGACTCTTGGACTTACACGGGTGGTTTGTCAGGGGCTCTCAAGCCTTTGGGCACAGACTGAAGGCTGCACTATCAGCTTCCCTACTTTTTTTTTTATTTTTTTTTTTGAGCTGGAGTCTTGCTCTGTTGCTAGGCTGGAATGCAGTGGCGCAATCTTGGCTCACTGCAACCTCCACCTCCTGAGTTCAAGCAATTCTCCTGCCTCAGCCTCCCAAGTAGCTGGGACTACAAGTGCATGCCATTATGCCTGGCAAATTTTTGTATTTTTAGTAGAGATGAGGTTTCACCATGTTGGTCAGGATGGTCTTGATCTCTTTACCTTGTGATCTGCCCGCCTCGGCCTCCCAAAGTGCTGGGATTACAGGCATGAGCCACTGCGCCCAGACGGCTTTCCTACTTTTGAGGTTTGGAGACTTTGACTGGCTTCTTGGCTCCTCAGCTGGCAGATGGCCTATTGTGGGACTTCACCTTGTGGTCATGTGAGTCAATTCTTCTAATAAACTCACCTTAATATATTCATTTATCCTATTAATTCTGTCCCTTTAGAGAACCCTAATATAGTAGTGTTCCCACTAATATCCATTTCCATGTCATTTGAAATTCTTTGTGCTGTTAGATTAACCAAGAAAAAAGTTAACATACTGATAAGTAATTAACCAGCATTATAACAAGAAGATGAAGTTGCTGCTATGTAGTAAAGATAGGAAAGATTATATTTGAAATCCACAAGTTTTCTGGAATTCTCTTTTAAAATTTATTTTTATTTATTCATATTAATTGACACATAATTGTACATATTTGTGTGGTACATGATATTTTGATAAATGTGTACAACGTGTAATGATCGAATCAGGGTAATTAGCATATCCATCACCTCAGAACATTATCATTTTTTTGTGTTAGTAACATGCAAAAGTCTCTCTTCTAGCTGTTTGAAAAAATACATTATTGCTTACCATATTCATCCTATGTTCCTGGAGTTCTTGATGCTTTAATGTGTAATGGTAACTACCAGTGGGCTATTAAAGCCAACACAAAGATACAATAGGCAGGTCTTATACTTCTCAGAGACAAGCTGAAGTACTGCTTAAGGTACTTAAAGGAAATAGAGTGAGTGATAGCAGATGTACAATGTCAATTTCAGCCTCAACACCAACTTCAATAGTGAGGAATGTAGCTTACCCCATTTTCTGTTATAAATTCCCATTATTCTTCTTGTTGTAAGACTTATTTGTTTTTAGAAATTGTTATGGACCATCAACTTAAAGAAGCAGTGATAGGGCAAATTGAACTTATCTTGGGAGATGAGTGAATTTGAGAATTGCAAGTGGCAGACTGTAGCAGACGCCACTGGAGCCAAAAGCTTATCCCTTTCAACGTTGATTGTTGTAATAGCATTCACTGTTGTAGTATGGGTACATATTATTGGCCTTTAAAATCTTGTGGCTCTCTGCCTGAGAGCTTTCTCTTAACCTTTGCCCAAGGCAAGCCAGAAGTGCTGGAGAAGTTAATACCCATAAGAACAACACTCAACCAATGATGAGAGTTTGAGCATAAATAATCTGTAGATTACAACCAATTTAGGTGGAATAACTCTGAAGTTCCTTTCACACTGTCTCCCCATGTTCCCAGCAGCACCGAGCCCCTGGTGTGTGCACTGGCAGTCTGCTCATTAATACATCCCATATTAGGTTGCTTTCCTTCCTTTTTTTCATTTCCCATCATTCTAATGGTTCTTCCTAGAATCAACGCCTAACCTTCCATATAAACCACTTACACTCAAAGCCTTTGAGTTAAACAAGTTAAAGAGGACTCTGGAATGCTCTACTTCTCAGACATTTTATTATATTCTAGTATGCTATATATCAACAAGAGGAAGACCTAGAAAAACTTGTCAATCTTATTCAACCATAGCACATTTTTTCAGCAATTACCTTTTGTATCTTGAGGAAGAGGGCCTCTTTGGAGAATACTTTTTGGAAACATTGAGAAAAAGAACCACCATGACAGATACAAATTTTCTAAATTAGATCAAGCTCTTTGTAACTGAATACCTAATTAAAATTTATAGACATAAATAGGTGTAATCTATGTAAGAACCAAAATCGTCTTCCCCCATTCAGTTTAGGCACTGACAACTGAAATCATACCTTACTGTCTATATTAATATTACTTTTATATTCATCAACATGTCTTTATTCTCCCAGGGCCATCTTCCTCCAGCAAGTGGTGTGATTGTTGACTATAGGAACTTCTAAAAAGACTCATCAACTCTTTAACAGACAATATCAACAGAGAGTTCATGCCCTAAGATTCTTGGAACCTTCAAAATCATCATCTTACTATTTCCACCAAACCTGGAATGGTTTTATTATGATTCCTACTCTAATGAAGTCCCTGCATTGAAAACCTTGCCTTAAACCAATTTCCAATTTTTAATAACTTCCAATCTCACTTTTCCCCTCTGAAATACTGTAAAAGCTTTGAAAGATGATATTTTCCCTTGTCTTTAATAAGTGATAACTCACCTTTGTCTTATAACCAAATTGTGTGAACGTTTGGAGAGCCAGCTTTTGACATATGATAGATTATTTCCTATTATAGTTAACAAAACTGGCCCAAGTAAGAGTAAGGAGCTACATATTACCTACTAAGAAAAGAAGATGGCGTAAAATTAAAGCTGATTCTCACTGTGGGTCAAATCACTTATTAAGCACTTTACATACACTATCTCACTTTATCATCATGAGAGACTAAATGTACAAACTGATGGGACCAGAACTTAAATAACCAGTAGAACTCTGGCCCATATCCTCTGCAGCAACCAGGGAAACTAAATGTCAACCTCTGCAGTAATCAACCCAGAAAGCCAGGACTTGGTCAATAACAGGGAGCTTCATTATTCCACTGCCCCCACCCTTGCTTCCAACTCAAGACCAACCAAAGAAAGCCAAATATGTTCTCCAAACCAATGATATGAGATAGATGTTCTGCTTCTAGTTAGCCTGTTTCCAGCTTCACTATGCCAACAATCTGCAATCAGAACATATCTAACGTCTTCCCTTTTTACCACTATAAACATTTTTTACTCCCCTGTCCACTGTTGAGTCTCTGCCAAATGCAAGGGATGGTGGCTGTCTCCCTTGCTACAGCAAGCTCTGAACAAATAGCCTTATTGTTTTCATTTTGGTGCTCTTTGTTTATTTCCACAAACATAAGAGCCCTGTGAAGTAAATACTTTTGAGAAATGAAAAAACTGAGGCAAACAGAATTTATGTAAATTGTCCAAGTTCAGAGAGCTGGTAATGGCAGGCCTGAGATCTGAAGTTAGTTTTTCTTACTCTACATCTTATTTTAACCACCACTCTGGAAATAGTGCTAAACTTAGATTCTAGAAATACACTGTCTGACAATGCTGAATTTTACTGGAACCTATGATCCTGGAAAACAAGGACAGTTAAGAAATTCCCCACCCTTTTTGTCCCAGGAAAATAGCTTATCATGAAGAACCACCTTTCCCCATATGACTCAGGTAAGGCTCATGGACACCCCCCTTGATTATGCTAAGGCCAGACACAGACCCTCCACATTCCCATTTCTTTGCCCCATAAAATATTAGCTGATTTCTTTGCCCTGTTGATCAATTGAAACAAAGTGCTATTAATTAAGTTGACTAACTTAAACTTCTGTCCTTCCCTGAGTCCCTGAACTTTAATACTTCCTAGCTTGATACAGCAAACAAACCCTTGTTTCTTGTTCTCTTAACTGTATGTCTTGTGAATCAGCTGACTGCAAGGAAATACATTCCTTGAACAATTGTCCAGACATGCCACCCACTTCCCCACATTCATTTCTTTCTAGGCTTGTTTACCCCTCTGATAAATATACATATATATTCCTTTCTGCCTAATCTTTGAGGTTTTTGCAGATCTTGTGGTTAGAGCATTCTCTGTATTGCAATAGTCCCTTTCCTCTTATTACAATAATGCTTCAAATAATTGTTTACTTATTCAAATCTGAATTTAAAAACATTTGACATGTCCAATAGAAATGTAATGTGAGCTAAATATGCAATTAAAAATTTTCTAGTAGTCACATGAAAAAGTCATATAAAAAGAGGTGAAAGTAATTTTAATTTTTTTAACCCACTATATTCAAAATACTATTTGAACATGTCAATATGAAAATTATTAATGAACTATTTTATATTCCTTTTTCTCATACTACATTTTGAATTCCAGTGTATAATTTTATATTTATAGAATATCTTAGTTTGGACTAGCTACTTTTCAAGTGCTCACAAGGTGGCTACTGTATCGGACACAGTATCTTCAGTGTGGGTTCCCTTTGTCTAGCTCTCGGGAAAGTTAGTTTTCCTCACTGCGCTCAACTTATCTCCTCCTCATACTCCTCTTAATTCTCCTTTTCTACTTTAGTCTCTCTTCTCTTTGCCTACTTATGAAGCTTGCATATCTTTAGTTTTGATTCACTGCATGAAACATAGTTTCTCTTTCTCCAACTTAGATAAATATCTGAGTTCTCTGACATTAGAAAAGAATATATAACTCAAAATATACAATTATTTTCTAACATTCTTTCATCTCAGCTGGGGGAAAAGAGATATTTTTGCTCATTTAAAAAAAAAACCTAGAGATACTTAATCCATATGCACAGAAAGAATGAGGATAATAACTCTAAAATGTCTCATAATTAGGCACATTCAACAGGTTAAGTTGGTTGGGGACTTAGATTTGAATATTGGGGTGATAACCTGTAGGGCGCTAGAAAGGAACTAGTGGGGATTGTACTTGACCAAAAAGCGTTGAATTTTGTCCTCTCTGAAGTTCTTGTGTCTTTTTCTCTTTTTTAAAAAAAGCATAAAAATAACACCTGATGTAATGGAACAATAGCTTGGAACTCCTGCTGGTGCTTGAGTACATCTTTGGAGATTACTTTGAAATATCACTACATACTCAGCATTTGAGAAACTGAAATTGATTTGAGAAAAATTGCTGCTTCAGTGGGCCATGGTACTCAGCAAGTTTCCCCAAGTGCCTGGCAACTGTCATCACTAATGTGACATTGTTCGCCGACTGCACACAGGAACTCTTTGCTTGGCTCGCCAGTCACAAAGACGATGGAGCCAGTGTTCAGGCACTCTTCCTCAAAGGTTGGGCTTAGGAATCATGTTCTTATTTAGATTCTGCTCACTTCCCTATCCTTTTCTTCTTCTCAGTTTCAGCGTTCAAAAAGCTGTGTGAATTTCACACTACCTAAATGAAAATTTAAAATTATCCAATTCCACCAAAATTTATTCAGAATCTAGTGTGTGCCAGGCATTTTGTTAAGCACTGGGTATGAACAACTGAGTAAAATACTCCAGAATCTGATACGTTAGAAGGAATTTAGAAAAGTAAATACAGAGCTGTAATAAAATTAGGATCGGTCCCATGATAGCATTGTTTTTAAAATGTGAGTGTATAAGTGAGCAAGATTAATTTCATTGGGTAGTGAGAAGATAGGGAGAAACCAGAGAATTGTAAATACATTTGATCTGATACTGGAAAGAGGTCATGTAGACCAGAAAAGGAAAGATACCCAGATACCTCAAGGTGAGGAACTAGCACTAGGAAGAAGCACGGTGTGTTCAAGGTAACGAGCTGTTGGGGTGAAGCGGAAGAAAGCAGCCGATGATCTTAAAGCTATCAACTGTGGGTAAGTTGTGGATCTGCTGGAAAGCCATAATGAAGAGTTTCTAATTTTTTTTTTGTAGTCAATTGGGAACAAACTGAAATTATGAAGGTAACAGCATAATGTGTCCTGTCATTTATGACTTGTGATTGTAACAATTGTGATTTTGGAGAGTGTGGAATATGGTTTGAAAAGGAGCCTTAATATAATATATAGAAAATAATTTGATTTGGACATTTGCAGATGCGCCTTTTTAATGCCACCTTTTCTAACGTGGAGCTCTTATTTTAATTTTTCAGTTCTTTGCCCAAGTGACTATGCACTTGTTATTGAACAGGCCCTTTATGTCTAGTTATGTGGGACTGCTGGTGCTAGAAAGACTCTGTATGTAAGGTGTGATTCCTCTTATTTCAAAACGGCCCTCTATGGAAGATCTCCAGTTACCTTTGATAGACAATCAAGATTCTAAGAAAAAGAACCAATAATCATTAAATACAGTCTTTCTGTAAACAAGCTCACAACATTTATTGTCTAAGTCTCTTGTAGTGTTTATCTGTGTCTGAGTGTACACAAATACACTCAGAGATGAAGAGCCTAGCCAGTATTTTTCTAATAAAAATACAGTTATCAGAAATTGAGAGAGGGAGTAAGAAATATGCATACAAAGACATCTACAGAGAGAGAGGCACACATGCTGACTCACTTGAAGATACAAAGAACCTAGACTAGCACTTATTTAAAAGTAAAAAGGAATGAAGCACCGATTCATGCTACAGTATGGATGAACCTTGAAAATATTATACTAAATGAAAGAAGTTAGGCACCAAAGGTCACTTATTGTATGGTTCCATTTATACAAAATGTCTAGAATAGGCAAATCTTTAGAGACAGAAAGACTAGTGGTTGCTAGGGGCTGATGAGAGGAAGAAATGGGGAATGACTGCTTAATGGGTACCATCTTTCTATTTAGGGTGATCAAAATATTCTGGACTTAGTAGTGATGGTTGCACATCCTTACGAATATACTAAAAAACACTAAATTGTACAGTTTAAACTGATTAATATAGTGAAATTTATGTTGCCTCAATTTTATCCCAATAAAAAAAGAGAGACACCCACACCACACACCCCATGGAAACATATAAGTACAGTAGCTACACACAGCACACACAGAAGAAAAATAAAATTTATACACACAAATGTATACAGAGAGATACAAACAGAATCAGAGAGAGACATACTCATAGACAGATACACAGAGAAACAGAAAGAGAGGCAGAGAATGCATGGGCATCAAAGTTGAAGTCAGGGTGCAAAAGACTAGAAAAGTAATAATATCAAGGTAAACAACAACTTCAATTTATACATAAATTTCTTAATTAGGCAGTGTTGATATGTCTCAGGAAGAGATTTAGGTCATATAAAGGGTGACTTTTTAAACAGTGGCATTTATCAGACTGCAGCAATGACACAATATGCAAAATGATATTCCAGTCACTAAAACCACTTAATTATAGCATAAAGGAATATAAGAATGGGAATAATTAGAATTTTGAGCTTGTGGGAATATCTATTGTCATCATACAGAAGTATTCATCTGTAATGTTCATGACATTGTATTATGAATAAATAATCAGTGTGTCAATATGGTATGGAAAGGAATAACATTCTTCAGGAATAAATTTAACTAGTTTCCTGTATGTAATATTTGGACTTAATTTTCTTACAGTTGAAGACAGTTTTATTATTTCAGATGATAATGTTTTCTTGATAAAGGGCTGTTATAATATTGCCATGCCTTGAAGGCCTGCTATTAATTTTAATAAGAATTTAATAAGTGTAAAATCCTTTGGGAATTTGCAACTGAACATTACCAGATGTTCTGTGTGAGGACAATGTGGTTTAGGTGTAACTGAAAGCGATTGTGTTATTCTTACCTTTTTGAAAGTGGTAGAGTATGCTGCTAATATAAACCTTGTTCGTGATCATGGCTCTTGCTTGGTTTACTTCTTTTTTATTCAAATTGCATCCCTTCCTATTTCTTTGATGCAAACTTTGCATTGGTTCAGAACAGATGTTGTCACTTCCCCAGTGAGTATTGGAAGAATGTAATAAAAGTTTAAGTCTTATATACTGGGGTTGGAGGAGAATAACTGTTCTCTATAGCAGTTTGACTTCACCTTATCTTTCCAAGGTTATGCACTGTACTACATTCTTGAAAGAAGGCTTCCAGCAAAGTGCCTCCTTATTATGAATGAGGACCTGTTATTGTTCAAGGAGTTCTGGAAGCCACCTTTTTTCAGCCTCACTTCTTTTATTATCCTCTTTTATCTTGCTCACTTTCATCTTACGCCTTTTCTTTTTTTTTTTTTTTTGGCTTATAAAATGAGTAAGCTGCAAGCAAGGAGGGGTAAAGGCCACATATCAGACAGTGGTGAATGCAGACTTCTATAAAGTACAAGTCTTTTGATGAGGGTTGCAAAGTAAAACACAAAGGTGCTACCATTTCTATGGAAGAGATAAAATAATGTTTTAAGGAAAATAAAGGTATGTCAAATTAAGAATTACCAAAATTAATGTTTGAGAATTTTACATGTTTATAGAGTTACAGGATGACTATCTTGATAAAGGGAAATGGCCCAAATTCAGCTGATCCTATGCTTTAGGGAACAAGGACTTTCAATGACGAAAGAAAAGGGCTTTGTTTTGGAGCATCTATTTTATTTTAAGAGGCCATATTGGCCACAGACTACAGAGACATGGAAACGTATACTGAATAAATGAAAAGAAAATTAGTTTCGTATTGGTATATAATGAAGATCAATTCCTAACAAATAGGCTGCATAAAGCAGTTCTGTGATAGCCACCAAATTATCAGCTGTCATATGTTATCTTTCAACCTTACTGTTTTTCCACAGGGAGTGACATTGTTGACCAGTTACTTTTTAACTCTCCTTTCTTACCCTTTAGGACTTCAGAATTCTCCTACTGATTCCCTATGTATGTTTTCAAGTCTTTTTCTCAGGTTGCTCTTCCTCTGTGTGACCCTTAAAAGTGGGTGTTTTGCAGAGCTTAGATCTCAGTGCTACTCATTTCTTGTGCTATGTACTTTCCTTGGGCAATATAGTTTTATGGAATCACATATTTAAAATCTCCAAATTCTATAAAGCCATTTACATGTATGGTTTTAATGGACACACATATACTTATGATCTCCAAATTTCCACCTGCAGCTCAGATCTCTTCCAAATGGTCTCTTCTTACTGAATGTTCCACTGGGATGTTCCACAACCTTCTTAAATGGCTTAAGTCTTATGTGCTGCATATTTATCCTAAACACAATGTGTTCAGAATGGAAATTTTGTATTCAATTTCATTTTCAACTTATTCCTTTTCTAGTTTACAAACTATCAAAATATTTCTACCTTCTTGACCTGGAAATCTGGGAATCATCCTAAATTACCTGTTTTCCCTTGTTTCAAAATGACCTTAATATTACGTTGGTTTAAACTATTTCCCATCTCTTACCTCTGTATTGCCCCTTTTCATTTATTTTCTTGGGCAAATCTCTTATAAATTTACATACATTATTTCAGTAGCTTTCTAACTCCCATTTTCTAATCCATCTACCCAGAATTATTTTTTGATTGCCAATATGACCATGTTTAAAATATTTCAGTGGCTTTACATAACTTGCAGGCTACAATCCAACCTCCTTTGTGACACACAAAGCATATGATTTTATGATATCCACTTATTTATTCAGTCTTCTCTTTGCTGCTCCTCTATTTTGAGCCCAGAGACCCAAACCTAATAAACATCTCTCAGTTTTTCAAATAAGCTATCTTTCCTCTTATGCTCTTTCCATTGCACACACTATTTCCCTTTTAGATATGCTTCATGAGGCTTCTATTATCCATTGTCAAGATCTAGATTAAGTATCATCCTTCTATAACATCTTCCCTGCCTCTTCCTCCTGCCTAGAATCGTTCTTTTCCTTCTTAAACCACCACAGTAATTTTTAATTTATTTACTCTCTCTTATTTCCCACTTTATGCTGCATTATAAATTCCTGAAGGCCAAGAATCTTGTCATATTAATAATAATATAGACAACAATAAAATTAATCCCACTGGTTGGTTTTGAGGACTGAGTAACAGGATGTGATATGGTTATAAAGGATCACTCTGGAAGCTGTGAATAGGCTAAGATATAAAACAAAAGACCAGCTTTTATAAGAATCCAGGTAAGATGTGTATTGATTTAAATTAGAATTGTTGTGGGAAAAATGGGAGAAAAGTTGTTGATAGGATTTGCTAAAGAATAAGTGCTGTGAGTGTGAAAAAAGATGAATGGTGACAAGGATTTTGGTCAGATCAAGCAGATGGATAGAGTAGTCACTTTCAAAGCTGAAGGGCAGTGGGAATCAATGAGTTTTGGGGGAGTGTGGGGAATCAGGAGTTGAGTTTCAACATGTGGTTTAAGACATCTATCAGATATCCAAATGAAAATATGGAGCTAGTAATTAAATATGAGTCTGAAATTTAGCGTAGAGTTCTGAGATGGTATAAATTTGGCAATTAGCATAGCATGGTCTTTCAAACCAAGAAGGAGGAGATCATTTAGAAATAAGAGTAGATAAGGAAGAAAAAACCAAGCCTTGGTGACTACAACATTTAAAGGTTATGGAGATTAAGAAAATGCAACAGAAGAGCCTGGGAGGAAGTAAGCAGTCATGTAGATAAAGCACCAAAAGAGCCAAGAGGAAGAAGTGTTTGAAGAAGGAAATGACCAAATATTTCATATGCTATTAACAAGTCATTATGAGAACACAGACTGGATCATAATTTTAAAATGAAACCTCGCCATTCATTGATTCCAGGAGTACACTTGAGAAACTTGAGAAGCACTGGTATGGGAACTCTGCATATAATATGGGAGAAAAAAACCCAAAAGTACAACACAGGAAATAAATGGGAATCTCCTAATTAATCTCAGAATACACACATGTTCATGCATGTTCCTGCACCATCAGATAAATATGAGGCAAAAAGTAACATAAGTAGAGGTAATGCCCACCCCTACAATATGTGGGAGAACTGACCAGCACATTTTCTGAAATTTTCTTCAGTAAAAATAAAGGCAACTACTATTTCAAACTCTTAAAATGTAGCTCTACTCCACAGCCTTATTGAAAATTTCTTTAAAACAATTAATTGTTGAGTGAAAGAAGTCGGAAGAAGTTTGTTTGACTTGATTAGGAATGGTAGAGTGGATTTGAGTAACATCCGATATTCACTGGCACTGTGTGAACATGCATGCATAATGACATTTTTACAAAAGGTTAATGCATGTATTTTGTAAGCATGGCTTACTTTAAAGCTGTGCAAATTTTCTCCAAGAAATAAAAGAGAAAGTCAGCCTCTATTCTATCAACGCTGAATTTAAGATTTCAAGTACAAGACAGTGGAAATACAAATGAATACATATAAATTTTTTAACTGTGAAGAATAAAATTCTTTTTTAAAAAACTGCAGTTGCTGAGTTTATTATTCCAAATTTAAAGTAATTGAAAATAAGCAATATATTTAAATGATTCTAAATTTAAATGCACAAAAGGGAAGAAATTTCTGTTCCACTAGTCTCCCCTAGTTGGTCTGTTTTTCCTCCCAAAAGGAAATCAAAATTGCTAGTTAAAATGAAGTAGTTTAAGTTCATGTAAACAGTTATTTGAGTAACTTCCACATACAGGATGCTGTGTTTAATGATGTGGTATCTGCCTTAAACATTTTTGAAAAAAATTGGATCTGGTATATGGATGACTCCAAACAATACCCATCAGTGACCAGAACTTCAAATCTGAAAGGAGAAAAAGCCAGAGGTATAGCTCTATACTGTTTCATAGTCAGTGACTCTTGGTTAGATTGGTTAGTCAGTGACTCTTGCTTAGATTGGGTAGTCAGGAAAGAGGTTTAATTGACTCACAACTTTGCATGGCTGGGGAGGCCTCAGGAAACTTAGAATCATGGTGGAAGGTGAAGGAGAAGCAAAGCTACATCTTAACTGGTGGCAGGCAAGAGAGAAGAGAGTGTGTTTGGAGGAACTGTCAGACACTTATAAAACCATCAGATTTCACAACAACTCACTCACTATTATGAGAACACTGCCCCCATGTTCCAATCATCTCCTAAGATGTCTCTCCCTCAACATGTGGGGATAATGAGGATTACAATTCAAGATGAGATTTGGGTGGGGACACAATACCTAACCATATCAAGGAGCTTCATAATAATATGGACAAAATGACACATTCTAACTTCAGCCATTCTTTTTCTTGCCCAATGGGCTCACAAACTGTCCATGGTAGTGGGAATGCAGGTTATGCATGGATTCAGCAAATGGACTTCCAGTCATCAACAGTGACTAGCTACAGGTACTGCTGAATGCCTGATCTGTCAAGAGCAGAGACCAGCATGTGGGCCCCAATATGACACCATTCATTGTGGTGGCCAGCAGCCAACTGTGACAGACTGTTACATTAGATTGCCTCCCTCATGGAAAGAGCTGGAATTTTTTCTCATTGACTCTGGATATGGATTTACCTCCCTTTTTTCAATTGTTCTTTCAAAACCACCAAACATGGACTAACCAATGACTTAGTCACTGTAATGGCAATCCCCAAACATTTCTTCTGACCAAGTGACCCATTTTAGAGCAGATAATGTGTGACAATAGGCTTATGATTGTGGAATTCACTGGTTTTACCATGTTTTCCATCAACTTGAGGTATCTGGTTTTAATAAATATGTGACGTGACATTTTGAAGACTCAGTTTTGGTGCCAGTTTGGGCAACATCTTGGAAGCTGGGATAAGGGCCATCAGAATATGGTATATGCTCTAAATTAGCCTTCAATATACGGTGGTGTTTTTCCCATAGTCAGGATTCACAAGTATAGGAATTAAGGTGTAGAAATGAAACTGAATTCTCTCACTGTTACTTTTAGTGATCTGATAGTGAAATTTTTGCTCCTTTCTCCCTAACCTTGGGTTCTGCTAGTTGAGAGGTCTTCATTACCAAGAGGTAAATTATTCCACCAGGGGCACAGGAATAGTTCTATTAAACTGGAAGTTGAGATCCCCTCAACCTTTGGCAGGTTCTTACACGTGTGGATAAACAGACAAATAAGAAGGTTACCATACTGGCTAATGGTGATTAACCCTAACTAACATGAGGAAATTGATTTTCTACTGCACAGTAGGTTAAAGAGAAGTCTGTATGGGAATGCAGGAAATCTTCTGGGAAACTTCATAGTAGTTTCAATTTCTGCAGTTAAAGTCAATGAATAAACTACAACAATTCCATACACAGAAAATGACTAATGGCCTGACCCTTGAGAAATGAAACTTTGGGTCACTCTACATGCTAAGGTGCTTGGTGTGGGCAAAGTATACATGAAATTGGCAGTGAAAGAAAGACATGATGAATATTAGCTGTTATGCATCCAGTTTTCAGAAATGAGTACTGTAATAATCACATTTTTTCCTTATTATTTTGATATGAAAATATTTGTGTCTATTTTAATAATTTTTTCCTTCTACCACTCTCCTATGATCTAACATAACAAGTAATAGTAATAGCTAACATCAAATATTAGTATTTAACTTACAGGATGTCAAAGAGGGACATGACTGTCCTAGATGGTAAATAATATCATTCAAAAAGTATGACTGCATCCTTTTTGGGGAGAGGGTTAGCATATTTTTGGTTATACAAAATACTGAATACATGATTTTGATATTGTTTTTGTATGGAAATTAAGTATGACTAAAGGGATATATATGATGCTAAATTAATAAAGGATGGACTGTGGTAATTTTATAGTATGTTCACTTAGCTAATCTGGGGCTACTTTTCCAGAATTCTCTACCCTGGGTTGGGGTTGATTATAAGAGAAATTTGTGTGGGATTTGGGAGGTAGAAGAGAAGCAGCAGCCATGTTCACACTCAGCAGGTTGGTGTAGCATCAGGCACCGTTTTAATATTTTTACATGGTTGTGGATCTGCAGGTTCGCCTCCAAGTTTTGCTGGATCTTTTTTTTTTTTTAACCTTCTTCAAACCCTGGGAAACATTTGTTCACAGCACCATGTTGAAGCACAATAGATGTGCGGAAAACTGCAGCACTGAAGTTGGAGGCCAGAGGCTTGGAGGAGATATGAGATCAGGGAAGCTTCTGGTGAAAGACAGATGAGGGTTTGTTTATCCTTGTAGACTTAAGCCTGTCCTCATGGACTCCAGGTTGTTCTTGCCTTCCCCTTATTTATATTTATCTTCCCTTCCTGACTGCTGGTCCAGTTTGTTTTAGGGCCAGACAGGGATAACAGATGGGCTTGAAGTAAATAAACCTCTAAATAATTCCTAATATTACTCATGCAGTTTCTGCTACTCTGATCAAACAAAACTAATAAATATTCAAGTCAGAAAGATACAGAAATATTCAAGTCAGAAAGATAAGATGGTATGAATATGGATATAACATATTCTATCATATTGAAATAACAAGAGAGAGAGAAAAGGAAGGAGAGAGAGAGAGGGAGGGAGAGAGAGACCCAGGGGATATTGAAAAAGATTTTGTGGAGGGAGTGGTATTTCCTGCTCTGAACCTGAAAGAATGAATGGAATTTCTACTGGCATGAGAAAAATAAAAATAGAGATAAGGAAGTTATTATCTACTGCATATTTAATGGCTTCCAGTTGTTAGTACAATGGGAAAGAAGACAGGAGCAATTCCTGATTTTTGGAATGTATCATCTAGCAGGAATGATTCTTATTGAAAATGTAATGCACTTCATCTAGTGAAGGATTCTAAGTATGTACCGCATATTTCACTCTAATTCTAACTAAATGACACTTATATGGTTAGCTGAATCTCGAATTCCCTAATATTTTCCCAATATGCTTAACTTTTGTAAGATACCACTAACAAGGTATAAGGAAGAAGTCTCTGGGCTTTTGGTTTCCTGTCCTTGATTCCCATTCTCACTCTTTCCACCAGCTGCTCTCTGTCATCTGTCTCCACTATTCTCTGAAACAGCTGTTGTACAGGCCACCAGCGCTCTAATTGCCAACTCTCACACATAAGTTGGTTTTTACTTTATTTGACATTACTTTGCTATTTGACATTGTGGTCATTCCTTTCTTCTTTAAATTATCTCAGGCCCTGACACTACTGTCTCTTGGCTTTCCTTTTATTCCTCTGCTTCTTCTTAATCTGCTCAATTTTTGTATTTAATATTTGGTTAATGGCACCTGAAAGTGCCAAAAATGACCTGAAAGTCAATTTATCACTCTTTTTATCCATCATTCTATACATCTAATTGGTGATTAAGTCCTGTGCTAATAAATTGTTGAATTCCTTTGTGATTTGTTCCCTCCTATTCAGTTTGACTCTCCCTGACTTATATTAACCCCAGAAGCCTTATTCCTCAGCCTCTACAAAACCCTTCTTTCTTATCTACCTGCCTTATTTTTATCTTTCCCTAATCCACTCTTCACATGGCTATCAGACTCATATTTCTAAAATGCAAATGTGAAAATATAAGCACTCTCCTTATTCCTCGGGGACCTCAAGATAAGTATCAAATGTCTTAAAATGACATAGAAAGCCATGTGTGATTTGGCACCTGACTACCTCTTAATATTCAAATTCTAATACATGCTCTCACACCTCCAACCATGTCAAATAACTCAAACTTCCCCAATGATTCTATAATCTCTGAATCTCTTTAAAAATAATCTTCTGCCTCTTCATCTACTCAAACACCCAATCATGCTTCAATAGTAAATTGTAAGATCGTAATTAGCTTATTCCTTTATTCAGTCAAAATTGATTGACCACCTTCAACGTGCCATATACTATTCTCTCACTCTCCTTCATAAAGCCTTCCCTTTTTAATTGCTCTGTCTTCCCTTGGCTTTCCTCCCCATTGCTTTGGGCTATCCATTGAATAGCCCTGGATATTCACTGCTATTCACTGAAATTTGGGTTGAAGTTCTCTCTTCTACAATTAACACCTTGTGCACACATGTATCTTTGCAATTAACTGTGTCGTAACTCGTGATTCCCTTTTTTGCCTCTCCTATTATATTGTAAGCTTGTTTATGGAAGGCATTGTATCTTTGTATTTTGTATGTATGTATGTATGTATGTCATTTCATTGACTAGTATGATTTCTGCTTCTTTATAATTTCTTAATACATTTTTTTCTGAATGGAGATGATTTAGAATCAAAAGACCTGATGGAATGAATTATTTCATCTCTCCGAGGCCCATCTGTAAAGCAAAATAAAGATAAAAGCAAGAGTAATGATTGCTCTGAACATTTATATGGACTCTGGGAATTCAGATGAGACATTGTAGAATAAAATATTTTTAAAATGGCAAAGAATTATTATTTTAGTTCACTTTGGTTACAAGGAGTAGGGCTGTGCAGGTAACTTCAAAGAATGGTTTTATGGAAAGAGCATAACTGCAGTTCTGCTCCAGGGCTAAGCTAAGCCTTTTTTGTCAGTCTGTGTCTACATTACCTTTATCTCTGCATTTCATAGTGTTTCTAGCACCATCACATCCTCATGCTTCTTTTGTGGATTCTATTACGTCCGCGACTGGGACTCTAGTTATCTCTACCTGGTAACTAGGGCCAGTGACTGGAGAGAGGAGAATTCACTACATAGCTCTGCCATCAGTATAATTGTCTTATGCTCTTGGATGCTCTCATTTGACACTCCTATTCTTTCACTAGTTTACTTAGCAACTCTATTTAATTTCCTTCTCATATACAATTCTTGCTTTGTACAGATACCCTTTGTACCTATTTTTCTACTTAATAGCTTCTGCTAGCTAAAAGGTTTTATCTCCTAAATAGGTTTGTTTTCTACATGACCTTTTCATAGCCTCCTAGTCTCTTTTCTACATATTTCTTTAATTTCAATCATAGAAATATTAGTTATCTCTATATTTTCAATTTCAGATTCTAAATAATTGACCAAGCTTTGGACTAAATTCTTTTATGCTAGATCACCTCACTGATCTGCTCAGCTTGTCCATAAGATGTCCATGCCAGGTCATATCTTCTGCAATATAGTGTTGAGTCACATGGTGGTTGACAATGGCCTCAAATATCAGGGCTTGACTGGCTGACAAAATGATTGACACATTTAGTATAATTTTATAAGCCTAGAATTTGTTGTTGAATAATGATGATGATGATGGAATTTATACAGCTATATATTACTAAACTGATGAAAAATACTTTAGCAGAAGTGTGATTAATTGGGTATTCTTATATACAGGCATACCTCATTTTATTGTGCTTTGTAGACACATTTTTTACAGATTGAAAGTTTGTGACAACCCTGCTTTAAGCAAGTCTGTTGGTGCTGTTTTTCCAACAGTTTGTGTTCCCTACCTGTCTCTGTGTCACATTTTGGTAATTCTTACAATATTTCAAGCTTTTTCATTATTATTATATCTGTTATGGTGACCTGCTATCAGTGATCTTTGATGCTACTATTATAATTGTTTAGGCACACCATAAACTGCACTTATATAAGACAGGGAACTTAATCGATAAATGTTATATGTGTTCCGACTGCTCTATCAACCAGCCTTTTCTCATTTCTCTCCCTCTCCTCAGGCCTCTCTATTCCCTGAGACACAACAATATTAAAATCAGGCCAATTAATAACCCCATAGTGGCCTCCAAGTCTTCAAGTAAAAGGAAGAGTTGAATGTCTCTCAATTTAAATCATAACCTAGAAATGATTAAGCTAAGTGAGAAAGGCATGTCAAAAGCAGAAATAGGCTGAAATCTAGGCCTTTTGTGTCAAATGGTTGGCCAAATTGCGAATGCAAAGGAAAAGTTCTTGAAGGAAATTAAAAGTGCTACTCCAGTGAACACACAAATGATAAAAAAGTGAAACAGCCTTATTGCTGGTATGGAGAAAGTTCTAGTGGTCTGGATAGATTAAACCAACCTCAACATTCCCTGAAGCCAAAGTATAATTCAAAGTTAGGCTTTAACTTTCTTCAGTTTCATGAAGGCTGAGAGATATGAGGAAGCTGCAAAAGAATAGTTTGATGCCAGCATAGGTTTATTCATGAGGTTTAAGGAAAGAAGCTGTCACCAGTGCGAGGTGAAGCAGCAAGTGCTGATGTGGAGTGGCAGTAAGCTATTGAGAAGATCTGGTTAATATGGTTGATGAAAATGGCTACACTAATCAACAGATTTTCAGTGTAGACAAAACAGCATTATATTGGAAGAAGGCACCATGTATGACTTTCATAAATAGAAAGGAATAGTCAATGCTCGGCTTCAAAGCTTCAAAAGACAGGCTGACTTTTGCTGGGGCCTATGTGGCTGGTGGTTTTAAGTTGAAGCCAATGCTCATTTACCATTCTGAAAATCCTAGGGCCCTTAAGAATTACCTACTCTTCCTATAGATTGAAATAAAACATTAAAGCCTGAATGACAACACATTTTTTTACAGCATGGTTTACTGAATATTTTAAGCCTTCAGTTGAGACCTACTGCTCAAAATATTACTGCTTAAGGGCAATGCACCAGGTCATCCAAGAGCTCTGATGAAGATGTATGAGGAGATTAATGTTTTTGTGTCGCTAACACAATACCCATTGTGCAGCCCATGGATCAAAGAGTAATGAAAATTTTCAAGTTTTATTAAGAGATATATTTTGTAAGTCTTTAGCTGCCATAGATGGGTGATTCCTCTGATTAATCAGGGCAAAGAAAATTGAAAATCTTGTGAAAAGATTGAACAGTTTAGATGCCATTAAGAACATTCATGATTCAGGGCAGGTCAAAATATCAATATTAACAGGAGTTTAGAAGAAGTTGGTTCTAGCCTTAATGAATGACTTTGAGGGGTTTGAAACTTCAGTGGATGAAATAACTGCAGATGTGGTAGAAATAGAAAGATAACTGGAATTATAAGTGGGGCCTGAAGAGGCAACTAATTTTCAGCTATTGCATAAAAAATCTTGAAAGGATGAAGTATTGCTTTTTATGGCTAACAAAGACAGTGGTTTCTTGAGATTGAGTCTACTTTTGGGGAAGATGCTATGAACACTGTTGAAATGACAACAAAGGATTTATAATATTACGTAAACTTATTTGATAAAATAGCAGCAGGCCTTGAGAGAATTGACTCCAATTTGGAAAGAAGTTCTACTGCCAGGAAAATGTCATCAACATTGCATGCTATAGAGAAATCATTCATGAAAAGACAATCAATTGATCCAGTACACTTTATTGTTGTCTGTTTTTAAGAAATTGCCACAGCTAACAGTCAGCCACAACAATGCTCATCAGTCAGCAGCCATCAATATCAAGGCAAGACCCTCCACCAGCAAAAAGACTGTGACTCACTGAAGGCTCAGATAGTCATTAACATTTTAAAGCAACAAAGTATTTTTAAATTCAGACATCATCCTATTGCACACTTAATAGACTACATTTTTTTGACATCATTCTATTGCACACTTAATATACTACAGTATAGTGTAAATGTAACTTTTATATACGCATTTGGAAAGCAAAAAAAAAAAAACTGTGTGGTTTGCTTTACTGAGATATTCACTTTATTTGGTGGTCTGAAATCAAACCCACGATGTCTCTGAGGTATGGCTGTATTGTCCACAAAAGTAAAATTGGCTCAGCTCATCTAGAACTCATATTTGTTATATGTTTTAGGAGTCTTTCCTAAATTTATATCTTTATTTCCATTTTCAGGACTGTTAAGCACATCCGTATGAGAGACCACCTGAGCAGGCTTAGTGTGAGCAACAAGGCTGTCTATTCACTTGGATGCAAGTGGGCTGAGTCCGAGAAAGGAGTCAGCAAAGAGTGGTGGGATTATCATTGGTTCTTACAGGTTTGGGATAGGCGGTGGAATTAGGAGCAGATTTTTCGTGCAGTGGATGGATGTTACAAAGTACATTCACAAGAGTTGGTAGGGGGGTGTGTATTGTCACAAGAGAGAAGAGGAATGTTACAAAGTACATTCTCAAGGGTGGCGGGGGTGTATTGTCACAGGGGCGGAGAGGAATGTTACAAAGTACATTCACAAGGGCAGGGAGGGTGTATTGTCACAAGGGTGGGGAGGAATGTTACAAAGTACATTCACAAGCATGGGGAATACCACAAAGTGTATTATCACAAGGGCTGGGGAATGTCATGAAGGCTTGACCATGGTGCAGCCAGCTCAGAGGACCTTACAATAACTATTTCTGAGAAAACAGGAAATAAACAGAGATATTTGCAAAACTATATACAAAGACATTTGTTGATATGTGGTTTGTGATAGTGAAACATTAGAAGAAATAGATTTCAAATGGTTAGAAACCATTAGTCAAGGATTTTCTCTTTGTCAACTGCTCTGTTTTCGGTACTAGAACGGTAACGAACACATAGGAAATGTGCAATAAATACTTGATAAATAAATGCATGTTGAATCTTTATTATGGACAACTGGTCAGTCATTAAAGATAATGCAATCCTAAAATGTTTGATATCATAAAAAAGAGGACTCATATTATCAACAGATAAGGTAGGAGTGCTCTGTCTCTCTTCCTCTGAGAAAAGAATAAACAAAATCTTAAGTATATTTATTTCATGGAATAAAATTACAGGTGATCTTTTCCATTATCTTCTTTTTTGTGTTCTTTTCAAAAATTCATAAAAGTACATGTATTATTTTTAGCCAGAAATATACAGTATATTTTCTGATATTTTCTTTGATTTTTCTGATTCATCCTTAGGCACAGTAAGAGAGAAGAGAAAATAACTACTCCATGTTAAGTTTCTGCTGCGCAGTATAATTTTACATCTACATAAATTTTCATAGAATCCTCCCAATTATATAGAGTAAGAAACATCCCAAACAGTTAAGTTACTTACCCAAGATTGCACAGCTAATTACACAGCAGGGATTTAAACATAATTCATTCTAATTCCAGAGCCTGTTTTCTTAAGCACTAATCTACACTGATGCTGACTAACCTTTCTTGATTAAGCCAGCCCTCCCCGATTTTTCCCTTCATTGAAGCTACATGTTAATTTGACCAGTACATTCATTACTTGGTTATATTCTAATTGCTTTGCATAATTTAGATTTGTGTTCTTAACTAAAGAGTTTTTTTAAGCAAAAGCAATATTTTATATTCCTTCATATTTTTCTAACATCTATCACACCTATAAGTACTGTGTAATTATTATTTTTAATGAATCTATAAAAGCAAGAAAAATTAAAAATGTGAATAGATGTAATTTTTTTGCTTTATATAGGCTAGTTATTGCCAATATTCCTATGAACTTCAAATATACTATCCTGTGGGTTTTAAATTTTATTCTTGTCATTTTATATTCATTGAAGGCCTCAAAAGTTCAGTTCTTCATATTATATAGAAACATAAAATCTGTACTGCTTAGTTTACCTTCCAAGGCATTTTTTTTTTTTTTTTTTTTTTTTTTTTTTTTTTTTTGAGACGGAGTCTCGCTCTGTCGCCCAGGCCGGACTGCGGACTGCAGTGGCGCAATCTCGCCTCACTGCAAGCTCCGCTTCCCGGGTTCACGCCATTCTCCTGCCTCAGCCTCCCGAGTAGCTGGGACTACAGGCGCCCGCCACCGCGCCCGGCTAATTTTTTGTATTTTTAGTAGAGACGGGGTTTCACCTGGCATTTTTTTTTTTAACCTTTTTTTTTTTTTTTTGAGATGATATCTTCCTCTGTCACCCAGTCTGGAGTGCAGTAGCATGATCTCGACTCACTGCAGCCTCTGCCTCTCGGGTCCCAGAGATTCTCCTGCCTCAGCCTCCTGGGTAGCTGGGATTACATGCACATGCCACCATGCCTGGCTAATTTTTGTATTTTTAGTAGAGAGGGGGTTTTACCATGTTGGCCAGGCTGGTCTCGAACTCCTGACCTCCATTGATCAGCCCACCTCGGCCTCCAAAAGTGCTTGGATTACAGGTGTGAGCCACCACGCCTGGCCAACATTCTTTAATTGTAGCCTGGTCATTCGAATCCTACTATTTCTCCTTTTACATACCTCACTTAGGTTCATATGAACTACTATTTCCTGAGTGCTCCAAGATTCCTTCCTCTATGCTATTGCTCATGCTATTTCATTAGCCTGAAACAGTCCTGCAAATAATCTCCAAATGTTCGTATCTTACGTATCTTTTAAGGCCTGTGACTTATTCAGTCTCTTCCTTGAAGCTTTCTCTGATAACCTTGACTCATAGTAATCTTTCCTTTTTCTGAATTTTGATATCACTTATCTGTCATTTCACTTTATGTGTGTGTATATATATATCTTATACTATATATGCAGTATACATACATTGTGTATATGGTACATATATATAGTGTATGTGTGTGTGTATATACACATATGCACATGTGTACGTGTATAGTGGTGAAAAATACAACGTGAAACCACATGAAATTTTGTTGAGGACAAAATTTTATCCTCAACAAAATTTTAAGTGTGAAGTACAATATTGTTAAGTATATTCACGTTGTTTTAAAGCACATCTCTAGAACTTTTTTACCTTTCATGACTGGAACTCTATATTCATTGGAACAGCAACTCCCCATTTCCCTCCCCTTTCAAACTCTGGCAGCCATCATCCTACTTTCTGCTTCTTTGAGTTTGACTACTTAAGATATCTTACGTAAGTGGAATTATACAGTATTTGTCCTTCTGTGACTGTTATTTCACTTAGCATGATGTCCTCGAGGTTCATCCACGTTGTAGCATATGACAGAATTTCCTTCATTTTTAAGGCTAAATAATATTCCATTGAATGTATATCCCATATTTCCTTTACTCATTCATCTGTCAATGGACATTTATATTGTTTCTACCTTTAGCTATTGTGAAAATTGCTTCAGTGAACATAGGAGTACAAATATCTCTTCCAGATCCTAATTTTAATTTCTCGGGATAAATACTCAGATATGGGATTGCTGGATCAAATGGTAGTTCTATCTTTAGTTTGCTGAGGAAATTTTATACTTCCTTCCATAGTGGCTGATGCATTTTCTATTCCCACCAATGGTATACAAGGGTTTCCTTTTCTCCACATCCTTGCCAACACTTGTTATTTTCTGTTTTTTGGATAATGACCACCCTGACAGGTGTGATGAAGTATTTCATTGTGGTTTTGATTTACTTTTCTCTGATGATTAGTAATGTTGATCATCTTTTCATATGGCTGTTAACCATGTCTATGTCTTCTTTGGGGAAATGTCTATTCAAGTCCTTTACTTGTTTTTAAAAATCAGGTCTTTTTTTTTGGCTACTGAGTTGTGGGAGTTCCCTATATTTTGGATATTAATTTTTTAATAGACATATAGCTTGTAGTTTTTTTTTCCATTCTATAGGTTGCCTTTTTACTATATTGATTATTTCCCATAATGTGTAGAACCTTTTTAATTTGATGCAGTCCCACTGGTCTATTTTTGCTTTTGTTTCCCTTGCTTTTAGTGTCATATCTAAGAAATTATTGCCAAAGTCAATATTATGAAGCTTGTTTTATGTTTGTTTTCTAGGAGTTTTATAATTTCAGGTCTTACATTTGATTCTAATCCATTTTTAGTTGCTCATTGTGTGTGTGTGCAAAATACTGGTCCAATTTCATTATTTTGCATGTAAATATCCAGCTTTCCCAAAATCATTTATTGGAGAGACTGTCCTTTCCCATTGTGGAGTTTTTGCACCTTCTCCATTGTATAATCTTGACACCCTTGTCATAGACCATTTGACTAGATATGCCTGGGTTTATTATCAGCCTCTGTATGTTGTTTCATTGGCCTGTATATCTGTCTTTAAGCTAGCATGGCTCTTATAATTTTTAACTTTGTATTAAAATTAGCTAATAAAAGACTCAGCATGCCTGATATTTCCCCCTACTAAATAGTACATTTTTAAAGTTTGCCACGTTCACATATAGACCATGGAATACTATGCAGCCATAAAAAATGATGAGTTCATGTCCTTTGCAGGGACATGGATGAAGCTGGAAACCATCATTTCTGAGCAAACTATCGCAAGGACATAAAACCAAATACCGCATGTTCTCACTCATAGGTGGAAGTTGAAACAATGAGAACACATGGATACAGGGTGGGGAACATCACACACCAGGGCCTGTCAGGGGGTGGAGGACTGGGGGAGGGATAGCATTAGGAGAAATACCTAATGGAAATGACGAGTTGATGGGTGCAGCACACCAACATGGTACATGTATGCCTATGTAACCTGCACGTTGTGCACATGTACCCTAGAACTTAAAGTACAATTTAAAAAAAGGTTGCCACATTATAATTTATTATTATATCCCTCCTACTAATTTTCATAATTGTGAGTGCTCAACAGATTTTTTTGAATAAAAAAATTTATTTTTTTTACTTCTATTATTATGGCTTATAAAGACAGATTTTTAATAATCACAAAATTAGCATTATTTCCCCTTCTCCACCCACCCTTTTTCTTTACAGCTATACTCATGGCTATACCCTGGATTACTTCCTGTTTCTCTTTTAGCTTAATAAGTCCACTTTCAATAAATAATCTTTTAAAAATTAATTCAAGTATCATGACCATCAAACATTTTAAAAATGTTTAGGAAATATTGACAATTTTTTTACATGTTTGTATTATGAAAAATAAATATGATCAATAAAGAAAACACAAGTTTTTAAAAAAAATTCAGAATATTGAATTTACTATTGGTATTTAAAAGATATGCTGAATAGCTCAACAGCATTTATTTCCAAATAAGTAAAATAAAAAAGAAAAGGAAGAGCAATAAAGTGAGAAAGAAAAAGAACTGTAGAGTTGGCTTTACACTGCAGAAATATTTTGTTTCATATTTACCCCATATTGCTGGGAATTGTGTTTTTTATATCATATATATATACACACACACATATATACTTATATATACACAAACACAAATGTATACATATTATATAATGTTTTAGTATCTATAGATGTAATATATAATACATACATTTACATATATATAATGTTGTTACTACCAGATTCTTCACAATTTATTAAAGGTGATTGTAAATAGTGACTGAATCTAGAATAATGCCTTGTGGCATGCCTTGTTCATGTAATTCTCTACCTCAAGTTACTATTGTATTCTCATTTTTGCCTTTCACCTTTTATTCTATTTTCTGTCTGAAGTTTCATACACTGGACTTGGTTATTAAAGATTAATTTTATAAGTAACATTTTGAAAAATACGTTAAACACCTTTTAAAGTATACATAACATTATGAATCAAGAATTTGGTAAGATCATTCTATTGCCACCCAAATTAAAAATCAAAATTCTGCAGCTAGGATCATGGAGAAATATACTTCTCTCATGAGAAATATGTATTCATATTTTTTCATGTTTTGTAGTCACATTTTGTAGAACCCTTAAGGCTAGGAAATGGGAAATAAATTCAAGACCCTGGATTTTCTTGTGTCTGGAAGAGGGAAGTGTCTTAGATCCAACTGTGTACCTGAAAACATCTTATTTTGCATTTTAAAATATTTGAATTTTACTTTAATTTTGGTTTCTCATTTATCTCTTCTATATTTTAGCATATGTAATTCTTGCTGCTTGAATTACCATTTCCCTTCTATCTCATTGCAAGAATCAAAACCCTCTAATAAAGAAAGTTAACTTTCTGAGTTTAGATCTCATGGAATACAGGAAAAATCTGACATGGTTGACAAGGAAGACTTTGAAAAGGGCAACAATTAGTGGATTTCAGGGAGAAGGTTTTCTCAAAATTTATTCCCATCCTTCACTATTCAGTTGGTTCAGCTGCTAACATTGCTTCCATGTCTCTCAGTTTATCTTATTGAGAAATAGCAGAGAGAAGATAATTTTCCTATCTTGAATCAGACATTCCTTTTCATTCAGTTGCCTATGAACAGGAAGGCATAGTCTCATCCATTAAGCTGGGGGAAAATAAGGGGTAACTTTAATAAATTTACAAAATTGTTGTGTCCTTAAAGACCTGTCTAACATGGTGCTTCTCTGACCCCTGGTATATCTATTTCCCACCAGTTACTTATTCCTTGGGTTTCTACAATTTCAGCACAAATTTCTGCCGTAACACTTTATCATTGCTTTATCTGACTTGTTGGCATGTAGGCTCCTTCATAGTAGGAGCACATTTTATTCATATTTACTCTCCTAATGCCTATCAAAGTGTTTGGCATATAGCAATTGAGAAGTAAAATATGTAATGAATGGATAAATTTAGCTAGAAGATAGTAAATGCCCATTGCCCAGTGAACTAACATTGGACTGCACATGTATTCCATTATAGCTGAACATACTCTGTGAGTAGACATAACTTCTTTTAAAGGAAAAAGTGGAAACAGTGTGCACTTATTTTATGGTTGCCTTCATAACTATAACCTCCATAGATCAGGTTGATATAATACTTGGCCTTCTGGCAGGCATATGTTTTATTTTTAGAATTTAGGAAGAATCTGATTTTTGCCATCAAATATAGTTTTTACAGGAGAATTGTGTTTGTGTTTGTGTATGTGTGTGTTTTACCTCTTTCTAAAGAACTATTGAGTTTTCTCTGCTCTTTTGTAACCAGCAATTCTCAAATCAGACAAGTAGAGTTTATTTGTAGGTTTAGAAATAGATATCTCAATTCCAATAGAAATATTAAAGCATTCAGATTCTACTATCTAGTAGATACTATTTTTTAAAGCCATACTTTTTGTTGAAAATGAGTTATCAGGTTAGTTGTAGAGCTATTTATATATGTGTTGTGTATATAAATGCGTGTGTATATATTTAAGACATATTCATGATATACATATATATTTAAGATATAGACACATATTTATATTTAAGAGGAATTAGCCTATATATATTAAAGTCAGTGTATCATTATTTTAGAGTAGTTTTTTTAGATTTAAGCCCCCAATATTTAATAAATAAGAGCATTTTTAATTTTTAGAATAATTTGTTAATTTAAGACAAATGTTTCTTAGTTTTTTTTACTAAAGACTTTGCAATCTAGTTTAATTCCTAAAAGAGGCCAACAACCAAACATATTCATTTTTTATCTCAAGAATGTAGCTGTACGCTTGATATCCATTAAATATGTACTGAATTTGAATGAATAAGTTGCCATTATATGAAAATGACCTATTATCAAAACATAACAGAGCAGATAAAGTGATGATATTTTGATTGGCAGAGAGCAATTTCTAATTAATTGAAATGATCAGGGGAAAAGGTGGCTATATTAGGTTTACATTTAAACTGATAATGTGAGTAAGCAAAGGAAGAGCAGATTCTTAAAATGAGAGTTTGCTTTTAGGGGCTGTGGACAATGGGAATTTGATAAAGTCGGCATATAATTTTGTTCAGACTAAGGTCTTAAAAATCATTTTTTGTTTCCTTTATCTACTATGTAACTCTCCCACCATCTGAGTCTATTATTCTCTCAAAAAGCATCTTTGACTTATATACTAATCTAATATTAAGAGTATAGCTAGATGTAATTTACTTTTCACCTAATTTCTTAACTTCTCTTGATGTCACTATTTTTTCGTAAACAAACACTTAACATAGTCTTTACAATGTGGCAACCACTATTATAGGCTCTTAATACATATTTCAATCCCATAACAATTCTTTGAGGTAGGTACTATCATCATTCTTATTTTACAGACAAGAATCCAAAGCATCCCAGAGAGGTTAAGTGCCTAAGTGAGAAATTGGCTAGGAAGTGGTAGGACCGGAATTTGAAGCCAGCTGATCTGGACCGGAAGTCTAGGCTCTTAACCACTAGCCTTTCTGCATTTGGGACATGCAAAAACAGCATTTTCCAGAGGTCATTCTTCAGAATACTATATCATGAGACACTGTGAAAGAAACCTCTACATCTAAACTAGTTTGGCAACTGTCTTAGACCGTATACACTTTATAAGAGTTTCCTATTGCTACTATAACAAACTGCCACCAATTTAGTGAATTAAGACAGTACAAATCTGCCTTCTTACAGTTTGAGAGATCAGAAGTCCTAAAATTAAGGTTTGGGCAGGGCTGTATTCATTCCGGCGGTTGTAAGGAACAATGTATTTCCTTGTCTTTTTCTAGCTTCTACAGGCTTCCCGCATTCCATCATTCCTGGACTCTTCCTCTATCTTCAAAGTCAGCAGTTTAACATCTGGGAACACCCAGATAATCCAAAATAAATTTCTTCCCATCTGAAATTCCCTAACTTAACCATATCTGCAAAGTTTCTTTTGCTATGTAAGGTAACATATTCACAGATTCAAGAAATTAGGATACAGACATAATCAGAGGCCATTATTTTTTCTACCACACACTTGTGCAATCACAATTTATTGAAATATATGAGAATTTATTCAGTACTGAAGCTTTTGCCTCTCTAAAGTTCACATGCAGGCTATATCATCATTTATAGTACCACAGAACAGAAAAGCACTGCTAATTAAATTGTGATAACAACTTTCTGCAACTAATTTTATTGTATATGTATCAAAAGTTTATTTTAGATTTAGACATATATCTTAATCATATATTGCTCTAGTAAAGTTTTTTACAATTAAATGAGATAAATATGTTAAGGTATTCTTAAAACTTTTCATTCAAGGATAAATATGTTAAGGTATTCCTAAAACTTTGCATTCAGAATCTCTCTCTTCTAAATGACTTCTAACCCATTATTGTTGATATTTGTGGGTTTTTTCCTCACAATATTGTCATCTGTGCAGTCTACAGTGTTGGTGATGTAGCATTGAAAAAAAAACGAACAAAAGTAAAACAAATTAAACAAACAACAAAAGAAAACAGTAACATAACTAAAACCTGCACTCTTAAATTGACTTCAGTGTTTTGTAGAGTTAGCCTACTTTTGTCTAGTATTTTGGGAAAGTTGTTAATAACCTCTGATTCATCACTTTTCTCACCCTGTCCCATAACTGGTTGATTTATAGAAGTTAAAAAAAGATTTACTATTGATTATAGTATTTTATTCCAAGATACTGAAGTCCATTTTGCAAGTTTTGATAGCAATGTTTTTTGGTTCAGGTATACAAACAGAATGACATAATTTACCATTTGGCTGATTGCAATTGCAAAGTTTCAGGTATTTTTTAGAAGTATAAGCCCTAAAATTGACAAAATATGACAGCATTTCACCTTAAATAATTTTTTTGGATAGTGGGAAAGTAAAAGTACTACAGTAATATTTTTGGACTGTCAGGGAGTGTGGTGAGTCAGTTGTGATTTGAGGTCCTAAATTTAATGTGAGATTACCAAATGATGATGTATTTCTTTCTCTGGAACATGAAGATATTCAAGTAAAGTGCAGAAATTAGGAGGTTAGCTGGACTTCCTTTGGATTGGGGCAATGCAAGATTAATATTGTGGAGAAAGGAAGGGGAGCACTAGTTAAGGGGATTTTCAGAGGAATGATTATGATGATGACCCACATAATATCAGCAGGATTAGGAAATAAAGAGGACATGGGTGGATAATTGCTTTGAAAAAGAAGTAGAATCTATATTTGTGGGGGGGTTGTCTAAATTTGTCAAATAAATGTAGAAATGGAAAGACAGTATCTGTAGTGGTTGAGAACAGGTTCTCGAATCAGATTGTCTTGGTTTGAACTGAGACTGCTGCTTATGTGCATGTGCTAGCAAAGTTAATTTAACACTTCTGTGATATGAAATAATGGAATAAAATAGTTAACAGGATAAAGATAGTTCCTGTTTTATTGCCTCAAAAGTGTTATATAAATTAATATGTATACACAGCACTGAATTCAGTGTCTGACACATAGTAACTACTCAATACATAAGTAATTAATTTTTTATTAATAATATAAAGTATTTTGTAACATTTTATTAATAACAGAATTTTTCCTGAGGAGGTGAGTTAGAAGGTTAGGAAGTCATAGTTTGAAAGAAAGTTGCCTGAAATAAAAGATGTGAAGATAGAAGTTGATGGCTGCGGTAATACGAAGACAAAGATGACTAGAGGTGAGGTAATCAAGGAACCAAGGACAAGGTTGTTAGAAAGATTGTGTTGCTCAGAAAGTCACCACTTATCAGCTTGCACTGTAATTTGAAAGTTTGTCCTCTCCAAATCTCATGTTGAAATTTGAATTGAAATGGAGCAAAAGTCACTCTTGTTATGCCATAGCAAAGAACTTGGTTGCATTATGTCCATGCCTTCAGGCTCTTTAGAAGGATGAACTTAAGAGTGATGACCTAGAGTATCCAGTAGAATAAAATTTCTGAGAAGCAAAGCATTCAAGAAGTGGCATGATTACACTTATCAACTTATGTTCAGACATGGCAGGAAAGGAATGATATAAAAGTGGAATTTATAATTTAAAAAGAAATAGAGCATAAAACTTTGGAAAATTTGCAGCATGCCATGTGGTAGAAAAGGGAAGAGCATTTTCAAGAGAGAAATCCAAGGATGCTGCAGAGCAACCACTTGCTGCTAGAAAGATTAGTGTGAATGAAAGGGAGCCAGGTGCTGATAGTAAAAACAATTGTTAAAAGGCCCCAAGGCATTCCAAAAATCTTCGAGGCTGCCTCTCTCATCACCTCCCCAGAGACCTTGGAGGACAGGCCTGGGACACCACTACCCTGCACCTGCACTGCCTTAGGATTCTTCCTACATCCCAGATTTTCTGGCTCCAGGCTTGACTCAAAGGGTCCCAGGTACTACTCAAGCTGCTACTCCAAAGGGTGCAAGCTATAAGCCTTGGAAGCTTCCATGTGTTGTTAAGTCTGCAGGTGCCCAGAATGTATGAGTGGCAGAGGCTTGGCGGCTTCCACCTAGATTTTAGAGGATGTATCAGAAGACCTGGGTTCCAAGCAAGTATCTGCCACTGATGAGAGCTACCACAGAGAGCAACTACTAGGGTAGTGCCTAGTGGGGCTGTGGGAATAGAGCTGCTGCAGGAGCCCCAGAGTTATAGATCCAACAGAAGTATACCAACTCAACCTGGAAAAACCTGGAATAGCTACAGGCACCAGAATCCAACAAGTAAAAGCAGATATGTGGGCTGCATCTAGCAAAGCCATGGGGTCACAGCTGCCCAGTGCTTTGGGAGCCCACCCCTCACATCAGTGTGCCCAGGATGTTAAACATGGAGTGAATGGGGGATTATTTTGGAACTTAAGATTTAATGTCTGCATTAAATGAAGCTGAAATAAAGACAAAAACAAAAAATACAAAAGATACATGAAACAAAAGCTGGTTCTTTGAAAAGATAAATAAAATGGATAGACCATTAGCAAGATTAACCAAGAAGAAAGGACAAGAATCCAAATAAGCTCAATTAGAAACAAAATAGGAGATATTACTACTGACACCACAGAAATTCAAGAGACCATTCAATGCTACTATGAACACCTTTACGTGCATAAAGTAGAAAACCTAGAGGAGATGGGTAAATTCCTGGAAAGATATAACCTTCCTATCTTAAATCAGGAAGAATTAGATACCCTGAACAGACCAATAACAAGCAGCAAGATCGAAATGGTAATAAAAAAAGGTTACCAACAAAAAAAAGTCCAGGACCAGAGAGATTCACAGCTGAATTCTACTAGACATTCCAAGAAGATTTGGTACAATCCTATTGCCACTATTCCACAAGATAAAGAGGGAATCCTTTCTAAATCATTCTATGAAGCCAGTATCAGTATAATACCAAAACCAGGAAAGGGCATAACCAAAAAGAACACTACAGACCAATATCCCTGATTAACATAGATGCAAAAATCCTTAACAAAATACTAGCTAACCAAATCCAACCACATATAATCTACCATGATCAAGTGGGTTTCATACAAGGAATGCAGGGATGGTTTAGCATATGCAAGTCAATAAATGTGATATGCCTCATAAACAGAATTAAAAACAAAAATCACATGGTTATCTCAATAGATGCAGAAAAAGCAATCAACAAAATCCAGCATCGCTTTATGATTAAAACTCTCAACAAAATTGGTGTACAAAGCAAATACCTCAACTGAATAAAAGCTATCAATGACAAACCCACAGGCAACGTAAAACTGAATGGGGAAAAGTTGAAAGCATTTCCTCTGAGAACCAGAACAAGACAAGGATGCCCACTCTCACCACCTCTATTCAACATAGTACTGGAAGTCCTAGCCAGAGCAATCAGACAAGATAAAGAAATAAAGGGCATCTAAATTGGTAAAGAGGAAGTCAAACTGTCACTGTTTGCTGATGATACGATTGTATACCTACAAAACCCTAAAGATTCCTCAGAAAAGCTCCTAGAACTGATCAAAGAATTCAGCAAAGTTTCAGGATACAAAATTAATGTACACGAATCAGTAGCTCTCTATATACCAACAGTGACCAAGATGAAAATCAAATCAAGAACTCAACTCCTTTTACAACAGCAAAAAACAAAAACAAAAACAAAACAAACAAAAAACTTAGGAACATACATAACCAAGGAGGTAAAAGACCTCTACAAGGAAAACTACAAAACACTGCTGAAAGAAATCAGGTGACACGAACAAATGGAAACACATCCCCATCCTCATGGATGGGTAGAATCAATATTGTGAAAATGACCATACTGCCAAAAGTAATCTAAAAATTCACTGCTATTCCCATCAAAATACCACCATCATTCTTCACAGAACTAGAAAAAAAATGCTTGAATTCATATGGAACCAAAAAACAGCCTAGATAGCCACAGCAAGACTAATCTAAAGGAACAAATCTGGAGGCATCACATTACCTGACTTCAAACTATACTATAAGGCCATAGCACTAAATCAGCATGGCACTGGTATAAAACTAGGCACACAGACCAATGGAACAGAAGAGAGAACCCAGAAATAAACCCAAATACTTACAGCCACTGATCTTCAACAAAGAGTCAAAAACAAAAAGTGGGGAAAGGACATCCTATTCAACAAATGCTGCTCAGATAATTGGGAAGCCACGTGAAGGAGAATGAAACTGGATCCTCATCTCTCATCTTATGCAAAAGTCAACTCAAGACAGATCAAGGACTTAAATCTATAACCTGAAACTATAAAAATTCTAGAAGATAACATTGGAAAAAACCTTCTAGTCTTTGGCTTAGGCAAGGATTCCATGTCCAAGAAGCCAACAAAATGCAATAAAAACAAAGATAAATAGTTAGGACTTTATTAAACTAAGAGCTTTCACATGGCAAAAGGAACAGTCAGTGGAGTAAACAGACAACCCACAGAGTGGGAGAAACTCTTCACAATCTATACATCTGACAAAGGACTAATATCCAGAATCTCTAACAAACTCAAACAAATTAGCAAGAAAAAAAATAATCCTATCAAAAAGTGGGCTAAGAACATGAATAGACAATTCTCAAAAGAAGATATACAAATGGCCAAAAAATACTCACCATCACTAAAGATCAGGGAAATGCAAATCATAACCACAATGCGATGCCACCTGACTCCTGAAAGAATGGCCATTATCAAAAAATAAAAAAATAATAGATGTTGGTGTGGATGTAGTGAAAAGGGAACACTTCTACACTGCAGATGGGAATGCAAACAACTACAACCACTATGGAAAACGTGTGGAAATTCCTTAAAGAACTAAAAGTAGAACTCCCCTTTGATTGAGGAATCTCACTACTGTGTATCTATCCAGAGGCAAATAAGTCATTACACGAAAAAGATACTTGCACACTCATGTTTATGGCAGGCAATTCGCAATTGCAAAAATGTGGAATCAGCCCAAATGCCCATAAATCAATAAGTGGATAAAGAAACTGTGGTATGTATATACATATACAATGAAATACTAAGCCATAAAAAAATTAATGGCATTTGCAGCAACCTGGATGGGATTGGAGACTATCATTCTAAGTGAAGTAACTCAGGAATGGAAAACCAAACATCGTATGTTCTCACTCATAAGTGGGAGATAAGCTATGAGGATGAAAAGGCATAAGAATGACACAATGGACTTTGGGGACTCAGGGGAAAAGGTTGGGAAGGGGGTGAGGGATAAAAGACCACACATTGAGTTCAGTATATACTGCTCGGGAAATGGGGTCACCAAAATCTCACAAATCACCACTAAAGAACTTATGTAACCAAATACCACCTGTTCCCCAAAAACCTATGGGAATAAAAAGTTAATAATAAAAACAGATAAGACATTTAATGTCTGTTTTGCTGGGTTTCAGACTTGCATAGGGTCTGTTACCCCTTTTATGACTGATTTCTCCCTTTTGGAATGGGACTGTTTACTTTGGAATGATACAACCATTGTATCTTGGAAGTAAATCGCTTGTTACTGATTTTACAGGCTCATAGCTGGCAGACACTTGCTTTAAGTCTCAGATGAAACTTTAAACTTTGAATTTTTGAGTTGATGCTAAAAAAAGTTAAGACTTTTGGGGACTTTTAGGAAGGGATTTTGTTTTGCAATGTGAGAAAAACATGAGATCTGGGGTTCCAGGAGTGAAATGCTGTAGTTTGGATGTTTGTCCCTTCTAAATCTCATGTTGATGATCCATAGTGTTGGAGGTTAGGCCTAATGCAAGGTGTTTGTTGGGGTCATGGGAGTGAATCCCTCATAAATAGATTAATGTTTTCTTTTTTTTTTTTTTTTTTTTTTTTTTTTTTTTGAGACGGAGTCTCACTCTGTCGCCCAGGCTGGAGTGCAGTGGCGCGATCTCTGCTCACTGCAAGCTCCGCCTCCCGGGTTCACGCCATTCTCCCGCCTCAGCCTCCTGAGTAGCTGGGACTACAGGCACTCGCCACCAGGCCCGGCTAATTTTTTGTGTTTTTAGTAGAGACGGGGTTTCACCGTGTTAGCCAGGGTGGTCTCGATCTCCTGACCTCGTGATCCGCCCGCCTCGGCCTCCCAAAGTGCTGGGATTACAGGTGTGAGCCACCGCGCCCGGCCTAGATTAATGTTTTCACTGAGTGTGAAGTTGAGTGACTTCTTGCTCTATTAGTTCCCGTGAGAGCTGGTTGTTAGGAGCCTGATACCTCCTCCGTCTCTCTCTTGCTTTCTCTCTCACCACGTAATCTCTGCACACACCGGCTTCCCTTCGCCTTCTGCCATGAGTGGCAGCAGCCTGAAGCTTTCACCAGATGCCCAGTCTTGAACATTTTTAGATATGAGAATTGTGAACCAAACAAACCTTTTTCCTTATAAATTACCCAGCCTCAGGTATTCCTTTATAGTAACACAAATGAAGTAAGACAGCTTGTCTTTTTCCAAATGAAAAAGAGATTGTCTTTTTAGAACAAGGCAGAAGTAACATGTTATTAGTAACAAGTCTAGATTTTACTTTGCGTGTTCTGCTTCCTTTGCCTTTGCCATGATTATGAGAAGAGCTTCCTCTGGGTAGTATTGCCCATTTACACCGAAACCCCGAGGGAATATATATGGCACAGAATCGCCCAGCCAATTTCAGACCTGTATGAGGAAGAAGAGCTTCCTCAGTTGTCAAAGCCTGAAGCAGGGCCACCTTGGCTGATCGACCTGTACATCTATGAAAATCATTGAATATTTTGGGATGCCACTGAGATTGTTTCCTTGCTTTTTTTTTATCAATAGATAATTGATACAATAATGTCATAATTCTCAAGATACTTTTATGTTTTCTTAAAGACAATTTTTAAGTTTAGTGAACGTTTTTCTCCAAAGTCCTTGTTATTTTATAAGGCTGTAGGTGAGTTCACCTAGAATTTCAATTTTTTAAATAAGTCCTAAGAAAAAGGAATGTTGAAAAGTGGATTAGGTTTAGGTATAGAAAGGCTAGTAATATTCTATATAACTGTTATTGTCCTAAATATAACATCTGCTTTGATATTTCAAATTTTTCTGTTACAAAGAATAATGATACTTTCTAATAAGAATTATTTTATAAATATATAATTTATATTTTTATATAAGGATGCAGTTTATGATGTATTTTAATAAAGCTAACTTTAAAATCAATGGGTAATTTTTTAAGGCAAGAGTGTCACATGACAAGTAATTTCCTTTTAATAAAATAAGAGCTAATACAGCTCTTAAGAGATAATATTTTTGAAGTTTTTCTTCCATATATTGTGTAATATGAGTTCCATTCTCAGTCTCACTTAAGTCTTACAATAAGTTTAAATAGAAGTTAGGTATATTTATTCATATACATTTTACAGATGAAAAAATTTACATTTAGAGTGGTTATGTCAGTTGCTCAGTTTCATAGCAAAGTGAGGCAAAGAGATATTTGAATTATCTTAACTATTCTTTAGCACTGCAGCAAATTGTTAAAGGGCTCAGACTCTAGAACCAAACCATGTCCTTTTGATTTCAGTCTCTACTGTTATCCCTTCTCACTCTGTACATCTTTTTCTCCTACTATAAAATGGGAATACAGTAAGTTTTATCTTACAGGATTGTTGTGATAGTTAAAGGTCATTTCAGCACATAGAACAGAGCTTAGTAGGTAGAAAGCATGCAATAGACATAACCCACTATCATCATCATTGTCATCATGGTCATCATCATCATCCGTGCTACTTAATGAAATTTAGTACTTACATGAATGCCCTAACATTAAAGTGGGAAGGCATTTGTAATAGAACAACAACGTTGGTTAGCAATAAAGAGCACCTGGTATTGTCTTTCTCATACTAGTCTGAAATTTCATTTTACAAATTGCTGGCAGCAAGAGATTTTAAACTCTGTCTTCCAGCAAATGTAGTACTTCTAGTTAAATTGTTTAGAAAGTCTATTTTTGTGATCTTCTCTCTGTAATGCTGATTTAATCGTCTTTGGCGTATAGTGTCCTATTGGCAGGTTTCCCATGTGTACTTGTAAGTGGAAGGTTATATGCTAATGAATGTTCATTGTGTAATGGGAGCATGGGGATATTTATTTCTTAGCAGAGCTTGTTACTCAGGTTATTAGCTCCTGTTTATACTAACTTGTTGCATATCTCACCTGATCATATAAAGACTGAGTTGAACATATGCAATCTCTCATTTATGCTGCTGCAAGAGATCTGTGTGCTTAATTCATTTTCTATTCCAGTGCAGATCTTTCACCTCCTGCTATTCCTCTGAATTCCATCTCATGGTTAAGTGGAGCCTTGCCATTCACAAAGTTAACACTTGTGATTTTGACAATTCATAGGAAACCTAAAAAGTTCACAAATTGCAGCACTTGTGTGTTGAGTCTTATGTTTGAATCATGTGTCCTTGAGGCCAGTGTGGGGGAAAAAGCCTGTGAGGCTTTGAGTGAGCCTCTTCAATCAGTCTGTGTCTCAATATCACTTTGGTTCTGTTTTTTTTTAAGCTTGTTATCAGGTATGCAGAAACCCTCATTAGAGGTCTGAGGGGGTTATTTAAATGCATCATTACATTCAACAGACTTATGTGAAAACTTACATGATACAGTGACATTTACACATATGGGAATTTGCAAAGGTCTTTTTACATTTCCCTTGTGAATTTTATGAGTCTGTGGCATATGTTAGATTAAACAGGCTATGATTTGGGCTCCCCGTATTGGGGATGATCTCAAAGGGCACTGGTTTTATAAAAAGGTTCTGGGAAACCACTGGTGTAGCAAACTCAGTGAGAATTATTTTTCTTCCCAAATACTAAAAATGAAGATCAGATTGTTAGCTCAGTTCAACTGTATTTATGTAGCTCTTTAAAGAAATATGAAATGAGGTTTCCAACTTGAAATGTCAGAAATTAAGGCCTGAAGAAGAAGAAACAATTCTGTGCATGAGCCACTTTGAATTAGATTTGTATAATGGGCAGAAGAAAACTTTCATAAGAACCTACTCTGTGCCAGGCATTGTGCTTGATGCCGTTACATATTTTACTACATTCTTTTTTTTTCCTCAGAAATAATCATTTTGTTTTATTTTATTGTGCTAGAAACACTTAATATGAAATGTACCTTCAACACATTTTTAGTGTATAGTCCAGTACTGTTAATATAGGCACAATGTTACACAGCAGATCTCTCGAATGTATACATTTTGCATAACTGAAACTTTATACCCTTTGAATGCCAACTCTCCATTTCTTAAGACCATCTTAAGAAAGGTTAAAACAGGTTAGTTACATATGTATACATGTGCCATGCTGGTGCGCTGCACCCACTAACTCGTCATCTAGCATTAGGTATATCTCCCAATGCTATCCCTCCCCCCTCCCCCCTCCCCACCACAGTCCCCAGAGTGTGATATTCCCCTTCCTGTGTCCATGTGATCTCATTGTTCAATTCCCACCTATGAGTGAGAATATGCGGTGTTTGGTTTTTTGTTCTTGCGATAGTTTACTGAGAATGATGGTTTCCAATTTCATCCATGTCCCTACAAATGACATGAACTCATCATTTTTTATGGCTGCATAGTATTCCATGGTGTATATGTGCCACATTTTCTTAATCCAGTCTATCATTGTTGGACATTTGGGTTGGTTCCAAGTCTTTGCTATTGTGAATAATGCCGCAATAAACATATGTGTGCATGTGTCTTTATAGTAGCATGATTTATAATCCTTTGGGTATATACCCAGTAATGGGATGGCTGGGTCAAATGGTACTTCTAGTTCTAGATCCTTGAGGAATCCCCACACTGTCCTCCACAATGGTGGAACTAATTTACACTCCCACTAACACTGTAAAAGTGTTCCTATTTCTTGGCCGGGCATGGTGACTCACGCCTGTAATCCCAGCACTTTGGGAGGCCGAGGCGGGCGGATGACGAGGTCAGGAGATTGAGACCATCCTGACTAACACGGTGAAACCCCGTCTCTACTAAAAATACAAAAAATTAGCCGGGCGTGGTGGTGGGCGCCTGTAGTCCCAGCTACTCGGGAGGCTGAGGCAGGAGAATGGCGTGAACCCGGGAGGCGGAGCTTGCAGTGAGCCGAGATCCCGCCACTGCACTCCAGCCTGGGCGACAGAGCGAGACTCCGTCTCAAAAAAAAAAAAAAAAAAAGACATGAGTTGAACTGGTTCTTCACTAGAGGTAAGAGACAAAACTTCAGTCTTTGCCTGGATCCTGCCTTTTGGATTGTCATCTCTTTGGATTCTTATATTTCTTTCTTTAGGTAATACTTTGATCAAATGTCTCTAGCAGCATTCTAATTTTTTAAATGCCTCAGACTCTTTTGTCATAATCCTAAATCCAGTTTAGAAAATATTTCCATTAATTTCTAAACTTAGCTAATAGAACTTTAATGTTGCTGTGGACTGACTTGTGTCTCCTCCTCCATCATTCATATGTTGAAGCCCTAACCCCAGTGTGATGGTATTTGGAAATGGAGCCTATGGAAGATAATTAGGTTCAGGTGAGGTTATAAGGGTGGGGCCCTAATGACAGGATTAGTGCCCTTATAAGAAGAGACACTAGAACTCTCTCTCTTTGCCAGATGAGAATACAGAGAGAAGGCTGCTTTCTGCAAATCAGGAAGGGAAACCTCCCTAGAAAATGCCCATGCTGGCATCTTGATCTCAGACTTTCTGCTTCCAGAACTGTGTGAAAATAAATTTGTTATTTAAGCCATGCAGTCTATGGCATTTTGTTATGATAGACTGAGCAGACTAAGACAAATATCTTCTTTCATCCATTTCAATCTTTTATCATTGCATCACAATGCTAAGCGGAATATATTTTTATCCACATACAGCTGCTGTTCTTTAAATTTAGAAGATTATGTTTGTTCTTCCTGGGCTTTGTTTTCCTGCAACACTCTAGCAGCTAGGCTGAACTAAGTAACTGGTATTCCATGTTTTGCATGCTGCTCTTTTTTTAACCTCCTTTTCAATATGTTAGTTATCTTCTGTTAACTGTACTTTAAAGAAAGATCTCAGGGGTCCTTCTTTTGGGGAGACACCTTGTTTCTGTAAAAGCACAAATTTTCACCATTGCTGTCATCTTGGACAGGCTTACCATTTTGCTGCACTGTTAGTATTAGAATCTCTTTGATCATCATACTTTTATATTCCTGCATCTTTCTTGTTTAGTTTGAGACCATTTGTTTTTATCTGTTTTCTATTGCCATAATAGAATACCGGAGACTAGGTAATTTATAAAGAAAAGAAATTTATTTCTTAGAGTTCTGAAGGCTGGGAAGTTCAAAGCCTAGGGGCTGAATCTGTTCAGCTTCTGGTGAGGGCCTCATGCTATGTCATAACATGGCAGAAGGCATCACAGGGTGAGAGGGGGCTCATGAGACATGACCAAAATGACTTTATAACAGAACAACTCTCCTGATAACTAACCCACTTCCTCAATAGCCCATTAGTCTATCAATCTATTAATCAATTCATTAGGGTAGAGCCTTCATGACCCAATCATCTTCCAGAGGTCCCACCTCTCAACAATATTGGGGGTCAAGTTACCAACACATGAAATTGTTGGGGACATATTTAAACCATAGCAATGTTCTTTATTCTCCCCTTTGGAGTTTCAAATATTGTTCTTATGATTCCTTTAGGACACGAAGCCTCCCACTCAACAATAGTTCTTTCCTCCAGATTTTCACATGGCTATTGATATGGTTTGGATCTGTGTCCCCAAACAAATCTCATCTCAAATTGTAATTCCCAACTTTTGAGGGAGAGAGGTGATTGGATCATAGGGGCAATTTTCCCCATGCTGTTTTTATGATAATGAGTGAGTTCTCATGATTTTAGAAGTGTTTGACAGTCCCTCCTTCACACGCTCTTCTCTCTCCTGCTTCCATGTGAAGATGGTTCCTGCTTCCCCTTTCACCATGATTGTAAGTTTCCTGAGGCCTCCTCAGCCAGGTGAAACTCTGAGTCAAATAAACCTCTTTTCTTTGCAAATTACCCCATCTCAGGTATTTCTTTATAGTAGCGTGAAAATGAACTCATACAGCTATCTAGTTCTTTTTCTGTCATTTGGGTGTCAGCGCACATGTTGTTTCCTCAGGTAGGTCTTCTCTGCTCATTCTTTCTAAGTGTTTTTCTCCTCATCTGGGAAAAGTCTCCCTTCCTTCCCTTCTTTATGTCATTATCATTTTATTATCTTCAAAGTGCTTGGTTGCAATGATCTATTTTTTGCTTGTTTATTGTTCATTTTACTCATTTGAATGTAAACTTCATGAAAACAAGAACCTTTCTTGTTTTGTTTACCAGTGTATACCCTAGAGGTAAAATAATTTCTGGCACATCCAAGTACCTGACTGGTATTTGTTAAATAAACAAATGAATTGATGGAAAGATTATCCTTCTAAGAAATAATATTATGAATAACCTATGAATATTTTTCCAGTTGCTCATTTCTACAATGTCCCCTTTTACATTTCTACGGTAAATACATCAAAACTTGGGCTAAGACTGGAAGTCACGTTATTCTATCAGAGAATTTCACCTGTAAATCCATAATATATATTATAGATTTACATTATATATGTATATTTGTACATAAATACATTTATATATGTATATATACACATACATATATATTTATGTGTATATAAATATATATTCATAAATATATAAATATAAGATAGTATATATTATATATATGTTGGCTCTTCTAGCAGAATGAATAGAAGATACTATATATATCATACATATATTATATATTTAAACATTGGGCTATTCTAGCAGAATGTATGAATATAGCATAGTATCTATCTTAGTGTATATATGTTTATATATATACTATTTATCTTATAGTATCATATATATACACATAAACACACGTATGTATATACTACCATACTCACACATTCTGCTAGAATAGCCCAGTGTTTAAATATATAATATATATATTCTATGCTATCTTACATTTATACATTCTGCTAGCGTAGCCCAATGTTTAAAAACAATGATGTTATATCCTAAATTCTGTACATTCTAACAATTCTTTGATTAATTCTCTATCTTCTGTGTTTTAATATATATATATGTTTTGCTATGGATTAAGTTGTATCTTACCATTGATAACTTTTTCATTTTTTTTTTTGAAGACCAGTAGATCTTTTCATTGGATAATCTGAGATAACATAGAAGTCTCTTAGCTCTATTACTAATTAGTTGGTTGATCTTGAGAAAATAAGTTCATTCTTTGGTCTTTAGGACACTATAATCTCCTAAATTACATTAGCATTTTTTCTAATCATTATTTAACAGAACCACTTGATAAGTGCACTAGTAGAAAAAAAATTCTCTTTCCACATCAGCTTGAAAAATAAGGGAGTCTGTATCTTCCTCTTGGAAATTCACAACGTACTTTAAAGGCTACTAAAAGTACTGGAGTTAAAAAAATTAGGAGACGAAAAGAAAAAATGAGTTGCTGAAGTTTATTTGACCAAATGAATCCTAAGCATATTTGGTCAGTCATGGAATCTCTCCTTCAGGAGAAATTCATCAAGAAATAATTCTCTGAAACAATCAATTTAGAAAACTGTGGATATCTTCTGGTTCTGAAAGCCTATTAATTTTGTGTAGGTTATAATTTAATATGCCAGCAGGCTCTATTCTAAAAACTAGTATGTTAAGAAACACTTAGGCCAGGCGTGGTGGCTCACGCCTGTAATCCCAGCACTTTGGGAGGCCGAGGCAGGTGGATCACAAGGTCAGGAAATCAAGACCATCCTGGCTAACATGGCGAAACCCTATCTCTACTAAAAATACAAAAAATTAGCCTGGCGTGCTGGCGGGCGCCTGTAGTCCCAGCTACTCGGGAGGCTGAGGCAGGAGAATGGCGTGAACCTGGAGGCGGAGCTTGCAGTGAGCCAAGATTGCACCACCGCACTCCAGCCTGGGCGACAGAGCAAGACTCTGTCTCAAAAAGAAAAAAAAAAAGAAACACTTACATGGATTCTTATAAAAAGACTCCTTGACTTTTGTAACATATATTGTGTATAGTATAAAATAACTGAAACCATATAAATTCCAACATTTTTGAGATTGTTAGAATACTTTTTTACCCTGTTGTGAAATATGCCCTTGGCCTAGCTTCAGGCCACTACATGAACCTGTTTCTCTTGACCTGTCATGAAATTCTCTCTTTTTTCACTATTTAAATTTGAGGCAACTGTTGGGCTTCAATCAATTGGCAGATTGTAAAATATTTTTGCCCTAGAGCCAGTCATAGGTTCCTATTGTGGTTTTCTTTTTAGTCACTGAAGAAAAGAATCTTTTCATGTGGGCCTGTGCTTGATATTTGAACATTTGTGGAACTGAATAAACATTATTCTTTTTCCTCCTTTCACTGTAAGTGCTATTTATTGACAACCAAGACAAAGGGAACTGGGGAATGAAGCAAAGAAATAAGGAAGGAAGGGAGAAGTTTATGTCTTAGTAAATAATCCTTCAGCAACTTATGACTTTGAAGTTTTACAGAATGAGAAGAGTTGGAATTGTTGGAATCAAATAAAGTTCTGCCACTTAAATTTTGTCAATTGGAAAAACAACAGTTTGAGGCTTAGACAAACAAATGTAAAATGTAATGTAATAATTCATTAATGTATTTTTATTAACTATGTGCCTTTGGGCAAAATAGCCTTAATACTTTACCTTTAGAATGGGGAAGATAAGTACAAATTACTTTATTGTAGGTATATGACATCATACAAACTTCAGATGATGATAACGATAAATGCAATAATCTATCGAACATTTACTTTATGGTAGGTCCTATGTTAAGTTTTTTCTTTGTTTGTTTGTTTTAATCATGTTATGGCTGGGCGTGGTGGCTGATGCCTGTAATCCCAGCACTTTGGCAGGTAGATCATGAGGTCAGGAGTCTGAGACCAGCCTGGCCAGCATGGTGAAACCTCATCTCTACTAAAAATAGAAAAAAAAGAAAAATGGCCGGGCATGGTGGCGCACGCCTGTAGTCCCAGCTACTTGGGAGGCTGAGACAGAAGAATTGCTTGAACCCAGCAGGCCCAGGTTGCAGTGAGCCGATATCGCACCACTGTACTCCAGCCTGGGTGACAGAGCGAGACTCTGTCTCAAAAACAAACAAACAAAAAATCTTATTATATCTGTGCAACATGCAGCTGAAGTACATTGGGGTACTCAATATCTCAAGGTCAGAAACGGAGCTTAACTCAAAAGTGAGTCTTAACCATTATCCATCATGCTTCAATGTCAAGATTACAATGCACAGGCTGTTTAATGAGACAAAAGCTTTGATTCTTAACAGAAGACATTTGTTTCATCATGATTTCCTAGAAGACAAGTTTGATATCTAACCAGTTGGAGATACTGTTAATGCTCATGATTTACTTGATATATTAACTGACTTCAGCTGTCTGGAAAGAAATGTTTGTCTAGCTATCTGTTTCCTATATAGGGAAGGTTCCAGGTCAAGTACTAAAAATGATCATTTCCTAAAAATGATTTTCCTTCCCTATAGTTAAAGTAAAATGTTAAATAATCAGGCTGTAGAGAAAGCAGAACATTGGTAGGCCACAGGAAAGAGAAAGTCTTTGGGCTTGGCTAAGCTGAATTATGACAAATAGATCTTGTTATTATTATTTTTAAAAAACTTTTTTAAAGGAGTCTAGTTCTTTACTAACTTCTGATTTTATCAATGTTTACTCTCATTTAAGGTTTAAGGTGCCATGTATTTGTGTTTCTGAATCTGCTGTCTTTGGACAAGTGACTTGCTGTATGGATTAGAGTGGATAAAGGAAACAATTGGAGGATCTGGGTCTCACCTGCTCTTTAATCTTTCTGTGGCCTAAATAATGGATAGTCTAAGTACCCTACTGCACCTTTGTTCTCTGCATTTAAGATTTATGCTAATTCTGTGGATTTAAGAAAACAGTGGGAATAGTGAATTAAATAATACCAATATAGATGAATAAAAATACAAATAATAACAATTTATTGATTACTAATTATTTTCTGGACAGGATTTTCAGTATTTTGGATAGGTCTTGGGCCAAGATGACCAAATAGAAACAGCTCCGGTCTTCAGCTCCCAGTGAGACCAATATAGAAGGCAGTAATTGGGACTGGCTAGGTGGTGGGCATGAACCACGGAGAGCCAGCAGAACCAGGGTGGGGTGTCGTTTCACCTGAGAAGTGCACAAAGTGGAGCAACCTTTCTTCCCCAGCCAGGGGAAATGGTGAGGGACTGTGCTACCCGCCAAGGGTACTAGGCTTTTCCCATGGATTTTTGCAATCTGCAGATCAGGAGATTCCCTCGTGAGCCTTTTCAGGGACAAATCTGGGCAGCTGTTTGGGCAGGCACTGAGCTTCAGGAGTTTTTTACATACTCCAGCGGCACCTGGATCTCCAGTGAGACAGGAGAACCATCCACACTACTGCGGAAAGAGGCCTAAAGCCAGGGAGCTAAGTGGTCTTGCTCAATGGTGCCACTCCCATGGAGCCCAGCAAGCTAAGAATCACTGGCTTGAAATTCCCACTGCCAGCACAGCAGTCTGGAGTCTGCCTGGAACAACTGAGTTTGGGGTTGGGGGAGAGGGGACCACCATTACAGTGGCTTTAGTACATGCTTTTCCCCTAACAGTGCTAAGGAGACTGGGAGGTTTGGACGGGACAGAATTCACCACAGCACAGCAAAGTGGCTGTGGCCAGACTGCTTCCCTAGATCACTCCTCACCAGGCAGGGCATCTCTGAAGGAAATCAACAAGCTCCAGTCAGGGGCTTACAGACAGACACCTGGGGGAAGGTGGGCTGGGACAGAGCACCTGGGGGAAGGGGTGGCTGTGGTCTCAGTTTCAGCAGACTTAATCTTTCTTGCCTGCCACCTATGAAGATAGAGGTTGATCCTGACAAGGGGGATTCTGCAAGCACAGCGTACCAGCTCTGCAGCTGATCCTGACAAGAGGGATTTTCCCAGCACAGCACACCAGCTCTGCTAAGGGACAGACTGCCTCCTCAAGTGGGTCCCTGACCCCATGCCTCCTGATTGGGTAAGATCTCCCAACAAGGGTCGACAGACACCTCATACAAAAGAGCTCTGGCTGGCATCAGGCAGGTGCCCCTCTGGGATGAAGCTTTTGGAGGAAGAAGCAGGCAGCACTCTTTGCTGTTCTGCAGCCTCCACTGATGATACTCAGCAAACAAAATCTGGAGTGGGCCTCCAGAAACTGAAGCAGACCTGTAGAAGAGGGGCCCGACTGTTGGAAGAAAAACTAACAAACAGAAAGCAACAAAAACAATAACAGCAACAAAAAAGACACCCGCCCCCCCAAAAAAACCCATCCAAAGGTCATCAGCCTCAAAGATCAAAGGTACGTAAATCCATGAAGATGAGGAAAAACCAACGCAAAAATTCTGAAAATTCCAAAAGCCAGAATGCCTCTTCTCCTCCAAATGATCACAACACTTCTCCAGCAAGGGCACAGAATGGGGCTAAAGCTGAGATGAATGAACTGACAGAAGTAGGCTTTAGAAAGTGAGTATAATGGATTTTGCTGAGCTAAAGGACTATGTTCTAACCCAACGCAAAGAAGCTAAGAACCATGATAAAAGATTATAGGAGCTGTTAACTAGAATAACCAGTTTAGAGAGGAACATAAATTACCTGACGGAGCTGAAAAACACAGCACAAGAACTTCATCATGCAAATACAAGTATCAATAGCTGAATCGACCAAGCGGAAGAGAGAATATCAGAGCTTAAAGACTATCTTGCTGAAATAAGGCAAGCAGACAAGATTAGAGAAAAAAGAATAAAAAGGAACAAACAAAACCTCCAGGAACTATGGGACTGTGTAAAAATACTGAAACTATGACTAATTGGAGTACCTGAAAGAGATGGGGAGAATGGAACCAGGTGGAAAGCACACTGCATATATCATCCAGGAGACCTTCCCCAACCTAGCAAGACAGGCCAATATTCAAATTCAGGAAATCCAGAGAACCCCAATAAGATACTCCATAAAAACATCTACCCAAGACATAAAATCATCAGATTCTCCAGGGTTGAAATGAAGGAGAAAATGTTAAGGGCAGCCAGAGAAAAAGGCCAGGTCACCTACAAAGGGAAGCCTATCAGAATAACAGTGGACCTCTCAGTGGAAACCCTATAAGCCAGAAGAGATAGGGGCTAATATTCAACATGCTTAAAGAAAAGAAATTCCAACCCAGAATTTTATATCTGGCCAAACTAAGCTTTATAAGGGAAAGAGAAATAAAATATTTTTCAGACAAGCAAATGCTGAGGGATCTTGTCACCACCAGGCCTGCCTTGCAAGAGATCCTGAAAGAAGCACTAAATGTGGAAAGGAGAAACCGTTATCAGCCACTACAAAAACACATTGAAAAACACAGACCAATGACACTATGAAGCAACTACATTAACACGTCTGAAAAATTAACCAGCCAGCACCATGATGACAGGATCAAATTCACACATAAAAATATTAACCTTGAATGTAAATGGGGTAAACGTCCCAATTAAAAGACACGAAATGGCAAACTGGATACAAAGACAAATCCCACTGGTGTGCTGTATTCAAGAGACACATCTCATGTGCAAAACCGCACATAGATTCAAAGTAAAGAGATGGAGGAAAATTTACTAAGTAAATGGAAAGCAGAAAAAAGCAGGGTTTGGAATCCTAGTTTCTGACAAAATAGACTTTAAACCAATAAAGATCAAAAAAGACAAAGAAGGGCACCACATAATGTTAAAGGGTTCAATTCAACAAGAAGAGCTAACTATACTAAATATGTATGCACCCAATACAGGAGCACCCAGATTTATAAAACAAGTTCTCAGAGACCTACAAAGAGACTTAGACTCCCACACAGTAATAGTGGGAAACTTTAATACCCCACTATCAGTATTAGGCAGGTCATCGAGACAGAAGATTAACAAAGATATTCAGGACTTAAACTCAGCTCTAGACCAAGTGGACCCGATAGATATCTGTAGAACTCTCTATCCAAAAACAACAGAATATACTTTATTTTTGGCACCACATAGCACTTACTCTAAAATTGATCACACAATTGAAAGTAAAGCACTCTTCAGCAAATGCAAAAGAACTGAAATCCTAACAGTCTCTCAGACTACAATGCAATCAAATTAGAACTCAAGATTATTGGGAGGCTGAGGCAGGTGGCTCACTTAAGGTCAGGAGTTCAAGACCAGCCTGGCCAACATGGTAAAACCCCATCTCTACTAAAAATATAAAAATTAGCCAGGTGTGGTGGCTCATGCCTTTAGTCCCAGCTACTCAGGAGGCTGAGGCAGGAGAATTGCTTGAACTTGGGGGGCAGAGGTTGCAGTGAGCTGAGATCATGCCACTGCAGTTCATCCTGGACAACAGAGCAAGACTCCGCCTCCAAAAAAAAAAAAACCTCAAGATTAAAAAGCCCACTCAAAACCACACAACTACATGGAAATTGAACAATCTCCTCCTGAATGACTCCTGGGAAAATAATAAAATTAAGGCAGAAATAAAGAAGGTTTTTGAAACCAATGAGACAAAGAGACAATGTATCAGAATCTCTGGGATGCAGCTAAAGCAGTGTTAAGAAAGAAATTTATAACACTAAATGCCACATCAAATAGCTAGAAAGATCTCAAATGGACACACTAACATCACAACTAAAAGAACTAGAGAATCAAGAGCAAATAAATCCCAGAGCTAGCAAAATAATGAAATGACAAACCTCAGAATGAAACTGAAGGAGATAGAGACACAAAAAAACGCTTCAAAGAATCAACAAATCCAGGAGCTGTTTTTTTTTTTGAAAAAAAAATCAATATAATCCACCTCTAATAAAGAAAAAAAGAGGAAAGATTCAAATAAACACAATCAGAAATGATAAAGGGGATACAACCACTAACACCACAGAAATGCAAACCACCATCAGAGAATACTCTAAGCACCTCTATGCAAATAAACTATGAAATCTAGAAGAAATGGATAAATTCCTGGACACACACACCCTCCCAAGACTGAACCGGGAAGAAGCTGAATGCCTGAATAGAACAATAACAAGTTCTGAAATTAAGGCAGTAATAAATAGCCTACAAACCAAAAAAAAAAAAAAAAAAAGCCCAGGTCCAGGTGGATTTACAGCTGAATTCTACCAGAGGTACAAAGGGGGCTGGTACCATTTCTTCTGAAACTATTCCAAACAATTGAAAAGGAGGGACTCTTTTCTAACTCATTTTATGAGGCCAGCATCATCCTGATACCAAAACATGGCAGAGATACAACAAGGAAAGAAAATTTCAGGCCAATATTTCTTATGAATATCGATGCAAAAATCCTCAATAAAATACTGGCAAATCAAGTCCAGCAGCACAACAATAAACTTATCCACCGTGATCAAGTTGGCTTCATCCCTGGGATGCAAGGCTGGTTCAACATACACAAATCAATAAATGCAATTCATCATATAAACAGAACTAAAGACAAAAAACACATGATTTTCTCAATAGATGCAGAAAAGCCCTTTGATAAAATTCAACATCCCTTCATGTTAAAAACTCTCAATAAACTAGGTATTGAAGGAATGCACCTTGAAATAATAAAAGCCGTTTATGACAAACCCACAACAAATATCACACTGAATTGGCAAAAGCTGAAAGCATTCCCCTTGAAAAATGGCACAAAACAAGGATGCCCTCTTTCATCAATCTTAGTGGTTAGAACTCTCCAACATTGAGTTGGAGATTCTGGCCAGGGCAATTAGGCAAGAGAAAGAAATGGTATTGAGATAGGAAGAGAGGAAGTCATATTGTTTTTGTTTGCAGATGACATGATCCTCTCTCTAGAAGATTCCATTATTTCAGCTCAAAAGCTTCTTAACCTGATAAGCAACTTTATTAAAGTCTCAGGATACAAAATCAATGTGCAGAAATCACAAGCATTCCTATATACCAACAACATACAAGCAGAGACCCAAATCATGAATGAACTCCCATTCACAATTGCCACAGAGAGTAAAATACCTAAGAATACAACTAACAAGGGAAATGAAGGACCTCTTCAAGGAGAACTACAAACCATTGATCAAGGAAGTCAAAGAGGAAACAAGCAGATGGAAAAACATTCCATGCTCATGGATAAAAAGAATCAACATCATGAAAATGGCCGTACTGCCAAAGCAATTTATAGATTCAATACTATTCCCACTAAAGTATCATTGACATTTTTCACAGAATTACAAAAAAACTATTTAAAACTTCATATGGAACCAAAATAGAGCTGACATAGCCAAGACAATCCTAAGGAAAAAGAACAAAGCTGGAGGCATCACCCTACCTGACTTCAAACTATGCTACAAGGCCATAGTGATCGAAACAGCATAGTACTGGTGTAAAAACAGGCACATAGACCAATGGAACAGAATAGGGAACTCAGAAATAAAACTGCACATCTACAACCATATCAGTGTGATGTGGTGTTGAGAAGAATGTTGATTCTGTTGATTTGAGGTGGAGAGTTCTGTAGATGTCTATTAGGTCTGCTTGGTCCAGAGCTGAGTTCAAGTCCTGAATATCATTGTTAACTTTCTGTCTCATTGATCTGTCTAATATTGACAGAGGGGTGTTAAAGTTTCCCACTATTATTGTGTGGGAGTCTAAGTCTCTTTGTAGGTCTTTAAGAGCTTGCTTTATGAAGCTGGGTGCTCCTATATTGGGTGCATATATATTTAGGATAGTTAGCTCTGCTTGTTGCATTGATCCGTTTACCATTACGTAATACCCTTCTTTGTCTTTTTTGATATTTCTTGATTTAAAGTCTGTTTTATCAGAGACTAGGATTGCAACCCCTCCTTTTTTTTTTTTTTTTTTTTTTTTTTTTTGCTTTTCATTTGCTTTGTAAATCTTCCTCCATCCCTTTATTTTGAGCCTATGTGTGTCTTTGCACATGAAATGGGTCTCCTGAATATAGCACACTGATGGGTCTTGACTCTTTATCTAATTTTCCAGTCTGTGTTTTGCCTGTTTACATTTAAGGTTAATATTGTTATGTGTGAATTTGATCCTGTCATTATGATGCTAGCTGGTTATTTTGCCTATTAGTTTGTGCAGTTTCTTCACAGTGTCAATTGTCTTTATATTTTGGTTTGTTTTTGCAGTGGCTGGTACCAGTTTTTCCATTCCATATTTAGCGCTCCCTTCAGGAGCTCTCATAAGGCAGGCCTGGTGCTGACAAAATCCCTCAGCATTTGCTTGTCTGTTAAGGATTTTATTTCTCCTTCCCTTGTGAAGCTTAGTTTGGCTAGATATGAAATTCTGGGTTGAAAATTATTTTCTTTAAGAATGTTGAATATTGGCCCTGACTCTCTTCTGGCTTGTAGGGTTTCTGCAGAGAGATCCACTGTTAGTCTGATGGTCTTCCCTTTGTGGATAACCCGAACTTTCTCTTTGGCTGCCCTTAACATTTTTTCCTTCATTTCAACCTTGGTGAATTTGATGATCATGTGTCTTGGGGTTGCTCTTCTCAAGGAGTATCTTTGTGGTGTTCTCTGTATTTCCTGAATTTGAATATTTGTCTTGCTAAGTTGGGGAAGTTCTTTTGGATAATATCATGAAGTGTGTTTTCCAACTTGTTTCCATTCTCCCTATCACTTTCAGGTATAGCAATCAAATGTAGGTTTGGTCTTTTCACATAGTCCCTTATGTCTTGGAGACTTTGTTCCTTTTCATTCTTTTTTCTCTCATCTTGTCTTCATGCTTTATTTCATTAAGTTGATCTTCAGCCTCTGATATCCTTTCTTTTGCTTGATCAGTTTGGCTATTGATACTTGTGTATACTTCACGAAGTTGTCATGCTGTGTTTTTCAGCTCCATCAGGTCATTTACGTTCTTCTCTAAACTGGTTATTCTAGTTAGCAGCTCCTGTAACCTTTTCTTAAGTTTCTTAGCTTCCTTGCATTGGGTTAGAACATGCTCCTTTAGCTTGGAGGAGTTTGTTATTACCCACCTTCTGAAGCCTACTTCTGTTAATTTGTCAAACTCATTGTCTATTCAGTTTTGTTCCCTTGCTGGCAAGGAGTTGTGATCCTTTGGAGGAGAAGAGGCATTCTGGTTTTTGGAATTTTCAGCATTTTGCACTGGGTTTTCCTCATCTTCATGTATTTATACCTTTGGTCTTTGCTGTTGGTGAACTTTGGATGGAGTTTTTGTGTGGTCTTTTTGTTTGTTTGTTTGTTTTGTTTTTTGTTTTTTGATGTTGATGCTGTTGCATTCTGTTTGTTCGTTTTCCTTCTAACAGTCAGGCCCCTCTGTTGCAGGTCTGCTGGAGTTTGCTAGGGGTCCACTCCAGACCCTGTTTCCTGGGTATCATCAGTGGAGGCTGCAGAACAGCAGTGATTGCTACCTGCTCCTTCCTCTGGAAGCTTTGTCCCAGAGGGGGACCCACCAGAAGCCAGCCAGTGCTCTCCTGTATGAGGTGTCTCCCAGTCAGGAGGCACGGGGGTCAGGGACCCACTTAAGGAGGCAGTCTGTCCCTTAGAAGAGCTCGAGCACTGTGCTGGGAGATCCGCTGCTCTCTTCAGAGCTTGCAGGCAGGAACATTTAAATCTGCTGAAGCTGTGCCCACAGCTGCCCCTTCCCCCAGGTGCTCTGTCCCATGGAAATAGGATTTTTATCTATAAGCCCCAACTGGGGCTGCTGCCTTTCTTTCAGAGATGCCCTGCCCAGAGAGGAGGAATCTAGAGGGGGAGTCTGGCTATAGAGGCTTTGCCAAACTGAGGTCAGCTCCAACTAATTCAAACTTCCTGGTGGGTTTTTTTACACTGAGGGAAAACCACCTACTCAAGCCTCAGTAATGGCTGATGCTGCTGCCCCCACCAAGCTTCAGTGTCCCAGTTCGACTTCCGATTGCTGTGCTGGCAGCGAGAATTTCAAGCCAGTGGATCTTAGCTTGCTGGGCTCCATTGGAGTGGGATCTGCTGAGTTAGACCACTAGGCTCCATGGCTTCAGCCCCCTTTCCAGGGGAATGAAAGGTTCTGTCTCGCTGGCATTCCAGGCGCCACTAGGGTACAAAAAAAAATTTCTGCAGCTAGCTCACTGTCTGCCCAAACAGCCTCCCAGTTTTGTGCTTGAAACCCAGGGCCCTTGTGGTGTAGGCACCCGAGGGAATCTCCTGGTCTGTGGGTTGCAAAGACCATGGGAAAAGTGTAGTATCTGGGCCAGATAGCACTGTCTCTCAAGGCAAGGTCCCTCATGGCTTCCTTTGGCTAGGGAAAGGTGATCCCCGACCCCTTGCATTTCCCGGGTGCGGTGATGCCTCACCCTGTTTCTACTTGCCATCCGTGGGTTGCACCCACTGTCTAACCAGTCCCAATGAGATGAACTTGGTACCTCAGTTGGAAATGCAGAAATCACCCACCTTCTGCATTGGTCTCGCTGGGACCTGCAGACCTGAACTGTTCCTCTTTATTCCTTTATAATTGTTTGAAAACTTATTTATCAACATCAGCACCATCCCTGGAGCTTAGGGTAGTATCTTTAACTCCCAAGCTCTGAAACTTCGTGGAAATGTGCCTTGGTGGGGGTTATTTTTTATTGGTTATGGTGATAACTAATCTGGGAATATATGTCTTTCAGAGACATTTCATCTTTAGAGAAATTTCATTTTATTTTATTTAAATACATTTTTCCTCTACATTTTCTTTGTATCTTTTTCTGGAACATCTGTTGGTCAGGAGTTGAACTTCGTAAACTAACTGTCTAATTGTTTTTCTTTAAGTTTTTTCTTTCATACTACTTGTTTAAAAGATTTCTCAACTTTTCTGAAACTTCAACAGAATGTTTAACTATCATATTTCTATTCAGAAAGCCTCTTTCTTTTCTGTAATTGTCCTTTTTATGGTAATCTGTACTTTTTCACAGATCAATGTCTTCCTCTATCTCTCTGAGAATATTAATTATATAAACACATTTTGAAGCTGACTCATTTCCTGTGTTGCATCTATTTCTTTGCATTAATTGCTGTTTTGTTTTTTATTTTCTAACATTTATGTTGAAGGCTTTCCTCAAATGTTTAGTAATTCTTGACTGTCTATTCACATTTATGATTGGATTTATGATTAGATTGAAGCACTAAGGACTGGGGACCCTTGTGTTTGGGCAGAATTTGTTACTGTTAGCCTTCCTTGCAGGGTAATTAGGCAGGGCTTAGCTGTTTTGTTGGAGATGTCCAAATGTTACCATCTGTATATCTTTTGTTTTGAGCTGAACTGTTTCTCCAAGAAGCATTCTCCAGTGACAGGCCTAGGCAGTATAACCTGGCTCAACTGTGCAGTAGAAATCATAAGTTCTAATGTGTAAAACGTCCTTTGATATTACCACTAAATTGGTCCTATTCTCAGCTATTCCTGACATCTATATCCTTGTTTTAAGAGTCTAAGTTGTTCAGTTCTTCCAAAAACATTAAGCCAAAGTGGAAAAAGAGTAATCCCGTGGATGGTTAGGGTTGGGAAAAAAATTGTGAGGTTTAATCTTTAAGTTAACTTTCAAAATCCTCCTATTTTTCAGTCTTACCATGATCCCCACATGCTGAAATATCTAGTCTCAAAAGACTTGATTCTTTAGTCTTTCTCTGATATTACTGCATCCATTAACTGCTTCTTTTGACAGCCTCACCTGTGGAGGTTTCAGTTTTTCCATTTCTGGGTTTTAGTTTTCTGCTGTTTTAATAATTAGAAGCTGTCATCCACCTGGTTTTCCTCTTCCAAAAACTTGTTGACTTCTTTTGGCTATCGTATACCTGCTTCTGTTCCTTCATCCTCCTGCATTGTTCCTTCTCTTTCTATTCTTTCTTTACTGTCATTTTAGTGTGCTTGTAGTAGGGAGCAGAGAGTAATGCATATACTTAAAAATACAATATTTACCACAATTCTCCTTCAGGTTTTATCTGGAAAACTTCATAAGTTCAGTACCAATGGAACATTTACTACTGACAAAGTGTTGACAAATAAAATTAATTTGCAGCTGGTTTTTACATTTTGGCTGTCTGAGTCATGAAAAAAACAGTATCAAACTATTTTAATAATGTAAACAAATATTTTACTAAAATATGCCAAAGTTTAGTTTTTCTCAATTTGAAAGGTAAAGTATTTATACTAAATTACTTTGTCTTTTGAGAAGGCTTGACTCTACTTAACATGAATTTGACTAGACAGGATGCAAGATTTATACTGACATTTATGAGATGCTCAGGTTCTTGAATGTGAAATATAAAATGAGCCTCAATAGGAGTGTGAGACAAATAAATTTAAGCCAACTCACTTGTTTCCAAAAAGTCTATGGATTAAAAATAATTTTGGATAGCTATAATGCCAGCTAAATTAAGTTGTCATTGTCTTAGATCTTAAACTATGAAGCATCCTATAATAAGATATTCCAAATCAACACTCGAGCTTCCCTAAGTCATCTTATTGAAAATGGAAATAAAGACACACAGTGTTTTTGGAGGCCTCTGTGGCACCAGATTACAGATAGTAAGAACTCAGTAGGAAATGACTGCTAGTATAGAGTACATGCTCAGAAAAATGGGTAGAGTCCAGAGCAGATGATGACATTGGAAATTGTAGGCAGGACCACCAAACTTGCTTCCATCTTTTAAAACACTGCACACAAATACCACTGGAACTCCCAGTTGCAAAATAATTGAAAGTGTGGATGTGGAGGAATGAAAACACCTTCCCCATATCTTTTAAGGGAATTCTCTTCCCTCAATTTGGCTTTTCATCTGTCAGGTGGGAATTGGCCATGCAGAGGAAGTGAAAAGGCTATGCTATCTTGAGATTCTTTAAGGCTGTCTACCCATAGAGTTTTAGTATGATTGCAGAGAACAATATAGAAATGAGAAAAGAAGAATTTATTAATTTGTAATTTTTTAAAATGGTAAATGGCAGTTTCCCATCATCAAAGTGATGGTTGAGTTAATTTTCCTACATAAATCAATGTATTTATATATGCTGTAGGCCTATATTTTACTCTATTGTGTAAATATGGCCTCCTACAATGGAAGATTTACAATAAGAATTTTCAGAAGAATGTCAGCGTAATATCATTTCATCTAAACAATAGTCTTGTGTCATAGATCCTAATTAGGGTATTTTAATGGGATTCCAATATATACATTTTGGTAGAGTTGGAAGGCTTTTTATATCCAAGAAAGTATACACATATTATTTTATTTTCTTCAAAAGTAGATATCTGAAGTCTACTGGGAAAATATAAAAAATAATAGGAAAATAGTTTATTTTCCCAATAGACTTCAGACAACACATGTCAACAAGAATCTTCAGATGACAGTATTTAAAACTAGAAGTTAAAGAATTCCTCTGTTGCTAAATATAACTCATATCATCATTTAATAGGTTTTACCTGCATCAAAAGTAGAATATGCATTTTTAAAAACCTTTTTAACTTTAGTTTAATCCTAATGAAAGTATTTTCTTTCATTTCATTTTAGGACTACTAAAAATCAGCACACAGTTTGTCTGTATCAAAACTAAAAACAGAATGGAAAATAATTTTAAGTAGGAAAAATATTTAAAACATATGCTAGTTGGATATACACTTTAAATTTTTAAGTCTCAGTAAAAATTGCTCTTAAAAATTGCCAACTTTATAGCTAAATACATGAAGGATATTCAATCATTTTTACTAATCTTATATTTATGCAGTTTATTCTGAATTTTTGGTATTCTGAAATTGAATCAATCTGAATTCATGGTAATATTTCATCAGCACTTCATATTACATCCTGGATATCATGATGACCTCATTTATAGGATTAAATCAGAATATTTCAATGGTAAGAGTGGTCAGGAAAGTGCAGTCATTACCAACATCATTCAGTTTGAGGATTAATGTCCTTTATATCATTCAAGGGAAGCTCAGGCCAAAGCCTTTTTGGAAAGTGCTATTGTTTATTTTTCTCTGGGGCACAAAATCAATGTTCTTTTTCTCCATTTCAGTACTGCTACATTAAAATGTCATGACATATGAGCTTCAAATGTAAAATCCATAAAAAAGGGAAAAAATCCACTTAATGTTGATGGTATTTTACTTTTACCCTTTCTTCATGTTACAAAAAAGTTGTCCTTTTTCTCTTATTCATGAACAAATTTATATGTCATTTATTTAGGAACGCGTATGAAGCATGCCCTGCTTTCCACTGGGTGGGGGTTGAGGTGGGTGATCCTTTAGCAGGCAGTCTTCTTTCTAGATTCTGAAAGTTGATTTTTCTTTCTCTACCTCCTGTAAAATCTTGCTTGAATTTATGCTTGATTATTTGCTTTTTAGCTATACAAATGCTTGTGGCCATCTGTGTAAAAGAATATTAAAAGTCTACTTGCTATGTGTGTGTGTGTGTGTGTACACACATATAATTTAGAATGGTGTGTGTGTGAAGGCAAGTGATAAAACAGATATTTTTATCTAGATTGTAATTAATTTGGAAGTATCTTGAAGGAAGGGCCTAAGTTCATTTTAATCTTTATATGATAAGTTCCACCATGTCAAAAAAAAATCAGAATAATTGGATAAAACCATCAGTTACTAACGAATCTTCAGCTGTGTTTAAAATGTTCAGGTGTAGAGGAGCTAATATTAACTGAAAGACAGATATAAATTGTCAGCTGATTCAAATAGATATAAGGTTTGTAAATAGCCACCCTGAAGCAAATATTTAATTTATCTTTCTTTTTCAAGTGGTGCCAGTGAAATGAAATGAGATAACTTGAATAATATTTGCCCTTGCTCCTCCTCATGACACCCAGTGATTCAGAGCAATCTATAGCTACAGTGTCTTTTATATATTTTCTATATTTCTTTTGGTTTGGGAGGGGCAAGGCTGTTAGTTTAATTTCTGTGGGTTTAGCTCTTTCATTTAAGAGCACACAATGGCTTACTGGGAAGACATCATTAAATATCTGGGCTGGAACAGGTCTGAGGTATTCAGGTAAATTTTGGTTAACAAAACTCTCTAGGCTTCCAGATCATTTTTAGTTTTTCAAAACGAGTCAGACATTTGGTAGATTTTTACCTGAAAATGTGTCTATAGGTTTAACTAAAAGATTTTTACATGAAACTTTGAATTTTTAGGCTAAGCTGTTTTTATTACATCATCTTCTATGATTCTATGGCTATATTTATACTAGCTACAATTTGAGGATTCAGAGCCATACTTTATCAAGATTACTTTAACAAATTTACTAAGGGCTTTTGAGTCCCGGGAGCAGTTGGATACAGGGTATTTCCAAGTTAAGTGAACCTGGGGTTGGCCTTAGCAATGGTGCCAGCTGTCACAGTTTTGTCAATTAGATGAATCAGCTGACCAACAATAATTATCTATGATGAGATTATCTGGACTTTCTGTTTTCCTAGCTCAGGGAAGTCAGTCCTATCCCAATGACTCAGTAGGACTTAGTATGCAATGATACTGTATCATCACCCGTTCACTTATTTGTTAGACACTATAGGGTTGTGTGTAAAATTCCTGCTTCATTTTTAGACCAATAAGTCCCTACTAATTGTTAAATACCTGTTCCATGTCCTTGATGCAATGAGTAGTCACTAAACTTGAAGAGTTTTTTATTAATGTATTGAGCAAAATAACCAGTTAAAATGAAGTCAGTGGCCGACTTGCTAGGGGCAGGTAGAAAGGGGAAGAAATGAGTTTTGAGACGAGCTCAGCATGGGAAGCTCAACATCTATTCCAATACAGGTTAAAAATATAAAGAAGATTAAAAAATATCTGTGGTTAAGGGTGGGTCTCTGTAAGCACTGAAATACAAAATAGAATTGTATAGGAAATGGAAAAGAGGGGAGATTGAAAGCAATAGATATAAGCTGCCCATCAAGGAATGCAGGCACACAATAAGGGAGTCAAGAAAGCAAAATGAAATAATGTTGCTAAGGGACTCAAAGGAAATAAGAAAAGTTTCTATAAATATATCCAAGAGAAAGAACAAAACAGGGAGAAAAACACTGTAAAGTGAGAATTGTGAGCAGGCTGACTCAAGGAATGACCATAAGCCTATCACATCTTTTATTCTTCTCCGTTGTCAGTAAAATCTGGAAAAAGAACAAATAGAAAAAGTAGAGTTCTTTTGTTGTTGTTGTTGAATGTGTATGGGATTGGAGGACACTATTAATGACGATAATAGGTGAAGCCATTATTGCAGGAAAATAGCAAATGTGAAATAAAATTTTATGATGTGCTCTTGCATGTTAAAAGTAAATGCTTCTGACAGTTTTGAAAGAATGGCATAGAGTGTTATAATCTCTAAAAGCTTCCAGTAGAAAAAATAACACTTAAGAAGAGAAAGGTAATGCAATTTCAGCTAATTCCCCCTTTTAGGAACAAGTAGAATGAAATCAGAGAATAGGTGCATGATTAAATGCAATTTTCACCCCAGAATTTATGATGCTGTTGGAACCATCAATGAAGTAGGTTTCCCATCACGATTATAATTTTATTTTGTTTTGTTTTATCTCAAGACTTGTTGAGAATTTTAAGGTTTTAGGTTTTGTTGGGGGTAGGGATGTTACAATCTATTTTGTAAACCTGTTTTCTTGAGGGAGAAGGTATTTGTAAGTTCAAATAGTGTTGTTAAGAAATATACAATTTGAGATATACTGCAATTTAAAATACAAAGAAAACATAATTCTGGGTATTATAATCCAGCATTAAATTTGAGCTTAATGGATGTCCTTTGTACCATATTGGCTCTGAATATGTTCAATTGCTTTCATGGATCACATGGAGAAGAGTGTCCAAGCATGTGGGGCCTCTACAATCACCCGAATATGTTTCAATCTGTCCTTAAGTAAGTCCCTTTGCTTCACTATCCTTCTGTTATATCTACTCCAGTGTTTCATCTTTCCCTTTAAGGCCAGCTTTCTCTTTCTGTGGTTGTAGAGTTAAATCAGTAGAATGTAAGACAGACATTTCTAAGTGCTTAAAATATTTCCTTGTATGGTATATGCTGTCAGTTCTTGGCACTAGAGGGACTAATTGGTAATGGTACATTAATAAACTGAATCTGCAGGTTTTTCTGCATTCTGGAGATGCCTGTTCCATTACCAGAAACAGAAAAAGAGACAAGACCAACTCGGATGGGGTTAATAATTATATCAGAAATAAACCTAACTGTAACACAGGTAGCTTCAAACCAGATAATTCAGAAATAGTTTGTATAATTACTAATTAGGTCGACTGACACTGGAATTTGAATTATTCATGAAACCTGAAAGCAGAGGATAATTCATTCCTGAATACCTCTACAACTAATTGGAAAGTTGTTTATTATATTTTTCACTAGGTGATGTGCTGATATTTATTTCATGCTTTAGTTTTGACAATTTTATTTTAGAAATATCTTCAAGTGACAAATAGAAATGATTAAGAATGATCTTCCTCCCTGAAAAATTAGCTCAAAGTTCAAGAAAAATCTATCTCTAGTTGGTTATTAAGATCAAACCTATGACTCTTATGAATAGACTTTTCAAAATGTTAGGAAGATTCCTTTGGCAAGTATGTAACGAAAATACACTTATTAGAGGAACTTTTCTTCTAATTTATTGTATAATATTGATTTTTTGTTTTTCAAAATATGCTATTAGTTTATTTGATATTTACTATCTATAGTGCTTATTCTTAGATTCATTTTTGTTTTTTCAAATAGAAGGATATTCAGTATTAGCTCTCAGAATGATGCCTTATATCTATAAATTGTATGTTTTTATTTCACCATTAAACGTAATTTGCTTGAGTAAACCTTTAAGAATAGAAAGAGGCAACTTTAGTGATTCTGAGTTTTCGGATGATAGAGCCATTCAAACATTTATTGATTTAATCATCCAAGCATTATTTTTTGAGCAACTAACATGTGGCATCGTCCCTTTGCCAGTCAATGGAAATATACAGTATTTCCTTTTATAAACCTACAAATCTGATGGGAATGTGTGGCAGAGATGGTGTCTACAAACTGTTCACCCAAAACTGATGTTCCCCCTGGCTTAGTGAAAATGAGTCACCAGGAGGTTGTTACCCAGCTAGTGCTATGTTTCCTGGCACCCTTTGTATCCAGTTATATCCATAGATTTAGATTTTACCTATAGAATGTGAATAAAAGTAATGCTTATTAGTCCCTGTTTGGTGTTTGTAAGTAGTAGGATGCCATTTCTTTCCTTATATGCTAGAAGCATATGGTAGGGTCATACAAAGAAGGAGCTTACATGTCAGCATCATCACAGGAAAGAAAGCAATTCAACCACTAGGGAAACTGTTCTTGGACAGAGAAACTCCCTGTCATGGCAACTACAACTTAAGGACCATGATGAAAATTTAACCACAAAAAAAAAACCCATGCACTTCCATTTGTTATAATAAATGGCCAGACATACACACACACACGCGCGCACACACACACACACACACCAACCAAACAAGAAAACCCTCCTAAACTAACAATGAAAAATCCCTTTTTAAAATGTCCACAAACTGCTTGTTTGTCTCGTCTCCTGCAAGCATTCAAGGGCTACCAAATGTATTTGGAAACCAGCAAGCCTTCTCTATTTCCAAAATACTTTAATAAAATACTTGCCGATCAGGAACTGTCTTTAAGTTCTTTCTTTATACTGTTTAAAGCTTACTCTCCTTTCCGACATCTTTGAACCCCAGCTGAAGGGAGAGTGATAGTAAATGGGTTCTTTTGCTCAAGTTTATGAATAAACAGACTTTGTTAGTTTTAGCCAAGACTTAGTTTTGTCTTTGACAAGATTGTTATACGAGTGATAAATAATACTTTATTGCATTGAAATATTGAAATTTTGGGGCTGGTTTGTCTAGGCAGCTAGTATTACCTTACTGATATAGGCTGTCAGGCAAGTAAATCATAATTTAAAATCATATTAATTTGAGTACAAATGTACCTATGACAAGTAGGGAGGAAGCTATGGGAACACATTGGAGTGCCACCAAATGCAAGTTTAGATGTGGAGGTGGGGGTAACCGTCAGAAGAGGAAACTTGAAGGAAGTGACATTTCAACCAGGGTGTAAAAGAAAAGTGAGAGTTAGGCAGGCCAATAGGAAACGATGGGGGAAAGCATCCGGAAAGTAGAAGCAACATGTGCACAGTGCTTTTTCCCACCAAGGCACAGTGATGGGAAAAAGCACTGGGCATTTGCCCAACAGCAGTGTGAGGGAAGCTAAGGAACACACCATCAGGGACCTTTTATATTATGCTATCTTGAATTTCTAAGTTGTCATTCTAATAACCAAAATAGCAAGTCGATTAGGGATTCAGGCATGATGATAGGCAAGGAGACCCAGTAGAAGTCTGTGGCATGAATCCAGGGAAAACAATGAGAGCTTGAGGTAACACTATTTCAGCAAAGATAAAGAAAAATGATGGCATGTGTCAGCTATTGAGGAGGTAGAATTGAAAACACGTAATGCTTGAAGGTCAGGCAGGATTAAGGGAGTGGGTAGTTCCATGAATTAATAAATATAAATTAAAGGTTTAGGGCATACCCAGGAAAAAAGAGGAGAGGAGATATATCATTTAGTTTCACATTTCTCCATGGGGAGGCATCAGTAGGCCATCTAAGACATTCTTGTGGGATTAAAGAGAGATTTCTGTGGTAAAGATGTAAACAACACAGTTTTTTATAAATAAAAGTAAAGTTGTCATAGAACATGTACATAATAATTGAAGCCATTAAAGCAAATAAGACCGCAGGAAGAGGCTGAAGAGGGTGAGTAACAAAGAGGACCAAGGACCAAACCATTCCTGCGGGATGTTAAAAAAGATATCTCTTTGCATTAGGATGGGAAGCATGAAACAAAAATAAAGGAAGGAAGGCATTAAAGAATAATCATCACTGAACTTATGACAAAAGCATATTTAAAAAGAAGAAGGTTATAATTTTGTAGCAAAGTAAGTCAAAATCGAAATGTTTTAATTGGGTTTAGTAAAAATAATTCAACACATGTTTGTTTAGTGTCTGTTGATGTCTACATCTTGGGGTACAGAGAGGAGCAAGGCAAAGTCCTTGTCCTTGCTTTTGTGGGTGCAGATTCTGGTGGGGAGCCAGACTTAACCAAATTACCAAATCATATGATTTTAGGGAAGGATGGATACTTTGAGGAACAGTAAAGCAGGACAAGTGAACATATAGGGACATGGGGTAGGCCTCTGTGGAGAGGTCATATGCGAGTAGAGGTCTGAATGAGGTGAAGGAGAGATCACAGGAGATGCTGAGATCATTTGCCAAGAAAAATTTATGTGGAGGCTGGAAGCGAAGTCAGAGTACAGCAAATTCAGGACTAAATGGGAAGTGAGCACTGCTTTTTAAAGACACTTGCCTGAGGAGGAAAGGAGAGGAACTAGACAGCAGGCAGAGGATGACTTAGAGAAGATTTAACTTTGTTTTGTTTTATAAATAAAATCAGAGAGTTGAATACCTTAAAATTCCTGGAGGAAAAGTCTAGCAGAGAGGGAGGCATTCATGGCACATAGTTAATGGAAAATGCTGACAATTTTTTGGTGGTGAGTGGGAAGCTCAAACTCCAGCTTTATTTTTCTCCCTGAAGGTAAAGAGAAAATAAGGATAAAATATCAGATGACTTGGGGAGTCACCTTAGGAAGCAAAAGAATGATTCATATGCTTTGTAAGCTTAATATCAACCTTTCTTCTTAATTGCATTGATTCCCTTAAGTCTTTTAGACCTTTCTACAATGGTTTTTCTAATCCTGCCTCAGTAGTCAAAGGTTGTTTTTTTTTTTTAAATTTCTATGATCATCATATTGGATCCACATAGAGAAACATGTACTACTGCAGTTTAAAATGTTGTTAAAATTAACATTTTTCAGAGTCGTGTTTTAGTAGAATTTTTAAAAGATTAAGAAAATAGGAAACCATAAATAGTTTCTAACCTTAGTATGAAGTTAAGTATGTTTTTACTTTATAATGGAATCTCATAAAATTAATCTTCTCAGACATTTGTAGACAACTTTTTGAAACTTTAACACCTTGATGACCCTTCTTTTTCTCATTCCTCCTTCTTGATTTTTGATCTCAAGATTCTTGTCATAATTAAGTTCCCATTCTATTCAAAATAGTCTTATCTCTTTACACTTCCCACAATGGCCATGCTCTTACTGTAATCTCTAATAAGAAGATCCTCTCCACATTTTTATTCTTATTTCTGTTTAATCTTCAAAACCCATTTTGAGTTTTTTTACTCTACATGCTCCACTAACATTTTGGATAGACATTTTTCTCTCCTCCTTAGGATTGTATATCTCTTATTATATGTAACAAGTATTTTGGCATTTAACTATATTCTGTGTTATTTTATGTGTAAATTCAGACTTCCCTGTAAGACATTTGTTTAAATGAGTTTGAGTGGTGTTTTATCACTTGAACCTAAAACTGTTGTGTTGTATCGCTTGGACCTAAACCAAATGAATAATAATAGACTTAAAAAATCTTCGTGGTGTGTATTGCAATGGTACTCCTTTTTTGTTATTAATTGTACCTAGCCAAAATGTAAGAATATTCATCAATTTCCATTTTCAGAAGAGCACCCAATCAGTAATCATTTGTTCATTCAAAAGATATTTACTGAATAACCACTAGGTGCCAGAATGAAAATAAAATTGACACAAAGCTGACTAATTGTTTTTCTCCACAGAGCTTACAGTGTATCATATGACAGATGTTAAACTAATGAACAAATATACATATGCATACACACATATGTATATATAATTTCAAATTATGATATTGTCACGCATTAAGTGTCATGAATAATAGTATGACATAGGGTGCCATAAGAGAGATTAACATAGGCTGTTTTTTTATGAAGAGCAGGTTTGAAGAATACTTACACCTGATCTAGTGGACTTGAGATGATTTTCATGTGCAAATGACATGTGAACTTCGGGAGTGTTTCATGGGCAAGATGTGCAAACGAAGATCTCCAAATTATAATTAACAATACAGTCAGATTAAGTCCTAACTATTCTATGGCATTCAGTTGTCAAAACCTAAAAATAATAGGACATCGACTCTTGAATGAAAGACAGATTTGTATGTTTCATAAAATATGAGACAAAAGCAATTATTTGGTGTTTTATGCCAAGCTTCTTTATCCCTTTGCTTACTTTCAGGACACTGTATTTATGTTTTTATCCCAGAAATAGACATATAACTTGTAAAACAAGTTAACAAATCATCAAATGTGATCAAAGCAAAAACACCTATAGACAGCATTTCACTGACTAAATAAATTTGAACCACTAAATAACTAAGATAGTGTGTTGGAACTAACACTTAGATTAAGAAATTAGAAGAAAGTCATTGGTAGCTTGATGGGGATAGCATTGAATCTATAAATTACCTTGGGCAGTATGACCATTTTCACGATATTGATTCTTCCTACCCATGAGCATGGAATATTCTTCCATTTGTTTGTATCCTCTTTTATTTCATTGAGCAGTGGTTTGTAGTTCTCCTTGAAGAGGTCCTTCACGTCCCTTGTAAGTTGGATTCCTAGGTATTTTATTCTCTTTGAAGCAATTGTGAATGGGAGTTCACTCATGATTTGGCTCTCTGTTTGTCTGTTATTGGTGTATAAGAATGCTTGTGATTTTTGTACATTGATTTTGTATCCTGAGACTTTGCTGAAGTCGCTTATCAGCTTAAGGAGATTTTAGGCTGAGACAATGGTGTTTTCTAGATATACAATCATGTCATCTGCAAACAGGGAGAATTTGACTCCCTCTTTTCCTAATTGAATACCCTTTATTTCCTTCTCCTGCCTAATTGCCCTGGCCAGAACTTCCAACACTATGTTGAATAGGAGTGGTGAGAGAGGGCATCCCTGTCTTGTGCCAGTTTTCAAAGGGAATGCTTCCAGTTTTTGCCCATTCAGTAAGATCTTGGCTGTGAGTTGTCATAGATAGCTCTTATTATTTTGAGATATGTCCCAACAATACCTAATTTATTGAGAGTTTTTAGCATGAAGGGTTGTTGAATTTTGTCAAAGGCCTTTTCTGCATCTATTGAGATAATCATGTGGTTTTTGTCTTTGGTTCTGTTTATATGCTGGATTACATTTATTGATTTGCATATATTGAACCAGCCTTGCATCCCAGGGATGAAGCCCACTTGATCATGGTGGATAAGCTTTTTGATGTGCTGCTGGATTCGTTTTGCCAGTATTTTATTGAGGATTTTTGCATCAATGTTCATCAAGGATATTGGTCTAAAATTCTCTTTTTTGGTTGTGTCTCTGCCCGGCTTTGGTATCAGGATGATGCTGGCCTCATAAAATGAGTTAGAGAGGATTCCCTCTTTTTCTATTGATTGGAATAGTTTCAGAAGGAATGGTACCAGTTCCTCCTTGTACCTCTGGTGGAATTTGGCTGTGAATCCATCTGGCCCTGGATTCTTTTTGATTGGAAAGCTATTGATTATTGCCACAATGTCAGAGCCTGTTATTGGTCTATTCAGAGATTCAACTTCTTCCTGGTTTAGTCTTGGGAGGATGTATGTGTCAAGGAATTCATCCATTTCTTCTAGATTTTCTAGTTTATTTGTGTAGAGGCGTTTGTAGTATTCTCTGATGGTAGTTTGTATTTCTGTGGGATCGGTGGTGATATCTCCTTTATCATTTTTTATTGCATCTATTTGATTCTTCTCTCTTTTCTTCTTTATTAGTCTTGCTAGCAGTCTATCAATTTTGTTGATCCTTTCAAAAAACCAGCTCCTGGATTCATTAATTTTTTGAAGGGTTTTTTGTATCTCTATTTGCTTCAGTTCTGCTCTGATTTTAGTTATTTCTTGCCTTCTGCTAACTTTTGAATGTGTTTGCTCTTGCTTTTCTAGTTCTTTTAATTGTGATGTTAGGGTGTCAATTTTGGATCTGTCCTGCTTTCTCTTGTGGGCATTTAGTGCTAAAAATTTCTCTCTACACACTGCTTTGAATGTGTCCCAGAGATTCTGATATGTTGTGTCTTTGTTCTCGTTGGTTTCAAAGAACATCTTTATTTCTGTCTTCATTTTGTTATGTACCCAGTAGTCTTTCAGGATCAGGTTGTTCAGTTTCCATGTAGTTGAGAGGTTTTGAGTGAGTTTCTTAATCCTGAGTTCTGGTTTGATTGCACTGTGGTCTGAGAGACAGTTTGTTATAATTTCTGTTCTTTTACGTTTGCTGAGGAGAGCTTTACTTCCAACTATGTGGTCAATTTTGGAATAGATGTGGTGTGGTGCTGAAAACAATGTATATTCTGTTGATTTGGGGTGGAGAGTTCCGTAGATGTCTATTAGGTCTGCTTGGTGCAGAGCTGAGTTCAATTCCTGGGTATCCTCGTTAACTTTCTGTCTCGTTGATCTGTCTAATGTTGACAGTGGGGTGTTAAAGTCTCCCATTATTATTGTGTGGGAATCTAAGTCTCTTTGTAGGTCATTCAGGACTTGCTTTATGAATCTGGGTGTTCCTGTATTGGGTGCATATATATTTAAGATAGTTAGCTCTTCTTGTTGAATTGATCCCTTTATCATTATGTAATGGCCTTCTTTGTCTCTTTTGATCTTTGTTGGTTTAAAGTCTGTTTTATCAGAGACTAGGATTGCAACCCCTGCCTTTTTTTGTTTTCCATTTGCTGTAGATCTTCCTCCATCCTTTTATTTTGAGCCTATGTGTGTCTCTGCACATGAGATGGGTTTCCTGAATACAGCACACTGATGGGTCTTGACTCTTTATCCAATTTGCCAGTCTGTGTCTTTTAATTGGAGCGTTTAGTCTATTTACATTTAAAGTTAATATTGTTATGTGTGAATTTGATCCTATCATTATGATGTTAGCTGGTTATTTTGCCCATTAGTTGATGCAGTTTCTTCCTAGTCTCTATGGTCTTTACAATTTGTCATGATTTTGCAGCGGCTGGTACTGGTTGTTCCTTTCCATGTTTAGTGCTTCCTTCAGGAGCTCTTTTAGGGCAGGCCTGGTTGTGACAAAATCTCTCAGCATTTGCTTGTCTGTAAAGTGAATTGGAAAAAACTACTTTAAAGTTCATATGGAACCAAAAAAGAGCCTACATCGCCAAGTCAGTCCTAAGCCAAAAGAACAAAGCTGGAGGCATCACGCTACCTGACTTCAAACTATACTACAAGGCTACAGTAACCAAAGCAGCATGGTACTGGTACCAAAACAGAGATATAGATCAATGGAACAGAGCAGAGCCCTCAGAAATAATGCCACATATCTACAACTATCTGATCTTTGACAAACCTGAGAAAATCAAGCAATGGGGAAAGGATTCCCTGTTTAATAAATGGTGCTGGGAAAACTGGCTAGCCATATGTAGAAAGCTGAAACTGGATCCCTTCCTTACACCTTATACAAAAATTAATTCAAGATGGATTAAAGACTTAAACGTTAGACCTAAAACCATAAAATGTTTTTAGGTCCTTCGTAGGGACATGGATGAAATTGGAAATCATCATTCTCAGTAAACTATCGCAAGGACAAAAAACCAAACACCGCATGTTCTCACTCATAGGTGGTTATTGAACAATGAGAACACATGGACACAGGAAGGGGAACATCACACTCTGGGGACTGTTGTGGGGTGGGGGGAGGGGAGAGGGATAGCATTAGGAGATATACCTAATGCTAAATGACGAGTTAATGGGTGCAGAACACCAATATGACACATGTATACATATGTAACTAACCTGCACATTGTGCACATGTACCCTAAAACTTAAAGTATAATAATAATAAAATTAAAAAAAAAGAAATTAGAAAACAAGGCGCCGACGTCCTCTCTGCCCATAACTCACTTCACTTATCTGGGCTTCAGCATCTCATCTGTAAAGTTAACTTTTTCTTTCTGGATTCTCTTAAATATTCTTCATAGCATTTAATTCACAAAACCCTCATGTTAAGAAAGAGATGTTCTCTTAACGTTGAGTGAGTATTTGGTCTTTTAGCAAAGGACAACGGTAACTTTGCAATGTAACTGAGTCAAAGCAATTTAAGAGTAAACAAATCCTAGTATTTCTGCAATACCAAGAAATTTCCATTCTAGGACCTTCGAAACAAAGAGCTCTCCTCATCTAAGGAGCCTTGACCTTGGCTGCACTCTAGTGTTTATAAGGTCACTTGATCATTCCAAAGCCAAATTAAAACTCTGAAATTCTCTTAGGTATTTAGTTTCTGTCATTCAAATAGCACTTCTCTTGGGCTGTTTAGCATTATAGCTTTGGCCATTTGTTTTACTTTTTTTGCTTGACAGTAAGTTCTCTTTGAATTCAAGAATATCTGCAATTGTATATAATGCTTTGTATTTTGTAGGCTTTTGATAAGTATTTGTTGAATATATGTGGACCTTAAAGTAAGTTTCTTTGAAAGAAAGTAAAGAGATAGAATTCAAAAGTGCTACATGGCAGAAGAGGTGTTAATTTAAAAATAGTGAAAACACTCTAAATCTCAATATTACAGAATGGTGGTAAAACAAATTCCTTTAAAGGATCCAATGATCTGTGAATATAAATGACTGAGGCAGACACTGTGTTGCCAGGTGTAAACGTCTTTTTTTAACATAATTTTTTTTTTCAAATGCAGGTTTAGACACTGGTCAGATTGTGCAGTCTGCCTTTGGTGAGGTGAATGTTCAGGCTGTGACTCTAACCTGTTGTTGTTCTTGTCAGTGGCCTAAATTTAGAGTTATCTCTGTGAGATTCTAAGACGTGTACTACAAAGATTCTCCCCAGGTCAAAAGACATGATTTGTTGTCAAAGTTGGCAGCAAGGATGTAGGGGCCAAAAAATAGGCTTTTATGTCAGAGAAAAATGAGCTGAATTTCATGCTGCCATTTACTAACTAATTGTGTCATTTGAAATAATTTGCATAATGTCTCAGTGTCTCAGTTCATTTTTAAACTAAGAATGCATCCATAGAGGTGCCATGAGAGTTAAATGAGATAATGAGTGTAAAATGCTTGATATAGTGCCTGGTACTCAGTGAGTATATAATAAATAATAGTTAGCCGGAGCTCAGAACATGTTTCCCCAAAATATGGAACTGAGGCAATTGAATAAACAGCAGAAGCAAAGTCACTGACCTTCTCCTACCTTTCTTCACTGAAGCATGGTCATCAAGCAATTCTGAAAGTAAGTCATAAGGTCCTCATTCTAGAGGAGTCCCACCCTATATCTGGAAGCCAAGAAGAATCTGAAGAAACAGGCCCTGCTAAGTTCCCCTTAAGTTATTACTAATCATCTCCCCTTTTTGTCCAGTTACAGTTCTACATGATTGTTCATTCTTCATCAAATGTCTGCATGAAAATACACAGTATTTTATGCATCTTTGGGTCTTCATTTCTGAGGGATCCCATGTCACATAAAAATACAGTTAAATATATTTATTATTGCTTTTCTCTTGTTAGTTTGTCTTTTGTTATAGGGATATCAGCTATGATCATTTCAGTGGGTGAGAAAAATATATTACTTTTTCTCCCATACATGTTTATGTAGGACATGTTCAGTGTCTAGTTGCAAAAATTATTCAGACCACCATACGACCTTTCTCATTTTTCTCTTTATAAGTCCCAAAAATATGTAACCTACATATTTAGAACTGGCCTCATTTACTTTCTGTATTTGAGAATCATCTGTATGTATCTAGATTTTACACACTGTTTCCCATTTCTCTTTGGGATGTTAGTTGAATAAGCACTATTAAAGAGTTTCCCAAAAGAATAGGTGAAAATAGACAGGCTATAATTATTAATTTTAGATTCTTTAGTATGAAATTTTGAAACTGAACATTTGCAGAAATAAAATCTTATAATCAATTAGTAACATTTTGAATATTGTGTTTTCTTTTTACCCCTTTGCTTCCATCTTCCCTGAACATGTTTAATAGCAGATGGCTTTAAGATGTTTTTAGGTTATTGAACAGACTGGACTGCATTCTGTTCCTGGAGGGCTGTTACCCACATGTAGGTGGTTCATGAAACAGAAGAGTAGAGTAATACATTGTGGTAAAACAATTTTATATTCAAGGGAAAAAACATGTCTTAATTTATTTGCATTCATTAAATTAACATTCTTCTAAGTAGACATGTTTCATTTGAAGGATTGGGCTATAGAGCTTGCAAATGTGTTTCTTCCTATGCATGCCCAGGCTTCTCTAGAAATGCTTCCATTTTGATGAAATAAGAGAAGAAAGAATTAGCAGTACTTGCATTCCTTGCAAACATTTCATAGAGACTATGGCATACCCTTCTAGGCAGAAAGCTTAAACATATTATATACATCAAACTGACTGGTTTCACTAGGTTAAGGGGAAAAAGCAATTATTTAAAAGTCACAATTCTACATAAAATATTGCTTCAAGAAGTTCTTTGGCTTTGAAGTGGAGTCTAGACTTTTGCATCTTTATGAGGTCATATTTTTTCAGACTGAATTTTAAAATGTATTTAATATATGTATGTACACATGTCAAGGCAGAGGGACGTTTTGTATATGAATTTAATTAAGCAATAGGCCACTTTGGGACTTGTTTTATAGAGCCATTTGTTTCACGTGAGTTCAACTGCCCAAGCTACCGTGCAATAATAGTCTCATAAAATTATTCTCTGGAGGGCCTTATTTCTACCATAATGTGCTTTTACTTAAAATTTAGTTTAATAGCAACATTTTTCCTTGTATATCAAGGAAACTCTATACAAGTAATAGCTATTGGAAAATATAGTGGTTAAAGAGCTCTTGGTTTTCTTTATTTACTATTGGGAATTGTTCATTCAAAGAAGAAAAATGAGAAAAGAGGAGGAAAATACGTATATTACATTTGTAATAATCTTTAAATTTGGTATTTGTTTCTACTTACCATTCATGATACTCTCATTTAAATCCCTTTTACATATTTTTGCCCTCAGCATGCTCATTTCCTGTATGTACTTGATCCCAGCCTATTCTCCTTAGGAACAATGGATTATCTACAGCAATATTTGCTGATATGTGCCAGAAGATAGGCTCTTCATTGGGACCACAGTAATTAATTGAGACCTAATTCCAGTTTTTTAAGTAAGCTTCTAATTTGGAAAGAAAACAGACTATCAATAAAGGTTTGTAAAGTATGTGTAATTTACTGTAGTGTATACTGGATATATATTTTCAAACTATGAAATTCAATAATTTATCTTTTTTTGTGTTTCCACAATTAAACTTAGTTTCCATCTTGAGCAAAACTCCCTTGGATCCTGACAAGAGCGGCCCTTGGTACTTTAGAAGAATTTGAATATGAGCCTTGTACTTTAAAAGATTTTGAATATCTTAGACACACGTATGTACCCGTTTTAAAGACATATAGGTTTTCCTATAAGATAGAATATAGCACTCAACACTTGTACTCCTGTAATCTTAAACATCTATTCTCCTGACTAATAATATACTCACCCAGGGTAATATTTTTCTTCATCTCTTGCAAAAGGCAACTGTGTCCAATTGCTGTGAAGGTTGTGGGCTATGCCACTGTGACATTGGAGATAAAAGCAGTGCATCAGAGTGAGAGCAGGATCAGAGCACAGAAAGGGATTGGTAAGAGAAAAGATAGATGAGTTGATCTGCCAAATGCTTCTTCTCAAATGGCACAAATACTAAAGATTCCTGCAAAATATAGTACCATTACCTGGTAGTGTGGAGCATCTATTTTTTGTTACTTTTTATATTCCAATTTGCATTTCTAAGGTACTCACAAAAAACAGGCATTCTCAATATGTGGCAGAGCTTGATCTGTTTTACATTAAATGGTTCATGTTTTTCTTAAATTTGTATTTACTTAGGTTTCAATGTAAGCTTCATGAAGCATGATAGTGATGCTTTACTTTGGTAAATAGACATTAAGTGCAAAATTGAGATGAATTATATTTTTATAAAAATGTTTAATAAGATTTAACAATTTTTTAAATTAAAAATTTTATGGTAAGTATTTTTTTATTCCTACTTCTTTTTAATAGTTAATTTTGAATATTTAAAAATAATTTTTTGGTAACAAAGATAAAATATATGTATTTTTTATACTTCAATACACTCTGACTGAAAATACATTCAGATTTAATATACTTTGACTTCAATTACAGTTTGCTTTTTTTAATCATTTAAATCACTGAGAAATGAGTACAAGTTGGGATTGTGATGGAAATAGAAAATATAAAAATAGAGTTCAAATAATTTTTAAAGTAGAAATTAAAAAAGATATTTTAAAACATCCTGAAAGAAGTGGTCAGTTTAAAATTTTAAAATCTGGCAGCAATACAAGTAAGCAGGTAATCACCCATGATGATTCCTGAAAAATTAATTAACAGGTCAAAGAGACAATGGGATGGGAAGAAGTGATTCTAAGTGATGTTGAACAATTTACTTAAACTTGCTGTGACTCAGTTTTTCATGTCTAAAATGAAGATAATACAAATGCCTATCTCATAGGGTTGTTATAGGAATTAAGTGAGTTAACATATGTAAAGTTATGACATGCAGTGTATATTCTAAAGTTTTAGCAAGTATTAATATTTTGGGAAAAGTGGATATGCTGTGTAGAATAAAGGTAACAGAGGAGAAAAAACACAGATATGTAGAAGAGTTTCCATTTATTTTCTTTGTGTCTCTTATGTGGCATATTTTGGCTACACTTATGGGAAGGAGCTAATGGAATGGGAAATTTCGCCAATACAGAAAAATTGAATAATGGTTGGAGCAAGAGCCTGGAGGAAGCAGGGAAAGAAGCATGTAAAGCATGTATGAAAGAAGTACCTTGCAAAGAGGAGCAGTCCCCCCTTTCCTGACCTGGGGATCAAGGTGAGGCAATAGGAAGCAGACGGACTTACAGATGAAGTACCTCACTCCCCTTTGTATTATGAGGCTGAAATTGAGTCAGGCACAGTCTAGCTTATGTCTTAATGAGAGGAGATAAGGAGACAGGGAACTGGTCTGAGTTATCTAAAAGGATTCATGTGTGATGTCCAAGGCTTGCGGTACCATCAGTCCATATAATTGTCATATTTTACACAGCTGGGTCTTCAGATGTCTGAGTGGAGAGGGAGAGAATTCAACATTTGGATTTATTTAAGTGATCATGTTTTGGGAATTTGAACTAGAAACATAAATGTAAAAAAATTGAGGGTGCTACAAGAGGGTCATGAAATAGGTAAAGATTTAGGATGGACAGGTAAGGAGATAAAGTTGGAAATAAGATAATAAACAAGGTTTTTTGTTTTTTTTGTTTGTTTGTTTTCAAATGGAGTCTCACTCTGTTGCCCAGGCTGGAGTGCAATGGCGTGATCTTGGCTCACTGCAACCTTCTCCTCCCGGGTTCAAGTGATTCTCCTGACTCAGCCTCCTGAGTAGCTGGGACTACAGGCGCATGCTATCATGCCTGGCTGATTTTTGTATTTTTAGTAGATATGGGGTTTCACCATGTTGGCGACGCTGGTCTCGAACTCATGACCTCAAGTGATCCGCCTGCCGTGGCCTCCCAAAATGCTGGGATTACAGGCATGAGCCACCGTGCCAAGCCAATGAATAAGATTTTTAAAAGGTCAAGGACCTTAAGATATTTTAAAGTCAAAGAACATGTGCAGTAGCAGTGAGGACAAGAGACAACCAGCCATAGTGGGAATGTTGAATTGATGATTTTAGAGATGGCAGCTCCAGTCATGTTACTACAGCAATTCTTCCAGATGCTCCTTTTCAGATTTCAGAGGAAGTCTGTGCAAAGAAGTTAGAGTTTCAGTTAGAAACTCTGTCCCTCTCAAATGAAAAAAAGCAAACCGGTAATTAGTTCTTTGTTCATCATACCTATTAATGATAAAAATGAGCTTTTATACTAGGTCACTTCATCTAGTGTAGGTTTAAAGAAAACTGATATGGTAGGCACACTGCCAATGCTGCTAGTTCATAGACTATGTCAGAGATACCAGAACAGAAGGCCCAAGTTAACTAACAAAAGGAATCTTCTTCACTTGGCTTCAATCACCCATCCAGAGGTCGGGTGAAATGTTTTCCACCTGACCACATATCAACTCTCATTTGCAAATAAGCACTTTTATAAAAGAGGAATAATTGAATGCAGGGTTTGACATCATGAACTCTTAAAATAGACTGCTTTGGTAACAGAATTTTCTGTGCCTCAATTCATAAAATAAACATAATAGTACCCACTTAATAGTGTTGTAATGAGAATTAAATGAGTTAATATTTTTAAAGTCCTCAGCACAGTTTCAGTAACATGGTGAGATTCTACAAATAAAAATATCAGGCAAAAAGTTTAATAATAATAGTTAAAAATTGTACACCAGTAAATATCAGTAGCAGAAATATTAGAGTAAATAAAGGCCCTACCTATAGTTCTCTAGTCTCTCAAAGCCCATAATGACTCACGTAATACTTAACAGCACCCAAGTATATGACTCAAAGTTATATAAGGATCAGAGAATCATTTTCTAAGCCTGGAAACCTGAAGCCCAAAATGATGTCCTCAGCCCATGGATTTATCTTATTGCCCCACTCTGGCCACAGTATGTTTGTTCAGTATGTACTTGGCCAACACTATCTTATAGAATCTGTTCAGCTTGCGGGGCACCACTGGGTTTTCTCTACTGACACATTGGTACACTGGCTTAAAAATTACTTTCTTGACTCCACACCCCTCCAGCTACTGCTGCATTTCTCTGCTCCCATTCACATCCAATTTTTTTGGAAGGCATTTTCTACAGAAGATATCATTGCTCCCTCATTGCCAAATTATTCATTAAGCCATTGTAATGTTGCTTCCTCGCCCATCACACCACTTGTCATAGTCATCAACATTATCACACTGAATTTTTATCCTTTTCGTATCCAACTTCTCTGCAGAAGTGATGTAATATGCTATTTCCTCTTTATCAAGAACACTAACTCCTCTTAATTTTCATCACACTCTTCTGGCTTTCATTCTTTGTCTTCAATATCTTTTTCATTCTCCCTTATTGGGTTCCTCCTCTACCCAAACCCTAACTATTCATGAAGCTCAAAGTTCTCTTCTTCTGCCTTTTTGCTATACACATTCCTTCTAGGTAATGTATATTTATTTCAATAGATTTAAACATCTTATACATTTTGAATTTATTTCTTTAGCTCACACTACTTTTTTGAGCCCTAGACAGTTTTCAGCTCATAGTTTGTGACTCTAGAATTAGACAGAAAATACTTGAGGTCAAAATATAAATATAAAATATGAAAAGTAAAGATGACCAAAATTAAAATCTAGAAGATAGGAAAAGTTAAGTCAGGGGAAAGGTAGAGGAAAAAATAGCCTTGGGGTATAGGAACAATTATTTATATTATTTAAGATAAGTAATAAAGTTAGATTATTTAGGTTATAAACTATAAATAGAGGAATTAATAATATTAACATTTTGGGAAAAGTGGAGGGTGAGAGGTAATGGACATTGTTGTAAAGTTACCTCCTCATATAGCTCTGTAGAAAGGTAATGAATAAGGTCAAATTCATGAATCACAGGAAAAACTTAAACCAATGACAATAAAAATGTACATTCTTAGCAGCAAAGCGAAACTTAGAGTGGGGAAGAGAAGAAAATAACTAATCATTTTAATCATGAGTCTTTTTGGATGATTTAATTTTTAACAATGTATGTGCATTAATTTAATAAAAATAAATTTTAGCTTTAAAAATAAAACCAAGCTGGGCATGGTGGTTCATGTCTGTAATATCAGTACTTTGTGGGGCTGAGGTGAGCAGATCACTTGAGGCCAGGAGTTCGAGACCAGCCTGGGCAACATGGCTTATATGGTATGGCTGTGTCCCCACCCAAATCTCATCTTGAATTGTGGTTCCCATAATCCCTACATGTCATGGGAGGGACCAGGTGTAGATAATTAAATCACAGGGGCAGTTTCCTCCATCCTGTTCTTGTGATAGTGAGTTTTAAAAGGGCCTCCCTCTTCACTGGGCACTAATTTCTCTCTCCTGCCACTCTGTGAAGAGGTGACTTCCTCCATGATTGTAAGTTTCCTGAAGACTCCCCAGCCATGCAAAACTGTGAGTCAATTAAACTTTTCTTAGTAAGTTATCCAGTCTTGGGTATTTCTTCATAGCAGCGTGAGAACGGACTAATACGGTAAATTGGTACTGTGAGTGAGGCACTGCTGTAAAGATACCCAAAAATGTGGAAGCGACTTTGGAACTGGGTAATAGGCAAAGGTTGGAACAGTTTGGAGGGCTCAGAAGAAGATAGGAAAATGTGGAAAAGTTTGGAACTTCCTAGAGACTTGTTGAATGGCTTTGACCAAAATGCTGATAGTGATATGGACAATAAAGTCCAGGCTGAGGATGTCTCAGATGGAGATGAGGAACTTGTTGGAAACTGGAATAAAGGTAAGTTTTGCTCTGCAAAGAGACTGTCGGCATTTTGCCCTGCCCTAAAGATCTGTGGAACTCTGAAGTTGAGAGAGATGATTTAGGGTATCTGTTGGAAGAAATTTCTAAGCGGCAAATAGTTCAAGAGGAAGTGGAGCATAAAAGTTTGGAAAATTTGGAAACTGATTATGCCATAAAAAAGAAAACCCCATTTTCTGGGGAGAAATTCAAGCTGGCTGCAGAAATTTGCATAAGTAACAAGGAGCCCAATATTAACAACCAAGACAATAGAGAAAATGTCTCCATGTCAAAGACATTCATTGCAGCCCCTCCCATCACAGACTCAGAGACCTAGGAGGGAAAAGTGGTTTCCTGGGCCTGGCCCAGGGCCCCTGGCTCTATGCAGTCCTGGGACTTGGTGCTCTGCATCCCGGCTGCTTCAGCTCCAGCTGTGACTAAAAAGGGCCAGCATATAGCTCAGGCCATTTCTTCAGAGGATACAAGCCCCAAGCCTTGGCAGCTTACACATGTTATTGGGCCTGCAGTTGCACAGAAGTCAAGAATTAAACTTTCCACCTAGATTTCAGAGGAAGTATGAAAACGCCTAGATGTACAGGCAGAAGTTTGTTGCAGGAGCAGAACCCCCTCATGAAGTACCTCTGCTAGGGCAGTGCAGAAGGGAAATGTGGGGTCAGAGCCCCCACACAGAGCCTCCACTACACTTCCTAGTGGAGCCGTGAGAAGAGGGCCGCTGTCCTCCAGACCCCAGAATGGTAGATCCACCAACAGCTTGCCACGTGTGCCTGGAAAAGCTGCAGACACTCAACACCAGCCCCAAAAGCAGCTGGGAGCCGGGCTGTACTAGGCAAAGCCACAGGGGCAGAGCTACCCAAGGCTGTGGGAGCCCACCTCTTACATCAGCTTGACCTGGATGTGAGACATGGCATCAAAAGAGATCATTTTGGAACTTTAAGATTTAATGATTGCCGTATTAAATTTCAGGCTCGCATGGGGCCTGTAGGTCCTTTGTTTGGCCTATTTCTCCCACTTGGAACAACTGTATTTACCCAATGACTGTATCCCCATTGTATCTAGGAAATAGCTAACTTGTTTTTGATTTTACAGGCTCATGGCTGGAAGTGACTTGTCTTGCCTCAGATGAGACTTTGGACTTAGAATTTTGAGTTAATGCTGTAATGAGTTAAGATTTGGGGGTACTGTTGGAAAGGTCATGATTGTGTTTTGAATTGTAAGGAGATGAGATTTGGGAGGGACCAGGGGTGGAATGATATGGTTTGGCTGTGTCCCCACCCAACTGTCAATTTGAATTTTAGTTCCCATCATCCACACATGTCATGGGAGGGACCAGGTGGAGGTAATCGAATCACAGGGGTGGTTTCCCCTATCCTGTTCTTGTGATAGTGAGTTAGTTCTCAGGAGATCTGATGGTTTCATAAGGGGCTTCCCCCTTCACTGACACTGGTTTCTCTCTTCTGTTGACCTGTGAAGAGGTGCCTTCTGCCATAATTGTAAGTTTCCCAAAGCCTCTCCAGCCGTGTGGAACTGAGTCAATTAAACCTCTTTTCTTTATAAATTACCCAGTCTCAGGTATTTCCTCATAGCAGTGTGAGAATAGACTAATACAATAGCGAAACCCTTTCCCTAAAAATCATACAAAAATTAGCTGAGAGGCACACACCTGTAGTCCCCGCTACCCAGGAAAGCTGAGGTAGAAGGATTTCTTGAGCCCGGGAGGTTAAGGCTGCAGTGAGTCATGATGGAGCCACTGAACTGCAGCCTGGGTGACAGAGTGAGACTCTGTCTCAAAAAGTAAATAAATAAATAATAAAAACAAAACCCAAAGTAAACAGCTGTTGTGAGATTTTATTAAGGGGCTGCTTTTGATGTGAGTTGTCTTAGGTATCTCAATTTGCAATTTGGATACGGAGCTTGTATATTTGCATAACATGTACAAGCTATTTGATTTTTCTGGTTCTTACTTTCCATATATATATATATATATATATATATATATGTAGTTTTTTCTCTGGAATATTGTTGTGAGGTTTGGATATGCTTGTGTGAATAGTATAAAAGATATGCAAATAGAATACCTTCCTCTTCTTGTTCCTCGTTCCTCTGAATTGTGAAGCTCATCATCTGTAGCTTCCTTTTATGTGCGTATGGATTTATTATTGAAAACAGTAAAAGATTTCCTTTCACCGAGCATATCATGTGCTCTTCCCAGGAAATGTTAAACAAGTATAATGGTGCAATATATGTTTTAGACTTAGATTTAGACTATACATACTAGACTATTACATTTTAAAGAGTTATGCGAATTCTTCTTTGTTTAAAATGGCTGGTGTCTTAGAATACATTGGAAAGAATTAAAAAAAATTATTTGTTCAGCAAATGTGGCTTGTGTCAGTGGCTATTAGGTTTGCCAGTTTTATTCTGGACGAGATGTCATTGTGAAAAAGAGAAGGCTTCAGGAGAAAATGATGCTCAGGCTACTCTTCTTTGCTAACCCTTCCCTCAACCATTTTTCATGTTACCTTCAGATTTGAGCAGTTTCACCTTGAGCCATGAGAGAGTAAAATTTCGTTTTTCCCCCCCCCATGCCTCTGGTGGAAGACTATGAGTACTCTGCTGCTTTTGTACTTTGGATTCCTGTCTATCAGAGGTTTGTGAGAACAGATTTGAAAGACTTTGTTTTCTGTACTTCTAGTTCTGGTACTAGCTGTGCAGATATATTTTTTAAATGTCATCAAAATATCTTTGTGCAGTATATAATTAAGATATAATTTGATTATCATTACCCTAAACAGGGAATGAGTTCTGTTTATATTTTATTAAACAGGTTAGTTGGTTAGGCACTTCCCTTAATGAAGACAGAAATAGATATGTCTGCTTTTATTAATAAATCTGTTCCCAAAATAAGAACTCCAAAAGAGAGATGTGCAGAGCCTTAAACACAGTACTCACAAGTGAATTCAAACAGTTATCTTCTGTGGTCTCATCTATTTTATTTGCCCTCATGGCAATCCCTCTCAGGAATTTACCTGGAATCCTTCGCTTGAAGGATTTGAATACGTTAAATATTTAATGTTTATTCTTTTAAAGAGTGTAAGAAAGGACCCAAGGCTGATGCCTCAAAGAGCTTTGTAAATTTTGTGATTTAATCTTAGTGATCTCATGAATCTCTTCCGAAGTCAGTTCCCCTCATGTGCTCTAATTATATAGGCAGATGGCTAATAACCCCTACTTGTTAACAAGGTTTGGTGTGGGATTTTCTTTTTGTCTTAGTGAGATTGGTTTGCTATCTAACAAAATGCCATAGACTGGATAGCTTAAGAACAGACATTTATTTTTTATAGTTGGAGGCTGGGAAGTCCAAGATCAAGCTGCTGACAGATTCAGTTTCTGGTGAGGGTCTCTTTCCTGGCTTGCAGACAACTACCTTGTCCTCATGTCCTCACATAGCAAGGGGAAAGAGAGAAAGAGAAAGTCTGGGAGACCAGCTTACGGATCTCTTTTCCTCTCCTTATAAGGATACTAATCCTATTAGGGGTCCTTACCCTCATAACCTCATTTAAGTCTACTTCCCAAAGACCCCACCTCAGATATCATCACCTTGGGAGTTAGCGTTTTCACATATGAATTTTAGGAAAGGACAAAAAACATTCAGTCCATAACATTCTGCCCCTAGACCCCCAAATTTCCTGCCTTCTTGCATGTAAAATACATTAATCAAATCATCCCAACAGCTCCAACATTCTTAACTCATTCTAGTATTCATTTTAAAGTCTAAAGTCCAAAGCCTTATTTAAATGTCATCTAAATCCAATATAAGTGAGACTTGAGATACAATTCACCCTGAGGTAAAATTTCTCTCCAGCTGTGAACCTGTGAGAACAGACAAGTTATGTGTTTCTGAAACAATCGCGGGATAGGCACAGAACTAATATTCCCATTCCAAAAGCAGTAAATCAGAAGAAAGAGATGAGAGATCCCAAGGAAGTTCAGAATCCAGTTAAATATTCTGTTTAATCTCTCATGAGTTCTACCTTCCACAGAACACTAGAATACAATTCAGCCAAGTATTTTGCCACTTTATAAACTGGATCTCCTTTCCTGTAGTCTCCAATAACGTGTTCCTAATTTCCATCTGAACCCACACCAGAATTGCCCTTAATGCTCATATTTTTAGCATGCACCTCAAAACCTTTTCAGCTTCTATCCATTACTCAGTTCATTATATTTTAAGGCTCAAGAATAATCCTCTTTAGTTCCATGCTCTGCCCTCCAGATTCACTGGGTTGGCCGTATTGCCTCTAGTGTCAGTAGTACCCTTTAGCTCAGTGGAAGGCTGTCTGTCTGGCTCTCTGAGACGGTCCCCCTCACCCTCAGGTGGGTCTGCTGGGTGGCAGTTCCACCCTTTGAAACAACGTGAAAGCAGCTTTTCCCCCTAGCCCAGGCACTCTGGACCTGTGGTAGCAATAGTAGTCCTGATAATCTGTAAATCACTTCTGGGCTCCTTCTTTCCTTTAACACATGTTCACGGTCTGCCTTTGTTCTGTCTTATTTTCTCTATTTCTTTTATTATTTTTAATTGACCCTTAATAATGATACATATGTATGGGGTACAGTGTGATATTTCTGTGCATGTATACAATGTGTAATGATCAAATCAGGGTAATTGGCATATCCCTCACTTAAAATATTGATCAATTATTTGTGTTGGGAATATTCAAAATCTGCTCTCCTAGCTATTTAAAAACATACATTAAATCATTGTTAATTATAGTCACTCCAGAGTGCTACAGAACACTAGACCTTATTCTGCTTATTTCTTTATTTTTTCAATTCCAGCTGGCAGTGTTTCTGATGGTATAATCTCATCTCTATTTCTGGCTTGTGTTATTGAGATGGCTGATTGGGTATGTGGTTCACACCCATGCTAATCTCCCTATCAAATGGTTGGTCAGCAACACCCTTGGTATTCTCCTGCTAACCTGGTTTCTCAACTTTTGCAATAGGGACAGGCTGAGAATTTGTCAAATCTTTAAGCTCTGGTTCCTCTTTACTTAACCTTCTTTAATTTATTCTTCTTGTCTTGCATTTTACCAAAATCAGTCAGGAGGAACAATGCCACTTTTTCAACACTTTGCTTAGAAATCTCCTCAGCTAAATATTCTGTTTCATCTCTCATGAGTTCTACCTTCCACAGAACACTAGAATAAAATTCAGCCAAGTATTTTGCCACTTTATAACATGGATCTCCTTTCCTTCAGTCTCCAATAACATGTTCCTCATTTCCATCTGAACCCTCACCAGAGTTGCCCTTAATGCTCATATTTCTAGCATGCACCTCAAAACCCTTTTAGCCTCTATCCATTACCCACTTCCAAAGCCTTTTCACATGTTTTGGTATTTGTTACAACAGCATCTCACTTCTTAGTTCTAAAATGTGATTAGTTAGGGTTCTCCAGAGAAACACAAACAAAAAATATTGAAGTGAGAAAAATGAGAGAGAAAGGAAGAGAGGAAGAAAGAGAGAGAAATTATAAGAAATTGATTCACATGATTATGAGGCTGAGAAGTCCCATGTGCTTCATTTGGCAAGTTGGAGACCCAGGAGAGCTGGTGGTATATTTCCAATCCAAGTCTGAAGACGCCCAAACCATGAGAACTAATGGTATAGTTCCAGCTGAGCCTAAAGTCCTGAGAATGAGGAGAGCCAATGGTGCACATCCCAGTCCAAGGGAAAAAGACCAGTATCCCAGTTCAACAGTCAGGCAGAGAGAAAAAGAGCAAATTCTCCCTTTGGCTATCTTTGTTTTACTCAGGCCCTCAAAAGATTAGATTATGCCAATCCACATTGAAGAGAGCAATCTGTTTTACTCAGTCTACTGATTAAAATGCTAATCTCATCTAGAAACACCCTCATAGAGAAACCCAGAGCTAATATTTAGCCAAATATCTGGGCCTTTCATGGCTCAGTCAAGTTGATGCATAAAATTAGCCATTACACCTTTATAATTTATTAGATCAATAATTCCCAGTCTACCATTGACAAAGTGGTTCTGCTTTTTATTTAGCACCTAGACTTTCAAAACTATTTGCTTCCAATTACTTTCCACCAGATACGTCTTAATTATAGGAAAGGAATTGTAAAATCAACCATATAAGCTTCTACACCAGCTTTGACTATAAGCCTCTGTGAAATATTATTCCTAGTTTGAAAAAATTGATAATATACCAATAGCTGTAGAAAACCATGAATGCTTTAAGGTCCTTGTAAATACATCAACATAATAATAACTATTAAGCTTTCTAGAGCTATTTTAGGATAGTTGTAACATTTATCATCCTTCCTTTGAAAACATCAAGCTCTAAAACAACAGCATAATGGTTTTGCAAAGATTTATTTCTAAGATTAAATAGTGAGGGCTCTTTTTCCCTTGAGCATGTTTGAAAATTGTCCTCTTAGAGAATCTAAATATATGCCCATATTAAAATATCACACAAAGAAAGCCTACTTGTTACTAAAGCAAGATTGGTAATTAAATCACTACCTTTACATGTACCGTCAAATAGAAGGCAGTGTTGTTCGATAATACATTTGTATTTTGAGTGACTTTTTTTCCCCAAATCATGACATATGTGATGAAAAAGTTAAGAGTTCACCACTTCAATCATTGATTTTGATAAAGTAATTACAGTAAGGACACAGTTAATGTAATTAATATATTAATTTAGAGAAACAAAGTTAAAAGTAGACCCCAAACAAACAAACAGGAAACAAAAACATGGTGTATGTTGTAGGTACAGAAAAAATTGAAATGTTTTAGAATTCCCAGATAAATAACAGACATTTAGGACAGATTATCATGCAAATCTTATACAATATGCAATGTGATTATCTTTGTTTTATTATGCCACCTTTCTTTTGTGTTCACTCCTTCCTCATTCACCTTGGTGCTTTACCATAAAGGAACTTAGCAACTGCTCCTATGTGACGGGAAAAATACCTGATTTGGCAAGTGTGTACTTTATGAAATGTGATATGGCATCAGTCATCATTAACCCAAATATCCCCATCACATGCAGGGCCTGACCCCATCACATCTGGTTTCCTGTTTGAAAATCCTTCATTTTATGGAGGTTTTGCTGATAACAATACTTAGAATGATCTCTAGGCAATGGAAACTGACAGAAGATGAATTATCTGTCACTCAGGAGGAGGCCCTGACCATGGAAACAATCAAGTACAACTGTCTATTATTATTACTTTTTCCCCTTGGCTTTCTTTATTTCTTGGATTAGTTCCCAGCTCAGAATCTTCTTTAAAAGCCTATTAAAAATCTCAAGAGAAAATATGAAGTAGAGAATTCCCAGTGAAATTATTCTTGGTTGTTGGCAAATGCAGTCATTTTTTCTTTGTTGCCCAAATAACATTTTGAATCATGATATCTTAATTTTTCCAAAGGAGCATTAAAAAATAACTCATATACCATGTGTGGGTGTGTTAAGCAAAAGATTTGTTATTAGCTATTAAATGTCTGGACAGATTATAATTTTGTGGTTGGGAATCACTAGCCTTATTCTTCTTCTGAAAAATCTTGGGTAATTAATGATGTGATATCAGTAATTGACGATGGCTACATGTCAGGTGCAACATATTTTATCATTCAAAATACACACAAAAAAGTTACTTTTACTTACAAAGCATTGATTCTAGGCTGTTGTACAAAGAAGCTGTGATATTTGAACACCACTTCCTCTTCTTCAAGAACAGACAAAATAGCAACACAGAAAGCAGGAACAAAAAAATCACTTCCCTTTTTGGCAATTAAAGATATTTCAGGCTTATTTGAAAAGAAGGGGGAACTTGTAGGGGAAAGAGTTTAGTGATGGGAAAGAGGATTAAGTCAGTAGGTGACTGCATAACTTTATCTCTGCTTGAGCAAGGAAGGCCCTTTGAAAATTTAAATCATGGGTCAGGGAGTTAAATTGTTGTAGAAAGGCCAAGGGATTTTGAGGTATCAGGAGAATTGCAGGGGGGATACTTCTTAAAGAAAAATGTACGTCTAGATTAGGGTGTCCATGGCTAATGGGACCAGCAGGTCACATAAGTTAAAGGGGTCATAGGCAAGCTTTGTTTGTACCTTATAAGTGCATCAATAAAATTATAACTACATATAACCACATGAATGAATCTCATGAACAAGATATTAAGCAAAAGGAGTCAGACATGCAAGAGTACCTTTTGTGTGATTCTATTTTCGTAAAGTTCAAACAGACAAAACAAACCTATGGCATTAGAAATTAGGATAGCAGTTCCCTTGTGGGAATAGGGGAATAGTGAATGGAAGGAGGCAAAAAAGCAGGCTTCTGTGGTGCTGATAATGTTCTGTTTCTTGATCTGGGTGCTGGTTACACATACACAGGTTTAATTTATGATAATAAATATTCATTGAACTTATAATTTATGTCCTCCTCTGTATGTATGTTATACTTCAATAAAAAGATTAAGAAATGGGTCTCAACAGTCTTAAGATTCACAAAAATATTTGTCATCCCTTTTGTTTTTTTTAGAAACTTGTAACCTAAAGATCTTTCTTATTCCAGCTTTAGATAGAGACATGAGTACAGGGAACTGTTTCTTTGCTATAAGGAAAATAATTGGGTACATATGATGATAAGCAGTGACTGGACTGAGTCCTGGTATCAGAGAAATCATAAGAAGTGAGGACTATGAGAACTGAAGAGTTTGTGAATCTCTATTAAGGGAATTTGCTCTTATATTTCAGCAGCTTCGTGCATGTGAGTACGTGCACTGAAGGCTCCCAGATTATCTAATTTTTTAAAGTGAAGCCAGGGAACAATTTTATTTGAAAACTCCAATTTTTCTATTTTGGGGTAATATTTTTTAAGCACTTTGAAATACAAGAAGCATATTTCCAGGTTAAATTTGGCCTCCAGTTTGATCCGTTTGGTGTAGAAGTCTGGGTTGATTTCTGGGGATTTCTAGGTTATCTCTGGGTAGGTATTAAAATAATTAAAGAAAAGAAAGGAACATACAGATAAAGAAAAAAAGAATATAAATATACCTTTTGTTTATGCCGGTGTTAATGAGTTTTTGTTCATTTTAACTCTGAGAGCTTAGAAAATAGGGTATGACTTATACATTCTGGCATCTCAAATGTAAGAAATGATACAATCTATGGCTCTCTGCATTTTCCAAGTTACTTGGAACATGTTTCTTTGATTTTCCAAAACACATATTTCTTAGTTGCTTACAGAATGCCAGGCACTGTGCTAAGCATTCAGGGTGTATATTCACTTAATACTTAGAGACTTTGTAGCAATTTGCAGGTGAGGAAACTGAAGCATGCCTAAATTTACAGTGTTAGTGATATTTAGGATTCAAATCAGGCATACTTAATTCCAGAGCTTTAACTCTTAAACACTAATTAATCATGAATCTTATAACTATATGTGGAAATATGTAAATCAAGAATTTTTAATTCTATTTTGTAGATGAGGAAACAGATGCTTTAAATCAGCAGTCCCCAACATTTTTGGCACAGGGACCAGTTTCATGGAAGACAGTTTTTCCACGGATGGCAGGTTGCGATGATTCAAGCACATTACATTTATTGTGTGCTTTATTTCTATTATTATTATATTATAATATATAATGAAATAATTATACAACTCAACATAATGTAGAATCAGTGGGAGCCCTGAGCTTGATTTCCTGCAACTAGACAGTCCCATCTGGGGGTGATGAGAGACAGTGACAGATCATCAGGTATTAGATTCTCATAAGGAGCATGCAACCTAAATCCCTCACATACGGAGTTCATAATAGAGTTTGCACTCCTATGAGAATCTAATTCCCTACCCCCATTTTGATAGGAGGTGGAGATCAGGTGGTAAATGTGAGTGATGGGGAGTGGTTGTAAATACAGATGAAGCATCACTTGCTTGTCTGCAGCTTATCTTCCTGCTGTGGGGCCCAGTTTCTAACAGTCCGCTCATCAGTAGCAGTCCATGGCCCAGGGTTTGAGGACCCCTGTTTTAAATGACTTGACAGAACTCACAGTGCGATTTACTAAGAGAGGATTGATACGGGCCTCATGTTCTTGCTCCTGTACTCTTTTCCCCTGTACCCTGAAGGTCATCCTGGCAGTTAATTTTATATTTGCAGAATTCTTTAACAGTGGATTATTTCCTGTCACATAGCAGTTTAATTATCCTTTATTTGGATATGATCTAAATAAAATCAACATAATCTTAGATGATAAGATAAATGTATCCCAAACAAGTACACTGATACCTGATATGCATAATGAATTAACCTTCTTGATGCCTAGGATAACAGCTAATGGTGCATCTCCTCTCAGTTAGTGAATTAGAAAGCCAGGCGTTCATCCAAATATGCAGATGTTTAGCCTTGTGTAGTCAAAACCTCTGAATGACTGACACAAGTTTCACTTTGAATTATATTCTTTGGTGCCAGACAGTGGCAGAGTATCAGGCAAATAAATGCATGACTTTAAAAAGAATTCTTTCAATCTTGACCAGTAGCAGCCCCAGTTGAGTGGAGAAAATATATGTTTTGTGGTTTTACTTATTAATCTTATATTGGACTTATGTAAATTTTAATTAGCCTTTTTGACTTTCCTAGTTTTCTTCTACTGAACAGTGATTAAGATTCACAATTTTGTATACTAGATGGAGTTTAAGTGATTTCAACAATCAAAACAAACCTTTTTAGGTTTGTCTGTTCTTTCTTTTCCTATTCAGTCTGGTCAGGAAATCATGAAATATTTTATATAACATTTGAAATCAAATAATTGTAGAATTGTCTCTTGAAATAGGCTGGAATCTATCAAGCATTTTATTTGTAGTCTTGCTTCCTAAATGTTTACAGTAAAAATAGAGGGACAGCTTTATTGTATTTTTGTTAAATTCATTAGGCCTTCCCTTCGGTCTGTTAATTGCCCCCTCGTGTTATGTGATTTTAATGAAAAGAATCCATTTTTAACCAGCACCCGCCATTGTGGCCCTGATGTTACCATGGAAATGAAATAACTTCTTCTGAAATTGTCTGCTATACATATTTACAACACATTAGGTAACACCTGGGCATTAAAATCTTGCAATACAATAGGTTTTTATTTTTTAAGAACACCAGCAATACCATTTTTCCTTCACATAAGTTTTTTGCCATTACAGTGGGTGAGCATGCAAGCTGTAATTACTACCACTGGTCTTAGGTTGGCAGCTAAATGAGATGTTTTTTCATTAAAAAAAAAATATATATATATAGAGAGAGAGAGTATATACATATATATAACAAGTAGAAAAGTACTAGAATCTTGACAATATAAAAATGGCAAAGTTTTTAATAGTCTAGTTTTATCAAATTATAAACATGCATTATTCTCCTAGAAGGTGTCACAAATACGTATGTGTAGTTGCATTTCTAGTCAATATCTCTGTGTGTGTATTAGATATTAGATGCTGCAATACTAGCTGGGGATACAAAGGTGAATAAGATATCTTTCCTGACCTCAGGGAGCACATATTCTAGACTATCAAATGACATATCTTGAGTAAAAATATATAGTAAATGGGTTCCAACTTGGATGAAGCCAGGAGCTGGAAAGCAATATCACATTTATAGTCCCATTAAAGGTATAAACATAGAATGTTAATTACTACATTTTCCTTTTCTAATATAAAATTTTAGGAACTTTCATGCTATGGCCTTGGGTGGGTACATCAGGAGGATCAGAGAAGACATAATCCCTGCCATCTACACTTTCATGCCTAACTCTCCAGGATACTTAGCAATACATACATACCTTTCCTTTATCTTTCCATTGCATACAGCACAGCAATTCCAAACAATTATTTAATCCATCAAATTTATATTCATTTCCTACATTGTGATAGGCATTATTAATCAGTACTTTTCTAAGGTTGTCTGAGTCTCAGAATTTTCATATCTTAACATTAAAATTTCTAGACATCTTTAACTGTTCATTCCTTACTTATTTTGTCATTCTTCAGAAACAGAAATAACTTTTCTATACAAGGCTTATATTTTCTGCCCATGGTCTTGACTCTCTTATGTGTAACTCCTTTTAGGCCCAAGGCTCCCTTTGGCCATGGTAAGATTGTTCCTCATATTGTCACAATAGAACTTGCAATAAGATTTAATGCAATCCCAAGGAAGTCTTTGTGATTCTGGTAAGATCGTGTCTTCACATCATTGACAATGACCAGAGTAAGATTTTGGGAAACCCCCGCAAATCCATACGCACTTGGTAAGACTGTCACTCACTATCCTCATCACCTGTCCCACCTCGTCTCTTCTTAACATTATACAATGTTTAAGAGACAAATCATAAGAAAGAGACTATAAATCAAGTTGACTCTCTACATTCTGCGAGAAACCATCAGGACTGATTTCATTATGTCTTACCTTGATCACAAACTCAGGTTCAAGCCTCCTGGGGCATTCACCATGGTTACAGCTCCACATGGCTGTGTGTTCCTTAATCGGAATCAATTTTTCTCCCTTCCCTATTTGCCCACACCCTTTACTGTATTGTCTACAAAATCTCCTGTATCTTTTTCTCGTAATATGTAATCACCTTTTGCTCTAAAATAAGCTCAGGTACCTTTTAGATATAGCTCTTTGAATTGTGACAGGTTTTTCTTCTATATTTCATGTACCATGGGTATCAGAGGTGGACTAGATGTCCTCCGTGTTTCTCATTGTTTTGCCCAGACCACCATCTGTCCCGCTTTTTGTCGAAACCCTCAGATTATTTGAGGAACATGACAACAGCTCCCTGTGTGCTTCTTGGATATTCATATTGCAAACTCCCTGTTATATCTTGCCATTCCCTGGAGATTTAGCGATTGATTTCACTATGCATGTTATTTTTCTTAGTATCTTAAACAGTCATTGAGACCCCTTGTCTAAAATCATGGACCCTCAATTGCTTGACTGCCTTTAACCCCAATTATTATGCCCTCCTCATATCCTCAACCATGCATCCCTATGTCATTCCCTGAACTTCTTCATTACCAATTTCCACAAAACCTCAATTTCAGGAATTCCACTCTCTGACCATCAAATACTTCTAGCTTGCCTATTTCATAGTACCTTACACATTTTTTAACTCTATGCCACCTTTTTAACCATGCAGGATAACCCTGAAAATCTCTTCTTATCCAGATTACATTGCCTTGTTTTGCCGTAGCAGTTCCTTGAATTCATTTCAGCTCCCTTGCCTCTCTTGTTCTCCATATTGCCTGATAAAGTAAAATACCAACACTAGGTAAGCCCTTCTTTAGCCATACCTGCAACTTTGCAGCCAAACACAGCAAGAGGGAAACACACAAATGTACCAACTGGTTCATTTAAAAATCATAATCACAAACCTCCTGTGTTTCCTCAAGACTGCCTGGCTATGCTACTCCATTTCTCTAATCAGGTCACCCTCTTACTCTTTCAAAACATGATTTCCCATCTTCTCCTCTTTCCTATTTTCACATCTCTTTCATCTTTTTACTCTGCATTAATGACTCTTTTCTTACAGCTTTGAGAATATAGAAGCAGCCAGAAGACAAATACCTCATCATTTACCATGAAATCTGCCAGCTCTACACATCTGGACATATATTTGTTGCTTATCTACTTTTTGCCGTGGATAAACTCTACATTTATGCATTGAATTTCAGTCCTTCTGATTTACTCAGCAAAATTATTCTGCAATTTTCCCCTTTCTTTAAGTATTATTGCTGCTTAACAAATTATCCTAAAACTTGTATCTTAAAACAAGCATTTTCTTATCTAGTATGGGTCATTGGATCAGGTGTTCTCTGGCCCAGTATCCCTTATGTGATGTATTCAGATCGTTGTTGGGCTAGAACCAATGGAGGAGCAAGTCAGGAGCAGTTGGGGAATGGCTATTGTTTATCTCACTAAACAGAATCTCAAAACTTCTCTCTGTAGCATCTCTGCATTGGTTGCTTCGGGCTTCCTCACAGCGCAGAGTTTCAGGGCAGTCAGAATGCTTACGAAGCAATTTAAGGGTTCAGTGGGAGTGTTCCAGTGATCCAGGAGTAAGTTTCATTTCCTTTTCTGTCCTAGCCACAGAACAGAAAGATGTTTCACAGAGCAACTATTCTGCTGATTATAAGCTAGTCAAAAACTGCCAGATTTGAGGGGAAGGAACATCAACCACCCTTCTTGATGAGAAAAGTGTCAAGGTCCCATTGTAGAAAAACACATGGGATAGGAAATATTATTACAGTCACTTTTGGAAACTAAAATCTGCAGTATAGGTTAATGAATATTTTTCTTGCTACTGAAGCATTTTTATTTGCATCCAAAATACTACAAAAGCACTCATTAATAAAGAAAAAAATACTCACTTCTTTTTGGCCCTATGCCCTTGCCTGTATTACCTTTTTTTTTCTACTTTCTTTTACTGTGATTTTTTCAAAACAGTTTTCCATTCCTCATTTTCTATTTGTCCCTTCATTTGAATCAGCTTTCACCTCTACGCTCCACTAAAATACCCTTGACAAGGTCATTTATCTTTTAAGTCCAATGATTAATTCTCATTTCTCATTTTATTTCATGAGTTCAAAGTACTTAATACAATTGATTACTCCCTCCTGCTCTTGGAATACCTACCTTGTATGATTTCCAGTGCTCCCATTTTTCTGGCAGTTTCTGTTCTTTTCCTTTGCTCACCTAATCTATACATGTTGGAGCGCCCAAGGTTCGTTCCCCAACCTTCTTGAAGTTCTCACCTGAACCCATCCCTGAGATTATCTCCTCTGGTCCCGTGGCTCTAAAGTATATCCTTTGTGATGACCTTCCCAATTTTCAGCTCCAGCCTGAAACTCTCCCTGCACTTTGGACGTGTATGCCTCATTGGCTACTTGACATCTCTGCTTTGTTGTCTAACAGGCATATCAAATTTAATATGTCCTAAATAGAATTCTTTGAAAATACATCCAAAATAGAATTCTGTCTTCTCACTTTCCCCACCCTCCCCCGCCAAACATACTCATTTCTCAGATTTTCTCATTTCAGAAAACGGCACCACCAGTTACCTAAGTGCTATGCCAGATGTCTAGGAATATTCCTTGAGCTCTTTCTTTTCTTCACCCTCCATATCCTATTTATCCTAAATTCTTTTGGTTACACTTATAAAATATATCTAGGCTGTCAAGCTCTCACTATCTTCACTGCTGCCATCTTAGCAAATTAATGTTAATCTGACATTAATTTATTGGATTAGACAATAAATTTTGTTCATCTTCTTTTGCCCTATAATAAAAGTTTTTAAACTTTGTTAATATTAAAACGCATGTTTTGCTCATAATTCTTCATTGGCTTCTCAATGCACTGAGAATAAAAAAAGTGTCCTTATTATAAACCATGTTTGTTCCTGCATGAGCTGCTCCCTGTCTACCTTTCCACCTGCATTTTTTGTTTCTCTCACACCAGCTTATACTGGCTTATATTTCTAGTTCCAGTGGCCTTCTTGCTGTCCTTTGACCTAGGCAAACAAAAATCTTTCCTCTGGATTTTTAAACAATGTTTCTTCCTCTTTGAGCATCTGTACCCATTTTCAGCCTTCTTCTGTAGTCAGTCTGCAGGCTAGCGTTTGGAAGCCACTAATAAAAGCCTATAGTGTCCTCTTCTGATAGGGCCACATATCCCAGTTTTAATTTCCTCTGATCGTTGTTCTCCTTATACTTCCCATTCCAACAAATGTTTTCCTTGAAGATAAAAAAGGCAATGAAATAGGAGATGACACTAATTTCCTTCCTGACATTTATTAACAGTAAGCCATTCACCAACATCAACAGAAAACACCTTCTGTTTTGTAGTAGAATATAAAATAAAAATTATTTGATTTGTCATAATATAAAAATATTATTATCATATAACAATTTCAAAAGCCTAAACTTTTGTAGGTTTTGTCTTTCTTTCTGATATAACATATCATTTATATGCATGTATCTTACATATTTTATATATTACTCTCAAGAATCTAAGTTTGAATGTTTCTATATATTGCTACATCTGTTTCCTCAGATGTGTATTTTCTTTTTACCCCACCAGTATAATTTGATTTTCATGGTTGGTTCTTTGTTCTTCTGTAACCCCTAATTCTCTCTAACATTTTAGAAAATCTGGCCAAGACAGCATACTTATTTCTTTGATTTTTTAAAAAATCTGCTTTGCTCCATTTTAGGGCAATGTTATAAACTTTTTTTTTTTTTTTTTTTGCATACAAGAACCTATTTATAGCATCAACATACTTTAAATAGCTTGTGTTGTAAATAGTTGAATATTTACTGTCTGTTAGTTGAGAATATTCAAACATGCCTGCGCATTCATGGATCTAATTGCTGCATGCCTATCATGGGTCTGTTAGAAATTGGGGTGCGAAGGAAATTGCTGATATTATAAAGAGAACATATGAAAATTGTTGAAACTTGCCAGTTTTTCCTTGCTGCTCACAGGATTCCTGAAAATCATAAAAAAGAAAATGGAAATACCACTTTCTTTATGAGTGATATTTTACCTCTTATCGCCAATGAAAATGTTGCTAAAGGTTGGAAGAACAAAGAGAGTTGTGCTCAAGTTTAAGTGGATCTCCTAGCATTCCTCATCCTCCTTAATGGAATCTTAAAAATTGGTTTTCTTTGGCTAGCAACATGTAAGAAACAAGGTAAAGATGGGGCAACTTGTATGGTTTGTCAAGGGGCAGGTCTTAAGCTAGCTTACTCACAGAACTACATGAAATAAAGGAGGTGGAGAAGAGAGAGGCATGGTTGGGCACAAATAGAGGAAACCTGTCCTGGCCAAGTCTGCTTATTACATGGAAGTAAGAATCACTGATTTCAAGAGAAGAAGCTTAATATGTGTTTGTAACTTTTAAAGCGTGATACCACGGCCCACCAATATTTATAGTCCATGAAATGTTCCAGGCAATAACTAACCAACTTAAAAAACTGTAGCTGCCATGTTTTCTGGCCAATACAATGCTCTTCCTTCTAGCTTCTTTCCACCCAGCTATGGTTTTATGACCCTTCTTCTGTCCAGTGAATTATTAATGTCTGTCAGCTGGGTAGAAGTTCCCAGAATGCTTTTAAATTCTTGATAAAATGTAATCTATTCACCTAGAATACCCCTTTACCTCTGTTCCTTTTACCTCTTCCTCCCTGAATTGTAGCTATAGTATTCAAAGTTCAGCAGTTATCATGCAGCTGTAAGGCCCCAAACCAATGGGCTAAGGTCAGAACAGCATAAAAATAGAAAGATTTTGGTTTCTTGTTGATGTTGAAAAAAGGAATAAATGCCAGTCGCTGTTAACCTTCAGACTTCCTGTAATGTGTGAATAATAAACCTCTGTTGGTTTAAACTACTCTTAGTTGGGTTTCTGTCCTTGGAGAACAAACATGTAATGGGTGTAGTCCTCCTCCCCTGGAGTGACTGGGTCAGGAGCAAGATAAGAAGGGGAAAGAAAAAGAAGAGTCTGGTTAACAGTTACTCTGACCCTGTAGGAACTCTGTCCCATAATTTGGAAATCAAATTATAGCCGTGTCTTATTTTTCCAACCTAAATTTTTAAGACTGCAGATAAGTACTGCATCCCATAATACACAGTATAATGTCCTGTAGTTCTCTCTCTCTCTTTATCTTCTTTCTTCTTCCTTTCCAGACTGGAAAAAAAATTTTGTTTATAATAGATTGTGTATGTCATGTGTTGTGATAGATTATCAAGATGATAGAGGTAGCTCCTGCCTAAGAGAATTTCCAGCTTAGTAGAAGAGACAAGCAAAATAATAAACATACATATGATATGTGCTATTATATATGTATGAATAGGGAAATGTTGGAAAAGAGAGGAGCCATATATAACAAAGCCTGGGCAAGGCAGGAGGGTTATAATGATTTTCAGATATTTTTGCAAAAAGTTGTAAGGTTAAGAAAATTTCTTTAGGTCATATATACATAAGGGGGGTAGACTATTTTGGGTTTGATGTGTCTTTATGTATCTATAAAACTATAAGGAGCTAAAGTTTAGAATCAAATCTATTTGACTGGATGAATGTTATACGTAAACTTTGTTAATATATTTTCTGAAGCATTGTAGTTTTTTTCTATATGCGTGTTTGAGTGCTAATAAACTCATATCATCCTGTATCATGCTGTGTATATTGTATTGTAACATACCTTTTCACTAAACTCTCATTCATAGCCATAATTTTATGTCCAAAAATATATCTCTACATGTTATCATTCATAGTGACTATAGAATATTGTATAATATGAATGTATGAACAATTTATTTGAAGAAATTTCATTTCTTACTTATTTGGGTTATTTATAATTACTTGAATAAAACATCCTTATACCTAAATAGGTGCAATTTTACCCAATTATTTTACTATGGTTTAGGAAGAAAAGGGTTTGCAGTAGTTCTGTACCCTATTCTCTCTCTCAGGGATGTCCAGGAAGAAAGAATGACTGTATTAATTCTACTGTCAAACATGCAAACTACCTCTTGGTAAACATACGAATTACCAGTAAACCCAATAATTATTTTTTTACTAGCAGAAGGATAATGGTAATTTCTTATCTATGAAGATTTTTCATGGGGAAAAATATTGTGTTGACGTTGCTTATTGTAAATGCAACTGGTATTTATAGATTTATGGTGGCTGGCTAGCTGAGGAAGGTCATGGACAACATGTAACTATGTGAGGTAGCCCAAATGGCTTCTGTGTGAGCAATATGTACATTGCTCCACTGCTTCATCTATTAACCTGGAGACAAATGATGTCTTATTGTGGTAGGAAAAAAGTCCTTTTTTATTGGAAGCTGCATCTTAAGGTTTCAGATCACATCAAGGAAAGAATTCTTCACCTGTGTTCTTTAAATCATTGGTGAAGTTTCATATTGGGTAAAATCTATGATTTCTAGCGTCAGATTTGACAATACGATTCTTTGTGTCACCACAGATAAATTCCAAAAATGAAATTTCTATGTGAAGAGGAATGGACTATTTTAGGAACCATGGTACATATAACAGGCTTATTGAACAGTCTGAAGTTTGTGGGATCAAACTATCTTTTTCTATGCTCTCTCAGATTTCCCTTTTCCATTCCTTAGGGACATCTTGACTAGTTCCTCAACTTCCTCATTATTTTCAGTTATTTTTTTTAAAGTCCAGTCAATTCAAGTCCAGTTTTTAAAAGTACAATTGCATATCCAATTTATTGCACATTTCCTCTTATCTTAGTACTAGCTAGTTCTTCTCTTATGGAACTTGAAGTAGGGATAAGACCAAGTCTGCTCCTAATATATCTATTCCAAATTTATTTTCTCCATGCCTCTCTTTTTTATCTTATAGAATGGAAGCCAGAAAGAGAGAGAGAGAAAGATGTTCTGGTTAGGTTATCTCTTGGCTAACATTGGCTAGCTATTGCTTCTCTTGTGTGGCAGGCTTCCATACGTTGCTTCTCTTGGGGTGCTCATGTGATCCCAATAGGAGATCTCCTCGGTGTTCAGTTCCTAGACACGGGAGTTTATATGGTTTGGCTCTGTGTCCCCACCCAAATCTCATCTCAAATTGTAATACCCATAATCCCCACATGTCTAGGGATGGACCTTGTGTGAGGCAATTGGATCATGGGGTCGGTTTGCCCCATGATGTTCTCATGATAGTGAGTTCTCAATCGATCTGATGGTTTTATAAGCATCTGGCATTTCCCCTGCTTGCACTTCTCTCTCTCCTGCTGCTATGAGAAGTACGTGCCTGTTTCCCCCTCTACTATGATTGTAAGTTTCCTGAGGCCTCCCCAGCCATGTGGAACTGTAAGTCAATTAAACCTCTTTACTTTATAAATTACCCAGTCTGAGTGAAGTTCTTTATAACAGTGTAGAATGGACTACTACAGGAGACCTCCTTCCTGCTAACTTTTTCAAACACACTTCAGTTTCTCCTTCTGATCGTCAATATAGCCCTATGTTTTGGGATTCCCCTTGCCTGGTAACCTGCTTTCACGATTTGAGACAAACACAATATTTCAAGCCTTGCTATTTTCTATAATGTCTACTTTCTCCACAACAAATTTACCAATGCTCTGTCCCTTCTTCCATCCAACTTTCTCTCTCAACTTCTCATTTCCTTTCCTGCTTAAATACTCTGGTGTGCAGATCATTCAGTTTGCTTCATAAGAAGACCTTCAACTAAGGATTAAGATGCCAATTTCTTCAATTGATTCTCTCAGACCTTTCTTCTTTGGCTTTAGGGGAGAAGCAAGGTCCAACTTCCTAATATTCAAGATACCTTTTGTTTCCCTAGTCTGGTAATATAGGAGCTGACAAGAAAGTGGGTCTTGGATACACATTTACTTGTATGGAGAAAATATATTTTACTTCCTAAAGTAATAGATCAACTATCTGGTCCATCACCTATTTTGACACTTATTGCCCTCAATTTTTTGTATTGCTCTGTTGCCCAGGCTAGAGTGCAGTGGCATGATCTCAGCTCACTGCAACCTCTGCCTCCCAGGTTCAAGCGATTCTTCTGGCTCAGCTTCCCAAGTAGCTGAGACTATAGGCACGCACCATCACACCCAGCTGATTTTTGTATTTTTAGGAAAGACAGGGTTTCACCATGTTGGCCAGGCTGGTCTCGAACTCCTGACCTCAAGTGATCTGCCCACCTCGGCCTCCTAGAGTTCTGGGATTACAGGTGTGAGCCACTGCGCCTGGCCTGGTTTCTGATAGTTTTTGCTTTACAAATATTTTCAATTTTTATGTAGTCTAAAATATCAAATGTTCTGTATTTTTTACCTCGAAATAAGTATTTAAAAGTCATTTCTCATTCTGATACATTTATGGTTCTTTATTTAAATATTTAACCCATTTTAAATTTATTTAGGAATAAAATGTCATACGAGAACCTACCATTCTATTTTTTGATATTCTCAATATCACTAATACTTAAACTCAGTTTTCTCACTAATATAATAAATTATTTTATACATTTGCTTTATTTATTATTTAAATTTGATGTATCATGTGATAAAGCTTCTTACATTATTTTTACTTAAAAATTTTATGTTAATTTCCTGAGAGTCTGTATTTTATGATATATGCTGTAATATCTTTTCCAATATTTTAATTCCAAAGCCAATCTCTTATACCCTCATTCTCTACCTCTTTTTCTCTCTCTCTTACTAATGAACACTATCAGTCTGTTTTATTGATGTGTTCAAAGAATTAGCTCTTGGGACATGTCTCTTAATTTGTTAATTTTCAGTCCTTAATAGGTAATATTTTTCTTTACTTTTCACATGATTGTTTCATTATTCTTTTTTAACAGCTTTATTGAGGTATAATTGATATACCAAAAATATATGTTTAATGTATACCATTAATAAGTTTGAACATATGCATATACCATCGCCTCCAAAAGTCCCAGTGTGTGTGTGTGTGTGTGTGTGTGTGTGTGTGTATGCCTGTGTATGTGTTTGTGGTAAGAACACTTAACATGAGATCTACCCTTTTAACAATTTTTTAAGTGTACTATAACATCCTGTTAACTACAGGTACTATATTTTACAGAAGATATCTAGAACTTATTCTACCCAGTTGAAAAGACTGGAATAATGCCCATGACCAACTCACCAGGTACCATATTCTGTTCCTATGGAGAGGAGTAGAGTGGAGGCAAGGAGCCAGGAGTGTTGAAATATAACACTTTCCCCTCAGGAAAACCAAAAGATGTTCTTTGAATTTCTCGAACTTTAACCCCAACTACTTTGTCCCCTTTGAAGTCTATCTAACCTTTGGAGGTGTAAAAGATATAGTTATTATAACTCAATCACACATTAGTATAATTTACTTTACTAGTTTCTTTCCAATATGGTCCCTGAGGATGCCCAGCAAGCGCACTGTGGCCTCTGCAGTAGTGTGCACCAGGAATCAGGCATCACTTCCAGCCTGGTTCTAAAATAATGTTCCTGCTCTGGTTCCTTGGACTTCCTTCTCTCCTGCTGTGTTCAGCTCTCCTGACTTTTCTCTCAGGCTGGCACTCGTGGGAAGGGAGGAGCTACCATGACCCTCCCATGTCATCATTCAGTTGGTTTCATAGCAAGAAAAGTTTTGGTAAAAAGAGGGTGGTGAAAACATGAGGGCAATGGGGGTGGAAAGAATTTCTGACATAAAAAAGGCATTGACATGAAAAGTGGAAGAAAAAACCTGAAAGATAAAATGAGATTCTGCTGAGAGTTCCTACTTAATAATTCTGCCTTAGTGACAATTTTTGTGATATTAAATTATTTTTATTTGAAATCCAAATATTTAGTTGAGAACTTCATGGAAAAAATTAGGAAGTATGAGTGATACAGGCAATGTAAATATGCTTAACTCTAGATTTCAATTATTGTAGATAACGGATAGTCAACAATTTTGAAATAATTGGATTAATGTAAAAATGTAAATGAAGCAGATATATGGATTTAAAAAAAATAAGTAGGCTAGAAAAAGTGATGAGCCTATCTATATGACATTTTACCAGATAGAATTATGGAATAGGTTTTTCAATATATGTCCTTTTTATTATGCTATAATATATTTGTGTACTATGATATTACTGATGACTTGAGTGATAAAGTAAGGCATTTATATAAATAAGTTTAGTAAAAGAGGCAGAGAGAAATTTAGAGAAACTGCTTATTTTAATGACATTTGAGTTGAAAATGTTTCTTTTGTGTGTTGCAGCCCTTTCCCTACCCTATACAAATGCAGACTGCCCTACATTTGAAGCTGTTTCTTCCCATTGGAGGGAAGTTGGTACTTTTGTGAAAGCAGCCATTTCATTTTAGCCGGGCATTAGATTGAGCCATCTGCTGTGTGGGTTTCTCAGTGGTCCATAGCCATGACAGAGTGTTTGAAGTTTTGCTTCAGGATATCTTTAAAAACATTTTGTTTCTAATCTCCCCATTTGTAGGTACCCTACTTCACTCATCATCCATGAACTGCTTGAATATCCTGTGCACATCCATGCTCCCCACCGATCCAACTCAGTGGATCAACAAATCAGCCCATATTTGTTGGGCTCCAATTATGTGCAAGGCATAGAAAGGTGGCTGTATTTTATCAAGTTTCAATGCAGTTTGGCTGGCTCTATTCCAGGGCCTCCTTGTTGGTAATTCTACCTTGCCATTTAATGATCAGTAGAGCTTTTAGATGTTGCTAATGAACCTTTCAGACAGAATGGTTCATTTAGAAGGCGATGTATAAAAATGGTAGAAAAGAAAAATTAATTGTGATGATTATTTATTCTGGAAAAAGCAGAAGGATATTTTAATGACAGAATTATCCAAACTACTATGCTAAAGAAGTCAACTACATTTTTCTTTTCTGGTTTTTTTTTTTTTTTTTTTTGAGACAGAGTCTTGCTCTATTGCCCAGGCTGGAATACAGTAGCACAATCTCGGCTCACTGCATCCTCCACCTGCCAGGTTCAAGCAATTCTCCTGCCTCAGCCTCCCAAGTAGCTGGGATTACAGGCATGCACCACCACCCCCAGCTAATTTTTGTATTTTTAGTAGAGACAGGGTTTCACCCTGTTGGCCAGGCTGCTCCCCAACTCCTGACCTCAAGTGATCCACCCACCTCATCATTCCTAAGTGCTGGGATTACAGGCGTGAGCCACCACACTTAGCTTGTCAGCTACATTTTTCTTAAGCAAAAACATCCAAGAAGGTTTTGAGGGTGAGTTCAGAGCTTGCAAATAGGTGACATAAGCTTGGCTTTGGGATTTTTTTATTGTGAAATATAAGTAAAACACATTAGTTACCTTGTCTTTCAAATTTCCCCCAGTTCCATCAAAACTAGAAAGTTATGATCAGACTCATGATTTAAATATGCAAAAAGCAAAAATACATTATGATTTGAGATATAAAGATAATTAATGCATTTATTATATTAAGTGGTTTAATATAAAGATATGTTTTCTTAAAATTTTGTATGGGTTAATTTTCTGAAGCATTACAGACTGACCAATACATAAAATTAATTTTGTTTTTATTTATTCATGTTTAAGAGACAGAGTCTTGATCTGTCACCCAGGTTGGAGTACAGTGGCGTAGTCAGCTTCCTGCAGCCCAGAACTCCTGGGCTCAAGCAATCCGCGTGTCTTAAACTTTTGAGTAGCTAGGACTACAGGTGTGCACCACCATGATCAACTGTTTTTAAATTTTTTTGTAGAGACAAGATCTTGCTATGTTACCCAGGCTGGTCTCAAACTCCTGGCCTTAAGTGATATTCCTGCCTTGGCCTCCCGAAGTGCTGGGATTAAAGGCCTACTTAAAGATATTTTGATAGCAAATATTTTCATGTTGAAAACAAATTGAAACTTCATCTGTAAAATAGGGATATAACACCACTACCTCATTTGATTGCTTTGAAGATTATATCAGATGACATAAGTGCTTAATATAGCTCCTGGACAAAAATTTCAGGTATTATCTTTATTGTTGTTATTTACCTTTTTTTTTTTTTTTTGAAAATCACTGATATGGTTTGGATTTGTTTCCCCACCCAAATTTCATGTCGAATTGTAATCTTCAGTGTTGGAGAAGGGGCCTGGTAGGAGGTGATTGAATCAAGGGTTTGGACAACCCATTTGCTGTTCTCATAACAGTGACTGAGTTGTCACCAGATCTGGTGGTTTAAATGTGTGTAGCACCTCCAATTTTGCTCTCTTACTCTTTCTCTGGCCATGTAAGACGTGCTTGCTTCCCTTTGCCTTGTAAATTTCCTGAGGCCTCCCCAGCCATGCTTCCTATACAGCCCATGGAACTGTAAGCCACTTAAAAGCCTCTTTTCTTTATAAACTATCCAGTCTCAGATAGTTCTTTTTTTTTTTTTCACTTTTTAAAAACATTTTATTTATTTATTTTTATTCTTTTTTATCTTTTTAAAATTATACTTTAAGTTCTAGGGTACATGTGCAAAACGTGCAGGTTTGTTACATATGTATACATGTGCCATGTTGGTGTGCTGCACCCGTTAACTCGGGTAGTTCTTTGTAGCAATTTGAGAATGAACTAATACAATCACCATAAAAAACAACTAGCAACTGTCTTGGTGACAGATCCTCCATGGCCACTGCAAGCTTTCTAGATGGTGAGCAGAGAGTGCAGCCACATGAGGAACCATCTGTGACATAAAGACATCTGCCAACTCTCTCCTCAAGATTTGGTGAGGACCAATGACAGTGTATAGAGCAATTCAATTTCCTTGGAAAGAAAGACCTGTGAAGTAAGAGTACATTTATTGTCCCTTGGTGTTAGCAGGTAGCTGCCTCCTACTTACCCTATGTGGATATACCTATTGACACATAGATAGAGTAGGTGGATTGCCTACTAACATGGAAGATTAAATGACAAGGTTAGAAACAAAAAGCAAACACTATTGTCTCCTAATGCAGGTAATGGATGCTCAGTTCACCAGAGGAGAGAGATGGATGTATCAAGGTACAGAAAGCTTGAATTCCTTCTCTAAATTTCACATACTGAGAAATCTTAAGTTATAAAATCTACCAGATAAAAATCATCCAGTAAGTGGATAATATATATAAAAAGGAAAAAAATTTGAGAAATTAGAAGTCACTGAAGAGAACAATTACATTTCACTTTTAAGACATCTATTAGAAAATAACATAATAAATCAAAAATTGATAAAGAAAAATTACTTCAATTTCAGCTTGAACCCAGATTACATTCTTTTATAAGCTTTGAGACTATCATGTTTAAAGATAAAAACAACAAAAGATAAAAAACAACCATAAAAAAGATACATAAATACAACATGCTAAGTAGTCAAAGTGAACAGATTTTTAAAAATATAAATAATGCTTATTATAAAATGACTTGACAATTTGAAGATGAGAGTTAGATAATGTCCGATGTTATTAGTGACAATAAAGATGATGGAGGGAACAGACTTTGCTGTGTGACTTTGAAGGGATAATTAAGCCTGGATTGCTTCAGTTTATTATCTGTATTATAATAATAGTTTATATCTCATAGATTTGTATGAGAATCTAGTTAGTTATTATATGTAAATCAACTATGGGTAACAGAGTAGGCATGTGGTAAGTGTCAAAGTATGCTACTTATTATCACCATTGTCATTACTAGCATCTTTTTCACAGATTAAGTCTTGTGGACTGGGCATCTTTTTATGGATTGATTTAAACCAAATGACAGGACATATTGATGGAGGTGTATAAAGTGCTACCCATAATTCTTCTTAGTAAAGGACCTTAGTAAAGGACCAGAACAACAGCTTCATTACTAATAAAGCTAGATTAGGAGATTCTGCTTAAATTTGCAACCAAAATCAGAATTCCTATTCTTTCCCCAACTGAATCAATTTTTCCACCTTAAACTCCAGGGTTCTGTCCTTTCTAGGCAGAGCCTGTCCTGATGGAAATATAACTTGGAACAGAGAAGAGTGTTTGTATTGAGAGGGGGGCTAGATCAGAGAGTGCACCCAGAGGGGTTGATCTACACCTGCTCAGGGCCTTTCTCCTAAAATGAGCCATTCCTCCTCTCTAGGGAAAGACTGAATGAAAGAATGGGAGGGGAGAAAGTAACTAGATACATTTCCTCCAACACATTTCCTTCCTGGGGAGGGAAGTATAAGTTTTCCCCATCCATCCATGGATGGAAATGTGAAGAGTTAGAGGATAAGGCCATATGTAACAATCTGAGCTCACACAGTTCAGATCCAACACCCATTTCTTTTTTTAATAGATCAAATAAGACTTACATTTCTTGCACTTGAGAGTTTACTATCTAGAAAATGGGGCTTTGATAGACAGCCCTTCTTTTCTATATTGCAGCAATAGTTTGGAGATTAAAGAGATGACTGCTTTGGAGATGCTCCAAGGACCTCACATAAAAGGGGCCATTATGTTCAAGTATCATGGACTAGATTATAGGCCTTGTAGAATGCTAACAATTTAAATAGCCAGTTTGGTTTTCTTTAGCAATGATTCCTTCTGATATTTTCCATTTTTAATCATGCAGAAGTCACCTCCAAATTCTCTTTGTTTTTTAGAAGCTTGTTTTCTCAAAAAAAGTTGATGCATCTTCCAAGATTAGAAAAATATAGTCTTTAAGACTTTCTTGACATTTATACCAAAATAGCAATGTAGCTGAAATCAAATGGGAACATTTAGAAAGCTAGAATGATAATTGCAAAAAAAAGGGAGGGAGTGAAATGATTTTCACTGCTTTTGTTAAAAAGTTTGTACTTGTCATACTATGCCACATCTTATTTTTGAAATGCAACAAAAGTTGTCGCCAGTTTGATCTCTCAGATGGTGTGGCTGCCAATTCCTTCCCCAGCACCCTGCCACTTGGCTTGTTTCCAGTGATGCCATATGTAGTTTTCCCTTTCCTCCTCCCTTCTAAATAGAGAGGAAAACATGTCCATTATGGCATTAGCTTGCAAGCTGTAAAATTGGAATTAAAATTCAAGACATGAATGTCTTAAACTCAGAGGGCCAATTGCATTCACAATTCCTCAAGTTTCCATTTCAAAGAATATAACTTTATCTTTAAATGTGATAGTCTCAAAGCTTATAAAAGAATGTAGTCTGGGTTCTAGCTGAAATTGAAGTAATTTTTCTTTATCAATTTTTGGCTTATATTTTATTTTCTAATAGATGTCTTAAAAGTGAAATGTAATTGTTCTCTTCAGTGACTTCTAATTTCTCAAGTTTTTTTTCCTTTTTAAATATATTATCCATTTACCAGATGATTTTTATCCGGTAGATTTTATAACTGATAAGATTTCTCAGTATGTGAAATTTAGAGAAGGAATTCAAGCTTTCTATACCTTGATACATCCGTCTCTTTCCTCTGGTGAACTGAAGACACATTACCTGCATTAGGAGACAATAGTGCTTGGTTTTTGTTTCTAACCTTGTCATTTAATCTTCCATGTTAGTAGGCAATCCACCTATTCTATCTATGCATCTGTAGGCATATCCACATAGGGTAGGTAGGAGGCAGCTACCTGCTAACACCAAGGGACAATAAATGTACTCTTACTTCACAGGTCTTTCTTTCCAAGGAAATTGAATTGCTCTATACACTGTCATTGGTCCTCACCAAATCTTGAGGAGAGAGTTGGCAGATGTCTTTATGTTACAGATGGTTCCTCATGTGGCTGCACTCTCTGCTCACCACCTAGAAAGCTTGCAGTGGCCATGGAGGATCTGTCACCAAGACAGGTACTAGTCTATAAACCTTAGGGGGTGAGTGAGTGCAATATGCACAATGGGAACACATTTCACCTAGGTTTTATAATTCCTTTGTGACATCTGCATTTATTTAACTATAAGCATTAATAAATGGATTATTGCTCTTCATAGGAATAATTTCTGTTTATTCAAGACTTTCAGATGGGTAGAAAAGAGGTAGATGAAACAGCTTCTAACCTTTTCCTTTTTTATTTTTTATTTGCCTTCCCTAAAAAAGGCAAAGTGGGTGAGAAAAGTAAGTGGACATCCAGTCTCGTGCACTATAGAATGTAGAATGGGAACTAAAATGCTAAAAGTTTAGATCGGGGAAAAGTTGAATTATTTTCCTTTTCAATGCTTTCTGTATATTAAGTCCAGTATAAATTTATAGATCATTTGCATTGGTCGTAAGGGCAGTGAGTCACATTACATAGTACATCTCCTTGGACATAAAGATGTCAGAAATTCGTTCCACAGAAGCTGATCTAACAGGCTACTGTTATATGATCAACATATAACACAATCAACAATCATATTAATCAAGGTAGTATGATCAGCAATCATATTACCCTAGCAGACTTATCCTAGACAGTTTATATCAATGACTAGATGCTCCTACTGCCGTTTGCTGAATATGTTGATAGACGTCTTGGCTTTAAATTTTTGAAAATGAACCTCCCTAGATGCCAGGCCAGCTAGTCTACCCCTGAATGTTATGGGTAGGAGACTGGCTGTCTGTAGGTGCAAGTGAATTTCAGAAGCAGCGAAGTGGAAGGGACTCAAGGACTATACCAGCTTGCTGCTTGGAAATCCTCCAACATAATGTCAAAACAGTAGGGACTCTCTGAGCACCTGCCTAAGCTGCACTTAAAATTAATGATTGTTTGTGAGAACAGACAAGGAGGAAAATCTACTTCGTTCACAAGTTAGCGGTGTGGATTAGCTTCATTGGTATCTAATGGCTGACTGCCACTGAACTGATCTTTTTTTGTACATTCTGGCTCCTTCCTCAGGATGCCAGAAGCTCTTTGTTTAGCTAGTGCTTTATCTAATTCTGGCACAATCAATTCCACCTCATTCTCTCTCAGCACAATTGGCAGCACTTATATTGTTTATAGGGAAGGTATTTTCATTCTAATTTAATACCTGAAATCTTTTTATGTTCCTTGTATTTAAAAGAATCTTCCTTTGCCCCTTTTCTTTTTTCTTCTCCTTTCTTTTTTTTTTTTTCCTTCTTCAAGCTATATATTGTTTTATTTTTGGGGTTTATATTTCTACTTCTTTTTTAAAATAAAAAATCCCCATCTTAATGTATTTCTCTCACTTTAAAATACACAAAGGAGCACTGATTTATGTATATGCAGATTTATGCATACAGTTCATCCATTGTTTAGCAATGAATGTCCACATTATATAATGTGGATGGTATATAGAATGTTTTATTGGTACAAATTAAAAGCCCCATAATAAGTACAAAGTTATGTATTTTAAGGTCCCATAAACATGTTTTTATTATAAGTCCAATGGGGATCTTGCTCATCACTGCCATCCTCATCATTGTGTTTGTTTTTGTGAATACATGCATGGTAGAGAAGACAAGATAATTGTCTATCTCAGTACCCTTCAGGACAATGGGACCCAAAAGCCTAGGCTTGCAGTCTATTGGTAAAAGGCTTTGAATGTATGCATCCTAAATATACCTTAATTTATAAATTATATACCTTCCTTCATATATGTAATATGTGATTACTGTTGTAATATAAATTACCTTGTGAAAAATACATATAAACAGACATTTAAAAATCTACAGTAGAATGAATAGAAATAGAAATTCTGAAATTTTTTCTTCCACTCCGGTAGACTATATTTACATATTCAGAGGAGTATAATTTGGAATCAGGTGATTCCCATATCAAATTGACTATTAGAAGAGTCTGGGGGAATTTTTAAAAAATGATTTTGCCAGTTTTCTTCCTCATACATAATCATTAAGATCCTCTAATTGAGATTAGAGGATACCGGTATGTGTATTTTGTAAATACTGTCCAACAATTTTGATGATCCGCTATGTGTGGGAACCACTGTTCCAGGGCAAATGCTTTTTAGAGGGGGCCGCACTTTGGAGCATTACCATGAAACTCCAGCTGGAGGCAGAGTATAGGACTTCAGGATTCCCAAGATCCTGTTGATGTTAAGGAGATGTTATGGGTTGAATTGTGTTGCCCAAATAGATGTTGAAGTCCTAACCCTCAGTATCTGTAAATTTATCATCTCTCATTTATTGCAAAGTGATGGTTCTAATCAAGTAAAATCTTGACTTAACTACAATAATTCATAATTAGGACAATTGTATATTTTAGCAAATGATCATAGTTGTTTCTGATACTAGTTCCTTCTGCTTTTTAAGTTCCTGTTTTTGTTCCTCACCTTGTAGAAGTTGTTATGATTATTATTTATTTATTTATTTTGAGACGAAATCTCTCTCTGTTGCCAGGCTGGAGAGCAGTGGCACGATTTCAGCTCACTGCAACCTCTGTCTCCCAGGTTCAAGCGATTCTCCTGTCTCAGCCTCCTGAGTAGCTGGGACTACAGGCATGTGCCACCACACCCAGCTAAGTTTTGTATTTTCAGTAGAGATGCGGTTTCACCATGTGGGCCAGGATGTTCTCAATCTCTTGACCTCGTGATCCGCCCGCCTTGGGCTCCCAAAGTGCTGGGATTGCAGGCGTGAGCCACCGCACCCGGCCTGTAGAAATTATTAATATGCAAGCAATGATTGTTTCATACATTTTTCATCTAGACATTATATTGAGAAATGTGGACTAAAGCTTAATTTTATTAGAACTTTACATGATATAAAATATTGCAAAATAAATTTTATTGGATAAGATGTACTTTAAACTACTGAAATGTACTTGTGAGAATGATGCACGTAATGTACAATGTGACCTTATATGTTAGTGAAAACTAATTCTGTACTAAAAAAGTACCTCTCCTATTACCTTTTTTAAAGTAATGTTTTTAGGTAAATAATGAACCATTAAACAAAAGATGCTAATAATTCAAATAAAAATAATGCTCAGATGGTTTTTGTCAGACACAATTCAACATAAAGGTACTCCTTGGGGAGAGAAGCATGTTGGCCATTATGACTTCAATTAGATGTTAGAATCATGAACTCTAGATTTGGGGGTAAAATTTACTTGGAGTGAAACTCATCTGGTTTACCTCACCTGATATTACAGAGCTAAAGTTGCAATACTATTCATCAGATATACATCCATCAAAATATAGGTAGTACCCTTATAATGGTTACTTAAGTTAAAGTTTGGATTGACTTTTTTTTAAAGGAATCTACATGATACAGCATATTCAAAGTTGAACTACTTTGTATTAAATGCCTTAGATAAAACCTGAGATTTTCTAATTATCGATTATGCAATTTTTTATCATCAATTATGTTCAGCATTTTTCTTAGAGCCGTGGAGTGCCTAGAAATGCATACCATAACCTGTAACAACTATCAGTGAATTATACTAACACTAGGAACTCTTTCAATTGTTTGCTGCTGCTTTGAAGTTTACAGAATATTACTTTCAAATAATATAGTTCAAAATAAATGGGTAATCTTGTATTTTCCCTGGCAATCTTAATGGTCCTTTAGGTCAGGGGTATCTGAAGCTACTGAAATTTTTGGCTGTTGAATATCTGAGTTACAGGTAGAAACTGAAATGGAAGAAGATGATGTGTAGTTGACTTCTATTGTAGGCTCTAAGGTTATGGATTATTCGGGGGACTAACACTGTTGGAGATCTTACAAATGACATTGGACTCTATCTAGAAGTATCTGTTACAAAAATAAGAATCTATCATTGCTTAGGAAATACTTATTTCCTTTTCCTTTAATTATTTTTTTTTGCCAAAAGTGATCAAATCTGTCTGTTTTGATTAATTCTGCATTCCTAAGCCTTCCCTTTCCACTGTTGATGCAGCATACAAGATCTTTTAATTAGTAACTAATTCCTAACCAAAAAATTCATTAGTGGTTGGTACCATTTTAATTTTAAGATACTCTGGTGTCTTATGATTTCCTTGTCTATCTTTTCTTGCTAATATCAGCTATCTTTAGATGAAATATATATTATTATGTCAGAATTCCATCAGGCTTGTAGCTTTATAGTATAAATTCATTGATATAAACCCCCTATACTTAAGGAAGCAAATTAATTTTATTGTTATCTTCTGTAATGAGAATGCACTAAAGAACATATTCTTACATCATTACAGGTTCTTAAAATATTTTAAGTGAGTTATTTAGAAAACATAGTGCAGTTGTTCCTTGTTATCTGTGGGGGATTGGTTCCAGGACCCTAGTGATTACCAAAATCAGTGAATGTCCAAGTGCCATACATAAAATGATGTAGTATTTGCATATAACCTACACACATCCTCTTGTGTACCTTAAATCATCTCTAGACTACTTATAATACCTAATATATGTAAATACTATGTAAATAGTTGTTACATCGTATTTTTTATTTATATGATTTTTATTGTTTTTTTATATTTTTAAATATTTTCAATCCATGGTTGGTTGAACATGAGATTACAGAAGGCTGCCTGTTTAAGAAAAAATGATTTATCAGATATAGATTAGAACAAAACTTTGTATTTAAGTGTGATTTGTGCATATTTTATAACTTCAACGGGCTGCACTTATTGGAAGAAGAAACAATGGTCAAAGGAAGTTATTCCAATCTCCTCAAAGCCAGTTGCCCTAAACTTTTTCACCAAATATACTAGTCATCATACTGAGTGAGTAGCAAGGTAGAAAATAGTTATGTTGGTGCCAGCACTGAGTAGATTTTTCTGAGGGAGAAGGTTAAAAACAGTTATTTAACATGAAAAATACAAGATAACAGATTAATACATACACACATTAAAACAAAGGGAAAGAATAGGTGTCTAAATATTGAAAATTCATTCTGAAATATTTAATTATGAGCTTCTAAGGTTAGTCATTCTATTATGGCTTAAAGAGTGTACAAAATAGACATGCTCTCTTGCTTTTTTTGGTCACATTCTAGTGGAGTAAACACAATTAAAATGCGGAAACCAAAACGTTTTTAATGAATTGTAAATTATGATCAAGGGCCATTAAGAAAATAAATGTGGTACTGTGATGGAAGACAATGAAAAGAATGTTTTATTCTTCTTTATTAGCAGGTGACACTGACTTTAGACAGGGATAAGAAAGACCTATCTTTGGCAGTGACATTTCAACAAAGATTGATAAAATGGAACTGGTAATGCAAAGAGAAAGGGAAAGCATTTCTGATAGAAAAAGCATCATGTTCAAAGAATTTAAGCTTGGAAAGAGCTTGGAATGTTTCAGCTACAGAGAGAAGCATGTAGCTGAAGTGGAAAAAACAAAGTGAAATGCTAGGGGGTTGAAGACTGAAGACAGAATAATGACTAGAATAGATAGGTTTGTCCTACAGACCATAGAGAAAACTTTGGGCTTTAATGCTAAGTGCAATGCAAAGACATTAAAGGGAAGTAACATTATCCAATTTGTGTTTTAGGAACATTCCTTCTACTCTGTGGAAAATAAATTTGAGAAGAATAAGAACAGAAGTGTAGATTTCATTTAAAGCATTTGCTGAAACTCAGGCCAGAGACATCAGTAGTCTATACCAGGGAGGTGTCACTGGAGATAGAAGAGCAGGCAATTGAGATATGTTTTAGAATCAGAATCATAAATAGAAATTGATGTGTAGGGTGTGGCACAAAGAGAGTGAAACCTGAAAAGAGGAACCAAGGGTGAATTAAACATTAGGCTGTCAAATGAAATCACAAAATTGTGAGAATATTGAGGGATAGGTTTTAAGAAGGGAAGAATAAAAAACTATTGGAGGCCTGTTAGGTTTGAGATATAGAAGGTAAACAAAGAGATTAAATCTACAAATCTGATCTCAGTGAATGAGTTTGTTTAGAAATTGGAAATGAATACATTCACTGAAGGAGGACTCTAACAGAAAAAGAGAAGAAAGTCCAGGATCAAGGGCTTCCCATCGTTGAGGAGCAAGAACTAGCAAATGAGGCTGAATCACAAAAGGAAGTGTAGGAAAAGAAATTGATGAAGAAGTGGTGCCATGAAAGCCATGAGAACAGATTATTTCAAGAAGGAAGTGGTGCTCGTCTCTGTTGAAGGCTGCAGACAAGGCAAGTAAGATGAAGAGAGTTTGGCAACATGAAAATGATTTTGACAAGAGCTGTTTTGGTGCCATGTATCTTTTTTTTTTTTTTTTTTTTTTTTTTGAGACAGTCTCCCTCTGTCGCCCAGGCTGGAGTGCAGTGGTGCAATCTTGGCTCACTGCAACTTCCACCTCCCGGTTTCAAGCGATTCTCCTGCCTCAGCCTCCTAAGTAGCTGGGATTATAGGTGCATGCCACCACGCCCGGTTAATTTTTGTATTTTTAGTACAGACAGGGTTTCACCATGTTGGCCAGGCTGGTCTCGAACTCCTGACCTCAGGTTATCGCCCGCCTCGGCCTCCCAAAGTTCTGGGATTATAGGCGTGAGCCACTGAGCCTGCCAATGCATGTATCTTTGTCATTCTACCAAGCCAGCTCCAGTCATCTCCTTATTAAAAAGAAGAGCAAATAGTAACCTCAGATATGCATGTGGAATTGCTATGGGGAGCTACAGTTTTGCTTTTGCGTGAAAGAAAAATAGACTTTCCTTTATTTGAACACAGCTCTAATCCTAATTGACTCATCCTCTATTCCTAAACAAAAGTCTTTATATTCAAAAGTTTCATTTCATAAATCTGGATAAAAACAATGTGTAATATTTTGACTAAATTTCTCTAAACTCATGAATGTTTTCCTAATTTGTTTACTAAAATATTTGAGATTATTAGTAATACCATGCTGATACCTCTGATAGGTCTTAGATGGGATGGCAAAGAGTCAAGAAACAGCCAACACTTGGTTGGGTTATTTTTGTGTGTCCTGTTTCTATTTACATAGTTGCAACTAGAAGCAGAATGTATCCCAAGTGATTCGATTGAAGAGAGTTAAAATGAGCTGATTACTTGAAGGAAACACATATTAATGGTGAGACACAAAGAGATCTGCAACAATAAGAAACTACTGCTACCCCTACAGTGGATGGGACAACCAAAAGAGGGTGTTACTGGAGCCCAGAGGGCTGGTACTGTGGAGGACTGCTGAGCGGAAACAGTGGTCCTGAAATATTTAGTTATTTCCAGAGGCATTGCAATGAAGCGGAGGAAGAAGGAGCTAGGAAAGAAATAGCCCTTCCTGTCTCTTGTCTCCTCCCCTATCTCCTGCCTGTAACTCTCATGACTAAATGGAAGCAGACACCAGCCAGCAAAGTGTGCTGCTGGTATAGACTGCAGAGATCAGCCACACAGGATTCAGAGCAAAAGGGAGAAAAGTAGAAAAAGGATTGGGAGAATTCCAGGTTCTGGTCCAACATGTTAGAACCTTAGAATTCATCACCCCATCCTAACCGTAAGTAAAACGCTGAAAAAACTGAAAATCAACAATTTTTCTTTGATCAATCGGGGAATTGAGATCACAGGAATAACTGTTGCCTGAAACACTGGAGAGACAGACAGATGGACATAGAGAATCACAACTTGCCAAAGCAGGAACCCATAAGCAGAAACGGCTATGAGAAATACTGCTGGTATTTACTAAGAAAACCTAAACTGTAACTGACAAATTGTTGAAGGCTTAATACAGGAAAATCTGAGAGTTAGAAACTGCAGAGGAGCCCAGTATCAGGGAGACATGCCTACATTTTTGTGAATTCTAGTTTGCTTGACCAGGTTATCACAGTGAAGATCAGAGAAAAATCCTCTCCGGTTTCTAAGTGTCGGGATGCGGGGTGTTTGGGAGTGGAAGTAGTCATTTGAGATATGTGAGAATGTTCTGTTCTTAACAAGGCTTGCCCTCAAAAGAAACGATTTTACCAGAACCTAACTGAACTGAGAGAAGGAAAACACTCAACTCTCACCTTCTCTAGCCTTCACATAGGAGAGGAAATATCCCCAACTCTAGCCCCCTCTAGCCATCCTGTCCCATGGAGGAAGGAGGGATGATAAAACAAACACGTGAAGTGAACAGTCCAGGGGCACAGGCTCGTTAAGACTGAGTCCTAGTCATAATATTATACGATGCTTGCCCTCCCCCCCACATCTTACCACTGCATTACTAAAAGTCTATTTGCTGCAATTCCTTTTACCCCATACATCTGTGGCCCCCAACTCCCGGGCCACAGCCCACTAGTTGTCTGTGACCTGTTAGATACCAGGAGGCACAGCAAGGAGTTGAGCGACCGGCGAGCAAGCAGTACCACCTGAGCTCCACCTCCTGTCAGATAAGCCGTGACATTAGATTCTTATAGGAGTGCGAACCCTATTGCGACAAGCACATGTGAGAGATGTAGGTTGTGTGCTCCTTATGATAATCTAATGCTGCCTGATGATCACATCCCTGGAAAAACTGTCTTTCGTGAAACCAGTCCCTGGTGCCAAAACGGTTGGGGACCACTGCCATACATCTTGTCTAGTTTTCAATAATAAATTACAAAGGACACTAAAATGAAAGATGTACATTGTGAAGGGACAGAGCAAGTCTCAGAACTATGCTCAGATATGGAAGGAGTATTAGAAATATCAGACCAGGAATTTAAAACAGCTATGACTGATATGAAAAATATTCTAAAGAAAAAAAGGAGACAATATGTGAGAACAGACGGATACAATAAGCAGAGGGATAGAAATTCTAAGAATGAATAAAAAGGAAATGATAGAGATCAAAATACTAACAGAAATGGCTAATTTCTTAGACTGACTATGGCTGAGGAAAGAATCTCTGAACTTGAGGATATGTCAATAGAAACTTCCAAAACTGAAAAACAGAGAAAAGGACTGATGAAAAGGAACAGAATATCCAAGACCTTTGGGACAACTGTAAAAGATGTAACATATGTGTAATGGGAATACCAGAAGAAGACAGAGAGAAATGAGCAAAAGAAATATCTGGAAAAAATTTGGAGTGAAGAGATGGTAAATTGAGAATAACTATGACATAGAGTTATTTTACTCCTATTTCTTGGTATGAGAAAAATAGCTACAAAAATGACTATTGCCTTTGACTTCAGTAAAATTTACTTATAAAGCCGAGAACTTATTTGCTACAAGTAATGATAGTAGGAAAACGGAGGAAAAGAGAAAGGGATACAGAATCAATATAATAATGAAAAACTATACAATTGCCTGTCTCACATCCTGCCATATTTCCTCAAGTCATTAGTAGGACATGAAATTTCTGAAAATTTTGGTGTTAGGGGATTATTTCTATAAATCTAGCCAAGATTGAGCCTTGTACCTAAGTTAGCACTAGGCAGATACAGCTTATAGATGCAGAAATTGAGAAAAATGAAACCATAACAAATTTAGATATAGGGAATGAACAAAATCATGATTTGGTGGAATCTCACCTTTTGGCAAATTGCGGGTTAGAACAGCATTTATCTAACATGGTGCTGGATTACTTAAGTGCTACAACTTTTCCTAGATATCACAATCCTCTGTAAATTAAATGACTATTTACAAGCAAAATTTGTTTATTCTTAAATAAGAGGGTAAGAATCCTGTGAGAATTATGAACTCAAATAGGGTCCCCAGGCGATAGTCTCCATGGGAAACAATTTAATCCAAATTGAAAAAATCAACAGGCTTGTTGAAGCTGATTATTATGGATATCTTACATGTCTTTATTAATAGATTTTCACACTATTAGTAAACTTTGACTAGAAAAATGTTCAGTTGCTTATTTTTTTCTAGTTACTTTGTTCTTTGTCTTTGGCTTGATGGATTGGGGTGAGGTGGAAAGAATGTTTTCCTGTTGAGTTTTGTCAGTCCAGTATGACAAGTTTTGACTGTATGTTTCCCAGGTGTGTGTATTAATTAGATAGCCTGAAATAGAACATTTAATTATTTCTGGCAATGAGTTTAGACAACACATTTACAGGATCACCTGTCTGTGTTTAATACACAATTGTATCATTGTATTAGCTTCTTATAAACAGTGCTGGAACTCTAACCTCTTTCACTTAAATATTCTTTCCAAAATATGTAGTGAGTGCCTACTGTGTCTGAAGCACTATTCTATTCATGCCTATGTGATAATACAGGCATGAATAAAATTAAAGTGGGTACTGAAGATATAGTGGCAAATTAGAAAGACACAAAGGAATAGATTGAGACATTTCTCATCCCTTTTTCTATGAAGTTCACTGCTAAAGGTACTTTCCAAGTTGTGTTTATGGTTTTTAATTCATGTTTCAAACTTACAGTGGGTTTATGGATGACTCGCATGTATCTAAGTAAATTATGGTTTATAATGTTAATGGACATACTTATTATTTCTGATCTACATAGAATAATACTTTCATTATAAGAAGATACAAACATGAAGATGAAACGTAAATGCAGTTCACGTATTCCCTTTTCATAGACTTAATATTTAGCTAAACAGAATTTTAATAATACATCAGTAACACATTGGATGTTTGAATTAAATTGTTGTGAGATAGTTTTAATATTGGCATTTTTTTTCTTTTGTTTCTATGATAGTAATGAAGATGCTGACTTGTAATTCTTTAAGCATATTTGTTTATGCGGTTAGATGCTGAATCCTCTGCTGGTAAAGAAGCTTTACTCTCCTCTTAGAAAATGATTTGTTTTCTGTGTTAAATTTTCAGTCAGTAGTTTGAAACTGGAAATGACCTATATTCTTTACTTCCTTTAGGGCTTTTACTGTAAGGGTTTGGCATGGTAATCCACCATAGTAATGTTCAATTCACGTCTAGCTGGCAAATTAATACATCAACTAATTACACCAGGGCTTTAAGCTCCAGCTCATGTTGGCAAATTTATACAGATCTTCATTAACTCGAATGGAAGACAGGGACAAAGACTATTGAGAGCACAAGGTCAACTCCTATTTGATGCTTAGAAACATGAGAAATAGCAATTTCAGTTACGTCAATTGGTTCCTCCATAGTACCACACACGTATTTCATTTGCCAACCTTTCTTTCTATAGTTTGCAGATATTGTGTTTTTATCTTTAACCTGCCTTAAATTTACTTTAGTGCCATTTTTAATGGTCAATTATTTTATTTTCTCTCTTTTAAAATTTTAATTAACCATGAACCAGAAAGTAAATTCCTCTCCTTTAAAGTAATTCAGAGATAAACTTGCAATTCTTATCTGTACTCTTATTACCCTTCAATAATCAATAATTTAGAACTGATACAATGATTTTTAAGTTTAAATAGTTTATTTTTCAGAATTTTAATATATACCAGTAACATATTGAAAGTTTATTTTTTTTTGCTTTTAAGGAGGAAGCTGAAAACAGAAAATTAATTAATTAGTGGCTTATATTTTACATGAATAAAAAACTAATGAGAGAACATAAATGTCAAGTTGTAATTCCAAGTCACTTTTTTTCCAGTTTAAAATTTCTGGATTTATGTTGGAAGAAATCATGACATTTTATACTTTTCTGTCACTTTTTTCTTCTACTCATTTCAAATAAATTTCTTAAATTTGTATGCCAGGCTATGCTAGACTGTAGGTTCCTTGGAAGCAGAAATGATATTTTAGACTTCATATTTCCCCCAACATTTAGTTCAGTGTTTAGCACATGGTACAAAATGGGAACAGATAGAAAGTGCACTAAGACAGATTTGGGGGTTGAAGTGGATCAGTGAAGATATGCTGGAGTAGGTTGCACTAGGATTCAATATTAATTAATGAGTTAGCCTAAAGAAGGAGATTATGGGAGCATATTTTAGGCAATAAAGATAAACTATTTGAGAGCATTAAGGTAAAGGAGAGTATGGAGTGTTCTGTGAATTACAAAGCATTCAATATTATTGTGACGTCAAGTGGATGAGGATTGAAATATTCATTGAAGGAAGATTTCAGACATTTTTATGCCATGCTCATGGGATTTGAATATTATCCTGAAAGCTATGTACAGTCACTGTTTCCATTTTAAGCAGATTGGTGATATAGAGTCTCTTTCTTCTTTTCTTCCTGTGACCCTTTCTTCCTTCTTTTCTTTTTTCCTTTTTTCTTTCTTTTTTAATAACCAACATGATGGCAGGGTATGCATATAGTGGCTGTGTATTAGTCAGGGTTCTCCAGAGAAGCAGAATCAATAGGCGGTAGATAGATAAACAGATAAAGATTTATTGTTAAGAATTGGCTCATGTGGGCTGGGAGCAGTGGCTCATGCCTGTAATCCCAGCACTCTGGGAGGCTGAGACGGGCAGATCACAAGGTCAGGAGTTCAAGACCAGCCTGGCCAATATGGTGAAACCCCGTCTCTACTAAAAATACAAAAATTAGCCAGGTGTGGTAGCGTGTGCCTGTAGTCCCAGCTACTCGGGAGGCTGAGGCAGAAGAATCTCTTGAGCCTGGGAGGCAGAGGTTGCAGTGAGTCGAGATTGCACCACTGCACTCCAGCCTGGTTGACAGAGGGAGACTCTGTCTCAAAAAAAAAAAAAAAAAAAGAATTGGCTCATGTGATTATAGAGGCTGCAGTTAGCAGTGCAAAGACCCAACTCAAGGCAATGAGGCAGATATTTCTTCTCACTTGTGAGAGAGTCAGCCTTTCTGCTTTATTCAGGCTTGCATTAGTCTACTTTCAGGCTGCTGATAAAGACATACCCGAGATTGGGTAATTTATAAAGAAAAGAGTTTTAATGGACTCACAGTTTCACAGTTTTACGAAGCTGGGAAGGCCTTACAGTCATGACAGGGGTCAAAGAAGGATCGAAGGCACGTCTTGTATGGCAGCAGGGAAGAGAACATGTGCAGGGGAACTCCTCTTTATAAAACCATCAGATCTTGTGAGACTTATTCACTATCGCAAGAACAGCACAGGAAACACCCGTCCGCATGATTCAACCCATGAGTCAATTACCTCCCACCAGGTCCCTTCTACAACACATGGGAATTATGGGAGCTACAATTCAAGATTTGGGTGGGGACACAGCCAAACCATATCAAGGCTTTACATCCGATTACATGAGGGCCATCAACATAGAGAGGACATTTTGCTTTACCCAGTCCACCACTTCAAATCTTACTCATCCAAAGACACCCTCACAGTTATATCAAGAATACTGTTTGACAAATGTCTGGATACCTCATGGCCCAGTCAAGTTGATACATAAAATTAATTGTTGCTGGTTATGTAAGATTGAGGGAGATACGACTTTAGTGAAAATCAATTGCTTCAATGCAGATAATACACAATTAGAACCTACATAAAAGTATAGATCATGGTAATGTAGAAAATTGGCGTATTTGGGAAATGTTGAAAAGTTAGAATTGAGAGGCTTTGTGGCAGGTCATAGAGGATAAGGGAAATAATAAAATTAAAAATGTGCTTGAGCATTTGTTTTCCAAGGTGAATGGTGGCACTGTTTGTTGATATAAGGAATATCCAAGCTATATATCTGAAAAAGGTGAGATTGATTTCACGTATGTTTAACTTCAGTTGTCTATGAAACATACAGATATAAAGACCCAATAGATGGATGATTAAGGCAAGACTTGGATTTGAACACAAATAGTTTATTTGAAAGTTCATCCTGGGAAGCACTGGAAGGGTAATAGAGAAGTGAGAAAAAAAAAGGGAGAAGTAAGCCAACACAGGGAGTGCTATTCACAAGTTACCTGTGTGGGTAACTGGGTTTTTTTTTTTTTTTTCTTCCATTTGTATCTGTAAAAGACTCTGTAGAGCATGCTTCAGAGTGGATCCACTGAAAAGTGAGGGGGCTAGAGGGATTATCCACCAACTCTGGTCTGTCATTGATTGAAGCTGCTTCCTGGGAACAAGGTCAGCACACTTGTGGCCTAATTTACATGCAGGTCCCTAGCATGCTCCTGCCATCAAAGAAAGCAATCAGACAGAAAGTTGCAGATACTGCCAGTAAGCAGCTGTGCCAAGGGCATACAGGTGTTGGGAAGACCCAACATACTTTCTTCAGTCTAAGGTAGATGTTGCCTGGAGAGATGGTTCTGAAAGCATTTGAAAGGTAGTAAAATTTAATGCAGTGTAATGAGATCATTCAAAGAAGGTTTAGAATGGAAACCTGTAGAACGCTAGAATTTAAGGGGTAAAATAGGGAAAGAAATCTGTGAGAAAGAATGTCTACTATCTTATGTAATTAATACATCCAAGCGACATGCCTTGAATACGCTTAAAACAAAACAAAATAAGCAAACTAAAAGCTGTTGAAGCCAACATTTGCCCACTGTTTTCTGTTTGACATCTACAAATATATTAGCTTCACCGTAGCTGTGGCTGTGTCTAATTCATCAATGCATCATTAGTACCTTGGATGATACTTGACATAGCATATGTACCAAGCATTTTTTTTTGCTTTAAACATGTTATTTGGGGGATTACTGAATTTATATGCACACATTTTTAAAGAGGTGGAAAATATGTAAAATGTCGATATTATCAAAACATAATTATTTTACATAAAAATTCTTTACTTCATACTTTTGTTTTCAATTACTTTTCAAAAGACAGAAACTGATGAACATTTATTTCTTGGGCTTGAGGACTTATATCAAGTTGAGAGCACAAAAACCAAGGCATAAGAGTAAAAACACATGTTTAACCTGTAATGAAGTGTTGGTTTCCTCAGTGCATTTTTATGTATTTAATAATCTTTGATTTGTTTTACTTCTCCAAGCCAACATATGCAAGTCGAAAAACTGTGAACAATGTTTCCAAATATTTCTGGCACAATTAAATACAATACAACTTTTCTGCCAAAATATCTCTTTTTCTTAGATGTCAATCCTCTGTCATCAGTCCACATGATTTTTCATTTCTGCATTCTAGTTCAAGTCATGACCTATATTTACGTAGAATGTCTTTCTATAATTTTTTTAGTAGCAGTTGGTGAGCGGAGAAACCCCTAATGATGATTTCTTCTTATTATTTTGGAAAATAAGTCACAAAAGAAAAATATATTTATGACTCAAATAAATTCTTGTCTCCAAAGAGCTGCCCTGAAGTTGTAGTTACATTAGCACATTTTAAAATCTGCCCCTTCCAGGGGTAAATTAGCTGTGGAGTACCAGGAAATATTTCGTAGGCAGAAAATTTATAACAATGTTGCCTTTCTGAATGGGATTATGTGCTATAGGATCAAGTCAAATACTGACATTAATAAATTGGAACAAAAAAGATTTTGGAAAGTTTGTGGCATTTTTAGATGCAATGGACGTTCTATGTCTCCATTTTCTCTCCTTCTCTTCCAAGTGAGGGTTCTTTTGTAAGTGCATAGTCTTACACTTTTTCTTCATGCACTCTTTCCAGGAAAAAGTTAATCTTCATCTACTATGCTTGTCTGAAAATAAAGAAAAAAAATGCTTAAAAAGTCTGATTTTTTTCTGTTCCTGATAGATTTGTTAATGTATTTTCACTTCCTTTAGTTTTCTTTTCTTTAACTGCAAAGATAATCATGTCAAGCAAATATTATTGCTATTGGCTTCTGATTTTTATACATTACTTCAGTTTGACTTTTAATTTTAGTAGTGTCCTTTAGAACTACATATCATTGAATTAAGTTGACACTTGATTACAAAAATTTAACAGCCCAGAAAAGTCCTTCTGAGAATACATTAGCATTATCAAATACTACTGATTTTCTTATCTTTTAGATATTTGAAGCTCATTTATCATTTTCCCCTTGAAAGTTAAAGCACTTTAAAATAAGAAAAACATCACTATTTTCAGAATAGCGAAACAATTTTAAAATGTTTATTCTAACCTCTGTGAGCCTTTATTTTCTCATTGTTAAAGTGGGAGAAAAATAGCTACCTTGAAAAGTTATAAAATTAAAAATATATGTGAGGTACCTAATGGAGTGTCTAGTACACATAGGTTTTATTTAATACTAGGTGATATTATTATTATTACGTTTGACATAGATCGATGGTTCTCAAACTTTAATGTAAACCAGATTCATTTAAAGGACTTGCAAAACATAGATTGTGGGGCCCCACTCTCAGAGTTACTGATTCAGCAGGTTTTGGGTAAGGTTGAAAATCTTATTTCTAAGAAGTTTCCAGGTCATATTAATAGTGTGGTTCAGAGACAACACTTTGAAAGCCACTGACGTAGAAAGATAAGTCAAATGTAGTAAAGAAGAGCATTGTGGCTAATTATTCTTATTCCTGTAGTCATCTCTTACTAGTAAATATTATTACTTTTCATTTTAAACATTAGTGCCCATGTACTTTCTTTAAAATATTTATTTATCTACTTGTAAGTAATTCTCCTAATGTCTCCATCTACTTAGACAATAATGTAAATATTGCTCTTCTGAAATTGTGCGATACTTTGATAGGTATATAGGGTTCAGGTCAAGTGAATGGAAGAAAAAGAGGTCTTTATTGGGCATCTTTCAGACATACCAACAAAGTGATGGAGTTTGTTGGTCTGTTTCCTCTTTTAAAATGATTGTGTAACTTGAAGACTGCCGGAAACTTTAAAAATCTGCTCTCTCTATTTCTATGTTCTTATTATGATATAAAGAGGCTTGCTCACTACAATAGGTGTTATTGTATGTGTATGTGATTTAGAAAACATTTATTAAAATTAAATGATACTTCCATTTTCATTCATCTGCTAGAATTATTTATCTTGTTCAGTGACCTATCTTGGTAATGAAAACCCAGATAATATGACATCAGTCCTGAAGAAAGGCAAGATCTTTTCTTAAAAGACCACATTTAATCAGAAATATCTTGATGAGTCACAAGTTAACAAAAACTCTCATTCTTGGTATTCAGCCAACAACACTGCCAGGTGTCCAAAATCTAAATGTAGTGCATGACACATACGCAGTGCATCTGTGAACAAAAATAATTCCTGACGAAAGCAAAGATATCTAAAATGTCAACTTATTTCTTTGGTATCTTCTGAATCAACTTTGATGTATTGTTAATACAATCTCAAGCTACATATTAAAATACTATCAATGACCACAAAATAACATATGAAAAACTCTCACAATGTGTTTGGACTTTTCTACACATTTGAGACAGATCTTCAGACCTCTTCTTTTCTATGTCTATATCACTCCTTATGATCTTGTCCAGATGAGATATCATCAAGTTTCATTGTTTTATAAACCATCTACTGGCTAAATTCATATATCTATTAATACTTTGAATTAAATCTAAGTCCTAACTCTAGACTCTTATAACGAACTATGTATTTGACATCTCAAATTAATACTGAATAGAAATCCCAGTCATAATGCCACAATGTACCCTTTTTGCACACTTTCTCACTCTATGTTAGCTACTTTATTTATACCACTCATGTCACAAACAACGACTCTATCTTTGACTTCTGTATTTTTCTTATACTCTACATCCACTCAACAAGCAAATTTTTTTTTCTCTGCTTTAAACATGTAACCAGAATCTATGTCTCACCCATTCATTTTCACCAATCTTTTCTAAGCCCCATCATCTATCATCTGGATTGTTACAGTAACCTCCCTACTTATCTGCCTTTATACATCATTTTTCCTTTATAGTATATCCTTCCAAAAGCTGTGAAATGAATGTTTTAAAACATAAGGAAGATCATGTACTTTTCTTCTAAAAAATTCTGCAATGGATTCCCTATTTTCTCAAAGTAAAAGTTAACGTTTGTATAATGACCTACACATAATTTGGGCCATCACTAAGTAAAAGAGTTCATCTCCCACTGACTCAGCTACAGGCACTGTGGCATTCTTGAAATCCTTGAAAAATATTAATTGGCTTGCTCCTGTCTCATTGCATTTGTATTTTCTTCCATTTATCTAAAATAATTCTCCATGCTCCATTTATGGCTTATATCCTTGTTTCAAGTGTCTATTCAAATGTCACATTATTAATACCTTAATTTTCCCCTAAAGCAGTTTTTGACATTTAACACATTATTTACCCATTTTTTGTAATCTGTCTCTCTCATATGATATGTAATCTTCATGAGGGCAGGGACTTCTGCTCTCTTGTTGACTGTTGTATTCCTAGTGATTCAAAGAGTTCCCAATGTGTAGCAATTATTCAAGAAATATTTGTTCAATAAATGGATGAGTAGTAGGTGCCTGACATGTTTTATGAACAAAAAAATCTTTTGATAAAAATGTCCAGGACTAATACACATGGGATCAGTTTTTGAAGTTTGATGAAAACTATGGTCCATAGATCTTAGAAGTTTATTGACGCCCACGCACAAGAAATGTGAGAAAACTACATCAAGGTATGTTATAATTAAATGATTCAAAACTGGTGACAAAGAGAACATTCTGAAAGCACTGAGGGAGAACATTCTGAAAGCACTGAGGGAGAAGGTTTGAGGGAAAACATAAATACAGAGGAACAATGATAAAAATCACAACAGATTTCTCATTGGAAATAAGGCATGAGATAGAATAAAGTATGGCAAGCATTTCTAAACTATTGAAGGAAAGAAAGAGATAAAGGAGAGAGAAAGCATAAATATGAATCTAAAATTCTATATCCTGTGAACATATGTTTCAAAAACAAAGGCAAAATAGACTCTTAGAAATACAGTAGTTGAAAATTTTATCACTAGCTGACACTCATTATAAGAAATATTGAAGGCAGTTCTTCAGGCACAAGGAAGATGAAACCAAATGGAAATATATGTCTACATAAAGAAAGAAGGGATTTGTAGTAGGTGAAGATGTAAATAAGCATATGAAAGTTGAAAGTATTACTTCAATCTCTTTAAAAGATAATTGACTGTTTAAACAAAGATAACAATATAGTTATCTATATATATAGTTATGTATATTGTTATCTTTGTACATAATATAGTTATCAATATTATGTAAAAATAAATTATGTACAAAAGAAATGTGTAACAGCCACACAAAGATGAGGAGAGGAGAACTGGAAGTATACCATTGTAAAGTTTTCATATATGTGAACTAGAAATGGAAAAATAATAGATAAAATCAAAGAAACCAATAAGTGGTTCTTTGATACCATTAATGCATTGATTAACCTTTGGCCAGACTATCAGAAAAAAAGAGCAACAACAATGAAGACAATTATAAGTATTAGAAATGAGAGAGGTGATTTAACTATTGATTGTACAGATATTAAGAGGATATTAAAATATATTAAGAATGTTATGAATAATCATGTAATATACATTTGACAACAAAGGTGAAGTAGACCATTTCATCTTGACAATGGGTAAACTATAAAAGCTCACCCAAGAAGAAATGTATAACCTGAATAGTCTTATATCAATTAAATAAATTGCATTTGCCTTTAAAATCTTTCTCCCCAAGAAAACTCAAGGCCCAAATGGCTTTTTTGTGTGTGACTTCTACAAAATATTTAAGGAAGTGGTAATACCAATACTACCAATACTCTCCCTGAAAATCAAAGGGGACAGAATACATCCCAGCTCCTTCTATGAGTTAACATTACCTTGATATGAAAACCAGATAAAGACATTATAAGAAAAAAGATAACTATAGACCAATACATTTCAAAACACAGATGAAATATCCTAAACCAAATTTTAGGAAATTAAATCCAATGGTATATGAAAGGGTATTAACTAATGACCAAATGGGATTTATCCCTGAAATGCAAGGTGGGTTTAACATTTTTTTAAAAATCAGTCAATATAACTCATCAGATTAATAAAATTAAAGAGTAAGACCATATGATCAATTCAATAGATGCAGAAAAGTATTTGATAAAATATGTCTATTCCTGATTAAAAAAATACTCAATAAACTAGTAGCAGAAGGAAAGAGCTAATAAAAGAAGTTGTGTTTCTACAGCTAATGAAAGACAGTAATGAAAAACCTATAGCTAAATTACTCTTAATGGTAAAAACCTAAATGTTTTCCTTTTAAGACCAAGGAAGGTGGGGAATCCTGATCTCAACACTTCTATTTAACGTTACACTGGAAGTCTAGTCTGTGAAATCATCCAAGAAAAAGAATAAAAGGCATCCAGATTGGAGAGAAAGAAATTTAAAAAATGCTTTTATTTGCAGATGTCATGATCATATATATAAAAATACTACTGGAATCTACAAAGAAGCTATTAGAACTAATAATTAATTTTAGCAAGATTGCAAGACATAAAAGCAATGTACAACAATCAATTGCATTTCTATCTACTAGCAATGAACAATTAGATATATTTTCATTCATCATAGCCTCAAAATATAAAATATATTAAGGAAGAATCTGGCAAAACGTGTGAAATATGTTTACACTGAGCACTGCAAAATATTCCTGAGAGAAATCAAAGAAAAATAAATAAAAGGAGGAGAGACATACATTGTTCATAGTTCAGAAGACTCGACACTGTCAAAATGTGAATTCTCTCCAACTCCATATTTAGATTTAACACAATCCCTATCAAAATCCCAGAAGACATTTTTGGGAGGGTATAAATTGACAAGTTGATTGTAACATCATAAAATAATGTAGGGATATAGAATGCCAGAACAAATTCGGAAACAGATATCAAAGTTGGAGGAGTAACACTACCTGATTTCAAGACTCATTATAAAGCTACATTAATCAAGACAGTATGAAATTGGCATAAAGATAGGCAAATAGACCAAGAGAACAGAGAAGAGATTCCAGAAATAGTTTCATATAAATATAGGGACAACCGATTTTTGATAAAGATGGACAAGTAATTAAATGGATAAGTGATAATGTTTTCAACAAATGATGCTGGAACATTTAGATATCAACATCTAAAAAATAACATTAATGTATACCTCACACTATATACAAAAATTAACTGAAATTGACTCATGTATCTTAACACAGGATCTACAACTAAAAGATTCTAGAAGAAAACTTACGAGAAAATATTTGTGTTCTTAGGTTAATCTTACATACTGGATAACAATCCATAATGATAAAAACTGGACTTCATCAAAATTAAAACTTTCTGTTTTTGAAAGCCACTGTTAGGAGAATGAAAAGTCAAACCATACACATGGAGGAAATATTTAGAAAGAATATATCTGATTTAAAAAAAAATAAAGCTCACATCCAGATTATACAAAGAGCTTTTAAAATTAGTAATAGGGTAATAAGAAAACCAATAAAAATATGGGCCAAAGGTCTGAATAGGCATTTCACCAAAGAACATATACAGATGGTAAAAAGCACATGAATAGATGTTTAACAACAGTCATTAAAAAAGGTGAAAATTAAAATCACAATGAGATACCACCACAAATTTACAAGCATACTAAAATTAAAAAGACATATCAACTGTTGGCAAAGATGTGAAGGAACAGGACCTCTTATACACTGCTGATGGGAATGTAGACTGGTACAGGCACTCTAGAGAACACTATGACACTTTCTAAAAGTTAAATATGCACCTATCATATGATCCACCCATTGCATTCCTAAATATTTACTCAAGATAAATGGGGGTGTATATCCATCCAAAGGCATGTACACAAACATTCACAGGAACTTTACTTGTAATAGACAAAACCCTGGAAACAACCCAAATATACATTCACAACAGGTGAATGCTTAAATAAGTTGTGGTATTTCCAAGCAGTGGAATATTACTCAGCATTAAAAAAAAGATAAATTATTGGTACATGCAACTATATGGATAAATAAAAAAAATGTAGAATTTTAAAAGCTAGACACAAAAGAGTGCATGCTATATTATGTCATTCATTTAAGGTTCTATAAAATGCAAGCTAACCTATAATGGCATAAAGTAGGGCAGGGTTTGACTGGAAAAGGAGGTGGGACTAGGAATGGCAGGAAGGAGGACTATAAAATAATACAGAAAGTTGAGGGTGGTGAATATATTCATTACCTCGATTATGGTGATAGATTTACAAGTCTGATCAAACTGTAGACTTTAGATATATGCAGTTTACTCTGTGCCAATTATGTCTATTGTATACTGTTTAAAATGAAATAATCAATGTTTAAATTTAAAGCATTTTCCTTTGCTTTGATGGTCAAATATAAAAGAAGAAAAATATTTAGGATTATATTTATTATAACCAATAATCCACTAAACTTTCATGCTTTTACCATTTCGGTTTTAAAAAATGTTTTTTTCCTCATAAAAATAAGTAAATTTAAGCAAAAGGACCTTGCAAAATTTTTCTTTAAATATGTTTTTTCCCTACAGTGAAATTAAATTTTAACAAAAACAAGGTGTTTGTAGCAATAAATGAAGTATGCTGATGATATACCTACAAAGCATAAACACCAGTTTAAGAGGTTTGACACACCAGTTTAAGAGGCTTGACATCAGCTTTCAGTTCAACATCCCTGGAGACTAGTCACTCCAGAAGGTGTGTAATCCGAGAAGGGTAATTTAACTTTCTATTGTTCAGTGTCCCTCGAGGTTTAATAGTGATATGGAGCCTTATCCATTACTGTGAGGACAAATGTGATAACAGACAAGCCTTTGGTTATCTCTTTATGTAAGGTGAATTTACAAAGGAGCTTATTGGATGCTGGCTATTTTCTTCTGTAACTGACTGAAGTTCTAGTGGCTGAAAGTTTGACTAAGCACCTACAAAGAGACTTAATCCAGGTACGAATAGCTGCTGTCTTTGAGATAAAATACATGTACTCATATTTGAATATACTTAGTTTGTCCTGCATAATTCTTTAATGAAAATATTATGGCACAGGTAACTGATCTAAGGAATTCTTTATGCCATAATAATATCCCATTATTAAAAATTAAAAATTATTATAATTTTAAATAATATGGAAAGACAAAAAGAAAGTAAACAATGTTGGCTTCAAAATTATTTTGATTCATTTTATAATTTAGAATAGAAATATGGTCAATTAGTATAACAACAACCCTTTAACATGGACAGTACTCTGCTGAACAATCACTGTATTTTTCACTAAGTGTTGGGAATGATATTTTATTTGAAACAATCATGAGGTTGATACATTTCAACACCTATTTTTCTTTAGCTTCTTTCTTCAATTTCTATCCCTCAACTCAATTTCTATCCCATAACTCCTCTGTTCCTCCTTTCTCTGTCACCCTAAGTCATCTCTGTAGCAACATGCCTATCTCTGATTCTGAATGTTTTCTTGTCCATAACAATGGGTGTCCCTCCTGGCCCTAAAAAAGTATATCTTTCTTAGTTTCCAAGTCCAGACCTTCTTTCTGTGTTGAGAATCTTTTTCTATACATTGTTTCCAGTAGACTATGTTCCAATGACAATATATTAGTTTTCTTTTTGCTTCTTTAGAATAAGGATTCAGAGGATACTGATTATTGATAAAAAGCATATTTCCCTTTCATATTTTTATTGATAAAAAGCGTATTTTTCTCTATCTAGTCCAAAATATATAGTGTACCTTGGAAAATCATTTCTATTACATGGACACTATTCTCCTTAAGTTCTGTTTAGCATGCATTCTATGGGGTTATAAAGAAAGCTTGTTTTATCATGTGAAAAATAGTAACAGATACAACATATGCAGGTTACCTACACAGTTGAAAAGTCTCATTGCTCTTAACTAAGTGGGAATGTCAATAAAATCCAATATGGGCCAACTGGGAACAGAAATAAATAATTTTACAGTTCTAAATGCTGTAGGAAAATGCAAGAGAGTAGTGAGACAAAAAGACATTAGTACACACTAGGGGAAGAAGCTTCCTTAGAGAGCATAGTCAAGGATGTCTTTTCTAAGGTGCTGAAGACCGAATAAAATTCATTTAGTCATGTGAATGTCTAAGGGAAAGGTGTCCTAATTAGAAAGGAAGCAAATACAAGGCAGGGCCCTGGCTCCAAGGCAAGACCACATCTGATCCGCAGAAGGCCAGCCTGTCTGAGCCAGGTGAGTAGGGGAGATTGCTAGGTCATAGGGCATTTGGATTTTATTGTAAAAACCTAATCAGCTTAACATCAGGTGCTTTATGTTTGTAGTTTTAAGTGATGAGTTGTCATTTGCACTGTGGAATGTGTGTGTAATAAGTTGCAATGTTATTGTTGCAATATTTATAGGATCAGTCTATGTGTCTAAAGAAGATTGTGGAATAAAAGAGCAAAAGTGTTTTTTTTCTTAAAAAAATTTAATCATATTTAATGGGTTTTCCAATTTCAAAAAATTCTGAAGTTGGAGCAAGGACTGATCCTTATGAGTGTTAAAGATGTGGAAATTGAAAAATGTCCCATCAGTGACTTCATTTTCAGAATAATTTTCCATGCCAGTTGCCATTTTATGCCCTGCATGAGTGACTCAGTGTGCACCTAAGGACCATTTTAATGTGTGGCATCTGGGTGGACACCTGGAAGCTGTGAAGCTTTGAACTAAGGAGCCATTAATGCTTAAAAAAAATTAACATTAATGTTGATTATCCTCTTTAACTTGTTTCACCCACAACTGCTCAATCATTCTGCAACCAGATTACTGCCAGTTCCATATGTTTCTGTGTCACTTAGCCTTGACTAATTAAAATGTTCTGTGTAGGTGCCACATAAAATTTAAAACTCTGAGATGTCTCTTTAGCCAATTGAAGAGACTTTTAATGTTTTATGAGAATTAATGTATGAGTTTCTTTTAACATGCCAAATACTAAACACATGACTGAAAATTTTATGTTTTCTTTGATTTTGATTCAGAGAAACAAATCTATGCGTATCAGCTGTGTTCTAAGCTTTGCCAAACTTGAAACTCTCTATAATCTTGATAGATTTTCTTTAATATTTTTCTTTAAATGTACTTTTTCTAATGACTATAGGAATACTTTTAGCCAAGAAATCCATAAAAAAGGGATTAATCATCATCAGCAAGAAAAAAATGCATACTAAATTATCAATTAAATTACATTCCGTCCTTTCACATTGTCAGTGATATATAAAATATAATAGCCAATGTTGCCATTCATAAACACTGCTAATATGAGTGTAAATTGGCAAAATATTTAGAAGACAATTTTGCAGCATATAGCATATATTATTTGATTCAACCCATTCAAAAAGTGTTATGAGGAAATAATCAGATATGTACAAATATTCATAAAAAAATTATTATAGTGTTATTTACAATACTAAAGCATAGAAATATAAGTGAGTACCAGTATGAAAACAGTTCAATAATTTGTTTCTTTCATATGATGGATAAATGCACTGTTTAAAAACCATGATTTTGAAGACTAATTAATACTATCATATTTCTTGATATAATAATATCATGTTGAGACAAATTTCGCAAACAAACCAAACCACCACAAATGTATTTCTAGAAATGCTGAACTGAAGGGGCAACACATTAACATTCTTTATTTCCAGTGTAATTTATTTGTTTATTGGTTTTTAGTCTATTTACATATTTTAATGATCATTTCTTAATAAGAAAAAGTTATCAAAAGTGATTATGAAGAAATTTATTTCATTGAGTGTTATTTTTAATGGCTTTAAAATGTATCTCTCAGTGAGTCAATATAGCGTATTTATATGTTTTCATATGGCCTGGTAAACTTTTATGTTTTAAGATCTTTTTCTCCAGTAAAATTCTAAACTTCTTGAGAGTGAGCCCATGTCATTTACTTCAGTTTTATTCTGCCTAATGTTTTTGGAATGTTAGACATTTGAACAGAAATTCCCAAGTTTTGCCACACATCAGAATCAACTCTGTGGAGTTTTGTCAAAGTATCTATGCCCAGATCTTGCTTCTAGACATTCTCATTTAGTACATCTGTTGTGCCACTAGTGATTCTAATGTACATAAAATCACAGAATCAGTTTACTTATTTAATTTAAATGAAAGTACAAATAAAAGGTATTGTACTGTTTCTTATTACTTCACTAATGGCAAATATTTATAGATCATCCTTGATTCAAGGTAGTTCAGATAAGTTCATATGAATATTGGTTCAAATTGTAGTTGATATGATACAGATATTAATTTTAAAAATAATTGTCTCAGCTCCTTTTGGATGTTGGCAGATAGATACATAATAAAAATAATTTTCCTGCATCTTGAGTTTGGAATCTAAAACATATTTATATAAGCGCTGAGTTTAAAAGTAAAAGAACCAATAAATTAAATCAAATCAGGTCACATGTTTGTTCAAGAACACATACATCATTTTCATACTCTGTTACAAATCAAAGCCACATATATCTGTTTGGATTTTTTACTTTTCATCAATTTTTCCAGCATCACTGAAGAAAACAATTTTCAACAAATTATCTGATACCTCCTCATAAAAAGAGCAGCAACAAAAATCAACACAGTTACATCGTAATACTGATGAATTCAGTGATGTAATCAGTTGTTTGCAGTCCTACCCCCCAAACATACAAACACACCCACACGTACACACACACACACACACACGAACACACCCCAGTAACAGTACTAATTATTTTTCACTTTTGATTATTATTCTAACTGGTTTGTGTTAGTAACAGTTGTCCATCTATAGAGTCTGGAGACTCAGGTCCTACTCTGGTCCAGCATAAAAAACAGGTTTAAGTGGCTGAAGGAGATTAAAGAAGTGATTTTTTCCTCCCCTTAGAACATATGGGAATATATTCTTGTTAATCCTAGTGGTCTCCACATTTAGCCATGGAAATGAGCAAACTATTTTTAGTTAATGTGAGGAAGTAAAACCAGAATGCTTGAAATGTAAAAGGCAATTAAAATTTAAAATCATATTGCTAGTTCTACCTTAAAATTGTTGCATTTGAACTACCCGTTAGTTTTTAGAAGAGAGAGCTTAATACCAAGAGAAATTTCTAAATGATACTTGATACTGAACAGGTGCTTACAAACTCATTGATCAACAAATAAATGTGTTTTCAGAAACTTTTCTTTAAACATTTTCAGCGATATTTATTTTATAACTTTCTCCAAAGTTTAAAATACTACTGTTTTCAAATTCTTCCTTTAATCTATTTAAAAAGCCTCCTGATTTCATTTAAACTCTGCTAACTCCAACTTTTTTGTTCCTGTGAAGTAGGACCACATCTACTCATCATTTTTATCAGAACATTGTAGAATTTAAATATCAAAGAAATGTGAAATGCTCCTGGAGAGGATTGTTCTCACTTAACTAAATAGGAATAAACCTAGCAAGTAAATAGAAACAGTATTAATGCACACTAACACGTTATGGTAGCTAAATTAGAGCCACTGGGTAGAGAAGAAAAACAAAAAAGGCTCCAATTAAATTTGCGGTGTAGTAGTGAGCACAAAGTGCATATCAAATGCCCTGTAGTGAAATCTGGGAAAGCTTATTTAGTCAACCCTCTTTGGTGAAATTCAGAATAAGGCTTTTGGTGAAAGACCAAGAGTTCCTTCAGCAGAACATATTTCCATGTTAGGTCATACTGCTCTATTAATTACTTTTCTAGACTTCCAAAATTGATGAAAATGCTTTAGTATCTTGATGACACTTAAACTTAGTTTTGTGTAGATGATATCAGTCCTGAATATAAATATTTGCTCCTGAATACCAAGTACTTGAAGAATACACAGGTAGTCCTCACTTTGCACAGTAGTGAGGGGCCATAAAATATGATTGTGCAAGCTAAAACCATGAAAAGTGACCTTAATAATCAGTGGAAAGATATGATTGTTCCATAAACTTTACAAGTATTTTTGCAAAAATATTGAGGACTCTCATTTGGTTATAAACATGCAGAAAAATGAACAGAATATTGAAACCAATATTGATTCAGTGGCAGTGTAATTTAAAAATTAGAAATATAGAACATTAAAGTGTTTTGTTTCTTTGTAAAAAAAAATCTTGTCAAGAATAGTTTACCAGTGCTTGCCTTCTTTGTGTCATGTGAATTTTGATATGAAGTGAGTATTTTTTTTCTATGGCTTGATAAATTTTTATACGGTTTTCTAAGATTGCATCAGGTTTTAAGGCTTCATCCTTTGCATTTTCAATGTCATGAAATATCTAGAGAGTTTCTTTAATATGGAGTTTATTTGACAGTGTCACTTCTTATTCTGGTAGGTTTCCCTTCAGTAAGTTCTTCTGACTGTGTACCTGGAGTCTCTCTGGTAGCATCATTGTCAACATTCCATGGTCAGCTATTTCGTTCATTCCTCTATTTACAGACAATTCAAATCCTGCAGTTATTTGCACAGTGCCATAAAGTTTCTGCCATGATGCATGCATTTTACTACTTGCCATGATGTTTGGATATTCTCAGTTGCATGCTATGTTATATTTCTTCCCAAACTCAGCTAAAGAAATGGCATGTTCTTCAGTTGTAGCATCAGTAGCCTGTCTGAGAAATCCATCTAAGAAAATATGCTTTTCAAAAGTTGAAATAACTTATTGGTTCAGTGGCTGGATTAATGAAATCGTTCGGTGGTAAAAAGCATAGTTTTATATTTTCATTCATGTACCCAGCAGAATCAACTGGAGTATTATCTACTAGTAGTAATATTTTAAAAATTAAATTATTCTACCTAAAGCATCTCTGTATCACCAGGAGATAAGGAGGCATAACAGCTACATGTTTTGTTGTCTATGCGTGAGTAACAAATGTACAGGGACCAGACACTAATAGACTTTGAAAAGAAGTGACGTGACTTGTCACTGATCATGATGTGCACTTTCTATTTGTATAGTGATGTGTTAATTGAAGAGGTAGCAGCAAACTTTGTTCTTTGCAGTCACTCACAGTTAATGTACCCTGGTAACTGAAATTTGAACCATATTGTCGGGAGTCTAGTGTTATTTAACTAAACCATGGTAACTGAAATAACAGTACAAAATAAGAACTGCCTTTACTAAGTTGAACAAATTGGTTTCAGGCTTTTGTACTTAATTTATTTCTTCATGAAAATGTGCCCAGTGGCTCATTTTTTAAATAATAGTGACAGGTGACAATGTGCTGGCAGCCCTCGCTTGCTCTCGCTGCCTCCTTGGCCTGAGCGCCCACTCTGGCTGCGCTTGAGGAGCCCTTCAGCCCGCTGCTGCACTGTGGGAGCCCCTCTCTGGGTTGGCCGAGGCCGGAGCTGGCTCCCTCTGCTTGTGGGGAGGTGTGGAGGGAGAGGCGTGGGCGGGAACTGGGGCTGCGCCCTGGTGCTTGTGGACCAGTGCAAGTTCCCAGTGGGTGTGGGCTCTGCGGGCCCCACACTTGAGCAGCTGGCTGGCACGGCCAGCCCCGGGCAGTGAGGGGCTTAGTACCTGGGCCAGCAGCTGTGGAGGGTGCGCCAGGTCTTCCAGCAGTGCTGGCCCGCTGGCGCTGTGCTCGAATTCTAGCCAGGCCTCAGCTGCCTCCCCGCAGGGCAGGGCTCAGGACCTGCAGCCTGCCACGCCCAAGCCTCCCCTCTGCCATGGGCTCCTGTGCGGCCCGAGCCTCCCCAATGAACACCACCCCCTGCTCCGCAGCACCTGGTCCCATTGACCACCCAAGGGCTGAGGGGCGCAGGCACACGGCGCGGGACTGGTGGGCAGCTCTGCCTGTGGCCTTGGTGCGGGATCCACTAGGTGAAGCCAGCTGGGCTCCTGAGTCTAGTGGTGACTTGGAGAACTTTTATGTCTAGCTGGAGGATTGTATACACATCAATCAGCACTCTGTGTCTAGTTCAAGGTTTGTAAATGCACCAATCAGCACTCTGTATCTAGCTAATCTGGTGGGGACTTGGAGAACCTTTATGTCTAGCTAAGGGATTGTAAATACACTAATCAGCACTCTGTGTCTAGCTCAAGGTTTGTAAACACACCAATCAGTGTTCTGTGTCTAGCTTATCTAGTGGGGACTTGGAGAACTTTTGTGTCTAGCTAGAGGATTGAAAATGCACCAATCAGCACTCTGTATCTAGCTCAAGGATTGTAAATGCACCAATCAGCACTCTGTGTCTAGCTCAAGGTTTGTAAATGCACCAATCAGTGCTCTGTGTCTAGCTAATCTAATGAGGACTTGGAGAACTTTTATGTCTAGCTAAGGGATTGTAAATACACCAATCAGCACTCTGTGTCTAGCTCAGGGATGGTAAATGCACCAATCAGCACTCTGTGTCTAGCTTGGGGTTTGTGGATGCACCAATCAGCACTCTGTATCTAGCTAATCTGGTGAGGACTTGGAGAACTTTTATGTCTAGCTAGAGGATTGTAAATGCACCAATCAGCACTCTGTGTCTAGCTCAAGGTTTGTAAACACACCAATCAGCACCCTGTCAAAATGAACCAATCAGCTTTCTGTAAAATGGACCAATCAGCAGGATGTGGGTGGGGTCAGATAAGGGAATAAAAGCAGGCTGCCTGAGCCAGCAGACGCAACCTGCTCAGGTGCCCTTTGTTCTTTCACTCTTTGCAATAAATCTGCTGCTGCTCACTCTTTGGGTCCACACTGCCTTTATGAGGTGTAACACTCACCACGAAAGTCTGCAGCTTCACTCCTGAGGCCCGCGAGACCACGAACGCACCTGGAGGAATGAACAACTCCGGACCGGAGGAACGAACAACTCCAGGTGCGCCGCCTTGAGAGCTGTAATGCTCACTGCGAAGGTCTGCAGCTTCACTCCTGAAGCCAGCAAGACCATGAACCTACCAGAAGGAAGAAACTCAGAACACGTCTGAACATCAGAAGGAACAAACTGGACACACCATCTTTAAGAACTATAACACTCACCGTGAGGGTCCGCGGCTTCATTCTTGAAGTCAGTGAGACCAAGAACTCACCAATTCTGGACACAATAGGAGTAAGGTTTAAAAGATAATAAATAATCTTAGTTGGGTGAACCTTAAAGTACAAATTATTAACTTATTTACACTAGTAAGAAATATGGTAGGTGGAATCTAGCTTACCTGTTTATGTGCAGCTCAGGAAGGCAATAGAAAAGAAAGATTTCCAATTCCCCTTGTACCTTATCAGTCAAGCAACCACTAAAGATTGCATCTTCAGGCTAGCGCGGTGGCTCAAGCCTGTAATCCCCGCACTTTGGGAGGCAGAGGTGGGTGGATCACGAAGTCAGGAGATCGAGACCATCCTGGCTAACGCGGTGAAACCCTGTCCCCACTAAAAATACAAAAAGTTAGCCTGGTATGGTGGCGGGCACCTGTAGTCCAAGCTACTGGGGAGGCTGAGGCAGGAGAATGGCGTGAACCCAGGAGGCGGAGCTTGCAGTGAGCTGAGATCGTGCCACTGCACTCCAGCCTGGGCAACAGAGTGAGACTTTGTCTCAAAAAAAAAAAAAAAGATTGCATCTTTGATGCTCTTGTATATAGAAGACTGAACATCTAATTAGACACAGATCTTCACTGCTTACGTTACCCAGAGTGTATTCTTAAAGAAGAATACATGCCCATAATTACATGTATAGCATCTTTAAAAAATTGTGGAGATTTTGGGGAGTAGGTAATAGGCCTAAGGAAAAGTCCTCAGTTTGGAAAATCAATAAAAAGAAAAGTTTTTCTCAGGTTCTAGTAAGTTATACATTTTGAAAACATGTTTGTTGAGTAATAATTTCCACAATAAAAATTCTCCATTGTAAGTGTACAGTTCAAAGAGTTTTAAAAACAGAGAACACTTGATGTATTTCCATGTCATTCTTGTGTAGGGTCATGCTAATCTTCATCAAGTTGTTCCAATTTTTATTCCAATATGTACTTCCAAGTCAGGCACTCTTGGAATTTTAATTTTGGATGGGAAAGTACCATCTACTGTTTTTTTCAGGAACATAGAAAGAAGGATAACTTAATTTTCTTATGATGGATATGGTATATGTATATATTTGTGTATTAAATATTTGTTTTGGAAGCATTTATGGTAATATGTATTAAGCGATGAGATAAGTATTCACATTCAACTAAAATTTACCGAACCTTCATATTAGTTCTAGGAATATAGTTGTTATCTCTACTTTATAAGTGAAGGAAAGAATTTCGGCAAATTTAAGGAGCTTGACTGAGGAACATGACTGGTACATTTTAGAACTGGGATATGATCTGTCATTTTCTAACCCACATCACATTGAGATAGAAGGTTCTGTATCCAATGATAATTCATAAACTAAGAATAGATAATATTTATTGAGGTCTTATATAAGCCAAGTACTATTCTAAGTTCTTTACATGTGGTATTTCATTTGGTCCTTATAAGAACTCTATGAGGCAAATGCTATTATTTCCAGTAGTGCATAGATGAGGAAATTGAGGTTCAGTGAAGGCAGGCATCCTGACAATGATCATAAAAACGATAGGTGGCATAATTGGGACCCTGGTTCCAGAGTTCACCATTGTGTTTGCTTCACATTATCTCTGTTAGTATCCACTGTCTACCAAGGGAGGCAGCAAAGACTGGGATCCTTCTTAGAACTTTCCTTCTAGAATACAAGGGAACAATAGAAAGAATAGGAAGAAAAAGTTTTCATAACTTTCTGGGGAGATTTTTCTATGTATCTTGTCAATCACATTATAAGAATGAATTTTTTCCATGTGAATTCTGAACTTTTATACTTTTGGGCACACTAAAAGGGAACAGAAATTCCCAGGACAAATGTACCAACATTGTGCTTCAGGATGGTTTACCTGTGGATCTCTTCACCTGAGATTGCTTTGCACCAGATATGAAATGGCTCACATCCTCACATCATTCAGCTCTCTTTAAGAGTCATCTTCCTAGGCCCTCCTATTTAAAATAGTAATCCTCTCTTCATTTCATATTCCTCACTCATGTTTTTCTCTCTTGCACTGATGACCATCTACCTTAAGTTCAGATTGATGTGTCCTACTCAAATTCAAAACTACAGGGCATTTCCTTAACCTCTTTTTTATTGCATCTGTGTCTCCTTTATTTCTTACTGAAAATACTGGTTCTCATGGGCATGGGCAATGATAGAAAATTTTATCATTGCTCATTTATTTTATCAAATACTGCACATTCAATAGTCTCAGAGTAGCAGTGCTAATACAACCACCAATTTGATTTCTGAAACTGTTAGCATTGTAGTGCTTTTGTTCTCTCTATTCTCTGTTTTTTAGAGTTGTTCTATACCTACATTGCCTGAGGATATAGTCATTTCACACTATTTTCTCTCCCCCTTGGCCTTTATTTAGTCTCAGTGCCACAAGTAACTATATATTTATGTACCCGCAGTCCTTATGTCAATGTCTCTCTAGTCACTTTGCTTGTCTAAAGGTTGTTTTCTTATAGATTCCTTAGTAAGGGCTCATGGGAACAACATTTCTATAGTTCTTGCATACTAATAAGAGTTTGCCTATGTCCTTTGAACTTGAAAATCTCTTTGGTTGGATAAAAAAAAAATCCTTGGCACACAATTGCATTATCTTGAATATCTTAATATGTTACTGCATTTTCTTCTGGCACAAAGTATTACAGTTGAAAAGTCTGATGATAATATAATTTTCTTTTCTTTGTAAGTCATATGCTCTTTATTTTCTAGGTGCCCAAAGATTTTTTCCTTCTTTCTTTCTTTTATAAGAAACATCATGTAACTTTACTGGAATATGTATTTGTGTTAGTTGTTATGGGTTGAGATTCTTTAATGTGTACAATGTCAATATGCAATTTAAAATCTTTTACTTCATGAAAATATTCTGGGATTACTGGATTTAGTAATTGTTCTGTTTCTTTATTTTGGCTTTCATCTGCTGTTATCCATATGCTCAAACTTTTTTGCCTGTCTTCAAAGTTTTTGCTGTTTTCTGAATCCTTTTTTCTTTTCCTTCATTACTTTTTGATTTTTAAAGTTACTCTCTTTTCATCTTTTACCAAAACATCATCTGTTGTGTTTATTCTCTATTGTGTTATTTCTAGTTTATTTTTTATTTTTGGAATTTTTCTCTAATTTTTAATTATTTCCAAAATTTTGGGATATTACTTTTAAGCTTTTCTAGTTCTAATTTATGTTATTCTTTGATGTATTGTAACATTTTCTTAATGTTTCTTAGCTAGTTTTGAAACAGTAGGTTACAGTTTTGTTCTGTTTTGTGGGTATACTTTTTGGCATGCTTTTATTATCTACATGTACATTATTTCACTTTTTTCCCTTTTTTGTTATTATAACCCCTTGAGAAATATGGCCTTAATTGTTTTCTGTTGCTCATGTTTATGTGAAGTGGATTTTCCTAAGGTGGGGTTTAGGAAAGCTTATGGAACCTACAGAGCTTCTTCTGTTGTCTTATGTTGTGTTTAAAAATTGGGGAAGGTGCTTTCTGAGATTTGGTCTGGGCTTTTCCCCCACCCCGCCCTTTCTTTTTGTTTTCTCTATCTTGTTGAATTTTGATTCCCTCCCAGCTATTTTTCTTTAATGTGCATTCCTCTTTGGGAGGGGAGGCCTGGTAGGTGAGTTCTGAGATTTAACAGGTGTTTTTGGTTCCAGATTGTTTGGTCCTCCTGTCAGGGAAGGGTGGCACTCACAAACTCGCCGCAGTTTCATCGGCTTTGCCCTTACCGGTCCCTGCTTTCCAGTGAGCTCCACTGATGATTTTAACTTTCTCCTGCTCTCAGTCCCCGAAGACCCCACCCTGTTGCTTTCTTCCTCTTCCTCCTGCAGATATAGAGATATCATGCATTTTAAAGTCTATTGGCCCTTTGTCTGCACCCCACGTATTCTGGGGTTCATGAGTTAACTATCCATCTAGTTTGTTTTAAATGCTGACCCTGGTTTATTGGTTTTGTTATTTAAATGCTCTTTTTTATGTGGGGATTTGGAGAAATTAAATAACTACACCACCTCCCCTGCCATCTTCCCAGAATCCTCTCTCCTCTGTAGTTCTTAATATGTGCTGTTGATATTGATGACCCAGCAAACTCTCTTTAATATAAAATGGGTCCCATGACACATACATAGATGTTAATATTCTAAAGTGAAAATTACCTAAGTGTTACCTAAAATTACCACTAACAGTTTCAGGCACCTAACCTGAAACCCTTAGTGGTTTTTTATAGGAGACCTGAGTCCATCTTGACATAATTTGATGAGTTTTGCCTTTCAGTAAGTAGCAAATTATTTTCTTTTGCTAGTAATATAATGATAAAAGTTTCACAGTAATAAATTTCCACGATGAAAGATAATTTTATTTGGAAAAAGCTGTGTAGAACAATTGCAGGCTCAGATTTTCCTTCAAACAGTCAAGTTCAAGGTATTTTAAAGGCCAGTTTTTCTCAGATGGTGGAAATATAAAAAGAATAAAAATGAAAACATTGCACTAATTTGGGGGTAATTCATTTCCTTAGAGGTGGGGTGTTTGTTGTAGGCTATAGGAGACTATTGGCCTATTCATGACATTAGTGGCAACCATTTCTAGATAAGGGAAGGCTTACACAGGTAACTCTTTGAGTGCTGTGAAATGATCCAAATTAGAAGGCAAAGAAGTGAAAACGGGTGCTTGCTTAAAAGACCGTGTATGCTCATAAAAATGAGCTGTTACAGTGGTCTTTCATCCCAATCCCTGCAGATAAAAAGCAATCTCCACATGATTTGCTAAAGCTCTCTTACCTCACTTTCACAGAGCAAAAAAATCATGATTGAAAACAGGGCAGGTGTTTTGTCAAGTTGCTATGGTGAGAAGATAGAAAAATGAATGTTTGTGATATTGAAATTTCTCTTTCTTCAGACATTTCCCGTCAAACTACATATATGTATTTTTTAAAAGTATAAGTGAATTCATATTCCATTAAGAGAATGTCCCCCTACCACGGCTAGGTTTCTAGATACCTTGGACAAATTTCTAATATAAATCTGCCTTTCTTAGTTTACAATAATAAGCAAATGCATTTTGATATTATCATATCAATAAAAATATTCTTTATCCATTATATTATAAAGTTTACATTAATTTTGTTCCACTCTGCTAAGTATCTCATTTGTTAGTTCAATCATGGTAGCGAACTGAGAAATGCTCCCATGTGTCACCAAGTATTTGTCATCCCAAGTATTCTCTAGCCTGATTCATGTTTCCTCTAAATGAATTTAGATTCCTTTGAAGGATGAAAAGCATATTTTATATCTTTTCAGGTTTATTGTTTTAAATTTTATTTGTTTATGTAGTGTTCTTTGAGATGCCTATGAGTCTGGATGTATATGCAAAAAATAAAGGAAGGCCTGTTTTGGACTTTTCTCTTAAATTGTATGCCAAACACTGGGGGATGGGGAGGAATCTTCATTATGTATTTGCTATTTGGCACAAATTAGTGAGAATTTTACATGAGGAATAAAAGATGTGGTGCTTCTGGACTTCTCTCAGACTAACATTATTAATGAAGAACGGTCTCATAAAATATTCTCAAGTATTTAACTTCATATGTAGATTGTTAGTTAATATTATCCTGGATGCCCATTTTTTTGAAAATCCAAATTGAACATTCCTTAATATTGAGCAGGTTTGGAATGAAACTATTTACTTTTTAGATTTAACCAAGATTTTACCAAGAGAGAAAAACCATAATACATTATTTTTTCAGATTTTTTAACTGACAAATAATAATTGTGTAGATTTATGGGGTACAATGTGATGTGTCAATACATGTATACATCATGAAATTATCAAACCAGGATAATTAGCATATCCATCACCTCACTTATTTATCATTTATTTGTGGTAAGAACACATAAAATCTTCTCTTTTAGCTCTTTTGGAATATATAATACATTATTATTAACTATACTCACCTTGCTGTGTAATAGAACCCCAGAACTTATTCCTCTGGTCTAACTGAAACTTTGTACTGGTTGACAAGTATCTTCCTATTACCTGTTAGCTATTTAAATTTTTAATTTAATTTTTTAATTTATTTACATTTTCACCTTTCATTTTCAGTTTAGGGGTACAAGTGCAGATTTGTTATATAGGTAAACTTGTGTCATGAGGGTTTATTGTACAGATTATTTCATTACCCAGGTATTAAGCCTAGTACCCATTAGTTGTTTTTTCTGATCCTCTCCCGCCTCCCACCCTCTGAAAGGCCTCAGTGTGTATAGTTCCCCTCTATGTGACCATGGGTTCTTATCATTTAGCTGCCACTTAGAGGTGAGAACATGCACTGTTTGATTTTCTATTCCTGTGTTAATGTTCTAAGGATAATGGTCTCCAGATCCATGTCCTTGCAAAGGACATGATCTCATTATTTTTTATGACTGTTTAGTATTCCATGGTGTAGACATACCACATTTTCTTTATCCAGTCTATCACTGATGGGCATTTAGGTTGATTCTATGTCTTTGCTGTTGTGAATAGGGCTGTAATGAACATATGCATGCATGTGTCTTTATAATAGAATGATTTATATTCCTTTGGGTATATATCCAGTAATGGGATTGCTGGGTTAAATGGTATTTCTGTTTTTAGGTCTTTGTGGAAAACCACAATGAGATACCATCTAACACCAATCAGAATGGTTATTTTTAAAAAGTAAAAAAAAAAAATCCCATTCATTTATGCATCCATTCAACAAGCATTTATTCATTGTTTATATTTCAGGCTTTGTTGCAACATTCTGAAAATTTTGTTTGTGGAGGTATTTATGTTTACCTAGAGTGGTTTTTGGTTTGTTTGTTTGGTTGGTTTGGTTTGGCTTGTTTTTTTCTGTCCAAACTATCTTGAGCTGATAGTTGTGGTGCCTGGTTCTAGCTCTGTGCTCTGCAGTGAAATTTCAGTGTGGTCTATCATCAGATATTCAATTTGTTTTCATCTTACATAGAAAATAGGAGATAAACCTCTCTTACTGCTCTTGTGAGTAGTGCAGGCATAGGTTAGTCAAAGCTTGGAAATCACTTTTCACATTCCTCAAAGGAATAAAGCTGTTAAGTGACAATTATGGGAGCCAATATCATTTGTACTTTACACAATGAAGTCGAGAAAGATGACTAATTGGCTTCATGAGAAATGACCTGACTTTGTGGGAAAGTACAAAAACTCACTTCAAAAACAGGGGTTCAGTGATGGAAGTGCATGAAAATTGTTAAGCTTTGTTAGGGATCCAGATAATCATGAGAAGACTCTTTCATTTGAACGTTAAAGCATGACTCAAAGTCTTGCTTTACCCACAAAACATGGTACTAGAGCTAAGTGAGCATCCCTCTTTCTACCCTGCCATCTTCCCTCTAAATCAGAGGAGGCATCTGCAGGAAAACATGGGGGCATATGATGGGTATACCTTTTGACTGGCCAGGGAAGAAAGAAATGATGACCACGTCCTCCTCCAGTGGCATATTGCAAGAGTTGTGAAGCAAAATAATGCCACAAGAAGAGGGGTGGCTCTGGTTTTGCCAGAGAAAAGTTAGGGATTCTATTTGAGAGATTCCCAGAGGAAAAACTATATTAACATAGAAAGTTAATGATATAATTGAAATTATCCTCTGATAGATGTTTGCCTTGCTTACATATTTGCAATGAGATAGTAAAGTATGAGCAATATCCCTTACTGACATTGTAAAAATATGGCTGTTGTAATTAATTAACATGATGTATTGAAACATTGGCTATGTTTAATGTTTTCTAATACATATGTGGCACAATTTCAGCCAATGTTCTTGTTGTTATCTCACAATATATGCTTTTTAGGACTGTCATCTTTTCAGAATTTAAAAGGAAATAAAAATCAGGCTATTATCTGACTTTTGCTCCTGAGGAACTAATGAGCAAGAGTCATTACTCATAACAGAATAATTAATTGGGTTTCCACTCTGTGCCAGACAGTGAGCTGGGATCTGGGCGCACTTAGATAAGAAACAGTTCTTCTTCTCATGGCACACACAGTGTAAAGAGAGACAGGTAAACAAATCATTGCCATATAAGTTGATAAATGCTATAATAAAGGTATGAACAGATGCCACAAACATGGAGGAGGGAGTGTTTAAGTGCCTCCAGCAGAAAGCAAGGTTTATCAGAGTAGCTGGCACTTGACTTGTAACAAGACTTCACAAAGCTAAACAGGAAGGGGCAGGAAGAACAACCCAAGGCTATCAGCATAGACAAAGACACACAAAGTTTATGTGGTCAAAATACAGGGTCAACTTGAGACAGAACCTTTCTGCCATGCGAAAGAGCTTGTATTTTATCCAGAAGAAAATAGAAAGGTATCTTGAAGATAAGACAACTGTGTGCCAGGTCACTGCGTGCTTTCTGTGTCACATGCAGTGTATTATAGTTGGAGCCAAAAGATTAAATGGGATTAAAGGTGAGATGAATTGAGAAGAGGACTGGTAACAAAAAATTAAAAGTGAGTTACCAAAAAATGTATTTATTCTTTTAGAACAAGAAATCAGCAGGTCAGCAATTGCAGGGTTGATTTGGTCACTCTCACTGTCATCAAGGACTAAGGGTCTTTTCACCTTTTTTTTTAACCTATGACCTTATTGTCAAAAAATGGTTCCCAAAGCTGCAAGCATCATTTACTTGTACAAGCAGTCCACATATAGCAAGGAACAATAGAATGGATATGAGTTTTAATCTTTCATCTCCCTTTCTATTTGTGGAGTAAGTGTTTTTGAGAAGACTTGGTAGAAGATTTTTCTTTGCCTCATTGGAAGGAACTCACCATAAGCCACAAAAATCTTAAGGGAGCTTCAGGAAAGAGAATGACATTCATTTTCAGCCTTTGTTATAGGCAATGGGATTTGCAGTGAGGGTAAGGAGACAGGAAATGACTGTTTAGTAACTAATGGTGTTCAACCCCTCCTGGGTAAAATTGATACATAAGAATTGAAAGGAAGAGGAGGCAGTGATGAACCAGATGTAGAAACAGATAAGAACATAAGATAGGTGTGAATTTGACCAATAAGAAGCCACTGCTGACTTTCATTCCAGAAATTTCAGTACAGTTTACTATTAGGAGACAAATTGCAATGTGGTGAAGAAGTAGACCTAGAAACTTCTTTCTTAAAGAAGTTGCTAGTAAAGAGGACAGAAGGAAGCAGCAAATTATGAAGGGAAATTGATTAAAAACTTTTCTGGGGAAAATATCAGATAATTGACAATGTTTACATGCTACAGGGGAAAAACACACACAGATATTTTTTAAACTCAGATACAAGAAGAAGGCAAGAAAATCTACAGTTCAGAGTTCCAGAATGGTTCGGAATGAATAGATCCAAGAGGAGGAATTATTCCTGAGTTTAAGAGAAAGAAGGATGCTAGAATATGGATTTAGCATCATTCACCTATAGGTAGTTGTTAAAATTCACTTAGATCTTGAAATTAGCTGAGTTGTAATGAAAGAAAGGGTGTGAGTTAGTTGAGAAAAATGCTAAATGTGGAGTTATGATCTAAAAATTGGTAGATAATGTAAAGAATTGTGGAAAAGGTAGCCTAAGATGGCAGGCATCTCAAAAGATAAAGGCTTACTGAGAGAAGGAAAAATCACAATGGCGTGGAAAGAACAGTAAGGAAATAAGACCTCCCTGCATTCTAGCCATACTCTGTTTGGCCATGAGAGCGTAAATAATCTCCAATGAATAAATAATCTCACAGTCAGAGAATTTTGACATAATTATTTACTGAGAGAAAATCCCAAGGGAGTCTTCTGGGGCACCAAAAAGCAAAGCAAGAAATCCTCAAAGAGGAGAAATCACAAAGAAAGATAACTATTAATACTAAGAGGGTGTTTAGGTTATAGGGTCATATATATATAAAGAGTCTATTTATATAGAGCCAGCTATACTTAGGTGAACATATTTATCTGTCTACTTGCTGGAATAAAAGTATTAGTTTTGATGCTGAAGGTATGAACTTAGAAGGAATCTCAACTGAAAACCAAATGCTAAGCATCATCAAATGAAGTAGGAAACAGCATTTTGGGGCCACATATCAAATGTCTCTATAGCAATTTATCCAATTTGAGCAGTTGCCTGGTGGTAATGTTTTTGAAGTAAAGTGGTCAAAGAGAAAAAGAAAAGAGGAGAAAGAAGACAGACTTTTCAAAGTAGTGATTCAGGCTTTAAATTTAGATTTAGATCTTTGTGAATATTTTCAAAACTTTCAGAATACTTCAGATTTATTCTGCTTCATCAATTTACTGATGATTTATTCCTCCATCAATTCATATAATTGGCTTTGCCTTCTGTGCTCTATGAAATTAACAAAATTCATTTTAATTTTTTTGTTGTTGTTGTTGTTGTTGTTGTTGTTGTTGTGAAAATATACCTTGCTTTAACAATGGAGCTGTAAGGTCCTCAAGGGCAGGAACATTTTTTTTTTTTTGAGACAGAGTCTCGCTCTGTTGCCCAGGCTGGAGTGCAATGGCATGATCTTGGCTCACTGCAACCTCCGCCTCCCGGATTCAAGCAATTGTCCTGCCTCAGCATCTGGGGTAGCTGGGATTACAGGTGCCCACCACCACACCTGGCTAATTTTTTGTGTTTTTAGTAGAGACGGGTTTCACTATATTGGCCAGGCTGGTCTCGAACTCCTGACCTCGTGATCTGCCTGCCTCGGCCTCCAAAAGTGCTGGAATTACAGGTGTGAGCCACCACGCCTGGGCAGGCAGGAACATTTTAATTTCATATTCATACTGTTGCTAAAACTATGTTTGAGTATATAATAGATGTGCAGCAAATGCATTTTGCCTAAGGGATTAACTGCTGGAATTGCTGAATGCAAGGCAAAGACCTCCAGAGTTTATGATAAGTGGATAGAAGAGTATCTATTGTTGTGAAACTGTTGTATGCCAGTTCTATTTTTATGCAAATTCATTTATACATTCCCTGAGAAGGGAAGTATTTTAACCAAATCTGATGTTGCTAATACATTTATTTTGGTAACCAAGCAGCCAGGTAGCACAAATGAGTAAGTACATTGCTGTTTGTGAAGGAGAGGGGGCTGGAGGAGAACAGATGGAATTTATTTTCAAGTTCATACAGTGTGATGCTAGAAAGACTATATTGTATCCTGTGACTTATACTCATGTGGTAATAATTTAGAAATTGTCACATCAAAATTAGCCCCAATAAAAGACAGAAAGAACCATTTAATTTTAAATCTGCAACGTAATATGTAGAATGTTAATAACTGATTGTATTTATATATCACACTTAATTTCATGACATTCTAATAACAATTCCATGAATTATTATTATTAATACCTTTATTTGAAGGACAAGACAGGGAGGAGGACGTTCCAAAATAACTTTTGGAAGGGAGGTTCCAAAAGTTATTTTAATTTCCCAAGGCCACACAACTAGTAAATGATATAGATCGAAGTCTTGTTTTGATTTCCTGATTTCAAAGGTGGATTATTTTGTTACTTTGCACTAGAGATTACAATTTTGTAGTCAATAGTAGTACTAGCCATAGCATCAGCAACAGTAGCCACAGCCACCGTAGTAGTAGCAAATATTTATTAAATATTTCTGGGCTGGGTGTGATGGCTTACACTTGTAATCTCAGCACTTTGGGAGACTGAGGAAGAAGGATTACTTGAACCCAGGAGTTTGAGACAAGCCTGGGCAACATAGTGAGACCTTGTCTCTCCGAAAAAAAAAAAAAAAGAAGTTTCTATGTGCTAGAAACTCTTCTAAATGCTTGACATGCATTAGCACAGTAGAAACACAAAGGGAAATGAGGCAATGATCTTTCAGGATCATTGCTTTGTTTAGCCAGGCATGGGCTTTGTTTTTCTAAAACATCTCTTTTATCTTTCACAAGTAGATTTACCAAAGGACATATTGTCACATACATAATTTTGAGGTATTGCTTTTTTTCCCTCTAGTCTTTTAAACTTCTCACTCTTCATATGCATGTGAGAAAAAGCAACAGCATGTGTACATTCTACATAGAGTGGCTATTTGGAAGGGGTTTGCCAGGCTTCTGTTCTTAATAGTAAAGGGCATAGATTTTATTTTTGTGCCCATTATGCATCAATAGCTTGAATCAGATATATTATGAATCAGGCTGCCTTACATTTCCTAAGCTGTTGTGTTAACGTTCCTCTGTTTCAGACTGCTATGTGCTTATTAGTGTCCAATGGTAACTGATTCCTACTGAGTGATGCATCTCTAAAGAATTATCAAGGATGTTATGTACTGAGATAACAATGAGCACTTCTTTGGGCTGCAACAAATGCCACAAAAAGACAATCATGTACAAATTTGAGATCCCTGTAAAGTGTGAAAAATAGAAAATTCAAAATTATATGAACAGTTACAGATATCTACAGAAATCTCTCTCCTTTGCTATTTCTGAAAGTGCTAGATTTCCTTCTGCTTTACAGTCTTGAAATCATTTCAAAACCAACATATGCCCACATATGCCACCTTTCCCTAGTTCCCCAGCAATTTCATGTAAAACCCATGTCACCTAAAAAATGTTTTTCCAAGAAGCCTATTATCCCTTTAGACAAAAGGAACAAAGGTGGGGAAAGATGGTGGGAAGTCTGGAGATAGTAGACATGGTCTGTGAATTTGAAGGGGCAAATTAACTCACCTGAGAAAGCAGAATAAATCTGATTGAAAAACAAGCAAGAAAAGTGGAAGTCATTATGAGATAAACAGTAAATGTTATGCAAAAGCTCCTCCCATTTATATTATATTGGAAAGTACTATTTATTGCATTCTGTTTATTAAATTTTGTCAGTTTAATGAATCTCAATGAAAACATTTGAAGTCTTAAATTTAGTTGATTAAAGATGCTTAATATTTTACCTGATATCCATTATGAAATATGTAGATGATATATCAATGAACAGTATTGATATGGGAAATACTTGGTGTAGTAATTTAAAACTACATTAAATATTTTGAAGCAGAAAATGATTTAAACACTTTTTAAATTGACAAAATAATTGTTATATAAAAACTGCACTTTAATACAATATTTAAAGACCTGATTGCATTTTTTTTTTAGAGGAGTTTCACTCTTGTCACCCAGACTGGAGTGCAATGGCGCCATCTCAGCTCACTGCAACCTCCGCCTCCTGGGTTCAAATGATTCTCCTGCCTCAGCCTCCTGAGTAGTTGGGATTATAAGCATGCACAACCATGCCCAGCCAATTTTTTATATTTTCAGTAGAGATGGATTTTCACCATGTTGGCCAGGCTGGTCTTGAATGCCTCACCTCAAGTGATCTGCCCACCTTGGTGTCCCAAAGTGTTGGGATTACAGGTGTGAGCCACTGCACCTGGACATGATTGCATTTTGAACTTATTTCTGTATGAATATCCTGTGACTATTAGATTTTATAATAGTAAGTAATTAATACTTAGTATTTCACTCTAAATCTTTTACAGATTCTTGCTGATTCTTACTATTCGCAAAATTAATACAATGGCAAAAACTGCAATTACTTTTGCACCAACCTAATACAAAAGTGAGTTTCCATGTCCTCCCTCAGTGTGATTATTTCAAGAATAATGTATAGAGGAGAAAAAATATGACACAAGCATACAGAAGGACATGTGTTCACTGAGTATAATAAGAAAAAAAAAATCTAGTTTATAGAACAGCACCCTGATAACAAGCTTGAGTAGATCTGGATCCCAAAAGGTATATATTGTCCATATATTCTTTTCTTGATAATAGCAAAATTAATATAATATGTACATGCCAGAGCTAATCAAGCCCTTTTCTATACATGATCTCATTTGGTAGACAATTGCTGGTGAACAAAACCCACTAATTGATGGAAATATTCCTTCTAGATTGATCTTGTCAAGCTTTATCATCATAAGAAAACCATTGCTGCTGATGTCAAATATATACATTCTCCAAAATAATTGATACTGTCTTATTGTTTTTAGGAATTGACTGCACCCTAATATTATTCTACACTTTGATTTGCAGGCTTAGTTACAGACTTCTGGTATTCTTTCTTTTAGCATTTTTTTTTAATAAAGTGTATAGTATATACAGGAAACATACAATTCATGGTAACATCAACCCTGGTTGAAATTTTGGTTGCTTCCATACAATCTTTTTTCCTTTATCTATATTTATACAATTTTGATAACAATTCTTATATAATATTTTATCTAGATGTTTTTACTTTATAATATTTTAAAGATAATAATAAGATACCTTTTGTAATAATTGTAAGACCTGTATATTAGTCCGTTCTCACATTGCTATGAAGATACTACCAGAGACTAAATGATTTTTACAGGAAAGAGGTTTAATTGATTCACAGTTTTGCATGGCTGTGGAGGCCTTAGGAAACTTACAATCATGGCAGAAGGCAAAGGGGAAGCAAGGCACCCCTTACATGGCAGTAGGAAAGGGAGAGAGAAGAGGGGAAACTCATTTATAAAACCATCAGATCTTGTGAGAATTCACTCACTGTCACAAGAACAGCATGAGGAAAACCACCCATGATCCAATCACCTCCCACCAGGTCCCTACCTTGACACCTGGAGATTACAATTCCAATTACAATTCAAGATGAGGTTTGGGTGGGGACACCATCAAACCATATCATTCTGCTCCTGACTCCTCCCAAATCTCGGTACTCACATTTCAAAACACAATCATGCCCTCCCAATAGTTCTCCAAAGTATTAACTAATTCTAGCATTAACTCAAAAGTCCAAATCCAAAGTCTCATCTGAGACAAATCTCTTCTGCCTATGAGTCTATAAAATCAAAAACAAGTTAGTTACATCCAAGATACAATGGGGACACAGTGGGAGAAATTGGCCAAAACAAAGGTGCTTCAGGCCTCATGGAAGTCCAAACCCAGTCCAAATCCAGCTGGCAGTCAGTAAATCTTAAAGCTCCAAAATTTTTTTGACTCCACCTGTAACACCCATGGCACACTGATGCAAGGGGTGGGCTCTCATGGTTTTGGGCAGCTCCACCCCTGTGGCTTTGCATGGTACAACCCCCACAGCTGCCTTTATGGGCTGGCATTGAGTGCCTGAGGTTTTTCCAAATGTATGGTGCAAGCTGTCAGTGGATCTACCATTTTGTGGTCTGGAGGATGGTGGCCCTCTTCTCACAGCTCCACCAGGCAGTGCCCCAGTGGGGACTTTGTGTGAGGGCTCTAACCCCATATTTCCCTTCTGCCCTGCCCCACCAGAGGTTCTCCATGAAGGATCCGTCCCTGCAGCAAACTTCTGCCTGGACATCCAGGCATTTCCATACATCCTCTGAAATCTAGGTGGAGGTTCCTAAAGCTCAACTTTTCTCTTCTGTGTAGCTATAGGCCCAACACCTGCAAGCCACCAAAGTCTGTGTCTTGCACCCTCTGAAGCAATGGCCTGAGCTGTATGTTAGCCCCTTTTAGCCATGGCTGGAGCTAGAGTAGCTAAGATAAGGGAATCAAGTCCTGAGGCTGCACAGAGCGACATGCCCCTGGGCCTGGCCCACAAAACCATTTTCCCTCCTAGGACTCTGGGCCTCTGATGGGAGGGGCTGCCATTAAGGTCTCTGACATGCCTTGGAGCTATTTTCCCAATTGTCCTGGTGATTAACATTTGGATCCTCATTACTTATGCAAATTTCTGCACCTGGCTTGAATTTCTCCCCAGAAAATGGGTTTTTCTTTTCTATCACATGGTCAGGCTGCAAAATTTCCAAACTTTTATGACCTGCTTCCCTTTGAAACATAAGTTCCAATTTCAGACCATCTCTCTCAAGTTGAAAGTTCCATAGATATCTAGAGAAAGGGCAAAATGTCACTGACCTTTTTGCTAAAGCATAGCAAGAATGACCTTTACTCCGGTTCTCAATAAATTTATTATTTCCATCTGAGACAACTTCAGCCAGAACTTCATTGTCTATATCACTATCAGCATTTTGGTCAAAACCATTCAACATGCCTCTAGGGAGTTCCAAACTTTCCCACATCTTCCTATTGTCTTCTGAACCCTCCAAACAGTTCCAACCTCTGCCCATTACCCAGTTTTAAAGTTGCTTCCACATTTTCAGGTTATTTTTACATCAGTGCCCCAACTCCCAGTACCAATTCTCTGTATTAGTCCATTCTCACACTGTTATAAAGATACAACCAGAGACTGGGTGATTTGTAAAGGGAAGAGTCTTAATTGACTCACAGCTCTACATGTCTGGGGCGGGGGCTCAGGAAACTTACAATTCTGATAGAAGGTGAAGGGAAAGCAAGGCACATCTTATATGGCAGCAGGAGAGAGAGAGAGAGAGAGCAGAAAAAACTGCCATTTATAAAACCATCAGATCTTGTGAGAATTCACTCACTATCACAAGAACAGCATGAGGAAAACCACTCCCAGGATCCAATCACCTCCCACCAGGTCCATCCCTCAACAATAACAATTCAGATTACAAATGCAAATTACGATTGGCCTTACAATTTGTATTACAATTCAGGGTGATATTTGGGTGGAGACACAGAGCCAAACCATATTATTTTGCATAATATTCTATCCAATGGATGTATAATAATCTACATGACCATTTCCATATGTGATGATTAATATCTTTATATAAAGACAGATTTCCTATTTTGTATTATTTTCTCAGCCTAAATTTTCAGAAATAGATCATAGAATTAAGATGAATAAACATGTTTTGACTAGTGGTACATAATTCCAAACACTTTTCTAAAATACTGTAATATGTTACCGTTGCTCAAGCAGAGTAGGATTGGGCATGTGTTATCATATTTTCATCAGCTTTGCGTATTAACATTTTAAGTCAATATTTCTTTTACAAATACACATGATATATTATGATTGTTTAGATTTACATTTATTCCATTCCCACGAATAAGCATTTTATTTTCTGTTTATTTACTAATTATGTTTCCATATTTCTGAATTGTCTGTTCTCATATTTCATCTACAAATGGGATAGAGTCTAGTGTATAGAAAGAACACAGACTTGCATATACTTAATACCCCATTGGCTATGGGGCCTTTAATAAAAAGCTTTGCCTCTTAGGTTATCTATTTGTTATCTGCTGGATGGAGATAATAATATCCACTTCATAAGGCCGTATTGAAGGATAAGCACAGAACGTCAATATACAGCATGGATACTAGTAGGTACTCAGTAGATGTTGAGTCCTTATCTCTGATAGAATGACTCTTGGACTTCACTTCCATGATGACTAAAGGAGCTATAATAATAAGTAATAGATGTATAAATTGTGTCTTTTAAAGAAGTCATTATTATTATTTTTGATCCTTTAGCATATTCAATATATTAAAATACTCAACATTTAGCTTTAGGGAAAATAGTAAACATAAACACATTTAAACACATTTTATTATCTTTCTAGGATTAATAAATCTAATAGACCCTAATGAGGCCAGCAGCAATAGCTAAATTTACAAGACATACAATAAAAGAGATATAATAACAATGACACAATTTACTAGTGTGTCATTGATAGATATTAGTGGGTTGATGGATTTTTAAGCCTTAAGGTATGTAAGACCACAAAGGATGATATCTTTTCTTGTGAAAAATTTAGGCAACAGTTGCACTGCATTTTCAAACTGGCTTCTTGCAGGAAGCTGGTTAACTATATTCACACTCAAGCTTAAAAATACTCAGAGTTAAAGTGACAGGCACTAATTAATTTTTCAATTAGTTAGGGATTGATTCAGTATGTCATCCTTAAACTGTGCTGCCATTTAAAGAACCAATCATTTATGTTGACAGAATTTGCTTTGTGCTTAACATTTCCATTAGGTATGCAGCCTCATCCTGTATCTATCAATTATCATAGTTTTGACCCAGCCTGTCCTAAGTGAAGTAGTGAACAGTTGGTCAGCCTTCACACATATATAGCTCTTTTGAGAGGTAGACAGTTTATAATAATGACAATTTTGATCAGGCTCTAATTACCAAGAAGACTTTTAGAAAGGCAGCTTTTAGATTTTCATGGAGCACTGTAGAATAAAATGTTTGTTAGGATGAAGGAAACTCAGATTCTGGTCTATGATTTTCAGAAGCAACTTGAATTTTCTGCGTAATTTTGCCTCATCTGAAAAATTGAATCTTAATCTCTATTTTGAAAGATTCTTTATTATTTCAAAATGTATAGCATGTGTAACTATTCTGCTCTTAGTTTAGAACCTGGCACATAATAGGCCCTCAGAAATTATGAATGAATATTGATTCTTGAATCATTTATTTAAATGCAAAGTAAAAAGGAACTAAGGTAAAATGTATAATTCCTTCTCATTTATTATGGTGACCTTATCATGAGATACCAAACATGTCAAAATTTTATATTAAAATTAAATTCTGTACCTCAGTTTGGAGTGTTTCTTCTATTTTTAGTTACTAACAGTTATGTAAACATTATACAAATATGTATTAAGTGTTAGATTATTTTTGTAAAACATTAATTTGGGGGGTGGAAATGGGGGGAGGAACAATGTTGATTCTGACTGCATCTTACGAAAAATAAAAGTTTAGAAAAATGTGGCCATATCTCTTAAAATAATTTCATATATTAAATGTATTTTCTTGGGAAAGTACAAGTATTGCAGCACTAACAATTTAATTTTGAAACAATGGATGTATGAAAGCCCTGTGTTGGATATTTAATTATCTAAATGTAACTGTCAACTCTTCCAGATAATGCATTATGAGGAGGGCAGTGCACTATGTAGAACTTCCTCATTCTTCTTCCCTTCCATAGAAACAAGTGTCGTATAGCGGCTAAATCTCAGACTTGAACAAGATCATCTCAGTTAAAATTCCAGCTTTGCTACTTAATTCCTGTATATATCAAGTCACAAACTCCTCATGCCTTATCTGCAAAATGGCAATGATAAAAGTTATATACCTCCTAGGTTGTAAGGGGACCAATGCCTCCTTATAATGATAAGCTTTTCTGCAAAGAGTTTGAAGGACCTTATTAAATGCTGAGGTAGACATCATCTGGCATGTCTGCCTGGCTCTGAAATGCCCATCTGCCCACTGAGCTTCCTGGTTGACCCACAAACTTCTGGCCTTTGTATTTAGCACCAGAGGTGAGCAATTTCCCCAAGCTGATCCAAGTCAAGTCTCTGTTAGAAATCTAGGAATTGGTAGAGAGAGTAAAAGTGAGTAAGTAAGTGTGAAGCAAGGGTAGGTAAGGGAGAGAGAGAGAAAGAGAGAAAGACAAACAACACAAGTAGACAAAATGATGCATTTTTCACATGATAAGACCTGTAGCATGAATGTTTTGGCTTTATGAGGGGGGCATATTCTTCCTGCCACAGCTAGGCAAAATTCAGCAAATACATAGAGAGGAGCAGGAATAAGAGACCAAATAAATAAATAAATAAATAAATAAGCTTAACAAATTAAAAGATTCCATACTTACCTGAGTTTTTTATTATAAATTATCCTTTTCTACTGATGCTAGCAATATTTGTTTTTTAATAACTAACACAAAAATTCTAACATAACCCAATAACATGAAGAAAAGTAAACAAAAATCAGAATTAGGTAAATAATACCTAAAATGGCAGCTCAAGACCAGGTTGAAAGTGAGGATGTAGTCATGCAAATCATAAGTTTCTATGTAATTATAAGATCTGAGCCACAAATTTCACTCTAAACTTCCTGGTGGCCAAAGAAAATCTAGTCAAATGCATAATTTGTATTATACATATACAAATGCAAACTGATTTATCAGGTAAATAACTTTTCTTGATATATAAGTTTTATTTTGCAAATAGGTAATACTGGAATGATGTATTAAATAATGTTTTCAATAAATCTTTAAAATAAATTAAATGTTACGCTTTGTTGAAGTGCTTAAGGCATTCAATGTAAGTTGTGACTAAAACAAATTTAGTCAACTGAGTGAAAGAAACTGAGAGGCTGATACAATTCAGCACACATTAGCAGCATGGCTGAAGAATAAAGCCTAGGATAAATAGAGCAGTTAATGGTTTGCATATGCTATAAAATACCTCCTACCAACATAATTCTCTCAAACTGATACTTCTATAAAAGTAAAACATGAGACAATTCAATTTTGTGTGGAATGGTTATCCTTAAATGCAGGTAAGTTGGGTGGGAATATTGTATGTAACATTGGTAATTAATTAAGGAGCCTAGCTAAGATTTTTACTGGCAAGATAACCATTTGCAATGTCATGGAAATAAGCAAAAGTGCAAGGAGGAATAGATTTCTTTATAGAATTCTCACATGAACATTAAAATCATATATATGTAATCGTTCAAGCCATAACCTGAACATTGTGTTTTACTTTTATTTTTTAGACATTTTATTAATGTGTAATTACCTACCATAGAATTTACCCATGGTATGTGTGCAGTTCAACATTGGAAGTGTTCCCAACTCTAGTTACCTAAGTTTTAGCCATCATCTTTTTTCTTCTGGATCTTTCAGTGGACTTCCAGGTGACTTCTCTATCTCTAGTTTTGCTTTTTCCAATCATACTTCCATAATACAACTATGTCAGTCACCTTTACAAAAACCAGTCCCATTGTCCTAGTCATCCATTGCTACATGACAAACCACCTCAAAGTTCAGGGGTTTAACTCAATAATAATTTATTAAGCCCCAAGTCTGCTAGTTGGACCAGAATTTGGGGGAAAGGACCATCTCTACTATATGCGGAGTCAAAAGAAACACTCGAAGGCTAAAGAAGAACTTCCAAGATGGCTAATTTACATGGCTGGCAAGTTGGTTCTGATTGGAAGCTCAGCTCAGGGCCAGGAACTTTAAGCCTCTTTCTATATGGGCTTTCCAGGATTGCTTAGAACTCTTTCAAGACAGTGGCTGGTTTCTAAGAGCATCTATACCAAAAGAAAGAAGTTTCCCAGATGGGCAACTTCCTGGAAACTGGCACAGCATTATGTCTGCTGTATATTCTGTTGGCCCAGCAGTTATAAAGCCTAGACTCAAAGGGACAAGTGCCAAAGAATTTTGTGGCCATATTTTAAAACTGTCACACTCAACATGTCACTTCTCTGTTTCAAATTCAGCAATGCCTCTCTGTATTATTTTAAGTATTTTGACCAATCAGGAAAGCACAATTGTTTATGATCTTTAGACAGTTTATTCCCGCGGCCTCATTTGTTTCTGCTTCCCTGTTTTGCACTCACCTTCTTTTGTTCTTCTGGTCTTTTCATAGCCTCTGGCTCAGAACATGCCATTCCTTTACCCCTATTACATCATCATTGCCTCTCTAACTTCTACTCATTCTTCAGTGCTTGGCTCAGATGTCTGTTCTTCTGGAAACATTTCCAAAACGTCTGCCTCTGCCCTTCTCACTCTATTCCTACCAAGTCCGAAATAGGTATCTCTTCTGTGAATCCCTGTGCAAACAAGTACATAATACCTTTTTATTATTTTTTGCTTCTTATTTGACTTTATCACTAGATTATGTGCTTCACAAAAACAGGTATGCTGTCTCATTTGTCATTGTATCTTCTAGGCCTTGTGTAATAGTTGAAATACAGTTGACAACCCATAAAAATTTACTGAATGAATAAATGAAAAAATGACAAAATGTATATGCTATAGAGCGTAGAAATGACTTAGTGATATATATAATTATATATATATATATATCGTGTTTTTGCATTTTTTTTGTTTTTGCATTTATAATGTTTTTGCATTTTTTTTTAGCTGGAGTTTTGCTCTGTTGCCCAGGCTGGAGTGCAGTGGTGCTATCTCAGCTCACTGCAACCTCTGCCTCCTGGGTTCAAGCGATTCTCCTGCCTTTGCCTCCCAAGTAGCTGCGATTACAGGCATGCACCACCACGCCTGGCTAATTTTTGTATTTTTAGTAGAGATGGGGTTTTACCATGTTGGTCAGGTTGGTCTTGAACTCCTGATCTCAGGTAATCCACCTGCCTTGGCTTCCCAAAGTGCTGGGATTGCACACGTGAGCCACTGTGCCCGGCCAATGTTGTTGCATTTTATGTTAGGCATGCACTTCAGAATAACCCCCATAGGTGAAAAAATAAATTATTCAAGATTAGTTTTATATAGATATTAGTATAAAATTGGATTGACAGTCTTAGAGCACACAGTTATACAATAATGATAGCAAGTTGTTGCTTAAATACTTCTTTTTAACTATTATCATTTCTATTATTAAAGGGTTCTTTCTCCAAATGAGCAGCAAGGTGGCCTTTGGCTTTGTATTTTATAACATTTAACATTTACTCCAAAATTATTGATCGTGGGTTAGTTTTTTCACTACTAGCACTAGCATCAGCAAGAGCACTTCATAAGGGTTTGAATCACATCGTTATAGAATGTAAAAATGCATTCAATTAACATGAACGTTTAAAAAAAGGACAAAAGTCACTAAAATCACTCGCATAACTTCCAAAGTATATCTAATCAATGCTTATTATTCTCATATTCTGTATTTAGAATGTCATGCTTACTAAAATTTATTTGTAACCCCAAAATCAATATTGCCGTGCTTTAATGAGCATCTGTGGACTTGTACATATGCAGAGTGGCAGAAAATTTGAGTTGCCTAAGACACATGTTCCAACTAAGGTAGAACAAAAGAATGCTCAGTCTTTTTGTTTCAGCTCTCCTACTATATGTAAATGACCTTTTTGCAGTCTATTTGGTGTCATGTTTTTTGCATCTTTGTGCTTTTTGTCAGTGATTTTTGTGTTTAAAACAGTGATAGTGCTGAAGTTCTACAAAGTGTTCCTAAGTGCAAGAAGGCTGTGATGTGCCTTATGGAGAAAGTAACTTCAGACATGAGTTAAAGCTGGCCATGAGTTCAAAGTTCAAAATTGACAATATATATTCAATGAGGTGGTATTAAATAGAAATACATATAAAACAAGGTTATATATTGCTCAGTTGCTGAAATGTTATGATCAGAAGCTCATAGGAACCTAATCTTATTTTTTCTCTGTGAGCAATGCTTCTACTGTTTGCTTTACAGAACCCAACTACCACAAATAATGATAATCAACTGTATAATCAAAATATGGTTCAAAGTTTACTGACAAAAGACGAAATTCTTTCCATTTAATTTATAAAGTCCTTTGGCAAATTACCACAGTTAAAACATGGCTTACAAATCACCTGGTCTACCAACTTTAAAATAATGAAAAGTTGAAGATAATTTTCTGTCCAGTTCACAATGCTTCACATTCTGTGCATTAAATGAGACTATTTATTTATTTATTTTTGAGACAGGGTCTTATTCTGTCGCCCAGGCTGAAATGCAGTTGCATGATCACTGCTCACTGCAGCCTTGACCTTCCGGGCTCAAGCAATTCTCCCACTTCAGCCTCGCTAGTAGCTGGGACTAGAGGGACATGCCACCAGGCCTGGCTAATCTTTTTTTGTATTTTTGGTAGAGATTGTGTTTCGCCATGTTACCCCGGTTGGTCTCGAACTCCTGGACTTAAGCAATTCACCTGCCTTGGCCTCGCAAACTGCTGGGATTACAGTGAGCCACCATGCCTGGCTGAGATTTGATTAATATTTGCTATCATAATATTTCAATATTATATGACTCAAAAATACAGAAAATACAATTAACAAGAATTTTTACTTTCAATGTATGAGATTAATTCAAAATACTTGCTTCAGTTCCAAAAAACTATTATCTTTCCTATAAGAGATGCTCAAATAAAGTTTTCTGTTTTCTTTAATGTAAATATTTGCTAAATGGGGATGTCTAGTTGGTGTTTTTTAATTACATAAAACATTTCTTAAAAGTGGAACATCTGCAATAACAAAAAGTAAAGATGGAATCTGATGAGGCATTAAATCTGATGTATTATAAGAGTAAAATTGCTGGTATATTGCATTTTTGCATACATATTGTGTTACTATAATGCTTCCAAGGCCAATTTGGTGGGGCAGATAGAATTAGGTGACACTTAGGAAACTGGAAATAGGATATATATAAATCTGCTTGACTGATATATTCCCTAGGAATATTATGCCCCAGAGTAGAAATATACAAAATTGTTACACATTATTAGATTATATTAATTCTTGTAAATTATGGTAAAATTTCTAATCATACCTTTGAGTCTGCATTGTTCTATGGGAGAAATTATTAGAATAATTCTAACATTAAGACTTGAAATGGAAGGCCAATTTTGTAGGAATTGAGATTTACTGCCACTACACTGCTAAAAAAACATACCTTTCTGTCCCTTTCATAATAATGTTACAGCGAGTTCTGTGTGTCAGTCAAAATACTTGATATTTCACTGGAATTTTCTGAAAATCTATTTGTAATATTGTCCAAGCAAACATGATTATATTTAGCAAGGCAATAATGACTAACTTTGGACTAGGAAAACTGAAAAATGAATTCAGGTGCTACAAAATAAAAATATTAAAAAAACATACATCCTATTTGGAACTCTTTCAAAGTCTTTAAAAAAAATAACCTTGAAGAACTCTGATGATTATTTTTATAGACACTAAACCTAGAGAAAGATTTCAAAATTTAATAGGAAATTGTTTCCTAATGTGTTCCAAGACATTTAGTCTAGTTTTCTAAGTACCAGTTTATCATGGGACGCCTCTCTATGGTATGTCACTCAAGTTCCTTTTATTATAAGCCACAATGAATAAAACCCCAATACTGCCTCTTTGCTAAGCCGTAAAATACACCCAATAGAAATTACTTTAATAAAAGTTGACTACTAGCATACTTAAATACACTCAAAGAGCAATATGAAAACTTAGCTAGGCCCGATTCCTCTCTCATGTATTACAGGAATGAAAATATTTCTTGGCTTATAGGAAAAGAGCTAACTGCTTTTCAAAATAAAGGGAAGAGGGGAACCCACCACAAAGTAACACATTGCATACTTTTTCTGTAGTATCGTTTTATTTTCAATAAATATAAGTACATTAATTTGGAAGACATACTATTAGTATCAGGAAAAGCCAGACAAAAATCTGGGGTTTCTAGACATTTCAAATATTGTAAGGCAAAACCTTGTGCCCCTTTGTCATGCTCCATCCCCTCAAGACTGCACACAAAAGGTAATAAATCTACAGTTTTTCCAGATAAAAGAAAGTATCTACTAACCAGCTAAGCACAATGGGTGTAATAAAATCACAGAATTAGTCTGGCTTTCATCTGATAAAATACCTCAGAAAGGCCAGTGATGCTTTTAATGAGTGGCCTTGAGCAATTCATTTAACATGTTTTAGCCTCCATGTTACTCTTTTCTAATCTAAAACATTAAGACGCATCTACTTCCCAGCAGTGTTGAGGCCTAATTTCATTTGATTGAAAAGCCTTTGGGCTTTTTCCATGATCAGCTGTATTTGGTTTCAGAAGTTCAGAACTGTCAAAATTAGTGACAGAAAAGTGATGTCACAGAGTAACTCTTTTGCTTAAAACTCTGATTCCAATAATTGTAGTTTGATTTTTATGCTGTAAATAAGTAGTATAAAATATCTTTAGTAATGTACATATATGTCACATATCTTTTGACATAGGCAACCCTAGGGAGCTTTCCATGACTAACGTGGTTTTCTCCACCGGCTTGAATTGCATTCACCCCACAATGAAGAAAACATCAATGATTCAATTTCCTTTTGTCAAAGCCCTTGGGCATTATCTGTGAAGAATTAATTCTCAAATATACTTGACCAAATGTAAAGAATATGTAATGTGCTATGTCATTTTTGAACATAATTTTCTTTCAACCTCAGTATAATGACTAAGCATGCCATGCCATGTATAATCAATATCCTCAGACAACAGAGTGAAAAAGCAATGTGGTACAGACATCAAGTTTACAGAAAACTGTTAGATTGAGAAAGAGGTATGAGTGTTCTTTTTAATCAGCAAAGACCTCTGCAGAAACCACAATGGATAGCATATTAATTTGCCTCACTGAAGCTGAAAATATACTTTTGACTACAGAACAAGTATATTATAAATCTGTTTTTCCTGAATTATTTTATGTTATGGACTGAATGTTTGGGCTCCCCTACCCCATCAAATGTATATGTTAAAACCCTAGCCCCCAATATGATGGTATTTATAGACAAGGCCTTTGGAAGGTAGTTAGGGTTAGATGGGATCATGAGGTGGCTGCCCTCATTAAGGGATTGGTGTCCTTGTAAGAGGAGATACTAGGGGGCTTGCTCTCTTCTCTCCCTCTCTGCTCACACTTGCACAAAGCAGAGGACACTGAGCACACAGCAAGATGGTGACCACCTACAAGCCAAGAGAAGAGGCATCAAAATAAAAGCTACCTTGCTGCCACATGGATCTTGAACTCTAGAACCATGGAAGATAAATTTTTGTGAATGAAGCTACCTGGTCTCTGGTATTTTCTTATGGCAGATCGAAGTGTTAAATATATTTTATATTGTCTTTATTTGCTTTGAAGACTTCAAATCATTTGTTTATAGAACTTTTTCTTTCATTAACATGAGCACAGTGAAATAAATATTCTTGTTACATTTTATAAGCATGAAATTTGATATAACTTGATTGATAATCAAGCATGTAACTTCTCAATTCCTCAATTACTCTTTGACCTACTAGGCAGTCATGTACCTGCTACATGTGTCACCTGGAGTGGATCATTTTTAATACCCCCTTTTCATATGGCAGAATTGTTTTCAAAAATAAACAGGAAATGAAACAAATAATCATGTTCAGAAAAAAAATCAGACAGTGAAACTTTTCCTAATTGTACTTCATGTGTGTGTGCATAATTTTGTCAGTAAATAAATTTTTAAAATTTTCTGTATAAAGATGAAAATTTCTGTATAAAGAAATTTTTTGTTATATATTAATATTTTATAATTAATTTGGTATATTTTGTATAGCTTTTGAAAAGAGGGAAAAAACTCAGAGCTACTTATTTGCCTGGTATTATAAGTGATGACTATTAATATGAATCATAGCATTAAAGTTTCTAACCCTTAACTTTTTCAAATATGTTAATTATTTTGTTTCAGGCTTAATTGTCTTCTCATTAGAAGACATCATATTCAGTAGACAGTATAGCCAAGTTGGTCAGGTTATCTTTATTGATAATTTATCAAATAACACCTTTTATTTATATTAATTTAAAATTTTTATCTCATATGAAAGGATACACAAATATGTAGGAAGAAATTTAAACATAAGAAAAAATTTGGCAGAAATTATAAAAATTCCTTTGCACAATCAATTCTAGAAATTAAAAACTGGCCATGCCTTTGTTATTTCAGAATCAATTCTAGCAGCTTTCAAATGCGTGTACTTAAAAAAAAGAAAGAATTTCCAACAGACATATAAAATGCCAGAATTAAAGTAAGTCTACTTCTGTTTTTTTTCTCTTTACAATCACTGTATCATTGTTTATTTCTAATCTAGTGCATAAAGACAGGAATATGTAGCACCACAAGGGCTGCAGACCCAATGGTAACCTGAATTGAGTTCAACCATTTGAAATCATTAGGTTAGTTATTCTCTAAATAAATGCTCATCACTGAATTCATGTATTTTGGGGGCTAGCTATATAACTGGAAACTGACAAAATTAACTTTATGTATTATAATAATAGAATAAATATTAAATAATACATTATTTTAAAACTAATTTGAAAATTACATCTATGTTATTAAATCTCAATCACAGCGATTGTTTAAAACATAAACTTACAAAAGAATTTTGCAAGGAGTATTTTTGTCAATGAAATTTAGAACTGATGGTACTGTGGTTAAAAAAAAAAATAAATGTTAGTACATTTTATGATTTGTATGTTTTCTACGTACAATGCACTCCTTTATTGCTTACATGTGGTTACCTATACTTGATTTCCAGGGTTTTTCTTTTTCTTTTTTTATTTTTTTGAGATGGAGTCTTGCTCTTGTTGTCTAGGCTGGAGTGCAGTGGCACGATCTCGGCTCACTGCAACATCTGCCTCCCGGTTCAAGTGATTCTCCTGCCTTAGCCTCCCGAGTAGCTGGGATTACAGGCGCTCGCCACCACACCTGACTAATTTTTGTATTTTTAGTATTGTGTATTTTTGTATTTTTAGAGAGGGGGTTTCACCATGTTGGCCAGGCTGGTCTCAAACTCCTGACCTTATGATCCACCCGCCTCAGCCTCCCAAAGTGCTGTGATTACAGGCATGAGCCACCGTGCCTGGCCAGGTTTTTTTTTTTTTTTTTAAAGTTTTGGAGTACATGTGCAGGACATGCAGATTTGTTACATAAGTAAACGTGTGTCACTGTGGTTGCTGCACCTATCAAACCATCACCTAGGTATTAAGCCCTTGAAAACTTATCTATTTATCTTGATGCTCTCCCTTCCACCTCATTCCCGACAGGCCCCAATGTGTGATGTTCCCCTCCCTCCGTCCATTTGTTCTCATTGTTCAGCTCCCACTTACTTATAAGTGAGAACATGCGTGTTTGGTTTTCTGTTCCTGTGTTAGTTAGCTGAGGATAATGGCTTCCAGCTCCCTCCATGTCCCTGCAAAGGACATGACCTCAAAGATCTAGAACCAGAAATACTATTTGACCTAAAAATCCCATTACGGAGTATATCCCCAAAGGAATATAAATCATTCTATTATAATGGTTGCCAGGGTTTAACAATCAGAATTAGATTTTATAAAGTACATCATACAATACCACAGGCATCTAATAAATAGCAGCTGCCCCTATTACACTATTATTATTATTTCATATTATTTTGAAAGAGTATTCATGTATAAAATGTTTTCTGCATCTCCAAATTTTCTTTTAGATAAATTTCTAAAATCAGAAATTTACTATATGAAGGTTCCTTTATAAAGGTTCCCTAGAAATGTACCAATGCTCCTAGAGGCAGTGTATGCTCACAAATAGTAGAAACTGATGGTACCTTTAAAAATGTGCTTATTATTTGGCTGAGTGCAGTGGTTCACACCTGTAATCCCAGTACTTTGGGAGGCCAAGGTGGGAGCATCATTTGAGCTCAGGAATAGAAGACCAGCCTGGGCAAAATAACAAGACCCTGTCTCTGTAGAAAAAAAAATGCTCATTATGCTCTCATACTTGTTTAAAAATTGTCTTTTTAATATCGTTTACTGATACTTTTATTTGGATGTTACATTTTAACTTTTTTTTTGCAGCAATTAGTCTGTAGCGATTATTAGGAATAGTAACAGCTTGCTTGCCTTTAGTGCTAATTTTGGGATTTCTTGAGCAGACTTAATTATTTGAGTCTGAATTGAAGTGGATACAAAATGTAGTCCAATTACAACCTATGGTAAAACTTTGTATTTGTCCTAATTTCATATATAAAATACACACACACACACGACTTGCTTAGAAAATTGCTCCAGATAACAATTCTGTCAGCTAAAATTTGCTCCCTCAGTGCTACTGTAATAGCATTTACTAAGAGTACTATAATATAAATTAAGATAAAGGCTTTATAAGTGATGTAAGAACTTAGTTTTGTGCAGGATAAGATGTGCAAAGAAAAAGAAAGACTTTGATCTGGTTGACAACTAGCAGAAAAGCTCTAGAGTAATAATAGTTAAGTAAGTGGAAAAACTTCAACAGCCAATCAGATACAATATAGATCCATAAATACCTTTGACAATCTGATCAATTTGTAGTATATTGCCATATCTCACTTTCTGCATGTGGTTGTAATCACTTGTTTTTATGTCTGTCTCTTCCTTCTGCCTATGTTATCACTATTTCACAATCTTGAATTGGAATTTCTCCAATGGCTATCATATATTATTTGATTAACCATGTCGAAAAATTGAATAATCTAATTCCACATCCAGTACTCCTCCAAATAAACCTTGTTGATTCCTATGATTATCAGATCATTGACTTTTTTTTTCTGTAGCGTTCAAGGGTACTGGGAGCAGCAAAGAAAAGCCACAGCAACATCAGTTTGACCACGAATGCTGCTTAATGGTGTGTTAAAACGCTGCAATGAAGAATAACTTGCTGACATGATACCTCCTGAAGGGACACACACAAATGCTGACTCCTTTGTTTTTTAATTGGTCAGTTGCATCCTATAAAATTTGGCATGAGAAATACTTTGCCCTTTCAGGTTCCTCTAGATGTACAATCCCTACCCAAGCAAAATCCAGACTGCTCATGTGTGATTGAAAGCATCTCTTCCCTTTAGGGAAATGATGCACTTTCCATTTTGAAGCCATAGTTAATGTTCTGTTGGTAAACATGTACCAAGGTGATCCTTTGGTCAATCAGGATGTTAAGATTACCTTTTTGAATATAGGAAAGTAAACAGCAGGATAATCTAACCCAGGGAGTATGAAAACAGGAGAAATGAGTAATCTGTTGACCCATGAGGTATGAGAGAAAGATTTTCATTGGAAAAATGAAAATAATAGAGGCCAATGTAAAATATTTTGGAAACAGAGAAAATTTTCTACTTTTATAAATACTAAAGAAGTCATTCTACTCTAAGCAGTTGAGCTGCTGTAAAACTCATTGTAAATATATTATAGAGGCTGCAATTTATGTATATTGATGCAACAAATATTAATAGTCACCAGTGTCAAAGCATCTTGTAGGTTATAAACTATACTCCTAATAAAAGAGATACGTTTTTATCATATGTTTTCAAAAATAGGTAAGGAAAATGAAATATTGATTGATTGATTAAGTGGCACACAGGACTTTAAAAGTAAAATACGATTTTATCATTTTTTTAAAGATAACAGTGAAGATTTAGATTAACCTATGTTACATAGTCATGCTGCTAGGAAATAGAAGAGGTGACGTTTTACTTAGGTCTGAACTTTTAGCCAATGGTCTTAACAAGTTTTCATTATCCTGCATTTTCTTGTACCAGGATTAGAAGGTAGCTCCAATCTCTGTCTTATGGTAGAAAAGCCAAGAAAATTAACTAGTATACATGAAAATATACCAAATATAAGGCAGACTATAGTCAATTTAGCCATAACAAAGTCACAAAAGAGGGAAAGTTCACTTAGGCATGGCTCTGTTTGCAACATGAGATTTGAATAGCACCTTAAAAGATCAGTACAATTACGGTAGATAAACATGGGAAGAAAGGCATTTTAGACAGAAGGACAGACAGTAAAAACAGAAATACAAAATAGGATTAACTGGGAAGAGTAACTAATTCAGTCTTACTAGAAAATGAGGCATAAAGAGAGAAGCAGTGAGAGGTTAACATTAGGCAGTTACACACAGATAGAGTACGGAAAACTGAATTCCTAGGGAGAAAGGCACAAATATACAAATTTATTCTGTTGGTAATTGAAGTTTTCTGACAATTGCAATGCCATGCTCAGAAGGCTCTTTTAGGAAGATTAATTTGGCAATCGAATGTTATATAGATGAGAACTGGGAGATACCAGAGGCAAAGTTACCAAGTGGACACTTACAAGGACAGCAATTAGAGATACTTACAATAGTATTGAAAGCCTTATGGGAAACAGAAGGTAATGAGAATTGAAAGCCTACTATGGATCAGCACTCTACTGGGTGTACTGGATGATTGAATGGATTATATAATTTACATTTCATCATCCCTGTATTATGGTAGCTCCCTTAGAAATGGAGACAAATATATGAGAACGATGCTGCAGGGAGAGAGTGAACATAATTGATTTAATATAACAAGTTAAAGAAATTAGTCAAAAATAATTCTGAAGTTTCATGTCCAGTGTTCAAAATAATATTTCAAGAAGGTTTTCAGTTGCAAATGCTGAATTCACTGTTGGAAATCTTGAGTTTGGAAGTTAGCTTTTTCTTTTATGCACAGTGGCTAATTATGAGATGCATAGTATTTACACTATAGTCATCAGGGAGATTAGGGTCAGGAAGAACATTGAACCAACAGTAAAAAGCAACAACAAAAAAACAGTGATGATGGCAGGACACTGTGCTAAAAGCTTTATCTCATATGTTTCCCAGTGTAATCCTGAGATATACACATTTTTTTCAGCCTACACATGTATTAATCAAGTTAGAGTATAGAAGCCATTTAGATATTTTAGTAAGGAGTGTGATATATTACATGCTTACAAAACTTTGATAGGACTGATGAGTATGGTCCAGAGAGAACCACTACTGGATTTGAGGACACTGGGAATTATTGAAATTACAGGGAAATGCTAATTATCACTATTGCCTCCTATACCAACACAGGTAATTTTCAGGAGCTCTCCTGGAAGGTACTAAAATCTTCATAGTTACCTTCTGTCTCCACATGAACCTGCTACTGTTAGAGCAGAATAATAGCCTCTCCTCTTCTTCCTTAAAATTCTTGTACTAGTTATCTCATTGATTTGAATGTGAACTTGACTCCTGATGGCAACTGTGCCTGAGGAATTTATTTTCTAGGCTACTTGTCCCTGAAGAAAGAGTTTAGTGTTCAATATTGATGGAAAAATACTGAACACACACACACACACACACACACACACACAGAGACAGACAGACAGACACACGCACAGACACATCTTGAAGCTTAGTAAATTAATTTATATTAAGATTTTCATTGACAAATAACAGGTGCTGATTTAAAACCAAGTTTATTTAACATAAAAACTTATGGTCTTAAAAGAAATCATTATATCAAAAGATACCTGCACTCAATTATATATTTATCATAGCATTATTTACAATAGCAAAGATACGGGATCAGCCTAAATGTTCATCAATGGTTTATTGGATAAAGAAAATGTTGTCTGTACACACACACACACACACACACACAAACACACACACACACACAGGAATACTATTCAGCCATTAAAACGAATAAAATCATCTTTTGCAGCAATATGGATGGAATTGGTGGCCATAATATTATGTGAAACAAATTGAAAACAGAAAGTCACAAACCTGCATGTTTTCACTTATGAGTGGGGGCTAAATAATGTCTGCACATGCGTGTAGAGTGTGGAATAATCGATACTGGAGACTCAAGGGTAAGAGTTTGGCAGGGGTGTGAGGGATGAGAAATTTCTTCACGGGTAATAATGTACATTATTCAGGTGATGGTTACACTAAAAGCACAGACTTCACCATGATGCAATGTAGCCATGTGAAAAAGCTTCCATTGTACCCCTTAAATTTATACTAGATAAATGAATAAACAAATAAATAAAAAACATTGAGAGTCTTAACTATTACATGGTACTTTCAGTAAACCAGGGACAGAGTAATGGAGTGGGCATGGCAGGTTGGTAAATCGGTACTTTGCCTATGACATGAGAAAGCAAATGAAAGGCTTTAGTGATGGAACTCTTTGAAGGATCTACAAAAGTCCTCCATGAGAGAGTCAGCCTAGAAATCTCAAAAGCACCTATCCAAATTAAAACAGTTGTATCCATATTTTGCCCTGATACTCCTTTGCCCTGATTCCACTATGGCGGGATTTAAAATATCATGTACTTAATGGGGAAAGAAGTTACTGGGGTAAAGAAGTTACTGGGGTAAAGCTGACCACATCTCTTCTCCTAATTCAGGCAGCAGTCATTCACAGGACAAAGTCGGCAGAGTGAAGAGGAGTGTTACCTTCAGATAAAAATTAGAGCATAGATTAATATCTTATTTTAGAATTATTAGATTGAGACTGCTTTGTGACCTAAAGTCGCCTCGAACTTTCCATTACCTAAGAGTGGGAATAAAACTCATGACACTGAATTGAATTTTCATTTTGGGCCAAGAGAAGATCACCTCCACTGAAAAAAATTTAAAGAGAGAATGAGATGTAAAAATATAGTTGCATTTGATTACATTGTGCACATTGTATGGTCAATATGACAGTTATAAGCAATATTTAGGTAACTTAGAAAATATAGGCACTGATTAAAAATTAAGGAAAACAAGAAATGGTGACAAAAATATCCCACTTCATTACACACATTATTAAGTATTAAAATTATTCCATTTTGGTTGTTTTGATGGAATTCCTAATGACATCTGGGGATCTGAAAGAAAGAAACAAAATATATAATGTGACCCCAGGTCTATGTTACTCCCGTATAACATGACATAGAATTTTTCCTATTTATTCGTAGTTTTAAAAAATAATATTATGCATTTCAAAATATAAAATATAATTTTGTTTACCTATGGTAAGAAACTTCTCATCCTCATGCATTTTTCACTTCTTTTGGTGTTCAAATTACTAAGAATACTGTTAAGCAAATATTATTTCTATGTCTTGCCTTTACTTGCTTAGACAAAACCTTGTTTTCTTCTCTTATGTTTCACAGTATTATACTATCACTGGTAAAATTCCATTGACATGTTTTAAATTTGAGAAACTTTAAAATAGTATTCACTGTACAGCTTTGTGTAAAATATGCTAATAAATGTATTCTGATTTGTTTTTTTCTCCCAACAGGTTCTGACTAGTTTTAAATGAGAAATTATTAAAAATGAAAATAGGAAATGAGAAGTGAGAAATCATTTTTTTCTTAAAGCTAAGTAGGCTGAAACCAATGCAGAAAATACAATTTTGATTTAAAGTAAATACATAGCAACTTTTATTTAAAGCATGTGTGTGTGTGTGTGTGTGTGTGTGTGTATACACACATATATATATCAGCTCTATATGTACATGTGTATATCATATGCCATAGTAATATGTATATACATATGTAGTAGTCATGCACAGACATAAAATTCATCCATCAATTTTTTTATTAACCCACTATTGAAATGTAACAATTTTGATGAAATTAACTCCAATATCCCTTTTTCAGCTGTAAAGTGCTAAAATATATTAATTAAAAAAATAAATTTTATGTAGTGATTATTGTCAAGAGACATATTTTGATCATACTGGGAGAAAGCATTTATATTCGAAGTTGCCTTTCAATTACTCATAAATTATTATTAGGACTGATGTATAGCTGGTACACACTGGTGCAGTTATAATATTTAAATAATTCTATATTGGTTGCTAAAACTCTGATTCTTCTCTCTTCTAGGTTCCTTCGCCATTTCAGCTGCCACCATCCCCTCTCCCCAAAACCCCAGTAGACATCAACAGAATCCAGAAACTACAGGGTCCACTGGCATGGCAGGGCCTGTAGGATTCTTTTCCAATGTGTACAGATTGGCTGATGCCTGGACTATGCCAGTTCACTGTTTTAAAGATTACTCTTGATTGTCACAATTAAAAACAAAGAATATTTAGAACCAAATTATATGTGTTGCACATTAAACAAAACGTTTTATAATATGTTCTAAAAGTCAGCAAAGGTTATTTAGCTGTGTATGATTCATTTCACAATTCCATTTTTTAATATTGTAATTCTCCCTTATGCCTTCTAATTTTTTTTGAAATGACCACAGATATCTTCTGTAGGCCAAATAGCATATTACACATCTGTCAAAACATACTTTATTATCATATAACTCTGTTTACAAAGTCTCTTGAACCCTTTCAGATTGTTCTGGCTGCTTGTTTTGTGTTCATTTCTTTCTTTAATGTGTTTACATTTTCCAGTCATTTGTATAAATAAGGATGTACTAGAATAAATAGTCTTTCCCCTTTAAGACCCAGTCTAAATTTCAAGGTTAGTTTTAAATTTTGTTCTTCATTTCAATATGACAGCAAAGTTGTTTGATACTAAGAATAATTCTTTTTGATGAAAATACTATATTTAAGAAATCAATAATACTATGAACTGACTTATATTCTCTTTAAATTTATAGACCTAACTATACACCCCATGTGATGGTATTTGGAGATGGACCTTTGGAAGGTAATTCAGGTTAGATGAGATCATGAAGGTATAGTCCTCATGACGGGATTAGTGTCTTCATAATGTGATAGAGAGAGAGAGAGAGAGAGAGAAAAGGAGAGAGAGAGGAAGAGAAATTATCACAAAAAAAGAGGTCATCTGAGTACACAGTGAGATAGAAGCCACCTATAATCCAAGAAAAGAGTCCTCAGAATAAAACCTACCTTGTGGACACCTTGATCTTGGACTTCCAGTCTCCAGAACTATGAGAAATGAATTTCTGTTGTTTAAGCAACTCAGTCTGTGGTACTTTGTTGTCTCAACTGAAGCAGATGAATACAAATAATAAATAGAGTGGTGTACATTAGTGATGGATGGCTCACTATTAGAGAAGCCCATAGTCTCTGTGTTGAATTTTATTTGCTCATTGGAATAATTGACTCAAATTTAAAATTCTCCTCTAACGTTATGTGTATAATTTACCTTCAGATTGCTATTGGGTAAACCAAGAATTCATTGAGTAATCACAGAATACATAGAGAGATTCTCTTGGTTCTTGGAATGACTTCTAAATTAATGATAAAGTGATGCTCCTTAGAATGTTAGAGCTTCACAATGCCTTTCTAGACTCCTGGCTGCAAAGGTGGCTTAAGAAACAAAAGTCAGGCCGGGCGAGGTCGCTCACCACGCCTGTAAGCCCAGCACTTTGGGAGGCAAGGCGGGCGGATAACGAGGTCAAGAGATCGAGACCATCCTTGCTAACGCGGTGAAACCCTGTCTCTACTAAAAATACAAAAACAAAAATTATCTGGGTATCGTGGCGGATGCCTGTAGTTCCAGCTACTGGGGAGGCTGAGGTGGGAGAATGGTGTGAACCCGGGAGGCGGAGCTTGCAGTGAGCCATGGTTGTGCCACTGCACTCCAGCCTGGGGGAGAGACTGAGACTTCATCTCAAAAAAAAAAAAAAAAAAAAAAAAAAACAAGAGTCAAAAAAAGAAAGGACCAACCACGGTTGTTTGGTACCAAAAAGAAACTACAACCATGTTGTGTCCAGAATTGGTGGGTTCTTGGTCTCACTGACTTCAAGAATGAAGCCGCGGACCCTCGCGGTGAGTGTAACAGCTCTTAAGGTGGCGCCTCTGGAGTTTTTTCCTTCTGATATTCCCATGTGTTCGGAGTTTCTTCCTTCTGGTGGGTTCATGGTCTGGCTGGCTCAGGAGTGAAGCTGCAGACCTTCGCAGTGAGTGTTGCAGCTCTTAAAAGCAGTGTGGACCCAAAGAGTGAGCAGTAGCAAGATTTATTGCAAAGAGTTAAAGAACAAAGCTTCCACCGTGTGGAAGGGGACCCAAGCGGGTTGCCAATGCTGGCTCAGGCAGCCTGCTTTTATTCTCTTATCTGGCCCCACCCACATCCTGCTGATTGGTAGAGCCCAGTGGCCTGTTTTGACAGGGTGCTGATTGGTGAGTTTACAATCCCTGAGCTAGATACAAAGGTTCTCCACGTCCCCATTAGATTAGTTAGATACAGAATTTCCACACACAGGTTCTCCAAGGCCCCACCAGAGCAGCTAGTTACAGAGTGTCCATTGGTGCACTCACAAACGCTGAGCTAGACACAGGGTGCTGATTGGTGTGTTTACAAACCTTGAGCTAGATACGAGTGCCGATTGGTGTATTTACAATCCCTGAGGTAGACATAAAGGTTCTCCAAGGCCCCACCAGACTCAGGAGCCCAGCTGCCTTCACCCAGTGGATCCCGCACCGGGGCTGCAGGTGGAGCTGCTTGCCAGTCCCGCCCCGTGTGCCCGCACTCCTCAGCCCTTGGGTGGTCGATGGGACTGGGCGCTGTGGAGCAGGGGGTGGTGCTCGTCGGGGAGGCTCGGGCCGCACAGGAGCCCATGGAGTGGGTGGGAGGCTCAGGCATGGCAGGCTGCAGGTCCAGAGCCCTGCCCCGCGGGAGGGCAGCTAAGGCCCGGTGAGAAATCGAGTGCAGCACCGGTGGGCTGGCACTGCTGGGAGACCCAGTACACCCTCCGCAGCCACTGGCCCGGGTGCTAAGCCCCTCACTGCCTGGGGCCGGCAGGGCCGGCCGGCTGCTCCGAGTGCGGGGCCCGCCAAGCCCACGCCCACCCAGAACTCCAGCTGGCCCGCAAGCGCCGCACACAGCCCTGGTTCCCGCTCGAGCCTCTCCCTCCACACCTCCCTGCAAGCTGAGGGAGCCGGCTCTGGCCTTGGCCAGCCCAGAAAGGGGCTCCCACAGTGCATTGGTGGGCTGAAGGGCTCCTCAAATGCCGCCAAAGTGGGAGCCCAGGCAAAGGAGGTGCCGAGAGCAAGCGAGGGCTCTGAGGACTGCCAGCACGCTGTCACCTCTCAATGTGACCACCCACAACCCATTGCAGCTTTCCTGGTCACTACCTGGCAGCATTATCTCTTTCTTTCCCCAGTGGAAGCAGGATGATCACTTAGATTTGCTCTTATCTGAAAGGAGAGGAAATTCCCAGACTCAAGAAATGGCAAGGCTGGAAAGACAAACAGAGAAGAAGGATATATTTATTCAGAGATTCCCTTCACATCTCAAACTGTGTAGGTTTGAGAGTTTTTGGTTTATGGTAGGTTTACGGTTTTACTTATTCATGTATTATTTATAATAAAGTTATAACTTTGGGAAAAGGTTAAGGTGAGCAGATATGGTAGAATTAAAGAAGAATTAGTAAAACAGGCAAATCATCAACCATAGCTATTTGCATCCCGAGAGAGGCAGTAAAATAATAATAATGATTAGGATGATAGTCATAATGATAAAGCAGAATTTTTTAACTTTTTATTATACTTGAAGTTCTGGGATACATATGCAGAACGTGCAGATTTGTTACGTAGGTATATGTGTGCCATGGTGGTTTGCTGCACCTATCAACCCATCATCTACATTAGGTATTTCTCCTAATGCAATCCCTCTCCCAACCCCCTACAAGCCCTGGTGTGTGATGTTTCCCTCCCTGTGCCCATATATTCTCATTGTTCAACTCCCACTTACGAGTGAGAACATGTTCTTATGATGAGAATGATGGTTTCCAGCTTCATCCATGTCCCTGCAAAGGACATGAACTCATTCTTTTTTATGGCTACATAGTATTCCATGGTATATATGTGCCACATATATGGTCATTTGGGTTGGCTCCAAGACTTTGCTTGGGAATAGTGTTGCACTAAACATACGTGTGCATGTGTCTTTATAGTAGAATGATTTATAATTTTTTGGGTATATACCCAGTAATGGGATTGCTGGGTCAAATGGGATTTCTGGTTCTAGATCCTTAAGGAACTGCCACATTGTCTTCCACAATGATTGAACTAATTACACTCCCACCAGCAGTGTAAAAGCATTCTGTAGTTTAATTAGATCCCAATTGTCAATTTTGGCTTTTGTGGCAATTGCTTTTGGTGTTTTAGTCATGAAGTCTTTGCCCGTGCCTATGTCCTGAATGGTATTGCCTAAGTTTTCTTCTAGGGTATTTATGGTTTTAGGTCTTACATTTAAATCTTTAATCCATCTTGAGTAAATTTTTGTATAAGGTATAAGGAAGGGGTCCATTTCAGTTTCCTGCATATGGCTAGCCAGTTTTCCCAACACCATTTATTAAATAGGGGATCCTTTCCTCATTGCTTGTTTTTGTCAGGTTTGTCAAAGGTCAGATTCTCTCTAGCAACTGTTTTGTTTCTTTATCTTTATTTTATTTTACTTTTTAATAAATAAGAAATAAGACAGAAATTTCGTTTTGCTATAAATTATATAAAATAATTTCCAAAAATCAATTGTTAAGGAGTAGTTAAGAAGGGATGGGTAATAACTGAGAATTAATTACAAGAAGAGAAAAGTTCTCCCATGATGAGAGTTACCATATATTAATTATGGCTCCAGAACAATGATCTAATGACCTGAAAGAGTTTAGACAACTTAAAATAATATGTAACTTACTCCCAACAGAGAAATGTAAATCCCTGAGTGTGAATCATCAGTTTCAAACTAAAGTTCAATATAAAAAACAAGTTCAACTAGAGTAATATTTAAATTCCACACAAATTAATTGCTCATCCTTGTTTCAAGTCCCTTAAGAAATGAGCTATAATGTCCAATAAAGAATTAGATTCAGAAAGAAAAATAGGAAAGAAAGTAATTTATGACAGGCTGACAAGACAAATTCATGAAAAACAGTTTAAAACACATTTCAAACCTCTAATGTTAAAGACCAAATGCAGGCGGGAGAAGCTGAGGACACTCAATATAACCTGAGAACAATTGGAGATGGCAAGATATATTACATTTTTCCTATAGCGTAATTATCAAAACCATCTGAAAGTTAAATATAAATCCAAAACATAAAGCATTGGTTCAATGCTAAGCTTTTCATCTGAGAGAACATGTTGGTTGAACTGAATCAATTTTAGAAGTAGTAAATGAAACATCTGATTGCATTTTTACTGATTTGCCCTAATGAATGTCATTAGCTGATTACCATCAAGAGCTGCACATCTAGCCAGGCGTGGTGGCATGTGCCTGTGGTCACAGCTATTTAGGGAGGCTAAGGTGGAAGGATTGCTTGAGCCCAGGAGTTCGAGGGACGCAGCAGGAGCCATGATTGTACCACTGCACTCCAGCCTGGGTAACAAAGCGAGACCCCAACTCTAAATAAATAAATAAATAACTAAATAAAGGAACCACACATCTAGTGTCTGATTTGTTGCACATTTATTGCCTGATTTGTTCAGATAAGGAATGTTTTCCTGTATGATTTTATGTTGCTCCCCCACTCTTTTGGATGAAGAAAAATAAAGAATTGTATTTTGATAATACCTTTAACTCTTTTCTTTCTCTCTTTCTTTTTTTTTTTTTTTTGAGACGGATTCTTGCTCTGTTGGCCAGGCTGCAGTGCAGTGGTGGCATGATCTCAGCTCACTGCAAGCTCCGCCTCCTGGGTTCACGCCATTCTCCTGCCTCAGCCTCCTGACTAGTTGGGACTACAGGCGCCTGCCACCACACCCGGCTAATTTTTTGTATTTTTAGTAGAGACGGGGTTTCACCGTTGTTAGCCAGGATGGTTTCCATCCCCTGGCCTTGTGATCCGCCCACCTCGGCCTCCCAAAGTGCTGGGATTACAGGCGTGAGCCACCACGCCCGGCCAACTCTTTTATTTCTAAAATGACTGTACCTAGAGGTTTTAAGAAAAACAGAAATAATCATTTTCTAGAAATAATACTAAAAACCAATAAATATAGCACTTACATTCTGCCTGTTACTCTTCTCTTCATATACAAACTAACTTATTCTTCACACCAACCCTGAGTTAAGTACTGCTATTATATTATCTTCATTTTACAGATGAGAAAGCTGAAGCCCAAAGAAGTGGCTTACTCTGGTTATACAGTAAGTCTCAAAACCCAGGTAGTCTGGTCTAGCAGCAGACTCTAAGATGGCTCCAAATAATCTTACCAATATGTAGGCCATGTTAGTTTTCTATTGATGCCTTAACAAATTACCATGAGTTCAGCAGCTTAAACAGCACAAATGGATTATCTTATAATTTTGCAGGGACAAAAGTGTGTATCATGTGGCTCTGCTTAGAGCATCATAAGTTTGAAATTAAGTAGTCAGCAGGGCTATGTTCTTTTTGGAGGCTCCAAGGGAGAAACCATTTCTATGCTCCTTGCAGTTGTGGGCTGGATTCAGTTTCCGTGGCTATAGGACTGAGGTCCGAGTTTCCTTGTTGGCTGTAGGTTAGGGTCATTTTGAGTTTCCAGTGGCTGTCTACATTCCCCATTTCGTGGCTCCCTTTCTCAGTTTTAAAAGCCAGCACTAGCAGGTGAAATGTTTTTGGCCTCTTCTTCTGCCTCACCTCTTCTTTGCTTTCCTCTTTTACCTCAGGTCTTTGATAACAGCCAGAGAAAATGCTTGGATTTTAAGGGTTTATGTCATTAGATTGGGCCTCTCCAGATAATCCGGGTGGATAACCTTTCTATTATTAATCATGCCAGCTGATTAGTGATTTTAATTCCATCTTTGAAGTCTCTTCACAGTAGTGCCTAGATTAGTGTTTGATTGAATAACTGGAGAATGAGAATCTTGTGGGGATCATGTTTAGAATTCTGTCCATCACACATTCCCTTGTGTAATCTCAGTTTCTTGAGGGTGAGCTGGCCTAGCAACTGGCATCTGACCAAATTTAGCATATGTGGTGGAATGCCACTTCCCTGATTAAATTACATAAGATTGTGACTTACGTCTTGCTAGCAGACTCTTTCTAGCTGACTTTTTGTTTCTTTATTATCTGTATTTTACTTTTTAATCATTTCAATTTTTTGTTTTAGATTCAGGGGGCACATGTACAGGTTTGTTACATGGATATATTGCATGATACTGAGGTTTGAAGTAGGATGGAACCCATCACCCAGGTAGCGAGCATAGTATCCGATAGGTACCTTTTCAATACTTGCCAACCTCTCTTCCTCCTGGCTCAGTTCTAGCTGACTTTGATAATGTCAGTTGCCATGTCTGGGAGGTCCAACCAGCAAAGAACTAAAGGTGGACTCTGGACTGTAATTAGCAAAGAATTGAGGACTTTAGTCCAACATCTACATGGAACTTAATTCTGCCAACAACCACATGAATTTACAAATGGGTCCTTCCTCAGGCAAGTGTTGAGCCCCCTTTCCTGCCCAACACATTAACTGCATCCTTGTGAGAGTTCCTGAAAGAGAAGACACAGTAAGCCATGATTACACTCGTGACCTACAGTAAGTGTATGATAACAAATGTGTATTGTTTTAACCCACTAAGGTTGTGGTAATTTGTTGTGCAGTAATAGATAACTAATACATTTGGCTTAAGAGGTTATTCTGTTTTTCACTAAGCTGTACTTCCAGTATGAGATGCAATTCTGTCCGTAGACAAAAGTTTAGATGGCTTTTTTCCTCTATTTTCTACTTCTATACTCATTCATCAGTACATCCAACAAATATTAAAGGCTATTATAGGCAATGCCTTTGTATTTCAGGAATAAGACAATAAAACAGAGCTTAGAGTCCAGTGGTAGAGACAGATAAAAATGAATTCCATTTGCTACAGTAAAGACTCGTATAAAGGACTGTGGGAAGAAAAACAAGAAAATGCTTAATTCTGCTCTCTTCAAGAAAATCTTTTGAAAGAGACAATATTTTAATTGGGTCCTACAGGATGTTTAGACATTGTATAGACTTACAAGCCAGTAAGGATTCCTGTTGGGAAAATAGATCAACACAGAGGGTAAAGAGGATTGTTCAAGCAACTGGATATTCATCGTGGAGTGGCTTGTGGCAGGTGAAAGTCAGATTATGAAGGTGCTCTTTGGACTTTCATCTTCAGGAATTACAGAAGGATTCTAACCAGGGGAAAAGTGAGATGGGATCTGAGTTTTAGAATCATCTCTCTGAGAACAACGCAGGGAATAGTGGGGCAGGGAGTGATGGAGATGAGAGACTGAAGGTGGAGAGAGCAGCTGATGGTCTAAGCAAGAAAAACCAGAGGGCCTCACAGGGCAGCGTTGAAGAGGGGAGAGAACCAAAAGAAACCTTGACTTTAAAGTAAATAGCAATAAAAAAATAATTTAGTAACTAGATGTCAGTATGAGAAAGAGGCAGACGTCTCAGGGATTTCTGTCTTCTGGCTTGAGCAACTGAGTGTATGCCATGTAAATAAGATAAGGGAAATGTGAAGTAATGGGTTTTTCAGGTTGAGGTTGTAGCTGAATAAAGAACAATTCCAGTTATGGAACTGTTAGAGGCCTATGGGCCAGTGGATATTTAGTAAGCATTTGGAACCATGGTTGGGAGCTTGGAAAAATGATAAATTGGAGTTGTAGCTATAAATTTGAAAATGTCAATGTTGAAGCAACGGATGTACATGAAACCTCTCAGAGTTGTGTTCAGAGAAAGAAAAGAAGATGGATAAAGACAGAATTCAGTCTTCATAAGAAGCAAACATGAAAATAAGAGCAAATAATAACATAGAGACTACATCCTGAGACATGTAGAGGGAGCATCAGGACAGAATGACCGAGTGTAGAAAGAAGAGACATTTCAAGAAACTTCACTGTCTCCCACCAATTTATTACTTTTGTTTTGCATAGCTCTTTATATTAATTCTGAAAAGATGATGTTAGAGTAGACTTATCCAGAGTAGTTTAAACTGTAGCGTAAATCACTCAGTGTAAACCATATACATTTATTTTATTGTAATATAAATAAATAATAATATAATGTATTATATTAATATAATAAATAAATATAATATATAATAAAATAATATAAATAAAATAAAAATATTCAGAATATTCTTTGGTTTATTCATTTTGAATACAAAGTAGTACACCTAAATGTTTACAAGCTTGAGTGCTGAAGACATACGGCCTGGGTTAGAACACAGGCTAACTGACTGGTAGTCATATGTATTGAGCACGTGTAACTGGCTTAGTCTCAGTTTCTCCATCTATAAAATGGGAACCATACGTACCACAGGTTAGAAAAGGTTCAATGTAAAACACTTAGTACAGTGGCTATAACATAGTTATCACTCATAGTTATCTTGCTCTGGATCTCCTGGTCTAAATGGACTAATGATAGTTAAGTATCTCATAGAGATTTTTTTACTCTTTTATGAAAGAAGGATGTGGAGCAAATATTTAGCAATATTTCTGACATAGAGTAAGTTCTCCATTAATTCTTGTTACTAGTGATTATCTTCTTATTATACTTATTGAAACTTTCAGTTAGAAAGAAGAAGTTAATTTAGAAATTTGGGCTATAATTTGAGTCTTAATTATTCCTTTGTCCAGCATATCCACACTGACTATGATACCCACCCATTAGTCGCTCAGTAGCTGTCTTGGTTGTCAGATTGACTGTGATAATTATCCTATTCTATTATTAATCATTGTTGTTAATCTCTTATTGTACCTAACTTATAAATTAAACTTTACCATAGATATGTACATATAGGAGAGAACATAGTGTATATAGGGTTCATTACTGTCTGAGGTTTCAGGCATCCACGGGGGGCCTTGGAATGTGTCTACCACAGATAACAGGACTACTGCACATATATTCACAGTTTAAGTTCCAATTTGCTCTCCTTAACCTCTTTCTCCACTGTAGTTCATTAAGATTTCAACATTCATGGAAACTAACTAACATGTGAGGCGATTTGGCTTTTTCTGACCTCATGCTGCTTCTTGCATTAGAACAGAACCCTGACTTCCTGCTTGCTTTCTTGTCTCACATTTACAATGATTCCACTTCTGCACTGTGGTCACACAACTTCAGGATGCTTCAGGCAGGACGGCATCTGCTTTATTCAGATCTGTGGGGTGACTGCTTTCATTTCTTTTTTCTCTTCCCTTCCTCTCCTCTTTTTCCTCTCTTCCCTCTCCTTCTTTCTCCTTTTCTCCTTGACTCTCTCTCTCCTTGTTTCTCTTTTTTATTTTTTTAAACTATATAATATACATTTTAAAATGTAGAGAATGAAGAATAATTTTAAAGCAATCACCAGTGAAATCACAAAGACAGGAAATAGAATATTTTTAGCACCTCATGTGCCTCTGTATATACTTTTCCCCGATCACAATTTCCTCCTTTTCCCAGAAACAATGCCCATCCATATTGTGTGATAATTATCTTCTTGCTCTTCTTTATAGTTTTACTTTCTACATATGTATTCACTCAATAATGTGGACTTTTCATGTATTCTCAAATTTTACTTGTGTATGTGGAATTATCCTGAAATATTCTTTTATATATATAATATTAGGTTTTGAGATTCATTTATGTTGTGATAAGTATATTTTATTTTATCGTGGAAATATACCAACATTTATTTGCCTATTTGCCTATTATACTACTGGTGTACTGCACCTTTGCAAGAATTTCTCTGGGGGTATATTCTTATCAATCAAATTATTGGATTTTAAGATTTGCACATCTTTGACTTTAAAAAATAATGCCAAACCTTTGCAAAATGGTTATAACAATTTACTTTCTCACTAATATGGTGTGAAGATTCCTAATGCTCCATATACTAATGCTTAGTGTTTCAATTTTTGCCAGCCTTGTGTGCATGTGTACTTGTATAAGCTTTTTTCTTCTTTGCAAAGAATAGACTAAAGGCTACATAATGGATGTACTATGCAAATGAATGATATCCTTGATATCTTTCAAAGTTTTTTAATATAATAGAGAATTAAGTCATGGAATAAATGCCACTGTTTTCTAAATAGTAAAAATGAAAATGAGACTAAAGAAAACACCTTAGCAAATGCAATCAATGAACTACAAGTGATTTCATAATTGTTTGCCCGGTCTTGAAAAAATTCAGTCTTTCTATTTCACTTATAATTCCAAAGTCATGTTTGGCTTTGTTTGTTTCCTAGGATTTTCATTTTACTCTTTCTGGCCATCCTTTGATAGTGTTCTGCCATCATTCAGGCCCACTCTGGACTCTTAGCCCCTTTCCAGGTTATACGTGATCACTGCTCTGGGTCAAACACTGTGAGTATTAATTTCTCCCTGATCTCAACTACTTTGAGCCTGATCAAGCCTTTATCTTTCTCCAAATCCAACTCCAAATATCAGCCCATCTGTCAGTTCCCTTCACTGTGCTCTTTGGATGCCCATTTCTATGGTGAATCATTCCCTGCATCCTTGGCCTTTTACTTGAACATTTCTTCCATGATTTCAACTTCTCTTCAAGCTTTAGAGCAAAACCTTCACCCCCTACAGAAGGAATCATGCTTTCCCCTAATTGCCTCAACTCATACATTCAAAAAGTACATTGATAAAATTACTGAAATCTACAACTATTTTATGATTATATATTCGTTCACTATCATCACAAAACAACACCTTGTCTCCTGAATAAACCTTTTCCTGTTTCTCAACATAATTATCTCTAACTCTAGAATAACTTCTTTCCATCTTTTAACCTCTGGCCTACAGTGTTTATTCTTAGTCATATTTAAAGAATAAGAATTGGGAAATGGAGAAGGGACAAAGTAGGTAAAGTTAATGGGGTAGAAATTTTAAAACACAGATTTGGAACAGCTAAACTGCTGGGTTTGGGGCTTTTTGTTTTGTTTTGCAAGGAAGAAGGAATTGAACAAAGATAATGTGCCTTGATGGTGCCAAGTCAGAGTATATGACTATGTTCTCACATGTGCTTGTACAAAGTTTTCATGGATTGCTAATTGCCTTTCCAGTGTATGCACTTTCTCCTGTTTGCTATGTTCAGACAAATCTGTTAATAAATCTTAACAAAGCTTTTATTTTAACCCTTCATGTTATACCCCTCAATGAGTTCTGAAACCAGAAGTCAAGTATTGCTATCCCACTCGGATTCTCTGCTATCATCCTTAGTGATTTCTCTATTGATGTTAAAATCTCACCAGTCTGACTTCTTCCTGTGTCCTCAACATTTTGGTCCTTGTCTTTCCTCCATATCTGCCACCTACCAACTTGGCCAATTCCATCAGATCTCGCTCTTACTTGGGATCACTCCATATCTTTAAAGCTTTTATCTTTCCTCCTTAATCACAACCTCATAGTCCTTTATCTCTTCCACTACCTCTTCTATTGAAAGTGCTTCTTCTATCATGGTCTATATTGTATTGCAGTTGAGTTTCCCCTTATTGATTTTTCCTGATTCTAAACCCAGATCATCCCCAGATAGTATCTACAGCAACTGGCCTCTTTGACTTTCTAATATAGCGTATTTACTCCAAAATAAAAATCCCTGTTTGCTATCAATTCTTGGTAGATGGTGATAGTTATATATCAGGACAGTATTTAATCCTCATTGTTGCTCAACAATTCATTTCACTATATCTTATTGCCACTCTGTTCTGTATTTGCTTTTCTAAGAACCTTCTATAACATAATTTCTCAGCTCAATTTGGTTTCCCACAGGGATTAGAGCCCTGCTCTAGAATCAGTTCTCCTTAGATTAGGTAGGATCTGAGACCCTGCTTAGCTCTAGTGAGCTGGGTGGAGCTGGATAATGTATTTTACTCCTTCTATTTCCGCAGACAGTTTTTTTGATGCTCCTTCCTTTTTTCATATATAATCTTTTTTCCTTTCATCAAAAGCACATTATTTTTGTCTTCATTCCCTAATGCAAATGTCATGTAAAGTTCTATTTTTTTCTTTTGTTTCCTCTCAATATGTGTTCTTAATAGTTTTAGCAACTAACATCTTTTCAAGTTTATTTTCTTTTTTTTCAAGATTATTTTCTATGAGAATGATTCCAAGTGTGTCTACTTAGCATTAATTGCCTTTCAAACATCTAGAATTATAATTCATATTGCTTATATGAGATCTCTACCAGGATGCAACAATTATGTTAAAAAAATCCTCACCATTTCTCAGGAAACAATGCATTCAAGCTGAATTCGTGCTGATGTCTGATGCCTGTGATTAATGGCATCATAATCCACAGAAACCAAGAGCTGACCTACAAATATTACTGTTAACTTTTATGTGTGTGTCTGACATTCCCCACCCCATAATATCTAATAAGTCCTATTGATTCATCCTTTCTAAGGAGCTGTCATAGCTGCTGCACTTCTATCACCACTCACACAAACACACAGGTACCTACCATGTTAATCTTTTATTTCTTCTGACACCACCATGGCTCATCACTGGCTACTTTCTACTTGGATTATTTGCAACAATAATCTGATCTTCCAGCTGATCTACTAAGTACCAGAATACATATGGCATAGTTCTACAAATAAGACAGTTCCAATAATTTCACTCTCTTACAAATAAGCATTTCTTATTTTTTACTAATATATTTCTCTAACTGTATCTTTCACTACTCTGCCTCACTTACTATGTGTTTTCATGTAGGCTCATTTTTCCTCCTTCTCTTCCAATGAAAGTCTTGACTTTTATGTAAGGATAGCCAAAATCATTTTCAGTTATATATTTTTTAACAAAAAGCATTTAAAATCCAACCTTCAATACAAACCAGAATTAATCTCTACTTCATTTAAATTTCTTTTGCATGTAGCACTATTCTTTCAGAAATTATCATATTTCATATGACCATAAACATTTATGCAGATTTTTTATCTTATGCAGTATTGATTTTTTATATCTTCCAAAAGAGCATCTTCCATACTTGGAATCAATTAGCCAGGATTTTCCAGTGATACTGACAAGTTTCACATAGACACACAAATTCCATAAAAACAAAATATTCAGCCAATTTAATTTAAAATGGACAACTTAGTATAGTAGTTCGACACACTAATGCTTTGGAATCATATCAAAAAAGCAACTGGTTAATTAATGAAATGGTTTCACTCTCAACATGGATTTGATGTTGCGTAGACATAGAAAAAATAAGGAAAATAAACAATATAACCTGTTAAATATGGGATTTTTGCTGTTGTATTGCTTTATATATGCCATGGAGGCTTCATAAGAAGAGGCCACTTTTATTGAATTACATCTAATTCTGTTTGAAAATAAACCAAATACCATATTTTTAGTATCTTGGAAGCATGATTCTAATTTTGTTGCCAACATTCTGCTGTCCCATTTGTTATTAACATCTATTCTTGTTTGTCATTTAAATAGATAAGAAGTGTATCAGAAGCAGAGCTCTAATGGTGGGACTAAAATAATCTAATTAGAAATAATTTTCATTAAGATACATTTATTTGTCTGAGTCAACGGTGACACTGTGTTGTAGGAATTTGAGGACTATACTTTTCATACTGTTAAAATTTAGACAATTAAAGCATCGTTCTATTTAAATCTTATCTCTACCAATTATTAGTTGTGTGACATTGGATCAACTAGTCCTTTTTTCATGTACCTTTCTTTATCTATAAAGTGAGGGACACAATTTTAACTACTTGTGAGGATTAAATTGGTTTATACGTATAAAGATTTTCAAATAGCTCTTGGCATATGGTAAACATTCAATAGGCAATAATAAATTTAATTATACTTATTCATAATTCCAGGGTTTTTTTTCATTACACTATACTACACTGATACTTATACATATCTGTGATTATCTCTTCAGTTCTTGCCCATAATCATAAATCTTGCCCATAATCATAAATCATATATCTTTTTTACAAATAAAAAACAAAATATGTTTAAAATAGTTTTTTTAAATCAATAAGTGCTATAAGCAGATAAGTGACTTCATTCTCTTTAATTTTAGTACATTATTTAATAACAGCTGTACATCCCTTTTTATGTATTCTAAAATACTAGAGTTCTTACGTTAAACTATTGGTTACATTTCTATAAATGTAGAGGTCAATTTAATGTGTTTATATTTTTGACTTTCACTCCAGAGGAAAAAGAAAAAAAAACAATTGACCAACCAAATTAAAGTGAAAATAACAATAGAATTGTTAACTAAATCTTAAGAAACATTAAGAATCTTGTTTAGAACACTAGATTGGGACGTTAGGAGGCCTGTGTTCTAGTCTAGTGCCTGCTTTTAAGTAACCTGTTCTTGGGAAAGTCATTTTTATCTCTTTGTCCCTTATTTTTCTCATGTAGAAAAGAACAGTTTGAGCTATATGGGCTTCTGGAAACTTTCCTAAAAGGCTCAACTATTCACATTTTAAACTCTTTCCAGAAGGATCCTTTAGGGGAAACTTTTAAGCAAGGGTGGCTCCTGCACCCAATTCATAAGGATATTGTCTCACGCATCTGGAACTGGCAGCTGGGTGCTGCAAGGATGCCCTTTGGAGGGGAATGCCAAGCACTGCAAGGCCGAAATTGTTGGTTTCTGTTTTATATCTTTCTGGGCCCACTGATGCCACATGTTGCCTACGGTGGTCATGTGAGTCCGAAAGTTTAGAAAAGTGTGCAAAGACCCCAGTGGGTGATTCTCAGTAGCATGTAAGTGGAGAATATTTTAAGACTATTGCTTCAACTTGGGAAAGGCACAGTGAGGTTAAAAGAGAGAGAAAGGGAGATGCCTGCAGGACATAATACCTACATAGAGGGGCCACCCCACCTATGGTTTGATGGGAATGCTCTTTGTGGCTTATGACAGGAGAAAACTTTTCCTTTTGTGAGTGAATAAAGATTGAGAGAAGCCAAAGAAAATGCCAAGAAGAAAAACTACTCAATTCTCTTAATCTCCATGAAATGAATCTAAAACTTTGTGCAGCCTCTTCAGTATATATGGATTTTTGGCTCACATCTTATCAAATTTTGAGGTTGTTCACATGGGCTTATCCATTTCATAATATTTTCAAGGACCTAGGATTTTTCTATCTTTCCAGCATGCCATGGTTATGTACATGTTTGACATATGGGATTTTGTTCTTATACAGGCAGCATAGCACCTTCAGATGCAGGTATCTTGTTCTTATTGAAGAAGGTAAGAATGGGAGAACCAGTACCATGGAGCCTTTGGAAGGAAGCACATATTACCCAGGAACTCTCTGTAGACTTTTGTTTACATCTCATTGTCCAGCATGACTAACAGTTGTCACTTCCACTTGCAACATTGGGTGGGAAAGTGGATATTTAGCTTTTCTAGATTTTATAGCAGAAGCAGACAAAGAAAAACGGTTTTAAAGGCCTGTTATTCCATAAAACAAAATGTAGTTGCCACAATTAGGGATCTGCAGACCATGTCACCTGAGAAATAATTGCAAATTTCAGGACAACTGCATAGCATGTTTAGTTAGAAGAAGGAAGATTTAGAAAAGCCATAAAACTATTTCTAGACTTTTAAATTTAGATTTTGTGAAATAAAGTTTACTCACATTTTCTGTATACATTAGTTCTCTATCAGGGAGAAGTTTGCAGCAGAAACAGCTGTTCCAGATATGATGGATTCTCCAAAGTGGAAGAACATTCTGAAGTTTGAGTTTTAGGTGGAAAATTTTTAAATAATCTACTATAGATATTGCAGAGGGGATTCTTATGTTAGTTCAAGGAGAGGATCTATTTACTTTTAAGTTTGTTTCCAATATATTTATGATCTGCTTCTAATCTCCCTTACATGTCTTCAACAAATTGAAACATCATTTGTGAACTCTGGAAAAAGTTTCTAATATAGCATCAAGTTTACATTAGGTAGAGTCTTAAAACTATCATTGACAAGGTTTTTTACTTGACTCTCAAAGAAAAGGCCAATTATTTTTTGAATCTAATTAAGCATTTAATGAGTTTTGCTTTATATAAAATCACGTTTTGCAAATGTGTAAAGTGATAAATAGGCAAGGTGACATATGAGAAATATCCATTGTTTTAGAATACTTCCCATTATCATCTGACCATTAGATGTACTTCAAAGTAATACTGTTGCTCTCATAACTCATGGAATATAGTTTGTAATAACAATCATCTTCTCAAATTGGTCATTACCAAAGTTAATGACCTGTTTATTAGAACATCAACCTTGGCTTTGCCTCAGTCTCTTAATTAACACATCTGTCATTTACTACTAGTGGCTAAAATTTCTGTGTAGAGGACAGCTCCAATAATGATGGCACCATTAAAGCGACATCTCTGTATATTTGGATGGATCATCAAATTTGCATTGGCCTATCACAAACAGAATCCTGTGAGGCTTCAAGTAGTTTTGGCAGCCCAAAATGGTGAAATATAAACAGCAAATAGAACAACATTAGCCTCCTTTGTGAAACATTTGCATTGAAAATTATTTATCATCACTGTTGAAAAGGATAATCCCACAGCACAATTTTCAGTGCATTCCCTTGCAGAGAGCCATTCCTACCAATACTGGTAAACAAACCCACTCAAATTACAAGCCCTTCCAGATACACACACTTTCCCTTGCCACATCCATTCATTCAATCATTCAAGAAATATTGTCACATTACATTATGTAGATGCCATTAGCAAGTTAATAACATATTGACGTTTCCAAATGAACATCTGTAATATGCATGAGCATTGAAACATTGGCATTTTTAAAGGAAATGCAGTATCATTTTCCTAAAATGAGCTGATAGGTACTCAGTTTTTAAACCTTCATATGAAAATTAGACTCGCAGATTATAATACATTGATAAAACACAACAAAACAGGAAAATAACAAAATACAATCTCCTATAGTGTTAATTTTTGTTCTTTAAAAGATTCTGAAAATGACATAAATAAATGGCTATTAAAATGCTGATGTCAACGGAAAAATGTTAACTTTGATGTAATAGCTATCCTCTCAACCATGTAGGAAACACAAGTAGACTGCAAGCAATGTTTTACCATCTTATTTGGAGGATAAATCATTTTATTATTCTTCAGGATCTATTTTGAATGATCATGGAAAGGCTGAGGCAATAAAGTGGTCTTACAGGGTGTAAGACCATATGACATACAGGTCCATATGTACGTCATGAATCCATGATTCCTGGAGCTTTTGGAAAGAGACTAGTACATACAATAATACTATTAGCTTCAAACGAGGGGTTAAAAAGATGGAAATAAGGCAACAAAGCCACAGTAACTTTTTTTTGGCCAACATTTTTTATCCTTTCAGCTGTGTGTTAGAAAAATATGAAACCCCAGCTCATTGGGAGGCCGAGGCAGGCAGATCATGAGGTCAGAGATCGAGACCATCCTGGCCAACATGGTAAAACCTTGTCTCTACTAAAAATAAAAAAAAATTTCTTGGCGTGGTGGCATGTGCCTATAGTCCCAGCTACTCAGGAGGCCGAGGCAGGAGAATCGCTTGAACCTGGGAAGCGGAGGTAGCAGTGAGCCGAGATCATGCCACTGCATTCCAGCCTGGGCGACAGAGCCAGACACTGTCAAAAAAAAAAAAAAAAAAAAAAAAAAAAAAAAGAAAGAAAGAAAGAGAAAGAAAGAGGTTACTAGGTTTCTATTCGCATAGATTTCTTTGGGGAAAAATTATATTTTAATATATTTAATCATGGCATACAAATTTTGTTAATCTATAAATATTAGTGAAAATATAATGAAATTATAGACGCCTGGTTTAAACTCATTTAATTCTAGACCAATGCCCAGTCATGTGTGATTTGGCCCTTGCCCATCTCTCCAAGCTCATCTTCCTCCACTCTCTTTGTCCCAATCAATCTACTTTTTGTCCCTTGAAAACACTAAGTATATTACCTTCCAAGGGCCCTGCTATCCTATTGTTTGCAATACTGCTCTCTATTTCTCTTCATTAAGCTCTTGATTAAAATGTCAACTCTTCAGGGCTTTTCTTCATGAGATTAATAACTACATAATATTATCTTATTTACTTATTTCTGTTGTTTCTTTTCTCTTTTATCCCACTAGAATGTAAGTTTCTTGAAGCAAGGTCTTTGGCTCTCAGGTCTCCTACTGTATCCTCAGTTACTAAAATTTGACACAGATTAAAACACACAACAGATCCAAAAAGTATTTGTTAAGGACTAAATGATATAAGTCTTCTCAGGGCAACAAGAGTTTTTAAATAAGGTATAATTATATTTCATCAAGGTGCAAATCTTAATTGTCCAGTTTGAAATGTTTTGGCAAGGTGTATATATATAAAATTTCCATGCGGTCAATGCCCAAATCAAGGGCAAAGACTTTTAAAACTGAAATGGAAATTATTTCTTTTCAAAAGTTCCTGTGGATGAGATATTTTGCTTTCAAAATGAAATCATGAAGAGCCCCAAGTGGTAAAATGTGGTATCTTACCCAGTCGATTTACATGAAATTTTGATGAGGAAATATTTCTAGTCTTTGAGATACTGCTTGCAAATTCAAGCAAAGAAGCTAAAAACAAAATTTTAAATGATGGTAATGACTGGGGAAAAAAACCTGTAAGATTAAGTTAATCTTCCCAAGTTATTTACTTCAATTGTTTTTGGGTGTGGTTGATTTTAGGCTTTGAAATTTTTAAAAGCAGTATGTACCAATGTGGATATGCTTCAGGAGGTCCGTTACACTCAAAGTTTTAACCGAAAGCCTGATTTGAAACTTCTGAAGATTGTCAAACTGCAAAGAAGAAAATACTGTCTTCACTGTTCCTTTCATATAGACTAATCATATAGACCAGTTTGCCCAAGAAAATTCCTGTCTACACATAGCTGTTTCAGTGTAACTCTTAGTAGAACCCCCATTCATTCTAAAAAAAGTGTCCATAATTATATGGTCACCCAACTTTTGCACCCTTTTTAAAGAAAGATGAATACTGATTTTTTGGCACCATGAAACTCTTTAGCTCTCTGTCTCTTTTTAACCTAGATGATAGATTTTGATTTAAAAAGTAGTTGCATTTTCAAGAAAGAAGAAACAACACAGCAGACATTGATTGCTGCCTTGACCTCATTATGTTGATAAGGGCATTTGTGAATATTGTCTCTAAGTTACACCCCAGGTAGAAGGTTAATGACACATTTAGCATCCGTGGGGTGCTGGACAGTTTTTCACAGAAAAACCAGTTCAAGCTGGTAAACCTTCTGTCCTGCCCATGTAGAACAAAAATGCACCATGTTTCTACAAATGGGATATAATTCAAGAAGTGGCAAACAGTGTGCTGAGAATTCAGAAACTGGCTGACTACATTGTTTTGCTAAAGAATAACAAACTTAAAATGTTGTCAAGTCATTTTTTTAACAGCAATTTTCTATAATCTTTTGAGCCTCCTGCTATTACTTTGCTAATCCGGATCTTACTGCTGGCTGACACTAAAGACAGCATTATGACAAATTTATGAACGGATGAGTCATTTTCCACATTCATTCAGCTAATGAGAAAAACAAGTCATTATTTTTTAAGCCTGATTATCACTCCTTTAATACAAGGAGCACATACAAATGACATTATGCTGCTTTCCCTCAAAAATAACCCTGTGCTAAGACTAACAGCATCTACAGGCTAAAGATGTCTGGTATACTCGAAATTGGAAAGAACTGATTCAAAAATTCTCACTGATTCTATTAAATCTATTAAATGTTGGCATTAGAATCTACTGCCATTACTACAAATTAGAATTTCAGTAGTTTAAATCATGTGAATTATCAGTAGCTTATACATGCCTGGGCTTTTGATTAATTAGTCATAAAAGCATTGAACACTCACTAAGGGGGATAAACAATCTGGGATTACTGCTTGGGACATTATAAAAGAGGAGAGACGTGTCCAGTGTAATAGAAGAGGGAAGACATCAATGTAAAGGGTAGCTAAAAGTGAGGCAGTGAAGAATCAGAACTGAATAAGTGGAAGTGGCAGGACATTTGGAGGAATTCAGGAAAGACAGGGTTCCCTGTGAACTTAGAAGTGCAACTTGAAGTGCAAGCCAGATGGGGCTTAACTTTCAACTATGTTCAAATTTCTGCAACCAAGAAAAGCATGACAAGTGTAGTGTTGTATTTCACTTTTGACTGGCTGTGAGCTCTTTATACTGGATGTGAGTTTCATGTAAGAGTTTATGAGAAAGTCTGTGGGGCTTCAGTGTTAAAAATAATTTCTGGTTCGAGCTCTCCGTTAAATTGCTGCCTGATTCTTGAATGCACTATTGAGACAAAGAAAGGGAAATTTTCAGAATTATTGTGAATAATGTAAAAGGCAGTCAAGAAGGAAAGAGGGATACCTTGAATGACTAATTCAAATTTCAAGTCTTGTCTATTGTAAGCCTTAAAACTGCAATAAGGAATATTATTTGAAACTATCAGATTATAAAGTTAAGGTGAGTCAATCTTTTGGAGTTTATGAGCATATAAGCAATGACACTCGAAAAATTGATGCTTTAATGAAAATAATTAACTCAGTGTATTAGTCCATTTTCTCACTGCTGTTAAAGACATGCCAGAGACTGAGCAATTTACAAAGGAAAGAGGTTTAAGGAACGTACAGTTCCATGTGGCTGGGAAGGTCTCACAATCATGGCAGAAAGTCAAAGCACATCTCACACGGCAGCCAACAAGAGGAGAGAGCTTGTGCAGGGAAACTCCCATTTTTAAAACCATCACATCTTGTGAGACTTATTCACTATCAGGAGAAGAGATGGCAAAGTCTTGTCCCCATGATTCAATTACCCTCCACTGGGTCCCTCCCACAACACATGGGAATTCAAGATGAGATTTGGGTGAAAACACAGCCAAACCATATCACTCAGAAAGTCATTAAAACTATTAAAAGTCTTTCTAAATAGGAATATTTTTGTATTCATAATAACAAATTGAAAATTGTTGTCATAAACATAATATAATTAAATCTCATTTATGACTCAAGATCTTGTATTAAAATTTATCTGCACCAATATTGTTTTTGGGAGCAGAAAAATGCTCCTTTCTGTCCCCCAAAGATATCTACATTCTAATTCCTAAAATCTATGACTATGTTAATTTACATATGAAATGGATTTGTGATATGATTAAATTAAAACCCTGAGATAAAGAGGTTATTCTGGATTAATAGGTGGGTCTAATCTAATTGCATTGATCCCTAAATCAGATAACATTTTCCAGTTATGGAACCCTTTCCTCTTATCAGAAGAAGAGGGAGATGTGACTGAAAAAAGAATGATCAGAGAGATACAACAGTTTTTGGATTTGAAGATGGAGAAAAAGAGCCAGAGCCAAGGAATGTGTGTGTCCTTTAGGATTTGGAAAAGGCAAAAAATGGTTTTACCCCAGAGAGCCTCAAGGAGGAATCACAATTCTTCCACCACCTTGATTTTAGTCTGGTGACACCAATGTCAACCTTCTAATCTACAGAACAGTAAAATAATAAATTTACACATTTTAAGACACTAAACTTGTGATAATTTGTTATGGCAGTGATAGAAATCTAATATATATTTCTCATGGTAGAGAATTTGTGGTAGGGAAATTCTAAGCATAATCATCCCTTCCCTCCAAAAGATTTACTTCCCTAATCCTCCAGACTCTAAATATGATGACTCATCATACTCTTGAATATGTTAAGGTACTTAGCAAAAGAGATTCTGCAGATTCAATTAAGATCAGTTGGCCTTAAAAATTTATGAGATTATAATGGGTTGTCTGGGTGTGTCTAATATAATCACTGGAGTTCTTTAAAAAAGAGAGAGTTTTCCTGTTCAGTAGAAGGGAAAACAAAGAGATTGGAAATACAGGGACTCAACTCCCCATTGCTGGTTTAGAATTAGAATAAGCTATGTAAGAAAGAATGTGAATGGTCTTTAGAAGCTGAGGTCTGGCTCTGGCTGACAGCAGCAAGGAAATGAGGACTTCAGTCCTAGAGCCACAAGGAACCAAACTCTGCAAGTATGTGAGTTTGGAAGCAGATTCCTTCCCAGAGCCTATGGATAACAGCTCATCCAAGCTAACACATTGGTTTTGGTCTTGTGGTACTCCGAGTACAGAACTTGGCAGAGCCTATCCAGACTTCTGTTCTACAGCACTGTGAACTAATAAGTGGGTGTCTTTTTATACCACTAATTTTATGGTAATTTGGTACATATCAGTAGAAAGTTAATACAGAGTTCTAAGGCTTGTTGACCACTCTTTAATATCAAACATTATATAGGGCCATCCATATATATGAAATGCAGTGCACCATGAAAAACAGAGTGTGGTTTGAAGTAAAACAAACTTAAGTTAAATATACTTCTCTCTTTTACTAACTTCTTTATATTAGACAATTTGTTTAACTTTGGTAAGCCTTACGTTTGCTTTTTTAAAATGAAGCTAAGTGTGCCTGTCCGAAATGAGTCTCTGGAAAGCATTGATGATAATGACTGGTGAGTAGTAGGTGATCAACCAGCAAGAAAAATCAACTTCCAATTTAAAGCACTCTTCTTCCATCCTTTGATTCACAAGTGGAGAAATAAAAAATAAAGATGGAGAACGACAAAGACCAGGCTGGAGCATGTGCCTTTAAGCCTATTAGGCAATTGGATTTGCTAAAACCAAAGCCTAGATTTAGGGAAAATTTACTGTCTGGTTGTAAAAAGGCCAAAAGTCCTTCACATGACTAGCATTGGGGGAGAAGCAGCAGCTATACTCCTTGAAGACAGCTTGCTCTCAAGAGAAGGAAGGATAGAGCTGAGCCTAGAGTGCACATTATCTTCCTCAAGTTTATTGGTCAGAGAAATTTTGTTATTACTTCCAAGAATAGAGACAGGAATAGTATGAAGAGAGGGCAAAGATTTACTTAGGAAAAAATAAATATGACTTTGTTAAAATCAAGGTTAAAGTGCAGAAATGGGCACTATGAGATTTAACAACTCGTCTGTGCTAACCCAGAAAAGTAGTAAACCCAGGACTTGAATTCATGCATGTAAGACTCTAGGGCTTTTGCAATATCTTTCACAAATACACCAGGAATGCAAATGTAGAAATTAAACAATAAAACAGAATCTGAATAGAAGACCTATTTAAATTAAATCTTTAAATTTAACTTTTTCTACCATTCTTATCTGTATCCTAAGAAAAAATGCAATGAAAGCTCTGGTTAAAAGAGAGTTTTCTTAAGTCTTTCATTTAAATAAATTTCTACTATATCACTGAAGACAAACTTCCCTAAAATAGATCATTCTAAAATGAACTACAACACCACAGCATTTTATAGAAGAAATAAATAAAATGTTAATGATAAGTAATTTTAGAACAGTTTAATGAGCACTTAGATATTAATAATGACCTATGGAAATATATTTTTTCTTCAGTATGACTTTAAGTGGTGCACATGTTGTAGTATGGAAGTTATTAAATGGCCTTAAAAACAGGTTTTGTTTTCAGGAGCCCAGAATTAATAAATGAATATATTCAACCGTAATGTAGCAGTGGATTGGGCTGAGCCTTTGGGTTTTACTTGAGTTTCTCTGCAGTTCATTAAACAACCCCACAGGGCCTACCAATCCTTACTTAAGCCACATATACAAAAGATCTTAAATAAATTTATTCTAGTTGTCATGGCTAATTTGTTCAGCTGACTGATTTCTCAAACTGTCAAAAGTCATAATTTTACAAATAAAATTAGAAAGCTACAAACTACACAGTTATAAACTATCTTCTATTATTTGACTCTTATCAGATACAGTGAAAAGTTAAATACATACAGTGACTTAAAAATATTTGAAAGTAAGAAATAAATATTTCTAGATAATAAAAACCTGCACAGATTGTTTTTGTAACAAAAGTATACATGACATGGCCAGTGTGGTGGCTCACAGCTATAATCCCCAGCACTTTGGGAGGCCGTGGCAGGCAGATCACCTGAAGTCAGGAGTTCTAGACCAGCCTGGCTAACATGGCGAAACCCTGTCTCTACTAAAAATACAGAAGTTAGCTGGGCGTGGTGGTGCATGCCTATAATCCCAGCTACTTGGCGGCTGAGGCAGGAGAATCTCTTGAATCCAGAAGGCAGAGGTTGCAGAGAGCCAAGATGGTGAGACTCTGTCCCCCCACAAAAAACAACAACAATAAAAAATGACATTTTACGATATCTTAACGATTATTATTATCATATTTTATAGAGTGCAAGACAAGGAAATCTAAACTTTTTGCATGCCTGCCTCCTGGCCACATGGATCAAAGCCTTAGAAAAACTGTTTTTCTAAGACATGTTGCCAAGAAGCCCAGAATTTCGGAAATAGTGCTTGGAGCAGGAAGACGTCAGCTGACTTTATGTAATACACTCTGGGACAGAGGCAAAGACAGACTTCAGATGCTTGCTTTTACATCCCCTATTGGATAAAAAACGTTATGTAGCTTAGACCACCACTGTGAAATGGTTTGCCACATTCCTAGTCCTGTGCCCAAAACACCTAGTTTAGTGTCATGTGATGTATGGCTATCCAGTAGACACTAATTGATCTGAATAAAACATGTGAACTGTGAACACAATGAAAAATGTAGAAGGAAGTTCAGAATAATTACAGAATTCCAGGAAAGCCTGTGTCATGTGTTTGATGTTACTGGATGACATGCTGCCAGTGTTTTAATTTGAAATTCTTCCTTATCATGACACCAAATGTATCATGATGTAGGACTTACTTTAACACATCATATGGCTGCAGTGTTATATTTATTTCTGCTAATTTTTGTATAGTTATTCATAGTATGAATAGGAGCCTTTTTACATAGATTCAAATGTCTCCCAGTTCACAAATCTTTTTAGTAATCTGACCCTATCTTAATACTTTGGCAATGGTTGTTTTACGGACAGCCTGAAGAAATGTATGTTCAATACTAAGAGAAAAATTTAAAAGAGCTAACTGATATTTCCTTTTATTTACCCTATAGGATTATAAGATTGGCTTTGTTTGTGAGTAGTCCATTTGTATGGTTATATACAATGTTTCTTTTAAGTTTTATTTTACCTACTATTTGCCCTGAATGGAACATTTTCCTGTTGGCAAGATTTGTTATCATTATAGATAAATCTCTGGTGAAAAGTGGACAAACAAACCCTTGCAGGATGCAGTGGCTGGGGATATTGAAAGAAATATATGTATTCCAAATAAAATGTATAATTAGTTGTTCATAGAAGAACCTGCTTTTTTTGCTTGTATTAGTGAGCCCTAAGAAAGTTCGGGAAATCATTTAGAATTCAATAATAGGTTATCATCAATCTCTGCCAAATAAATAGAATAAATTATTTTTATTATTCATTATGGGATCCATTACATATTTATTGAACTTCTACTATATGTCAGACATTGTTTTAGGTGCTGGGGATATAGGTAGAAATAAAACAATCTAGAGAAAGTGTGGCTCATCTTGCTTGGCAATACATTTTGACTTCTCTTTATCTGTTATTTCTCAATGTGCATCTATTGCCCTTCTATTTCACACCATAATTGTTATTATATTTATTAAATTATTGATCATATTATTACATAAAAATTATTACAACAAAAGCTCATGTAATTGATGAAAGAACTAGGGTCAAAGAATCCAGGCATTTAGCATCCCAACAGCAAGCCTTCTATAGAATCACTGTCTACACTTTATTTTCCTCCAAGCCCTTTCCTTTAAAACTGTCTCTACCTCCCCTCACATACAGAAACTCTTCATATTTCTTCCATCCCCTTATTTTTAATGTAATTTTTAATTTTTAAAATAATGTTATATTTTTCCCATTGCTTTCCAACCTCCTTCTCTATCCCTTTCATTTTTTTCCTCTCTTTTTTCATTTTTTTTCTTTTACAAATATTGTGAGTAAATTCTGTGGGTTAAGCATTTAAAAAGATCCAGCAAGAGCACAGTATAAAATATTTTTTATATAAATTGTCTCATTTGATTCCCTAACCTCTTTACATAGATAATATTAACTTCATTTTATAAAGCACCTGAGCCTCAGGAAAAAAACATCATTTCTTAAAGAATACAGAACTAACACAAAACAAAATCCAATATGAGAATTCTACAAAAATGTCCCAGAAAAACATGCCTCTTAGTTGCTTTCCTACATGAAGCCATATGGATTTTCCAAGCATTGAGGTTCTTCAAAACATGGCAACTATGAAAATGTGTTATCGTGGAAGTTTATTAAAATGTAGTTTGATTACTAAAATGTAGTTTGATTATTAAAATTGATGAATTACTTTGCTAATTAAATAATTTTCAGAAATAACCCATGCCAATATAATTTTTATTTAATTGGCAAACTATTTATTGATCATTTCAAAGATTCTCACCTGGTTTTAACCTTTAAAGTCATCTATTTTTCCTTATACTATTTGACTTATGACATAAATAATATCTAATAAGATATAAAGCTCAAAAAATAATTTTTCTCAAGATTAAAACAGGATGTAGAATTAGAATACCATGATTTCTTTAATGGCAACTAATATTCCTCAAGCCTTTATTTGCTTTTTATAAGACACTGATTCATTATTTATTTCAAAATGCCATGACTGTATTCCTTATGAAAAATTTTTAAGGCTGGGCTCAGTGGCTCATGCTTGTTATCCAAGTACTTTGAAAGTGCAAGGTGGGTTGATTGCTTGAGCCCAGGAGTTCAAAACCAGCCTGGGCAACATGGTGAAATACCATCTCTACAAAAAATAGAAAAATTAGCCAGGCATCGTGGCATATGCCTGTAGTCCCAGCTACTTGAGAGGCTGAGGTGAGAGGATCACCTGAGCCTGAGGAGGTTGAGACTGCAGTGAGCCATGATCCATGCCACTGCACTCCAGCATGAGGGACAGAGTGAGGCTCTGTCAAAAAAGAAAGAAAGAAAGAAAGAGAGAGAGAGAGAAAGAAAGAAAGAAAGAGAAAGGAAGGAAGGAAAGAAGGAAGGGAGGGAGGGAAGGAAGGAAGGAAGGAAGGAAGGAAAAGAAAAGAAAAGAAAAAGGAAGGAAGGAAAGAAATAAGAAATATGTGTATACATTGCCTAAAAAATGGTTTTTAGAGTTGAGACATATAGCCATTTAGTTCACAGAGATTCACAGAAATTCACACAATTTATAATCTTGGCTCTCATTTTCTTGCTAAGTTCTTGATTTTCCTTTTTCTTGATTTTTCCCCTTTTGCTTTATTGTAAGCAAGACAGAAATCACTTTTTTTCTGATAATCTGAAGTGCTGTCAGCTCTTGAGAGGGCAACTGAATGATTCCATTCCTTTTAGGTATTGAAAAATTAATTAAGATTAAGTTAATTGTATAAAGCTTGGATTTCTCTGTAAATTATTATCCCGCCTGTAGTATATAGTATTAAATACTGATTAATAGAAGTCTGAATAAGGTTTTTACAATATACTCTGAGTAACTGAAATTTCACTTCAAAGAGTTTAGCTCTTGTGATTATGTAAGAAAGCATGTGTTTTATGTTGTTGGTGATATATAAAATGTATTGTATAGAAGAGAGATTCTCCAACACATTATTGCAAAGGTAATATCTCCAAATATCACCAAATATCTCAATTCATAAGACAGCAAGATTCATGTTAGGAATTGGGAGATTTTCCAAAATACTAATTGTGGCAGACATTAAAAGATCGAAAGGATAAAGACAGATATCTGGATTAGCCATCATGAGAAGGTGACTTCTGCTCTTGCAGAGGCATTTTCATTAAGGTGGTGTTTTTAAAGCTTCAAGGATTTGGGACAGTGATGATGGTAATATCAGACTCATGGGTAGCATTCTTTGTAGTAATAAATTTTCATAATTAGCACTTTTTTCATAACTCATTGAACATCAGCTATTTATAGTCAAGGAAGTATAGATTAAAGAACCTCAAGAAGAACCACAAATACCTTTTCAGATAACAAGCTAAATGGATTACTATAACCTATGTCTGTGCTGTTCTTTTTTTTTTTAATACCTAGAATTTCAATATCTATGTTATGCCTGGAGTACCATTGAGTGGCTCACTAATTTGATCAAAAGTGGAACAAAAGATTAGTAGTAGAAAGCATTAAATGAACATGATCTCTAAAATCCCATTTACCTATAACATTCTTTGCTTCACATGCATTCTGCTTCTAAAACGACTTTTAACCCTGGAGACATTAGGCCAGTGTTGTTCTGAAAAGGCAATGCTAAAAACAGTTACTCTGTTAAACTGCCGAGTAAATCCATGCTATTTATTCCAGAGGTTCCCTGAGAGTCATTACAATGCACTAAGAGAGTTTTTATTCATTGACCTAATCAAGAGCAGTTGAAAGTAGAAGTTATGTTTTCCAAAAGGTGCCCTTATCCATGACTGAACAATATGAGCTTGATAAATTAGTGAGTAGAATTTTTGGTTGACTGTCATAAAAGTAACACAGAGGTCAGAATATAAAATACTCTGAAGGAATTTTTGTTTCTGTTGTTTTTAAACCCACGTGGTGGATTCCAAGATTCATTCTCTAACAACTAACTTCTTTTCCAAAGTGTGTCACACACAAACAAGTGAGGTTGGATGACTGCATAGAATGAAAGACACTGGGGTTATCCAATGGTGAGAGAAAATTACTCTCTGGCCTAAACAAGCGAGAGAGAGAAGTTAAAGAGGAAAGGGCAAATGCTGATAAAAGTAATTAGGTTTATGTTTCTTTGGGGTCAAGGGGAGAATGTTCATGATTTTTATGCTGCGATAGTTACTTTGTAGTCTATGGCCTTCTGAAGGTAAAAAGTGAAGATACTACAGGCTAACTCACCAGAAGGGAACCTAATGTCCATAGAACGAGTGATGATCATTCAACTGAGGTAACCCTGAAACATAATGTTGGGATATTTCCTGTGTTAGTTTACTAGTATTGCTGTAATAATTACCACAAACTGGGTTACTTAAAGCAAGAGAAAATTTTTCTCTCACAGTTCTGGAGGCCAGAGTCCAAAATCAAGATGTAAGCAGGTTGCTTCTTTCTGGAGTCTCTCAGGAAGAATCTGTCCCACAACCTCTCTCCTAGTTTCTGGTGGTTACTGAAAATTCTTGGCATTTCTTGCCTTGTAGTTGCATCGTGCCAATCTCCCCCCTTTATCATCATAGGGCCTTCTTCCCTCTGTGTGTTTTACATACAGCTTTCTTCTCTGTGTGTGTCTCTGTGTCTGGATTTTCCTCTTCTTACTAAGGATACCAGTCATTGGATATAGGGCTCACCCAAATAGAATGTGATGGCATTTTAAATTAACTAATTACATCTGCAAAGAACCTATTTACAAATTGGGTCACATTCTGGAGGGACACTATTCAACTCATAAATTTCCCATACTCAGTACAAAGAATAAAATTATTTGAAAGAACACCACATCAATTGCTTTCCTTGTAATCTCATATTGCCCTTTTTGAAAAGGAATAAAATGTCCATAGATGTGGAAAAGGTTTTTCAGACTCAGGTTGTTCAGCAATTCAGTTTCTTTTGCAGTGTGATCCCTTAATATTGGCTCTATGTGCTATGTGGTGTGTTTCTGATAATTAAATGTCGTCCTATATCTATGTGCTTATTCTACATTCTAGAGATTCCTTGGAATAGTGAAAAGAAGGGAGAGTCCGTGGTTTTAATCATCTGAAGAGAGAATTCATTAAAAATTCACAGATAAAACATTTATATCTCCAACGTTGTCAAACAATACTTTCATATCTCCCGTTATGTCAGGACACTTTCTTGATAAAATAAGGAACAAAAGCAGCTTTTTTATTTCACTGTGTTAAACATACAATATATAGGAATAGAATAAAAACTTTTCACAGTTGCTTTTTAAATAAAATGAGCCGTTGTTGGCCACGATTTTATTATACAGGATTTTAGCTGAGAACGGAGTTACTTATACAGGGATAACAGGAATTTCCCAGTACTCTTTGTATCGATATGGGAACACATTACTAATTCTTTCTAATGGAATGTGATGAAGTGGTTTAAAAATGTATATCTTTGTGTACTCTTTTCCTTCTATTGGCTTCATGCAGAAGATCGTAGTGATTACCCAAGCAAATGTTAAACATTGTGGACATATCAAATAGAATGAGTTCAGGTCCCCAAATTACCACTTTGAAGAGCTTCTCACCAAACAAGAGAATAAGTTTTGAGTTTTGCTTAATTAAGAAATAAACAATAGTGTGATTGAGGCATTATGCATTATAGAAATTTTATTGAATGAATGATATAACATGACTTTCAGAGTGATTACTTTGGTTTACAATATAATTAAATATTTTACCATAAAGTCAATGGTTTTTGGAATATATAGAATTTTTTGAGTTGCACAATTCAACGTGGAAAAGAGTTTAAAAATTCTTTGAGAATAGTTTTTTTTTTTTTTTTTTTAGACAGCTGTGTTGCCAGGCTGGAGTGCAGTGGCATGATCTCGGCTCACTGCAACCTCTGCCTCCTGGGTTCAAGTGGTTGTTCTGCCTCAGTCTCCCAAGTAGCTGGGACTACAGGCATGCACTAACATGCCCAGCTAATTTTTGTATTTTTAGTAGAGATGGGGTTTCAGCATGTTGGCCAGCATAGTCTCGATCTCTTGGCCTCGTGATCTACCCGCCTCAGCCTCCCTAATTGCTGGGATTACAGGCATGAGCCACCATGCCTGGCCAAGAATAGATTTTTAAAAAATACTGTACACCAATTTATTTGCAAAAATTTGAGCCATTCTGGGGCTGCCACATCACATAATTTCATGAAATTCTAATTTCAAGGCTTGTTGTTTTATTATGAGAAGTGATTATTCATGTCAAACTATAATCTTCTGGTTCTCTCACCTTCTATATGACAGATGCAATTAACTGCTTTGGTGTTTAATCCCAATGAAGAATTAAATACCTGTTTGTCCATGCTTCCTGTTATTTCAAAACAAAGAAACAATAATTTGAGCTATTGGATTTAAGAGAAGTAGATAGTCTTGCACAGTGATAGTTTTGTTAGTCCATCTTTGTGATAAGTCCATATACAGTGAATGTAATTCAGTGGTATGGTATAGCATTCCTGATCAGGTGTATATGCTTCAGTTGGTAAAGTGTTATTAAGTTAATGAGATACTCAAATATAAGTCTCTGTTCATAGTATGAAACTAAAAATTATATTCATGATATTTTTCTGAGTTCTGGCACATTGTAGAGCATAATAGTATAGGCTAGGGGTTATAAATTGATCTGGAAAAAGAAGAGATGCCTACAATTCCTTCACTCAATAGCATATAATATCAGTTAATGTTTTATTTTTCTATGTTTCTGTTTCAAAAATTTATAATAATTATACACTGCCACATATAAAGATTAAGGGGATGGATTGTGTTCATTGCATTGCATTTTCTATACAACACTTTAATACAACATTAGAAAAACACCACTTTAGTGGAAGCCAGATAAATTCCAGCCAGCTGTTTTTCATCAGTTTTAGAATGTCTGCTTCAGAGCTAGAAAACTGGAAAATGGTCTCATCTAGTTAATGTTGGTTGCTAATTACAGAGATTCCTAAAATTTGCTCTCCAGATTTTTATCAGCATGTTTAACCATTATCTACATGCATGCATGCACCTACTTGTCACTTAATACTGTTGGTGGGACTGTAAACTAGTTCAACCATTGTGGAAGACAATGAGGCAATTCCTCAAGGATCTAGAGGTAGAAATACCATTTGACCCAGCCATCCCATTACTGAGTATATACCCAAAGGATTATAAATCATGCTGCTATAAAGACACATGCACACATATGTTTATTGCAGCACTATTCACAATAGCAAAGACTTGGAACCAGCCCAAATGTCCATCAATGATAGACTGGATAATGAAAATGTGGCACGTATACACCATGGAATACTATGCAGCCATAAAAAAGGATGAGTTCATGTCCCGTGTAGGGACATGGATGAAGTTGGAAACTATCATTCTGAGCAAACTATCACAAGGACAGAAAACCAAACACCGCACGTTCTCACTCATAGGTGGGAATTGAACGACAAGAACATTTGGACACAGGGTGGGGAACATCACACACCGGGGCCTGTTGTGGGGTGGGGGGAGGGGGAGGGATAGCATTAGGAGGTATACCTAATGTAAATGACGAGTTAATGTGTGCAGCACACCAACATGGCACATGTATAGATATGTAACAAACCTGCACTTTGTGCACATGTACCCTAGAACTTAAAGTATAATTTAAAAAAAAGAAAACAGACATAAGAGAAATACTCTGAAATGCAAAAATAAATAAATAAATAAATACATACATACATAAAAACTGATTAGCTTTTGAACATAGATATGCATTCCCCTTGTCCTTAGGGAAGCATAGAGGCAAGCTCATTTACCAATAAAGTCAAAAGTCATAGAGGTTTGCTCTCATAAGCCAAATCATTTCCTGTGTTCTGTCATACCTGAATTTCTCTCTAAGGTTGACAAATGAAGAGAAAAGAAGAGGTAGGAAAATAAGCAAAAACTTTCACTGTATAAAGGTTAGACATATATATTCCTATGAGTAAGACTGAGGCTATTTACCTATGAAGGGCAACATGATATTAAATTTCAAAGTTCCCTTGTTTTTATTGTTCTTAACCATACCTTTGCATGACAGGCAAGTAGGAAAAATTCAGATCAAGAGACAGCCCCAATTTACATATACTTGCTGCTTTTAAAAATATAAATTCATAAAATTTTAGAGCTTGAAAGGTCCTTAGATCCTCACTCTTTCATTTAAGGGAGGAAGTATAATACTTGAAGTGACCTTTCCAAAATTCTGTAACTGGTCAGTGGGAAAATTGAGACCAGAATCCAAGTACTGTGCATCTATTTTTATCTTCATCTTTTTACTATTCCTTTGATCTCATTAGTCCATTCAAATGAGGATTTTTAGTACAGTTGAATTTTTTAAATAAAAAATTTAGTGTAATAATCTTTATGCTTTCTCTAGTTGGCCACCCTCAGTGGCTTTCTCTAGTTGGCCATCAGAATAAAGGGAAATGCGAGGATTGAAGAAAATAGCAGATAGGAGGGAGGACTAAATTGATGGACAGAGCAATGTGTGGAGACTCACATCCTGAACTTTTGCTCTAAGAACTACTGCAGGAACATACCAGGAAAGCCAATAGAATCCACAGACCCTTTGAAGGAGGTGGATAGCTCCTGCAGGACCTGGAGACAACTCAAATTCTGTGAGTGCCCAAAGGGTGAAACTAAGAAAGAGGGATTGTCTGCCCCTGAACACACACCCTCACTGGGGAAACCTGCAGGTCCAGATCATGGGAGAAGGACTTGACCTTACCTGGAGTTGAGATAATTTGGAAAGGTGAGCAAAATACAGGAGTAGAGGAAGTAGCAGGAAGAGCCTTGTGGGCTCACTTTGTCCCCAGGGAAACCATTCCCAACTTTGTCTCACAGGGGTCCTCGGGGAGGGCTTCCAGAGGAACTGGGAAAAGACCATGGGGAGAAGGAAACCTCCAGCTGAACTCTGTAACAATTCCAACAAAATGAGACATTTCCTGGACAGAACTCAGGGGAGGGGGTGAATGCAGAGTGCAGACATGGGCAGGTGGGCAGGTGCAAAACTTGAAAGTCCTGCTTACTTTCTCAGCCAGGAGGCTGGTAACATGGGGCAAGTTCTCAGCCCTGCTTGCCCACTGCCTGGAAACAAACTTGGTGTTGTCGGTGGGGGCACAGTGGGAGTGAGACCGGCCTTTTGGGTTGCATGGGAGCTGGGTGAGGCCTGTAACTGCTGGCTTTCCTGGCAACCTGCAGGATACAGCAGAGGTAGCCGTAATTCTCCTGGGAACATAACTCTATTGACCTGGGAATCATATCCTCATTCCCCACAGAGGCCACAGAAAGCCCTGCCCAAAGAGAATCTGAGCTCAGACACGCTTAACCCTGCCCTCACTTAATGTTCTTTCTCTACCCACTCTGGTAGGTAAAGACAAAGGTTATATTATCTTGGGAGTTCTAGGGCTTCACATACCACCTGATCCTCCCTAAAATACCACAGCTGATGCTCTCTTGAAAGTGCCACCTCCTGGCAGGAGGCCAACCAGCACAAAACTAAGTGCAATAAATAATAATAATACAACTAACGATCCTTACAGAGTCCATTTCACTCCCCTGCCACCTCCACCAGAGCAGGTGCTGGTATCCATGGCTGAGAGACCTGAAGACAGTTCACATCACGGGACTCTGTGCAGACATCCCTATCCCCCACCCCGCCCCCACCCCACCAGTATGAGACCGGAACCCAGTAGCCCTGCTGGGTGGCTAGATCCAGAAGAGAAATAATAATCACCACAGTTTCGCTCTCAGTAAGCCACATCCCTAGGAAAGGAGGAGAGTACTACATCAAGGAAGCACCGCGTGGGACAAAAGAATCTGAACAACAGCCATTGAGCCCCAGAACTTCCCTCTGTCATAGCCTAACTGAATAAGAAGGAACCAGAAAAACAATTCTGGTAATATGACAAAACAAGGTTATTTAACACCCTTGAAAAATCACACTAGCTCACAAGCAGCAGATCCAAACCAAGAAGAAATCCCTGATTTGCCAGAAAAAGAATACAGAAGGCCAATTATTAAGCTAATCAAGGAGGTACCAGAGAAAGGTGAGGTCCAAGTTAATGAAATAAAAAAGTGATGCAAGATATGAAGGGGGAGAAATCATCAGTGAAATAGGTAGCATAAATAAAAAACAGTCACAACTTCTGGAAATCAAGGACACACTTAGAGAAATGCAAAATGCACTGGAAAATCTCAGCAATAGAATCAAACAAGCAGAAGAAAGAACTTCAGAGCTCGAAGACAAGGTTTTCAAATTAACCCAATCCAACAAAGACAAAGAAAAAATGATTTTTTAAAAAATGAACAAACCTGCCAAGAAGTTTGTGACTGTGCTAAGTGACCAAACCTAAGAATAATTGGTGTTCCTGAGTAAGAAGAGAAATATAAAATTTGGAAAACATATTTGCGGGAATAATCAAGGAAAATGTTCCCTGGCCTTGCTTGAGATCTAGACATCCAAATACAAGAAACTCAAAGAACACCTGGGAAATTCATCCCAAAATGATCATTGCCTAGGCACATAGTCATCAGGTTATCTAAAGTCAAGATGAAAGAAGGAATATGAAGAGCTGTGAGGCAAAAGCACAAGGTAACCTATAAAGGAAAACCTATCAGATCAACAGCAGATTTCTCAGCAGAAACCCTACAAGCTAGAAGGAATTGGGCCCTATCTTCAGCCTCCTTAAACAGAACAATTATCAGCCAAGAATTTTGTATTCAGCAAAACTTAGCTGCATAAATGAAGAAATAATAGTCTTTCTCAGATAAACAAATGCTGAGAGAATATGCCACTACCAAGCCAGCACTACAAGAACTGCTAAAATTGCTGATTTAAGGGCCCTAAATCTTGAAACAAATCCTTGAAATACATCAAAACAGAACTTTCTTAACACATAAATCTCATAAGACCTATAAAACAACAACACAATACATTAAAAAAAAGCAAGGTATTCAGGCAACAAATAACACGATGCATGTAGAATAATAGAATTGTACCCTACATCTCAATACTAATGCTGAATGTAAATGGCCTAAATGCTCCACCTAAAAACTACAGAATGGCAGAATGGATAAGAATTTACCAACTAAGTATCTGCTGCCTTCATTTGACTCATCTAACACCTAAGGACTCACATAAACTTAAAGGGGTGGAAAAATATATTCCATGCAAATAGACACCAAATGTGAGCAGGAGTAGCTATTCTTATATCAGACAAAACAAAATTTAAAGGAACAGCAGTTAAAAAAGACAAAGAGAGACATTATATAATAATAAAAGACCTTGTCCAACAGTAAAGTATTACAATTCTAAATATATATGCACCAAATTTATGAAACGATTACTACTAGACATAAGAAATAAAACAGATAGCTACGTAATAATAATGGGGGCCCTCAGTACTCCACTGACAACACTAGACAGGTCATCAAGACAGAAAGTCAATGAAGAGACAATGGATTTAAACTATACCCTAGAACAAATGAACTTAACAGATATTTACAGAACATCTATCCAACAACCGCAGAATATACATTCTATTCATCAGTGCATAGAACTATCTCTAAGATAAACTATATGATAGGTCATAAAACAAGTCTCAGTACATTTAAGAAAATTGAAATTATATCATGTACTCTCTTTGACCACAGTAGAATAAAATTGAAAATCAACTCCAAAAGGAACCTACAAAACCATGAAAATACATGGAAATTAAATAACTTGCTTCCGAATGATCATTGGGCCAACAATGAAATCAAGATGGAAATTTAAAAATTCCTTTAACTGAACAATAATAGGGACACAAACCATCAAAACCTCTATACTAAGAGGAAGGTTCATAGCCTTAGATGCCTACATCAAAAAGTCTGAAAGAGCACAAATAGACAATCTAAGGTTGCATCTCAAGGAACTAGAGAAATAAGAGCAAAGCAAATCTAAACCCAGCAGAAGAAAAGAAATAACCAAGATTAGAGCAGAAATAAATGAAACTGAAACCAAAAAAATACAAAAAATAAATGAAACAAAAAGCTAGTTCTTCGAAAAGGTAAACAAAATTGATAGAACATTGGTGAGATTAACCAAGAAAAGAAGAAAGAAGATCCAAATAAGCTCAACTAGAAACAAAACAGGAGGTTTTACAACTGACACCACAGAAATACAAAAGATCACTCAACGGTCCTATGAACACCTTTATGCACATAAACTAGAAAATGTAGAAGAGATGTATACATTTCTGGAAATATACAACTCTCCTAGCTTACATTAGGAGGAATTAAAAACCCTGAACAGACCAACAACAAGCAGCGAGATTGAAATGGATATTAAAAAATTGCCAAGAAAAAAAAAAAAAGCCAGGACCAGATGGATTCACAGCTGAATTCTATCAGACATTCGAGGAAGAATTGGTACCAATCCTGTTGACACTATTCCACAAGATAGGGATAAAAGCCAACATCACCCTAATAACATCACCCTAATACCATAACAAAAAAAGAAATTACAAACCAATATTCCTGATTAACATAGACGCAAAAATCCTAAACAAAATACTAGCTAAACAATCCAATAGCATATCAAGCAGATAATCCACCATGATCAAGTGGGTTTCATACCAGGGATGCAGGGATGGTTTAACAGATGCAGGTCAATAAATGTGATACACCAGATAAACAGAATTAAAAACAAAAATCATATGATCATCTCAATAGATGCAGAAAAAACATTTGACAAAACCAAGGGTCTCTTTACGATTAAAACCCTCAGTAAACCTTCATAGAAGGGACATACCTTAATGTAATAAAAGCCATCTATGACAAACCCACAGACAATATAATACTGAATGGGGAAAAGTTAAAAGCATTTCCTCTGAGAACTGGAACAAGAAAAGGATGGCCAGTCTCACCACTTTTTTTTTCTTTTTTTGAGACGGAGTTTCACTCTGTTGTCCAGGATGGAGTGCAGTAGGGTGATCTCAGCTTACTACCATCTCTGCATCCCAGGTTCAAGTGATTCTCCTGCCTCAGCCTCCCGAATACCTGGGATTACAGGTGCCCACCACCATGCCCAGCTAATTTTTGTATTTTTAGTAGAGATGGGGTTTCACCATGTTGGCCAGGCTGGTTTCGAACTCCTGACCTCAGGTGATCCACCACCTCAGCCTCCCAAAGTGCTGCAATTACAGGCATGAGCCACTGTGCCTGGCCCCTCATCACTTTTATTCAGCATAGTACTGGAAGTCCTAGCCAGAGCAATCAGACAAGAGAAAGAAATAAAGAACATCCAAATCAGTAAAGAGGAATTCAAACTCTCGCTGTTTGCTGATGATATGATCGTATACCTAGAAAACCCTAAAGACTCCTTCAAAAAGCTCCTAGAACTGATAAATGAATTCAGCAAAGTTTCTGCACAGCAAATGAAACAATTAGCAGAGTAAATAGACAACCCACAGAGCAGGAGAAAGTCTTCACAATCTATACATCTGACAAAAGACTAATATCCAGAATCTATAAGGAACTCAAATAAATTAGCAAGAAAGAAACAAACAGCCCCATCAAAAAACTGGTATAAGGACATGAATAGACAATTCTCAAAAGAAGATATACAAATGGCCAACAAACATATGAAAAAATGCTCAACGTCACTAATAATCAGGGAAATACAAATCAAAACCTCAATGTGATACCACTTTACTCCTGCGAGAATGGCCATAATTAAAAAATAAAAAAAACCTAGATGCTGGTGTGGATGTGCTGAAAAGGGAACACTTCTATGCTGCTGGTGGGAATGTAAATTAGTACAACCTCTATGAAAAACAGTGTGAAGATTCCTTAAAGAACTAAAAGCAGAACTACCATTTCATCCAGCAGTCTCACTATTTGGGATATCTACCCAGAGGAAAAGAAGTCATTATACAAAAAAGATACAGCAGCACAATTCACACTTGCAAAAATATGGAACCGGCCCAAATGCCCATCAATCAATGAGTGGATAAAGAAATTGTGGCATATATATGTGGCATATATATATATATATGCCACATATATATGGAATATATATATATGGTGTGTGTGTGTGTGTGTGTGTGTGTATACACCATGGGAATACTATTTAGCCATAGAAAGGAATGAAATAATGATAGTTGCAGCAACCCTGGTGGAATTGGAGACTATTATTTTAAGTGAAGTTAACTCAGGAATGGAAAATCAAATATCACATGTCTCACTCGTAAGTGAGATCTAAGCTATGAGGAAGCAAAAGGCATAAGAATGATACTAGGGACTTTGGGTCCTTGGGGCAAAGGGTGAGAAGGGGGTGAGGGATAAAAGACTATACACTGGGGGCCAGGCACAGTGGCTCACGCCCGTAATCCCAGCACCTCGGGAGGCCGAGTCGGGTGGATCACGAGGTCAGGAGATAGAGACCATCCTGGCTAACACGGTGAAACCCCGTCTCTACTAAAACATACAAAAAAAAAATTAGCTGGGTGTGGTGGCGGGCACCTGTATTCCCAGCTAGTCTGGAGGCTGAGGCAGGAGAATGGAGTGAACCCGGGAGGCGGAGCTTGCAGTGAGCAGAGATCGCACCACTGCACTCTAGCCTGGGTGACAGAGCGAGACTCCATCTCAAAAAAAAAAAAAAAACAAAGACTACATATTGGGTTCAGTATATACTGCTAGGGTGATGGGTGCACCAAAATCTCACAAATCACCTCTAGGGAACTCACCATGTAACAAAACACCACCTGTTCCCCAAAAAACTATTGAAGAAAAACCCTGGACCCTGGACCCACCCCAAAAAATTAAAAAAAAAAAAAAGACTAAAAGAATAAAGAAATGTGCAACATTTTGATTTGCTGTTGTGATTTGAATTTCTAACTTTTATAACTGTGATTTAAAATATCTAACGTAAGTTGGTCTTCTTCAAAATAAAATTACTTCTTTCAGAGTTATTAAGAAATTTTCCTATTGGAAAAAGTGAAGCTACTAGTGTAAGACTCAGTGAAGATATATTTTACATCTCGGAAAAAATCTGGCCCACTTTAGGCCTACTCTAAAAATATGTACCAAAAAGCCAGTTTAAAAAGGTCTCTAATATAACCTACATTTCTTTTTAGTTCTAAATCTGTACAAAACTCAAAATGTTCTATTCTTTTACTTCTCTAATTGAATCGAGGTAAAAATGAATAGTAGCTTTAACATTGGACACCTTGGTCTTTGTCATGTTATTACAATATTGTTATTTAAATGTAATGTTTTTGTCTGAGTTTGAATAAAACATGGATTTGATTTATTACTAGGTACGCCCAGTGGCCAGCTTCTAAATTACATTGCTACTGAGTTAAATTTTTGTAAATAAGCCTCTGTCAAATGTCAATTGATTTTTCTAGGATAATGAATATTTTTAAAAGGGAAATTTTTAGTTGAATAAAAGCAAATGATTATTTCATGATTGTGCCAGTAGATGATTTTCACAATATATCAATATGAAAATGTGCTATCTTCAGAATAACACAGGAGTGTGAATTGAATAAAAGTTATCTTGTTCTAATTTCTGAAAAAGTCATTAGACTAAGTATCTGAAATTATATGTAACCAAGGGTGCTATAAATTATTTTCCTTCTGATGAAGGTCTGATACATTACTGGCTATGTCACCTGTCCAAAATAAATAATCAAATATAGCCAACCATTGATCATTATATTTAATCATGTATTTGTTATTTTGATGGATAACATTTTATGAGTGGGAGGTTAAGTCCAGACCTTAAAATAGTTTAAAAAAAAAAAAAAGAAACAAAAAACTTGTCATTCTTCTACAGTTTGAGAAAAGTTTGGGAATTGCTATGAATTACAAAGTTAAAACTTCTAACCCTCTGAATCTCTCTATATTCGTGTTTAGCATTTCATCAAAGATCTTAGGTCTTACAATTATTGTTGAATTGAATTGTTTCTATTTCTGATGTGAAGACTACAATAATGATGTCATTACTGCGTATCAAACATGCAAGTATTATATGTACATATGCTATTATCTGTCTATTATCTATCATCTATCTAATCTGTCTGGCTATCTTTCTATCTATATATCTCTCCATCTATCTAGCTATCTTTCTTGCTGTAGAGTGGAGATATTAGCAATTCTTTTCTGTTCAACCATATTATCTTTTTGAAGGACCTGAAGAGGTTTCAAATCCAGCCATAAATTCTGCTTTAAAGATGTTGTGCTACCTCTTTGTACTATGGGAAGATATCATCGTGTAGTGCCTTTCTTAGAGTCTAAAAACAAAATGAGTTTATAAAAAAGGTACATTTTGTTTCTTGTTCAAAACCAGTAGAAAACCAATACTTCATATAGTTCTTATAAGTATTACATAAAAGTATCTATTTGAAGTGAGCTGAGAAAGGCATGCATATACATAGGGAAACCTCACAAATTTACTTACTTACTACTCAGTGGTTAGTATTCTTTGGTGCTTTTGACAAGGTTTTTCAATGCTTTATTATGTGAACTTCTATCCAGATGGGGACATTTATGAGTTACATACAGTATAGCACTGATTATAATAATCCTACACTTAGCTGCAATTGTCATGCTGGTTTCTAAGAATTTGCAGAATCTTGTAAAGCTGTATCCCCTTTCTTTACTGTGATTTTAACAGTAGGTTCATAGACCCTTTTAAAACCAGTAAAGACAGAAAGGAAAACTTAAGATCAGAGAAGTCAAGGGCTCCTATTCATGGATGAACAAATACACACAAATTCAAATGAAATACAAATAGTCATGAACCTTATCTTCCCTCTTGCCTTCTTCTAATTACAAATTGAAAAGTACGTCGAAATATAAATGGAAGATAATAAAATATTTATGAACATATAAATATATTTTCTTTCTTTCACACTGCTTTTCCTAGTTTCTTTTCATTTTTAGATGTAGAAAAATTCTCAAATTTATATTTTTGTCATTTCAAAAGAAATTAGCATGAATTAATACGTACATGTTGCAAATGACTAAGAAGGAAAAAATGTGGAATTGCAAATCTGGAATGTTTCTCTTGTTCATATGAAAATCAGTTCACCCGTGTATGCAGGGAAGACCATTCCAATACTGGGTGTATTAAAATGCCAGTGGATCATTCTAATAAACACTGCATATTATGTATAATATAGAACATATCATACTGTATAGAGCACACAGTAAAGAGTATATAGTACATAACATATAGTGAAGAATGCACACTGTATAATATTTGCTTAGCTTCTACAGAATTTTATTTAAAAATTTCCTAAGATTTCAATTTGTGATAAAACTCCAACTTGAAAATCTTGACATGCTCCTCTGTGATGTACAGACAGAATGTTTCTTTTTTGAGGGGTCATGTTTTTCCAGCCTTCTTGAGATATAATTGACAAATAAATTGTATATATTTAAGTGGTATAACATGGCATTTATGTATATATATATATTATATATATATATACACATACACACATACCCCTTGTGAAATAATTATCATAATCAACCTAATTAACATAGCCATCATTTGTTATGGTTTGTGGGTGAGAACATTTAAGCTCTATTTTCCTAGAAAATTTCAGGTATACAGTATGTATTATTAACTAGAGTTGTCATGCTGTACATTAGATATTCAGAATGTATTCATCCTGCGCAAATGATACTTTGTAACACTGACCAACGTCTCTCCATTTATCCCACTCCCCAACCCCTGACAACCACCATCCTACTCTCTGCTTCTATGAGTTTGACTTTTTAAAATTCTACATGTAAGTTAGATCATGCAGTGTTTGTCTTTCTGGGCCTGGCTTGTTTTGCTTAGTGGGTCTTCCAGGTTCATTCATGATGTCCCCAAAGACAGAATTACCTTACTTTTTAAAAGCTAAATAACATTTCATTGTACAGATATACACCACATTTTCTTTATTTATTCATCCATCAATGGATACTTAAGTTAACTCCATATCGTGGCTATTGTAAACAATGCTGCAATGGACATGTCAGTGCAGATGTCTTTTTAAGATACTGATTTCATTCCCTGTAGATATGTACCCAGAAGTAGAATTTATAGATTATGTAGTAATTCTATTTTTAATTTTTTGAGTAATATTTATATTGTTTTCTATAATGGTTGCATCAGTTTACATTCCCATCAACAGTGTACAAGGGTTCCCTTACCTCCAAATCCTAGCTAACATTTATCATCTTTTGTCCCTTTGATAATAACCATCCTAACAAGTGTAAGGTAATAGTTCATTGTGATTTTTATTTTTATTTGATGACTAGTGATGCTGAGCATTTTTTAAACATTAACATTTCTTAAAAGAAGATTTGCACTTGCAAATCCTGGTGAGCAGGATACCTATTTCTTACCCATCCACTTTCACCCCCTAATATAAGTAGTATGTTAATCCAAACCCTCATTCTTTTAAGCGATGTTTGTTCAGGTTCTCTGCCCATTTTTTAAACTGGGTTTTTTTTGTTTTCTTGCTATTGAGATGTTCGAGTTTCTTATGTACTTTGGATAGTAAGATTTTTTAAAAATTTTTTTAATTTTTATTTTTTATTTTAAGTTATGGGGTACATGTGTAGGATGTGCAGGTTCGTTACATAGGTAAACATATGCCATGGTGGTTTGCTGCACCTGCCGACCCATCACCTGAGTATTAAGCCCAGCATGCATTACCTATTTTTCCTGATGTTCTGGCTCCCCCCACCTCCCACTCCCGACAGGCCCTAGTGTGTGCTGTTCCCCTCCTTGTGTCCACATGTTCTCGTTGTTCAGCTCCCACTTATGAGAGAGAACATGCGGTGTTTGGTTTTCTGTTCCTGTGTTAGTTTGCTAAGGATAATGGCTTCCAGATCCATCCATGTCCCTGCAAACAACACAAACTCGTTTCTTTTTATGGCTGTATAGTGTTCCATGGTGTATATGTGCCACATTGTCTTTATTCAGTCTATCATTGATGGGCATTTGGGTTGATTCCATGTCTTTGCTATTGTGAATAGTGCTGCAGTGAACATACAGATGATGTTTCTTTATAATAGAATGATTTATATTACTTTGGGTATATACCCAGTAATAAGATTGCTGGGTCAAATGGTATTTCTATTTCTAGGTCCTTGAGAAATTGCCACACCGTCATCCACAATGGCTGAACTAATTTACATTCCCACCAACAGTGTAAAAGCGTTCCTATCTCTCTGCAGCCTCGCCAGCATCTGTTGTTTCTTGACTTTTTAATAATGGCCATTCTGACTTGGGTGAGATGGTATCTCATTGTGGTTTTTATTTGCATTTCAGGATACAAAATCAACGTGTAAAAATCGCAAGCATTCCTATAAACCAACAACAGACAAGCAGAGAGCCAAATCATGAATAAACTCCCATTCACAATTGCTACAAAGAGAATAAAATACCTAGGAATATAGCAATTTTTCTGTTAATTGGCTTTTTACTACCTTTCTAGGAGTAAAAAGCTGATATTTTAGTTTGTTTTTTAATTTCTCAGAACTGACTCAATATCTTAAAAGGAAATGTGTTTTACTTAAAATATTATAACATCAAGTATTAATGAAGATGGAACCAGCTGGAACGTTTATGCAATAGTGTTAACGATGAATATTTGTACAATCACTGTGGAAAACAATATGGTATTATTTGTGAAAGGTGAAAATACATACAATGTATAACCAACAATTCTACTCCTAGCAGTATATCTTATTAAAGCACTAACTTGAATACCCTTGAGAAACTATGACACATAGACACTAAAACAGAAACATATAAAAAAGCATTTAAAACAAGCCAAAACTTAAAACAGTGCAAAGGCCATCAATAGAACATGGGATATATAAATTGTTTTATATTTAATCAATGAATAATACAGTGCAGCAAAAATGAATGATCATAATGAACTTAACAATATAAGAGAGAAAAATTTAAAAATATTTCCCGTAGACTATATACTTTACAATTTCCATCATATAAAGGTCAAAAGTAGACAAAACGAAGCAAGGCTAATAAAGAACACAAATATATGCGGCAAAAATATCAAAAGAATAGCAAGTCTAGGGGGCAAACATGGTGGCTCATGCCTATAATCCCAGCAGTTTGGGAGGCTGAGGCGGGAGGATTGCTTGAGCCCATGAGTTTAAGACCAGTCTGGGAAAAGTAGCCAGATGTTGTCTCTACAAAAAAATTAAAAAATTAGCCAGGTGCAGTGCTGTGCACCTGTAGTCCTAACTATCAGGGAGGATCCCTTGAGCCCTAGAGTTCCAGGCTGCAGTGAGCTATGATCACCACTGCACTCCAGCCTGGACAACAGCAAGAACCCATCATAAATAAAAAAAAAAAAAGAAAAGAAAAACAGAAAAAAAAGAAAGAAGAAAGAATAGCAAGTCTAGATATGATGTCCTCTGGGACAGAGGTGGGAAATAGGATGAAATTTTGGGGGAGAACATATGGAACTTCAAATGTTTTTCTAATGATCTACTTCTTAAGTTGGTGTCAAGTAACTAGATGTTTCTTTTTATTCTTTAAAATGCATACATCTTTATAATTTACATATATATTATAAATATTATTTTGCCCTTAACATTCAGTGCATTTTAAAAAATTGTATAAAATTTTAAAATATTACATGAACCTTTGTTTCATTATAAGCTGAAACAAAGCTTATAATTTTAATTTTAATTATAATTATATATTTATAATTAAAATTTAATTATAATTATAATTTTAATTATAAAGAAATTATAAGATTTGTTTCATGACCTTGAACAAATCTGACTCCATATGGCCTGGCAAGAATATTTTTGAACAGACTCAGACAAAATGTATAATTATCGACTTCAAACATTTGATGATTGAGGAACTTTACATAGAATAAAGCACACTCCCATCCCTGTCATTATAAGAAAAACAACACTGATATTCACAAACATGTACATATCTATATTTATAGATACAGTTACAGAGATATATTTCTATTATATTTTCAACAAATATGTATTGAATAACTACAATGGCAGCTACTGTTTAGATACTTGAAATATGTCAATGAACAAAACCAATATCCCTTCCCACTCGAGTTTACATTCTAGCAGGGAGACAAAGACAATAAAATATAAACATGATATAAAAATATGTTTATAGTAGGTTCAAAAAAATGTCCTGGAAGAAAGAAAATAGAGTAGGGTTAAAAAGATTGGGTGCTGGGTGTGCTGGGAGGCAACGTTGTGATGGTTACAAAAGTGGTCGGTAGGTTTTTATTTGGTTTCAAAGCAACTCTAGACCCTCAAGAATTTCATATTAAAGTTGAAATACACGTGGGAAGGTAAGTCCTTATCAATTATCACCATTCGTGGAATTCGTTAGCTATCAGCTTAAACCAAACAAGCCTTGTTAAGAGTGAAATAGAGAAAAAAAGGGACATGAGGTTGAGAACATAGATAAGGGAGAAAATCAACAAAAGGCTTCAGTGACATTTAGTGCTTTCCTGGCAGTTTATTCATGCTAAATAATGTCTGATATGGTTGTGAACAATTATCTAAAATACAGGGAGTCTAATGGCATAACATTGGAATACTGCTACAAGTGAAAAGACAAATTTAAAAAATGGGTTTTTAGCGTCCCCTTACTCCTGATAAACTTAATTTCTTATTTTTATAAAGACAGCATTTGTCTCTCAGAAAAAGGTCTGATTTCAGGCAGCTTCTCTTGCTTCTTTCAGAAACCTACCAACAACACCTGAAGGCATGCTAGAGGTTATATAAGGACTAGAAGAGAAAATGAGTTCCACACTGACATGTGATGAAGATCAACCCTTGCTTTCCACTCTCTCCCAATCCTTTTGAATACAAAGCAAGGAAATGCCTCAATAAAGAGAATGGAGGGGGTATCTATATGTGGAAGAACAGAGGTTAGCAGTCTAGATAATGAGAGCACTGGGTGGGGAATCTGGGGACTTGTTCTCTAGCCTCAGCCATGCCATTATTGGTTTAGGAGGCTCTAAATCTTTTGGGCCTTCTTTTTCTTACCTTTCAAATAAAGGAGATAGGTGAACCTTAAAGATCTTCCCCCCTATGTAGTGCTATAATTTTAATATAAAATATCTTGTTAAATACATGCATAGTTGTCAATTATAAATATTTTATTTGTGACCAGATTGTCTCCTGTAGTCGAGGGTTTTAATTCTTTCAGGGATGAAAAGCAGGACTTAAACCTGTTTACTGAGAAATGGAGGATGCGTTCTGGTAACGACATTTTTAAAATCTGCCTTCTAGTAATCACTTGTAGAAAATTAAGATGCCTACATAATTCTTAATGAATTCAACAACTATTTGTGAGCATCCACTATGTGCCAGATACTGTTAGGTGCAGGGGATACAGGGGTGAACAAGTCAGCCTGAGACCTTGTCTTCTCTTTGTCTACTATCTTTGGGTTTGACATAGGTAAAGAAGGCATCTTTTTTTTTTTTTTTTCCAAGTAGCCTAAGCTTATGGATTTGAAACCTTTTAACATGATAAATTCATTTACATGTAACATATAGAGAGATGTAGAAGTGAAGAATTATAAAAGTCATTTTATTTGAATTAATGTGCAATATCACCTCCAGAAATGTTCTATGGGTCATCATATTTCAATATTTGGCTGTAGTAAATCTATGGAAAAGCAAGACCTGTCAATTGCTAATATTTATGATAAACTATTAAAAAGGAAAATAAGTTATCACACCAACTTAAAGAAGAAGATCGCATTTCCCAGCATGTGCTGCAATTATGATTTACACCTGTTATTATTTTAAGTCAAATGGCTACTAGAACCTATGCTGATTGAGTGTTCCCACTGAAGACAGCATAGAAACAAATGCCTAGATCAAACCATTAAGTGCTGTCAGAGACACGAAAGGTCTTTGACAGATCTCGTACATGAGCCAAGCGCACATATATTTAATGCCACTTAAAGTATCATGGATCCCATAAACAGATCATTTTGAAACGTAAACTATTTAGAGAAGATACGGACATTTAAAAATGTGTCTCAGACAAATTCATTTGAAAAATCCTATTGAAATGACTGAAAATTTCTTATGCAGTCTATAGATTAAAGAACCAAATTAGAATTGGTTGGCTTAACATGCACTAGAATAATTCAGGAGAATTGGGGCTTTTAAAACTGACATAAATCAATGAGCATACTTACTCAGGATTATCTATGGGCAGGAAACAATCAATGAGTTTGGTAGAACTGCTTTCTGAAAGCACAGCACCTTTCTTAGTTTATACTATAATATTAGTTTCTTTGAAAAAGATTTTTAGACAAAGCATTCTAGCCTCATTCTTTTCGTCTTGCTGAGAGGAGAGAAAATAGCTTTTCCCACGATAACTAGCAAATGCTTATTCCATTTCTAGGCCCAAAATGTGTAAAGTGCAAAGAGGTTTCAGTAAAACCCTTGTCAAATCTTTTCCTCTTTTCCTTTAAGTCTTTCCTTGTTGGTTGATTTTTAACTGAGAATTGATTTTCACTGACCTAGCTGTGGGGTAGGCCACTAAATATGGGTCACTTGGGCTATAGGATTCCCACAGAGGTGAGAAGGATTTAAAAAAATGACCCTTTGAGATAAAGCACTGCAAATATCAGGGTGAGTCCTATTTGACAGCTCACTGCTGACTACTGGAATTTTCCTCTATCCTCACATTTCGTTTACATCTGCTGTTTCTTCCTTCTTTTAGCTTGCTTGGTGTGTGTGCGTGTGTGTGTGTGATTATACCATATTGAAGTAATTTGTTTTAACATTTTATCCATCATTACATTATCAAAATGAAGTTCAATGTTTACAGGGATCTTCAGCATCATTTGGTATGTTATTTTAAAAAGTCAATAATCATAGTGTGACTTTTACTATCTCTAGTTCTTCCCATTACCTAATACTGCTTAACCACTTACTCTAAAACATAGAAGCTCAAAACAACTATTTTATTTTTATTACAATTTGAGGAAATCAAGAATGGGAGATGGACTCTATCAGGCCATTTTTGCCTGATCCTCATGAGACTAGTTGGGGTGGCTGGGGCTGGATGTTCTACTGGCAAACATGTGTCCTCACTTGCATGTCTCAGCATTGCTCCTTATGGCCTTTCTATCTCCTCATATGGCATCTATCTGATTTTACAAGTTCTTTCTATGTGGCCTCGGATTCTCATAACATGGTCATCTCAGGAGAGTCAGACTTTTACTTGGTGGCTGACTTCCCCAGAATGAGCCAAGAGACCTGGACAGATGCTGCAGGGCTCATGATCTAGCCTTGTAGAGTATCACTTCTGTCACATCCCATTTGTTAAAAGGAGGCACAGGCCCAACACAGGTTCCAAGAGAGGATAAGTAGACTCCATATCTTAATGGCAAGCATAGCTAAAATTCCTGGCAATCTTCATCTACAAAACTGATGCTCAAACTCTTGCTCTTCCATAAAGTCTTCTAATTAGCTTCCTTGAAGTAACTACTTCCAAGATTGTAACTTTTGTTACAGCAGAAATAGCATGTGCTTTAGAGTAAAACTGGGATTAAATGACATCTTCTTCTTACTCTCTGCATAACTTTTGTTACTTAATATATCTGAACCTTAAATTCCTCATTAAAAAATTTGGATGACAACATTTTGGAGGAAGGCAAGGAAATCAGAAAATATTTCAAATGTATTTCATGCAGTGCCTGGCACAAAGAAATTCAGTAAATTTCATTTCTCTAGTCTCCTCCTTGTGCTTTCCTCCCAGATGAGTAGTTTTCCCCAATAGAAATGACACCTATGGCTTAAAAACTCTTGCCCCAATCTATCCTGCATGCAACTTGTGGTTGAAGGAATTTTCCTGAAGCATTTCTTTAAACTGTCACTCATTTTTCAAAATGTTTTATGACATTGTGATGGTTAATTTTATATGTAAACATGACTGGATTAAGGGATACACAGATAGCTGGTGAAGCATTATTTCAGGGTATATTAGTGAGAGTGTTTTTGGAAGAGATTGGCATTTTAATCAGTGGACTGAGTAGGGAAGATTTCCCTCACTGTGGGCAGGCATGATCCAATTGGCTGAGGGCCTGGATAGAACAAAAAGGAAATATGAATTAGCTCTCTCTGTCTCTCTCTCTCTCTCTCTCTGCTCTCTCAGCCCTGGACTGAGTTGACATCATTGGCTTCCCTGGTTCTGAGGCTTTTAGAATTGGACTGAGCTATACAACCAGCTCCCCTGGTTCTCCAGCTTACAGATGTCCCGGTGTGGGGCTGCTCAACCTTCATAATCATGTGAGCCAATTCCCCTAATAAGTCCCTGCTCTTCCAGCTATCTATATTTTTAAAATTTTTAATTCATTAATTATTTTTCTTTTTTGAGGCAGAGTTTCACTCTTGTTGCCCAGGCTGGAGTGCAATGGCACGATCTTGGCTCACTGCAACCTCTGCCTCCAGGGTTCAAGCAATTCTCATGCCTCAGCCTCCTGAGTAGCTGGGATTATAGGGGCCTGCCACCACGCTTGGCTAATTTTTTTTTGTATTTTTAGTAGAGATGGGGTTTCACCATGTTGGCCAGGCTGGTCTTGAACTCCTGACCTCAGGTGATCCACCCGCCTCGCCCTCTAAAGTGCTGGGACTACCGGTGTGAGCCACCGTGCCCGGCCCTATCTGTATAATCTTTCTACCTGTTCTGTCTAAGAACCTTGACTAGTACAGAGGCTATATTGAAATTGAATAAAATATAATCTGTCTGGACATTCAAGGCTCCTGTAGTCTAACTCTAACTTGTTTTTATAAACTTACACCCCTTGCTACCCAGCATGAGCTGGGGACTAAACAGCATACATTTAGTCCTCAATCAATAACCATTTCTCAAGCGTATGCTAAGTTGCTAGAACTATCCTAGATTCCAGAGATATAAACAAGAATAAAACTTTTCTTTCTGTCTACTACAAATTCATGTTATATTGTCACATAGTTGAAATTCTGGCTACATCTTCAACCTAACATGGTTCCCTTCCATGTATTATATTCATAAATAGATCTGATGCTGAATACCTTCCTTGCTAGAATCTCTTTCTGTCTCCAAATTCTGACCACCAACAACTCTGTGAATTCTCTTATTCTTTCACCTTTCATGTTGCCATCTTTCTTTGTCACTTATGCTACTCTATATTTACACCTCTATTTCCTACCCAGACAACTGAAAAAACTGACTTTGACAATCCATCCTCCCAAAGTTAGCCTTCCATTAAATTTGTATTCAGGTACTGCTCCAAAGATAATTTTTTTACCTGGTTCATTTCATTCAAGGGAATAATTCAGCTACTCTACTCTCTTTTGATTCCTAACAAAGACTTAAATCTATGTCTCTTCTCCCTAGATGACCAAACCCAGAAGTAATATCACCTTTCTCCAGAAATAATCAAAACTTTGGATTGCTGCCTTACATTTTAGCTTTTTGTGTGTATGTCTTATGTCACTTATATTCAAAGCTAGCTTAAAAAAAAGTTTTTGTAGATAAAAGGTCTCACTATATTGCCTAGGCTGGACTTGACCTCCTGCCTTAAGCAATTCTCCCACATTGGCCTCCCAAAACACTGGGATTACAGGTGTGAAATACTGCACCCAGCTCAAAGCTAGCTTTGATGTACATGTGAATTCCTTGTAACCAAAGGGTAATTAAGATGCCCAGTTACTATTTAGAAATTGAATAAGCCATTTTCACCCATATTAAATTAATAACATAAATTAAAAATTTAAAAATTATTTTTCTATATTATTTATAATTTTAATGTTTCAATTAGAAACTGCTTGTAAATAACTGAAAATGATCCTTATTAATTTATATGATATAGCAAAAGCTAGTAATAAATTCCAAACACTCATGAAGAGACACATTTACCTTTGTTCTTCATTGACTTGGGCCTGCAAAAGGATTATAGCAGTGTTTTTTAAAGAGGGCATATGAAAAAATATATTATAAAATTTAAGAAACATTCTACCATTAATATTCTTCAGCTTTCTTCTTAGTAAAGAAATTCTATTTGCTGAGTTAGTTTTTATCAACTTATTAAATCACCTACCTCTGAACCCAACATTTCTTATCATCCTAAGTCTATGTAGTACCCAAGAATTCTTTTATGTTTAAGATTATCTTTGGGGAAGAGAAAATATGTAAGGCCATCTTACACTCAGGAAGTTTTCTATGTTGATTAAATAAAGGATTATATTTAGGTGAATTATGTCTATGTATTTTCTGTACATGTGTACAAATATATGTTTGGACAAATTCTAGAAAAATATTAAATACATTTGAGGTTAAGGTTGAGTGTCTACTTCACTTAAAAAAATGTAATGTTTCTTGCAAGCATAATTCAATTTAAAAATTGGCTTAGACAAGGAAGAATGATAATTCGTATCGACTACGGCTAATATATTTCAAGCATTTTTAGAGTGAGTAATAATTATTCAGGTTGAAGTTCTCTGTGCCTCTCCAATCATACTGTGTTGGAGATTTTGTATTCTGCTTCATACCTTCTATCTTTACTGGTTTGAAATAACTCGAAAAGTTGACTGACGTGGAGGAAGTAGGGAATATTATGATAGAATCACTACAATACTCTAAAACCACTCTCACCTGTCCATTTCAAAACAGACTATAAGGACTGGGAAACATGTAATAACAGTTATCATTTAGTTGTTTCTTTACACAATCATTTATTCTTTCATTCATTAAATAGTTATTGAAAAGCAAATTTGTAGAAGACACTATGCTAGCTCCTGTAGGTACACAAAAATGTATCCAACTTTAAAGAAGTTTATAGTTTAGTAGTAAGAAATTATACACCATATAGTCTATATTTGTTTTGAATTTTAAGATATTTTAATTAGCATATTTATATAACCATTAATTAATACATATTAGCAATATCCCTTGTTTATGATTGATATTCTACAATGATTATTATAATATACTTTCATTTTCAAAAGTGTCTCCATTTGGAGGATGAATTGTATCAGTAGTTCTTAAAGTGTGGTCTAGGGATCTCTGGGGGTATCTGAGATATTTTCTTGAGCCAGCAAGATCAAAATTATTTTTATAATATATTACAAAACTGTTTTTCTTTTTCTCCTCTAATTTTCTTATGAGTGGAGTTTTCCAAAGGCTACGTGAAGTGTGATGTTGCAGCTAAGTGAATGTAGAGGGAGATCTGAGAATCCAACTGTCTTCTGTTCAGCCAAATATTAAAGAGATTGCATGAACATAAAGCCACTACTCTTAGTAGTTTTTTTTTGTTCATTTTGGAAAATATCTTTATTTTTCATTAAAGTATGTTGTTTATGTTATCATAAGCTGGGTCTATTTTATTTGTATTATTTTAAGTAAATTTATAAATAAATATATATTTTCATGCTCAGTTTTAATGTCAAACAGGGTAAATATTCATAAATATAACCTATATAAACATCAGCCCTTTGAGGTCCTCAGTAATAGTTAAGAATGTAAAAGCCTCCTGAGACTGAAAAGTTATGTTACTGGAAAGTTACGTTTTTCCTCGTATCATTTCAATTACCAGTTTGGGTTTACTTCAGTTTCTCTCTTTGGGGTCATAGAGTTTTATTTCCCCATACATGAGCATACTTCCTCTCAATTCATATATCCCAGAAATACTATGTGTCCAGTATTGTGCTGAGAGCTAAGAATACTGGAAGTAAATTAAATGGATTTCGTTATGTTATATAAAAAATAATTTTAATCAAGTAATCACTAAAAATGTAAAATTTACCCATGGCAAGCTAGGAAGAAAAGCTATATGGTTTATGCCTGTCTATAATATTTTGATTTGGCCTTAGAAGTAAGGACAGGAATCATTCCCCATGGGAAATTACACTTAAAAAAAATGAAGTATATACAAGTGCTCATGTGATGATGAGTGGAAAGAGCATTATAGGGAGAGGACATAGATATGGACAGGCTCTGTGGAAGGAGGGAGCATGGAGGATATGAAGGTCATAAGTGAATCAAGCTCAAACTGGTTTTGATATCCATTGTTTTTAGATTTCTAGATTTACTCTTTTTTGCCCATTCACTGTGGCCAATCATACCGGAGATCAGATGTACATTTTCTCCATCAAATCAATTATTTTCTTCCTTATTCACTATTCTACAAGAATGAACATCTAGAATGTATAGTCATGCACTGCAAAATGACGTGGTCAACAACAGACCTCATAGATGACAGTGGACCCATAGGATTTTACAGTAATTTTACTGTATATTTTCTGTTTAGATATGTTTAGATACAAAAATACTTACCATTGTATTACAATTGCCTACAGTATTCAGTATAGTTACATGCTGTACAGGTTTGTAATCTTAAAGCAATGGGCTGTACCATATAGCTGAGGTGTGTAGTAGGTTATACCATCTAGGTTGCTTTAAGTACATTCTGCGATGTTTGTGGTGCCCCAAGGAGTTAAAAGAAAATTGAAAAATGAGCTTAGCTGGGAAAAACAGAAACAGGAAGAGATGAATGAATGTTTGAGAAATGGGGTGAACCATAAGCAGCTCACTAACATCTAAGCATTCTGTTATAAGCACTCAGCTCCCAGCACCCTGCATCCAAGCATCCTGTTTGTAGCATTCAGCTAAAGCAGCATAGCCTTATAGAACTCCCCATCCAGTCCCTGCCTCTTTGAGACAACTGACAGCCTTCCTTCTGCTGTCTTGTCAGTTGCATCCTTGCAATGTATCTCCCCTTTCTTTAATAAATATGCCTGTCTAAACTCATTCCTGTCTTGGTAAATTCTTTACCATGTGTGCTAGCCTCAAAGAGTCACTAACACAATATTCACATGACAAAATCACCTAAGGATGCACTTCTCATAATGTATCCCTGCTGTTAAGCAAGGCATGACTATATTATGTTGACGATCCTTTGTTTTATTTTATTGTTATTTTTATATAGATTTATAACAGCATCAACACATCTCTGTCAGGCGTCTTTGAAGAGTTGTGTGACAGCGGCCCAGGCCAGGCCAACTTATTCATGTCTCTGGGAAGAGATTTGAATTAATCTGTGGGTAATTTTTGTTTACACTAAAGTTGGAGAAAACTAAGAAAGACCCTGTGGATAAATATTTGAATATTGGTTTTCTGGATTAGGGAGTCCTGAATGAAGTTACTACTCACATTTAAGACTTTGAGATAAAGTTGCCTTTGGAAGCTTCCAGAATTCTATTGTTTTTAGGACTTAATGAAATTTCAAGGGTTTAGCTGTGGTGTACAGTATGTGAAGGCAACAGTTGCCCTGCAAGTGATCTACAATTGATTGAATTTATAATTGAAAAGTTGATCGTGATTGACTTTCTGAGGATTCTGGGATTAGAACTTGCCCTGTTCTTGGTTTTAAGAGAAATTTTAGCCCCACCTGCTTAACATCATCATCAGAGATTCCTTTTTTTTTTTCTTTTTGGCCAAATGTGTAATAACATGTTTTTCCACTTTTCCATCTGAGGGGACATTTAATTCTGTTACCAGCTAGAATAATTGTTCTGATGCAACAGTTCATCTGTGGCTGGGGATACTTGAGGCACTTCATTCATTTGTGTTAGTGAATTTTAATTGATTGATTGCTGATACCTTGCAGAATATAGAAATCTTGTTTCCAGGGAAATACATTCTTTAACATTTACCTTATCACCAGTCTTTTATATTTAACTTTTAATATTTGAATTAAATATTTCTATACCTATTTGCCCTACTTTGAGTCTTACTATAATTTAGCAAGAACACATTAAATTAAATGACATGGGATTGGAATGTAAGGCAATTCATACACTTGATTTGAAAGCATGAAATGATAGGGCTTTTAAGTTGAAATACATTATGAGTGATGTAAGTCTCCTGAAAATTAGACTCCTTAAAATTAACTTACGTGTTTACTTATTAGCACTGATTTATGTCTTAGTTCTTGCTGTGACCAATACTTGAAAGATATATCACTTGGCTTTCAATATTTCATAATTAGGACTCTTGTTATTCAGGAATTTATCACTCTGCACTCTCATTCTGAGTAGCATTTGTGATATTTTAGATGATGTTTTCCATTTGAAATGGTATAAGTTCTAATATCACAAAAGTTAAAAAGTAAAGAGAATTAGTGATCTAATTAAGAAAGTTTCTGACTTCACATTTTCTTCATTTGGTTGGAGTTACTTTCCATCTTAAAATCACACAGATATTATACCAGATGTATAAAATGGCTAACGAGAACCCATATAATTTAATAATATTCATCTCAGAAATCTCAGTTAAAGCTAGGTAGAGAGTGATGATTCTCTTCAATCTTCTAGCTTTTCCTATAGGTGTGCTGGCTTATAAGAAACAATTACCATATTGAAGATTGTGCCTGCCAATTTTTCTCTAGCTGTAAATTGATGGAAGTGAGAGCATTTTCAGAAAAAAGAAAAAAAGAAAAACGATTGTTAGCAGCCTTTTCCTTTGCAGTAAGTGAAGCAAAGCATTATTTTAAGGGAAAGATGAAAGTAGCTGCAAAGGCCATTTAGACTTGAACTCCTATGCATGAAGGCCATCCACCCCAAGCCTATCAATCACATATGACTACCAGCCAATCTTTGCAGGCTATAATTTCTCTAGCAAAAGGTAAGGCAGTGCAGCCATCCCCAGCTTTGATGAAACTTTTATGAAGGAAAATTTATACTAGTTGTACCTGATGCTCAGTTGGGAGCTGATTAAATGATTTATATTTTGCCTGATCAGAAACCCAGGCAGATTAAAAATTGTGGCAATCCCCTTTCAGAGTGCACATCTTGTCTTCAGGTCATTGCTGAGAGAAATTGTCAATGTGGTTCAAGGACAGCTCAGCAATTCTTACTTTCTCAAGGCAAGTCATTACTTAAGTGGTTGGATGTATATTTTTAAGAGCAATGCCTTTGAAAGCTGACTTTCCTCTGTAATTATAGGCCTGCCAAATAAGATGTTAATTTAGAGTTGTTTGGGGTTTCAAAAGGCAGGACATAAATTAAATTTACTTAAGTATCCTCCAGAAGTCTTATCTTTCAATTTCAAGACACGTATAACTTAAAATAAGGATTTTAAACATGCCAGTAACTGGCTCAGAAACTAGAGAGGGACTGAAACATACCAGCAGAGCAAATCTGGCCAAGTGAAGGCAGAATTGGGGAAGTCTAGCCAGGCAGGAAGAATCTGCTACATGTTATGAGCTAGGAAGGCAGTGATTGAGTCTAGGCAGTTAATCCTGGACAGCTCCTTCACATATTGTCCGTTTCTTATGCTGATACGTTTCTTTATTTACCAACATTGTTTCAGTAAATCATTTAAATGAGTATCAATAGCAATGAATATTTTTTGAGTATTTACCTTATACAAAATGCAGTATGTTTGGAGATGTAAGGAAACAAGCATTAATAGTAATAGGCCTCAGATTTGCTACTTAGCAGTGCCAGAAGAATCCCATTACTGGAAGGTAAATTTGGGAAGCTAGCATTAAAAGGGGCTGAACAAAAAAGTAGTCCCCACGTATTTAATTCCTCATTCATGGTGTTGCCATTGTTCTTTGCATATATTTTTAATTTTGCCATTAGCTGTCTGCATTATTATTATCATTTATACATCTCTACTAGACTGATTTGTCTCATTTATTTCTGTTTCAGTGTGTATAATAGTGCCCAGAATGAAGCAGATCCTCCATAAACATTTTTTTATGTGGTTGGAGGAACAAATAAATAAGACGAGTCATCAAAGGTTCTGCTAATCAGAGGTCATATAATATATTTCCTGGGGAACAGAAATCCAGGCAGATAAAATACAAGGACACTGTATACTGGTGTCCTTTTAAGAGGCACAATCAACATATTTAGACATAAAATTGAAATGATGTAAATGTTATGCGAGAGTCCTAGAGGATGCCATCTTGAACTGACAGATGGATGTGTTCAAGGGGCTTTAAAAAGTGACTTTTAAAAACTAAGTTTAAAAACTGTTCAGAATTTGTACATTTTTCACACCAACTTTTTATTTGTAAATTCATATTCCATTAAAAATGTCATGAGACATATGATCTTAATAAATATTTTTTCTTTTTTTTTCAGAAAAATAGTATATTATAGAGGTATAATAAAGGAATAATTGGGAAATGGGATATATAGTTATGTTGTTCTAACATACCAACCTTTATTTTGCACTGAAAACATATATACCAAAAGCATGATAGTGTTCAGGTGCATGGTAGAAATAAATTGACTCTGAATTCCAACATTTTACATATTAACAAATATATTGATAATCAATTAAGTGATAATTCCTTTCCGCTTCACCCGCCTCACTCTATCCCTTTAGAAGCCAATAACTAAATTTAAAGCAGTGTACATAGTACATACCTTTTGTCATTTAAATGATAAACATGGTCTCAGGGTCATGTTTGGACTGTGCATTAGAGAATGTTTTAAATTATAATAGTCATATATCAATTTTCAAAGAGCTATTAAAGATAGCATTTAAACACTTTCCAAATGACTTTTAAAATTTAAGAGTCATTTTTTGTTTCTGTTCTTCAGAAGTTATTTAGCCAATTCCTACCACTTATAACAGTTTATAACAAGGGTTATAAACTCTAGGGACAATTTTTACATATTGAAAATTCCTCCTTCAATGTTGTAAAAATCAAAGTCCGAGTAAGTTGAGGAAGAATATGGTTAAATAAATAAGCTTTGACCGAACTTATGGAGTTTGTGTTTAACAACTTCTGTGCCCTTTCACGTGGTAAATGTTTATAGCCAAACTTCCAATCAGCTCTGTCAGGACTATTACTTGGCATTATGTCTGGGTTCCTTAGTTTAATTTTAGTTCCATTTGTTGTGCATATACACCACTGTAATGAAAACTGACATAATGAGTTGATTCAAAATTAAATGATTCAAGAACTGAATATAACCATGTAGGAAAATAAACATCCAAATGATGCAGCAGAGAAAAGATAAATTGCTTATGATTTAATTTATTTTGAAAGCTAAAAAAATGATGTAGCATTTTGGGGAGAAGTGATTATCTCTTTTATATTTGCAGACAGTTCAAAAAAACTATAGCTATAGCATTCTTATTAATCTTATTCTTCCCACCTCTCATCCTTTTTATTTCCTCCTAGCTCTCTTTATCTTTTATTACTTCTCCCATGAAAAACATTAAGGCTGTGTAATGTGAAATGCTAAACTGAACATGAAGCAAAGTTGCAATTAAGTATGATCACCTATATAACATTTAAGTTGGCAAATTAGCCGTCACATGAGTCTGTGACAAATGACAATGGCAGGGACTTCTAATTTTTTTTTGAGACTTCTAATTAAATAAGCTTTTGTTTAGGCATTTTATGACACAAATGGTCTAGTGACTAGAATGGTAGAAGAGGGCATCTAAGGGCATGTGCCGAGTATACATAAGAGTGTGTGGGGAATCATCTGACACTGGCTCCCTGAGGTATTCCCAGGGTGATGAGTCTGCTGGCATGCTTGAGGCAGGTAGGCTCTGCCTGTGTGGTACACGTTCATTTCTCTGAATTTCAAGCAGGATAGTGTAGGGCCCAAGCGAAAACTTCCCCTTTGCCCTCTAAAGGTTTGCTGAAAATCACTGACAAGAGACAGATTAATCAAATAAAAGGTATACATATTCATTAAGTGTATATGGTGGCCTTCAGAATGAAGAACCAAAGACATAGGGGACATTGTCTATTTTTATGCTTAGGTTTGAAACTGACCCAATAATCTTGTTTTTTTGTTTGTTTGTTTTGTTTTTGCTTTTTGGATAGCCTTAGAAATGAAACTTTCTGGTCTTAAAACTTGAAGCTTACATTTATTTCATCTGAGTTCCTTCCTTAGGAAATGGCCTTCAGGCCTCTCAAAAAAATTATTGCCTAACTGAAACTCACCAGATCACCACATCCAATGAGATGCCAGACCCTTCATTCATCATGATTGCTTCCTTGCCCCTCCCTAGTTCCTGTTTTCTTACACGTTGTTACATTTCTTCCTTGCTATGTAAACCTCTGGTTTTAGTTGTTTTGGGAGATGGGTTTGAAACTGAGCTTTCTATCGCCAGTTGAAGCACCTGATTAAAGCCTTCTTCCCTGGCAATACTCGCAATCTTAGTCATTGGCTTTCTGTGTGGTGAGCAGCAAGGCCTAGACCAAAGATCCTGGTGTATTGGTAACAGGTTTAACAAACTACAAACAGCTATGTAGAAATATGATTGGATGAAAAGCACATGACCTAATGCTACAGACTGAGTGGGGAAACCCAGCAAGGCCTGTCTGTCTAGATTCTTCTTGGCCTCTGGGAGCATGCACTCCTTCCTTCTGGGTATTGGCAGGACCCTCTCTGGAATGGGAGTCTTAGGACTTACAGTAAAACAAGGTAGGTCAGATAATTTCTTTATGGCCAGTTTTTACACAGAAAAGCAGAGGGTAAGTTAGGGTAATATTTTTAGGTTTTATGGCTGGCTTTGGGGAAAAAGTGGTTCTGGGTTTTATGACCCACTCTGGGGAAGAGGGATTCTAATTTCTATGGCTAGCCTCAGGGGAGAATTGGAATGAGAGACAGGAGGGCAGGAGAAGGTAAGAGAAAACTTCTGCTTTCTGAGGCAGTTTCTGAGTCCTCCATTTTGGGTTACCTTTTTTAGTCCCAAAAATAGACACTGCTAATCTCTTTTCTCTTTCTTCAGCTAGGAAAAGGGAAAAAAGAGGCAGGCAGGTAGGAGGGAAGGAAGGAAAAACCCAGGGAAGGAGAGCAAAAAGAAAGATAGATTTAAGTCCACCTATGATATGGTTTGGCTTCATGTCTCCCCTCCCCCAAATCTCATCTCCAGTTGTAATCGCCATGTGTTGAGGGAGGGACCTGGTGGGAGGTGAGTGGATCATGGAGATGGTTTCCCCCATGCTCTTCTTGTGATCCTGAGGGGGTTCTGTCGAGATCTGGTTGTTTGATAAGTTCCTGGAGAGCGCATTCTCCCTATGCTCTCTCTCCTGCTGCCTTGTGAAGAAGGTGACTGCTTCCCCTTCATCTTCCACCATGACTGTAAGTTTCCTCAGGCTTCCCCAGCCATGTGGAACTGTAAGTCAGTTAAACCTCTTTTGTTTATAAATTACTCAGTCTCAAGTATGCCTTTATAGCAGTGTGAAAATGGACTAATACAATCTCTAAGGCAGAGCTTTTTCCTACAAATCTGTAAAATGCACAAAAAAGATTTATATTATATTCATTCATTCATACAACGAAACTTAACGAGTAGCTATTATGTGTTATGGACTGTTCTAGGAACTTTAATATGCAGCATTATATAAAGTATGACATAGTCCAGGAGTCAGCAAACTTTTCTGTTAAGGACCAAATGGTAAATATTTTTGGCTTTGCAGAACATGTAGTTTCTGTCTCAATTGTGCCTTTGTAATGCAAAAGCAGCAAAAAAAAATAGTAAACTAAAGAGCATGGCTGTGTTCAAATAAAACTTTATTTACAAAAACAAGCACAGCGGGATTTGTCCTGCAGCCCATTGTTTGTCCATCAGGTATATTCTAGTTGATAGTGATTTGAAATATTGTCATAGACCTGGATAAAAGTCACTACATTTCTTACATTCAAATTGTTTTCTCAACTGCAGGTTATAGGTTTTGTTTTGTTGGGGCAGAAAGATTAGGTTTTAATTATATGATGCATATTGGATTTTATTAAACAGGAGTCCTCACAAAATAACAAAATTTTGCCTTAGCGAAGTCAATCATGTGTTATGTGAATCTTGTGGATTCTTTGTACACAAGAAACAATGCCAGCTGGGAGGCAAGTGTGTACTTAGTACAGAGCTCTGTAAAACTGGATTTGATGCACATGTCACAGCCCAAAGAGATATGGGTGACTCTGCACTCCCTTAACTCTACATCTAAATGTTGAGATTGTTAATTTTTCACTGATGGAAGTGAAAGCTCAAAGCTCACATTTAACCACAACTAAGCAAACTCAGCTCTGTGACCTCTACTGTAGGTGGGTCACTAGTACAGGTGGATCACTAGTACAGGTGGATCACTAGTATAGGTGGATCAGTATTCTATAATCTTACCAACCAGAAAAATCTACTCTTTCTGGAAAAGAACAAGCAAGAATAGTAAAAGAGAGGCTTGTGTTTGGTGTGGGAGTGATAGCAGGAGTTTTCTCTTTTTAAAAGGCCTACAATTTGATTTTCTATTATAAAAACAAAAGTTAGATTCTGCAAATTGACTTCCAAATATATTTACCAGGATTCAGTGGGAGCCCATCCAGGTTAACATGAATGTAAAATGTTGATGCCTAAGATGTAGAAATAAAAGAGCTTATGAGAAACTACCTAGTGCATAGCAGTATTGTATTGTGAATTTGAATGCCTTTTTTTTTTTTTTACAGAAAACAAATTATCAAATGATTTCACATAGAAAAAGTATGACTTCTTTTTATTATACTTTAAGTTTTAGGGTACATGTGCACATTGTGCAGGTTAGTTACGTATGTATACATGTGCCATGCTGGTGCGCTGCACCCATTAACTCGTCATCTAGCATTAGGTATATCTCCCAATGCTATCCCTCCCACCTCCCCCCACCCCACCACAGTCCCCAGAGTGTGATGTTCCCCTTCCTGTGTCCATGTGTTCTCATTGTTCGATTCCCACCTATGAGTGAGAACATGTGGTGTTTGGTTTTTTGTTCTTGCGATAGTTTACTGAGAATGATGATTTCCAATTTCATCCATGTCCCTACAAAGGACATGAACTCATCATTTTTTATGGCTGCATAGTATTCCATGGTGTATATGTGCCACATTTTCTTAATGCAGTCTATCATTGTTGGACATTTGGGTTGGTTCCAAGTCTTTGCTATTGTGAATAATGCCGCAATAAACATACGTGTGCATGTGTCTTTATAGCAGCATGATTTATAGTCATTTAAAAACAAACAAACAAAAAAAAAAAAAGAAATGCGCTGCAAAGCCCTTCATTCCCCACTCATGCGGATGGGACACAAAAGCTGCTTTTGATAATAGTTCCATATCACTTCCTCTGTGACACGCTGTGGGGACTGCAAGCCACAAAACAAAACAAACACCTTCATGTCCTATTGTGAAAAGTTCAAGGTGGTCATACAGGTGAAGAGCTGTCCTCGTATGACCTGAAGAACAGGAGATTGCAAGTTGCATTTAGAAAGGCTTTCTTAGACAACATCCCTCTGGAAATATTGGGCCAATATTGCCAAAGCAGTTCTAGCATTACAAGAAACTTATTTAAGGAAATTTCTATCTGCAACTGCCAAAGGATGCAAGGTAAATTTATGGTTCCACCATGGCCTCAGAATGGAAACCAATGGAAATATGTACACTTGTTGAGCACATAGGCCCTGAAAGGAGAATCACACCTGGCCCTGTGGCCTATTAGGTACCTAACTATGGGCAGATTGGTTAGCTCCTCTAGGCATCATTTTTTTAATGTGTTAAATGGAGATAATATTAAGACTTACCTCATAAAATCCTTAGAAGGATTAAATGAAGTAATTCATATACAGCCCTTACGAACAAATGACATTTGTGTAGGTCAGAACCAACTTACTAAAGATACCAGAGAAACTATTTAAAAAAAAAATAAAGACTTCATATATTATTGGTTTTTCTTATTTTAATAATTGCAAAAACAATTCAAAGTCTGCGTTTCAGCCATCATCTGGGAACTTCTTTGGAAATCAATGCATGTCATCTCTCACCCTGAAAAGAAGCAAGGGTCATTTGCTTACCTTGACATCGTGCAACTTCATCTAGAGAGGTAAAGCCCATGTATGAGTTAGTGATCTTTTGAAAATGCTGCCTAAGAGAAGCACCAAAAAGAAAGTCAGAAGGGTCCATTAGCATCTTTCTAGCATCTGAAACAGGACACCCACAAAAGTATTTCAGAATCTTTTAAAATGCAGGCTTTGCAAAAGGTTCCACCTATAATAATGCCTACAGAGACTGCAAAACCATCATGCTATCCTACATATTCATGGAATGAATAAAAGCAACTGGGTGGATTTGATTGAGCAAAGACTGGAGTTGTAAGCAGTATCTGGCACATAGTAAGTTCTCAATAACTGGAAGCTAAGGTGATGGTAACAAAGATAACAGATATAGCAGAAGGGAAAGCACATCTTAAGAGGAAAACAAAAAAGAAATTCAGTTAGATATTGTTTGTCAATGACAATGTAGATAATAAAAAAATTGTTCATCCTACCATAAAAAAAAAGTATGACTTCAAAAGTGATAGAATAAATTTGCCTTTGCAAAAAAGCAGTAGTGTTGCTCAGATTTGATTGTAAGACAGTCCGAGATCTAGAAGTTTATGTCACTGACTAGTTGTATTAATAATAGCCAAAAGAAAAGGAGCAGCATTGATTGCTGAACTAATTGGATGTTTCTTGAAACTTGGCTGTGCCAAGCCTGGCTCCTCTCAGAGAGAGAGAGACCAAACACCAGCATAATAGCTTTACTATTCCCTTTGGGTTGTTATAAGCAGAATCAATATGTACTAATGACTGCAGCAATAAATTTGGTCATAGTTCACAGGGTAACATTCTGCACTTACCCAGTTGTTGGTTTGACATAGAGTAATAGAATTTACCCTTTTAAGTTGTAAATTACGATGAAAATGCTGAGCCTAACACAAAATGCATTTGGGGATGTTTTTAAGCATAGGAAATATTGGTAATACTTCCACTAAGCATACTATTAAAATAAATAAATAGTATTTATTGCTTGGTTCCCAGCTGCAGCTGGATGGAAAGCAGTGGGAAAGGAGAAATAAGACATACATATTTATCAAATGCACAGGGCTCATGTTTACTTAATCCATTTCCAAGGAGTTGCTTACACCAGAGAAAAGAAAAGAGGGTTTTGTTTTTACTTCTGAGGTTCATTTCAGTGAAGCTGATATAGAAAATAGTACTGTTAGTTACAATTGTAATAATTCAAAAATTAATTGTCGTAAAATATTCCTCATGACTTTTTGCCAATCATTAATTTGCTACCACTTTGTTATGCTTTTTTGGCTTAAGTTTCATCAAGGCATCTATATAATGTTTTGATCTGTAAGGTAAAGTGGAGAATTAGTGTCTCAGAATAAACCAACATGCCCGCAGATATGCAAACACACACACACACACACACATTAGATTTATACATATGTGTGTATGTAAACACACATATTCAAATGGTATATTTCATGTAAGTGTGCACATCTTCATGAAATAAAGTGTTTTTATGTTATGTTTTATTATAATGAAAATTACATCTCACACACTATTTTCAGGATTAACTTTGTGATTATAATTGGTAAAAAGACGTATTGATTTGTATGGATTTGATTATGGGATCATATGTGTGTGTTGGGGGTGAATATATAAACCACTCAGTTACCTTTTCATTGTCAAAAAAAGACTTTGTATTTTTTTTTAACTTTCCTTAAATGCATACATAATATGGGTGGTAAAAAGAGTTTGTTTAGAAAATAGTAAGAGGAATTTAGTCAATTTAGGAGTAAAATTGAACTTCAGTGTTCTCCATCCCATCTTCCTCCTAGGTAATTTTCATTGCACTTAACTGTTTCTGTCACAAATTTGAGATATGATAACATTTTTCCCTGTGTTATATGATAGACATATGTCTTAACACAATATTGTGAACTTCTAGAGGGCCTAGAAAATTGTATTCTTTTTTAAGTTTCTCAAATATTTGGCACAATGCTAGGCATATACAAATATTTGATAAATACTTTTTCAATTCAAAATTACAAAACATGAGTAAATTGCTTGGGTCTGGCCTTACGTGTCAGTACAAGAATTGAAGAGATGACAAAGGTCAATTAAAATGAAGAAGAAATGTATATTTTTTCTAATGTAAAAAAATTAATTTTTTCACATTTTTGAGAAATACATTTATTTTAAATAATATAGTAATGCTTTATTTAGTATGTTGTGCTTTGTTGATAACAAAGAGAATATCAAAAATATGTATTATGTTTTGCAATGAACTACATATAAGAACCCTGTGGGAAGGAGGAAACTGAATAGCTTGTGCCCTCTGATAAGCCTATTTTAAAACTTGTTCCAGTCATCTCTTTTTTAAAATGAAGTCATTTCCATGAAATTCTAACCAGGCTATATATATTTATTAGGCACTAGAATGTCAATTGGTATGCCAAACATCTGGTTACCTAGGGTCTGGCTTAACTGGGCAGAACAAGTATTTTTTTTTCTATCAAATCCACTGATTACCTACAAAAGAATGATTTCATCATTCTGGTCACCATGCATCCTAAATGAGGTTTTGCATTGAAGTGTTGATACTTACTCATTAGTATGAAGTCATTTGAGAATGAAATTGCAGGTGAAGATTTGTCTGTGTGTAGCGTTAAATGTTGACAGATCATCTCCCTGTAATGGGAATGCGGAGTGAAGACAATGTGCTGCCAGTTGAATTGGAAATGCAGATACTGAATCATTAATGCTTTAAATTGTAAAGTGTCGGATCTAATTCAGGAAATACATGCTTTTATAAATATCAGACTGTCATATCCACTCTTTGAAAACATTTCAGTGAACTCTGTATCTCTTCTAACATCAAAACTGTTTAAGTTTTTACCTTTTGGTCTTAATATCAGAATAATTCCAATTAGTAACTAACTTCAGTGCTTGATCACATTAGCTCAATATGTTCCCACTCCTCTCAGACCCATATGTGTAAAAGAGACCGAAAGTACTTTCATATAGATTGTGTGGCCTGCCTGTAAGCAAGTATGTTTAGTAACATAGGATTGAAGACAACAATCTCTATTAGTATTCAAAATTAAGTCCAGGTTTCTAATTATTCCAAGCTATTGAGAGCGGTTTGCCCATGAGTTACTTTAAGGCAACACTATCCTTTTATGTTATGACTTCATGGGTAAGTGAGACACTAGAAATGCTTCAAGAATGTAGCTATACTTAATGCCTGCAGTAATTTTTTCCTATTATAGTTACTTGTATGTATGCTTTACTCACAACTTACAACTTTCCTATTATAGTTACTTTTACGTATGCTTTACTCACAACTTAGAACATAATATACTTCATTTATAGTAACCCCATTCCAGAACACATAACAACATGCCATGGAAAGAATATTGGAATTAGAGACAATATATTTGTGTTTGAATTCTAGGTTTTCACTTCTTAGTTTTATAACCTCGGACAACTTGCTTAATTTCTCTTATGCAATTTTATTATCCCTAAATCTAAGATAATAATACTTCAGAAACTTGTAAAAAATTAAAGAAGAGAGTCTATACAAAAGAGAATCAGCATCATAACTACAATATGCAGCACAGATTAAAGATTAAAGGTATCAATATTATTATTTACATATAGAAGATAATAGCTATGTGGAAAATGACAAGTAGCTTTCAGTGGTCGACAGAGTTCTGCAGAGTGTAAGTATCTGCTGACTTGACCATTTTCAATATTGAGGCTTAAATATGTAATGTCATTGCAACTTGATTAGAGTGTTATATGGACCCTATTTATTTGACACTCTGGTAAATAGCATTTCTATTTAATCTGAGGGAGACTGTCAAAGAACAAAGCCAGTTCCATGCCTACAGCAACCCAGCAATGAATTAATGGTATATCTATAGTACTAGCACACAGTCTATTTAAATCGGATAGATGGCTGCTTTTCCTGCAGCCCATCTGCAACAGTCTATAAAGGAATGTAATTCAGCTGAATAACATAAATCTCCCTCTGCTGAGATCCTTTGTTCAAGTCAGTTGGTTTTTCTACTTGAGGCTGGCTGTTAGACAACTCAATCTATCACTCATGTTTATTCATATCTTAATGCTATCTATATGCTTACTTTAAAATCTCAAAGTGAAAATGAGTCCTCGATATCATACATTCCTGTAATAAGAGAAATAATTTATTTGCTTAGTTTATTTCTACCATGATATGCAATTTAGAGAGGCTTCTAATAAAAAAGCTTTGCAAAGATTATAAAGTTGTCATGGCAGCATCACTCAATTAACACTTAAGACACTTTTTATTTGTTTGTATATTTTTAATGCAATTTTCTACTAACGCAAAACAAAACTTTCTACTTTCACCATGCAAAGAAATCCAGTGGTATACTTCTTCCAAACTGAATGTCTTATAACTCTCTTACTATGAACAGTAAGAAATTGCACAGAAATATAGTTACTTTATATTCAAAACCTACCTATTTCTTTCTTGGTTTATGACTTTTCATATCCTGAGTATCCATCCATGAAACAGGATAGCCGAGGAAGGTTGAAGAGGGCATCAGGATATGGCAGAATACCTCCATTTTAATTGTAGATAAACTGCTCATTAGATGTGTGCCTGTTTCAGGTTACCCAAAATTTCTGTTTCTCACTTTCTTCATCATTAAGCTACTAGGTAGTAAAGCTTAAATGAACTAAAGCATGTAAAGCATCTAGCACTTCATGAGTGTTCAGTTAAACTAAAAAAAATGTATTTTCACAGACTTAGCCTGTGGATGTGAGTATTCAGGAAGGAAGTTTAGAGTGATTTTGGGTGTCAGAGAGAGAAGGCAATTGTCTCAGAAGAGGATATTAGAAGGGGTTAATAGAAATGAAGGCTATAATTCTCTAAAGTAGAATTTGATCTACAGATTTATTTTATGTAAGGGATGAATCTTATTGTTGGATGAGTCTTACCTTAATGTGTAAACGTGTATCTTAATTTGATAGTCTAGAAAATGGCTAGATTTAACATCAGATCTGCCTAAAGTTATTGTTTCTCTAACTTAATTTCACTAGATAATTCATAGACTTTCCTTAATAAGATACCATGTATCATTTAACCATGATGGGCTTGTCAAGTGGGGGCTTACTCAGAATACCTATGTGTAAACTGGGTGAGTCACAAATCCAGAACATTTTTCTCACATATGCGATTACTTTACTATTGTTATGTGGGTCTGAAATAGTATGTTTCTGCTATCTTTTGGCTTTCTAAAAGGAAAGAACAGTGACTCAAGTGAGAAGACCACTAAAAGCCAGACAGCAATAAAAATATAATGAATATGCTCCAATTATCCAACAAGGAACAAAAAGAAGATATAACTGTCAACTACAAAACTAGAGAGCTGTAGACGTTCTGAAAATTGGTTAAAGCCATAGTGAGACCATTCCTAAAAGGCATTTCGGAATCGTTCAGTGATTTTTAAAGTTAATTTAAATCTTTTGCTGAGGTGGAGGTGATGCAAATCACTTCCCAGTTAAACTTTTAATTATTTCCAACCCACCCCATCCGTTAACTCCAATCATTACTAAACAATAGAAATTAGAATTAATTTCTATTAATCCTGCACTCTGAAGTGTCACCCAGAGGCCATTGTGCTCACCATCTTTTTAACCCCTCGTTTTCTGGGTTGTACACATTTTCCTGGTTTAGTGGAGATAAGTAAGTTGGAATTATTGGGGAAGATTTATCAGAATGCGCTCCAGAGAAACAGACTTGTTGACTTGGATTTAAATGCAAGTAGCAAGAAATAACAGAAATGTCCTTCAATTGTCCAGGACAGCATGATGAATTATGATGACAGAGCCCACATGGAATGGTTCTTCTCCTTCTCTAATCCGTCTTCTGGAACATTGTATTTTAGATGAACTTGCAGCCCTAGGCATGTATCATATTAATGCTTTTGTATTACCAATGATTGTGTTGGCCAGACATCAGTTTCAAAGCCAATTTTGTATTCATCATTCATTTTGATAGGAAATAATAGAAGACATCACTTCAATTTTAGTAAGTAAAAGATTCAGGAGTAACAGGAATTGACTGTCATGCTTTTTTTTCTTTTTTAAATGTTGGATGATATGAGGAAAGAAAGTTAAAATAGAAAAAGAAAACAAATCAAGAGTTGTGTTAATTCAGTGACCTGTTAGTGGTTTGTATGCTGCAAAAGTAAAGCTTTATAGTTATGCAAAGAATGAAATTGCAAGTGATAATTCTGTCAATTAAAGGCAATTTGTTTTAAAATATTGGCACATCTGAAATCATATAATATGGTGAACCAGGTAGTGTGAATAGCATAGAATGTCAACAAATAAAGGCTAGACAAATTGAAATCCTTCAACTTTTCATGGACTCACAAAGGACTGAGATCCTAGAAAACTGCCACGACAAAATCTGAAGAGACAGGCACATTGAGAGAGATACAGTACTTGAACTCTGCTTAGATGGAGTGGAAGCCACTGGAAGCCATAGCAGTAGGACAACTTCATTAATAATTTGAGTGAATTGCCGGAGGTGGAGCATGTATAAGCTAAGAATAAGAAATACCTGGGGGCTTCAATCACGGGAGTTTCCACACTGTCATGGAGTTTTTTTCCATGAACCTCATCAGACTTTTACAGTGAAGATCTGATAGAAATGCCCTCAAGCCTTTGGCAGGGGTATTGGGAGAGTAGCCAAAGTGTTGATATAATCCTCCCAGATTCTTCTCTATAACAAAGGGCAACTCTGAGAAAAAGGCTTCTCATAGGGCAATGCTGAAATATTTTTCTACCTGTGTTCTTCTAGCCTTTCTGTCATACCTAAGAGGTGGAGGGGAAACATTGAAATGTAGTCACCAGGATGCAAGAAAGTAAATCTGGAACATTATCCAGGGAAAAGAGTAAAAGATGAGAAAGGAAAAAAAAAAAACCTCTGTATTTGTGTAGGAGGGACAGAAACACTTGTGAAGTGTGAAACACCTCCCAGACATGGTTCTACTAAGAGAGGAGACTTAATTGGGAGACTATAGATGACTTTCCTCTACCACAGCCTACCACTACACCAGTGAGCCTGTAGTGTTTTTTAGTGGATTACAACTAGAAGAGCTACTAAATGTGAATGCTCTCTGAGAAGTATAACAAGAAGCCACAAAGCCAAGAGGAAATACAAAAACAAAGAAACTAGAGAAATTTGAAGTTTCTGGTACCTATAACTACAGCAAACATTAAACACAGCCCAAATGCCAGTCAGATTCAAGCAAATCTTCTCACTAAAAGCTTATTTAGTTCAGTATATTTTATCCTATACAACATGTGCTACTTTCAACAAAACGATAAAACAAATACCAAAGGCAAGAAAGAATACAGTCTGAAGAGACAAAGAAAAACCTCAGTGAGCTTAAAGATAGCTCAATAGAAACTTTTCAAATAGAAATGTGAAAGGAATTTAAAAAATAAACAGAGCATCCAAGAACTGTGGAGAAATATGAAAATGTATAGATACTCGTAATTGGAATACCAGAAGAGAAAAAAGAGAGAAAGAATGAGGCAGAAGAAATATTTGAAGAAATAATAGCTGAGTACTTTCCAAAATTAAAGACACCAAACAACAGTCCTCATCATATTTGAAGAAAGATAAAATATGAATACAAATACAAAGAATACTAAGAAAGAATACAAAGAAAGAATAAGAATGGAAAGAGAGATAAAATACCAATAACGTAAAATAAAACAAATAGATAAAAAGAATACCTAGACTATATGTAAACTACATAAAACCAAAGACAAAGAGAGCACCTGGAGGGAAACAAGAGGAAAAAGGCATCTTACTAATGACGAACAAGGTTAAGAATTCTGACTTTGATCAGAAAACTTGCAAGCAGAAAGAGAGGAGTGAATGGGATAGGAGTGTAGCCAAAGCCAATAAAATGTATCCTTATTTGATAAAACCCTTACACATTTAATATGTTCTTTTAACTTCTATAATATTGATATAATATTGTAAGACAATACCCATATAAAACTAATTTAGTTGTTTATCAACTAAAAATGACAAGAAAATATTCATTCACATTGTTGTGACATCAAATAAAATATATTTGCCTATTATATTTACAATTTTATTTATTTATTTATTTTTTCTTGAGACGGAGTATCGCTCTGTCACCCAGGCTGAAGGGCAGTGGTGCAATCTCGGCTCGCTGCAACATCTGCCTCCTGGGTTCAATCAATTCTCCTGCCTCTCAGCCTCCTAAGTAGCTAGGATTACAGATGCCACCATGCCTGGCTAATTTTTTTTTTTTGTATTTTTAGTAGAGACAGGGTTTCACCATGCTGGCCAGGCTGGTCTCAGACTCCTGACCTCATGATCCACCCGCCTCGGCCTCCCAGAGTGCTGGGATTATAGGTGTGAGCCACTGCGCCCAGCCAAATTTTTTTTATCTTTTAATTTATTTTATTTATCTGGTGATCATATACTGGGAAATATAGGAATAATCATCTTTTTAAGTATGCACCCTTTTGTTTAATGCCATACTACCTAAACCTGCAAGTGAGGGTGTTATGACTAGAAATAACATAAAGGAATGAGCACATTTTCATGCAATATCACACTGTTTATAATGCTCTCAGGTACATCATGTCATTGATGCCTCACAACTCTGTGAAACAGCCACTATTATTATTCCTATTTTCTAAATTAAGAAACAGAGAATTTATGTAACTTAAGATCATACACATATTGGAGTTACAATGGCAGATTCAGAATTTTCAAGCCTAAAGGTTTGTTTCACAAAGCTCAAATCTCTATAAGAAATAATTATGTGAACTAAATATTAATTGGCACAATTTTTATCAGGCTTTTCACATATGCTAAGATAAAAACTATGCATTCTGAGAACCAGTGTCAATGGATAAGAGTCTTTACAGCATGAAAATGGCTTGCTTAGTGTGTGAGTCTTTGTGTATACATAGTGGCTAGCTCTCCATAGCCACCTCTCAGGAGGTAGAAATGAGACACCCCCTGATAAATGCTACTTTGAAGTATATGAATTCAGTTTACTATCGGAGTAGAACTTTCAAACAGTGTAATAACACTGTAAACACCAATGAACTATAATTAATTAAAAAGATATTGAAAATTCAGGAGAAAAGAACCAGATAGAGATGTTTAGGTTTGATAAGTTTTCAAAGACATATTGTTTCTGTTTAAATGAATAGTAAATATATTAAGGAGTAATAATAAAATACCCCAAAAAATCAAAAAAGATTAAATTGTTGCTAAAAGTGTTTTTGCACTATTCCTAGAAAATATATTTTAAAGAAAGAGAATATAAATGAAAGTAGACTAGACAAGTACTATGTGATGAAAACCACAGCCTAACTGGATAGAGAAATAACAAGTCGTGCAATTGCAATACTGTTCTGGAGGAAATAATACATTCAAGTTAACACTTGTCTGAAAAAAAAGTATAACAATATTCTGGATATTCAGAGAAAATGACTTCTTTGAAAATATCTAAGAAATGAAATTTGTTAAAGACAATGTCAGAAAGTCACTTCCAAAAACTTGTGGCCCTTCAAAGAACGATAACACCAACATTTCTGGATGGTTGAGCCACAGAGAGAGCCTGCTTATGAGGAGGAGATAGAACTGCAGTATTGTCCAAGAAACATTCATCTGTCAAATTCTCTAACAAGATTTTGCAAGTAGACCTAATATTTTCAAAGTAGGCATTAGGTATTATCACAACCCACTAAAAAAAGTGAGTTGGCCATATATATACATCAACACCTTTCATGTTCAAATGTTTTTCTTCTGAGTATGAAAATCAATAGGTGGAAATATAAGACTGCTTTTACTTCTAAATGAGAGTGATTTAATAAATTGGGAAAAAAATATCAGTGAAGTTAAAAGGTATAGTGTAGCCATAGCTAGTTAGATAATATGGAGCTGAAATTATTAGCTAGATTTATGTGGTAGAGAATAAAGTACTTTCAGAATATGCGGTTCTTTAATGTAACAGAAAAAAATGCAATAATATTATGGGGAAAAGGTCAACCTAATTTATGGAAAGAGCAGAAATACACAGATGCATTATTTAATTTTAGCATACATATAACTAAAGGGAAAATGAGAACATCTCAAAAATCCTCCATTAGAACGAACAGCTATTTTAGTTCAAAAAGTTATTCTTGTGGCTTTTATGAACACAAAAACTGACATTTGTGTGGCATTGAGTAGTTCACAAAGTGCTTTTCTATACTCTTTCTCACTTCATTCTCATAATAATCCTGAGAGGCACATTCGGAGGTCCTTCAAGGATATGAGATTTTAGACAACTTCCTCAATGTAACACAGCAGAAAAAGCATGGAACTTAGATTTGAATTTGATTTTTTGTTTGTTTCTAACTCTGATTCTTTCACTCCAATAGGCCTTATGCCCAGTGGCTTTGTACTTTTTACAGATTAGTGAAATTTACTCAGCCTGTGATATTCAGCCGTTGTCAGACTGCTCCCTTATATGTTTCAACCAAATCTCCCATATTTTTTTGTGTATGTACTCTGCACTAGTCACTTTGTTTTGTTTTTTCCTGTCTTATGATCATTCCCTGTTTCCACTTTTAAAATTAATTAATTCCAAATTAAAAGTTGCAATTAAGAGGTTAATGAGATAATTTAGTTCAGTTTTTTCAGACTTTTCTCATTATTACTTGAAGGGCAACAGCCTATCTGTATTTTTCTATTGATCTCCATATTGCATTTCCAGATACCCTGCACAAAAATTCTATGAGAATCAGAGATATTCATGGGGTATATGGTGAGATAGTCTTCTATTTAGGAAAAAAAAAAACAGTAAAACTTGCTGCATATGTCTACATAAAAAATCCTCTTCATAGTTTTAAGGTATAATTATTCCATATAAAATTATGATTCATGCAAATATAAAATTAATGTGTACTAAAGACTTTATTCAACTTATTCATTGATATGGAAACCAGTAAGTTGTTAAAACAAGTTGAAATTATAATTTTGATATGGATACTTATATGATCTACCACATTGAATTTATTTCATTGCTAAGAGCAGGAATAATTTTCATTGCAGTAAACAAAATAATATAACAGAAATTTAATCAGAGACACATATCATTTAAGAATGAGGTAATATCCAGAAGATCTACTAGAAAACACCAAGCATTCCAATGAAAGAATACCCAGTACACTCTGTTAACCATTTCCAAATCTCAAACAATAGTATAAAAACCATGACTCAAGTTTTTATGTTCAAACCACTGCATTCAGATGTTCCCCAAGAAAAATAGATAGTTTTCTGTCTGTATTAGTATAATTGTAAGACATGTTGTAGTGTTTTTCCACAACAGAAGGGAGTCTATTGCAAAGGCAATTTCAAGACTGATGCATCTTAGAAGGCAGATATTGGTCACAATTTTAAATAATAGTTTTTAAAATTGTGTTTTGTTTTTACCAGTTTAAGAAATTTTAGTTCCATTATTAGTCAAAAATATGGATTTTACATCATTATACTCTAAAAGAAACTGAGAATACTTTCTTTTCTTTTCTTTTTCTAAAGTGGCAATAGGCCATAGGTGATGTTTGCTGCCAGTGGAGATAGTGCATAAAACAGAGATTGATTTATGTCATGTCTTTGTAATGTAGTTCCATCATTCATCATATCTATTATCAATAATATCTATTATAAACAGTGGAATAAAAGTAACAAAATATAAATATAGAATAAAAGACATCACTCCTCTGATTATGTGAAAATAAAATTGAAAACTATAATTTCCATTACATTAAAAACTAAATTAATTAGATATTAATCTCTTTTTGGCCTCATAAAATTTGCTTTTGAAGAGCAAATTTAAATTTGCTGTTTAAAGCTATCATTAGTAAATTGTTGTGATAGGCAATATATTTTTTCTGGTATTCTTTTCATATTTTAAAAGGCACTTAGATTTGTTGTTTGCTTTTACATTTTTAATTTGTTGTTCACTTTTACATTTGTAATTCAGCAAAATATTAACCATGAGTCTGATTTATTTTATCATTGGTACATTATTTTTATTCACTTTAAATACTAAATAATATGAGCATTGTGGCTCTGCTCATACAAGAGCGTGTCATTATTACTTGTAGAAGAAAATGCAATTTAAGACTATTTTAGGCTATATCTTTATGTATAAGTCAGAGTTAAATTCTAGAAGTTTATATATACATATATGTGCATGTGTTTGTGTATATATATATATATATATATATGCATATATAAATATATATATATATATGTAAAATCAGTCAAACCTAGTTGCACATGGTAGTTATATTCTATAAAGTTTCTGTGAATACTAAATTAGTAAATATTAAATCATTGCTCCTAGGGGAAGTAAATGTGTGTGTGTGTGGTATATTAACATGACTGACATAGATTATGATTTAAATCTTAAAAACCTAAAACTAACTCTTCCTGGTACATTCTGTTTTATTTATTTTACAAAAAGGAAATGAGGTTCAGAAATGTTGTGTGACTTACCTCAGGCTGCTCAACTGACAGGTAGGTGCCAGAGTTAAGATTCAGACTCTCCAACCGGCCCCTAGAGCCTGGTCTTCTTGCACTGCTTTGCACTGCCTCCTGCCATCTCCATTCTCTGGTCATCTCTGTATGAAAGCTGAAACAAGGCAGAGAATGGACTTGTGGGACCTCAGCGGGGAATATGTGCATTACACAACTCAAATTTTTCTAGCACTGAACATATTAGGGAATAATCTGTAAACAAAGTACATATTGATTTTGGGTTTATAAGTAAATTTTAGTGTGTCAGCAAATTCACAAAAACAGAATCCACAAAAAATGAGGACAGAAACTATACATGTAAATTTGATTTATTTCAATTATCAGCACTGTGAAATTAAACACTTTTATGCAGACGTAACCTCAGTTGGTCTAGTACTATGTGGCCATTAAATAATAAAGATTCACAATTGTTTTATGAAGCATGAAGAATCTATCTGATTGCATCACTCTTGCTTCCCATATACATTTTTTTTTCAGATTTTTCAGCTTTATTAAAATTTGATGACTTTACATTGGGTTCACAAAAATAAAAGAAGACATGTATGTTTTCCAGTTCACTGTGCCATACATTTATATATATATATATATTTTTTTTGTAAAATGTTTTGACTCTAGTCTTATTTTTATTCTTTTTTTTTTGTTATACTTTAAGTTTTAGGGTACATGTGCACAATGTGCAGGTTAGTTACATATGTATACATGTGACATGCTGGTGCGCTGCACCCACTAACTCATCATCTAGCGTTAGGTATATCTCCCAATGCTATCCCTCCCCTCTCCCCCTACCCCACAACAGTCCCCAGAGTGTGATGTTCCCCTTCCTGTGTCCATGTGTTCTCATTGTTCGATTCCCACCTATGAGTGAGAACATGTGGTGTTTGGTTTTTTGTTCTTGCGATAGTTTACTGAGAATGATGATTTCCAATTTCATCCATGTCCCTACAAAGGACATGAACTCATCCTTTTTTACGGCTGCATAGTATTCCATGGTGTATATGTGCCACATTTTCTTAATCCAGTCTATCATTGTTGGACATTTGGGTTGGTTCCAAGTCTTTGCTATTGTGAATAGTGCCGCAATAAACATACGTGTGCATGTGTCTTTATAGCAGCCTGATTTATAGTCCTTTGGGTATATACCCAGTAATGGGATGGCTGGGTCAAATGGTATTTCTAGTTCTAGATCGCTGAGGAATCACCACACTGACTTCCACAATGGTTGAACTAGTTTACAGTCCCACCAACAGTGTAAAAGTGTTCCTATTTCTCCACATCCTCTCCAACACCTGTTGTTTCCTGACTTTTTAATGATTGCTATTCTAACTGGTGTGAGATCATATCTCATTGTGGTTTTGATTTGCATTTCTCTGATGGCCAGTGATGGTGAGCATTTTTTCATGTGTTTTTTGGCTGCATAAATGTCTTCCTTTGAGAAGTGTCTGTTCATGTCCTTTGCCCACTTTTTGATGGGGTTGTTTTTTCCTTGTAAATTTGTTTGAGTTCATTGTAGATTCTGGATATTAGCCCTTTGTCAGATGAGTAGGTTGTGAAAATTTTTTCCCATTTTGTGAGTTGCCTGTTCACTCTGATGGTGGTTTCTTTTGCTGTGCAGAAGCTCTTTAGTTTAATTAGATCCCATTTGTCAATTCTGGCTTTTGTTGCCATTGCTTTTGGTGTTTTAGACATGAAGTCCTTGCCCGTGCCTATGTCCTGAATGGTAATGCCTAGGTTTTCTTCTAGGGTTTTTATGGTTTTAGGTCTAACGTTTAAGTCTTTAATCCATCTTGAATTGATTTTTGTATAAGGTGTAAGGAAGGGATCCAGTTTCAGCTTTCTACATATGGCTAGCCAGTTTGCCCAGCACCATTTATTAAATAGGGAATCCTTTCCCCATTGCTTGTTTTTCTCAGGTTTGTCAAAGATCGGATAGTTGTAGATATGCGGCATTATTTCTGAGGGCTCTGTTCTGTTCCATTGATCTATATCTCTGTTTTGGTACCAGTACCATGCTGTTTTGGTTACTGTAGCCTTGTAGTATAGTTTGAGGTCAGGTAGTGTGATGCCTCCAGCTTTGTTCTTTTGGCTTAGGATTGACTTGGCGATGCGGGCTCTTTTTTGGTTCCATATGAACTTTAAAGTAGTTTTTTCCAATACTGTGAAGAAAGTCATTGGTAGCTTGATGGGGATGGCATTGAATCTATCAATTACCTTGGGCAGTATGGCCATTTTCACAATATTGATTCTTCCTACCCATGAGCATGGAATGTTCTTCCATTTGTTTGTATCCTCTTTTATTTCATTGAGCAGTGGTTTGTAGTTCTCCTTGAAGAGGTCCTTTGTGTCCCTTGTAAGGTGGATTCCTAGGTATTTTATTCTCTTTGAAGCAATTGTGAATGGGAGTTCACTCATGATTTGGCTGTTTGTCTGTTATTGGTGTATAAGAATGCTTGTGATTTTTGTACATTGATTTTGAGGCAGTCTGCCCGTTCTCAGATCTCCAGCTGCATGCTGGGAGAACCACTGCTCTCTTCAAAGCTGTCAGACAGGGACATTTAAGTCTGCAGAGGTTACTGCTGTCTTTTTGTTTGTCTGTGCCCTGCCCCCAGAGGTGGAGCCTACAGAGGCAGGCAGGCCTCCTTGAGCTGTGGTGGTCTCCACCCAGTTCGAGCTTCCCGGCTGCTTTGTTTACCTAAGCAAGCCTGGGCAATGGTGGGCGCCCCTCCCCCAGCCTTGCTGCCACCTTGCAGTTTGATCTCAGACAGCTGTGCTAGCAATCAGCGAGACTCCGTGGGCGTAGGACCCTCCCAGCCAGGTGCGGAATATAATCTCCTGGTGCGCCGTTTTTTAAGCCTGTCAGAAAAGCGCAGTATTTGGGTGGGAGTGACCTGATTTTCCAGGTGCTGTCTGTCACCCCTTTCTTTGACTAGGAAAGGGAACTCCCTGACCCCTTGCGCTTCCCGAGTGAGGCAATGCCTTGCCCTGCTTCCGCTCGTGCACAGTGCGCTGCACCCACTGACCTGCGCCCACTGTCTGGCACTCCCTAGTGAGATGGACCCAGTACCTCAGATGGAAATGCAGAAATCACCCGTCTTCTGCGTGGCTCACGCTGGGAGCTGTAGACTGGAGCTGTTCCTATTCGGCCATTGTGGCTCCTCCGCTTCCCACACACATTATTTCAGCTCTTAATTACACTTTTTTTTGTTTTAGACAGAGTTTCACTCTTTCGCCTAGGCTGGAGTGCAGTGGCAGGATCTCCGCTCACTGCAACTTCCGCCTTCTGGTTTCAAGTGATTCTCCTGCCTCAGGCTCCCGAGTAGCTGGGATTACAGGTGCCCGCCACCATGTCTGGCTAATATTTCTATTTTTGATAGAGACGGGGTTTCGCCATGTTGGCCAGGCTGATCTCGAACTCCTGACCTCGTGATCCGCCCGCCTCGTCCTCCCAAAATGCTGAGATTATAGGCATGAGCCACCCTGCCTGGCCCTTAATTATGCTTTTAAAAAGACATTCATTTGTTAAATCTAGCATCCAGGGTAATATACAAAGTACATTTAGTGAGTCAGAATTTTAGTTATTTCTTTGCCCTCTCATCAATTTGCAATAGAGTATTTGATAATCCTTTATTAAGTTATCCCATTATTTATGTAAATTACTAGAATAAAAATAATTGCAAAACACTTAGAAACATATTAACTTTAAGTACTTGTTTCATGCGATGATAATTTTATTTCATAGCCTAAAATATGGATCTGTTGTAAATGTTATTAAAACCAGGAAAAGTATGTTTTAAGCTTTGCTTTGGATTTCTTGCCACCTACCTTTTCTCAGAAACTTCAAAATAAGTAGGTGAATTCTCACATTTTTTTGCTTATAAAATATATAGAAATATGGAAAAATATGTACATATATACACATATATTTTAACATATCGAATAATGCATTATTTTTCCAGATAGAATTTTAAAATGTAAATGCCTATTCCATGTTTTAAAATTGTGCTGGCTGGGACCAGTGGGTCACGCCTGTAATCCCAGCACTTTGGGAGGCCGAGGCAGGTGGATAACAAGGTCAAGAGATGGAGACCATCCTGGCCAACATGGTGAAACCCCATCTCTACTAAAAATACAAAAATTAGCTGGGCGTGGTGGCACGCACCTGTAGTCCCAGCTACCTGGGAGGCTGAGTCAGGAGAATCGCTTGAACCAGGGATGAGGAGGTTACAGTGAGCTGAGATAGAGCCATTGCACTTGAATCTGGGCAACAGGTTCTCAAAAACAAACAAAAAATTGTGCCATGGCTTTTCCATATTTCAGGTAGAAATAAAAGCAAAAGATGAATATGTTTAATAGCACATTTCAACTATGTTTGCAAAAATTAGTTTGAAAGATTTAATTATCCAAACACTGACGGATTGTTTTGTTGAATTATGGAGCCCTGAAATAAGAACAAACTAATCTAAGTGTTCTCCCTCTCTTTTGTCATATATATCATTATTCCCTTTCCAGATCTTTTAATTCACCTTTCAAGATTGTCAGTGCTGCAGGCCAAAAGGCATAACTGAAAAGAAAATAAACTAAGCAGTACATAAAATGCTGGTTTGTCAGTCATGTTAGATTATCATGATATAGTAATCTAATAATCTAATTGTTTATATTTAGCATTATAGAGAGATAATGGTATTCCACTTTTAGCAGTGTGCCAGAGAACATTCCCTTACTGACTGTCTCAATAAATATGAATAAAATAATACATAAAATATGAAATACATACTTTAAACTACATTGATGAGTTTACAGGAAGTAAAGGCTACTTAGAAGCCAAATCTAAGTAAAAACAGAAACTCTTTAGGCACCCCACATGTGGCTATATTTTGAGTTGAGAGAGAGGCATGGGTGGCCCAAAGGTGAGTGAGTTGGAGGTGAATGGGCCATTTCATGATGTAGCTTACTCGTGTTCTCTGTGCCTTCTTGATCCTGAATGTATCTTTTCCGTTTTACAGTGGGTTGTGGCCAAGCTTACCCAAATTTATGATTTGGTGGTAGATCTAATAGAACTCACCACATGGTGGACCCCTCTGGACTCATAGTCAATTGATATCCTATGACCAGATATTTCATCTCTACCAGGGTTAGTAGTAGCATGCCAGCAGTTATTTGAATGGTGTATTCTCCACTACCAAAAGCAGGACCTTCCTCCAGAAACCTAGGGCTGACATTAAGATTCTCTTATTAGGGCTTGTCATAAAGTCCAAAAGTGTCATTTGCAACCACAGTACTTTTTTTTTTTTTTTTTTTTTTGAGATGAAGTCTCACTCTAGCACCCAGGCTGGAGTGTAGTGGCGCAATCTTGGCTCACTGCAACCTCCACGTCCCTGGTTCAAGTGATTCTCCTGCCTCAGCCTCCCAAGTAGCTGGGACTACAGGTGCACGCCACCATGCCTGGCTAATTTTTGTATATTTTAGTACAGAAGGGCTTTCACCACGTTGGCCAGGCTGGTCTCAAACTCCTGACCTCCAGTGATCTGCCTGCCTCCTCCTCCCAAAGTGCTGGGATTACAGGTGTGAGCCACAATGCCCGGCCAATCACAGATACCTATCACAGGACCTATTGTGTTATTTGGCCCAAGTAGAAGAGGGGCATTTGTCATAATCTTGACTTGCTGAATAGTCCTTTCCTACTCTGGTCCCACTCAAACCTGCTGCCTTCCACATCAGTAGGTAAATGGGTCAAAATGGTATTTGCCTCTGTAACCCAAAGAATCTAACCAGGGGTTGTGCTTCCTTCTTAATTAGTGGAAGGTAAATGACACGATGACTTTTCCTCGACTTTTGCAAGCATGTCTCTGCATTCTGTTACTTTTGGACTATTACAAACCTTCACTGATATGGTAGGACCCTGAATCTTCTTTGGGTTTATCTCTTATCCTCTGGAGAACATATGTCTTGTTTGTTTTTTGTTTGTTTTGTTTTGTTTTTTGAGACAGAGTCTTGCTCTATCGCCCAGGCTGGAGTGCAGTGGCGCGATCTCGGCTCACTGCAAGCTCCGCCTCCCAGGTTCACGCCATTCTCCTGCCTCAGCCTCCGGAGTAGCTGGGATTACAGGCGGCCGCCACCATGCCCGGCTAATTTCTTTTTGTATTTTTAGTAAAGACGGGGTTTCACGGTGTTAGCCAGGAAGGTCCTGGCTAACCTCCTCGCTCCTAACCTGGTCCTGGCTCCTAACCTCGTGATCTGCCCACCTCGGCCTCCCAAAGTGCTGGGATTACAGGCGTGAGCCACCGCACCCGGCCTGGAGAACATATGTCTTATAATGACCCACCGCATGCTTTCCATTTTTTGTTCATCCACCCTGATCATCATAAAGGATCAACATATTGAACCAATGTGATATTATGTGGAATAATCAATGGTTTAAGCCTTTTAAAAGTATATTAAACATAGAGTGAAAGAGTTAATATACCTGGGATAAAACCGTAATTGCATACAGTTGCCTATACCTTGTGAATGTGAACCACTTCTGATCCAACTTCTTTAGAGTGACAGAAAAGAATGTGTTTACCCCTGTGGCACTGGGCAGTAGCATCCTAGTCTGCTTGAACTGAAGACATGACCCCATACTTTGAGACCTCTGTGTCCTCCATGCCCTTGCAGTTTGGGCCTGTGTTGGGAAAGACAGCCCTGATAATCTCTGACCCCTGGCTTTTGCTGACATGGTTGGCTCACCTTATCAAGTGGTCATTTAGCCAGAACCCTAGTACTCTCTCCCAAACAGGCTTTCTCAATCTTTTCAATATGCATAGGCTGAGAATGTCCCGCATCTTTTCCTTCCGATTTATTTTTGCTAAACTACTCCATTTTTAAGTCATATCTGTATTCTTGAATTTTACTCCATCCTTAACAGTCATTAGAATAATTGCACCTTTTTTTTTTTTTGCACCGTGCTTTTTTTTTTATTATTATTATTCCATCCTCACCCTTGATATCTAGGAACCTAGTTCTGTAATATTGTCTCCTATCAGAGTCCTGGCCAATAGACGGCAGCTGCCCCTGAGAGTCTTGATGATGCTCATGTCCCTTTCATTAGTGAATTTCTTATTGCTTCAGTAAATGAGTGCCCTTTTATGGAAAAATTTCTGCTTTATAATATGTTTTGATGTTTAGTAACATTAATCCTACCATTTTTGTCTCTTTTTTCACAATTTTTGTATTTCCATTTTAACTTTAGATTCTGTTTTTCTTTCTTTATTTTTTGAGATGGAGTCTTGCTCTGTCGTCCAGGTTGGAGTGCAGCAGTGTGATCTAAGCGCACTGCAACCTCCACCTCCTGGGTTCAAGCAATTCTTTCACCTCAGCCTCCTGAGTAGCTGGGATTACAGACATGTGCCACCATGCCCGGCTAATTTTTTTTTTGTTTTTTTTTTAAGTAGAGTCGGGGTTTCACCATGTTAGCCAGACTGGTCTCAATCTCCTGGCCTCAAGTGATACGCACCCCTCAGCCTCCCAAAGGGCTGGGATTACAGGCGTAAGCCACCGTGCCTGGCCCTGTGTTTTATTCAGAAACGTTTAGGATTTATATTGGGGTTGTATGCTGTGGTAAGCAGATGTCTTTGCTCCTGGACTCCGTGATGGCTCCCAAGATTACCACCTCCTAATATACATGCCTTGTATAATTTTCTCCCCTTGAATATGTGCAGGACTTGTGAATATTATGCTACAGTTTCTCCCTTGATTCAGTTATGTTCTATGAGCAATGCGATAGGATAGTCACACGTGTTTACATTACATTAAGTAAGACTTCATTGTAGCATAGTGCAAATTACATGCTGGATTTAAAGAAGCAAGTTGCTATGCTGTGAGAATAGCATACTATTAGGACCTAAGAATCATCTTGTAGGAGCTGAGAGCAACTATGGCCAGCAGCCAGCAGGGATCTTGGTCTTATAACATCAAGAAACTAAAATATATCAACAACTGTGTGAGTTTTAGCTCAGAATGTAGCTGACAATTTAATTTTGGTCTCAAAAGATCCTGAACAGAGAACATAGTTGAGCCCAGCCCAAACTTCTAACCTATAGTATTGTGAGATAATAAATGGGTATTGTTTTAATCTGTTGTTTGTCATAATGTGTTACTTAGCAATAGAAAACTAGTAAACATACCATAGAGAATTAATGTCAGTATAATATTGAGCCTGCTGATCCTTGAACTTACTTTATTACTCTATTAAGGTCTTCTTTTAGTTATCTCAAAATGGACTTACAGTATTCTGAGTAAACCTGTTGAAAATATTTTCATAGGTTTAGCATTTTTTGTCAAGAAATAATAGCTATTTTTGTATTTTATTTTTATTAATATTTTTATTAAAAATCATGATAATATACATTTATGGGGGACACTGTGATGTTTTGATGTATGTATACAATGTGGAATGATTAAATCAAGCTAACTGACATATTTATCAGCCCTCTTACCTATCATTTTTTATGGTGAGATATTTGAAATTTATTCCATTAGTTATTTTGAAATATACAATGCATTATTATTGACTACAGTCACCTTCCTGTGCAATACATCTCAAAACCTGTTTCCCTTGTCTATCCAAAACTTTGTACTCTTTGATCAACAGCTTCCCATGCCCTCTCGTGGTGAGCAAGTCAATCTGGAGAATTTATATTCTGCCCTCTTGCTAATGTCATTCACAGATTTAGCATTAAATACGTTTTGAAGTTCTCATAAATACTGTTGTTTAAATTTTATACTTTTAGTATGTTTCCATATTGACTTAATATCCAGCAGCTATGTTGTACTCAATTATTCTAATAATGTGTATTCTTCTGGATTTTTTTACATGAACAATTACATAGCTTACAAATAATGACAGATTGCTTCATAGATTATAATCTTTGCAATTTTATTTTAATTCAATATTCTTACCTCCATACAATGTTGACTGTAAAGGGTAATTGTGGTAATAATCCATTTCTAATTTTTAATCTCAGAAGAAATTCTTTCAACATTTCACAATTAGGTATAATATATGTGTTTTTCTTTTTTTTTGTAGATAGTGTTTTTAGGTTAAGAAAGTTTTCTTCAATTCCTAATTTGCTGAATTTTTATTCCATTAATTTTAAATTTTATTAATGCTCTATTTGCATCAACGGAATGATTATATAATTTTCTTATATAGTGAATTATATTGATTAATTATTGAATTGACATACCAGCTTTACATTACTGAAATAAAGCTAACCAGGTCATAAGTTTCCTTTTGTATATTGCTGGATTCAGTTTTTAAATGCTATTTAGGATCTCTAAATTTATGTTCGTAAGACTGGCATGCAGTTTTTCGCTTCTTGAAAAGTCATAGTTAAGTTTAGATGTCAATGTTATTCTGGTCTAATACAAGGAATTTGACAGTATTTCCACTTTTTTTTCCTGAAAGAGTATGTGCAAGATTGGAATTAATGTCTGTTTAACTGTTTAGAGTAATTCAGGAATACAGCCATTTGACATTTTCACTGAAAAGTATTTTTGTTATACATTTCTTTAAAAATAAATTTTTCAGGTTTTCTATTTCTTATATTAGTTTTGGCAGGACAGTCAGCACCACTGCTTCAGTGGTAGACATACAGTTGTACTTGCTTTGAGTTTCACTGAATGCCGAAGCATCAAGGCCCACCAGAATTCTGTGCTTATGGGGCATTGTGGACATGAGTCAGGTAGCAAGGACAGTGGATATACACATTGCACATATCTCTTCTGCTCTACCGCATGCTCTGTTGTCTCATCAGACTTCATTTACAAAACACAAGTTTAAACATAAAACTATTAAGAATTTCAAGATGGCAACAGCAGAGCATTAAACCAGGCATAAGGCTCTTCAGATTGCAGGCATCCTGCAACTGCACAGGTCACATGCCCATGAGGTCAGTCCTGGCTATATTCATAACCAACAAAATACGGAAACTACTTATATATCTAACTACTACTGAATAGATGAACAACCTATGGTGCATTCTGTAGTGTGGAATACAACTCAGCAATAAAAATAAATTATTGATAAATTCAGCAGCATGGAAGGATCTAAAATTCATTGTGCTGAGAAGCTAAACACGAATGTCTGCATATTGTATGATTCCATTTATAGTTATAGATACAGGAAACAAATGAGTGATTGTCATGGACTCTGGTAAGGGGAAGAAACTGACCATAAAGGCGTATAACGGAATTTGGGGGGGTGGGGAGGTAAGGGAATAAGGTGCTTAGTTACATAACTATGTATTTGTCAGAATTTATAGAATTTGCTTCTCGAAAAGGGTGGCTTTTACTGTATGCAAATTATGCCTCGACAGACTTTACACTTAAAAAACTACCTTTGGCTTTATGAGCAAAGGTAGTTCTTTGTGTATTTTGTTTTTAATTTTTAAAAAACTATTAATTTTCCCATTCTAAAATGTTAGGGTTTTGATTTGCCCTTATTTTTTAATCTTACTTGGAGATTAATGCTTAACATCAATTTTTAGCTTTTCTTCTTTTCTAATATATGCATTAAGGCTATAATTTCCTCTGTCACTATGGCTTTAGCTGCATCTCCTAAGATTTGATATACCCTGTTTTCATTGCCATTTAGTTCTAAATAATTTGTAAGCAACATTTGATTTCTCCTCTAACTCACACATTATTGTAAAGTACATTTCCTAATTTCTAAACATATGATGGTTATTGTCTAATGAATTTTTAGTTTAAATCTCCCATGATCAAAGAACCTACTCTGTAGTTCAAGGTACTCTGTACCTTGAGATTTGTTGAGAGTTCCTTTATGACCCACCATTTCATTAATTTTTCTAAATGTATATACTTTTAAAGAATGTGTAGTATTAGGTTAGGTACTTTGTTAAATAAGTCAATTTGACTAGACTTTTTAACTGTTTGTTAAGTTGGTCTACAGCAGAGAACTTTTGAGGCCTCTTTAAACTCTTTACAATTATTGAGAACACAAAGAAATTTTGTTTACGTGAGTTATGTCTATCAATACCTACCTTAGAAATTAAAACTCAAAAATGTAAAAATATGTATTAAATTATTTAAAATATTAAAGGGTTACATATAAAAACAAATAGCATATTTTAATAAAAAAGTGTCCCCTATCTTCCAAAATAAAAGAATTTAGAGAGAAGAGTGGCATTGCTTTACAATTTTGCAAATCTCTTTAGTGTGTGGTTTAATGATTAAGTAGTCTCACATATGCCTCTGAATTAAATCTGTTGGGCTCTACTGTTTTAGATGAGGTTGGGAAAAATAAATCTAAATTTATATGAATGTGTAGTGTAAGAAGGAAAAGGTACTTTAGTAGCATTTTCAGATAACTGTAGAAAATCTTTCTTTTAAAGCATTCTACAATTTGACAAGTGGTAGTTCCATAAGGGTTAGTTACAATGTGGAATTTAAAAACATATCCATAAAACTTTTATTCAGTTATGTTAAAATTCATTGGTCTCTTTTGCACTTCAAATGTATCTTTATCCATGCATGATTTTATAATACTATACATTGGTAATTTGATAATAATAGCGATATGAAGATCTTCTAAATATTGATACATTTCATTATACAGTATCCCTCATCACATCTGTTAATATCATCACCAAACTTATAATAAAAGCCTTTTAGTACTGAGAAGCATTCGAGATCATGGTGGCAGATACAAGTTTTCCATTCACAAAAAATACTGGCAGTTGTTTTCCTTGAAATAATAGACTCATATAATTTGTTTTTGAAATAAACAATGTCTGTCACCTACTCAAGTCTAAATAACAATATTTTGTCAGTCAATTTTTCAAGTAAATGGTTCTTTATGTTTTGTTCAGCTCACAAGCCAAAGAATAGCACAAGTGTTTATTCTTTAGAAAATTACCATACTTTTCTTTGGAGCAGAAATTTTTTATGCATAATTCATGTTTTATAAAATAGAATATTTAAAAATGTGTGCTCAGCAGATAAGATTTAATGAAATTAATGGGATTTTTTTGCACAGTAAGGACATTTTTTAAATGAAAATAGCTTTTTTCCCCCTCATAAATACATGGCAGTGAAAAGCAAAACTTTTAGTAGTTTTTTTTTTTTTTTGCCACTAAAAGGGTTTTAGAGACCCCATGGGTCATTGGACAACACTTTGAGAACCATTGGATTGGTACCTGAGTTTTTAACTGAGTTATCAATTATTTAAGTAATATTTTTTAATAGAAGCTATGGAGACCCTTTTTGGTTTTCGTGTGTGTGTGTGTGTGTGTGTGTGTGTGTGAATTTTTTACATTTTAATTTTAAGTTCTGGGGTACATGTGCAGGTTTGTTATATAAGTAAACTTGTGTCATAGGGGTTTGTTGTTTAGATTATTTTATCATCCATGCATTAAGCCAACACCCATTAGTTATTTTTCCTGCTTCCCCATCTGATTCTCCAACCTTCGATAGGCCCAAGAGCTCCAGAGGGAGCCAATATTCAACATTCTTAAAGAAAAGCAATTTCAACACAGAATTTCATATCAGTCAAACTAAGCTTCATAAGTGAAGGAGAAATAAGATTCTTTTCACACAAGTAAATGCTTAGGGAATTTGTTATCACCGGGCCTGTCTTACAAGAGCTCCTAATTAGGAAGCAGTAAATATGGAAAGGAAAGATCATCACCAGCCACTACAAAAACACACTGAAATACACAGACCAGTGACACTATAAAGCAACAATATAAACAACTCTGTAAAATAACCAGTTAACATCATGAGGACAGGATCAAATCCAAACATATCAATACTAACTTTAAATGTAAATGGGCTAAATGTTCCAATTAAAAGACACAGAGTGGCAAGCTGGATGAAGAAACAAGACCCATTGCTATGCTGTCTTCAGAAGACCCATCTCACATGTAATGACACACATAGGCTCAAAACAAAGGGTTGGAGAAAAATCTACCAAGCAAATGGAAAACAGAAAAAAAAGTAGTGGTTGCAATCCTAATTTCTGACAAAATGACCTTTAAATTAACAAAGATTAAAAAAAAAAAGACAAGGAAGGGCATTACATAATGTAAAGGGTTCAATTCAATGAGAAGATCTAATTGTCCTAAATATATATGCACCCAACACAGAAGCACCCAGGTTCATAAAGCAAGTTCTTAGAGACCTTCAGAGAGACTTAGACTCCCACACAATTATATTGGGAGACTTTAACACCCCACTGACAATATTAGACAGATAATCAAGACAGAGAATTAGCAAAAATATTCAGAACCTGAACTCAGCACTGGGTCAAATTGACCTGATATCTACAGAACTCTCCACCCCAAAACAGCAGCATATATATCCTTCTCATTGCCACATGATACTCTGAAATCGATCACATAATTGGAAGTAACACACAATAAAAAAGAGAAAACTTCAGGCAAATATCCCTGATGAACACTGATGCAAAAATCCTTAGCAAAATAATGGCAAACTGAATCCAGCAGCACATCAAAAAGTTTATCCACCACAATCAAGTACACTTTATGCCTCAGATGCAACGTTAGGTCAACATATGCAAATCAATAAGTGTGATTCATCACATAAATAGAACTAAAGACAAAAATCACATGACTATCTCAATAGATGCAGAAAAGGCTTTCACTAAAATTCAACATGGCTTCATGTTAAAAAAACTCTCAATAAACAAGGTACTGAAGGAACACACCTTAAAATAATAAGAGCCGTCTATGATAAAGCCACAGCCAACATCATACTGAATGGGCAAAAGCTGGAAGCATTCCCCTTGAAAGATGGCACAAAACACAAATGCTCTGTCTCACCACTCCTATTCAACATAGTATTGAAAGTCCTAGCCAGAATAATCAGGCAAGAGAAAGAAATAAAGAGCATACAAATAGGAAGAGAGGAAGTCAAACTATCCCTGTTTGCAGATGACATGATCCTATATCTAGAAAACCCCATAGTTTCAGCCCCAAGGCTTTTTACCTGATTAACAACTTTAGCAAAGTCTCAAGGTATAAAATCAATGTACAAAAATTACTAGCATTCCTACGCACCAACAACAGGCAAGCCTAAAGCCAAATCAGGAACAAGCTCCCATTCATAATTCCACAAAAGGAATAAAATACCTAGGGTTACAGCTAACCAGGAAGGTGAACTACCCCTACAAGAACTGCAAACCACCGCTCAAAGAAATCAGAGATGACAAAAACAAATGGAAAAACATTCCATGCTCATGGATAGGAAGAATCATCATCTTAAAAATGACCATACTGCTGAGAGAAATTTATAGATTCAATGCTATTCCTACTAAACTGCCATTCACATTCTTCACAGAACCAGAAAAAAAACTATTTTAAAATTCATATATAACCAAAAAAGAGTTTGAATAGCCAAGACAATCCTAAGCAAAATGAACAAAGCTGTAGGCATTATGCTACCCAATTTTAAACTACACTTCAGGGCTATAGTAACCCAAACAGCATGGTACTGGTAGGAAAACAGACAAACAGACCAATGGAAGACAATAGAGAACCCAGAAATAAGGCTGCACACCTACGACTATTTTATCTTTGACAAACTTGACAAAAACAAGCAGCGGGGAAAAGATTCCCTATTCATTAAATGGTGCTGGGATAACTGGCTAGCCATGTGCAGAAGATTGAAACTGGACCCCTTCATTACACCATATACGAAAATTAACTCAAGATAGATTAAATACTTCAGTGTAAAACCCAAAATTTATAAAAACCCTGGAAGACAACCTTAGCAATACCATTCAGGACATAGGCACGGGCAAATATTTCACAAAGAAGATGCCAAAAGCGATTGCAACCAAAACAAAAATTGACAAATAGGATCTAATTAAACAAAGGAGCTTCTGCACAGCAAAATAAACTATCAACAGAGTGAACAGACAACCTAGAGAATGGGAGAGAATTTTTGCAAACTGTGCATCTGACAGAGGTCTAATATTCAGCATCTTTAAGAAACAAACACATTTACAAAAAAATTAACCCTTTTAAAAAGTGGACAAAGGACATGAACACTTTTCAAAAGAAGACATACATGCAGCAAATGATCATAAAAAAAAGTTCAACATCATTGATCATTAGAGAAATGCAAACTGCAATGAAATGCCATCTCACACTAGTCAGAATGGCTATTATTAAGGAGTCAAAAACAGATGCTGGTGTTGTTTTGGAGAAAAAGTGATGCTTATACACTTTTGGTGACAGTGTAAATTAGTTCAACCATGTGGAAGCCAGTGTGGTGATTCCTCAAACACCTAAAAACAGAACTACCATTCAACCCAGCAATCCCATTACTGGGTATATACCCAGAGGAATATAAATCATTCTACCTTAAAGACATATACACATGTATGTTCACTGCAGCACTATTCACATAGCAAAGACATGGAAGCAACCTAAATGTCCATCAATGACAGGCTGGATTAAGAAAATGTGGTACATATACACCATGGAATACATGAACACAAAGAGGGGAAGAACACACACTGGGGGCTATCAGAGGGTAGAGGGCAGGAGGTGGGAGAGGATCAGAAAAAATAACTGATGGACACTAGGCTTAATAGCTTGGTGATGAAATAATCTGTACAATAACTCCCCATGACACAAGTTTGCCTGATATTAATATAGCTACACAAACATTCTTTTGATTAGTGTTAGAATTCTTTTTATTCTTTTACTCTTAGTTCTCCTCTATTCTTACATTATATGTATGTCTCCTATAAACTGCATGTTAGTTTTCTTTTAAGTCTAGGTATATCATTTTTTGTCACTCAATTTGAGTATTTAGAAAATATAAGTTCAAATCTAGCATAGTGCAGTTTTGCTTTTTGTGTTACCTTTTCTGTGTTCTCATTTTGTGTCCTTTGTCTTCTACTTTTTAATTTATTAATGTTATATTTTTATTTATGTTGTTTTCTTTTTGAGTAGTTATACATTTTTTAAAAATTCTCTTAGTATATAATAAATAATTTGGCTGGCTTTTGTCTTCAGTTATTGGTAATCTCTGAGTTCTTGGAATTTCCTGGGTGATAGGAGTGTCGTTATTATTTATGTTGGACCTCTCAGACCACAAATGATAGCTTATGCTTATGAGGTGACCCATGGTGAGCCCTAGATGGTTTATGTTAATGAGACGACTTAGGATAAAGTCTAGCCACGCCAGAAAGACAAACCATGTGATTAGAAGTTTAGGTTATGTAATATCAGCCCAATCTCCAGGCAAGTTAGCAGGCTGAACCTGAGTCATATGGGCAATTATTCTATTATGTCTAGGTAAGGAAACTCTAATAAAAGTTATAGACCAAAATTCACATGACCTTCCTGGTTGACAGTCCTCTTTGTTTATAATGATACTTCAATGCTGGAAGGGCAAACATGTCCCCAAGGACTATAGTAGTTTCACTTTTGAAACGCTTCCAGATTTCTCCTTATCTATCTTTATTCGGACTAGTTCTAACTTGATTCTTTTTTCTATAATAAAACTGTAATTAAAAGTATGGAGCTTTGCTGAGTTCTATGAATTGGTCTAGTGAATTACTAAAACTAAGAGTGCTGTTGGAATCCCTATTTTGTAGCCACTGGTTAGAAGTGAGTGTGGCCATGAGAATCTTTGAGCTTGTGGCTAGTATTTAAAGTGAAGGCAGTCTTGTGGAGAATTTTGCCCTTAACTTTGAATTTGACTAACTGTGGGTAGACGGTTACGCAGAGATATCTTGACTTATATACTGTTATGTAATTTATATTTAAATAATACATAATTCATAATATATGTGTTAGAATCAGAACACCTAATTCCATATAATTCCATCTTCCCAACTTGTATGCTATTGTTTTCCAGTATTTTATTACATATTACATATGTGTATTTTATTACATATGTATATTTTAAAACCTGAAATAAATTAGTATTTTACTGTCAGTATTTATTTAGATGTTCCCATGTTAACTAATTTGTGATTCTTTATTATTTTTTACATTTAGAGCTTTAGACTTTACTCATGTTAACATGTATAAGTAAATTATTAAAAACTAAAAACAGATTGCATAACATTCAATCTAGTAGACAAATATAAATGGGAGAAGAAAATAATTAATTCAAATGAAAGAAAAGGGCAAAAAGAATACAGAAAAGATGAAAGAAATTGAAGTGCCAAAATAAAATGTTAGAAAATAGTCTTAGAATATTATTTCAGATATAAAATGAGTAAATTCTTTATTTGGTACACAAGGACTGTCAGAATATATTACAATGCTATTTAGTCTAAATCACAACTACAGAAAAACTGAAAGTAGAAAAATAGCAAAAATGATACACAAAGTAAATATTAACCAAAGAAAAGCTGACATAAACATATGTGGCAAAATAGACTTTAAAGCAAAACAGTAAGTATTAAAAAGCATAAAGATACCTCTAGACCATATTCGTATTCACTTCACCCCAAAATAATAATAATAAACTTAATCACCTAATAATATAGGTTCAAAAATATTTAAAGCAAATACTGGCAGAAATTATAAAGATAAGTTTAAAAATCCAGCATTAGTTTTAATTCACTTCTATTAATAACTAATAGGTTAAGCAGATAATAAATTTTAAAAACGTAGAAGATTTGACCAATACAACTAACAGTTTTGGATATATATATATATTACATATACACACACGCATATGGATATACACATACACACACATATGTGTCAGAAAATAGATAACTTACGGTTCAAAGAAAAAAATCCTAAAATGCAAATTAAGAAAAAAATATAAAACTGTAAACAACAACAAAACAGCACATAGTATTAAAATTTGTGTACAACTAAGGAAAAATTGTTATTAGCATTGGTTATATCTATTAGGAAAAATAGAAGGTGGAAAGGAATAAAGCAGGTATCAATTTAAAAAGTTAAAAACCAAAGTTGTTGTATGAGTGCATTTTCACACTGCCAATAAAGACATACCTGAGACTGGGCAATTTACAGAAGAAAGAAGTTTAATTGGACTTACAGTTCCACGCGGCTGGGGAAGCCTCACAATCATGGCAGGAGGCAAGGAGGAGCAAGTCACATCTTATATAGATGGCAGGCAAAGAGAGAGCTTGTGCAGGAAAACTCCCCCTTATAATAACCATCAGATCTTGTGAGACTTACAACCACCAGAACAGCATGGGAAAGATCTGCCCCAGTGATTCAGTTACCTCCCTCTTGGTCCCTCCCACAACACGTGGGGGAATTCAAGATGACATGTGGGTGAGGACAGAGCCAAACCATATCATTCCACCCCAGCCCCTCCTAAATTTATGTCTTCACATTTCAAAAAATCATGCCTTCCCAACTGTCTCCCAAAGTCTTAACTCATTTCAGCATTAACTCAAAAGTCTACAGTCCAAAGTCTCATCAGAGAAAAGGCAAGTCCCTTCCACCTATGAGCTTGTAAGATCAAAAGCAAGTTAGTTACTTCCTAGATTCACTGGAGGTACAGGCAATGGATAAATACAGCCATTCCAAATGGAAGACATTGGCCAAAACAAAGGGGCCGCAGGCCCCATGCAAGTCCAAATCCAGAAGGGCAGTCAAATTCTTAAAGCTCCAAAATGATCACCTTTGACTCCATGTCTCACATCTCACACTGACGCAAGAGGTGGGTTTCCATGGTCCACTGGGCAGCTCCACCCCGTGACTTGGCAGGGTATAGCCCTCTTCCTGGCTGCTTTCACTGGCTGGCATTGAGTGTCTGGCTTTTCCAGGTGTATGGTGCAAGCTGTCTACCATTCTGGGGTCTGGAGGATGGTGGCCCTCTTCTCACAGCTCCACTAGGCAGTGCCCCAGTAGGGACTCTGTGTGGGGCTCTGACCCCACGTTTCCCTTCTGCACTGCCCTAGCAGTGGTTCTCCATGAGGGTCCCACCCCTGCAGCAAACTTTGCCTAGGCATCCAGGCATTTCCACACATCTTCTGAAATCTAGGCAGAGGTTCCCAAACCTCAATTCTTGACTTCTGTGCATCTGCAGGCTCAACAGCACATGGAAGCTGCCAAGGCTTGAGACTTCTACCCTCTGAATCAACAGTGGCTGGGACACAGGGCCCCAAATCCCTAGACTGCACACAGCAGGGAGACCTTGGGCCCAGCCCACAAAACCATTTTCTCCTAGGCCGCTGGGCCTGTAGTGAGAGGGCCTGCTGTGAAGACCTCTGAAATGCCCTGGAGACATTTTCCTCATTGTATTTGGGATTAACATTTGGCTCCTCATTACTTAGGCAAATATCTGCAGCCAGCTTGAATTTCTCCTCAGAAAATGGTTTTTTTATTCCCTATCACATTGTCAGGGTGCAAGTTTTCTGACTTTTTATGCTCTACTTTTCTTATAAAACTGAATGCCTTTAATAGCACCGAAGTCACCCCTTGAATACTTTGTTGCTTAGAAATTTCTTCCTCCAGATACCCTAAATCATTTTCTTCAAGTTCAAACTTCCACAGATCTCTAGGGCAGGGGCAAGATGCTGCCAGTCTCTTTGCTAAAACATAACAAGAGTCACCTTTGCTCCGGTTCCCAACAATTCCTCATCCCTATCTGAGACCACCTCAGCCTGGACTTTATTGTCCATATCATTATCAGGCTTTTGGTAGCTATTCAACAAGTCTCTAGGAAGTTCCAAACTTTCCCACATTTTCCTGTCTTCTGAGCCCTCCAAACTGTTCAAACCTCTGCCTTTTACTTAGTTCCAAAGTCACTTCCACATTTTTGGGTATCTTTCCGGCAGTGCCTCGCTCCACTGGTACCGATTTACTGTAGTAGTCTGTTTTCATGCCGCTGATAAAGACATACCTGAGACTAGGCAATTCACAAAAGAAAGAGGTTTAATTGGACTTACAGTTCCACGTGGCTGGGGAAGCCTCACAATCATGGCAGAAGGCAAGGAGGAGGAAGTCACATCTTACGTGGATGGCAGCAGGCAGAGAGGTAGCTTGTGCATGGAAACTCCCATTTTTAAAACCATCAAATCTCATGAGACTTACTATCAGAAGAACAGCACAGGAAAGGCTGCCCCTAAGATTCAGTTATCTCCCATCAAGTCCCTCCCACAACATGTGGGAATTGAAGATGAGATTTGGATGGGGACACAGCCAAACCATATTGGTTGTAAATCCAAAAGTTATAGAAGAAGGAAGAAAACTAATCAAAAATATAGTAAGACATAAAACATAAATACAGTAAAGGGTACCAAAAAATGATTGGTACCCTTTACTGTATTGGTGATTCTCTGAAAAGTTTGATCATGGGAAAAGCAAAGAAGCACAAAAACGTTAAGAATGAAATGTTAAAGTAACTAGAGATACAATAGTTTACAAAAATACATTGCCATTAAAAATCAATTCCAATAATTTTAAAACTTAAAGTGTTCAAGAAACATAAAGACTATAATAATCTATAATAATAAATAGTAATTATATAATATAATTCTATAAAAATTAATCCTATTACAATTAAATATTGTACCTGGGTGGTAAAATATTCCTATGACAGTTAAAATGTAAATTATTAGTTTAAAACTTTAAAACTATAATCTCCTTAGGTCCATGTAGTTTAATTAAATATATCCACAAAATATTCAAGAACAGATAATGATCACCTTAATGCTTTTTTAAGGAAAAAAACAGCAATTACTTTTCTGATCATTTTTGTAATATTAATATAATATTGATATCAAAACCTAAGAAGAACATTACAGATAGATAACATACAGGCTAACTTGAGATATGAACCTAGAATCAAAATTTAAAAATGTCAGCAAATAAAGTCTAGCAATGTATAAAATAAATCAAGTATTTTTTAGGTAAAAATCCTCTAGAAAACATCAATTATCCTATGACCCAACAATTCCACTTCTAGATATATATGCTAGATATATATGCTAGGAACTATTTTTCCTGGGTGCCATGAAGCATGTAAAGGATGTCAAAGCAACATTGCTTGTCACAGCAAAAAAAAAAAAAAAAAGAGAAAAAAAGTAAATTACTCAGATCCGCCAATCAAATCCATCAATAATAGGAAAGATAATAATAAAAAAGATACATTACATGTGCTGTGTTCTTAAAATGGAATAATATCTACCCAATGAAAAGAAATATTGTATTTATTTTATCAATATGTGAACAAAGAAGTCTCTCTGGGGCATAAAATCAAGTCAAGGAAAAAATTACAGAAAGATAAATACAGTACATTTCATTATATAAAGTTCAAAACATTCAGAACTAAACAGAATAATTTTAGAGATACAAACATCTAGTAAATCAAGAAAGAAAAGTAAGCACATAATTAATACAAAATTTAGGAACGTATTTACAGCTAAATAGAGAAGGTTACACAGAGACTTTAAAAGTCAGCATCCATGCATCACTATTTTTTTATTCCCTAAATATACTCTTTAAATATTTGCATATACTTAATATTTTGTAAGAATAAAATGAAAAAAAAAAGAGTGCTAGAGGTTCCCAGGCTAATTGTTCATGGTTTATTAACGGACTTACAACAATATGTTATTTATGCAAGACGTATTCAAAGATTTATCTTCTCAGTAATATGTTAAATTAGAACTGTGACATCAGAGACATAGACTAATGCATTGCCATTTCTCCTCTCATTTAGAATTGGGACCATATCAAAAGATAAATTAGTTCTTTGGTCCCTCTTTAGACTTATGCTAGGTAAATTAGTTTCTTTAACCAACAGATTGTCAGTCATCATCCTGAGTTTAGATTCATGATTATGCTGTTTCCTCTCACTGCTGTACTAATAGCAGAGATTAAAACAACAGGAATGTTAATGCTTAACTGTATGTAATGGAAGAAAATTTACTGCTTTAACTTCTTCGTAACTTGGATTGACTGGCAGTTAGCCACCTTTTTTATATCAGTATGGATACAGAGATGAAAATAAAACCCAGTATTCAAAAGTATCATTTATCTATATTTTCATTTTACCTTTAAAATATTAAAATAAAATACATTTACTTCCAGAGCATTAGAAAATACATAATGTACAAGGAATCAGAAGAAAAAGCCTAGAATATGATAGCAACATTTTTGGTGTACCTCTTTTAGTTTTCTCCCTGTAAAAATATTGTCATATTGGAAATACATTTTCTATTCTGGTTTTTTTCTACTTAGATTTTTCTCATGTAATTAATTATTCTTCAAATACATACATTTTAATCACTGTATAATATTTTCTGTGCGAACGATTTATAATTTACTTAATCTCTAACCTACTGATAGACATAGACGTTGTCAGGCCTCTGAGCCCAAGCTAAGCCATCATATCCCCTGTGACCTGCACATATACATCCAGATGGCCTGAAGCAAGCGAAGAATCACAAAAGAAGTGAAAATGGCCAATTTCTGCCTTTACTGATGACATTATCTTGTGAAATTTCTTCTCCTGGCTCAGAAGCTCCCCCATTGAGTACCTTGTGATCCCCACCCCTGTCTGCCAGAGAACAACCCCCTTTGATGGTAATTTTCTACTACCTACTCAAATCCTATAAAACAGCTCCACCCCTATCTCCCTTCACTGACTCTCATTTTGGACTCAGCCCATCTGCACTCAGGTGAAATAAACAGCTTTATTGCTCACACAAGGCCTTTTTGGTGGTCTCTTCACACGGATGCATGTGACAGACTTTAAATGCTGCATGTGGATCCTTCTTGGTACAAGAATCTTGTGGAGTATATTGATTGCTTCCTTTGTGTGATAGAACAAAGTATTAATTTAGGAGTGTTCCTAAGTCTTTCATCCACCCAGCTAATGAAAGAAAATTCTAGTTCTATTCCTTTAATTCTCTTGACTCACTCTCTTCTCCCTAATGTCCTGATTTGCCAGATCCATTAATTTTTTTTTATTTTGTTGGTGCAGAATTGGAGGGTGGCAGCAAGAAAGTGTAGAGGGACATACTGCTGGGCTGGTATAGTGAGTTCTTTCATGATGTGTTGGAGAGGGCAGCTTTCCCTTTCAGAGTAAGGGATCAGATAGTGGGAAAAAAAGGAGAATTTTAAGAAATATTAATCTACCATCCTGGCTAACACGGTGAAACCCTGTCTCTAATAAAAAAATACAAAAAAATTAGGCGGGCGTGGTGGTGGGCACTTGTAGTCCCAGCTACTCCAGAGGCTGAGGCAGGAGAATGGCGTGAATCCAAGAGGCGGAGCTTGCAGTGAGCTGAGATTGTGCCACTGCACTCTGCACTCCAGCCTGGGTGAACGAGCAAGACTCTGTCTAAAAAAAATAAATAAATAAAATAAAAAAATAAAGAAATATTAATCTGGTCTAAGATAACTCCATAAAAATGTTATAGAAATAGAAGAAATTGTTTTGTTTTGAAATTATTTTGTGATTGCAGACAGCGCATATTTAGCTATGACATTATGTCATGGTTTCATAAGCTCTACACATATGTAAGGAAATGTCGCTATCCTCTTATCCCTGTTAAAAGTGCTTTCTCAAAGGGTAAGGTTAATGTGGTCTCTTCATTAGCCTGATATAAGAATGCTTGTATCACTGATTTCACAGAACAATGAAATATTATCATTTTGCAAAAAAGTTTATAAACTTAGTAGGTGGAAAATCATATCTGGTATTTTATTTTACATTTCTTCATTAGTGATGTTGGATATTTTTTATAGTTGCCTTCATCACTTACTTCCCATTTGAGAGTGATTTGATCATGGTCATTGTAGATTAACTGGGTGTGGAAAAGTTATTTTTAAAATTAATTTTATATCTCAATATTTATTAAGGATATGTTAACTTTCATAGTTGTTAAAGTTGTCTTCCTCACCTTTGTCATTTGTTTTTAATTTTATTAATTAGTTTGACATATAGATGTGTTAAAATTGTATGTACTAAAACCAGGTGACCTTCTTCCTTTACAAATTAATCGAAAGTTACTGTCCATTCTGAGAGTTCAACAAATACTTGCCTGCAGGTTTTAATGTTTCTATTTGTTGCATTTGTTTAGTCCACTTGAAATATATTTTGAGATAAAGTATGAAGAAAGTATTTAATCTTTTCTAAGTGGTTAACCAATTGTTTCAGTACAATATATTTAAAAGTCAAACTTTTTTTTTACTCTAGTGATGCTACTTTTATTGTATATATAATTTCTAATATATCAGGCTAACTATTCTATGCTATTAATATATATCTACCATAACTTTTTTGGATAATTGTAAATTTAGCTTTTAATATAGAAGAAATATCTCACCATTAGTCAAGCTTTTTGTTTGTTTGTTTTTGTTGTTTTTGTTGTTGTTGTTTCTGTTGTTGTTTCTGTTGTTGTTGTTTTTGTTGTTGTTGTTTTGAGACAGAGTCTTGCTCTGTAGCCCAAGCTGGAGTGCAATGGCACAGTCTTGGCTTACTTCAATCTCCACCTCCTGGGTTCAAGCGATTCTCGTGCCTCAGCCTCCTGAGTAGCTGGGATTACGGGAGTGCACCACCAAGCCTGGCTATTTTTTTTATATTTTTAGTAGAGACTGGGTTCACCATGTTGGCCAGGCTGGTCTCAAACTCCTGACCTCAGGTGATCCACCCGCCTCAGCCTCCCAAAGTGCTGGGATTACAGGCATGAGCCACCTCACCCTGCCGCTAGTCATCCTTTTTTAAAATGTCTTGGCAATTATTATTTTCTTTTTGTATAACTTTTAGAATCTTTGGAAAATTCTAGAAAGACCTCATGGGAAAGTAGATTACAATTAGATGGAATCTCTAAATTAACTTGGAAAGGATCATCTTTCCGTTTATCAAGTATTTTAAATACTTCAATAAAAGTTTGGAATGTACTTTGTTCATTTATTAATTCAGTGTGCCTTCTTACTATCTGGTGCTATGATAGGCACCTTGGATGTAATGACAAACTGACAAATCTCTGCACTTCAAGCCCCTTGTAGTAGATGCCTTATAAACCAGATGATAAAAACAAAAAAATTATTTTTCACTAATATCAAATGATAAATCACTCCATATACTGAAGACATAAACTGGGTGACAATGAAGTTCAAATACTTCATTTGAACTTTAAAGCTTCAATATGGCAAGTTCTAGAAATAGTTTTGGAATAACTATAGCTAATTATTGAATGTTGAAAACATAGATTCTAATTGTGGAAAGTTTTAGTCACAAGATATCTTAAAGTTGAAGACAAGGAAATCTTTTATTTGTAATGATGTGTCTTGCACATGGTAGTCATTCTATGCAGCTATTTGAGTGGAATTGATTGTAAATGAAGACAAAAATACTACACAGGCTATCTTCATGCATAAAAATCAGTTTTCTGCTAGTGTGCTATCATTCTGTTTCATATCACTGCTTCATTCTATTCAAAATATTTTTTTATTCTAGAAAGAAACTAAATCATAAAAAGAAAAAATAATCATTGAAAGAGTAGATTCTGCTTTATTTTTTGGATAGAATGATATTATCACCATATCTAGTGATAATTTTAGCCTTTCTTCATAGAATGTAATTTGTTGAAAATGTAGCCTCCAATTGAAGTATTTCTGATTACAATGTACATGTTTCTATGTAATTTGGTATCTTTCATTATTTCTGTGTATACTTGAAAAACAATTTCTTTAAAGTTTTCATTTCTTTTGAGTTGCTTGATTGATTTTTATAGATTCTTCAGTATCAGAAAGATAAAAAGATAAAAATCCCAAACCATTTCTAGGTTTGCTGAAATTATTTTTATTGGCAATGACATGGTATCCAGTTGTGGTTCTATATTATTTGTTTTCAAGTAAAGTTCCCATCAATGGAACCTTTTAAATACCTTATTATTGTTATTAAAAACAAACATTTAAAATATAGTACTTTCTGTGAGTCACCTGAAACATATTTATCTTACATTACTACCAAAGAAAGCGAATAAAAGAGAAGTTTGTGTCAAAGACCTGTAGAGGAGCTTCCGCTGAGGATTTCCTGTTACTAGTTTAATTACTAATTTAGGGTCAATGGAAAAATCTACCTCTATTAACCCCTGTATTTATCTTTAATTTTCTTTCACATCTTCTCCCCTATAAAAATTATCACTAAATTTTAGCAGAATTGTTATTTTCCTAGAGAATAATGATGAGACCTAATGAGCATATAATGATTTAGAATTCATAAAATTCTTTTCACAAACAGAATGTCAGTTCTGTGAGATTGGTGGAACAGAGTCTTACGTTTATTGCCTTCATGAGGAAAAGACTTGGAAGTTAAATGACTTCAGTAATATATGATTTTCCTTTCATGCTCAGGAAAATGACAGAAGGAGCTTATTGAGTAAGGGTTAGAGAGACATGGGTGAAAGTAAGGAGCTAGCAAGAGCTATGCCAGGAGCAAACACTAGGAGAGCAATTTAGTAAGAATTGCTAATGTAATTTAAAATAAAAGGTACTTTTTCAATTACAGAGAAAAATAACACCCTGGAACCTTATTTGTTTACTTCTAGTTTATGATTTTAGCTTCAATATTTTTCACTAAATGCAATATCCAAAAGGGTATGTTGGTTTAATAAACATTTTCTTCAAATCAGTTTGCATCTTCTCAAAGACTTTATAAATGATTAACTAGTGAATGAGAAAAAAATCACAATTCTCTGCTTTTCAATTTATAAGAGGGATAATAATTGATACATATAACATCTTCAAGAAATCAAAATAAAGAAAAGTGCAAAGAATGATAAGAAAATATTAGTTTTTCCACTGTCGTGAATTTAAAACTGTCAAGCTGCTCATACTTACCCTATCTTTTGTTAATAAAGGTTAATAAAGATATTTCAGATAATGCTGAAATGACCATTGACACCACTCCCAGTCATATTTTTCTTTTTTTCTTCTTCCTCAAAAACTATCATCAAAAGTTTGCTGTGTGTGGACTAGCATGTAGTACCATTTCCTTATGTATTAATATTTTACATAAATTTTATCATTCATGCATAATATTCTTCGATATAGTTGGCCTTTTTTTTTATTAAACATATTTCTATTGAGTATGTATTATGTGACAGGCACCAATGGAGTTGAATGAACAAGTACAAATTCCTGCTCTCAATGTAATTCTATTCTAGTAGGATGAGTAAAGAGAAAAAATAAGCAAACATTTTACATGTCAAAAGGTAGTATAATCTGTCATGGAAAAATAAAGCAGAGTTAGAGAATGGAGTGTATTGCGTGGAAGTGTGAGGAAAAGAGTGTTACTATAAATAAAACAACCTTTCACTTATAAGTTGAAATTTTATCAAAAATCTTGAGGAAATGAGAGATGCAGACAAGAGATGTTTGGGTTCCAGGCAGAGAAAATGGAAGATGCAAGTAAAAATCTTTGAGGCAAGGACATGTAGGGAATGGTGCTGATGCTGAATAGTTGGGGTAGAAAGTGGTACAAGATGAGAAAATTAGCAGTAATTGGATTTCACCAAATAACTATACATTTATCATCTAATAGAACATTTGATATAATGAAAAGCAGCATTTTTAATATATGGATTAGGACAAAAAACGTAAATCAGTAGTCTTGTGGGCAAACTTGGATTTATAATTACCCTATATTCTATGGAATTGGCTCAAATTGAGATGAAACAAACACTTATTTCAGATTTGTTGTAATCTAATTCCTGATTTAATGAGATTAAATGTTGTTTTAAGAGTAGACTGAAGAAGAGAAAAATAGAAGCTGGTTTATGAATTAAAAGGCTACTGCTATTATTTTGCAAAAAAAAAGGGTGGCTTGATCTAGAGGGATGATAAAGGGGCTAGTATTATAAGAAGTTTTTGAGTTATAGATATTTATGGCATACTTTCTCATGTTATTTTTTATAATTAACAAAAATTGCACTGATTTGTTGTGTACAATATGTTTTTTGCAATATGAATACATTATGGAATGGCTAAATTGAGCTAATTAACATATACATTATCTCACACACTTATTTTTTTTGTGTGTTGAGAACACAAAATCTACTCTCTGAGCAACTGACAAGGATACAATACATTGCTATTAACTATAGTCACCATGTTGTGCAATAGATATTGTCAATTTATTCCGATGTAACTAAAATTTTATATACTTTAACATCTCTCTAATCCCCCATCCTCCAGACTATTCTACTCTCTACTTCTATGAATCCAGCTTGTTTAGATTTCTCATACAAATGAAATCATTTCATTTATCTTTTGGGGCCTGGCTTATTTTATTCAACACAATGTTTTCAAGGGTCATCCATGTTGTCACAGGGGACAAGATTCCTTTCTTTTTTAAGTCTGAATAGTATTCTATTGTGCATATATGCCAAGGTTTTTAGAAATCTATTCATCTGTTGATGGAGCCTAAATTTTTTTCCATATTTTGGCTATCATGAATAATGCTGCAATGAACATGGGAGTACAGATATTTCTTTGATATACAGATTTAATTTAGTTTATATACCCAGTGAGGAATAAATGAATCATATCATAGTTTTATTTTTAATTTTTGAGGAAACTCTATACTGTTTTTCATAATGGCTGCACCAGCGTACATTTCTATCAACAGTGTACAAAGATTCGTTTTTCCCCATATTCTGGCTAACACTTATTATCTTCTGTCTTTTTGATAATAGCCATGCTAACAGATATGAAGTAATATCTCATGGTGGTTTAATTTACATTTCTCTTAAGATTAGTTATTTTAAGTATTTTTTCTTAAATATGTTGGCCATTTCTATGTCTTGTTTGGGAAATATCTAGTCAGATACCAGCCTATTTATTTACTTATTTTATTTTAAAAATTTATATACAGATGAGGTTTCTCTATGTTATCCAGTCCAGTCCCGAATTCCTGGGCTCAAGTGATCCTCCTGCTGCAGCCTCCCAAAATGTTGGGCTTACAGACATGAGCTATCATGCCCAGCCCACTGATTTTTAATATAATTAATTTGTCTTCTTCTATTGGCTTGAGTTCATTGTATCTTTTGGATATTAACCCTTTTTCAGATTTTTGGTTTGCAAATATGTTCTCCCATTCTGTGGGTTGTGTCTTCACTTTGTTGATTGTTTCCTTGGCTGTGTAGAAACTTCGTAGTTTGATGAATTCCCATTTGTCTATTGTTCCTTTTGTTTTTGTTTTTGGATTTATATCCAAAAAATCATTGCCTAGCCCACATCATGAATATTTTACACTATGTTTTCTTCCAATATTCTTACAATTTCAGGTCTTACATTTTGATTTTTTAATATAGTACAAGATAAGGGTCTAATTTCCTTCTTTGGCATGTGGATATTTAGTTGTCTCAACACCATTTATCAAGGGGACTGTGCTTTCCTCAGTATGTGTTCTTGGCACTTTCATAAAAAATCAATTCATCACCTGGGCCTAGATGTTCAAGATCAGCCTGGGCAACGTAGAGAGATCTCACCTGCACAAAAAAATAAAAATTATTATCTGGGTATGGAGGTACACCTGTGGTCCCAGGTACTCAAGAGGCTGAGATTGGAAGATTGCTTGAGCCCAGGAGGTAGAGAGAGCTGTGATTGTGCCACTGCATTCTAGCCTGGGCAACAAAGCGAGATCCTCTCTCCATAAAAAAAAAAAAAAATCAATTGACTGTAAATATGTGAACTTATTTCTGGGCTCTCTATTTTGTCCCACTGTTCTATGTGTTCATTTTTTATACCAGTATCATGCTGTTTGGTTTACTATATTTTTGTAGTATATTTTGAAGCAAGGTAGTATGATGCTTCCAGCTTTGTTCTTTTTACTGAAGATTGCTTTGGCTATTCAGGGTCTTTTGTGATTCCATATGAATTTTAGCATTGTTTTCTATTTCAGTGAAAAATGTCACTTGAATTTTGATAGCAGCTGCATTGAGTTTGTAGATTGCTTTGGATAGTGTCTTAGTTCATTTTATGCTGCTATAACAGAATACTACCAACAGGGTAATTTATCAATATCAGAAGTTTATTTCCTCACAGTTCTGGAAGCTGGGAAGTTCCAGATTGAGGAGCTAGCATCTGGTGAAGGCCTTCTTACAGTGTCATCCCATGGCAGAAGGTGAAAGGGGAAAGAGAGGAGGAGAGAGCCAAAGGGGGCTGAACTCATTCTTTTATAAAAAATCCACTCTTGCAATACTAAACCCATTCCTAATATAATGACATTAATCCATTCACAAGAGCCCTCATGGCTAATCTCTTCTCATTAGGCTCCACTTGTCTACACTATTGCATTTGGCATTAATTTTTCAATGTATGCTGAATGTGTCATTCAAACCACAGCAAGTAATATGAACATTTTCACAATATTAATTCTTCCAATCAATAAACATGGGATATCTTTTCATTTATTTGTGTCTCCCCCAATTTCTTTCATCAATGCTTTGTAGTTTTCAGTGTACAGGTCTTTATTCTCTTTGATGAAATTTATTCCTAAGTATTTGATTATCTTTTGTAGCTATTATAAGTGGAATTGCTTTCTTGATTTCATTTTCGAATACTGTGTTTTTAGTGTATAGAAATGCTACTGATTTTTGCATGTTGAATTGGCATCCTGTAATTTTACTGATTTTGTTTATTGTTTCTAACAGCTTTTTGAAACTGTTTTTAGGGTTTTCTATGTATAAAATCATGTCATCACAACTAAGGTTGAATTATCTTCTTTCTTTCCAATTTGGATGCTTTATTTCTTTCTCCTGCATAATTGCTCTGGCTAGGACTTCTCGTACTGTGCCAAATAGAATGGTGAGAATGTGTACCTTTGTCTTGTTCTGGATCTTAGAAGAAAAGCTTTCAACTTTTTACTGATGAGTATAATGTTAGCTGTGGTTTTGCCATACTTGGTCTTTATGGTATTGAGGTACATTCATTCTATACATCATTTGTTGAGAGTTTTTATCATGAAAAAATACTGAATTTTGTCAAATGCTTTTTCTGCATCTATTGAGACGATTACATGTTTTTTTTTGCCCTTCATTCTTTTAATTATGTGTACCATATTTATAGATTTGCATATGCTGAACAATTCTTATATCCCTGGGATACATTTCAGTTGATCATGGTGAATGATCCTTTTAAATGTACTGTTAAATTTGTTTTCTTTTTTTGCTGAGGATTTTTGCATTTATGTTCGTGAGGGATATTGACTTGTAATTTTCTTTTCATTTAGTGTCCTTGCCTTGCTTTGCTATTAAGGTAATGCTGGCCTTGTATGATATGTTTGGAAGTACTTCATCTTTTTTTAATTTTTTGAAGAGTTTGGGAAAAAAAGATAATATTTCTTCTTTAAATGTTTGGTAGAATTCATCAGTGAAGCCATCTGGTTCTTGGCTTTTCTTTGGTGGGAGACATTTTATTTCTGATTCAACCTCCTTACCACTCATTATTAGTCAGTTCAGATTTTAATTTCTCTGGGATTCATTCTCAGTAGGTTGTATGTGTTTAGGAATTTGTTCATTTCTTCTAGATTGTCCAGTTTATTCATGCATACTGGTTTATAATCATCTGTTATGATCCTTTCCATTTCTGTGGTATCAGTTTCAATGTCTCTTTTTTTTTTTATTATATTTGAATCTTCTGGTGTGTTTTTTTTTTTTTTGGTCTAGCTATAATTGTGTTGACCTTTTGGAAAAATAAACTCTTAGTTTGTTGATTTTTCTATTGTTTTCCTGCTTTCTATTTTACCTATTTCTGCTCTGAAATCTTTAATATTTCTTTCCTTTCATTAACTTTGGGGTTAGTTGGATCTTGTTTTCCTGGTTCTTTGAGATATAATATTAGGTTGTTTATTTTGGATCTTTCTCCTTTTTTAATGTAGGCACATATTTCTATATCGTAAATTTGGGGACATTGTGTGTTCATTGTCATTTTTATTCAGATATTTTTACTCTTTTTATTTTTTAAAAATTTCTTTGTTTACCCATTGTTTGTTTCTCTGCTATTTTTAGCTATTTTTTTTTTTTTTCTGAGTTAACCAGTCTGTTTCTTTCAGGCAATAGTGTCTATGACATTTTGTTATTTTTGTGTGTATGTTTTAAAAAAAATTTCTGGATAACAATTCCTTGTTGTTTTGTAGTTATTTTCTTCTACAATTCTCTTAGATTGTTTCAATTTTATTATTGTCCTTTTATTTGTTTATCATTTTTCTCTAAACGAAACAAAATTGAGTTAATCAAATTTAATAATAATTTATCCTATGGTAATGCTTTTTGTATCTTGTTTAAGAAATACTACCTGAACAAAATATTATACAGATATATCTTATATTTAAATAGTTTTGAAGTCTTTTCTCAGAAATTTATTTTGTCTGTTGTATATTCAGTCATTTAATATATTATTTTCTATGTGGTTCCCCAATTGTATCAAAAGCCTTTATCAAATAATTTGAATATCATACTATGTTTCAGATTTCCATATTATATGATTTATTTTTTTTCTGTTGATCTATTTGTCACTTTCTGTGTCAATACAGGATTTTTCTATTTTTAATATTTTTGATTAGGTTAAAGTTTATTATGAAATATGCACATATAATGTGTTATTGTAAGGCTATACACATGTCAAATAATAAAGAATTAAAATTATTATTTTATTTATTTTATTTTATTTTTTTTGAGACAGAGTTTCACTCTTGTTGCCCAGGCTGTAGTGCAATGGTGCAATCTCAGCTCACTGCAACCTCCGCCTCCCAGGTTCAAGCGATCCTCCTGCCTCAGCCTCCCAAGTAGCTGGGATTACAGGCATGTGCCACCACGCCTGGCTAATTTTGTATTTCTAGGAGAGATGGCGTTTCTCCATGTTGTTCAGGCTGGTCTCGAACTCCCGACCTCAGGTGATCCACCTGCCTCGGCCTCCCAAAATGCTGGGATTACAGGTGTGAGCCACCACGCCCAGCCAAATTAAAATTATTTGGTGTAAACTTTACTCAGTATAAATACTATCTATAATTCTTAAACTTTCTCTATTCCCCTCCCTCACCATTATCTTAAATGTTTCTGTTATTAAATGTAGAATATTCTTGGGCTTACTTAAAGTTCACCATCACTCTTTTAATTTCATGGTTTTATAATAAGCCTTGGTGGTTGGTAGGGTAATTTCCCCACCTTAGTTTACTTTTTAGAATTTTTTTGGTATTCCTAATGTTACTACCTAACTATATACATTTTAGTATCAGTCTTTTGAAGTCAGTAAGGAAAATTCTTCTAGGATTTTCATTGACATTGAATGGAATTTATAGATTCATTTTGAGAAAAATGGCATTTTAATACTAAATTTATTATATTTTGTTTATAAACAGTGTATCTCCACTTATTCCATTTCTCTTTTATATTTTCCATTAACATTTTTGAGAAGGACTGAGTATTTGTGTATTGCCACAATTCATATGTTAAAATCCTAATTCCATTGTGATACTATTTGAGGTAAAGCCTTTGGGAGATAATTATGTCATGAAGGTTTGGCCCTTATGAATGGGATTCATGCCATTATAAGAAGAGGCCAGAGAGCCACCTAGCTCTCTTTCCACTGTAGGAAGACACAGCAAGAACATGGCTGTCTTTACACCAGGAATAAAATCAGGAAGGAGGCCCTAATCAAGAACGTGATCCTGCTTTCACTCTGATCTCAGATTTTCAACCTCCAGAACTGTGAGAAATAAATTTTTGTTGATTTAAGCCACCCAGCTTATGGTATTTTGTTATCGCAGTCCAAAGTACTATAATAACTTTATAATTTTCCTTTTTTTTTTTTACATTTTAAAAAAATTAGGTTTCTTCTTACATCTTTCAAGTTTATTGCTATTATGACCAAATTTTTTTCCATTATATTTTATGGTATTTATGACTAGGAGTTGTATTGATTTTTCACATATTTTAGGATGTTTAGAATTGTGCTGATTGAAATGCTATGAGAGATTATTCAAGTGGAATACTAACTAAAGCCTAGCATACTATTGTAATTACCAATGTAGACGCTGAAACTAGATCACTTGTATTGAGATCTTAACTCTGCCACTTACTAGGTCTTTGACTTTAGACAAGCGACTAGTTAAATAACCATTTTTTATGCTCCAGTGTCTTCCTCTATCTGTAAATGGAGCTAATAATAGTATCTACCTTATTTGGAGGAGTAAGCAAATTAATCTGTGCAAAGCCTATAAGACATTGCTTTACACACAAATGCCACATAAGTAATAGCTATTATAGTAGTTATAATTATCATTTTTATTGTTGTCAAAAATTAATTTATTTTCTGTTCTTTTATTTTTCCCCTTTATATAATAATCAAATCAATGCTGTGTTGATTCTTCCCTTAAAATATCTCTTTAACCTCTTTCCTCATTTACTATCTTCCACCATCTCTAAACCCTTATTATCTCATGCATGGATGATTATAAAAGCCTCTTGTCTACCTGCCTCTAGTCTCTTTAACTGCCAAATTTGCACCTATATTCAGACTTTTAACTCAAAAAATTAAGTTTATACTCACTACTTATCATAATATATCTAAACTATAGATTTGGTTATATTCCTGCCCATATGAGAAAACTTTGATGAGCTTTCATTTCCTCCAGGCTACAATCCCTACATGCACAGTATCATCTTATATTTTATCTCCCATACACTTTGCTTCTCAACTCCATTTTTTGCTTTCCTAAGAGTACTTGAAATTTCGTATCCATGTTTTTTATCATGATATATCTGGGATGACTCTTCTGTCACTTTTCCACCACCACTCCAGTGTACTATGCTACATAAACTGCTCAACCAGGATACTTTAAATTATCTTTTATGATTTAGTTTATACGTAATTTCCTGTAAACTTTTTTTTCCTTGTGTTAAAATTGTTTGGTTCTTCTGTGTTCAATAAAACTCCTCACACTATATATCAAATAACTATATATTTAATATATATTATTTTCCAACAGTAAACCAGAATCACTGATCACTTATCATGTAGGTTATTTATTTTTGAGTCACATGAACTTAATATTTTAATCATTTACTGGTGACATATGGTGTCTGTCTTATATGTGCTTTCTATTACTGAACCACACACATAAACAGGCTTATCCAAGGCAGTGATGGATAATTCATCGGTTTCCCAGGCAGAAGGAGAGCCTTTTCTGCTAAACATTTTCTTTAGCTTGGGGCATACCAGAGAACATTTTTCCCATGTGCTGGCAGATTCTCAAGAAATAAAGGGAAGAGAACAGGTTGAGTTGAACATTCTCAGGGTGTGTTTCTAACCCTACCAAAGAGAAAATGTACTTCTCTCCTAGGAAGAAGTGAATGAATGCGTGACAAGAGAGGTACACTAAATGATGTCGTCTAAGCTGAAATATAAAGCCAGGGAAAAGGAAGCTCATTCCTGTGGTATTTACATTATTCACTTTGCAATGTGAGTGGAAGGCAGTAAAACCTGTTGAATTACAAAGTCCCAGTTGCACTGTCCACACTGATTTAGATGGGCTTTGGCTCCAGGTCCCTGCCTTCAAAACATGCACATCCTTAGGGCTGGTATTCAAAACAAAACAAAACAAAAAGGTTCAATAATTTATTTCATACAATAGCAGATTCCCCCAGCAATTTCATCTGGAATTCTACCACAATTTGTAACATATCTTATTTTCTTGGTAACATTGGAGAATGCTATCATTAGCTTAGTGCATTTAAATGACTCACCAAAGTATGACATCTGGAACACTGTCCTACTGAGTTCACAAGAATTTCAATGTCTAAGAAATTAGAATTTCACGTGAACATGAAAATTAACCTGAACAGAAAATTATGCAGAAGATAGCCTAATATTTGCATTCAGCTTTTATTAAGTTGATTTCGCTCAGATCCCATGCTTTTCTCAACAGCTAAGATCTCCAAGCTGTCTTTCATTTTTCTTTCTCTTTCGATAGTCTTGATTTTAGATATGTAGAATTATAGTTCACACCCTTTGGATTTTTTATTTGGAATGGATCAAAAGTGTAACAATCATACTAGATAGCCTATAAACCTAATCTTCTTTCTCTCTTAAGAAAGAAGAGGAAAAAAATTAAAAGCTTCTCTCCTAAGTTCTAGTGAATTTTCAGATAAATGTAGATTTAGTGGGAGGAAGAATACCACTTAATCCACGTTTATTTGAAAATTAATTTAAGAATGATATAAAATTATGCAAAATTAAGAATTTTGCAGAATTAAGAAGTTTAAGTCTGCATAAAGTCTTCAATTGCTTGTTCTTTCTATGGCCATGTGTGCTGTGGCATTTTGTACCTTCTAAGCATATCTTTCTCCCTGCATTTTTTCATAACTCACTGGGGAGATGCCACTGTGAAAACAATCACTGATGCAACATAAAATCCTTAAAAATTTGTTTAGGTGAGAGATGTCTCAAGTAATAGGGTTGTAGGGGGGAAGTTAGATGAGTTTTTCAGAAGAAAGAGACATGCTATGATTGGCTCTCTTGCTGGCTGGGCTCACCATTGAGAAATATGCTGAAAACTCACCATCTCCTGATTTTCATAAATGGTATCTGCCTTGTTTATGTATTTAGTATAGATTTCAAACTTTGTTTAGCATTGGCTACTTTTCTTTCCTGCTGTTGTTTCAAGATTATACACATAATTTTAAAAGCAGTGTATAATAAGCTCCCTGTGGAGGCTGAGGTCTTAAGACTGATGGAGTTTATCACAGTCCTCTCCTTTCCCTTAAAAAGTCACTGTGTCATTTGAACAGAGATTATTGTTCTAAGTCCAATTTCTAAGAGTGTCACCATGTACAATGTATAGTATTCTGCAGCACATTATATAATACTTCTTAATATCACTGATAAATTGCTTAAATATCTTTGCACATTACATGGCCTCGCTATGGAACCACCCACTTATAAATAGCAGTTCAAATTTATATGTAGTTGCACAGAAAGTGAATCATGCAGCATCCCAATTTATAGTTTTAACTAGAGTCTGATTTTCTTTTTCTAAGAGTCCATTACTCAAGCTCATTGCTGGTAGTATTTTTTTTTCCCTTTTTATCATCTTTTTTCCCCTGAAACAGATCATTTATAGTGATATAGAAACACTTACCACTTGCTTTTAATCTTATGAAACATACGGCTTTGAGTTTCTGGTGAACCTTAAAGCTTTTTATCAAATGGAATAAAATGAATTCTTTAAAAAAATGTATGTGGTCTTAACATTTAATAATTACCTTTTAAAGAGGCTTACAGTAATTGAAAACAGATTAAATATGGTTTAATTCAGTTTACTATCTCTACTCATACATCTTTTCTACCTTTTTCTGATAAAACTTTATATGAAAAAGTAGAGATTGAAGAGAAAATGTGGATTGTCACCACAAAAGGGCTCTTTAATTTTAAAATATAAACAGGAAAAATTAAAATATTTAGGAAAAAAACTTTGATCTGCTTGAGTCAGATCCAATGAACTACTGGTATCTTGTAAAGAAACAACTTCCTCTGGGAAATATTTGAATCTAATTTTATTTTTTAAACGATGAAGACTCACTTATTTCATTTTAAATAACTTCTTAGCTAAGAAATTTTAGGCGAAATTTTAAAGAATTATGGTAGCATATGTTCTTTATTCCTCCTTTGTCACTCAGTTTGTCTGTTATTAGAATTTCTGAGTGATGGTATTTGTAAGAGAAGGTTTTATCTATTCTATATTTTCCAAAATAAAGGGAAACAATAGAAAACAAACTGTAATAAACTTACACTAGGGAATACAATTTTTTTCCTGATTTTTTAGTGGTACTCTCTATGCCCATAAGCAAGCTACTTACCTTCCGTGCAACTGAAAAGCCAAATAATTTGGTTCTGGGAAGAATTCAAATGTTTTTTCTAATATTACAAAACAGAAAATACAGATTTCACAAATTGCTCAACCCTTTTTAAATCAAGTATCTGTAAAGGCCAGGTGCAGTGGCTCATGCCTATAATCCCAGCATTTTGGGAGGCAAAGGCAGGCGTATCTATGTTGCCAGGATTTTGAGACTAGTCTGGGCAACATAGCAAGATCCCCATCTTTACAAAATATTAAAAAATTAGCCGGGTGTGGTGGTGTGCTCCTGTGGTCCCAACTCAGCAACAATGTCCTCTTACTTGGCTATTCCCAGAACATTAATATCAATGAATACTAACTAGTGACATGCGTATGAACAGCTGCTAGAGTCTAAATTATAAGACAAATAGAAAAATGTCAATGGATGTTAAATCTATCAGTTTTTATTATGCTTCTAATATAAAAACAAATAGATACTACAAATCAGAAAAGTAAGGCCAAAGGGATCTTAGTTTAATAAATGATTCAGAGGTAAAATATCTAAAATCAAATTTAAAAATTATGTTTTAAACTTGTTCTTTTATTAAAGGGTCCCAAAAGTCCAAATGGGAATATTGTTTTGATAAAGCATGTTATTCCCTTATCAAGTAGCTATCCTGATTTACTTGGCAGAGACTAAAACCTGATTTTCACATACATGATTTAGAGCCATGCAGTCATTCAATAAATGTGGTAATGTAATTTGTATAATCAATCGAGATGTAAATGATCAGCTTCCACCTAGAGCTACCTTCTGATACTCCTCTTGTTGTTTTGTTTTCCAATAGATAGACAGATGTCTCTATCACCTGTAATAAAGATTTTTTTATTAATGATATAAAGCTCTCTCTCAGATACTTTAGGAGTTCTTTGACTGAATCAACCCAGAGCTACTAAATTGTCATTTAACTTTCTATTTATTTATTTATTTATTTATTTATTTATTTATTTATTTATTTATTTTTTTGAGACTGAGGAGTCTGGCTCTGTCACCCAGGCTGGAATGCAGTGGTGCGATCTTGGCTCACTGCAACCTCTGCCTCCTGGGTTCAAGTGATTCTCCTGCTTCAACCTCCCGAGTAGCTGGGACTACAGGCTCACGTCACCACATCCGGCAAATTTTGTATTTTTAGTAGAGACGGGGTTTTGCTGTGTTAGCCAGGCTGGTCTCAAACTCCTGACCTTAAGTGATCTGCCTACCTGGGCCTCCCAAACTGCTGGGATTACAGGTGTGAGCCACCACCCCAGCCAACTTTCTCTTTATTAACACAAAGTTGATCTGAAGCTATTGGAACTCTTTTTCAATCAGACATAATGTAAATATCAGGCACTATCTACAAAATGAAGGGCTATTTCAGAAATGTTCAGCCAGTACCAATTTGGAAATTCTGATCTAATCCATTGCATTGTGAAATCTGTATGAAGAGCTATCATTAAAAAGCAAACTTTCCAGATGCCTCAGAGGCTTATGAAACTAAGAATTCAGCTTTTAATGGATTCTAATTTGACCTTCACAGATATTTATTTTATATATTATTTATTGATTATTATCATTTTTTAGATGGAGTCTCTCTCTGTTGCCCAGGCTGGAGTGCAGTGGTGCAATCACAGCTCACTGCAACCTCTGCTCCCAGGCTCAAGGGACCCTCCCAACTCAGCCTCCCGGGTAGCTTGGACTACAGGCATGTGCCAACATGGCCAGCTAATTTTTTTGTATTTTTTGTAGAGATGGGATGTCGCCATGTTGCCCAGGCTGGTCTCCAACTCTTGGGCTCAAGTGATCCGCCCACTTCAGCCTCCAAAAGCTCTAGGATTATAGGCATGATTCTCTGTGCCTGGCTATATTTTTTCTGTAGAGACAGAATCTTGCTATGTTGCCCAGACTGGTCTCAATCTCCTGGGCTTAAGCGATCCCCCTGCCTCCACCTCCCTAAGTGCTGGGATTAGAGGCATGAACCGCTGCAAGCAGCCATGTATGTGTAATTAATTGATTATTTAGTTGCTTGTGTATTTTATTCTCCCAAGTATATTGTAGAGTCCTTGACACCAACCATGCATTTTGCTTCTTTATATAATCCTACTTGGTATAATGTTGAGTATTTAAGTATTTGCTGACTGATAGATTAACAACTAATTACTAAATCACTGTTAAAACAAAAGATTAAGTAGTTAAGTTGGCTGTGAGTAGACACAATGCCTATTCCAATTTCCTTGTATATAATTATCTGTGCTGTGGATGCTTTATTAAGATACTGTTTATTTAGACTTGCTAACATGGTCACCATTTTTTACTGTAGTTATATTTGATGTGACAGACTATTCCCTTCAGCTCATCTCCATTAATTCCTAGAGTTGGTAATAATGTACACATCATCATTCCAATTTATCTTGATGGAGTGTCCTTGATATTTTTTATTTGTCCTTCCAGCTCAAGTCTCTATTCTCCAAGCTGGAAACTGACAGTTAGAACAGATTAAATGACTCCTTTAACTTTAAGCTTCTGATTGGTATCTAGAGAATGTACTGGCAGGAGATCTTGAAGGTGGGATTATTGTGAGGAGGGCATTTATATTTACCTAATTCTGTTTTTTTTTTTTTTTTGCTAGGTAAGTTTAGGTCAGCTGCATCTCTCTATTGAGAAATCTCAGGGACAGTTATTTTCTGTATTCTATAAGTACTCCTTATTCTTCAACTTTCAGATGTATAGTGACAACAGTTTCCCTGCTACTACTAGTTTTGAGGTACTGAACCATTTATTGTTGCTTTTTATAAACAATATTTATACTTTACTAAATCATCTTTATTAAGTTCTCTTCAGATTATCAAATTATTTGTTTCCTGCTCATAACTTGACTTCTAAGAAGGTTTATAACAATTTTGAACCCTACCAGTTAATGTTCATGTAATGCTTACCGCTAGTAGATAGATGCCTGGAATTAGAGCTCTGGAAATGTGTATCTCCAGCAGTCTTTCTATTTTTATTTAAGATAGAGTAATAAGGGCTGGCTCAATCTGTTTGAATTAAGTAACTAAAATTCTGAAGAAGAAAAAGAAAAGCAAGGCAGAAAGGGAAAAAAAAGCAAGAAAGTAAAAGAAAGAGAGAGAGCACAAAAGAAGAAAGAAAGAAAAGAAAGAAAGAAAAGAAAAGAAAACATTGGTTTACAGACTTTGTGCAACAAGTACCATAGGACAAGAATCTCTGAGAAAAGGGACACAAACAAAGGGGTCCTTAAAATTGCTCTCCCTTAATGTTTGAGGAGATTTTTCGGGTGCCAGTACAGGTATGCAAACCCCAAAGAGAGCCTATTAGTCTTCCTGAATTGAGAAGACAGAGCTAAGAATTCGGGCAGGCCAAAGTGGCTAGAATTTGGAGGGTATAATAGTGGGAAGAAACAGCTACATAGAGTATGAATTCTGGAGACAAGCAGAGGGTTCTCCTCAAGTTTTCAAATGAGTATTAATTAGGGCATGCATCTGATGGTGTGTGTGTGTGTGTGTGTGTGTGTGTGTGTGTGTGTGGAGGTGGGTGGGGCACCAAGAAAAAGAAACAAATAGAACAATATTCAGTTCTCATACAGGACTGGAAATATTTTATGTTCTCAACTAGCCAAAGTAAAAAAAAAAAATCCCATAATACATGGAATAGAGTGGAGTAGTCCTAAGGGCATTGCAGCAATAATGGGGAAAATTATCTCTGCCTTAATGGTGACCCTGGTCCTGCCTAAAAAAACTTCAAAGCAAGCATCAAAAGTCTCCAACTATTTTCAGGAAACTTAACTGAATCTCACAATGAGGCTCTAGAATTAAAGGAATACAAAAAATCATTATCAAGACCAAATCCATGATGTTGGATATCCAACCAAAAATTATCAGGCATGCAAAGAAGCTGAAAAACATGATTCATAATGAGGAAAAAAATTAGTCAAAATAAACAGGTCTATAAATGACACAGATTATAGAATTAGTAGTCACTGATATAAAAAGTTATTATAACTATATTACATGTGTTCATGGAGTTAGAAGAAAGCATGAGTATGTTAAGGAAAGACAGAAAACATACAAAAAATACACACATCAAATTTCTAGAGATGAAAAAATCTGTGTCTGAGATAAAAATTATACTGGTGCGATGAGATCCTACAGAAGAAAAGATTAGTAAACTTGAAGATACAGCAATAGAATCAATTCAGAATAAAGCCTGCAGAGAAAAACAGCTGTGGGACAATCTTAAGTGACCTGATATGCATAAAATTGGAATTTCAATGTGAGGCAGGAAGAAAAAATATTTGAAGAGATAATGGCTGAGCATTTTCCAAATTTAAAGAAAACTGTAGACCTATAGATCCAAGAAATTCAGTAGGTCTCATGCCAAACACACCAAGACACATCATAATCAAATTGGTTAAAACCAATGATATATATATATATAAAACCTTTTTAGAAACAGCCATAGAATAAAAGATGCACCTACAGAGGAACAAAGATAAGTGAAATTGAAGACATTCCATTAGAAACAATTCAAGCCTAATGACAGTGAAGCAGTGTTTTTAATACAAGGAAAGAAAAAACAAAGTGAAAAACAAAACAACAGCCCATCAACCTAGAATTTTATACCTAGAAAAAATCTATTTCAAAAATGCAGGTGAATTATAAGATAGTTGCATATTTTCTCCATTGGACTTGTCTAATTTCTACACTTTTCAATGTATTTGGGGATCTATATAATGCCCAGAACTGGAGTTTCAGGTGCAAGGGAACTGAAAAGGCTGTGAGGAAAAAACTCATGCTTGAGAAGTCATGTGCTCAAGTCTCTGAACAAGAGGAGGCAATTTTGAAATCAGTGCTGTGTCAGTCACACCAATTTGACTCCCTCCAGCCTAGTACACATAGATTCTGGTTCAGGCCCACATAAAGACTGCTATTTTTCAGCAAAATAAACTATCCCCAGACTAAACAGAAAACTTACAGAATCAGAGATAATATTTGCAACTTTTGCATCTGACAAAGGCCTAATTTCCAGAATCTATAACAAATTAACAAGGAAAAAACAAACAACCTCATTGAAAAGTGGGCAGAGGACATGGACAGACATTTTTCTTTTTTTTTGTTATGAGTTTTTATTTGTATCAACCTCCTTACCCCTCCTACTTAAATCCATGAATAGACTCTTTTTATTGTTTTGTGTTGTTTTTATTAATTTTCCAGTAAAGCCATTTTGGCCTGGGAATTTCTTTTTTGGAGATCTTTCTCTTTTTTTTTTTTTTGAGATGGAGTTTCACTCTTGTCTCCCAGGCTGAAGTGCAATGCCGTGATCTCAGCTCTTTTTATTGTTTTGTGTTGATTTTCTTTTATTATTATTATTATTATACTTTAAGTTCTAGGGTACATGTGTGCAATGCGCAGGTTTGTTACATAGGTATACATGTGCCATGTTGGTTTGCTGCACCCATCAACTCGTCATTTACATTAAGTATTTCTCCTCACACTATCCCCACCTTGGACTGATATTTTTCAAAAGATGACATACACATGGCCAAGAAACCTATGAAAAAATGGTCAACATTACGAATCATTAGAGAAATGCAAATGAAAACCACAATGTGATAACCTCTTACACCAGTCAGAATGGCTATTACTAAAAAGTCAGGAAGGCCAGCATGGTGGCTCACACCTGTAATCCCAGCACTTTGGGAGGCCAAGGTGGGCGGATCACCTGAGGTCAGGAGTTTCAGACCAGCCTGGCCAATGTGGTGAAACCCATCTCTACTAAAAATACAAAAAATTAGCTGGGTGTGGTGGCGGGTGCCTGTAATCCCAGCTACTAGGGAGGCTGAGGCAAGAGAATTGCTTGAACCAGAGAGGTGGAGGTTGTAGTGAGCCGAGATCACGCTACTGCACTCCAACCTGGACAACAAGAGCAAAACTACCTCTCAAAAAAAAAAAAAAAAAAAAAAAGTCAGGAAATAACGGATCCTGGCGAGGTTGCAGAGGAAAGGGAACACTTACACACTGCCGGTGAGAATGTAAATTAGTTCATCTCTTGTGGAAAGCAACGTGGGAATTTCTCAAAGAATATAAAACAGAACTACCATTTGACCCAGCAATTCCATTATCAGCCATATACCCAAAGGAAGATAAATCATTCTACCATAAAGACACATACACATGTATGTTCATTGCAGCACTATTCACAATAGTAAAGACATGGAATCAACCTAAATGCCCCTCAATGGTAGACTGGATAAATAAAATATGGTACATATATGCCATGAAATACTATGCAGTCATTAAAAAGAATGAGATCATGTCCTTTGCAGTAATATGAATGGAGCTGGAGGCCATTTTCCTAAGTGAAATAATGTAGAAACAGAAAACCAGATACTGCATGTTCTCACTTACAAGTGGGAGCTAAACAGTGAGTACACGTGGGCACATAAAGGGACACATAAAGGATGGAGGGTAAGAGGATGGAGAGAATAAAAAAACTGCCTATCAGATACTATGCTTATTACCTGGGTGATAAAATAATCTGTATACCAAACCCCTATGACACATAATTTACCTATATCACAGACCTGCATATGTAACCCTGAACCTAAAATAAAGTGAAAAAAAAGTGCTATTTGTATATAAATTCCTATGACATACTAAGTTACATAAAATTTATTGCTTTGGAGCCAACACAAGAATAACATAACAAACAGGAATTTTCTTCAATTAGTCACAGAATACAGCATGATTTAAGTGCTTGGCAGCAAATATTACTAGGATCATTTTCTCCTGTAGTAACATGTCCTAGTAGCTGGTTTAGTACCCAGTCATGAATATAGTGGCATCCAGCGTACAGTGTTGGGTGCTACATAGCAGTGTCACTCATTCCACTAATTTGTTACAGCATGACAATATGTTCAGACAGAACAGCCCCATTTACATTTAATCATAATGATAAACAGTATCAGCAATCGTCATGTTAAGAGCCCTTTTGAGGCTTCACAGGTACCAGAGACCTCAGCAGCAGAAGGATAATCCGAACAAGAGAAGAAAAATGGTGAACATTTTATGATAGAGGTGATACATTTTGGGTGTAATATATGTGATTATTGTTGAAAATTTTGTCAGATTAATCAATGACAGGACAAAGGCAGACAAAATTAGTTACAGTAAAGAAAGTTAATATTATTAAAACTAAATTCAGGCATATTTCTCAAACATCTTGGGTTCAAATCTTACTACCTTTAAAACCTTGGGAAAATTTCTTAGCCTTTTTATAGTTTATTTTTCCTCATTTGTAAAATAGATATAATAATATTACCTAAGGTAATTGTAAAGAATAAATGGGAATATAGATACAGCATATCATAAAAAATGTTCCTGGTATCTAATTTTTGAACCCCATTAAATTTTAGCTATATTTATGGTGTCAGGTAACTCAGGTTATCAAGGAAGATTTCAGGGACGTTATCAGTGTGGCATCTAGAAAATAATGAATATATGACATTTAGGTATTATTCCTTTTGAGATAATTTTGCCCAACTTATATTGTCTAGATAGCTACCTAATGTCCCTAAAGATAAAAAAAAATTTGTCTATTGCTTCTTATTAAAAAGGCAAAATCAGTGATAGAGGGGCCAAGGTTTTTATTGTTGTCTATGTAATTTATTCACTATTTTTATCAGAGGACCACAATCTGGATAGACTTGAAAATGAAGCCTTTAATAATGCAGGTTAAAGATTATTTACAGTTGTCTTTAACAAGGACATTTTTTCCTCCTGTCTCTAAGAAACACTTTTCAAAATATGGTAGCATTAAATCCTTTAATTGGTGACCTACAGCCTGATGCTTGAGAAGGATTGATATAAATATTAAACAGAAGGCAGAGATGTATTATATCTCTAAAATGGATCTCAAACTCATGGCTCTGTCCTTTTGATGATTGTTAAATGCTTAAAAATAATATTGAGATATTGAATATTGTGTTATTAAATATCTACTATATCAATAATCATTATGTGAGATGCTGTTCTAAGTAGTACTTTTTTAAGGCCTTTATACTTACTGTTTTTTTTTTCCTTTTGACCTTAACCTCATGATTGTTTGACCTTATCCAAGCTTTACCAATTTTTCAGGTGCAGTTCAATCTTCATCTTTTCCACAGTCATCACTAGTGATAAGGCCCTCCTATGAACTTCTAGCACTTATTGTCTCAATCTGTCATTTCCAAATAATTATACACAGTTGTCTGATGCTTTTACTATCATTTAAATTTTGATATGCATATTCAGACTTCTTCACATGAATTAAACTCTGTAAGGGCAAGTTCATTTTATTAGCATAGTACTAAATTTTCAAAGTTTTGAATTAATGTTTAGTATCTTTCCTAATGATGGTCTCTCAAACAATTTTTACTCTGATTCTGTTTCACAAATAACACCAAAATACATGCTGTCCATTCTTATAGGATCTCTGGAACATCTTAAAAATTTCAACAAATTCTCCTTTGAGAAATTTTATTAAATATTATTAAGTGTATATATTTTTTCTTTGTTCTTCCAAGTGGCTAAAAATTATAATGCACTATACTTCTCTATGACCAGTTTAACTAGCATGTAATAACATGGTAATCTTTTCCCATTTTGAATGCTATTTGCAATCTTGATAATTGCTTGCCCTCTGAAAAGTACTTGATCTGATGTCAAACTAAATTTCTCATAAAAGTTAAACTTTTTCACAAAAATAGAATTTGCCTCAAACTCTTTGTGGATTTTTGCATGACAGTTTCTTTGCAAGTATGTGACTCAGAGAGAATGTATATGAGATGAATTATTGCCTTTACCAGTGACTCTCAACACTTAATACATAAACTACAAAATAAATGTTTTTCCATAAAAAAGACACTATACCAGTGACTCTCAACACTTTTAATACATAAACTACAAAATAAATGTTTTTCCATAAAAAAGACACTATAGTTTGTGGTATAGGACAAATGGACTCTTGTTTATAAGCATTTCAGAACACAAGCTCTCATTCTAATCTCACTGTTTCACTTAATATCAATCCAGGGAGTAAAACAAGTATTTTCAAAGAATAACTTTTGGTTTTATTTAATGCATTGAAAAGGTTGGGCTGGGCGCGGTGGCTCACGCTTGTAATCCCAGCACTTTGGGAGGCCGAGGTTGGTGGATCATGAGGTCAGGAGTTCAAGACCAGCCTGACCAAGATGGTGAAACCCCATCTCTACTAAAAATACAAAAATTAGCCGAGCGTGGTGGTGGGTGCCTGTAATTCCAGCTACTCGGGAGGCTGAAGCAGATAATTGCTTGAACCTGGGAGGCGGAGGTTGCAGTGAGCCGAGATCACGCCACTGCACCCCAGCCTGGGTGGTAGAGGGAGACTCCGTTTCAAAAATAACAAAGGTTTGAAACTTTAAAATTTTTAAATTTTGATATCTGAACTCTTACCAGTCATATGTTAGTGCTGCATATCTCATGACATATGATTCTATCAGGGTAATTGAGAATTCCTTTCCCAGGCTACCGCTTAGGTAAATTGAAGAGAGACTGTGCACCAGAAGTGTCAAAGATTGATGGGCACATGATATTTATGAATCCAGTCTATGTCTAGGACTAAGAACTGATAACAGGTACTGTGAGTTTTCAAACTATATCCCCTTGGCACTCAATGCCTTGAGAAGGCAAATACTTTCAGGTTTTACTCCAAAGGTTTTTTATGGCTACAGGGTCTTGAGGAAGGGTAGACTGGAAGTGCCAGGGAGTTAACCACCAAGACCCCTAACCACCAGCAGCCCACAAATGACAAATAGGAATTGGTGCATAAATACCCCAGCTCTCTCTCCCCTCCCATTGTAAAAGCATTGGCCATATTTCTCACCATCTATCAAAAGTACCTCACCTAGGTTCCACAAGAGTAGCTTGCTTATTAAGCACCCTATTTTGGCTTCCTAGGCTTCTTTCCCTTCCATGTCCCACTTCTTCACTCTTCTGGGATTATCACCCAGATTACTTGCAGGTAAATCTTAGTCTCACAGTGTAGCATCTGCAAAAACCCATTGCAAGCCAGAAGCTAGAACTGAACATCTTTTCCTTCCATTAACCATGCTCAAAGCTAAACACATTTAAGATGCTGCACGAAAAAAATGGAGAAATAGCAAGAATTGTTAGCTGCTCAGTGAATCAGGAAGTTCTAAATTAAGACTGGTCTCTTTCTCAGCAGTCAGTCTTCCTCAAGTTTTGCTATTCAAAAATATGTTTAAAAGAAGGTAGCAGAAAAAATTAGAATGGTAAATCATTGTCTTACATGCTCAAGATGTATTGTCTTGCTGTCTTCAATATTTGTTTAGGACCATAACGACAGACAATGTTGCCCATAAGCATTTATGTCTGGCAGCTTGATTTTCATAGGTTTATTGCTTAGAAAAACTGATATTTTTCACTGAGCCTGTCAGTATAAACAAACTTCTTTTAGATTTAATATTTTATTTTATTCCTCTGAAGACAGTTATATTGAAATTTTAATCTAAGATGCTATTTTAATTTTGGAATAGTAGAGTTATATTATCTAGGGTTTGAGAAAGAAATTTAGGTTGATTTACTGTTCTTTCTGAAATGTAAGTGATGCCAGTTGATTCTTTGAATACACAATATAAATAAAAAAAATTGAATTTCATTCTGGGTTTTTTCACTGATTTATAAATCTAAGTACATTCTAATTAAGTTCTACATTTCTCAGTTTCGTTATATACCAAGTGCATTCATTTATCCTCCATTTTAAAATATGGGATTATAAAGTAATTTGTTAGAAAAGAAGGTTTAATTTGATTTTTGTACTTAACCACAAATTTTAAGTAATGAAAAATTTAATTTTGCTTATAAACTTCCATCTCTAAAATTATACAAAGAGATAAGAATGAGGCACATGAAAGACATCATATCACTAGGGTGTGGTGGGGTAGAGAACATTACAAAATTTGGCCTCATGCAGCTCTCCTTGCTGTCAGCCACAAGAAACCTTAAAGTACTCAGCCCCGGTGGGTGTTGCTTCAATTGGCCATCTCTCGCCCAGTTCTTTTTTTTCCAAGCTGCTATTCTTACATTTGATAACATTTTGACTACTGACAGTAAAGTGGCAGCTGCTTCTGTACTGCCATAATAACCAGAGACTGCTCAACTCCAAGGGCCACCTTTCACACTGAATACATTGTATTCTCCACAATGGGGGATCCCTGCAGTTGAGCAACCCTATAGTGCAGAACAAGCAGTCTCTTGTTTAGCTGCTGGGGTTGAGTGGCTCATTGACAAAGTTGTAGCTATTGCCAATTAAGAATTCCAAAGAATAGCAAGAATGGAATATTTTCTTTGGCCAAAAACTGCACTTACCACTTTTCCTGCTCTACCTTACGTAGTCTTCAAAGCAATTCTGTGATGTGTTATTTTATTCCCATTCAATAGATGAAGAAAGCAAGGCACATACCTAGAGCTTAATATGCAGCTGACCAGCCCTTAAGTCTCTTTAAATTTAGAATGAGATAAACATGATTTAAATCCTGTTTTTGCCGCTTACCAGCTAAGTGGCTAAAAGCAAGTTTCATGATTGCTCTCACCCTCAGCTGCCAATTCTGAAACAGGGATCCAACAGTAGCTGCCCTGCATGGCCTAAAAAAAGCTTGGTGAGGCCAAATGAGCAAATTGTAACTAGATAACACATTTTGTCAACAATGAAGCAGCACGTAAAATAAATTGCACTTTTACATTTATTATTCACACATTCTTAGTTAAAGGTACATAGCCTTATTTCTTTCTCACTCAGAATTTGCAGAGATTGAAAATTTTAATGTATTATACCCAATGGCATTTCAGTCAGTGACATGAATTGAAATAACCAGGAAATCTGCCTGTCTCTTCTTCTCTTCCCTCTACCTCTTCCACACACATTATACCAATCGTAATGATTTTTTGATAACCAGAACTAAAACATTAAGCCTCAGGCTATCCAGGTCTTTGGAAGCCCCAAAGTTTATGAAACGGCAATATTTTTTGCTTTTAAGTCAATTATGTACAACTGAGAAGTGGGTTGAGAAAGATATTTTTGAATATCAGGAGAAAAAAAACTGATGAATTTTTTGATGTTTCAGAATTTTTATTTTTAAAAATAAAACAATATTTAAATAATGTCCATAGGAAACTGGGTTAACAAAGTTTCATATTCCTAAACAGATCTTCCCTGTGGACGGACATTTTTATGTAAAGGAATGTGAGATGGGTCCTTGAGGAGCATCTTTCTGGAGATTATTCCATTTTTAGTTAATCGAGGAAGGTGAGTAAAGGTTAATTTTATGTGTTAACTTTATGTTATGGTACTCAGATATTTAGTTAAATACCAGTCTAGATATTGCTGTAAAGGTATTTTTAAAATAAGATAAACATGTACATCTGTAGACATTGAGTAAAAGCATATTACCCTCCATAATTTGAGTGGGTCTTATCTAATCAGGTGAAGATCTTAAGAGAACAATTACTGAGATCCCCAAGGAAGAGAGAATTCTGTCTTCCTCCAGGTGGTCTTCAGACTCAATCTGCAACACCAATCAACTCTTCCCTGGGTCTCCAGCCTGCCAGCTTACTCTAGTCTGCAGAACGCAAACAATTGGTTTGTTTCTCTGGAAAACACTAATACATGGTGTGTTTGCCATCCTTTGTAGTTCCCAAACAGCATGGAATGGTTGCTCTATAAGTAAAAATGATGGACAGAAAGTGCTTTAAAGATGATCTATGGAAACGAAACCTTTCCCACAGAAAATGTACAGAAAGAATATGTCTTCAGAAACTCTCAACTAGTTACAGGAGCAACCTTCAATCTCTCCTACCTTTTCTTTGAATAAACTTTATTTTTCATCAAGATAGCTTTTTCCCAATACTGCGTTTGATTTTATGGTTTTCTAATAAAATTAAACATAGCCATTTCCAATCTTTGCCCTTCTCCATTCTTTTTTTTTCCACTCTCTAGCCCCAAAGGACATCTGATCTATTCCTGCTGCACCTTCTGAAATCTATGAACTGTGAAATTACATAATTGATAGTTGAAAAATAAGTAGTAGAGTGCCAAAAAGTTCACATGATATTATCTTCTGTCCCCTACCCCCTGCTTTCCCCTTAGTCAAACACAGTTATGGCAGCAGATACAAAGGCAATTAGCTTTGAAAACTCTGGCATACAGGAAGTCCCCATACAATTGCTTGGAATAAGGAATGGTATGTATTAAAAAGCTTTTTGAGTATTCACCACCATCTGCTCCTATCAGGACCATCAGTTCTGCATTGGTCCTTCTCTCTCTCCCACCCTATTCCTACACACTGTGGGAGTGTCCTAGAACAGCCATCATCTGGCAGCTATTTTAACATATGTGCAGTCAGTATTGCTGCTTTAAACAACATAAAGCCCACTAAAGAATTTCGAAGCCCACTAATTAAGAAAAAAATATTTTTACATGGGGAGTATTTGCAATAAAATGAGCCTCTATATACTTTGCTAAAACAAGGATAATAATTCTGAACATTCAGTCTCAAATTCTACACCTTATTTTACCTTTGTGCTTGCGATATTTGTGCTCTGAACATGAAAAATCATTTCAACTGAATTTACTTTTCACAGTAATTCTCATTTAAAACTAACAGTTTGATTATTTAAAAATAAAGAGTTTACACATTTGCTTCATGGATAGATCACCCGGAGCTTAAAATATTTTAGATTAATATATTTAGAGCCGAAATGTGGAAAGGTATTATGTTTAGTAGCTTTCTGAAGGATGACAGATGGGTAAGAAAAGACACTGTGAGAATTTTGGGTCCCTGTTATAATTTCATAAAATTTTTATATCTGAAGGTTGTGTAAGAGCTAATTCTGTGGTTGTCCTTGGAGTGAAAACTAAAGACCTGAACACCCACATCACTCTGTCTTTTAAAACAGCAAATAACTACCTGAGGCATATTCTTGAAGAGTGATTCTGTACTGAATGAGATGAGAAAAAATGTGTGTGAGGGTGCTCTACATATTGTTTCAAGAACAGAAGGCTCATGGATATACTCTCCATCCACATTTTGCTGAAGCCTAATAGGAGAGATTTGGTTGTTTTATAATATGTCAGGGTAAAGTGTTATCACATAATGTGAAAGCTTCCTAACATATGTTATTATTGGTCAGAAATCATCTGAACAAAGAATCGTCTTTTTGCAGATCACATATTACTTTATGTTTAAATTTCTTTTTAGGTTTTCTAGTATTTCTTTTAATAAGCAATATAAGCTAGAAAAAATGTGCTGAGGAAATCATTTTTGAAATGAAAAGGCTTAATTTTATTTTACTCAAACTTCAGTTAATCTGCTCTGTTAAAAAATATGCCAATATAAAAAATAAGTATAACATTATATCTTATTGGTTCCATATCTGCCATTGTTGATAATGAGCCAATGGCTATTTCAATATTTTTATTTTTCAGAACTCTTTGTAAAGACTTATGGGATTTTATGTGTTAAATATTAGTTAAATTTAAGTAAATTTATGCATTAAATATTCAAAAACTCATCAAAAATATCTTACTTTTCAGTTGATCCTCCTATAAATTAAGCACTAAGAAATTAAAGAAATAGCACTTACAGGCTTGTCTTGACTTCTACTCTCTGGATTTCTCTGTATCTTCTTGGTCTGGGCCTTTGTAGCTTCATTTTCCTTTTAGAGCAGCTGCATATGGTTAGACTTTGTGATCAACCTATTGTTTCAGAGATTTGTCCAAGTTATAGTGAGTTCTATCACATCCTTCTTTGCTACTGAATGTAAATTAAGTTCAAGGAATTAAGATGTGTAGGTTAATTTTTTTTTAATTCTGTTGCAGTAATGACATATGAAAAGTGCATATAGACTGGTAAGTGTATGTGATTCTTCTGAGAGAACTATTTGTGAGACAGGATGCAAAATTAATTTGTTCCAGGTGGAGAATAAATTTATGTCTTCAGGAAGATAACCGTATCATCCTTTTAGGGCAGGAGATTCAATCATATTTGGAAAGAAAGAACGAAGACCAATACAAAGGAACAACTTGAAGGCATGAGAATAATGGAAAGAAGAGGGTGCCAGGGAGTCTTGTGGTCATGGGACTCAAGAAATAAGTAGAAGGATTTGCTTTACCAAGGAGGATACTGGAAGATTCCCAAAGACGTAGAACAGAAGTCAAAGGAGCTCATGTGAAATAGATGGAGTTTTCTTAGAAAGTGTATATAGCATCTTTGACATAAATAACTTCGTCTTAGAAATAGATTCTACCTTACGTTTCCTAAGGCACTTTGCCAAAATAGATTCTACCTTACGTTTCCTAAGGCACTTTGCCAACAGGGACCAGATGCTTTGCTTAATAAAGACTGTGCTTCAGGCGTGGTGGCTCATGCCTGTAATTCCAGCAATTTGGGAGGCTGAGGTGGGCGGATCACGAGGTCAGGAGATGGAGACCATCCTTGCTAACACGGTGAAACCACGTCTCTACTACAAAAAAAAAAAAAAAAAAAAAAAAAAAAAATTAGCTGGGCGTGGTGGCAGGCACCTGTAGTCCCAGTTCCTGGGGAGGCTGAGGCAGGAGAATGGCGTGAACCTGGGAGGTGGAGCTTGCAGTGAGCCAAGATCACGCCACTGCACTCTGGCCTGGGCGACAGAGCGAGACTCTGTCTCAAAAAAAAAAAAAGAAAAATAAATAAATAAATAAATAAATAAATAAATAAATAAATAAATACTACATCCTAGCAGATAAGGGCATAAACAAGCACATTCTTCCACTAACACTGCCCACCAGGGGGCCTGGGGGCCATAAAAAGAGGGACTTCAGCTCAAAATGGTCATCTTAACTGACACTGTCTTCTGTGATTTTTGTTAAGCCACTTAATATCTATCAGCAAAGGCTCTGCCCACATCAAAGACCGTTCCTTGCATGACTCTCAGAACGCCTGGCCCAGACCAAGGGATTCCTTTTGTGTATACTACTCTCCTCGGACTGGGATCATTAACCCTTTTTCCTATCCGCTTTCTCTTGATGTTAAATGTTACCTTGTTTGTGGTGGAATGTTTAGTCTATAATATTAATATATTGATTTACTCTCCTCTTCATGGTTTGCAGTATGGACTGACTTGTAGAGTGGCTTGAGCCTGTATGCCTGTGGCTGTGACTACCGAGTGATCTGGAAGTAATGCGGGGATTTGCCTCCTTGGGAGCTCCATGTAGCTCCTAGCTTTTGTGTTTGAAATGGCATCAATAAATGTCTGACATTGTGGAAAGACACAAACATGTGTGGACTTGGTTATCTCTGACCTGGCACCAATCATGGAAGAAAGGGGGTAAACTGTGGAGAGCAAGGGTAAAAGGGGAGAATAATAGGGATAGTTTCTATCAGAAGCATGAAAGAAATCAATGTAAAGAAAATGAATTAATTCCTAATAATTCTGAGGACCTGGCTGAGAGGAAAGAAAAAAATAAACCAGAAATTACTGTGCTGGGCACTGACTGGGAGACCTCTCTTTTTCACTAATTAGTCAAGGAGGTGCTAGGACTTACTCATGATTGAGGATTGGCACTAGGACAAACCTCTGAAAGATTTTAGGAATGAGCAAATAATTGGTGGGGGCTGCAGTCTACATATGGAAGCCAATGAAACTTCTATCTGAGGGGATATAGAGAAGCCAGGGATAGAGAGTTCAGAATGAAGCTAGAGGAAGGTCAAAATGGAAGTACATGAGCAAGGAATCAAGAAGCAACAGATGGTTGTAATCAAACAGGGAGGTATCTGAATCTGAAATCTTGGGATTGAATCCTTTCTTCGTGAAAGAGATATCCCAGGAAGTGGTCCTTCTTGCCAAGTGTTAGAAAAAAATAGTAGATTTGAGAAGATCAGTGAACAACTCTAACTTTAATTATTTTTAAGTAAGAATCCTTTTTTCAACAAGTTAAATAAATTCTTGAAAATCAGCTGCAATCTACAGAAACAGCTATTTTGCTATGATTAAGAAGTTACTGTATTTTGTTTCAGAATATCTGGTAAAGAGAGTGTTCTAAGTTGATATTATGCTCAACACATAAAATGTTCCAACTCCAAACATAGATCTGAGTGTATGCACAGCTAAAATTAATCATCAACTTGTTTAACTGGCAACTGCAGCCATTCATCTGCAGCTTCTAAAGGCTTGAACAATAGAACAGCACATAGTATGCATTTGCTTACTTAAATCTTGGTTTGAATATTCTCCAATATGGGAGTTTCAATAATACAAACAAATACATGATATAATGCACTTACATTACAAATAAGAACATTGGGCTGGGTGCAGTGGCTCATGCCTGTAATCCCAGCACTTTGGGAAGGCCAAGGCGGGAGGATCACCTGAGCTCAAGAGTTTGAGATCAGTCTGGCCAACATGGTGAAACCTTGTCTCCGCTAAAAATACAAAAAATTAGCTGGGCATTGTGGTAGGCACCTGTAATCCTAGCTACTCAGGAGGCTGAGGCAAGAGAGTCGCTGGATTCCAGGAGACAGAGGTTGCAGTGAGCTGAGATTGCAGCACTCTACTCCAGCCTGGGCAACAAGAGCAAAACTCCATCTCAGAAAAAAAAAAAAGAAATAAAAACATGGGCAACAATTCACTAATTTGCCATTTCTTGTGAATTTTGCCAGAATTTTTTTTCTTTTAATCAGTAAACTGGTTTCATAGGAGGAACTCTCATCTTTTGGATCCTATCATCAGTATCCTGCCGCTTCTTCCACCTTATTCTCATAGTCATTGGTTTCACTTATATTGTTTAGAGCCCAGCCTGCCTCCTTTTACCCAAATACCCCACTGAAATTTGTATTAGTAGGACTTTGTTTATAATTAACTTTTTTTCTGGGTTATTAATTTTTTGGTCCCTTTTCTTTGGCAATTCATGAGAAAGCAACTCCCATAAAGGGCTGCATAAGAATTCTTTAGTACCTTAGCTTTGAGCTTTTATTTGATATTGTTAAGATTGTAAATGCATATGGTTGTTAGTGCCAATTAGTTGAAAATAGCCTTAAAGACTTCCTACTGTTTCCAATCTTTTACTCTGACCAAGGTATATGGGGGATAGAGATAATGTATTTAGCACTTTTATGGCCTTGATAACATATTTGCTTTCAGAGGACCATATTAAGAGCCCACTTTTGATTAGCTTCCTCTCCAGTCATTTAATTGTCTAGCATGATTACCTTAATCACACAGATATAGTCTCATCTCAGGGGTCACCTTCGCCCAGGGGAGGACAGACCTAATAAAACATTAGGGAAGGAAGTACTAGTAAGAGGGTGAATTGAAGTAATATCAGATAAAGGGAGATTTGCTAAGTGAGACCTTATAATAAGTGGCTTGGGTGAGGTGTAACTCCATCAGTGGAAGCTTAATAACCACGAAGCCATTGTACCCCAGGTGAGCATCAGCTCCTCAGCCCCCATGCAAAAAAGGGCAAGTTGGGATGATGGTGCCAGAATTTAGTCTACATGCAGAAGGTAAAGCTGAAAGAGAAAAATAAATCAGGGCTAAAAATTATATACATATTAAAAACTTAAAAATAAGCCTCTAAACTGACCAAAAAGATTTTGTGATGTCTTTCTATAATATTTCAGATCCCATTTATCCTTAATGTACACTTGTATACTTTTATTATGATTCTTACTTCTGGCATGGCTGACAGAAGTAAAGTTTTTAGAAGGCTAACTAGTGGAAATTAATTAAGAGCACCACGTAAATTGTGTATGCCCAGGTTAGAATGCAGATTCTGATTCAGTAAGTTTGGGGCTGGGCTCAAGGTTGAGCTTTCTAACACCTTTCCAGGTGATGCTGAAAATGTTAATATTGCTAAGTAGATGTTAGGCCCACTCTTTTCTTGTTGCTTTTGTATATTTAGTGGCCCTGCAAGCTACCAGATGAACTGAAAACCCTAAAGAGATTTTGAGATCACTTGCATTTTTAACTGAATACCTAGAGAGTTTTGTAAAAGAATGTCTGACCTGTAAATTTGTGGTGGCCTTTAGTCTGGCAGTTAAATGACTTGACTTTTGTTCTCTGGATTGCGGTATTACGAGTATATGTTTATTGTGATAGGCAAGAAAATAATAGCAGACTAAATATCAAGATGCTGTCAACACGCTTGTATTATACTTTATACTCTGCATGTAACTGGTTATGTTACACTAATAATCTTTCAGTACCCTTTCAACTTAATGATTCAAAGCCAGTGAGCACAAGATAGACTATTTGGCTTAAGATGTCATTCCCCAATGTTTACTGGGCTTTGAATAATAAATGCAGATCTTCCTGCAGGTCTCTCTGCTGAGGTTGCTTTTTCTGGCAGGAAGACGCCTCTTCAAGACTGCCTTAAAGTCCAAAGAAATTTAATTCCTCTTAAAACTACTTTTAAAAAAATCTTACAATTGAGGTCTGTTATATAACAGGAGAGACCACACCCATAGGCCCCTGATGATCAATTATTTTCTTTGCCTGGATTTTTGTTATGCAACCCAGCTAGTTTGCTCTACTACAGGGAGGCTCACAAGATAAATTGCCTCCCTTTGGCTGTGTTGTTTTCTTCAATTACACAAACAGCAGCCAGAAAAACTGGAGGAGATGAGAACTACAAGAATTCTGGAAGGTGCTAACGATTAGCACTTGCATTATCAGTCTCTGGAGGTTCTTCAAGCTCAGAGTCCCCCATGGCATTGTCAGAATAGCAAAGTGACAGGGAAGCAGTCAGCAGTCAGGCATCATTCAGCTGCCCAGGATAATGCTGTCCCTGTGCACAGGGCTGTTCGCCTCCAGAGTTCCACATTCCGCCAAGGAACCAACAGATGCTTCCTGGCCATGATGGTTTTAAATAGATCTAATCAGTCTAAGGGGCCGATAGCTGTGAAGAACCTTGTTACCCTGGGAAGGAAACCTATCTTTCTCCAATAAAACAGAATGTAGTTACTGTACCACTTGTTTCCTAAAGCACTGTCCTTTGTATTACTTATTTTTTGAAAGTGCAAGTTTGGGAAAGTCTTTAGAGATACTGAGCTTATCGACTATATTCATCTTCTGATTGAATACATTTCTTTATCAAAATAATCCTTTTGGAACACTATTTTGTTTGTGGTTCTCCAAGGAGAGAATGTTCTCTCTGCTTAGTCTGCTCCATTAAGAGTAAATCTCATAATGATATGATTGTCAGAAAAAGAAAAATATCTTATGATAACGAACTGAAGCATTGAGGTAGGGTAAAAATTTGCCAGCAACAACTCTCGTATTACTGTGCAAGCAAGTTTTCAGCTTTCACTATCAGAGGGCCCTGAAGCAAATTTTTTGGAGTTATAGGATTCACTCCTAGAGAAGGGTGGGGGGGTGTTTATCAATAATGTGCTGGTGCTGGTGATAAGCAGAACAATCCACATACTGGAGCAGTTTTAGCAGGAAACCGTGCCAAAAAAAAAAAAAAAAAAGACAGGAAAGTGAAAGGTGGAACTTAATGTAACATCCATGATGTGTAGGATATAAAGTAGAACATCTGAGAAAGGCATGGGCTTTGGAATTGGACACATCTACCTTAAAATAGAGATCTGCTTTGTGGTTCTAGACACAATCTTTTCTATTTTCCATTTGTAAAGTAGAAATAATAGTACTTTCCGCACAGGGTCATTATAAGAATCAAATGAATTTGGAATAAGTTAATTTCCTAGAATACAATATGTGACTACTCTTAGCTTTGCTAATATTATTTCATAGGCAGAGCTTACCACTCCTTCCTTTGTTCTATTTCCATTAGGATTCTTATGACACTTCATTGAAATTATTTGTGTTCAAGTCTGTTTGGGTTTTGATTCTCTTGGACAAGGACCATGTGTTTATTCAGAGCACTAAATTTGAGGTTGAAATTTTTATGTTCGACCAATATGTTTTTTCACTAGTCAAGATGGAAATGATAATATTTCTCAAGGTGGCTATGAAGATTCAATAAGAAACCATATTATGTATTCTACCTTGGCACAGTGCTTGGCACAGAGTAGTGACTAAGCAGATGTTAGTCTCACTCTTTTCTTCTTTATCATGGCCAGTCCCTAGCAATTTTTAGTACATATTTCATGTGTAATACCATTTGTTTCATGAGTAAGAGAATCTATGAAGAAGTAAGTGAGTGTATATGTGAGTGAAACTGAGCATTGGACGAAAGTCAGAGATTTTGGTTCTAATGCTGTCTTTGACTTCAACTATCTAGCTGTGTGACCTTGAGAATGTATTCTGCTTCTATGGGCCCTACTGTCTGCCACTGTAAAGAAGGAATTGCAAAGGAGTTGGATAAACTATTTATATATAACGATTCTTCTAGGTTTAAAAGGCATGATACAAACTCTACAGTTTTTGATTGATATGAAATCCCACTTTTCAGTAATACAAAGAAGCCATGGTACATGTAGTTTTCTCTAACACTGTAAGGGTTGGTAAGAGGGAATGCAAAAGAGTAAGAGATCCCTTCTAGAACTAGAAATACCATTTGACCCAGCCATCCCATTACTGGGTATATACCCAAAGGATTATAAATCATGCTGCTATAAAGACACATGCACACGTATGTTTATTGTGGCACTATTCACAATAGCAAAGACTTGGAACCAACCCAAATGTCCATCAATGATAGACTGGATTAAGAAAATGTGGCACATATACACCATGGAATGCTATGCAGCCATAAAAAAGGACGAGTTCATGTCCTTTGTAGGGACATGGATGAAGCTGGAAACCATCATTCTCAGCAAACTATCGCAAGGACAAAAAACCAAACACCGCATGTTCTCACTCATAGGTGGGAATTGAACAATGAGAAAATTTGGACACAGGAAGGGGAACATCACACACCAGGGCCTGTTGTGGGGTCGGGGGAGGGGGGAGGGATGGCAATAGGAGATATACCTAATGTAAATGATGAGTTAATGGGTGCAGCACACCAACATGGCACATGTATACATATGTAACAAACCTGCATGTTGTGCACATGCACCCTAGAACTTAAAGTATAATAAAAAAATAAAATAAAATAAAAAATGAAAAAGAGTAAGAGATCCTTGAAAGACACCCACCACAATGGCTGCACTCATTTGTTGAATGACAAGTAATTCATTTTGGATAGTGGAAAATGAGACAGTGTATCAGTTTAACATTTCAGACTTACTAGAAGTCAGTACTTTCCTCTTGGGAATCTCTTCATGGTGAAGGGCTTATGCCTTGGATACTTCTTCTATTAAAAAATCAATAGCTACTGTACCACATGGTGACTTTAAAGCAGTGGTCCTCAAAGTGTGGTCCCTGGACCGGTAGCACGAGCAACAGCTGGAAACTTGTGAGAAGTGAATATTCTCAGGGACCACTTCAGACCTTCTGAATCAGAAACTCTGTGGCTGGGATCCAGCAATCGTGATCCAAGTACATCTGATGGACACTAAAGTTTGAGAATAATTTCAGGAGAACAAAATCTTAAATTCTGACTCATCTTCTGAACCTTCTGAACCTTCTGAATTCAGAGTGTAATTCTGAACTGTGGTTAATATAGCCACAGTTCAGAATTACACTCAATAAAGTTCTTTCTCAGGGCTATCTCAATTATATATATATATAGATATAGATATAGATATATATAGATATATATATATAGTTATACACATATATATATACATATATAGTTTATACATGGTGTCTGTTTACCCATATATATATATATATATATAAAGTATAAATGCTCACATGCTCAAAGAATGTCCTGTATTCTTCCACTTTATAAATGGGAATTATTCTATACCTTTATGAGAGAAGAACAGTGAAGCAGGTTGATTTGAAGAGCACTAAGTCCATTTATTTTTACCAGTTATTAACTTAGGTACGTGTATCTTTTCTCTTTCCCAGCTTTTTAAAAATACGCTTTCAAATATTCAGGGTAAACAAGACTTCTGAAGAGGTTGAGATGAAATTGTTTTGCTTCACGTTCAAGACCCTGGCAGCTGAGCATCCACAAAGCTTCCTTCTCATCACACTTTTCTTTGTTGATGCAGGTGGAGAAATCAGCAGCAGAAGGCACAACTGTCTCCGTTTTGCAGGTTTTCTGCATGTTTCCATTTCGCTCCCTTTGCTCTCCTTTAGTTTCAGAAATAATGAGAAAAAATTCTTTCCCATGTACTTATTATCATAGCTAGAGGAAAGAGAAAAGCTCATTAAAATAATGAAGTGATTTCAGCACGATTAATTATGTCCAAAGCCATTGATGTTCACAGGTACTGAAAACACTCAACTACCCTAAGCTCTGGTTGTAAGATAAAATCAGTTGCCCACTTTTTAGCAGCCGTGGATAAGTGGAAAGGAATAACCTTTTGGCATGGCCAACCTTAGATGAATGATCTGTTTCATCATTTACTGCAGCTGGATCAATTTGGTCAACCAGGAGTAGACAGATTTCACCTGAGCCTTTTGACAGACATTCATTTGGCACAGAGAAATCATTGAGTTTGCAATGCCTGTTGTCAATGAAATGAATTTAAATATGCGAAAAGGAAAAATCTTGCACTAGGAAAACATGGTGGAGAGGGAAAAAAGGCTCATGAAACATTTCAAGCTATTCTGTCAAAGAAATGTATTTTATGGTTGAGCTCTATCGTTGGCTGACACGTGTGATTGTCTGCTGAAAATGACCTATTTTTTCAAGAGCTGAATTTAAAGACATCAATACACATTATTGATATAATTGTTTTAATTATAAAGGGAAATAAGTATGAAACTTATTTGTACATTGTGTCTGTTTATCCTGATTTATGGGATTGATCCTGATCAGCTTTTTCACCAGCGGAAACAATTGCTTGTAGTATTATTGCTCATTTGAACTAAAAATAGATACAGTATCTGAAACCACATGAATCATCATGATAAGGTTTTATGATGCTCTAACTAAAATCAAAGGTAAAACAGCAAATGTTTAGATTGTAGTTAATAGGAATAAGATGCCTTATTGTGCTACAAAAGCCATCTCCACAGTCACTGGCACAGAAGATATTCTGAAGCACATAACTTCTTCCAATGTGAAACACACAAATAAATAAGTTATTAGAGAAAACCTAGAAATATGGATTGACTGTAAATGGAGTTTATAGTTTGATATATGTGAATTGAGTTGCAATACCAATAACATAAATGCTCAGCCATAATAGGATTCCTAAGAGAGTGCATGGCTATAGTCTTCAAAAGCCATAATAGCAATGCCCTCTCTCTTTAATGGATAATCTTTCTCCAATCTTGTTCTGTGGGTAATGCTGTGGATGGGATTTAGTCATTTAATTATGAATGTAGGGGTTGAAAAAAGAGCTGTAAACCAAATTTCATGTTACTCAAGTAGAAATAAAAACTGACTTAAATCCATCTAATTGTGGTAAAGACAGAGGGTTGCTGGGAGACACTGGAGTATTTTCATTCCAAGATTAAAAAGCAAATGTTTATTCTCTACATTTTGAAATTAGATCTTTTCTCTCAGTGTTTTACTATTTCACTGATAGTTTTCAAGGGTTACTATGTAAGTTACAAATGCCATTACCTTTTAAGGTATTTATATATTTCAGTGATTTCAGTGAATATCTGTTATTTAGCGCTATGTGCAATGTATTGTAATTCTTTCTGGCACTTATATCAAACCCTTGCTATAAAGCCAATGGAGGAGTCAGATGATTTTTCAATCTGTTCTCTAAGGAGCCAAGTCATATTCATAGGGCAAGCATTTTGGTTTTGCACTATCACCCATGTAGTGTGGACTTTCTAAGTTTTAGGGCTATGGGCCTCAACCTTGACCATATATTAGAATCACCTGGGAAGTTTTAACAATGACCAATGACTGGTTCCTACTGCAGACTGGTTAAATTAAATTTGCGTGTGGTGAGTGCCAAGCATATGTATTTTTAAAACTCTCTGTGTGATTTTTATGTGCATCCATGATTGGGCAAAATAATTTTGACTGGAGAAGTGTAGGTGGATCTCATTATTGTCTTTTATCTATTTTTTTCATCAAGCCTTAAAATAATCAATGGCCAACTTTTTGCAATTTGTCTTATAGATTTAAACATTTTATTTATTATTATTCTTACCTGTGGCCAAATACAATTTTATTGATTGCCATATACCTGATATTGCAGTCTTAGAAAACATAAAATCTACATTTTTAATTCTAGATTGAATTCTGTAATTAAGAGTCTCATCTCAGGTTAGTGATTTGCAAATAAGTAAATGCCATATAAATAAAAGGTATTAATAATAACAAAATCAAGTACAATACAATCACAGATACTGAGTGATGGCTGTATATATTACCCACCTATCTTTTTTGGGGGAGTGGGGACGGAGTCTTACTCTGTTGCCCAGGCTGGAGTGCAGGAGTGCAGGAGTGCAGTGGTGTGTTCTTGGCTTATTGCAATCTCTGCCACCCAGGTTCAAGCGATTCTCCTGCCTCAGCCTCCCGAGTAGCTGGGATTACAGGCGCCTGCCACCATGCCCGGCTAATTTTTGTAGTTTTAGTAGAGACGGGGTTTCACCATCTTGGCCAGGCTGGTCTTGAACTCCTGACCTCGTGATCCACCCACCTTGTCCTCCCAAAGTGCTGGGATTACAGGGGTGAGCCACCACGCCTGGCCTACCTACCTATCTTTGCAACTGGTTTTTACCCAATAGCATGCTTTTAAGTTATTCATGTTTGTTCATGGAGTTCTAATTAATTTATTTTCAATCCCATACAATAGTCCATTGGATGACTACTCCAAAAATTAATTACACATTTTTCTGGTGGCCTTAAATGCCATGTTTAACTTTTTACAATTATAAACAATGCTGCTATGAACTTTCTTGTTTCCTTATGTGGATATTCAGCAGTTTCTCTAGGATTCATATCTAGCAGTGAAATTTCTATATTGTGGGTTGTATATACATTGTCTGTTATTTATTTGTTGGATAATATTTGGAGTGGAAGTGGGAACTTAAGCCTTTTAGCTATGTTGGCAATGATAATGATGATGACATTTATTGACAGTTTTACATTTTCAGGTTGTAGTCTTGAATGATTTATATATAATATTTCATTTTCTGATCCCAAAATATTATTAGGTAGGTACTATACAAATAATGATAATACTGATGATGATTCTAGTTTTGACAAGCAATGTTCTTTTACTCATGTTCTCATTTGACCCATATTACATCCTTTGGAGGAGATATCATTATTTACATTTTTCAGATGAGGAAACCTAGGTTTAAAGAGATTATATGCTTATTTCAAGTCTCTCAGTACATGATAGATCCAGGATTAAAACCTGAATTTTTAAAATTCAAACCCCAGATTTTTTGCTTTTATTAAACTCCTAAATTAATATAAAGGCAAGATCTTTTAAATTAAGAGGAATTAATTTAAGCAATTTTGGTATTGCATGTTCTAAATCATCTTCTTAACAAAAAGATTTTCTCATGTTCAGCAAATTGTTTAGGAAACATGTATGAACACTCTGAATACTTCAAGAAAAGGGGTAAAATGTATACTGTGTTTCTTAACTAGGAATATACTATATCTTAAAATAAGTGACAATTTGCATTTAGGTAATGGGACCAGATGCAGATATGCTATCTCCTCACTGCATGACTCCAAGCCTGATCAGTTGATTGACTGTGTTTCCTCTTTACTGACACCAGTCCACAAATAAAGAGTAAGCAATAATGCAAACATTTTTATTCCTAATATTTGCAAATACAAAGTTTCTGAGATTGTTTCATATTTATGGACATCAACGTTTTGAGATTAAAAACATCTTTTGTTATGTATTCATTGTAGATATAATAGAAATTCTTTTTTTTTTTTTTTTTTCCTTGAGATGGAGTCTCACTCTGTCACCCAGGCTGGAGTGCCGTGGGATGATCTCGGCTCACTGCAACCTCTGCCTCCAGGTTCAAGCAGTTATCCTGCCTCAGCCTCCCAAGTAGCTGGGATTACAGGCACACGCCACCACACCCGGATCATTTTTGTATTTTTAGTAGAGAAGAGCCTTCGCCATGTTGGCCAGGGTGGTCTTAAACCCCTGACCTCAAGTGATCTGCCCACCTCTGCCTCCCAAAGTGCTGGGATTACAGGCATGAGCAACTGTGCCTGGCCAAAATAGAAATTCAAAGAGGTTAGGTAATTTACTCCCAATTTTATTAAATAAATGAAATGGAAACAAAATCTATACTTTCAGTAAGAAAGCAAAACTGTCAATGATTTCTAATATATCAGAAGCTTGTGGTCTATAGTAGGTAGAAAAATGGCCCCCCAAATGTCCACATCCTAATCTCTGAAATCTGTGAATATGTTATTTATACTTTGTATGGCAAAAAGGATTTTGCGGATGGAAATAAGTTAAAGACCTGGAGAGTAGGGAGAGTAGTTTGGATTATATAAGTGGGCCACATCTAATCACATGAGTTCTTAAAAGAAGAGAACTTTTGCAAGCTGTGGTCAGAAGGAACTATGAATATGAAGGAGTAGTCAGAGAGAGGCAAGATTTCTGGGTTAAAGTTGGGGAAGAGAGTTATGATCCAAGAAATGTAGGCAGCATCTAGAAGCTGGAAAAGGTACAGAAACAGACTCTTAAAGCATCCAGGAAGGATGATAAACCTGTCAACACCTTAATTTTAGCCTAGGGAAACCTGTGTTGGGCTTCTAAGCTGCAAAATTCCTAAATACAATTTTATGTTTTAAGCCAACAAGTTGGTGATAATTTGTTACAGTGCATATTAATTATTATGATAGTTATAGTTGAGACAAACAATATCAGATTTGGGGTTAGGAGACCTGGCATCTGACACTTATATGTGCACAAAAGTCAACTTATTTTTTTTTCTTTTTTCTTTCTTTTTTTTCATACTTTAAGTTCTGGGGTACATGTGCAGAAGGTGCAGTTTTGTTACATAGATATACATGTGCCATGGTGGTTTGCTGCACCCATCAACCCGTCATCTACATTAGGTATTTCTCCTAATACTATCCCTCTCCTAGCCCCCACACCCCCTGACAGGCCCCAGTGTGTAATGTTCCCCTCCCTGTGTCCATGTTTTCCCATTGTTCAACTCCCACTTAAGTGAAAACATGTGGTGTTTGGTTTTCTGTTCCTGTGTTAGTTTGCTGAGAATGATGGTTTCCAGATTCATCGATGTCCCTGCAAAGGACATGAAATCATTCTTTCTTCATGGCTGCACAGTGTTCCATAGTGTATATGTGCCACATTTTGTTTATCCAGTCTATCATTGATGGGCATTTGGGTTGGTTCCAAGTCTTTGCTATTACGAATAGTGCTGCAGTAAACATACGTGTGCATGTGTCTTTATGGTAGCATGATTTATAATCCTTTCGGTATATACCCAGTAATGGGATCGCTGGGTCAAATGGTATTTCTGGTTCTAGATACTTGAGGAATCGCCACACTGTCTTCCACAATGGTTGAACTAATTTACACTCCCACCAACAGTGTAAAAGCGTTCCTATTTCTCCACATCCTCTCCAGCATCTGTGGTTTCCTGACTTTTTAATGATCGCCATTCCAACTGGCGTGAGATGGTATCTCATTGTGGTTTTGATTTGCATTTCTCTAATGACCAGTGATGATGAGCTTTTTTTCATGTTTGGTGGCGCATAAATGTCTTCTTTTGAGACGTGTCTGTTCATATCCTTCACCCACTTTTTGATGGGGGTGTTTTTTTCCTGTAAATTTGTTTAACTTCTTTATAGATTCTGGTTGTTAGCCCTTTGTCAGATGGATAGATTGCAAAATTTTCTCCCATTCTGTAGGTTGCCTCTTCAATCTGATGTTGGTTTCTTTTGCTGTGCAGAAGCTCTTTAGTTTAATTAGATCCCACTTGTCAATTTTGGCTTTTGTTGCCATTGCTTTTGGTGTTTTACTCATGAAGTCTTTGCCCATGCCTACGTCCTGAATGCTATGGCCTAGGTTTTCTTCTAGGGTTGTTATGGTTCTAGGTCTTACATTTAAATCTTTAATCCATCTTGAGTTAATTTTTGTATAAGGTGTAAGGAAGGGATCCAGTTTCAGTTTTCTACATATGCCTAACCAGTTTTCCCAACACCATTTATTAAATAGGGAATCATTTCCCCATTGCTTGTTTCTATCACATTTGTCAAAGATCAGATGGTTGCAGATGTGTGGTGTTATTTCTGAGGCCTCTGTTCTGTTCCATTGGTCTATATATCTGTTTTGGTAACAGTACCATGAGGTTTTGGTTACTGTGGACTTGCAGTATAGTTTGAAGTCAGGTAGTGTGATGCCTCCAGCTTTGTTCTTTTTGGTTAGGATTGTCTTAGCTATGTGGACTCTTTATTGGTTCCATATGAACTTTAAAGTAGTTTTTTCCATTTCTGTTAAGAAAGTCAGTGGTAGCTTGATGGGGATAGCATTGAATCTATAAATTACTTTGGGCAGTATGGCCATTTTCATGATGTCGATTCTTCCTATCCATGAGCATGGAATGTTTTTCTATTTGTGTCCTTTCTTATTTCCTTGAGCAGCGGTTTGTAGTTCTCCTTGAAGAGGTCCTTCACATCCCTTGTAAGTTGTATTCCTAGGTATTTTATTCTCTTTGTAGAAATTGTGAATACAAATTCACTCATGATTTGGCTCTCTGTTTGTCTACTATTGGTGTATAGGAATGTTTGTGATTTTTGCACAATAATTTTGTATCCTGAGACTTTGCTGAAGTTGCTTGTCAGCTTAAAGAGATTTTGGGCTGAGACGATGGGGTTTTCTAATATACAATCATGTCATCTGCAAACAGAGACAATTTTACTTCCTCTTTTCCTATCTGAATACACTTTATTTCTTTCTTGTGCCTGATTTCCCTGGCCAGAACTTCCAACACTATGCTGAATAGGAGTAGTGGGAGAGGGCATCCTTGTCTTGTGCCGGTTTTCAAAGGGAATGCTTCCAGTTTTTGCCCATTCAGTACGATATTGGCTGTGGGTTTGTCACAAATAGCTCTTATTATTTTGAGATACGTTCCATCAATACCTCGCTTATTGAGAGTTTTTAGCATGAAGGGGTGTTGAATTTTATTGAACACTTTTCTGCATCTATTGAAATAATAATGTATGTTTGTCATTGATTCTGTTTATGTGATGGATTACTTTTATGGATTTGTATATATTGAACCAGCCTTGCATCCCAGGGATGAAGACAAGTTGATCATGGCAGATAAGCTTTTTGATGTGCTGCTTCATTCAGTTTGCCAGTATTTTATTGAGGATTTTCACATCAATGTTCATCAGGGATATTGGCCTGAAATTTTCTTTTTTGGTTGTGTCTCTGCCATGTTTTGGTATAAGGATGATGTTGGCCTCATAAAATGAGTTAGGGAGGATTCTCTCTTTTTCTATTGTTTGGAATAACTTCAGAAGGAATGGTACCAGCTCCTCTTTGTACCTCTGATAGAATTTGGCTGTAAATCATTCTTGTCCTTGACTTTTTTGTTTTGTAGGCTATTAATTACTGCCTCAATTTTAGGACTTGTTACTGGTCTATTCAGGGATTCAACTTCTTCCTGGTTTATACTTGGGAGGGTGTATGTGTCCAGGAATTTATCCACTTTTTCTAGATTTTCTAGTTTATTTGCATAGAGGTGTTTATAGTATTCTCTGATGGTGGTTTGTATTTCTGTGGGATCAGTGGTTATATGCCTTTTATCTTTTTTTATTGCATGTATTTGATTCTTCTCTCTTTTCTTCTTTATTAGTCTGGCTAGTGGTCTATCTTTTTTGTTGATCTTTTCAAAAAACCAGTTTCTGGGTTCACTGATTTTTTGAAGGGTTTTTTGTGTCCCTATCACCTTCAGTTCTGCTCTGATCTTAGTTATTTATTGTCTTCTGCTAGCTTTTGAATTTGTTTGCTCTTGCTTCTCTAGTTCTTTAAATTGTGATGTTAGGGTATCGATTTTAGATCTTTCAGGTTTTCTCTTGTGGGCATTTAGTGCCATAAATTTGCTTCTAAACGCTGCTTTAAATGTGTCCCAGAGATTCTGGTACTCTGTGTCTTCGTTTTCATTGGTTTCAAAGAACATCTTTATTTCTGCCTTAATTTCATTATTTACCCAGTAGTCATTCAGGAGCAAGTTGTGCAGTTTCCATGTAGTTGTGTGGTTTTGAGTGAGTTTCTTAATCCTGAGATCTAATTTGATTGCACTGTGGTCTGAGGGATGGTTTGTTATATTTCCATTCTTTTGCATTTGCTGGGGACGGTTTTACTTCCAATTAGGTGGTCAATTTTAGAATAAGTGTGATGAGGTGCTGAGAACAATGTATAGTCTGTTGATTTGGGGTGAAGAGTTCTGTAGATGTCTATTAGGTCTGCTTGGTCCAGAGCTGAGTTCAAGTCCTGAATATCCTTGTTAATTTTCTATCTTGTTGATCTGTCTAATATTGACAGTGGGGTTTTAAATCTCCCACTATTATTGTGTAGGAGTCTAATTCTCTTTTTAGGTCTCTGAGAACTTGCTTTATGAATCTGGGTGCTCCTGTATTGGATTCATATATATTTAGGATAGTTAGCTCCTCTTGTTGCATTGGTCCCTTTACCATTACATAATGTCCTTCTTTGTCTCTTTTGATCTTTGTTGGTTTTAAGTCTGTTCTATCAGAGACTGTGATTATAATCCCTGCTTTTTTTTTTTTTTTTGCTTTCCATTTCTTTAGTAAATATTCCTCCATCCCTTCATTTTGAGCCTATGTTTGTCTTTGCATGTGAGATAGGTCTCCTGAATACAACACGTTGATGGGTCTTGACTATTTATCCAGTTTGCCAGTCTGTGTCTTTCAATTGGGGCATTTCGCCTGTTTACATTTAAGGTTAATATTGTTATGTGTGAATTTGATCCTGGCATTATGATGCTAGCTTGTTATTTTGCCTGTTAGTTGATGCAGTTTCTTCATAGTGTTGATGGCCTTTACAATATGGTATTTTTTGCAGTGTCTGGTACCAGTTGTTCCTTTCCATGTTTAGTGCTCCCTTCAGGAGCTCTTGCAAGGCAGGCCTGGCAGTGACAAAAATCTCTCAGCATTTGCTTGTCTGTAAAGGATTTTATTTCTCCTTCGCTTATGAAACTTAGTTTGGCTGCATATGAAATTCTGGGTTGAAAATTCTTTTCTTTAAGAATGCTGAATATTGGCCCTAACTCTCTTATGGCTTGTAGGGTTTCTGCAGAGAGATCCACTGTTAGTCTGATGGGCTTCCCATTGTGGGTAACCCGACCTTTCCCTCTGGTTGCTTTTAACATTTTTTCCTTCATTTCAACCTTGGTCAATCTGATGATTATGTGTCTTGGGGTTGCTCTTCTCGAGGAGTATCTTTGTGGTGTTCTCCATATTTCCTGAATTTGAATGTTTGCCTGTCTTGCTAGGTTGGGGAAGTTCTCCTGGATAATATCCTGAAGAGTGTTTTCCATCTTGGTTCCATTCTCCCCATCACTTTCAAGTTCATCAATCAAACTTAGATTTGGTCTTTTCACATAGTCTCATATTCCTTGGAGGCTTTGTTCCTTCCCTTTTATTCTTTTTTGTCTAATCTTTTCTTCTCATTTTATTTCATTAAGCTGATCTTCAATCTCTGCTATCCTTTCTTCTGCTTGATAGATTTGGCTATTGATACTTGTGTATGCTTCACAAAGTTCTTGTGCTGTGTTTTTCAGCTCCATCAGGTCATTTAAGTTCTTCTCTAAACTGGTTATTCTAGTTAGCAATTTATCTAACCTTTTTTCAAGGTTTTTAGCTTCCTTGCATTGGGTTAGAACATGCTCCTTTAGCTCAGAGGAGTTTGTTATTACCCACCTTCTGAAGCCTACTTCTGTCAATTTGTCAAACTCATTCTCCATCTAGTTTTTCTCCTTTGCTGGTGAGGAGTTGTGATCCTTTGCAGGAGAAGAGGTATTCTGTTTTTTGGAATTCTCAGCCTTTTTGTGCTGGTTTCTCCCCATCTTTGTGGATTTATCTACCTTTGTTCTTTGACGTGGTGACCTTTGGATGGGGTCTCTGAGTGGACATCCTTTTTTTGATATTGATTCCTTTCCTTTCTGTTTGTTAGTTTTCCTTCTAACAGTCAGGCCCCTCTGTTGCAGGTCTGCTAGAGTTTGCTAGAGCTCCACTCCAGATCCTCTTTGCCTGGGCATCACTAGCAGAGGCTGCAGAACAACAAAGATTGCTTCCTGTTCCTTCCTCTGGAAGCTTCGTCCCAGAGGGGCACCTGCCAGACGCCAGACAGAGCTCTCCTATATGTGGACCCCCTCTCTCCTGTGGGCTCCTACTGGGAGGTGATTCCCAGTCAGGATACATGGGGTTCCAGGACCCACTTGAGGCATTCTGACCCTTAGCAGAGCTTAAATGCTGTGCTGGGAGAACCGCTGCTCTTTTCAGAACTGTCAGGCAGGGACATTTAAGTCTGCTGAAGCTGCGCCCACAGTCGCCCCTTCCCCTAGGTGCTCTGTCCCAGGGAGATGGAGGTTTTATCTATAAGCACCTGACTGGGGCTGCTGCCTTTTTTTTTCAGAGATGCCCTGCCAAGAGAGGAGGAATCTAGAGAAGCATTCTGGCCACAGGGGCCTTGCTGTGCTGTGGCAGGCTCTGCCCAGTTCAACCTTACTGGGGGCTTTGTTTACACTGTGAGGGTAAAACTTCCTACTCAAGCCTCAGCAATGGTGGACACCCCTCCCCTCAGCAAGCTTGAGCATCCCAGGTCAACCTCAGACTGCTGTGCTGGCAGTGAAAATTTCAAGTCAATGGATCTCAGCTTGCTGGGCTCCCTGGGGGTGGGACCCACAGAGCCAGACCACTTGGCAACCTGGCTTCAACCTGCTTTCCAGGGGAGTGAAAGGTTCTGTCTCACTGGCATTCCAGGTACTAATGGGGCATGGGAAAAAAAAAATCCTGCAGCTAGCTCAGTGTCTGCCCAAACAGCTGCCCAGTTTTGTGCTTGAAACTCAGGGCCCTGTTGGTGTAGGCACCGGAGGGAATCTCCTGGTCTGTAGGTTGCAAAGACTGTGGAAAAAGCACAGTATCTGGGCCAAAGTGCACTGTTTCTTAGGCACAGTCCCTCATGGCTTCCCTTGGGTAGGAGAGAGAATTCCTTGACCCCTTGTGCTTTCCCAGTGAGGCGACATCCCACCCTGCTTCGGCTTGCCCTCTGTGGGCCGCACCCAGTGTCCAACCAGTCCCAGTGAGATGAACTGAGTACCTCAGTTGGAAATGCAGAAATCACCCTCCTTCTGTGTGGATCTCACAGGGAGCTGCAGACCAGAGCTGTTTCTATTCAGCGATCTTGAACTCCATTCTGGTTTTTGTTTTTAAATGCTGATTCATAATATTTACCTCAATAATTCTGATTCTGAAATTCTGAAACAGGATTGTGACGGGGATACAAAATGACATGGTTGCTTTGGCAAATGGTTTAGCCTTGAAAACAACTCAAATATCCATCATCTGCTAAGTAACTCGATTGTGGTATACCCATACAATGAGTACTTCTCAAAAAGAGTTAAAAAGTACTGAGAAATGCAGTGACATGCATGAATCTCAAAATCATTAATGCAAAAATTAAATAAATTAGACACAAAAAGTAACATATAGTATGTTTTCAATTATAGGATATTCTAAAAAAGGCAAAAGTAAAAAAAGGGGACAAAAATCAGTTCAAGATTGCCAGAGGCTGGGGATAGAGGGAGAAGATTAATTGCAAAGCATAATGAGGAGTTTTCTAGGGTGATTAAAATGATCTATATCTTGGCCAGGTATGGTGGCACAGGCCTGTAATCCCAGTAGTTTGGGAGACTGAGGTGGAGGACCACTTGAAGCTGGGAGTTTGAGACCAGCCTGGGCAACAAAGCAAGATTTGTTTAGACAAAAAAAAAAAAAAAAAAAAAAAAAAAATTAGCAAGGTGCAGTGGTGGAGAGGTGACAGCGTGCTGGCAGTCCTCACAGCCCTGGCTTGCTCTCAGCACCTCCTCTGCCTGGGCTCCCACTTTGGCGGCACTTGAGAAGCCCTTCAGCCTGCCGCTGCACTGTGGGAGCCCCTTTCTGGGCTGGCCAAGGCTGGAGCCGGCTCCCTTAGCTTGCGGGGAGGTGTGGAGGGAGAGGCGCGAGCGGGAACCATGGCTGTGTGAGGCGCTTGCAGGCCAACTGGAGTTCCGGGTGGGTGTAGGCTTGGCAGGCCCCACACGCGGAGCAGCCGGCCGGCCCTGCTGGCCCAGGCAATGAGGGGCTTAGCACCCGGGCCAGTGGCTGCAGAGGGTGTACTGGGTCCCCCAGCAGTGCCGGTCCACCGACACTGTGCTCAATTTCTCACCGGGCCTTAGCTGCCTCCCTGCGGGACAGGGCTCGGGACCTGCAGCCCGCCATGCCTGTGCACCCCCTCTCCGTCGGCTCCTGTGGGGCCCGAGCCTCCCCGACCAGCACCACCCCCTGCTGTACAGCGCCCAGTCCCATTGACCACCCAAGGGCTGAGGAGTGCGGGCACAGGGCACGGGACTGGCACGCAGTTCCACCTGCGCCCCAGTGCGGGATCCACTGGGTGGAGCCAGCTGGGCTCCTGAGTCTGGTGGGGACATGGAGAACCTTTATGTCTAGCTAAGGGATTGTAAATACACCAATCGGCACTCTGTATCTAGCTCAAGGTTTGTAAACACACCAATCAGCACCCTGTGTCTAGCTCAGGGTTTGTGAATGCACCAATCGACACTCTGTATCTAGCTACTCTGGTGGGGCCTCAGAGAACCTTTATGTCTAGCTCAGGGATTGTAAATACACCAATTGGCACTTTGTATCTAGCTCAAGGTTTGTAAACACACCAATCAGCACCCTGTGTCTAGCTCAGGGTTTGTGAATGCACCAATCGACACTCTGTATCTAGCTACTCTGGTGGGGCCTCAGAGAACCTTTATGTCTAGCTCAGGGATTGTAAATACACCAATTGGCACTTTGTATCTAGCTCAAGGTTTGTAAACACACCAATCAGCACCCTGTGTCTAGCTCAGGGTTTGTGAATGCACCAATCGACACTCTGTATCTAGGTACTCTGGTGGGGACTTGGAGAACCTTTGTGTCACACTCTGTATCTAGCTAATCTAGTGGGGATGTGGAGAACCTTTGTGTCTAGCTCAGGGATTGCAAATGCACCAATCAGCACCCTGTCAAAACAGACCACTGGGCTCTCTCTAAAGTGGACCAATCAGCAGGATGTGGGTGGGGCCAGATAAGAGAATAAAAGCAGGCTGCCAGAGCCAGCAGTGGCAACCCACTGGGGTCCCGTTCCACACTGTGGAAGTTTTGTTCTTTCGCTCCTTGCAGTAAATCCTGCTGCTGCTCACTGTTTGGGTCCCCACTGCCTTTATGAGCTGTAACACTCACCACGAAGGTCTGCAGCTTCACTCCTGAAGCCAGCGAGACCATGAACCCACCAGGAGGAACGAACAACTCCAGACGTGCTGCCTTAAGAGCTGTAACACTCACCTCAAAGGTCCGCAGCTTCACTCCTGAGCCAGCGAGACCATGAACCCCACCAGAAGGAAGAAACTCTGAACACATCTGAACATCAGAAGGAACAAACTCCGGACATGCTGCCTTTAAGAACTGTAACACTCACCCCGAGGGTCTGCGGCTTCATTCTTGAAGTCAGTGAGACCAAGAACCCACCAATTCCGGACACAGTGGCATGCATCTTAGTCCCTCCTACTTGGGAGGCTGAGGCAGGAGGATCCCTTGAGCCCAGATGTTCCAGGCTGCAGTGAGCTATGATATCTTATCTGCGATGGTAGTTATGAGACAGTATATATTTGTCTAAACTCATTGAACTTTGTAATTGAAGAAGGTGAACTTTGTTATATATACATGATACCTTAGTAAGCCTAGTTTAATACAGAAATCTCTTTAATTGTCTTAGTCTTTGACAAACTTAAAACTGGAATAAACTTTTTAGTCAAATAAAAACAACCATCTCACAGAAGTTAGGAAACATTCAGTTAAAGAATTTTAGAATAAGAAATGAAAACCAAATTCTTTCACTTGACTTTTAACGGAGTACTAATTAAACCATAAAATCCCAGTGAGAATAAAATAATAGGAATTCTCATGAGGCTCTGAAAGGATTCAACGCTTATCTAGTTTTCAAACTGCCTCCTAAGGGAATCATGAATTTCAGGTCATTGTGTGCTTAGAGATAAAGAGTATCCTGCCCCAACTAATCTTCTCCAAAATGAGCTGAAATTCCAGAATATTGTAAAGGAAACTTAGAAGTTATGTTTTTCTGCAGTGAATCTACCTGGTTTTGTAGTACGAGACAGTTCATTTCCTTTTCCAAGAATGCTTACATTTAAAAAAGTTCTTGTTAAAAAATGGAGAAGGTTCTTGTCTCTTGTAAAACTATGCATTGACTGAGTTTTAAATAAAATTGTCACTTATGAAGTTACTAAAATTTGTCTTATATCACATAAAGGGCTAGGGCTTCTTCTTAGTGGCTTCTGGGTTTTACAAAAGCCTGAGGTGCTGCACAAAACATACTTATATATTTTTGGATTCTCATTTCACCATTTCTCTCCTCTAGCATCTATTTCTTTGTACCAAATATTTCTGGCACACAGTAGTCTAATGAGGTGTTGCACTAAAATCTATGAGGGTCTTATAAGCCAAACACTGAGAATGGGGTCAGGGACTTCAGAAGGAGTCTGAATAGTTACAGATATTCACTGTCAGCTTATGGTGTGAAGTGACTATTTATATGATATTTTCTAATTTCTTGAGTAGAAAGGAATGAAGTTTTCAAAGACTTTCACAGAAACAGTCACTTTTTTTTTTTTTTTGAGATGGAGTCTCGCTCTGTCGCCCAGGCTGGAGTGCAGGGGCGCTATCTCGGCTCGGCTCACTGCAAGCTCCGCCTCCTGGGTTCACGCCATTCTCCTGCCTCAGCCTCCTGAGTAGCTGGGACTACAGGCGCCCACCACCACGCCCGGCTAATTTTTTGTATTTTTAGTAGAGACGGGGTTTCACCGTGTTAGCCGGGATGGTCTTGATCTCGTGACCTCGTGATCCGCCCGCCTGAGCCTCCCAAAGCGCTGGGATTACAGGCATGAGCCACAGCGCCCGGCCAACAGCCACATTTTTTGAGTTATAAAAATATAAGAGTTTATAGGAGTAGAGTATGATTTTATTTTTGGAAGTAACCTTAATGGTTGTATAGAGGATGTGTCAACACAGGACAGGAGGTATTAAAATAGTTCTGACTGGAGTAAGCTAAAATGGTTAGAATACATTGCAATCAGCCAGATGAGCAATGATGCAGAATCAGTGCAAATAGATTTGGAAGACAACCTGTAGGGACTTGGCGATCACTTGAATATACAGAGAGATAGAATGTAAGAAGGATTCCAAAAGTTCCTAAGTATTGTCAATTGCCTTAAACTGCCAAATGCTAGAGCAGTGATTTTTTTTAAACAATGGTTTCAGAGCTTATCGATGTACCTCAAACTTTGCACAGGTGTGCCACAAAGCTTTTATCAACACATAATTTAATTTTTATTCCACCTTAGCATTCCTATTCCAGAATACACCATTTTGGGGTGGGGATTATTTCCATGAAATATAATGCTCGTTCTCATTATTTCATACAATTCATTTTTTTTTGCAGTGATTCAGTATATCCCTACCAGTAACAAATTCTTATTGAATAAAGTCATTAATCTTAATATCACTTTTTATCTGACAGAAAACTCTTCATTGAGTGATAGTTCCTGCACTCCAAATCTCCTCACATGCTAAAATTGTCCTCCTCTAAAGACATTTCAACTAAAATATGTCAGGGAAAATGAAACAAAAATACCTTAAACACTAAAACCCCATCGTTTGATTTTAAAACTTTTCCCTTCTATCAGAGTCGAGATCTGCAGGAAGTGTTGATGACTTGGTCTGTAATTAAAAGAAAAGGTACTTACAAGAAACTATTCATACAGTTTATAATGTCCCCCAGGATCATTTAACTGACTAATTTGGACAGCTAGACAACAAATTGAGGGACCGATCTCCTCTCCTTTTATAACTCTGTAAACATAATCCCAAATTGATTGGTGTCCAATACATGAGAACCAAATGAAAAATTAATTAGATTGGCTGCAACCCTGAAGTGAGCACTTTAATGCTTTGTTGCTTTGTCTATTTGATCTTTTTTCTTTTGATTTATCAATATAATAGCCCATGTGGAAAAAAATAATAGGAAAAGCAAGCATCAAATGAATGCAGACAAACCGTAACACCAAGCAACTTCTGCATAGTGTGAGATTTAGAGTCAGTCTCTAGGAGTTAACCTCACTATAAACAACATATTTAGATCAAATAAATTGTCATCACTTATTAAACTTATGAGATTCTTTTCTTGTGTATTTTTTCTTTCTGTAATGGGAACAATTTCGTTAATATCTTTATCTCTTCATTTCACCTGTAGCTAGATATTCATTAAAGAAATGACTTGAAAGCAATCATAGTCATATAAATTTAAAAGCATTTATACAAGGTAACCTCCTGATTTTCCATGAGTAAAGGTACTAAGAACCTTGGAGGCTAATGGCTATATGGGGGACATGAAATTATTATTCCCTGACACCCATTCCTGTGCTCAACAATTCTACTTAGAATTTCAATAATTACTATTCGCTCAATATCTTGACAGTGAAAGGGCAAGTTTTACTGGAACTGAAACACCCTCCCAAGAGATTGATAGAATCTATTTTACAACAGCTATCACACTCGCTTATAAATAAAAAATATATTATGCTTATTTCTTATGCTCAAAAACAAGGTCTATCGAATATAAAATATATATGTGTCAAATATAAAACAAATAAAAGTTATGTTTTATTTATATTACTTTAAAATGTATCTATATATTAAACCAGTGGCCATCATAATTTTCATTAAATAGCCTATAACTTTCTTCCTTAGTTAGAATTCAATAATGAATGAAACACAGATTCATTGGGTAATGCATGATATTGTATTAATTAATTAAGTGATGTAATTTAATTAATAATACACATGAATTAAGGTTCAAAATTTAGCTGAGTAAAGTTCAGAATTTACAAGTAAAAATACAAAAACATCTCTGGTTACCTTGAAAGGCAAATTCTTTAAATTAGTTATTAAAGTCACAAATTAAAATATTAATTAAACTGACTCCGATTAATTTTCAAAATCAGCTGAAAAATATTATTTAATATGTAATCTGTGGTAGGCAGAACGATGGCTTCCAAAGATACCCACATCCTAACCTTTGTAATCTGAGAATATACTACCTTAATGGCAAAAGTAACTTTGCAGATGGAATTAAGATCAAGGATTATACAACAGGGAGATTACCCAGATTATCCAGGGGTGCTAATTTAACTACATAAGACTCTTAAAAGTGGAAGAGATAGTCAAGAGAGTCAATCCAACGGGAGGATAGAAGGAGAAAGGAGAGATTCAATACATTGCTGCTAATTTTGAAGATGGAAGAAGAAGGGACCTGAGCCAAGGAATGCAAGAAACCCCTACAATCTAGGAACAGGTCTTAGCTGACAGCCAGTGAGGAAAAAGGATCCCAGTCGTACCACTGCAAATAATTAAATTGTCAACAATGAGTAAGCAAATGGATTCTCCCTGAGAGCCTCCAGAAAAAATCTAGCCCTGTTGACAACTTAATTTGAGCCCAGTAAGACCCATGTTAAGACTTCTGACCTACAGGACTGTAAGATAATAAACTTGTGTTGTTTTAAGCTGCTAAACTTGTGGTCATTTGTTGTGGCAGCAATAGGAAAGTAATAGACTAATAGTAAAGAAAAGCACCAATGGTATCAGTTACTTGTGAGCTAATGAGTGTTAATTCTTATACCATGTCCAATTCCAAGCTACACTCTTGGGAAGGTCCACATTATTTGCTTCCCTTCCTATAAATAATCTAAATTGTTGATCTGGTCTTGTTTGCTTATTTGTTTGTTTGTTGTTGCTTTTTTTAAAAAAGTGAGAAATGGCTCTTGTGGAGCCCATCCATTCCAGAATTATCAACAGAAAATTTTTCTTCTATTGAATTAGAAGCTCTAAAGAAAATAGCTTAAGAAAGGCATTGCCTACCCTGAGGCAAACTTACTATGGGAAATTTCTCTTTGTTTTTTTTTTTTACCTTATCAATAGCTACCTCTTTTTCTCATTTTGAAGAATTTTCAAGTTTGTAGGGTCTTCATGCTTGTTCCTGGCTTCTGAGCCTTTAACAATAGTACAAAAAGAACTACTTTTTAAAAATATGACTTTATAATATACTAATAAATAGGCTAAATAACTTAAATTTATTTAATGTAATCTTCACATTAGCAAAATATTGTAGGCACTGCTATAATCTTTCTACCATGAGAAAACTAAGACCACAAGAGGTTACCTGCCTAAGGTTAGATACACTTGTGCCAAGTTGGCCAAATTAGAACATAAAATCCAGATAGTGTGTTTCCTGATGAGCAAGTATTCACTGTGCTCAAATTTCTTCTTTCTGGTGAACCATTTCCTGACCACCTGGCACTTTCTATTTCTTTCCATTCCTTCTATTTTTTTCATAATACTTATTGTGCAGCATTATCTTATGTATCTACATTTTAAAAATCTGTTTCCCCTACTAGAATGTAAGATCCATGAGGATAAGGGATTTGTCTTTTGTTCAGTGATTTATTTCCAGTATACAGAACAATGCCTGGCATGCAATAGAAACATAACAAAATTTTTAAAATAAATGAACATGTAGGTGAATATGACAATCATATGCAGTTCATATTCAATTTGACTGTAGATAAGTCCTATGTTCCCAACACTATTCCAGTATAATCAAACATGATTTCTGTATTATTAAGAGGAATAAAATGCATAATGGCTTGAATGCAATAGAATTTTCTAATTTGCTAAGCGATACTTGATGTATTGTCACTTTTAACATGTATATTCAAGATCTCCCTGGGACTCATCTCCATTAGTCTGTGGAAGTGGAAAATGGAATGAAGACATGTTTGTGGGAGGTTTCAATGGTTCAGATCCCAAAGAGGCACTCATCACTTTTGGTCACATTCTATTGGGTTGGAACTTAAGAACAAGGCCACACTTAATTGCCAGGAAGAATAGATGAGCAAGGATTAGATATGTTTCTAAAAGTCCTTATGAAAGTTACTTTCCCTCAGATACTTAAAGCCAAGGTAGGGGGAGAGAAGTTCAAGCTCATAGTATGATGGGAATAGTACTGTGCTTATTCAGACACTTGGCAGAAATTAAATAACACATTCAACTTCAGCACTGCTAGAGTTAATAAATGATTATCAAGTGTAACTGTGCTTATTCAGATGCTTGGCAGAAATTAAATAACACACTCAAATTCAGTACTTCTAGAGTTAATAAATGATTATCAAGGTGTGACAGTACTGCGCCCTCATGGCTAGTAACAGCAGGAAGCTTTTATCACCCATAGGGATAACATGAAAAGGGCAATAATGAGACAAAATGTAGTATCTATTACCAGGACCACCAGAGTGGTGGTGTTGGTGAAAAATCCAACCAGCCTATACCATTTGGCACAGAAGGAGCTGGGGGAATAATTACTTTGACTTCAATCTAATCCATCCTCTATATTTCCTGCCATGAGTCTCACGGCTGAACTCAACCAGAAGCCAAAGTGTTCATGAAGTCCATGTGATGAGCCTCCTGGGGCACAGAACTGATAAAGAAGAGTGAACGGTGGTTCTGGATGGGGCTCATGGAAGATATTCACAACATAAGCTCAAGTAGAAACAAGAGTGTTCTATAGAGTCATGGAGAAGTATCTAAGTGATATTGTAAAGTAAGAAAAAGTTTCTTTCCTCTAGATATTTCTTCAATGTATTGTCTTTCAACTAAGGAATAATTGATATAAATATTATAATTGATTCTAAATAAGATATTTATTTATTCCCTGAGTCAATATGTACCAGGCATTTATTTTCTGTGAAGATCTTTATTTGACAATGAGAGAATAGTAGCAATAAAACAAATGTGTGTCTCTACAGAGCCTAAAATCTAGAATATAGTTGAGTTAATCTGATCATACGTAGCTTAATAATATGGATTCATTCTGGAACATACACTGTTAGGTGATTTCATTGTTGTGCAAATGTTGCAGAGTGTACTTACACAGATCTAGATGTATAGCCTACTACACATTTAGGCTATATGGTATTGCCTATTACTCTTAGGCTGCAAACCTCTACAGGATGTTACTACACTGAATTCTGTAAGCAATTGTAACACAATGGTAAGTATTTGTGTATCTAAACATATCTAAACACAGAAAAAGTATAGTAAAAATATGGTCTAACACATTTTTTAAAAGGTACACCACTAAATAGCACTTACTATGCGTGGAGGTTGCAGGACTGGAAGTTGGTCTGAGTGAGTCAATGAGTGAGTGGTGAGTCAATAGGACATTACGGTATGCTACTATAGACTTTAAAGACACTATACACCTAGGCTACAGTAAATTAATAAAATATTTTTCCCTTCAATAATGAATTAATCTTAGCCTACTGTAACTTTTACTTTATAAACTTTTTAATTTTTTTCACTCTTTTGTAATAACTTATGTTAAAACAAATATATAGAGCTATACATAAACACTTTTATTATTCTATAAGCTTTTTCTATTTTTAATTTTCTTTTTACTTTTTAAAATTTTTCACTAAAAATGAAGACATGAACACACACATTAGACTAAGCCTACACAGGGTCAGGATCATCAATATCACTGTCTTCCACCTCCACATCTGTGCCACTGAAAGGTCTTTCGGACAATAACATGCTTAGAGTTGTCATCTCCTATGATAACAATGCTTTCTTCTGGAATGTCTCCCGAAGCACCTGCCTGAGGCTGTTTTACAGTTAAGTTTTTTTTTTTTTAATAAGTAGAAGAAATATGTACAAATGTATGAAAAGAATATTGAGGTATTCTGGGATGTATAATCAGCTTTCTTTAGCATCTCTCCTGTGATTTGTTACAACTACAAAGAAACACTTCACCCACAGAGAGAATTTCTTACGGCCTATGATGAAGGAGCAAGAACATGGTTTATTGTACCAGGTGGCTTGATACAGAGCCAGACAAAGGAATAACTTAAGTGATAAACGAAGTACAGTGTGCTATAAGAGACCACAGTAAGAGCCCATTTGAAATCTAGAAAATGACCTCTGTGGAAGTTGGAATGTTTTTGGTGGGGAGAGGGGTGGGGTGTTGAGAAAAGCAGAGGGAGAGAGAGAGGTTGTATTTCAGGTGAATTATATTGTTCATCACAAGGAAGGATATATGTAAAGATGAGGAGTAATAACAGGGAGTGTTCAGAGAATTCCAGTACATCAGAATGATGAGAACATAGAATATGAGTCACATGAGTGCATTTAACAGAATTTTAAAATATGATCCTTTAATCTAAACTTTATATAGGACTTTTAATTACTGAGTTACAATGATAAAGTATTTTGCGGCAGGGAGACTTGGTACATGATCAGCAGAAACAACTTCTTAAACAATGAGTTACTTATGTAATGAAAGATGCAGTCTGTACTTCCTTCCTGCCTTTCTTTCATGAGCATTTATAAAACACTTGTTATATGTCAGTAACTCTGCTGAGTATCAAGATTACAGACTGGAAACCATAATACATGGCTACAGTGTGATAAGTTCTATGATAGGGGTCTGTGGAACTCCAGTGGAGAGGTACCTGTTCTCCTTGGGCTATGATGGAGATGTATGGTAGGCTGCTTAGAGATGGTGATTCCTAATCTGAATAAATAAGGATAATTAGGAGTCAACCAGGAAGAGAAGGAGAGCAGGGACATGTGTTAATCCAAGCACAGAGAACTGTGTGTGAAGGCACACAGGTATAAACAAGCACAGTGTATTTAGAGAGCTGTCATCTGTTTGCATTGCTGCAGCCCATGTGGGAATACAGTCTGATGAGACTATTTGAAATTATGAAGTATCTCATATACCACAGTTTTAGTCTGTAAATGAAAACAGTTGAACTATTTTAAGTGGTCTTGAGAATAATAATATGTTCCAGGCTCTATACGAAGAACTTTACATATACTGCCTCATTTAATCAGTTTTATAAAGTAGTTGCTACTGGGTGTTTTTTTTCTATTTTGCACATCTATCTATCTGTCTGTCTGTCTGTCTGTCTGTCTATCTGTCTATCTATCATTTCTCTCTCTCTCTCTCTCTCTCTATATATATATATATATGTGGAGATATATCTATCTATCTACTTATCTATAAAGAGAGAGACTTAAAATGTTTACACCGTCCTAGAAGCCAGACCATCTGATTCAAGAGACAGCTTGCTTAACCATGATTCTGACCTGGCACAATTTGGTTTACTTTTTTTTGAAGGGTTACTCTGTGGGAATGTGAATGATGCACTAATGCAGGAAAAGTCAAAAGACACGGACATCAGTTAGAGGCTATTGGGATAACCAATGTGAAAAAATACTCATGTTCTTACCTAAAAGTAATTGCTGTTGAGATAATAAAGAGTGGAAACTTTTTTTTAATACTTTAAGGAAGCAAAATTAATAGCACTTAGCAAGTGATTAAGTGTGAGGCTAAGAGAAATGCAAACGTTAAAGAGCACTTTCATTTTTCTGACTTTGGTATATAAGTGAAAGATTATTGTCTTCCCTAAGGTATGGAGTTTAGTACACAAGAAAGAGTGGGTTTTGTGGTATGAGAAAGATGAAGACACATCTGGACATGTTAATATAGCTATGTGTGTGGGGCTTTCCAGTAAGATAGTTTCTTAGGATAGTGGATGTAAGGATGCAGAGTTAAAGAGAGTTTCGAGAAGGAGACATAGGTTAAAGGAACTGTTCTCAGGGTTGTACACATGAATGTCATCATTTTATGGCTTCTGCATAAAGGGCAAAATGGATGCTCACTTTTCTTTGTATAAAAGCATATCTTTTAATATATTTTACAGCATCCCATATTGATCTGACCCTACTGTGCCTCCTGTCTCATTTCACACCAATATTCACTCTAAGCAGCAAATCCAACACCAGCCCCATTCTTGATCCTTAATCATATGAGCCTCTTTAGCCTTTCTGAAATATGTATTTTCTATGTGTTATTTTCTATTTCTATTTGTTAATCCAATACACTATGTTGTCTCTCACCTTTGAGTAGTCACAAATAATAATTTATCTCTTCTGGATATTGTTTGTTCATTTCTTTACTGAACCCTCCTTCATGCTTCAATGATCCATTTAAATGTTATTTCAGCTGATGTGCATTGCATAACACCCCAGGCCTCTGAAACACACTTGCATCTGAGTTAAGAAACCCTGTGAGCTCCCATTGCACACCACAGTAGTATTCCAGCCGTATCATAGGTTAATGATGTGTGCTTACCTTTCTGTACCCCGAGTAGACTCTAAGCTATAAGGCTAAGCTCTTTTTTCTCTTACCAACCACACCCATTCTGAGCATCTACCATAGTTTTGGTGCTGCAGTACAGAAAAAGTATGATAATTTTGGGAATGAATGAACAAATGAGTAAGTAAGAAGGAAGAGGAATAAGGAAAGAAAGAAAGAAAGAAAGACTGAAAAGACAAAGTTTTAAGGAGAAGTAAGACAATTGTCTTAAAATGGAATTGTCTTAAAAGAAAATGGGAAGGAAATAACAAAATCAGAGAAATATTTCATAGGATCCAAAGAGGCAGAGGTCAACATGTTAGCATAGTGTATGCCAAATTGAAAAGAAACAGAAATTATGCACTGATGTTGCAACTTGGAAGTAAATTTTCAAACCTGTCCTGATGGAAGTGCCCTTGATTTCAGTGTCAGATTATAATGGCTTTTCTTTTGAACAAATGAAAATGATAGGTCTTCTTGTCAAAATAAATACAAGACTCTTTTCCTCCAACACAAAGGAGAAATGGGTACTTATAAATAATTTAGTAAGTGCTAGCTTAGTATTCTAAGTTTTTTATGTATATGAGAGATGCCTTCTTGTTACATAAAACATGGCCAGACAGCAAAAGATCTTTTGTGGATTAGGTAAATATAAATACTGTATCAATATTATACCACAATTCTATGCATGTTAGGATATATAAGCAATAAGTATTTTCCCCCAAAATTGCAAAGGAATTTCTAATGGCCCTAACATTACGGTAAATTAGTGTAATACCGAACTACTTTATTTTTTCACTGTAATACTTATTTATGGTCAGTATATACCTAACCAAACAGATATTCTTATAGGTCATTTTTATTTATGAAATAGATGTTTTAAAAATTCACATAGTATATCCAGTTTTGAGGGGTAAAAGATTATCATTATTATCAATAATTTTTGGTTATATATCTATTGTCATCTTCTAAGCCATGTATCTTTATCTTATTGAATTAAATTTTTGCTTAGAGGAAACATTTAGTGAATTTTCTGTTCTTCATTCAAAATTAAATAAAAGTTCAGGAACACTTGTGGATATATTTGTGCCTTAAAAGAAAGGAAACATATCTAATTTTTGTATATACATTTATCACTCTTCTCCATCAAGGAATTTTTTAGTTGGTACTACTCATTCAAAATGAAGTTACTGTAAGTCTCTAAAGCATGTGATCTTCTAGCACATATGTTAGCTTATGTGGAAGCAGAAACAATATAATTAATGTAAATGTTGTGAAACTTTACAATAGGGAAATGTGTAAGTAAGATTAAAAGGTCTAGAGTTAAAATGTCACAACTTCTAAAGGTGTAATTAAAGTACAAAACATATTTGAAAATATATTTACTGTTAATACATTCACAATCATATTTAATAATACTAGTTAATAATAACCTGTATTTTAAATACCATACTTCTTTACAAAAAATAAGTTATGAGAATTTTTAGAAGAGAATTTATGACAGGTTATTTTACATCTTCCCTCAATGTTGTAGTTTATGAAATTCAGTTTGCATTATTGTTTTTCTTTAACTGTGTTATATTAACTATTGGTTGGTAAGCTTAAGAATCACACTCCTTTGTTTCTTTCTGTCTGCAGGCATGTACAGAATTTCAATAAAGCCCTGGAAAATGTTGCATAGACTACTGTCATGCATCATTTTGTTGTGCTTCACTTTACTGTGCAGCATGGAGTGTACTTTTTCAAATAGGTTTGTGAAAATCCTGCACTGAGTAAGTCATCAGCACCATTTTTCCAGCAGCATGTGCTCACTTTTTGTCTCTATGTCACATTTTCCCAATTATCACAATATTTAAAATGTTTTCATTATTATATCTGTTATGGTGATCTTGGATCAGTGGTCTTTGTTATTGTCATCATAGTTTTTGGGACATCACAAACCACACCCATTCAAGATGGCAAAGTTAATCAGTAAAGATTGTGTGTGTGTTCTGACTTCGCCATTGACCAACCTCCCCATCTCTCTCCCTTTTCCAGGGCTTCGTTATTCCCTGAGACACAACCATATTGAAGTTAGGCCAATTAATAACCTCACAATGGCCAACTGTTCAATTGAAAGGAAGAGTCACACGTATCTCACATTACATTAAAAGCTAGAAATGATTAAACGTAATGAGAAGATATGTCACAACAAGAAACAGGCAAAAATCTGGGCCTCTTTCACCAACAGTTAGCTAAGTTGTAAATGCAAAGGAAAAGTTTCTTAAGGAAATTAAAAGTGCCATTTCAGTGAACACATGAATGATAAGTAAAATGGCCTCATTGCTGATATGGAGAAAGTTTGAGTGGTATAGATAGAAGATCAAACCAGCCACAACATTTTCTTAAGCCAAAGCCTAATCCAGAGCAAGATCCTAACTCTCTTCAGTTCCATGAACGCCAAGATAGGTGAAAAGTTGAAAGCTAGCAGAGGTTAGTTTATGAGGTTTAAGGAAAGAAGCTGTTTCCAGAACATAAAAGTGTATGGTGAAAGTATGATGTAGAAACTGCAACAACTTACCCAGACTAAGTTGTTGAGCTAAGATAATTGAAAGTGGTGACACTTCACAACAGGTTGCCAATGTAGACAAAATAATGCTTCTATTGGAAGAAGATGCTGTCTAGGATTTTCATAGCTGGAGAGGAGAAGTCAATGCTTGGCTTCAAAGCTTCAAAGGACAGGCTGATTCTCTTCATAGGGACTGGTGCAGCTAGTACCTTTAAGTTGAAGCCAATGTTCATTCACCATTCTGAAAATCTTAAAGCCTTTAATAATTATAGTAAATATACCCTGCCTATGCCTGGAACAACAAAACCTGGATGACAGCACATCTGTTTATAACATAGTTTACTGTATATTTTAAGTTCACTTTTAAGACCTACTATTCAGGAATAAAAGATTCCTTTTAAAACATCACTGTTCATTGGCAAGGCATCTGATCACCCAAGAGCTTTGATGGAGATGCGCAAGGAGATTAATGTTATTTTCATGCCTGCTGACACAATATTAATTCTGCAGCCCATGGATCAAAGGGTCATTTAAACTTTCAAGTCTTATTTAGGAAATACATTTTGGAAGACTATAGGTGTCATAGATAGTGATTCCCTCATGAATCTAGGTAAGGAAAGATATTCTGGAAAGATTCACTATTCTAGATGTCATTAAGAACATTCACGATTCATGAAAGAAGGTCAAAATATCAACATTAATAGCAGTTTGGAAGAAGTTCTAAACATCATGGATGACTTTGAGGGAGTCAAGACCTCAGTGGAGTAACTGCAGATGTGGAAGTAGCAAGAGAATGAGAACTAAAAGTGTAGCCTGAAGATGTGACTGAATTGCTGCAATTTCATAATAAAATGAGCAGTTGAGGAGTTGCTTCTTAGGGATAAGCAGAGAAAGTGATGTCTTGAGAATGTATTCCTGGTGAAGATGCTGTAAACATTTTTGAAATGACAATAAAGAACTCAGCATATTACATAAATTTAGTTAGTAAAGCAATAGCAGAATTTGAGAGGCTTGACTCTAATTTTGAAAGAAGTTCTACTGTGGACCCAATGACATAAAACAGCATTGTATGTTATAGAGAAATCTGTCATGAAAGGAAGAATCAACTGACGTGGCAAACTTCATTGTTATTTTATGTTAAGAAATTGCTACAGTCACCCCAACCTCTAGCAACTACTACCCTGATCAGTCAGCAACCATCAATACTAAGGCAACACACTCCACCAGCAAAAAGATTAACTCACTGAAGGCCCAGGTGATAGTTAGAATTTTTTAGCAATAAACTACTTTTTAAATTAAGCCCTGTACATTTTGTAGACATAATTCTATTACATACTTAATAGGCTATAATATAATGTAAACATAACTTTCATATGTGTTAGAAAACCAAAAAGTTTGTATGATTCTATTGCAAATTTGCTTTGTTGCTGCGGTCTGGAAGCAATCCACAATGTTTCTGAGGTATGCCTGAATATAAAGTAAGGGAAAAACAATTCTATCTGAGATTCTCCCTGTTTTACATTGAAAATCTAGAGAGTAAGAATGGAAATAACACTATTGTGAAAATTGTGGATCTGGAATTTAGTCTAAGGTTTATACTTGTAAAAACTCTGTATCTTCTGAATCATCATTTGTGAAAATTGGAGAATTTGTGACATATTTGAAGGTCCCTCCTGACTCTATGAACTTATGGTTTGTCATTGCCACTTAGCAAGACAGTTTGCTATTGAATTCTTACTTGTGAACGCTCTGACCATTTCTTTAAATACTGTTGACTTTTCTAGAGATGATATTTCTCTACTGTAACATCTGAAATAATTCTAATGAATTTCATGAAACAGTGGTGTAGAATATTATGAAAATAATAGTACATGAAACCAATAGTCATTATGCTTCTGATAAAAGAGGTCACAAAGCTAGCCACTCTGTGAATATCATATATTGTCTGCATTTTTATTTATCTGTAAGGTTTTATGAATCCAATTTTATCCTCAAGCAAACTGAGATGGAGAGTTAGATAACTGCTCAGAGTAGCACTGCTAGTATTTATGACAGCAGGGTAACTCCTACTCTCAAGTTCCAAAGCACATGTTAGTTACACTGTGCCTGGAGTAATGTCTGATGAGAATCCTAATTGAATTAGGACTTTTTGTTTGTTTTGTGGGTTTGTGGTGTTGTTGTTGTTTGTTTGGTAGAAGTGAGAGAATTTTTATACTCTCAGTATAGAGTTTTATTTTCCAATAAACTATAATAGAACATTTGTCTAGAGTTTCTCTAAGCATTGGATAAGAAAAAGAAAGTTGAATTTGCCTCCTTCTGAAACACTAGTTGGCTCATTGTTGGATTTTGATGTCAACAATTTAAAGAGAAATCAATGCCAAAATGGACACAAAGCTGAAGATGATCTATAAGATGCTGCAGGTTAAAAAACCTCCATTATAATTCTCATTCAATATTTTTCTTAATAACAACATTAACATTTACCCATTTACTTTATTGGTCCAAGCAAAAAGGAAGAAAAGGAAGTAGACGGAAGGAAAGATAGTGAACACTTAGGTAGTATTTATGTGCAGGGCACACTTCTAAAGACTACATATAAAATATATTGTAATATTCACAGCAACCCTGTGAGTTAGTTATTAATATAACATTAGGAGAAAACTGGAGGACGGGTATGCATGCATACAGTGGACACTTATCAAACACTCTCTACTCTTTTTTTTTTTATTGCCTTTCTATATGTAGTGAATTCTCAACATTATAAAATGCTCAAGCATCTTGGCTGGGTGCAGTGGCTCAGGCCAGTAATCCCTGCACTTTGGACGGCAGAGGTGGGAGGATCGCTTGAGCCCAGGAGTTCAAGACCGGCCTGGGCAACATAGGGAGACCTTCATCAGTACAAACATTTTTTTTAAAAAATTAGCCGGGCATGGTGGCACATGCCTGTGGTCCCAGCTATTCACGAGGCTGAGGCGGGGGATCACTTGAACCCAGGAGGTCGAGGATGCAGTCAGCCAAGATTGCACCACTGCACTCCTGCCTGGGTGACAGAGAGAGACCCTGTCTCAAAACAAGCAAACAAAATAAAATCATCATCTCTAATATAGAATTAAAACCTCAAGTAAACAGTATGTCTTTCAGTAAAGATGCAGATGTTTCCATGTAAGTCTCAATTTAGATTAACTTAATTCTTTTGGGCTGGCAGTGAGTGCCTGGCCAAGTTCTTGATGCAAATGTGTCCCCAGTTCTGTAATATTTGTAAGAGAAAAGTTGAATTCCTGACATTTGATACTTGGTGATCACAGCCGCAGGGGTGACAGTTTTTTTTTTTTTTTTTTTTTTTTTTTCCGAGACGGAGTCTCACTTTGTCACTCAGGCTGGAGTGCAGTGGCACGATCTGGGCTCATTGCAAGCTCCGCCTCCCGGGTTCACGCCATTCTCCTGCCTCATCCTCCCGAGTAGCTGGGACTACAGGCGCCTGCCACTAAGCCCGGCTAATTTTTTGTATTTTTAGTAGAGACAGGGTTTCACCGTAGCCAGGATGGTCTCGATCTCCTGACCTCGTGATCTGCCTGCCTTGGCCTCCCAAAGTGCTGAGATTACAGGCGTGAGCCACCGCGCTCGGCCGCAGTTTCTTTACTACACAAATTCTGGAATGTGATTATGTCTCTGTAAGGCTTGCCTCCAGAATCTTTTTCCAGACCTCAATGATTCTATGAGTTGGCTAAATCCTTTAATAAATTATTATTCTGCTTAAATTAATCATAATGATTCTGTTGCTTGCAATCAACATCATTATCCAATACTCTCTGTATCAAAATGCAATCACGGACACATGGACATTATGTATTTACATGTATTTATGTGCATGTGTATTGCATATACACAAGCAAAAAGCACTCCCACAGCTTAGTTGAAAGTTAACATTTATTGTTTACCTATGTAATTTCAGACACTCTGCCAGGTCCACCTGGCAGTATAACAATACATTCTCATAGCCTTGTGGGATAAGGTCATTGGCTGCCTTTCCATCCTGCCTTCTTTAGGCTTATAAACAACTGTATAGTAAAATTATTTTAGTGTCGCTCCTATCTGGTAAGAATCCTTAGGGAGGAACCATGCTTCGTATCCTTTGCAATGAAGAAAATAGCATTTCAGAACATTCCAGCCTGCTAAGATAGAAGTAACGCTTTTATTCAAATTAGATTTCTTAACTCACCATTCACTTTTGTTTATTTTGTAATCTGATTTCCAAAATACATTTTACCATTTCACTTTTTTATTTGACTTTCTGAGAAATCTTTAATATGGAATTCATAATATTGTCTGCTTATTTTTGTTCCTATTAAAAATATGTTTTAAAATTACATTTAAAACTATTTGTTTCTGGGTTTGAAACGTACTGTTTCAAGCTGTGTCTTTCTGGTGCAACTAATATGGTTTTCCTGTGGTAATTTTCTTTATCTAGTTTTTTAAAAATTTTCTCTAGCTCACATTCTATCTGATTTTTTTTTATTATACTCTTCCTGAGCTGCTATACTTCCCGTTTGAGGTCTTATGAAATTGGTTGTTTAAGTTTGATGTCATCACAATGTCTTTGCACTATTTTTTTCTATGTTGTCTTCATCTGCCTCTTGTGTTGCCTGCTTCTTTTATTCTTTTTGCAATGTTTTGCATAGATTCTTTGCCTCTTCTTTTTTTATCATTGCTGATTCTTTATTTCCTCTTGAGTCTGTTGTTTGTAGGAAGTGTTGTTTGTGTGGGGGAAGGAGGGTTGTGGGAGTTGGTTAGAGAAGGAGGAATCAGAACTCTACTTCCAGCTTGCAGGAATAATTTTCATGGAGCAGCATTGAGTGTGAGAGGACATTCCTTTAGCATTTCCTTACTCCTGGCCCCCTGTTTGGCAGCACAGCTGCTGATAATGCAGAGTCTCTTTCACTCCCTCCTCCTAAATGAACAGACTGTTTTCTGTAAACATAGCTTACTTGTGGTGTTCCACACTTCTTCATACAATCTGGTTTCAGGGGAAATTCTCACCCTTAGCCCACGCACATTGTTTCTGTTCTTCTAAAGAAGGAATTTTGGGATCTTATTCCTCAGAAGTTTTGCCTTCCTATTGAGAGCTAAAAGCTTTGTCAAAATGTGGAGCCTTATCTTCTATTGCTACCCTATGAGCATTCACTCATTCATGTGGCAAATATTTCTGAGTTAAGTATGCCAAATACTTTGTTAGTTCCTGGGGAACATTTGCCAATATGAAAGTTTATGGACTGTACCCTCAAAACATTTTCATTCTTGTTGAAAAGAGTTATGCACATAAAAATGACAATGCAATAAATTAATTCCAATAATGGAATTATGCACAAAAAGCTGCAAAATAAAAATCAATACCCAAATCTGTCTACATAATGCAAAAGATGCTTCAGTGAATTCATAAAGATATAGATCTGCTATATTTATCGTACTCTGCTATGTGCAGAGGCAGCAGTGACTAAAAGGTCAGCACAATTCCTAGTTGGCTAAAAAAATGACAAAACTTTTAATTGGACAGATTAAGGATAAATAGAAGTTTTCCACAAGCATGATGGAGAATGTTCTGAGCAGTGGGAAGAATGCACAAGGAAGGAAAACTTGAGAAAGTATGGCAAGTTTTTGAAACTATGGAATGGCTAATGGTGGATTAGAAATTCAAGCAATCTTTGTAATAGGAGATGTTGCTAGGCAGATAGGATAGAGTCACATAAGAAAGTGCATTGTAAACTATTACAGCAGTTTGTGTTTTATATCAGAAATGAAGTTGAAAGAATTTTTTATTATAATAAGGGAATGATGCCATCAGATTACTACGTAAGTGAAAACACTCATAAATATGAAGGACAGATTGGAGAAGGTCAAGACCAGAATCAGAATCTTAGGCAGTGTATTTGTATTGACAGACAAAGAATAGGAAAATTCTGAGCTTAGGTAATTGTAATAGGATTTGAGAGAAAGAGACAGAACAGTGGCAACAAAAATGGAAGGATTTTTTTTCTTTCAGCTATTCTGCTCTGTGTTATAAGTAAAGGGCCTCAATCCCTCTCAGGTTTCTGATGGAAACAAATGGATAGATTGTGGTGCTGTTTACCAAGCAGGGGATATGTCTTATAATGCTTTATTTGATGGGAAATGTATTGTAAGGTTTCAAGGTAATTTTAGAAAACCAATTTCTAAAATGTAAGTCTGCATACAGGGGAGCTTTAATCAGGCTTCTATCTTACCCGTCACTATTTCTTAGGTTAAGTGAGTTCTCATTTATGTTTCCTCCACCAATTTATTTTATTGCTCCCTTTGTAGTCTGGCTTCTTCAGCAAGGTTTATATTATTGTCTCTTCCATAAAGTTAGATGTTTTTTGATTTGGGCTTGGCATGAAATAAAATCTGGCTCCAATGTTACTTACACTCTAGAGCCAAACAGTATTCGACTAACCCAGTGTCTCTGTCTTATGTTCTATCTCAAATTCCTGATTGATTGAATCAGGTGACTACTCCTGGTTGAGTTAACGTCAGTCCTTGGAGTACATAGGACAGCCCCTTTCAGACTGTAGATAAAGTAGATGTTTTAAAAACAAGGGTATACATGAGGATGGCACCACTGGCATGTATGGTACATAATATTCCAAAACAAAACAAATGGGTAAGAATATTTTAGGTAAATAGATAATGAGCTTAATTTTTAGTATCTTAATTTTAATAAGCCCTTATGTTACCAAAGTAGAAGGGGATATAGTACAACAAGACATTGCAAAAGGTCAGATTCTCTCCAAAGTGGACTCTGAGGTGAAGGTTTGCATGCAGACAAATTATCAGGGAATACCCTTGGGATCAAAATATACTAAGGGGTTGGAGGAAGTAAAGTTATGCAATTGAAGTATTGAACTGAGGTACATTTTCAAAATAGACCTTACCCCATCTCAGGAAAGCTCTGGATTTGGAATGGCTCTTCGGAATTGTCCAATATTGCCAATAATAAGTTAGACCTTTGTATTTCTATATTCAGAAGTTGTTGGAGGCAGGCTTCCCCAGGGAGCAAGTATGACCTGGGACAAAGCAGATTTTTTCTAATGAATGTAATTCTTGGAAAGAATTTAGATGAGAGCTACAACACTCCAAGCAGCTGGGCGAATTAGTTCCTCAGTCCTCAAAGAGGGATCTCAATGGCACAGCCCAGCATCTACTCTAGATACTTATCATTTTTGAGGTTTAAAGATTTAGAGTTGGTAAACAGGATCATGTAGACAGTAGGTGAAACCATAAATTGAAATTATAGATGGAGATAATATACATTGAACACCTAGGATCAGAGAGGTCTGGGTAGCTCCAACATCAAAAGAGCGAAAGAAGAGTAACAAATACTGAGAAGGAACCAAAGTGGGTAAATCAAGAGACTGTACAGGTACCAGATGTCAAGTGCTATGGTCTGAATGTGTCTCCCAAAATTCATGTGTTGCAAACTTAATAGCCAATGCAACAACGTTGGGAGGTGAAACCTCTTTTAGGAGGTGTTTGGTTTATCAGATCTCAGCCATGTGAAGATACAGCGTAACTCCCTGCAGAGGGAGCAGCTTTCAAATTGCTATCTTGGAAGCAGAGCTGCTATCACCAGACACCAAACTTGTCAGCACCTTGATCTTTGACTTCCCAGCCTTTAGAACCACGAGAAAATAAGGCTCATTTCTTTATAAATTACCCAGTCTCCGTTTTTTGTTTGTTTGCTTCTTTTTTGTTTTTGTTTTTGTTATAGCAGTACAAGCAAACAAAGGCATGAAGTAAAGAGAGGGAAAAAACCCACAACACTAAGACTTAAAGGAACAAACCAGAATACTTTTCCTGGACCCTGCCCTCACATTCCTGACTCCATGACTATATTGATGTTTCTCAAGAACATGCTGAAAGCTTTCTCTATATCTCTACTTGTTAATATCCAATTATTCTTTGTCAATTCATTCAAATGTTATCTTTTTATGGAATCATCTCTAATCATTTTAACAAAATGGTGATATGCCTCTTTTCAAACTATCAACAATATTATTTTCTCATTCTCAATACTCTTTATTTTTTGGTTTTCTATTATATTTAGTTCTTTTATTTTGTCACTTCTCATCTGAGGTTGAAAACTTTTTGATGACCTGAGGCTAATATGCGTATTACCTTGAAATCTACTGCAGAGTCTTGCAGAATTCTCCCATACTTAGCAGGTATTTAGTATGTTTGTGTTACGATGTGAGGGAAAGAGAGTAAAATGGTCTTTCAGAGAGCCTGAGGGTGGGTAGTAAGAAAGTTAGGTGGTGCTAACAAAACTGTCCTACTGGAGTTTATAATGAGGACTGCTTCTGCTAGTTGTGTTGATTTTTGCATGAGCAGTGTGAGAAAACAACATTTTAGTAAGATTAGCTATGGTTTATTGGTTTACAAGCTTCTAACGTAAATGATTAGGTTTTCATCGAATTAACTGCTTATAAATGTCATAAATGGCTTGTTTTAGCATCAGTAGATGGAGCCTCACTTTGAGACAAAATTGCCAAGCTTATTCAGTCACAAGGTATCTTCAGTATTTTATAATTTCCCATGTATAGAATGGGAATTTCAAGTTAAATGTTAGACTTGGTTTTAAAATGTTTCCTCTTACTATGTTATTTTATAATAGAAGATATTTTAAGATCATCATAGGAAAACTGGCAACAATGCCATGGGAAATATGATTCATTTTTCTTTTTTTATTTCACCTTAACAATTTCCAAATACAGTATTTAATTCCGGCTCTGATTTTAGTAAGCTCTTAGCTAAAACTCAGGTTTTACAGGTTTCTTACATGGTTTTATTCCTAATTTAAATGACGAGTAAATATTTGTTAGGCTTTGATTTTCGTAGGTCAGCAACTTTATCAATCATGTTTTCAAAATAATTTATCAAACATAAAAGTAAATACTACTGAAATAATTTTAAATGAAACTTTACCCTGAAATATTTTGCATCTTTCATTTCTCTAGTGCCAACTAATAAATAATTATAACTTTTAAATCTTTTAAAATAATATCTTCACTAGCTTGATATGGTAGAACATTTTTCCTTGTGATATACTGTAAGTTAGGAAGGCCTCCTGTTTCTTTAGAAACCTAATTACTTTGAATGAAATCTCATAATGTAGAGCCTAAATTGTTACATAAAATTAAGATAAAATTCTAAGAGACAATGTTGCCTAAGAAAAATCATGAACGGTGATAAAATTATATGTTCAAAGTATTTTTACTTGAAGGCCATACATAAAAAACTGTGATGCCTAAAGATAGGAAATGTTAATCTAGCAAAGGGAAATGTGAGATGATACGAAAAGGCATTGGAAAGGCCCAGAGCAGGGCAGTATTTGAAATGGTCAAGAATCACTTGGGAACCAAATAAAAATGTACCTTACTTGTCATCATTCCCAGATATCCTGAGTCAGATTTGGGGACAAAGATGCTTTTAGCAAACATCTCTGGCAATTCTGCTAGATATAGTAACTGTATATTACCAGTATGTATTATTTTAGACCTTTTCAAGATGTATTCAATTTCACTTGTCACTTCTTATATTCAGTAAATACTAAGTTAAGAAAAGTTGATTAACTTTTAATAGACATACATTTGGATTAATGACTTCTTTGGTTAAAAGCACTCCACAAAAATATAGTTACAAGTAACTAAAATAAAGTGAAATATTTCTTTTTCTCATCTGAGAATTTCATATGTTATTACATTTTGTTAAGGTTTGTTTTTGCTTGCTTGTTTGTTTTTATAAAGAATAGAGAACAGAGTTTGACTTGGACTTGTGCAATAATAAACCAAAGTGTAAACATCGAGGCTATTAAATAATCTAAATAATGAAATAATGGAAAACAGTATACAGATTTTGCATGATGACAAAAGAAATCCATATACAGATCTGGATAGCTGAGACAGTCTACATGACTTTTTCTATGTTCATACGAATCACTAGAGGGCATCGTATGCTATACTTTTTAACAATTACATATCACAGAACTGTTTGTAGATACAGAGGAGTATCTACCTACCTAGTGACATCTTAAGGCTTTTCTCTTTAATTTTTGTAAAACTCAAGTAGACATGGCTATTATTCCCTGAAAGTCATGCACACAATCATAAAAATATAAAATCTAGAAAGTAATAAAAAATGGACTCATTTTTATTTTTTTTAATCTCTCAAACATTTGCATCAATGACTGGAGGGTAGCACAATCGCTTTTTTTTCTGTACTGAGTGCCCCACCAATATAGCTTGTTTTGTTTCGTTTTTTTTCCTATACCTTGTATTACATGGGCTCATCTCATCACTGCTTAGGCTTAAAAAACAAGAAGGGGTGAGCATGGTGGCTCATGCCTGTAATCTCAGCACTTTGGGAGGCCACAATGGGAAGATTGCTTGAAGTGAGGAGTTCAAGACCAGTATGTGCAGCAAAGTGAGACACCCCCTCATCTCTACAAAAAAAATAAAAAAAAAATTAAAAATTAAAATGAAAAGGAGAAAGAAAGTTTCAAATGGGAGTCAGTAATTGACAACCTCTTCTACTGGAATTAAGGGAAAAGAAAGCAACACTTTTTAGTAATTGCAATTCTGATTTTCATACTTCAGAGTAAATTTTTAAAAATACTTTTGTATCTAAACACTGCTTTTATTGTATGTGTGTTCTCATTATAAAATGCTATAAATATATTTAGAAAGAAAGTTGGTTAGAATAATGAGTGAATGAATTTAAAAATAAGTGAATTTAATTATCAATTTTCTGTCCCCTCAAAATTAAAAAATACAACAACCAAAAATGTCAAACTAAAATGGGGGAAAGATACAAGATATGAAGGCAGAGAAACTGAACATAGTAAAAACAGAACTGCATGTTTTCAACTGCAACATTTTATTCTAAAACAGGCAAAGTTTATCTTTCATTATATATTCTAACTTTGCTGCCTCAAATACAGCAGATGGATAGTTATAATTATCAGTTAATTTTTAAGCACTTACTATGTGCTAGATAAAATATTTTATCTTTATTATCTCATTTAACGCTCACAATGCATTTATGGAATGGGAGCTATCATCACATACATTTTATCCATGTGTAAATTGAGACTTTATAGGTTGTAGTTTGTTGAGAAGCTAGGCACAAATCCAAGTGTTGAGTCTGGAGCCTGCAATCTTAACTACTGTGCTTTACTGCCTTCCACGGAAAAGGATATCTCAGTAGGAGAATAATAAAACAATTAGGTATTTCCACCCAAATACAGGCATATAAATTTCACATTTATTCAAAGTTGTTAATTCCCTCTCATTTCATTGGTCTAAAAGTCTTCATGGGAACATTATGCAGGTCCACATTGCTTGTATAACTTGTGGAAGAATTGAAACATTTATATGTGCACAACTAATCTGGCTTATTTTAAAAACAGTAAACCAGGGTCCAATTTCAATCTAAGAAGCATATGAGCACATTTTAGAGTTGGGTAATATATACTGAAATAAATCTATTTTACGGTGTTTAGGTAAACACTGGTGGCCTTTAAAGAAAGTTGTTGTTACTTTTACGCAAGGTTAGTGATAGAATTATGTTTTTATCCATTCATTGAATATTTTGTAAACACCTCTTCTTGAAGGCATTTATGAAGGCTAGAGAAAATATAAAGCATTATTCCAGCCCTAAAACAATTGAATAATTAGTCTCTTCTTTACCTTTCTTTTGGTATTCTGGAATTACATTTCCCCTTTTTAGAGTTAACACACTAAACAATGAAATGTATTGAGTGAAAAATGTATTGAGTGAAAAATACAAACACCAACATCTCTGAGGTGCTGGTAGATCTTCTGAGGTGTGTTTAATTAATTCTGACTCCTAGGAATTTTGTATTTATTGAAATTTATCCAAATACTTATTCCATTAAATCAGCTTAAGTAGATTGGCATTGTCAATAATTTTTTGCTCTTAGATATGAAATTTCCATTTTCCATTTTCTGGTTTTCAAAGAACTTCTTGCTCCCAAATTTCATGTGATAGCTAATAGTATCCTTTCTAATAATTTAATTGTACATGTTAGTCATTAAAAATTATTTCAGAATTGTATTATTTCATTCAGCCTATTCTTTTGCCACCATGCAGCTGAGTCAGTATAGTTCTTTTTCTTATTACAATTATTCAACTTAATAAAATGCATGGCTTTCTTATTCCTATTTCTTTTTTTTTTTTTTGCTTTTTAAAATCAAGTTTGAAAATATGTCGCATAGATAAACAAAGAATTTTAAAGTAAAAACTAAGAAGATTTACAGTAAATAATCACAATATAAACCCTAAGTGCCCCAGGGTGTTTGTGGCACAGGCAAGAGAAAATTTGTCACCATGATAATTTTCATTGAGAAAATTTATTGTTTTTGGTTTTCAAATATTCTCAATACATAATATGTGTTTAGTCATGGTTCTGTATTTAAAATCTCTTCTCATATTAAATATTTTTAAAAATGATTATACATATGTCTGCATTTTATAGTAATAGTGGGCATTTGAGAAAATGATAAATGGATGAGATGAAGCAGTAAGATTTAAAAACAAGAATGAGTTAAATATAAAACTTAAAAACTGACTTTTTCACAGGATAATATTAATAATGAAAGAAAACATTTGAGAAAGGTGAAGAGTACAGGAAAAATTATGAGTTAAGTAAAAGAAAACATTTGTCTTCGGGAGAAATGAAAACTAATTAGGAAAATATAAAATCAAGAAAAATATGACAGAAGGCATGCTGATCAGTTTTGTTTGTTTTTTTATTTATTTATTGACACAGAGTCACACTCTGTCACCCAGGCTGGAGTGCAGTGGTGCAATCTCGGCTCACTGCAAACTCTGCCTCCTGGGTTCAAGCGATTGTCCTGCTTCGGTATCTTGAGTAGCTGAGACTACAGGAGTGCGCCACCACGCCTGGCTAATTTTTGTATTTTTGTAGAGACTGGGTTTCATCATGTTGGCCAGGCTGGTCTCGAACTCCTGAACGCAGATGATCCACCTGCCTCGGCCTCCCAAAGTGCTGTGATTACAGGTATCAGCCACTGTACACAACCCTGATCCATTTTAGTTTCAGTTTTGTTTTTTTTTTAATCATTGAAAACCTTTTAACTTACACATATTGTCAAGCTCTGCTAGGCAGAATCCACCAATTTTTCACTTTCTCGAAATGGAATAGTCCTTGAAATATTTCTTATACCACTAGGGTGCCATTCAGTAAATTGCTTCTTCATAAGCACTAAATTGCACACTAATGTCTTGAGAAAGAAAGTAATCTACTCCCTCAGATTATAAATGTTATCTCATTAGTTCTAAAAACATACCTATGAGGATGGAAAATGGAAATGGGAAATAGTTCTATGATTTTAGAGGTTGAACGATTGAGACACTGAACATAGAACATCAGAATTACCAATATTCCAAATTAACGAGCTCCCAATATAAAATCTAATGTTGATCTACTTAATAAGAAATGTAAAATTTAGCTATCTGCATGCCTATGTTTGCAAAGCATGTACTAGGTGTTATGAAATATTTATGACATCAATAATCTTTTTTCAATTTGTAATGGCAAGGATTGTTTTGTTGTTGTTAGTAACGGACAAATGAAAGAAATTGCAAATGAATAAAATGAGACACTAGCATATTTCAATAAAAAGTGGGTGAAGAAGTGAAACAAAGGTTCACTTTTTTTCAGCAAGGTAATATTAATCTTAAAACAAAACATATGACAGATGAAGGGAACAAAAGGAATTTATGATTTTGAACAAGTTTGTTTTACAGAATTACCTTTCATCTTTGCACTTAAAATTTTCTTTAAAATTTCCCACTTTCTGGCTATATTTATTTCCTGCAACTTCATTTATGAATAATTTCAGGGATTTTACACTTTTTATGACTCAGTCTTTTCTATTGCTTATTTGCTATTCTCTGCCTGGCAAGACAGAACACACATAGGTAAGTCTTTGAGGACGGGAGCCTTTAGGCAGTCACAAGGTTTCACTGTGGAAACAGTGATATTATTGGAAGCCATTGAAAGCCATGCTGAAACCTGGGCTGTCTTGGCCTCTTAAGGCCTTATTGGGTCACCTTATTCTGCTGACCCTAACCCTGACTCCTGCTGATACAGCTTTACTATGTCAAGGTCAGTATTTTAAAGCAAAATTATCTAATGCTATTTCTCCAAAGTGTTTCAGTCTTGGCATTTGCATGTCCAGTCAATTATCTCTGGTTTTCTATTTTCTTACTTCTCAGAGTCTCTGGTTATTCTTCCCAGCTATCAGGACCTTGAGTGTCACCAATCCGTTTGACATTTCTTGAACTTCAGAGACCAGAATGCAGAATTCCTATCTCATTTCAACCAGGTAATAACTAAGCCCCTGCTGAAATTCTTGCATGCAAACAGATGTCTCAGGGAGTAAAGCTTAGCTCTATACTTTAACATCTAACCTTAAGTACTCATTAAATCCAAACTACTATTACATGTTTCTACAGAATTATGTGTGGGTGCTTAACAGATAGCTAAGGAGAATATATAGGGTAATTTCTAGACTGCCAGCTTGAAAGTATATTTCAGTATGCTAGCTCCATTTCATCATTTAAAATGTACAATTCAGTTTCTGTAGGGTTCCTTGCTACAGTTACACCAGTGGTCTAGAAGTCAAGTTATGTCTTTCCTGTTTCCAGTGTACTCACTTTTCATACCACTCAACTTGTTAATCTAAATAATAATAATAATAATACAGATTTTACTGTAGGGGAAAACCCTATTTGGAGAAATGTTCCATATTTTTATGGAATATAGATTTCACATTTAACAAACTATCTTAAATTTACTAATAGTAAAGAAGAATTTCAACTGGTTAAATCAGGAGACTAAAATTACATTCAGGAAGAAAAACTGATTGCAAAATAAATTTGTGCCCTGGTTTCCTGGTATTTTTTTCCCTTGAAATCTGAAAATGAGTGGTAATGGCTATATTAGCTGATATACTGGTTCCCCTACCTAAACAACCTATTACAGTTACAGCATTCCAAGTTAAAGATGACCTTGTTCTGATGACATATTTTCAGTGATTGATGGTGCCAGAAATGTTGAAGTGTTCTGCACTGCTTTTCCTGTCTGTGACTTGACTTGGTCTCTGCAATTCTTTGTCAATCTGGCATTTTCTCTTTTCTACAATCAATAGAAGGAAGGGTTTTGTTATTCCCTACTTTCATTTTACTTTGTTCAAGCTCCCGAATGTTTTTTGAACTTAGAGTATATGAAAGGAGGGTAAGAAGATGGCTAACTATTCAGAACCCCAACTAAATACATTAAGATAGTCAATGTCTTAGTCCATTTCCACTGTTACAACAAAGTACCTTAAGCCAGGTGTGATGGAATGTACCTGTAGTACCAGCTAGTTGTGAGCCTGAGGTGGGAGGATCATTTGAGCCCAGGAGTTGGAGGCCAGCCTGAGCAGCATGGTGAGACCGTGTCTCTGAAAAAAGAAACAACCTTAGATTGGGTAATTTTTAAAAATAAAAATTTAGGCCTGGCGCAGGGGCTCACACCTGTAATCCTAGCACTTTGGGAGGCCGAGGTGGGCGGATCATGAGGTCAGGAGATCGAGACCATCCTGGCTAACACGGTGAAACCCCGTCTCTACTAAAAATACAAAAAATTAGCCAGGCGTGGTGGCGGGTGCCTGTAGTCCCAGCTACTCGGGAGGCTGAGGCAGGAGAATGGCGTGAACTCGGGAGGCGGAGCTTGCAGTGAGCCGAGATCATGCCACTGTACTCCAGCCTGGGCTACAGAGCGAGACTCCATCTCAAAATAATAAAAAATAAATAAATAAAAATAAATAAATAAATAAATAAATATAAAAATTTATTGCTTATAGTTCTGGAGGCTGGGAAATTCAAGATTAAGGTGCCAGCAGATTTGATGTTCAGTGAAACTTACTCTGTTTCAGAAATGGCACCTCTCACTGGGTCTGTCTAATGGCAGAAGGGGCAAGAAGCTCCCTGAAATCTCTTTTATAAGGTCACTGATCTCATTCATGAAGGCAGAGCCCCCATACCTAATCACTTCCTAAATTTCTTAATACCACCATAATGGGGATTAGGTTTCAAAATGAAATTTGGAGCGAGTCAAACATTCAGACCATAGCAGTGAATTTTATGGTTGAATGACACAGTACTAGATTTTCAGCAGTCCACATCAGAACAAAATCTCTGAGGTGTTCTCTGCATAATGGTCAACCAATGTCTTGCTTAGCAATTATTTGTTAAGTCAGAATCATATTGACATTGACCATATTAAGCTACTGTGAAATTACTATTTTTTCTCTCTTTAATAGCAGCTTCTTTTCTTCAGAAATAATTAATGGGATACTATTATAACACAACCTCCCTTCAACAAAGGTGTAACTGTATAGGGATAGAAACAAAGCCTTTGAAGTCAGGAAAATTTCAGCTCAGTTTCCTGCCAATTTAGGTACTTGAAGAAGCAGAGTCAAGACAGGATTATATGTGCAAACAACTTATTGGGAGGAATGTTTGTGAAGAGGATAAATAGGCAGTGTGAGCTTCCAGACCACATTTCAGGCATGATACATGGGAGAGCAAGGTGGGAGGAGGGAAGAAGAAATGAGTGGGAAGTCTTAGACTGTGGCATCATTCCAAAGAAAGTGTTGTAAGCCTGCTGGGAAGTCCTTTAACCAAAGTTTCCTGTTAGGGGATTCCATATACTGCAGTAATGGCCCTACACTAATATCCTCAACCATGCTCAATTATCAACTGGGAGAAAGCTGGAAGGAAGTGAGGCATTATTGAAAACAGGGTGGTGGATCCAGTGGGGCAATCAATCAACGCTTTTCCCCAGAGCAGGATATCATAGTGGTGTATCTTTATAGTTCCAAATTATTATATTTTAAAACTTGTACTATCAACAAGTTGAGTCATCTAAAAATAAGTTATGCCTTAAATATCTTTCCTTCTTTTAAGACTTTAAGTTCCCTCTGGGTATGACATATGGCCTATTACTCTTTTCCCAATGCCTTATAAAGAGATGCTTTAGAAATACTAGGTATTAAGTCCATCTACTCAAAATGAGCCCAGATCAAGGGAAAACAGTTTATCCAAACATCTTGAGAACTTAGTGGTAGAAGAAGACTACCTGCCGTAATATAACAGACTCAGGTAGAAGACCGTAGTCCTTGACAAACTTGGTCTTTGTAAAAGTACAATTTTCAAAAGAGTAAAATTACAACTCTCATGCAAATATAAAACAAAGACATGGCAAAGATTTCATTCAATTTATTAATGGATGAGAAAACAAGTAGAAATTTATAACTGGTTCAAAAAGTATTTGAGAAACTAGCATATTTATAAAAGGAGAAAATTGTTGAGTTAGAATCAAAGCTGATTAAAAGAGCCATAAGCCTTTGGGTTTATGTGTTCCACACAGAAATCATGTATATCTTTATCATAAAAAAGTGTGTAAGTTAACAAATAATTTTACTAAGTTTAGAACATTTAATAATGAGTAAAACTTAGGAACTTCATATTTTCATTACATAACTTTTGAATGGCCATTGTCCCTACATTTCTTTTAATGGACATGCTTCCAATCTTATTTTGCCTTCGTTCTAAATTTTAAATAAATTTTATGTCATATTGGGACTGTAGGTCTAAAAGTTAAAATTGTTGCATCAAAACAATAAAGAAGTCCAGACACCCATTTAACTTTAACCATCTCAAATATTCATTTTAGTTGTATGTAGTAAATTTTATAAGAGTTGTAATACATGGGAAATTTTCTTATTGTATATATCCCCAAGATTACACATATGTGGAAAATATTTCTGTCTTATTTGGGAAGAATTCTATTACAGAAATTAAAGTTTTGGTTTTGTAAGCAGATATAGCTTGTCTTTATGTCCCTACCCAAATCTCAGGTCAAATTGTAATCCCCATGTGTTGGGGGAGGGACCTGGTGGAAGGTGATTGGATCGTGGGGGCAGTTTCCCCATGCTGATCTCTTCATTGTGAGTTCTCATGAGATCTGATGGTTTAAACGTGTGTGGCAGTTCCCCCCTTGCCCTCTCTCTTTCCTGCTCCACCATATTAAGATGGTACCTACTTCCCCTTCCCCTTCTGCCATGACTGTAAGTTTCCTGAGGCCTCCCAGTCACACTTGCCGTTAAGCCTGAGGTACTGTGAGTCAATTAAACCTGTTTTCTTCATAAATTACCCAGCCTCAGGTAGTTTTTTATAGCAGTGTGAGAACGGACTAATACAAATACTGATAAGTAGAGAAAATGAAATCAAATCACTGAGCATGCAGCTGTGTGATATATATTTCTAAAGTATAATCATGTTGAATGTTATCTGATTGATGGCTTACAAGTTTCTTATTGTTTCTTCTGTGTAATGTCTCTTCATATTCTTTTACGATTTTTCTACTGGGTTATTTTTTATTGACTCATAGGAATTATTTATGTAAATATGTTGGTTTTATGTGCTGAAATCACAATTTGCCTGTTTATGATTTTTTTTTTTTTTGAGACAGAGTCTCAGCCTCCCTGTCGCCCAGGTTGGAGTGCAGTGGTGTGACCTTGGCTCACTGCAACCTCTGCCTCCTGGGTTCAAGTGATTCTCCTGCCTCAGCCTCCCGAGTAGCTGAGACTACAGGCATCCACCACCACGCCCAGTTAATTTTTGTATTTTTAGTAGAGATGGGATTTCACCACATTGGCGAGGCTGGGGTCGAACTCCTGACCTTGTGATCCACCTGCCTTGGCCTCCCAAAGTGCTAGGATTACAGGCGTGAGCCATCGTGCTCAGCCCCTGTTTATGATTTTACCTCTGGCTATCTCTAAGGTACCTTTATTTATTTATATTTTTATAAATTTAGGGGGTAGAAGTATGTTTTGTTACATGGATATATTGTGTAGCGGCAAAGTCTGGGATTTTAGTGTACCCATCACTCAAATAGTGTATATTGTACCCAACAGGTAATTTTTCATCACTCATTCCCTTCAACTTCCTACCTTTTGGAGTCTTCCAGGTCAATTATTCCATTTTGCACGTCCATGTGTACCCATTGTTTAGTTCCCATTTGTGAGAACATGTGGTATTTGGCTTTCTGTTTGAATTATTTCACTCAGGATAATGGCCTCTAGTTCCATCCATGTTGCTGCAAAATGCATGATTTCATTCATTTTTATGAATGAGTAGTATTCCATGATATGTGTGTGTGTATGTATATATGTACGTATATGTACATATATACATACACACACACCATGTATATATATATACACACACAAATATATATACGTATATATACGTATATATACACACATACATATATATATATACACACACACACTACATTTTCTTTATCAGATCATCTGTTGATGAACACTTAGATTGATTACATGACTTTGGTGTTGTCAATTGCGATGCTATAAACATATAAGGGAAGAGGTCTTTTTTAAAATATAATAATTTGTTTTCCTTTGGATATATATCCAGTAGTAGAACTGCTAGATCCAATGGTAGTTCTATTTTTATCTCTTTGAGAAATCTCCATACTCTTTCCATAGAGTTGTACTAATTTTACATTCCCACCAACAGTGTATAAGTATTCTCTTTTCTCTCTAACATCTGTAGTTTTTTACTTTTTAATAATAGCCATTCTGAGTGGTGTAAGATGGTTTCTCATTTGGATTTGATTTGCATTTCTTTGATTGGCCATGTAGAGCACTTTTTCATATTTATTGGCTGCTTCTATATCTTCTTTTGAAAAATGTCTGTTCATGTCTTTTGCACAATTTCTATGGGGTTATTTTTTCATCTTGAGTTTTTTGAGTTCCTTGTAGATTCTGGATATTAGTTCTCTGATGGATCCATAGTTTGCAAATATTTTCTCCCATTCTGTAGGTTTTCTCTTTACTCTATTGATTACTTCTGTTGCTGTGCAGAAGATGTTTGGTTTAATTAAGTTTCTTTTGTCTATTTTTGGTTTGATTTGCATTTGCTTGTGATGTCTTAGTCAGACATTTTTTGCCTATGCCAATGCCCACAGAAGTTTTTCCTAGGTTTTCTTTCAGGAGTTTTATAGTTTTAGAACTTATAGTTGTCTTTAATCCATGTTGACTTAACTTTTGTAATGGTGAGAGATAGGAGTCCAGTTTTATTCTTCTGCTTGTGGCTATACAGTTTTCTCAGCACCATTTATTAAATAGTGTGTCCTTTCCACTATATTTTTTTTTGACTTTACCAATGATCAGTTGGTGTAGGTAGATGACTTTATTTTGGGGGTTTCTATTCTGTTGCATTGATTTATGTGTCTATTTTTATACCAATACCATGTGTTTTGGTTACTATAGCCTTGTAGTATATATTGAAGTTGGGTAATGTAATGTTTCCCACCTTCTTCTTTTTGCATAGTATTGATTTGTCTACTCAGTCTTTTTTTTCTTCGTTCTATATGAACTTTAGAATTGTATTTTCTAATTCTGTGAAAAAACTGACATTGGTAATTTGATAGAGACTGCATTGAATCTGGAGCTTGCTTTGAGTAGTGTCATCATTTTAACAATATTGATTCTTCCAGTCAATGAACATGGGATGTTTTTCTATTTGTGTGTGCCATCTATGATTTCTTTCATCAGCGTTTTGTATCTCCGTGTAGATATCTTTTACCTCCTTAGTTAAATGGGTTCGTAGGTATTTTATTTTTTTGCGGCTATTGTAAATAGGATTGAGTTCTTGATTTGGTTCTCAGCTTGAACTTTATTGGTATATAGAAATATTACTGATTTTGTATGTTGGTTTTTGTATTCTGAAGCTTTGTTGAAGCTATTTATCAAGTCTAGGAGTCTTTTGGAGGGGATCTTCGATTTCTCCGTGTTTGCTAAGATTATATCATCAGCAAACAGAGATAATTTGCATCCTCTTTTCCAATTCTGGTGTGTTTTATTTCTTTCTCTTATCTGATCTATCTAGGACTTTCAGTACTATGTTGAATAGGAGTAGTGAAAATTGACATACTTGTCATGTTCCAGTTCTTCAGGGGAATGCTTTCAACTTTTCCCTGTACAATAGGATGTTGGTTGTGAGTTTATCATTGCCTTTATTATTTTGAGGTGTGCCCCTTCTGTGCTTAGTTTGAGGATTCTCTTCATGAAGGGAGACTGGATTTTATTGAGTCCTTTCTCTGAATTCATTGAGATTATCATATAATTTTGTATTTAATTCTGTTTATGTGGTGAATCACATATACTGATTTGCATATATTGAACCATCCTTATATTCCTTGAATAAAACACACTTGATTGTGGTGTATTATCTTTTTGAGGTGTTGTAGGATTCGGTTTGCTAGTATTTTATTGAGGATTTTTGGAATCTATGTTCATCAGGAATATTGGCCTATAGTGTGTGTGTGTGTGTGTGTGTGTGTGTGTGTGTGTGTGTCTTTTCTTGGCTTTGGTCTCAGGATGATACTGGCTTTGTAGGGAGTTAGGGAGGTTTCTCTCCTTCTCAATGTTTTTCTTCTTTAGAGATAAAAAAAAAAACTTAGATAATACAGTGGTTTCTGAACATCCAAAATTCAATCCTGCGTAGTAAAATCTTACTCTTTGTTGTTTAATTTATCTTGATAAATGGTAGTAAATTTTATTCTTAGGACAGTGATAATCAGAAAAAGATTAATAAGCACTGCTTTTGATAAATAGATATTCTTAAATCTAAAATATTCAAATTTATCAATTGTTACTTTATTGTCAATATAAACCCAATGTCATAAAAATATCATATATTATCTTTTATAAATATTTAAGGTATTTCCTGCATTAAGTTTTGAATCCACTTAGACTCTCTTTATTGGTATGATGTGTGGTGGGTATCCTTTTAAACGTTTTCAACACAAATAACCAATTGGCCCAGTATCATTATCAAATGGTTTCCTTTCCTACTGATTTGTAATGTCAGGTTTACTGTCAATCATTTCTACATCAGAAGGTATGTTTCTGGTCTTTCTATTTCCTTTTGTTAGTTGGTGTGTCTAACTTTTAACACTACCATCTTGTTTTAATTACCATAGCTAAATTTGAAGGGTAGATACGTTGTAGCAAAAATGTATTCCAACTTTGTCCTTCTGTTCTAAGATATATGTCTTATGATTACTGCTCTTATATCTATGTCTTGTGATCAATTTATTAATTGACTTCCACAGAAGACAACAAACACATTGAAATTTTTACTGGGAATACATTGACTACATAAATTGCTTTTGGGGCAACTTTTATCTTCATGATATTGAGACTTTCTGTTTAAGACCCTAGTGTCACTATGTGTTCTTTATAGTCAGCCAGTAAAGTTTTATGAGTTGCCCCATAAAATGCTTGCACATCATTATTTTAGATGTATCCCTTGATACTTTATATTCTATTTTACTATTGAAAATGATTTTTCTATGCAGATAATCATACTATCTGCAAATAATGAGAATCTTGCTGCTTGAAATTAATATAGGTGAATTCGTGTATGTGTGAGTATGTGAGTGTGTACTATTTTTGTCTTATGCAAGACTCTACTGGTCCTTCAGTACAATATTGAAAGAGTGATGAATGGGGAATTTTTCTATTCATATAACACACATTTTTATCATGCTTACTATAAACCAAGAAGTGTTCTAAACCTTACAGTTTTAGCTAATTTTAATGTCATAAATTCCTTGAGTTGGGCATTACTGTTATGCTGTTATTTAATAGATGAGGAAAATGAAACATAGACACTTTACTAAGTGGTCTCAAGTTTACTTCATTAGTAAATGAAAGAATTAAGATTCAAATTCAGACATCTGACTTGTAAGTCCACTATGTAATAATGCTTCCACTTGTACTTTATCCAAAAGGGAAATTCTTAGTATTTTATCTGCTATAATTCTGTTTTGTTTTGTTTTGAGACAGGATCTTGCTATGTCATTCAGGATAGAGTGCAGGGCACAATCATAGGTCATTCTAACATTGAACTCCTGAGCTTAAGCAATCCTCTCACCTTAGCCTCCTGAGTAAGCTAGGACTACAGAGGTGTGTCACCACACCAAACTAATTTTTAATTTTTTTGAAGTAGAGATAGTGTCTTGCCACGTTGTCCAGGCTGGCCTTGAACTTCTGACCTCAAGTATTCCTCCAAACTTGGCTTCCTGAAGCACTGGGATTACAGGCATGAGCCACTATGCTCCACCATGTGAAAGTTTTTATAGATATAATTTATTAGGACAGAGTTATCCTCTGTAAATTTAACAAGTGTTTTTTTTTCCCCTTGAATATTGAAACTTATCAAATGCCTTTCCTGCATAGATAGAGATAGTAACATACCTTTAAAAATATGTGACTTACATTAATAAATTTTATCATACTAAACCATTCAGGTATTCCTGAAATAAATGCTATATGGTCATAGTAATTTTAAAACATTTTTGGATTAAGTTTGCTAATAATTTTATACAATTTTAAAAGTATCTGTTCATGCATGACAGTGGTCTCTAATTTTTTGTTTTTATGCTCTTATATGAAATTATGCTAGACTAATAAAACATAATGGAGAGCATTTTCATTTTTACTTTTCTTCAGAAAATCACCACATAAACGTTTAAAATTATTTGTTTTTTTTAAGTATTTGATAAGATTTTTTTCTATAGATACAGTTTGGCCTACTGTTTTCTCTGCAGAAAGATTTTGAAAACTGATTCAATTAGTTTAATGATTTTATGACTATTGAAGTTTTCAGTTTCTTATATCCATTTGAGAAATTATCTATTTCTAGATATTATATAATTCTTTTAAATTTTTAAATAACGTAAATTTATTAGCAAATGTCCTTATTTTTTGTTTATTTCCCTCAACATATAGAGTTAGTTTTCTTATTTCCATCTTAATTTATCTGTGTTTTCCTCATTTTTAAATTTTCCTAGAGCTTCAACTGTTTTGTTAGTTTCCTTAGAGAACTCACTGTTAATTTTTTAATATTTTAATTTTATCTTTATTCTATATTTTTGATTCTATAATTAGATTGATTTATGATTGAATGTTTATTATTTATTTTCTTTTACTTCTTTTTTTATTCATTGTACTTCATCCTCCAGATTTGCATGCATTTTAAGCCTTTCGTTTTTATTGTATTTATGCCTAGAAATTCCCTTCTACCACTTTAGAAACATCCACACATTAATAAGTGAATTTCATTTTTATTTATTCCTATTTTTCAATTCTTATTATAACTGCTTTTTATATTGAAAAGTCAGGAAACAACAGGTGCTGGAGAGGATGTGGAGAAATAGGAACACTTTTACACTGTTGGTGGGACTGTAAACTAGTTAAACCATTGTGAAAGTCAGTGTGGTGATTCCTCAGGGATCTAGAACTAGAAATACCATTTGACCCAGCCATCCCATTACTGGGTATATACCCAAAGGATTATAAATCATGCTGCTGTAAAGACACATGCACACGTATGTTTATTGCGGCACTATTCACAATAGCAAAGACTTGGAACCAACCCAAATGTCCAACAGTGATAGACTAGATTAAGAAAATGTGGCACATATACACCAGGGAATACTATGCAGCCATAAAAAATGATGAGTTCATGTCCTTTGTAGGGACATGGATGAAGCTGGAAACCATCATTCTCAGCAAACTACCGCAAGGACAAAAAACCAAACACTGCATGTTTTCACTCATAAGTGGGAATTGAACAATGAGAACACATGGACACAGGAAGGGGAACATCACACACCAGGGCCTGTTGTGGGGTGGGGGGAGGAGGGAGGCATAGCATTAGGAGATACACTTAATGGGAATGATGAGTTAATGGGTGCAGCACACCAACATGGCACATGTATACATATGTAACAAACCTGCACATTGTGCACATGTACCCTAAAACTTAAAGTATAATAAAAAAAAGAAATTGTAAAATTGTAAAAGTATCTGTTCATGCATGACAGTGGTCTCTAATTTTTTGTTTTTATGCTCTTATATGAAATTATGCTAGACTAATAAAACATAATGGAGAGCATTTTCATTTTTACTTTTACTTTTACATTGTGGAGAGATATAGAAATAATAAAATATTTGAAATAAAAAAGAATTATGTTTTTTAATTAAACATGTATTTCACATTCTCTTCTTTGAACGTATTTGAAAGAAACATTTTCCCAGTCTACCAAAGCCAAGAATAAGACCAGTATCTCTCTTTACTTTCTCCTTTTCATGTCCCAAGTTCATGTAGAAGTCTCTCATTAGGCTCCTGACCGTGAGAAGGTCCTGTGTTCTCTCTTGCTCTCAAATCCTGTGTAACTATTACAGAAGATGTTCAGTTACTTCACATTGTGGCTTAAACCTTTAGGATGAAAGCTTGCTTTTGTGCTTTTCTATTTATCTGGAGTGTGTTTTGTTTCCTCCTCATTTTATTCTCTGCATATTTTTTCTGTTGTTCTAGATCAGCAGTGTATATTATTTTAAAAGGTTCTACAGTTGTGCTGGTTATCTAGTTTGCCATATTGCTAAACGATGACACTAGACAAAATTAGATTTATTAATATGTTATAATGAACATAAAACATACCTTAAACCTTTGTATTAAAAATATATTTACGGTAAGAAATTGTACGTCATCTCATGGCACAGAAGTCCAGTAAAAACTACTAATTTTCCTTAAATTTAGTGGCTTCTTTAAAACCCGACTTTAGATTGTTGAGAAAAAAGTATGCCCTCAATTTGATAACCACATTTATGCAGCATCAACTTCTATTTTGGATGAACTCCTTGGTAACAATGGGATTTTATTTGTTTTTATAGAACTATAGGGTCAACCTATACAGTTCATATTCATTTTCTTTAATAATTTTGTTTTGGTTTTAGGGCCTATGAGAGTTCTTCATTCTGCCTCAAACAACACAAAAATTCATTTCCAAACAGGACTTTTCCTTGGTTGTCCCAAATCTTTGGAAAAATTTTGTTACTGACCTAGTTCTAATGCATACTCCTATCTGAGACTGCTGCAAAAAATTTTTACATTGTGTAGACTTCTTTGAGTTGAAAATGTTCTCTGTGACATAAAAGGTACCTATTGCCTTATTGTTTGTTTTTTAATAAAAAGCATCAAACAAAGATGAACCATAGGGACAATTTAGTTTATGAATTTTATTTCCTTTAATAGCATCTTCAATTTCTTTTTAAACATATGTATCAGAATAAATACAATTTAATGGCATTTTTTTTTTTTTTTTTTTTTTTTGAGACGGAGTCTCGCTCTGTCGCCCAGGCTGGAGTGCAGTGGCGGGATCTCGGCTCACTGCAAGCTCCGCCTCCCGGGTTCACGCCATTCTCCCGCCTCAGCCTCCCAAGTAGCTGGGACTACAGGCGCCCGCCACTACGCCCGGCTAATTTTTTGTATTTTTAGTAGAGACGGGGTTTCACCGTTTTAGCCGGGATGGTCTCGATCTCCTGACCTCGTGATCCGCCCGCCTCGGCCTCCCAAAGTGCTGGGATTACAGGCGTGAGCCACCGCGCCCGGCCAATTTAATGGCATTTTTAAAACTACGCTTCAATGTCCTGATCTGTGGGTTGTTAAAAGGTGTAATGTAACATAGTTCTTCATAATAAAGTAATTTTGAGAACTACTGGATTAAACAAAATTGAACAAGTCACTTTACTAAAGACTTTACTAAAGGACTTCACTTACACATTAATTTTTTTTTTTTTTTTTGAGATAGAGTCTCACTCTGTCAGCAGGCTGGAGTGCAGTGGCGTGACCTCGACTCACGGCAACCTCCACCTCACAGGTTCAAGCAATTCTCCTGCCTCAGCCTCCTGAGTAGTTGGGACTACAGGTGCATGCCACCACACCCAGCTAATTTTTGTATTTTTAGTAGAGACAGGGCTTCACCGTGTTGGCCAGGATGGTCTTGATCTCTTGACCTTGTGATTCACCTGCCTCAGCCTCCCAAAGTGCCAGGATTACGTGGGGTTATGTGAGCCACCGTGCCCGGCCTACACTTTAATATTTTAATACTCATTCTAAAACTTTAAGAAGGAACACATTTGACCTTATTTGATCAAACACACATTTACCTTAGAGTAACATGCTTATATCTCAAAGCAACAAAACATTATCTGGTTTCTAGTTTATTACTAAGCTTCCCAAATTGTAGGTTGAAGGGAGGGGCGGCGGGGTGGGTACAAATTAAAAACAATTACAAATAGCAAAAGCAATAGGTATAGTTTTTAAGAACATTCAACTACAGATAAAATTAATATAAATATTATCATAATCGAAATAATTTTCATAATGGGTCCTATTATTGCAAACTATTATTAAGAATTGCAGTGTCTGGACTGACCACAGAGAAACTTGAAGTGCTGGATTTCTACTCTCTTATCAGTAAGATGAGCCTGAGACACCTGGATCAACCACATTGTAACAATTAGCCTAAGAAAGGCACTGTGAGTGTGAATATAAAAAATGTTTTGAATAGGGTAGTAGATTTTTTTATGGGGGGAGGTGGCTCGTAAGCGCCTAAAAATAAAATGACTGTATAATTGTCTAATTGATAGTGCCATCAAGAACATTTATGAAAATGGGAGGAGTACTATTAATGTCAGTCTTTTTTTTTTTAATAATAGCTGCTCTAACAGGTGTGGGGTGATATCTTATTATGTTTTTCTATTTTTGTTTTTGTTTGAGATGGAGTCTCATTCTGTCACCCAGGCTGGAGTGCAGTGGCGTGATCTCGACTCACTGCAACCTCCACCTCCTGGGTTAAAGCAATTCTCCTGCCTTAGCCTCCCAAGTAGCTGGGACTACAAGTACCAGCCACCACGCCTGGCTCATTTTTTTGTATTTTTAGTAGAGACAGGGTTCCATCATGTTGGCCAGGCTGTTCTTGAACGACTGACCTCAAGTGATACGCCCACCTCGGCCGCCCAAAGTGCTGGGATTACAGGCATGAGCCACCGCTCCCTGCTGAGCTTTTTTTAAAAAAGTTCCCGTTGACCATTTAAATGTCTTCTCTGTAAAAATATTCATATCCTTTGTTCTCCAATTGAGTAATTTCTTTACTTACTATTAATTTGCTTGAGATCCTTAAATATTTTGGATATTAACCCCTTATCAAAAAGATGAAAGGTAACAAATGTTGGAGATGATATGGAGAAAACAGAACTTTTATAAATCATTGGTGGGAATGTAAATTAGTACAGCCATATGGAAAACAGCATAGAGGTTCCCCAAATTAAAAATGGAAACTGCCATATGATTCAGCTGGTGGGTATGTATCCATATAAATGAAATTTGTATAATAGTGATAAAATATCTGTACTCCCGCATTCATTGCAGTAGTATACACAGTAGCCAAACAATGGAAGCAACCTAAGTGTTCATCACCGAATAAATGGATCAAGAAAATGTGGCATGTATAAACAACATAATCCTATTCAGCCTTAAAATAGAACAGAATTCTGTTATTTGTGACAACATGGATGAATCTGGAGAACATTATGTTAAATAAAATAAGTCAGACACAAAAAGACAAATACTGCATGATCTGACTTGCATGTAGAATCTGAAAAAGTTAAACTCATAAAAACAGCGTAGAATGGTAGTTACCAGAAGCCTGGGAAGAGTGAGGAATTGGGGAGATGTTGGTCAAGGACACAAAATTTCAGTTTAACAGAGAAATAAGTTCAAGAGATCTATTGTACATTATGATCTCATATTTAATAACTATATATATTTAAATTGCTAAGAGAGTAGATAAAAAAACAGTTATGCTAAGGTAACAGGTAAAATGAAATTCTTCTTGCAACTTTGGGATTTCCTTGGAAAATAGGTTTCAAACGGAAACTTTAGGAGAAAATCAGAATATAGCAATGTTGTAAATTTTCGTTGAATTTTTTTGTTGTTGGGAAATTCAGAGAAAATATGTTTTCTCTGTTGTGTTTAGCATATCAAGATTTTAGAAGTAACTGTAAGGTTTGAAAGTTTTCAGAACATGCCACTCCAAAAGTATGTTGCTGTGGCATATTAACTATCGGAAAAAGAAAATGTGTAAGAAGAACATTCTGATTCCCCTTTTTTTCTTAAAGACGAGATGAAGTTCCCATGTCAGTGCTTCCCTCCCCATACAAGGAGAAAAGAAGCATTCTTATCAAGGACAGTGTTAAAAACAAGATAATTCTGCATAAAGAGACCTTCTTAAAGTCATTTTTATCACCATTTAGCCTCCCAATATATTTTAATTTTCCATAATTGTCTTTCTTGGTTCAACTTAGTATAAAAGCATTTCAGTTTGGCCAGATTTTGGGGTATTTATTTTCCATTGGAGGCACCTATGTAGATGTAAAAATCTGTGTGCTTCTCATCTATTAGTCTATTTTATGCCAAATTAATTCTCAGGTCCATCTGGAGATCAGAAGAGAGTAGAAGTAAAGATTTTTTTTTTCCCCTAAAACTCCTCAGAATTCTCAGATTTAGTCTTTTGATTGAAGAACAAAAAAACAGAGAGACCTTGGGAATGGCAATAAACTGTTTAAATATAATACCAAAGGCACAATGCATGAGAGAAAGAATTGCTAAGCTGGACTTCATTAAAATTCAAACTTCACAGACTGGAAGAAAATATTTATAAAATACACATCTAATAAAGGACCGTTTCCCAAAATATACAAACAACTATTAAAACTTCAGAATAGAAAAGGAACAACTCAACAAACAGTCCAAAAACCTTACCAGATACATCACCAAAGAAGATGTACAGATGGCAAAAAGGCATAGATGTCCACATCATATATCATTAGGGAAATGCAAATTAAAATGATGAGATGTCATTATACACCTATTAGAATGACCAAAATCCAGAACACTGACAACACCAAATATTGGTGAGAATGTGGAACAATGGTACCTTTCATTCATTGCTGTTGGGAATACAAAGTGGTATAGCCACTTTGGCAGAGAGTTTGGTGGTTTTTTTACAAAACTAAACATAATCTTACTATATGACACAGCAATCAAGCTCCTTTGTTTTTACCCAAAAGAGTGAAAAAATTATGTCCACACAAATACCTGCACATAGATGTTTGTAGTAGCTTTATTCATAATGACCAAAACTTGGAAGTACCAAGATGTTATTCAGTAGGTGTATAAATATACTATGCTAAATCCAGACAATGGGATATTATTCAGCACTTTTGTGGCTCTTAAGCCATTACATGAAGGAATTGTAGGTGCATACCACTAAGTAAAATAAGCTAATCTTGAAAGGCCACATCATATATTATTCCAACTACGTGACATTCTGGAAAAGGCAAAACTATGGAGACAGTGAAAAGATCTCTGGTTGCCAGGGATTAGGGGAGAGGAATGAATAGGCAGATCACATAAGATGTTTAGGGTAGTAAGAGTACTATATATGTTACTGTAATTATGCCTATATGCCTGTATACATTTGTCCAAACCCACAGAATGTACATCAAGTGAATCCTAATGCAAATCATGGACTTGGGTGATTATGATGTGTCCATGTAGGTTCATCAATTATAAAAAATATACCACTCTGATAGGGGATAATGATAATGGGAGATGCTATACATGTGTGGGGATAGGGAGGATATGGGAACTCTCTGAAGTTTTTTCTCAATTTTTCTGTGAATTTCAAACTGCCCTTAAATAGCCTTTAATCATGATAACAAAAAAACCATTTAATGTAAGTGTAAACAAAAAAGCAAAACCAAATCAAATACATACATACATAAGCACACTCCATCAGCCCACTGTATGTGTGCCCTATTGGAAAAGGGGGAGTTGTGGAATGAGGATAGAAACTGGATGATTTACTAATTATATTCACATTATTTCCATGCCAATCTACTCTAGTACCTTATAGAAATTTGCTTATGTCATTTACACAAGAAACACATTTGCATATACTTTAATTTCAGAGCAGTATATTTATCTATAATTATTTTGTTTTACACTTCCATTATATGGCCTGTGGATTTATGATTTGGGACTTTTTCTGATATTTATCAAGACTCTTCCACGGACTTTGTATGAGCTACACAATTTATTCCTCTAATTCAATCTGTGAAAAATACAATAAAGTATAAGGGGAGGGGTGTGAGGAAGAGAGGCAGATAGCATGAATGATGTATCATTTTTCTGACAAAGAATATAACAAGGATGGAAAATGATACACCGTGAATTCATTGCAGTGACAAAGATTGTAATGAGAATTGGTATGAACATAACCAACTGCATTCTCATTACACTCTGTGGATTGTAATCTTCTCATAGTCCTCAGAGGCTGCACCCATCCTCCACTGACTGATAAGTCTTCTACATAGCTCTACTTCATTTTGCTCTAAAAATATTTTAGATATAAATGGGCCATTAGAGAAGGCAAGTAATAAACATTCCAAAATTGATGCTTGAGTTCTAATTCCAATGACTGGTCAAGAAGAGATTTTATTTGCTGTTATAATATTATATTAGTTGGCACGTTAATAAATGGCAGTGTTTCAGTCAAAAACTGTCTTTTTTTACCCTGCCAAGTAAAGTCTGATGATTGTCGTTGTTTGCAGCACAGGAAGTAGATGGGAGGTTAGATAAGATAAACAAGTTTGTAAAGAACAAGAGTCCCAGAGGTTTTTTTAAAAAGTATATCATGATATTCTATTCTCATAACAGTATGTTAAACTATGTGGTGATAACCCTAAAATACTATAAAATTTTGACAAATGATAACTTAAAGTATTGACCTATATAATAATATATGCCATAAGCTAATTGTAGAATAAAATGGAAATATGGTCAACTTATTTTCTACAAAAAGATGTGACATAGAGGGTGTTATTCAGTTCTAACAAATTTTGAAATACGCTGTTGACTTAAAAAAGAAAACAGTAATGATGACAATAGCTTCCTTAACTAGTAACATATTAGAAAATATCACTAAACATATTTTAGAATAAAATACTACAAGCATTACCAAAGTAGAAGCAAAGCTTTTATATATTATCTGGTACTGTCCTAATGGTCCAACTCATGAGATAAGTCAAGGAGAAGATACTAGAAATGCAGTCACGGAATAGCATTACTTCAAGGCAACTTATTTTTATCCCACAAAATCAGAATAAACTGGAATAGTACTTATGTTTCAGTAATTTGTCCACTTATAGATAAATAGTGATAAATATTTCCTAAATTTTAGTAATAATCAATTAAAATATAATAGTTGTTCACAATGTCAACAAAACTATAAGACTTCTAAAAGGAATAACAAACTATATAAAATAATTATAAGCTGACACTGAGTAGTACAAAACAAGTCTTGAATGAAAGTAACACATCGCGTTATCCAGCTAAAAATTTTGATTAATAGTTCAATAGTATACTAGAAACACTTGGCCAATCATTTCTACACCTCACGTGGTAGAACAAATTTTGGAAAGTAGCTAACAAAATTCTACCTGCTCTGCTAGATATGAAATTGTACTTGGAAACTACAATGACTGAAATGAAATGTTATTTAGTACAGAAATAACAGACTGATAAACAAATTAGATGTGAATACAGATTGTGCATATATGAATGTTTGATATATCATAAAACTTGTGTTTCAGAGCTGCAGAAATATAGTTCTTCAATAAATTGCTTTAATACAATTTGGTATCCATATGGAAAATATCATAAAATATTCATATCTTTTATTAATCATAATGTTTCAGTCGTATGTTCAGTATAAATATAAGATTTAAAATTATGAGTGAGTGAGAATAAAATATAACAGAAGATATCTTATAATAATAAGGTAAGGTATTAAAAGTGAATCTTTTGTATGGCAAAAGACACTGTTAATAAGAGAAGAAATGTTGGAAAAATGCAAAATGATACCACATTTATCACAAAACAATTTGGTAGAAGCTTAAAAGATTAATAATAATATTGTAAGGATGTGGTAAAACTGTTATTGTTTGTAGAAATGCAAACTATTTATTGGAGTGTAAACTGACAGTATCTACCTACATTTAACATTTTCCAATTATAACCCGCCAATTTTATTTGTAAGTATTTTTCTTATATGTGTATTATCCAAAAATACCCAGATGTCTGTGAAGAATGGAAAAGTTCATGGTAAGGCATACCAGGATGCAATTTTCAAATATAAGAATAAATAAGAATGCTGAAGTTTTTACATATTTAAAGGGTCTATAATATATATTTAAGTGGTTGGGAGAGGTTAAAAAGAAATGGCAAATATATAAATAATTATTCCATTTTTGTGAAATATATAGTAGAAGGTACAATTGATATATACAAATAAGATAATGTATTTATATACTTTTATTTTTAGGAGCAACGATTTTATAATTTTAAAAAAAAACTACATGGAAGAAAATTATAAGAAATATTACCCATTCTCTTGGATCTCCTCATGCCACTTCACTGCTAAAAATTTGATTTCTTGCATTACCAACAAGATCTCAAATCTCTTGCTCTCACTTGCAAAACCTTTCATCTTTGGATCATACTACTGCCAATTACCTTATGCCCCTTCAACATGTGTCTATTCCGTTCGATAAACTCACCATGGAAGTTAAGTCTCCATGACTCTGCTGCTGTTATTCCCTCTGCCTGGATTTATCTTACTTTCTGCCTTACATTCAAACACCTTTAGCATTCAAAATCACTTCTAATATCACCAAGACTCTCAGAGTTAACAGACCCTCAGGCAAATTATATAGCATATCATACTTGGTTTCATCTGTAAAATGAAAGTATTATGTGAAATAATACCCATAAAATACATATAATAGTTTCTAACATATAGCAGCCACTCAATAAATGTAACTTATCAGTAGTTATCCTTTTTTATGCTTCTGTAACACTTATTATTTCATAGTTGCAATTCTATTTAATTACTCTTTATCTTCTGTTGTATCATAAGCAAACTTTGGAACTTATACAAAGCCTTCTACATTATGTGCCCTCATATTAAATGTTGATTGAATAAACATATCATCATAGGTAACGTGAGTTTTTATATTAACAAAAAGTTAGTAGAAAATCTATTAATAGTAAAAAATAAAATTATATTCCATGTATTAATATTTTTATGATAGTAGGACAAGTTATAGAAATGTATTCTTCCTTGGGAAGAGAAGGTGGTTGATGATTTATCATTTAACTACATTAGAGAAGAACTTCGTGTTTTTAACCGGGACCAACCTCCATGTGGTGATATTCTTTCCAGGCATGCATAGCTATCAGGCTCCTGGTCTTTCATCAAATATGTCAACCCTATTCCTTGTTGACATGACAGTAGAAGAATATGGACCTCTATTTGACAGTTAATCTGAAAATGTCTACTCAAGAGATATTTTTTCTAAGAAAAACTCTCAAATTTATTTATGTGTACTAAATTATACTTGCTATGCTTCGGATGTGTCCCCTCTTGGATGTGTTGCCAATGTGATAGTATTATTAAGCAGTGGGGCCCTTATGAGTTATTAGACCATGAGGGCTCCTCCCTTGTGAATGGGATTAAGATGCTTATGGTAGTGGCTTCATGCAGTGCTAGGCTATTTTGCCGTTCTGTCTTCCAACATATGAGAACACAGTGTTCCTCCCCTTCAGAAGATTCAGCCCTCACCTGACAAGTGAACCTGCTGGCACCTTGATATTGGACTTCCCACTCCACAGAACTGTGAGAAAATAAATCTGTTCTTTATAAAGTACCTGGTCTTAGGTAGTCTGTGATAACAGCACAAAATGGACTATGATGCTTGTGTACCACACTTACGTACAATAAAAAACTAATAAACAATGAGTTATAGCAAATTGGTAAACAGTTCTTTAATACCCTACAATATATCTATTCTTGGATTTAATTTTAAAATCGTATTGCTGCAAAATGGAACCATAATCTTTTGTCCTTGGGACCTTTTACTTCTCTGCCTTCCCCCAGAATCCAATTGCTTTTAATAGATTGTATTTTGGCATGATGCATCATCCTGCACTGAGGTGTGAAAAAAGAAGCTGCCCTATGTTTCTCCTTACTATAGTCACTGTGAGGATCTTTTTGAGAATATTCATTACATTCATATTCATTACTTGTATGTTTTCTGAGAATGCAAGGAAGTTATTCTTAGGACCCAGGGCATGAGAATCATCATGCTTCACTTGAGTAGCTTGTATATCTACAATTTTATGTATAGTTTAAATCAATAAACTATATGCCTTTTATATCATTTAAGAAAAGATGAGACAAGTTTTTGATCCTTGTGAAGGATTATGAAGAATACATTTTGTCCATAATTGTATATTATTATATAAAATATTTTATTTATTTACTTATTTTGAGACAGGGTCTCACCCAAGTAGCTGGGACTACAGGTGTATGCCACCATGTGTGGCTAACTTTCCTATTTTTTTGTGGAGACAAGGTTTTGCCATGGTGCCCAGGCTGGTCTAGAACTCCTGGCCTCAAGCAGTCCTCCTACCTCAGCCTCCAAAAGTGCTGAAATGTCAGGCATAAGTCTGGTTTATATTTTAATACATTTGCTGTAGCTGTTTTACTTCAAGATATTTTCTTGTTACAGTTGTGAACCCCGAAAACTTGAGACACGTCTCAGTTAATTTAGAGAGTTTATTCTGCCAAGGTTGAGGATGCGCTTCCATGACACAGCCTCAGGAAGTCCTGACGACATACGCCCAAGGTGGTTGGGGCACCGTTTAGCTTTATACATTTTAGGGAGACATGAGATATCAATCAATATATGTAAGAAATACATCGGTTGGGTCTGGAAAGGTGGGACAACTTGAAGCAAATGCAAGAAGACTTGAAGCTGACTGACCTCCTGGTTATAGATAGGTGAGAGAAACGGTTGCATTCCTTTGAGTTTCTGATTAGTCTTTTCAAAGGAGGCCATCAGGTATGCATCTATCTCAGTGAGCAGAGGGGTGACTGTGAATAGAATGAGAGGCAGGTTGGCCCTAAGCAGTTCCCAGCTTGACATTTCCCTTTAGCTTAGTGATTTGGGAGCCCCAAGAATCTTTCACACAGCTGTCTGATTAATTTGAGAATTAAATTCTTTTTGCAAGTCTGACATAATATTTCCATCTAAGCATACATATCAGCAGCATTCATTAAATTTTGGTAGGAATGCATTCTCTCGGTAAAGTAACAGACTTGGAATTTTAAGGAAATCCAGTGCCTACACCATGTCATAAAGCAAGGTCGACAAAAAATTTAAACTAGTATATGAGATGCAATCTCATATTTCTAATAAAAGTTCTTTCATTGTTTACTTTCCCCCCAAAAGAGATGATTTTAATATCATAGCCAAATATTTATTATTATAAAGTGAAATACTGACAAAATCTTGTCATAAATACTACTGTGTATTACCATTTTTATATGCAATATATATATTTTTAAACTCACCCTCTAATAGTAAGATTCTTATTGGATGGGTTCACCTTTTATACGTTATATCTCCTGTAACATATTGCACAGTACTATATAGAGTATTTAATAAATATCTGCATTGAAAATTCTAGTCAACACTTTTGATATCTCAAGTTGACACCATAGTCACCGCTAACTGAATGAGAGGTGACAATTGACAGGGGTATTCCTTTGCCCCCTGGAAGATCCTGAGTTTTGAGTAAGACAATTAGACATTCTTTCTGGAAATTTATAAGTAGGACATGGAGCTAATTCCATGTGATAACTGAACTTTCAGCAAGAAGACTTAGGTGTTGAGAATATTTTGAGGGGGAATTATGGGTAAATTTCAGCTCAATTAGAAAAAGAAAATAGGAAAATAGAAAGAAACTGAAAAAAAAATTATCATATAGCACACAAATGACAATAATAAAAGGCAAAGTTATCCTGATTTCCAATGATGCTTCATTCCTTCTTCTTACCCTTCCTGAGCTTTCTAGTGAATTCCCTATTTGCTCCATCTATTATGACTGGATTTTTGTTTATTGTAAAGCTACTAAAGCATAAGTGAAGCAAAGCAACTCAGAAATACAGGTGAGAGTTCTTTAGGCCAAATCTCTTCAGATTTACTTATATTCTTACTCAACTAATAAAAAGACAAAATAAGAACACGTGTGTAAAGAATTGAGTAAAACAGGTTAGCTCTGGTTTTGTCTTTTGTTTAAAAAGTCAATTAGATTGAAAAAATTATTATTGTTTGTGTGGCATGATGTCCTCAAAATATAAAAAAGCAGAAATAAAATGTATTCACTTTTATCCTAACTTGAATAAGCATTGAGTTGATATAACAAAGCAATTACTAAAGCAGCACCAAATTAAGTGATGTATATTCCATGAATTTTGAAAACAAATTTGGAGAAGTTTGATTCACCCTATTGGAAGGAGAAGCTGGACTTTCCAAACTTTCAGAAAGACTTACGTATAATAATTAAATCAATGAGAAATATTTCTAATTGAAGAGTTTCCTTATCAGTTCTGCTTAGGGCTAGATTCAGGATTTTTAAACTTCAGACTTTTTAAGCAGTAGCTGTGCTTTCATTTCTTGTTTTCTTTTGAACAAAAGCATTAAGCTCAGTATTCCTGTGAGATAAGCAGTTGATGGACTAAATGGATGCAGTGACTCCATCCATACCAGTGGCAGACATGGTAGAAAATTGATTTTATTTATTTATTGGCAAAAGCAAAGTTGCTTTCACATTAATGGCAGACAGATATTTCCCAGAAATACTCTTTGCTTTTGACCTCCTCACCACTGGCTGGCATGTTGATTGCTCACTGGTCAAGGATACAAATAGACCTTGCTGAAGCCTTGGGTTTAGTTTTAAACTAATTTTTATTTAAAGAACAAACATAGCTAATTTTGAAGCTGCATTTAAATAAAGAGAAATGATTATTGACTTATTTCATTCAAAAACTGAAGAACCATGTCAAAAGACTGTAGTCTGTTACCTCTGTGCAGTCACATCATCACATGGGCTTTGCACAGCTAATTAGTATCTTAATTTACTTTATTGCAGAGAGTGAAATAGCCCAGAAGAGTCTTCCATAAAAAAATCTGACAATAAATTTCCCCAAAGACCTCTCATTTGTAAAGTAGACATATATAACATGATGAAACACCCTTGTGTTGTCATTTGGGATGTGTAGTTTTTAATGATTCACTTGTAATTTTATATTGTGGGCAGTAGATTCAAATTCTAAAACAATATTTTAAAAGTGTCTTCCAGAAAAAAAAGGTATATCAATACAATATATCATGCACAGAAATATATCTTATACTTATTTATAAAGGTATTTTAAAACTAGGCTTATAGTTTTATGAAGTTGTGGACATTATTCTTTTGGATATATTTCAGATACTCATAATGTGTAAAACTACAAACAGAATGTTTCACAATAAAATCAGTAATTTTTATTCTATTCTATAATTTTAAAATTATTAGTGTGAATGATAAATTAAAAACTCATAATTTGATGTCCAACATATATCAGGAAAGATATTTAATATTATGTTAGAAATATAGATCTGTTCTTGCATGTGTACTGTCAATTAGTGAAGAGGTTAATTAGAAAGGTAAAAACAAAAACTCAAACTTTCTGTGAAATAAAATATAATTTCTATATATCAGTGGACATTATTAACTTTTATGTGATCATCAGTTCTTCTCTACAGCAAATGATCAGATTTCACAGAAGAACTGCCAATATGATGCAAGTTATGCACTTTTTATGAAAAGTACACGATTTTCTTTTCATAGTAGGTTATAAATCTTTAGCCTCATTGGTCCAAAATTATTAATGAGAAAAGTGTTCTAGATATCTGAGAGTTAACCTGTTTGCTGGGGTATTCAAAGGCTCAAGAATGGAGGTTCTTAATTTTACCAGTGGGTTTTATACCTTGAAAGGACATAGAGTGGCTGAATGTCATTACCTTCAAGAAACCCACTTCACCTATAAAGACACACATAGACGGAAAGTGAAGGGGTGGGAAGGGATAGACCCTCCAACCAGAAACCAAAATCCAAAAGAGGACAGGGAGTAGATATATGCATGTGAGACAAAATGTACTACAAATTACAAACTGTAAAAAAGAAAGACAAGGAGGGCCACTATATGATGATAAATAGGTCAATTCTATAAGAGATGAAACTGGGGTTGATTGATTGTTCTAAGACGTTTCAGAAGGCTAGTTGTTTGGAATATGAGTTCGAAGACTATCAGATAATAGAAGTTTAGTTTTTTTACAGAAAGCTAGAGTGACATCGTGTAGGGATTTTTTTTTGTATCTTAAAAGCTTGTATTTATTCTAGGTATATGGATAAAAAGTAAAGACTTTAAGCAGGTGTGCATAATGTGATTTATTTTTATAAAATCACCCTCCTTATTAATAAGAGTAAGAGCAGGGCAAGAATGAAAAGATGGCAATGAAGTTACCCAAGTATCTTGGTATGATAATGGTGGCTTAGACTAGGGGTTCGGGGGGAATGATGAGAGGAGGTAGATTAGAGATACCATTTAAAGGTAGACTAGACAGGATTTGATAAATTGATTGTACAGTATGTGAGAAATAGAGGAATCAAGAATGCCTTCTAGGAGCAAAAGAAATTTCCATTTGCTGTAATTTTACCATATAATGTTAGTAGAATTAAATGTACAGAAAGCAAATTGTTTATGTTGAAAAATTGAATAGACATTATGAATATCCTCATAAATGCCAAATTTTGCTGACATCAGTGGAACATCTACTTTGAGATGTAGGTTGTTGGTTTAGAAATCGAAAGAGAATACTATTATTCTATTGAAAAGATTCATGAGAAAGTCTTCTTTTTGTCCCTAAATATATCCATAAAGTTTTGCTGGAAAACGTTTAGATTTTACTGGCTTCAGACTCTTTTTTTCAAAGATTCTATCACATTCTAATCCTCAGGACCTTGTAGAGTTTTGTATTGTTGCTGAGGAAACTATGGTGGAAAGCATACCTGTAGCAGACTTGGTGGGTGCTTCAGATTAGCAGTGTTATCAGAAGCAATTAAGGCATTTAACTTATTTCAGTGGGTTTATAAACACTGTGTGCTCCTAAACACTTGAAAACTGTAAAGGTTAAAAAAAAATCTGGCATCATTTTAGAAAAGTGGAGGCTTCTACTCACAATCCTCTTGTCACTTGAATAGCGCGCGATGTACTCAAAATTATAGCTATTACAGAAGAAATTGCAAGTTAAATATAGGAAAGTGTATAAACTATGTTTATCACCAGCACAATGCTAAGCACTAACCCATGTCAATATGACACAATCAGCAAGAGTCACAGAAATTCTGACACCTGTGTCTCATTTGTTTTTTTTTTTTCACTTGTTATGTCGTAACTATAAATGTAATATTTCACGCAAATGTGGATTTGGTTTTACCACAGCCTTCTGGGTGCCTACTAAGTACCCATTAGTCCCTGTGAACATAATTTTGTTGAATGAGCATAATACACAGGGTTTTTTTTGCGGGGAGGTGGTGATACAAGATTGGCCAGGTTATACCAATTGACATTCTTCTGAGCACTCCTTTTTTTTCCGAGTAGCTTATACAGCTAGGAATTAGATCTTAATTTTCACTTGATGACCTTTTGAGTACACAGAATTGGACAGACTGTCTTTTCTCTTGAATAGGGAATGCCCCTTCTCTTTATCCAATGGTTTCTTAAAGGTGGCAAGAAAAACAGGGATAATGTGGATAAGTGCAATGTATAAAAAGTTAAAAATTCTCAAACTCTTTCAAGTAATATACTTAATTCTCTTTTCCATCAGTGTGTCATAGGAACTGTCAAAAAAGAAGACAATTGACTTTCAATTTCTTTTCTGTTGTAGGTAAACATTATCATGAAAACTGCCTAAAGGCAGGTAGTTGCTGAGTAAGGAACGAATTGACCCTCATGATATATAAATGGAAAAACTGGCCCTTCAATCACAAGGACTTCACTGAACTTGGGCAGTTAATGATCAGTAATAGCCATGCATACAAATGCACATGGCTCCAGGAAAGTAACACGTTGGAGAATATTTAAACTTGCCTTTTCTACTAATCCACAGATAATCTGTTTTTAAATTCTTTCTAATTACAGTTTACACCGGACTGAAGACTTCTCTATACAGCAAATTCCATAAATGCAATAATTGTCCATATTTTGCTTAGCAGTGTGTTCTAAACAAGTAATTACGTCTGGCAGAAAATAAATATTTTCTTTCTTCTTCTTTTTTTTTTTTTTCTTCTTTTTGAGATGCTGTAGTGCAGTGGCGCGATCTCGGCTCACTGCAAGCTCCGCCTCCCGGGTTCACGCCATTCTCCTGACTCAGTCTTCCGAGTAGCTGGGACTACAGGCGCCCGCCACCAAGCCCGGCTAATTTTTTATATTTTTAGTAGAGACGGGGTTTCACTGTGTTAGCCAGCATGGTCTCTATCTCCTGACCTCATGATCCCCCTGCCTTAGCCTCCCAAAGTGCTGGGATTACAGGCGTGAGCTACCGCGTCCGGCCCGTTTTTTTTTTTTTTTTTTTTTTTTTTTTTTTTTTTTTTTTTTTTTTTTTTTTTTCCGACGTGGAGTTTTACTCTGTTGCCCAGACTGCAGTGCAGTGGCACGACCTCTGCTCACTGCAACCTCCACCTCTTGGGTTCAAGCGATTCTCCTGCCTCAGCCGCAGGAGTAGCTGGGATTACAGGCATGTGCCACCATGTCAAGCTAATTTTGTAATTTTAGGAGAGATGAGGTTTTACCATGTTGGCCAGTCTGGTCTCGATCTCCTGAACTTAAGTGATCCGCTCGCCTCAGCCTCCCAGTTTTGGGATTACAGGCATGATCCACTGCGTCCAATCTTTTCTATTAGCTAATAAATCCCAGTTTGTAGACTGTAGCTTTGTTAATTATCTATCGAAGATTATTATAACTTGTTTTACATCATAACATAGACAGTTATGTCATTTTTGTAATATATCATCATTTTCATTCCTCATGATGATCTAGATCACTGAATTCATGCTGGCCCATTACAAACTGTGCTTGTTTAGCATGAATTCTTAAGCACTGGAATATTTTGTCAATTGTGAGAACTTGCACACATAGTTTAAACTCTAAGCCTAATTTTTTTTTTATTAAGGTGAGCACTTAACTTTTGTTATTGTGTATGTTAGGGATTACGTAAGAAAATTTGATAAAAGCAACCAAGTCCCTGGTACATTTAAACTCTCAGTGGGTGCCAGGCATTGTCATCAGCTGCAGCAATGGCACTTTAGAATAAAATTAAAGCTTATTTGTTTGTTTAAGAATTTTGAGATTCTTAAGATTATGGTCCTTTAAACTGGTCTTAAAATTTGTTATTATTGTGTTTCTGTTAGCTATAGAGCACATTTTTAATTAATTAATTAATTAATTAATTTTTTGAGACAGAGTCTCACTCTGTTGTCCAGGCTGGAGTGCAGTGGAACGATCTTGGCTCACTGCAACCTTCACCTCCTAAGTTCAAGTGATTCTCCTGCCTCAGCCTCCAGAGTAGCTGGGATTACAAGCCTGCGCCACCACGACGGGCTAATTTTTGTATTTTTACAAAGTTAAATAGGTTAGTAGAGACGAGGTTTTGCCGTGTTGGCCAGGCTTGTCTCGAACTCCTGACCTCACGTGAACAGCCATTCTCTGCCTCCCAAAGTGCTGAGATTACAAGCATGAGCCAGTTTAGCTAATCCAGAACACATTTTTATATGATCATATGTTGTCTCACAAATGGGCTGGAGAGTCGGAGAATAAGGAATAACACGGCATGTTGTCTCAGGGGAAAAGGAGTGAAAAGACAATAGCCAGAATGAATATTTGTATATATTGTTTCCAATATGCTTCAAGGGATTGGACACATCAGGCTGAAACGCTCTTGCTGAGATTCTCATGCCTTTTCTCATGTTCCTAAAAGCTCTTCAGGGAAAGTCACCTTGAGCGTTCTTACTGATAAACTGCAAATTGCTGTTTGCAGAAAACTGTACTTTTGAACCAGATTTTGCTGATGAGACACTCTTTATGACCAACATGATTAAAGTAAAACTAAGCCCTATCTTCAATGTCCTCCAAAAAGAATGCTTGAGCATATTTTCCACAGGGATGTTTAGGAGGTTAAATTTTAATGTTGACTTGGAATTAATTTTCAATTTCTGGGATATCTCATTCTGCTAATTGTAAACATACAAAATATCCAATCTACATCACATAAGAAAGAAATGTCATGTTGTTATTATCACTTTCACGTTTTATGAGATGAAGATTTATAATGGTAAAAGTTCCATTTCTAAGAAATATTTGTGGAAAACATTCAGTAAATTAAATTTAACTGGGAGAAGATATATAGAAATGTGAAATAGTACAGATAACATTCAAGTAACAGCTTTTGCAAAGAACCCTAGTTTTCTCTTTTCTGATGTATAATATTTGGAGCACTCTCCCCTCTACCAAAAAAAAAGATATTTTTTCTAGGCTTTTACTTCTTGCATTTGCAATCATCCCAAATTGATCCTGTTCATAATGCTAACTGAATAATATTAAGCAATTATAAAAAGTATGTTTCTTACTAGAAGATATTAATTTAGTATTTTTGATATTTGAGCTATCATTGGGTCTTAATTTGGCAATTTCAACATGATTTGTATTGACGCTTTAAATCCTTTTTTTTTTTTTTTTTTTTTTTTTTTTTTTTTGTTGGAGACAGAGTTTTGCTCTTGTTGCCCAGGCTGGAGTGCAATGGCGTGATCTCGGCTTACTGCAACCTCCTCCTCCCGGGTTCAAGCAATTCTCCTGCCTCAGCCTCCCAAGTATCTGGTATTACAAGTGCCCGCCACCATGCCTGGCTAACGTTTTGTATTTTTAGTATAGATGGGGTTTCACCGTGTTGTTTAAGCTGGTCTCAAACTCCTGACATCAGGTGATCCACCTGCCTCGGCCTCCCAAAAGTGCTAGGATTACAGGTGCCAGTCCACCATGCCCGGCCAACACTCTAAATATTAATGCTCAATATTTAGTTTGTATTATATTTGAATTTAAATTATATTGATATATACCGTAATGGGCATGTTAATAATTTTTCTTGTAGAAATTGAGGGAGGAAACATACAAATCTTTTGATAATTCAGAGAAGGTAGATTAAATTAAGATAATATAAGGAAGACCACTGAGCTCTAAACCAAACAGAGATACTTTTTATAGTTTAATAATTTGCACTTAGATCTGGGTCTCAGTTGTAAAATTCAATATGGTTTCTAATATTGACTTTAATGGTAGGTGATTTTAATGGCCTTTATTTATATCAACCCTCAGATTATTAATATCAGCTTTTAACTATTCTTATTAAGTTGATTTGAGAATGGACACGGTATTTTAAAATGGCAAGTTATCATAAAACATAATGTTTTAAACGTGTTTTTGTATTTTACATTTTGATATGAAGTTATGATTCATTTCAAAGTACTGAAACAACTCTCTAATAAAGAAAAAAATCTAGTTTCCTTTTCCTGCACATGTTCAACAATTTTGTGCCCCAAATATTTGAATACATACCAAGCAAAACACTAACTTATGAAGATTTTTTTTCCCTGAAAACTTCCCTGGAGAAGTAAAATAGCACTGACAGCTAAACGTTCAGATTTCAGAGGAATTCCTTACAGAGCTATGGGCTATGCAGGGAATTAGTAGAGTGAGAAATGAGATATCAAGTTATGTTTCAGTTACCTTGAATCCTCAAAATGAATTTTCCCATTTTTAACACATTTCTTTGGACACTAATATGTGTATTTCCTTCAATTTAAACCATTTTAAATAAAAATATTTTCAGTACAGTGGGAAATGTTTAGTAATTTTTGACAACAAGGTATCCAGAGTGATAATAAGGATTATTCTGCTATAATAAAACTTGTCCTACAAAGTTCCTATCTACAACAAAACCTAAAAGAATATAAGCCATACTTTTAAAATTCTTTGGCTATTTCTGAAATAGCTTTTCTCTTTCTTTCCTGTTTTTAGATTTATCAGATGTAATTTCACAATTTTGTCAGTTGCCTTGTCTACTAGCTCATTTCTGAATTCTAATTTGACATTCCTGTTAATTTCATATTTTCATGAATTCAACTGTATTTATTGAATTGTTAGTATGTGGGAGATTTTTTTTTAATCTGGAATGGATTGCAAGTTTCTGTGGCTTCTTCTAGGAGTATAGGCATTACTCTAGCAACATAGATTTTGGGGGATGTTAAAACAAGTCTTTTCTTGGTAGAAGAGGTGCCACTACAAGTACTTTTTAAGTACAAGAAATGTGGCAGCATACTGTATAACAGTTACTGTATTCTTCACTGCCATGCACTTGCAGAAAATAAAAAGCTAGTTCACTAAAATATGAATGAAGTATTGAAAATGATTCATTTTATTGAATCTCAACTCTTAAATATGCTTTTTTTTTTTGAAACAGAGTCTTGTTCTGTTGCCCAGGCTGCAGTGCAGTGGCACGATCTTGGCTCACTGCAACCTCCGCCTCCCAGGTTCAAGCAATTCTCCTGGCTTAGCCTCCCAAGTAACTGGGATTACAGGTGCTCGCCACTATGCTGGGCTAATTTTTGTGTTTTTAGTAGAGATGGGGTTTCACCATGTTGGCCAGGCTGGTCTTGAACTCCTGACCTCAAGTGATGCACCTGCCTCGGCCTCCCAAAATGCTGGCATTACAGGTGTGAGCCACCGCGCCCGGCCAAATATGCTTCTTTCTAATATTCTTCATAATAAAATAGAAAGGACACAACAAAGCAATTCAACTGAGTAGAAAGTGTAAGGCTTGTCTGGAAGAAAAGCACTTGCGTATTTGTTTAATTTGCCAGCTGAACTAGCCACTAGCCTCACAGTTAATCTTTAAAAAAAATGCTACTTGTCACATTTGAGTGTACTATCAACAATTTCACAATGATATGAAATAATATTTTAGAATTATTTTCCAACTAAGTAGTTGGATGAGGCTAGATTTCCTTCACATACTTCAGTTAAAAAAATCACAGCAGAGTGAATGCAGAAACAAAAATAAGAATTCCGCCATCTTAAGTCGTATATAAAAGAGATTTGCCAAAGTAAAACAATGTCACTCTTCTCACTAACTTATTTTCATCTGGAAAATATAACCCTTTTTAAAATCAAAATGTTATTTATGTTAACATGCACTGGTATATTATTTACTTTTTAAAAATCGAATGACTATTTTTTAAAGTTCTTAGTTTTAATTTCTAATACAGTAAATATGTGTAGCTATAACCTGTAAAAGCAAAAGTTGTTTTGGGCTCTAAATAATTGTTAAGGCTCTTGAGGTGTCTTAGTTGCATAAAGCTATTTAATTGATTGAAATAAAATATCTAATTATTTCATCTATTTGAATGGAACTATTGTCAACTTGCAAATATTTTTCTTTTTCTTATAATTCTGCCTGAAGTTTATCAGTGATGCAAAATCATATTCCTTTTAGACAAATTTTCAAGAATCTTTCTTGAAGTGTGAATTTTCCATTTATTCACTCACTAAATATTTGCTGCCTGTGTACAAAGTGTCAGGCCAGGTGCCAGCTTCTAAAATTTCTACTCAAGCTTATTTTAGCCACTTTCAGATTACCCAGGTGTTCCTTATAATGCTTGTTACATTGTAGTCTACTTACCTGTTTCTATGTCTGGCTCTCCATTGGGCACTAATTTACAAGTAAGCTTAAGTCATCAGCACTGACTATAGTTTTGTATACTCTTTCATAAAGGTTTATAATAACTTCTATAGACATTTATTGAAGATCTAGCAAAAGGTTTGTTGAGACAGAAAACTGTATCATAGAAATATGAAATGGTTTATCATTACCACTTAGGTTTAAAAAACAACAATTTTATCTCTAGCTATAAAATAATGTATCTGAATCAGCAGATCTGTAGATAGTTAAATGCAGCCACAGAAGTAGAGAGATGTGGCCACAAGCCAAGAAATGCTGGCAGCCACCAGATGCTGATGGAGCTAAGGAATAGATTCTTCTCTAAAGTCTCTGGAGGGAATGTGGCTCTAATGACACACCGATTATTGATTTAATGAAACTGATTTCAGCTTCTGAGCTTCAGAACTTGAAGAGAATAAATGTTTTTTTAAGCCACCAAATTTGTGGTAGTTTGTTACAGCAACCACAAGAAACCAATACAATTATGGATAAATAAAATTCTGTACACTATACAAACTAAGAAAATATATATATGTATATTTTTTGAGACAGAGTTTCGCTCTGGTTGCCCAGGCTGGAGTGCAATGGTGCAACCTCGGCTCACTGCAACCTCTGCCTCTCTGGTTCAAGTGATTCTCCTGCCTCAGTCTCCCGAGTAGCTGGGATTATAGGCGCCCGCCACCACGCCTGGATCATTTTGTATTTTTAGTAGAAACGAGGTTTCACCATGTTGGCCAGGCTGGTCTCGAGCTCCTGAACTCAGGTGATCCACCCGCCTCACCCTCCCAAAGTAGTGGGATTACAGGCGTGAGCCAGCGCACCCAGCAGAAAAATTATTTTTAACATGCAAAAATTACAGCATTTTGGTTAGGAAATGATAACTTAAAGCTGAGTCAGACACAGACTTTTTTTTTTTTGAGATGGAGTTTCACTCTTGTTGGCCAGGCTAGAGTGCAATGGTGTGCGCTCGGCTCACGGCAACCTCTGCCTCCCAGGTTCAAGCGATTCTCCTGCCTCAGCCTCCTGAGTAGCTGGGATTACTGGCATGCGCCACCAGGCCCGGCTAATTTTGTATTTTTAGTAGAGACGGGGTTTCTCCACGTTGGTCAGGCTGGTCTCAAACTCCTGACCTCAGGTGATCCACCCACCTCGGCCTCCCAAGACACAAACATTTTTTTAATTCAATTTTTCTAACTGTAAACATGAGAGATTTTTTGGAAACATATTTGATGTAATTGCTTTTAAAACTATTGCCAATGTAAAATTATAAGTCTGTTAAACAGTTCATATTTTCAAATGTATTGAAAAATGTACTTTTGCCCAGCTAGACCTATAGTTTTTCTAGTTTTTAAAATAAAAAGAAAATGGCACCATTTCAGAGCTTTCTTTAGTTATCTGTGGTTTCAATATGTCTTCATGGAACTGAATATATTCTTGAGCATGCTTCAAAAGAGCAATATATATATTCATGGCTTGTGATTGACAAGATGTTTATTTCGTCTTCTCATTCTATATTATAGTTACATTATTTGATGATATTACTGCTTCCCCAAAAAATTCCATTTCTATTTTCAATCCTGTAAAAATGGTCTGAAAGTACAATAAAAGACCACTTCACACCCATTAGGATGACTAAAATATAGAAAATAGACAATTACAAGTAGAGAAAACCCAGATTGAAACCTTCGTGCATTGACAGTGGAATTGTAAAATGGCACAGCCACATCGGAAAATAACTTGGTAGTCCTCAAGATAATAAACATAGAGTTACCACATAACCAGCCATCTCACTGCCAGGTATATACCCAAGAGATCTGAAAACATATACTCACACAAACATTTGTACATGTACATATATATATATATATATATATATATATATATATATATATTTACATGTTTATAGCAGAATTATTCATAGTAGCCAAAAAGTGAAAACAACTCAAATACCCATGGATAGATAAACTCAATATAGTAGATCCATGCAATGGAATATTATCTGGCAGGAAAAAGGAGTGAATTATTGATGTATACTACAACATGATTGATGCCTGAAAATGCTGTGCTAAGTAACAGCCAGTCACAAAGAACACATATTTTATCATTTCATTCATATAACATTTCCAGAATAGGCAAATCCATAGAGACGTCTGTCTCTCTAATAGATGAGTGGTTGCCAGGGCCTGGGATAGGGTGAAATAACATGTGACTGTTAGTGGGTACGGGGTTTCTTTTGGAGTGATGAAAATGTCCTCAATTACATAGCGGTGATGGTTACAGAACTCTGTGAATATACTTAAATCCTTTGATTTTTACACTTCAAAGGAGTTAGTTGTTCTGACAATTATAGCTCAATAAAGTTGTTATTTAAAAAATGGTCTAGCAGTCAAAATTTTTGACTTGGTTTAATTTTTCCTATTTAGAAAAACACAAGAAAAAAAGATTTCAAATATTTGTCCTTCTAGTGTGGATTCATATGATCTTGATTCTGAGACTCAGCGTGAAATAATCTTATGCATTTGTCAGATTTGACAAGGCTGTCATAAATTTCTCTGAAGGCTGTGTCTAACAGGAAGGACTAAAGTGTCACTTTCATTGAGAAATGTGCTTGTGTTTTAAAGGGAGGTAGTGGGGAAAGCAGAGGTAGTGTTACCAACATGATGCAATCATTATCACCTTCCCCACCAGCCAATAACAGATTAGGAAACTACGGCACAGAGAATTCAAATAACTCACTCAAAGAGATACAGCTGTCAAATAATGAAACCATGATTACAACTTCACATATGTTTAATCAATATTTAGCTTATGAGAAGCCAAAGGTAATATTTGAAAAATTTTACTTTATATTTATAATGGTGATTATTATATTAGCTAATACATGTATAATACTATGTGGCTGGAACTACTTTAAAAATTTGTTTATTCAATTATTTTGTCCTCATAACAACTTTGTGGAGTAGATTCTGTTATAGTCTCATCTCCATTACTGATGAGAAAACAAGAAGGCACAGAGTGTTTAAGAAACTTGTTAATCAGCAGTTGGCTCAGAACATACACACTGTCTCCACACCTTGTGTTCTTAGCACTATGCTTTGTTGCTTCTCTAACATAGGCCCTTATTTCTAGGGACTCAAGACACTTTTTTTCTTTATTGAATTGAATAAATGTACAAATCAATATGTCCAATATTCATTAAAGTTTCATCTTTAGTTGAATAATCTATTTCAAGTATTGGAATCAAATACGTGAAAATGATGAGCTAAGGCCTTCTTAAAAATGGTGTTTCATTTAAATTTAGTTTGTGAGATATTGTTTTCTAGGTATTATGTGAGGAATTCATGTTACACTTTAACGTATGTAAGACTCCAGAGCAAAACCCTGCAATAAAGAAGCTTGGTTAACTTTGTTTTAACCCACACTTACTTGACAATATAATCTTTGTAGAAAGGCAGTAAAACCTCTTAGTATCCTACAGAAGTAAAGTTTTCCAGAATACAAAGTGTTAAAATTACCCAGGTGATAGTATTTCTCATAGTTTTCATCATAGACACTATTTACTAATGGGAAAGGTTTTAAATGCTTTAAATAGCATTTCCTGCCTCTATGGGTTATTTATACACTTATTTCTAAATATACAAATATTAATTATACTTTCTCATATAATTATGTTTTTATACTCTAACCAGATGCCACATGGAAGTCGTTAAAATTTTAATATTCATCCATATTAATAAGCAAGAGATAAACTCAAGAAAAAAATAGTTACAACGCTCCAATCTGAGTATGCAGGCTACTCTTTGGCAGAAGATGCATAAAATGTTTCCCTGTAGACCAGGGAAAATTCTCATCTCTCAAAATATTTACACTAGGAAGTGATTGAGATGTTTGGAAGGTGCAAAGCAGTCTTGCAGTTGACATTCATATTGTGTTTTGCTAGAAAAATCTAGCTAAATGATTTAATGCCAATATTTGATGACTGTCTACTATCGCTTATTCTATTGTGGAAGTTTAAGATGTATAGTGAAAAATGTAAAATATGTAGATTCTATTCCATATCTACACATTTAAATTATATGCATTCTTCAAGACCCCATTCAAGTGTAGAAAACTTCTATAATGTGTTTTTGATGATTTTTAAGCCAAATGTGAGTTCTCTCTAAAACTCTGTCTTAATGTACTTATTACACCTAACAGTTTCAACACTAAAATTAACTTATGTTCACATTTGTCTTTTTCTGATAGATTGTAAGCTCCCCAAGGGAAAAATTCATGTATAAGCTAAACTTGCAGCTCCCAAAGTGACTTGTACATAGTGAACACTCAATGCATATTTGAGCAATGAATCAATGAATAAATAAATGAGTGAATAACATTGATAGTCATGATGAAAAAACAAATTATTTTCTGTCACCCTTAAAATGAATGCATTTCATTATTTCCTCTGAAGAACAAAAGGAAAATTTCCAGTGTTAGTTTTCTCTAGAACTAGATTTAATCACAGCAGATTTATGCACTGAGCTGAGTAGTAAATCCGTTTTAGTATTGATCCTGTTTAGAATAGTGAGTGACTTTGGACAATTTCAATCTTGTAAAGTAGAACATTTAGCAATGACATGTCAGAAAGGCCTATGCTCTATTAGAAATAGCAGCAGATTTATTCCAGCATTTATCTGGTTTATGCAGAATTGCTAGTCTCTTTTGTCCCATATATGACAATCTAATACATCTCAACATGCTTAAATTTATATCTAGATGAAGGAAACTTCTGGAGTCAATTTTTAGATTGTTAGAGAAGTTAGTGAGTGTCTTGATGAATGGTCAGTGTACCATAGTACTGTCTCAAAATGCAACCACTTTTCTTTCTAACATCAGCAGGTTTTAAAAATGAGAAATGAACCTCTTAGAAATGGGCAGGTTCAGAAGTAAACTTCATGTAGCAGATTATGACTAGATCTATTTACAGAGATCCAATTCCCTTACAAGTAAATTAGTTCATCAAAAATCAACAATCTGAATTGATTTTAAAGTCAGCTGAAGAAAACATAATTATTACTATTTATTTGTTGATGCTTATGTTCCAGACACTATCTTGGGTAGTTTATCTCATTTAATTTTTGCAACATCCTGCAATAAAGGTAACAGAACCATTTAGAAATCAGTAAAGTGAAGCCTCAGGACTGTGAACAGTTGCCAAAGAGGTAAATTTGAAGTGGCAGAATACCAACCTGCCATAATTAACCTCAAGCTAATCATGGCCTCCTCACTTTCTCACATTGCTAAGTAATAAATATTGATTCATTTATTTTGACCATAAGCATAATTTTGAAATAAGTTATTGTTAGGAAAGGCAATGCATATTTTTTATTTTGTAGTCCCTGTTTACATGTTCGCTAATCATTGTAGCCTACTAAATATATTCTCAGTATTCTGGATATAACAGCACTGTGATTTTCTTTTACTTTTACCTGCTTTCTCATTTCCAACACTAAGGGTTGACCCTGAGGATTAACAACAACATTGTCTATGTAGATTTAACAATTCAAGAAGAATAAAGTCAATCTACAGACAAATTAATTTATTCAACAAATATTTATTGAATACCCATTATGTATCAGACACTCTTCTTAGGAACTGAGAGTACAAATATGATAAATTTCACCTCCAAGAAGCCCACAAACCAGAGGGTGGGGGGAAGCAGATTTTGACAAAATATAAATTATACATAATGTGTTAGGAGTTTCAAGGCTATGGTTTAACTATCTTAATTGGTGATTCCAAATGTATTCTAGATTTTAAAAAATTGTAAAGAACTCTCAATAGAAAAGACAACAACATTACATGTCATAGCAGCTAAGATAGCGAGGGTCTGGGGTTAGACAAGTTTCAATCTAGTTTTGGATCTCGGACAATTTATTTCACATTTATAATCATCTACTTTTATCCGTTAAATAAAAATAATAAACTAAATTCATAAGCCTGTTCAACTTAAATACAGTAATGCTTATGCCTGAAACGTGATAAGCAGGCAATAAACATTGGTAAACAGTCATTATTTCCTTTCTCTTTCTAGAGAATCAAAATGCACATTGCGATCTGAGAGCGAATCCTGCAATAAGATAACTAGATTTAAATTTGTCTAACCCAGGTTCATTTGACTATTTTAAAAGATTTCTTGTCAAATGTATTAATAGCATGCCCACTTACTATTTAATGGAGCACATTTTGAAAAATTCTGTTCTAAATATTCAAATGTCTAAATGAAAAAAGTGACTGTCCTTATTGCTTAAATGCATGGATATATTTATAATCTTACAAATATTTTAATGTAATTTAACTTTCTTGATATTTTACCACATTTAATTTGGTGTAGTGGCCAAAAAAACAAAGCTCTAGGGGTGGAAAGTCCTGTTTAAATGCTGGTGACACTGGTTACAAGTTGTGGGATTTTTGATAAATGTGCTAAGTCTCACTGAGCCTTGATTTCCTTAGTTATATAATTGAAGAAATGTCTATTTCTGTGTAGTAGTTCTGAGAATTAAATGAGAAAATGGAAGAAACATTACATCTTTACATGTTTACATGTATTAATTGTAATTGTAATAATGTATAGAAAATGCCTGATATAAAGGTCTTCAAAAAATTTAGCTACTGCTATTATCATTGATTTTATAGTTGCTATAATAATTACTTTCAGAGTATTATACATCCTATTAATGGATAACATGTTGGTACTCTTAATTTATAGAATTGCTTCTTCCTATTGGTCATATATTCTCATATACAAAGTATATATATATATACACACACACATATAATTTCTTATGTATATTTATATTTAAGCTAAATAATCTACTTGGAATGATCAGCATCAAACTATGGAACAGAATGCAGAATATAAATTACCTAAACTATTCTCTCTGTGTAATTCTACAGATTATTTTCTGCTTTGCATTGTTGTAGGGAAATGAACTTTTCCCAGGATGATTTTCCACAACATTCAGGTAATATCTGGTGACTCTTATAATCTGGGACTGTATTAAGGAGACTGTTCCTTTCAGTAAAAGAGCAGGTGTCTAGAACTTCTTTTCTTCTGCAATTACATCAACCAAATATCATCAACAGTTTTGGTCCAAATTTAAAAATCTACTTCCCCTTCTCCTAAAAGCAACCCACAGGATATTTTTGGTCTATTCATGTCAATTATGAAAAATCATAAGTGTTGACACTACTGCCCTTCACATGCAAGGATAGTGTTACAAAACACAATTGTATGATATGCATACATTTCAGACTACTTTTTTCTTTTCAGCTTTCAGTTTTGTGGGGGTTTTGGTGCTGATCCAGCTAAGAATCTCCCTCTTAATTTTCTTTGTCATGAAGAGCCTGTGTAATGTATATAACTTATGGAAGTTAAGGATAATATGTGGTCAGGGAACAGGACAAAACAGGGAAACATCAAAGCCTTGCCCATTGTACCCCTGGCAGACTATTTAACATTGGAAATAACAAAGATCATTTGAAATAAAATAACCAGCTGTTTTCAAATGGGAAGTCGGTGACACTTGCTTTTCTGCCCACTGAATCCGTTTTCTCAATTGGCCGCTGATTGAAAATGTTTATGGAATCTTTTAAGGAAATTAAGATGTTGGAAGTGACAAAATTTTCTTGCAGAAGGAAATAATGAATGAGGATAAATATTTTGTGACTTTACAACTGCTGATCTGAGCTGACTCAGGTAGCGTCCCAAATCTGAGGAAATGTGTTTAAGTGTGTGTGGCAGGAATAGACTTTCTCATCAAATTCTAAAGTAGTCTACATTTATGTTAGTAAGAAAACAAAACAAGAGGAAAATAGTATTGGGATCATTTGGCTCTGTTTCAAACCAAGAAATTGAGGCCCAGTATGCTGTTAATAAAGAAATTTTATCATGCAAATTCCTCCCCCCACAAAAATAACATTTAAGTAAATATTCCTACAGAACATGTTTTTCCAAGTGGTGTTTTCTCTCCTATTGACATTTAAAGGCACTTGCCTAAAAATTTTGTTGGTTTGTGTTATTTTCTTTAGAAAAAATAACGAAATTCAATAGCTTTTTTAGCATTTTGTTCTCAGTCCAATGCCTTCCTAAGTGTCATTCTAACACAAGGCCTATGACTCATTTGGCATTTAATATACTTATATTTAATCATGAAGTGACAATAAGTGGAACATATTTTTATTTCTCTTTCAAAGGCCTTTTGAATACCTCTTTAATAAAAGTTAGCATATTTAATGGAAAAAACGGAAGAACTAGGGAAATATGAGGCTAAACGTTCAATGCTTTTACCTATGTAACATGATTTATTAAGCCCCTTTTGTTTGCCACATATTAAATGAAACAATGCAGGGGTAAATAGGAACAAGATGCAAACTTTGCCCTCATAAAATGTATGCTATGTGAGATGTTTTTATAAAGCAAATATATGTAAATAAAACCTTATCAGAGCACAGAGGACAGTGGCATTATTTTTCAGCTGTGAAAAACAAGGCATGTATTGGGAGGAGATGGCATTACAATCAAGCCTGAGAAAAACAGTTCTCACTTTTATTAGAGGTTTGAGACATGCTCCTCAATAAAACTCAAGAACAGAAAAAATCTATAAAATATATTGTCATATCATTAAGCATCATGATTTTTTTAACCTAGTTAAAAGGACTGGAATTACATCACTATTACAGGATGATGTAAGAGGCCATGCTTAGGACAACCTTAGAAAGTATCATATGCATATAAAGAAATATAGTAATAGTGTGATTTGGAACAGAGACAGTGCAATGCAGATGGATGTTTAATGACGGGGTCCCTGGTAAATGAAAACCTGATTTGTAATGCTTGATGAATTTATTGATATAAATACTCCTATCATGGCAGATTTCAAGCTACCAACATGATATCATCGCACATGGAGGAAGAGATGTGCATAGTGAGTTCTTCTACCTGCCCATTGTCTTCATGACTCCACAGAACACAATCCTGAGATCTGACTGTGGAGGTGCTTAAATTTCATTAGGAGTTTGAACTCTGTTCTTAATGAAAATACATTGAAACTTATAAGGTGAATAATATGACTATGGTAATAGGTCCAAGTCTTAATTTGAGTTGTAGTTCTGGGAATGGTATAAAAGAATATGTGGGTATAGAGGGCATTTAGGATAATACCAGCAAAAAGTGGTTGAGTATAGTGCAGTGAGAAAAGAAAGAGGTCAAAGACAAATGTTTTTTTGGGGGGGCAATTACTTAAGTATTCTTGTGTTAATTATCCTGTATATCTAGTACTTCCTTTTTTTCTGGTTCAATCTGTTCTTGGAAACTGTATCATATATATATTTTACTCATTAACTGCTTTATAAGTCTGCATGGTTCCTTGAGCTCTGGACTACATATGTCACAAGCATGACAAATTTACTCCACATTCTTAAAAACTAGTGAGGCAGCAGCAAATGCTAACAGACAAGAAAATTAAGATTCTTCTAGAAAATGGAGGAAATATGTCTTCACCACGGTGTGCTTGCGAGGGTTTTGAAGAGAACTGCATGTAAAAGCACTTTGTGAATTGCCAAGCAAATCTTTAACAAATAAACAATAATCAATAACTGGCAAATAATGAAAAGTAGAGGTATTTTCTTGCCGGTGTTAGAAGAGCAAGATGGTAAATACAGGAATTAATTTAATAATTTTATTCGATATGTCTGAAGACCCTTTGCAGCATGTAAGGAATTTCTACAACTTCATTGGAAAGCCAAGAAACCTGACTCAGAGAACATACAATGTTTCTTCTCAAGTTATACAAATTAGTACCAAAGCTTCGATTAGAATTAGATTGAGTAATTTACAATCAAATGTCCTGTTTTGCTTTCTACAACTGTATTAAATAACAAAGTAAGAGTAGAAATAGAAAAAGCCTAACATTTTTAAAAAGCACAATAAAATAAAACTAAATAACAGAATAAGGAATCAAACAAGAACAATAGCACTATCACTATTCTATGCCAGGCCCTTTACTACCTCACATTCAAATTACAGCAATAGCATCACAGCAACTTGCTCGGCATTGCATGCTTCACCCTTGAAATTTACCTGTTATAGTTGACAGAATTCAGCTTGTTAAGACAATTACAGTCTGACTAGACTGTCTGTATTTTCTACCTTATAATTCCTAAACTCTTTCACCTATTTTTCAAAGCCCCCTTCATACTACCCACTTAGAAGTTAAAGCTGTTGTCATATCTTCATGTCTTAATATTTCTATATTTTAATCTGATGCTGACCACACAATAGGGGCTCAACAAATATTTCTTAATGAGTTCATTCAGAAATATCATCCCCATTTTGAATTAATGAATCATCTCAGATGAAGACCAAGATCCAAAACAACAATGAAAATTATAAATGCTGACATATTCTCACTTTTTGTTTTGTTTTGCTTGGCATTTCCTCCTTACCTTAACCAAATTCTGAAGAAGAAATAATTTGTTTTGTCAGTACATGGAGCTATAAGACTGACTGTTAGGTCTTAATTTATTGGCTAATTCCATGTAAGCAATCTGTTAAGTAAAACAAATGGTGTAATTGCTTTTTTATTCACTATTTTCCTGACTGTTCTAATTTGAATAAAATTCCTCAGTCAACCAGACTTGTATACATTCTGTGTCACTTTAGCATGGTGGAGAAGAACACAAGCTTTAGACTCAGACAGCTAGATCTTAGGTCATTGTGAGGCTTTAGCAATTTTTCTAATTCTTTAAGTCTTGTTTCACTCATATAAAAATAGAAATAATGGTATTTCTTCTTTAGGAATATCCATTTTAATCTTTCTCTATATCTAAATAATTGTCGAATAAATGCCAGTAAGCTATTTTATTAGTATTCAATGTATAAATACAAAACATCATACACAAATTCAGAAAGAAATACTATTTTAAATTTTTCTTCAGAGTTGAGATTATTATTGACAGAGAATAATTGCAGCTATATATATATTTATATACACATAACTATTTACATATTTTATGAAAAAGCAGATAGCTTAATCCCTAAGGAACATGTTCATTCCATTGCTTAAAAAAAAAAATGAGCTTTGTGATACGATGGTTCAGGAAATAGATGTTATACATTCTTTTAGCTTTTTGTTCAAGATGCTTTTCTCTTAAGGATTTTGATGATCTTTCCACATTCTTACCCCTGAGAAACTTTTCGAGAACAAGAGGGAAACAATAAGCTATTGGAGCCAAACACTGTGAACCAGTAAGGAAATAATTCGGTGAATCAAGCCAACCAGAGGATGTTAGCATTAACTTGCTGAGTGCCTGTTATTTCAGGAGGATGCTGGATTGCAGTATAGACCTAGGATTTATCAAACTAAACATGTACATGCCATCAAAGATGTGACTGCAAATTTTGGACTTGCACAAGTAGGCAATCTGTGGAAGTCTCCACAATTCCCATTTTGGCACTCCTGTGAGTGCCATTTGTTTTGGTCTGCAACTTGATTGTAGTTTTTATCTGGCCAGGATGAGCTCTTGCAACAATGAACCCAATTCACAGTGAACAGATAAAAGCCACAGAACAATATCGAAGCTGATTTACATAGCACTTGTCAGTTACATTCTCCATTCCAGCTCGGATTACCAGTGCCACTAATGTCACCATTTGTGAAGGCTTTTTAGGGACTTGCAGATATGAAATGTATTCTGAAAAATTCCAGGAATATATTATAATGAGCTAAGAAGAAACATAGCTGTTAAAATAACACAATTTTTTTTCACTAACAGAAATAAAAGGTATGTTTTCTAAGCTATTGGGGGTTAATGGCTTTTTCCAATTATTTATAAGTATCTTAAAAATAAAAACTTTTGCATTTACCTACAAAAAAAAGATCATTGCATGCATAGTTAAGGGAAGTGGAATGGTGATAGAGATAAAAGTACATGTGTATGCACACTTTTTTGTTCCTGATCCATTAAATATCATCTAAACCATAACACTAAATTATGATTTTAAGAAACAATATTTGATTCGTACCTGTATTTGGATGTAAGTAAGTTTGATATGAAGAGATATTTGATATGTAGCCAATTACAGGCTGGAAAAATCTTACCATGAATTTCTAGAAGATTCCAGAATGTACAGAAAAATAATTTGTCTTTGTATGTATGTATTTCCTGATAATCCACTGGAAATCGGTGAGTAAAAGGGATGGAAAATGGGATTAGATTGGTTTAAACATATGCTAAATTAGTAAGTGTGCTAATTTTTCAGGAATCCATAAAGTAGTACTGTCACTCTCCTAGAAGCTAAGTGGGTAAACATATTTGATGAAAGAATTATAATGTTAACACATGCTTTTATTTGTAGTCATTGTTCTTTTTATTTGAAAGTTTCTATTTGTTCTTTATCCCTTATGGCATCATTCCAAAAGACCAATTCTCTCTTGGGATTAAAGTCATTCCCTGGCAGAAATGCAATGCTTAGTGGAGCACATTAACATTCCCTTCCCTACTAGTCTAGTTCAGTGGTTGGTTATGAGCAAGAGTTGTGGAGCCAGACTGCCTGGATTTGAATTTCAGCTCCACAACTTAATGGGTAGGTGATTTAAGGCAAGTCACTTAAACTCTCTTTAAAGTTTAGTTTTCTCTTTGGAAAAATAATAGGAAAATACTTTCCTCACAGAAGAGATACGTGCTGGAGATTAAATGTGAGAAATCTCATAGCATAATACTTCTTCCATAAAAAATAATGTGAACCATTATTATTACTACTATTATTATTACCAAAACATAATGGTCTGTGACAAACATACAACATGTGGACAGCAGCCAATCATGCATTAAGTGTTTTGGTTTGGTTACATCTAAAAGGTGCTGTCTTAAGGCATGTTACTGCACTCAGAGTCTATAAATTTACTAAGCATATCATAGATTTAGTAATTTTAATAAAGATTTTAAAGGTCCTGTGGGGGAATCATATTAAAATATTCTGCTTACTTTTTATCAAAGCCTCATTTTTAAACCTTTTCTCCAGGAAAGGTTGGCAATTTTGGCAACTTTGTCCTTCCCTTTGAATTTACTCCTAGAGACCCAGGATCTCCTCCCCATCATCATCATGCTGGGTAATTAAGACCAGACCCAGATTCAACCTTTAAATTTTCTCATTCCTTACCAATCATTGCACTTCAACAAAAGAATGTTCCAATGGCAAAATCCTTTAGAAATTATAGGAATCTCTCTCCCTCCCTCCCTTCCTTCCTATTTCTATTCAATTACTTTAAGCAAATATTTTCTAAGAATATCATTATTTCCTCAACCTTTAATTCATAAATCACGCATATCTTACAAAAACAAACATGAATCAGAGTAGGAATTTGTTTCATGAATAAATTGAAAATGGAAAATTTCAACTCAGTAAAGCAATTTTTGTAATTTTGAAAAAAGTACTACTGTATTTCTAAAATATATTAGAGAAAAAAATTATTACTAATAGCCATGTGTATTAATCAAGATGTCATAGGGTTAAATTTCACAAATTTGAGTAAAGGAACTAGTGTTCACATCCTCAAAAGATATACTTAACACATTCATGAGTAAACACCTTATAATGAAAACATAATATAGGTTGTGGTAGCATCAAAAATAGGCATTTTATTAGATCAATGATACACAGATCAAGCATATTATCTTAAGCAAAGGAAAACTGCTACAATTAATCAACTATCTTAAACTACCAGGAACACTAATACATTTAATACATTTTCAAACACAAAAAACTTCAGTCTTTAGCCCTTTGTGCATTCAGTAAAGATGACTTTGTTAAGAGTTTGCAGAAATTGTTGATCAGTATTTTTTTACTGTTAGGTATTGTGATAATATGTTAAGCCATAATATTAAATGACTTAAGTGCCTTAGAAGCCATTCTGTCTGTTTCTAAGAGTTAAACAAGGTAATGTATATTTTGAATTTTGGAAACACACGTATAAAGTGATTTCTTGCAAGAATTAAAGGCAGATTTTGTGAATAGATCATTTACTATGGTGTGTATGGGCAGTTTGAAATACTTACGCTAGTGGAGCATTGAAAGTCAAAACACTGGAATCTCAGATTAATAATAAAACAATCTTACTGTGAAGCATAAATGGAAATGATTGGAAGATAAATTGTAACAAATTTATATCAGGTGAAGATGGCATGTAGGGCATGTGAGATAGTCATATATATATGACTAAAGGAAACTTTAGTACCTGAGAAAAGTACCTGAGAAAAGAAAGCCAATGTGGATTGAATCATGCAAACCTCAGAAAATGCAGGCATAATTTAAAACTCAGCTGTGTTAAAGTCATATTAATAAAGTCTATAAAAACTACAGTTGTACTTCCAGTACTTTCATCTGTGACTCGTAGAGCTGGCCTTTTGGTATGGGTGTGAGGCTGCCCTGCAAGGTCCACCTGCTACATAAACTGAGTTACATAGTTTCCCATCAATCGGGCTGAAGCAAAGATGATGCGTCTGTTCTCTTTTCCTTACTTTACTACAGTGATTAACTATTTTCACTGTGCCTTGAATCCTTTTCTCTCCGAGCTTCTGTGCTTGCTAGCTTTTCACCAAACTCATTTGCCTTCCTAACTGAGTGCAGCACGGAGACAATAACACTATGGTCTCGTTAGTTCAGATGGCAGGTGGGTTTTGGCCCTGAATCCAAAAGATAATAAATAGTATAATTGAAAAGATCAGTAAGGGCCCAAGGAGAAGGGAAGAGGAAGGAGAGACACATTTATCCTGTTTCAAAGGAAGCTTTTCGATAAAAGAGACACGAGACAATTTTCTACATTTTTCATGTGTTGAAATACCACAAACCTACTAAAAAATAGAACAGATAATTTTCTGGGACTTGGAAGAACTTGATCTAAAAAAAGCAAGCATTTGTATGCTTGTGGAAAAAACAAACTTCACTTCTGTTCCTGTGCAGTAATCTCATCAGTGACTAGAGGAAATTAGCATGGAAATACCGGCTGTTAGCATTAGGATTTGATTTTTGCAAAGGATAAACAAGGACTTTTTATTTTATCTTTGCTTAATGAGCAAACCTGGCTCCAGAGAGATGCAAAACTTTGTCAGCATTGTGCCTACAACTTATGTCACAACTCCAAGAAACAAGGTGTCAGCCCTGATGGTGTTCACACCAGGAACTTCATAGCTCATTCATTTCTGCCAGTCCTCCCCCGGCCCAGGGTTACATGGCCACAGGGACAATACACCCTTTGGACCATTTGTGGTTTATGAATTGTAAATCCAAAAAAGAGGGAGAGACAGCTTGACTGAGCCCAAATTATGTTACAATAGATGGTAATGAATGTCCTGCTTCAGCAGGATAATAGAACCCCTGCTTACTGGCAGTCATTCAGGCTCTATCTCTCTCATCCATTTTCTCTCCTGGCCTTGACCCTAATCCAGCAATTGCACATCCCCAGCTGCTCTTTAAGCTGCCTCATTAGCAGCGCACCATTGGGCAGCTCCCATGACAGTCATCCAATGGGATGAAAGTGACATGGGGCCAAAGACTGTAACTGATTGGCAAGCATGGAAATGGAATATGAGACAGGGTTATAGGAAGAAGGCTTTTGAGAGTATTGCAAGGGGCTGAGCAGTTAAGGAATTTTAGGCACATGTTAACCTCACTATTCAGTATTTTGGTTTCTTAAGTTTAAAAAAAAAAAAACCAAGAGACCACACAATTCTCTACTATAGGTAGTCATAAAGAATACATTTGATATTAAATATGATTTTTAAAAAATGTTTAAAACAATTTCTTTCTCTTTATAAAATGGATACTTCAGCCACAGAAACAGTTTAAACTGCCTTAATATTTTCATATGATTTTTAAAAATATAATAGTTTAAGACTGTGGTTCAGAAATATGTGATTTTTAGAACCATTTAGAAATGAGCAAAAGATATATGTATCATTTGGGAGAATCTAGTGAATCTATTATCTATTCTTTTCCTGTCATAAATATACATTATATTTTCATAAGTTCTAGCAGAATGTAAACTTGTGGTGATAACTTAGTTCACATTCTATTCTTCAAAACATAACTCAAAATACCTTCTTCATCACATTAACTGTATATTACTGAATTTATTCTAGTTATTTGAGCAACTCATGTTATCCCCCACCTTAACTCAATACTCATGTGATGAACTTCACAAGATGAATCATTTTAATAATTTTAATTTATGTTGGTTTTAATTACTCTTTGCATTACGTTGGTCAAATTCCTCTAGATCAAGGTAAGTAACCTCTCCAGCTGTGTCAAAACAATGTTTGTCATGTTTTATAACTTACTTCCTAGCTTTCAAATATTTAAATGCTTAAAGGCATTGCCATTTTTATTCACCCAATAATTTTTAAGTGTCTACAATGAGCCAGATACTGTTCTATCAGCCCCAGAGATATAAACATAACTCTAATATCGTATTGTTCTCAAAAAGCTTACTTTCTACAGCAAAAAGACATTACCGGCTCATAAAATAGATGATGATAAATGCGATGGAAAAGAAATGACCTAGGGTGTAATAGGAGTCTGGAAGAGGGTATATTAAGCATCTCTAGAGTGGTTAGAAAGGCTTCATCAGGAATGTGTATGTGAACTAAGTCTTAAATGATAAATAAGTACATATTACCAAGTTTAAGGTAAAATAAGGAAAGCAGAAAGTATTTCAAGCAGAAGGAGAACCACATAGAAAGGCCCTCAAGGCCCTCTGGTACATGCTTTAATAAACCCTTTGACTGTAACAAAGAGATGTTATAAAGCCAGCGTATGTACACACATGGAAGTAAGTGAACTGTAAATTCATGGAAATCCAAGTATAGGAATCATCATAGGCAGACTTCATTGGTTGTGAAACATGCATGATTGTGGTCATGAAGAAGCATCATCCATGACCCAAGTTAGGTCCAGAGACCAAGTGACAGAAATATACAAGGATTCAATCAGATGCTCTGCAATTTCAACTCAACTATGTTTTCTAGTCTTCTCTGTTTAATTCACTTCTTTGTATTTACTAGCCCATTCTCTTCACAAATCTTTTAAAAGAAGAAACAATATTGTTTCAGTAATAACCAAAACCCCAGTTGCAGCTTTTCACAGCAAAAGCAAGTCATAAATTTGTATTAGCTGCCCTTGGATCAGATGCCCTTCTATGCTCACGTAAATTGTAATTAGGGAGAAGGTAGGATAAATGAAGACCATAAAATGGATATCATTCAGAGCCTAGGGGCTTGTAGCTGCAGCAAGGGCTGTGGGGGAACAGTTTTCTTTAGGAGGCTTGTTGCCATGACAGGCAAGGTGGTGGTGCTAGAATTCTGATAATAAAGGCTGTGAACAAGTGCTGTGATACAGACCATGTGAGATTTTTTTAAACTACAAAGTTAAACAAATTTTGCATTGCCAAAAGTTAAAATTTTACCAGTTACCTGTGTTATAAACTATCCAACCTCTCTAGAAATTAATTTTCCTTTAAATATAATGTGTATATTGGATAATTAAAATATTGTTTTATGATTATATGCAACATATACCTCACCCTTCTTATTTTTCTACTAAAGTTATTCTTATCTTTCTGGCTCAATTTTTACATAGTTATCAAAGTCTTCCTTTGTTTACTATTCTACTTCATATTGAATCTCTCTTTATACCTGTAACTTTCCTATTAAGTGCTTAATCACCTACTTAATTTCACTAGAATTATTTTATGCATTTACATATTTTTTCCATGATTGAGAGTTCTCAAGGGTAAATATTTTATTTTATATTTCATCTTATTGCCTCTAGATTTCAATGGAATTTTTGTTTTTATTTAAAAGGAATGTAATAAATACTACTTGTTTAAGAAATTGAGTTTGAAATAAATAATTTGAGAACTACAGAATTGTTTTAGAAGCTATCTGAGGCAGAATATTAAACTAATGTTTTGAAGTCCTTCAGAAAGACACAATTTTATAAATCATGAACAGAAATTCATTATTTTTTCTAGATTCGTTTTGACTTCTAAAAAGTCTTTAGGAAACATTAACATCTGAGTGGAACTTTTTAAAACAGAATGTCTTCTTCCACATAATGATGGTTTCAATAAAACATGCTCACTAATGGCCAAGTCTTTCTTCAGTAAACTAGAATTATTTGCAATCAAGAGTCTCCTACAGCTTATTTCTTCTGCAATAAGAATGAGTGCATTTGGGAATATTTGTCTGCTGACTCAAGCTCTCTAGAGGATAGTGAACTGCCAATATTGATACTCTGCTTTAGCCCTTGTCAATCTACTTTAGGAAAAGAACTTGCCTTTCTAGGATAGAAACAACATAAAGCAGTAGATAATTTCTTTTTCTAATAAACTTCGATGACTCACTAGAGTGAGCATGATGAATAGTCAGAATGTAATCATCTGTTTAAATAAAAAGAATAAAAATATTAGTAAAATTCGAAAGAAACTTTTACTCAAATATAACTAACTAAATTCCATTCAAGTTTTTTTTGAATGCCCACCTTACACTATATTCAACTATAATTACATTTTTGAGTGAAACACAATAGCAAGCACATAATCTTGTTATATACCGTTTCAAGAAATGAAAGGACTTCAACATTCAAATTTCTCAGTAAACATTTGTGACATGTTAGACAATGTGATGCGGTATGGTTTGATATTTGTCCCCCCACGTCTCATGTTGAAATGTAACCCTCAATGTTGGAGATGGGGCCTGGTAGGAGGTGATTGGGTTATGGGGGCAGATCCCTCATGGCTTGGTGCTGTTCTCATGATAGTGAGTGAGTTCTTGCTAGATGTGAGTGTTTAAAAGTATGTGGCACCTCCCCTTCCCCTTGCTACCACTCCTGCCATGTGAGATGCTTACTCCCCTTTTGCCTTCTGCCATGATTGTAAGCTTCCTGAGGCCTCCCCAGAAGTAGATGCTGGTGCTGTGCTTCCTTTACAGCCTGCAGAACCATGGGTCAATTAGATTTTTCATCTTATAAGTTACCCAGCCTCAGGTATTTCTTTATAGCAGTAGCAATGCAAAAATGCCCTAGTACAGAAGGATAACAGGAAAGCAGATATTTTACATGACCTGCATCCTAAAGAATCTAGTGAATTATAAGAGAGAAAGATTACATTAAATAAATTACTATAAAAGTAAAATGATTGTGATAAAATAAATATATATAAAGTATTATTGAATTATGTTTTAGGAGGAATGTTTCTATTGTTGAAAAAAAATTTTTAAATATATATATATACATATATGTATATATATGTATGACTACTATGTATCTCAGTCAATTTTCAATGATAGTAGAAGATATATAGGAGATAGAAGACATAATATTTGTGACAAAAGCCTGGCTAGGTTAATGAGATGATAAAAGGTAATTGTTTAATTGGTATTGTATTCTGAGTCTTAAAACTGGAAGACTCAACCACATTTCAAAGTAAGGTGCCAAGCCACCCTTTTAAGGATGGGTCTCAGTTACTTACTCATATTAAAAACATACAGTGGTAAGGTTGAAAAGGTCAGTTGGGTATTATAGAAATATATTTTTGAGAATGTTTTTGGTGTGCCAAGTGTGCCACCCCTGGATTCCTCAACCTTACCCCTGTGAAGATGAAAAGTCATTCCTGAAAAGTATGTCAACTAGACAGAAAGGCTGCATTTGAATATTTATACATTCCTACAGGTGGCAAGTCAAAGACTTCATTTTCTCTGCATCAAATATGAAACACAAGCATTGGAAACAGAAGTTATTTTAAAGTCATGTCCTCGAGGACTCTGTCAGGACTTAACATCACTCAATGGAAAGGGATCCAGTAGTAGTCCCAAATACCAACGTGCTAAGTGAGGAACTCAAAGTACCCAGAAGTGATACATTCTTCTTAATCAAGAGAACTGTGTGTGATAGTTATTAAAGTCAGTCTCAAAAAAAGCATATAAAAGTTAGCATGAGAACAAGAGTCAGCTTTCACAGCTCTCCAGCCCAGGGATCTCTGAAGCCAGTTCATAAAAAGTGCCTGTTAGGAAGCATACTTCATATACACATAACACTTCTGCTTCTCTCCCTTTTCAATTCTGGAGGTGTTAGTGGTACAGCTAGTGAGATGTGAGGAAAGTGCCAGGAGATTAAAGAATAAAGAAGCCAACTACTATAACATCCTTTCCTGTCTGTAGACTCCCAAAGCCAAAGGAAGGAAGAAGTTAAACTTCAAATAAAATATTTTTAAAATTATTGTTTTATGGAACTGAACATTTAGATATTTACCTATTTGAGATTTAATGTGACTCAAGGTCTTTTAATATCTGAAAACGACCCAAAGTCACAGTCTACCCTTGATTCCTCCAAGGAGATGATGAAGCAGCCGGACAAAAAGTACCTATGAAGTTGTAGTCATAAGAAAATAACAAAAAATATGTATTTCATCCTCTAAGTCTCACAGATTCAAAATAATGGTTACATTTGTTAATAAGCATTTGCTGTAAACAGTAAAAAGGCAACGTTCAATAGTAAGTTCAAGATGTAGAGTCTTGGTTAGCAGGATACCCAAGTAATGACCAACATTCATAGTCTGTGCAGGGTGAAGAAATATCTTAAATGAAATGAGGACCAAATTGCTTCAATACCACTATTCTCTTTGGTAATCTGGAGCAATTTCTATAGTGGAGCACAGAATATTTGTGTTGGAAAGCGAAGGGATAATAAGAAATTTAAGACAATTAGTCAACAAACTCTCTTCTGTGTTCTTCTCTTATAAACCAGAAGTGGGCTAGGGCATTAAGTTATGGTGCAGGGTTTTGCTTAGCAATGGATCAAGTTGCCTAAGGCCCATCCTAAATGAAGGCATAGGTGGCAATAGTAATAATAATAGTGATAACAATTATGATATTGCTAGCTTATGTTTATTATTTGCTTACTATATTCCTGACTTTGAACCAAGTAATTTATAACGTTGTATCATATAATATCCAAAATACATTATCTCTATTTTGATGACAGTGAGTTAGGCTTAGAGAGGGTAAGTAGCTCACCCACATTGACCCAACTAATAAGTAGTAAATTCAGGAATCTATCACAGCCAATCTATTTTCACAGTCTTCATTTCTTAAAAAGAAGAAATATACCTCTTATTCTGAGAAAGAATGGAAGGAGATAAGCAGACGGTGCAATTAGGTAGTTTGAATATAGGGAGAAGAAAACTAGAGAGATTTACTTCCTAAAATACAAACTCTATGAAGGCCCAGAGCATTACTATCCTTCATGCCTAACACAGAATTTCTATAATAATAGGGAAGGGACACCAATAATCCTATTTTTCAGAAGGATCTGAAGAACTTCATTACCAGATGGGGAATCCATGTGAGATAAGACTGTGGAAGTACCCAGACTCTGACCTGGGCACTGACTGCCTCTTATTGGAAAAAGCAAGCCAGTGTCAGAGTTCTGTACATATGACACCAAAGTGGTATTATTCAAATATAATCCAGCCCACTGCTGTCTTATGAGAAGAGACTGATCCAAAAGTTGGGAGAATAAATTTACCCTTTAAGGAATGTAATCCAGTCATTTTAATACTTGGGAGATTTGTGTTCATCGTGTGCTCTTTTGTATACAGCATTAGTGGCTGGATGAGATGAAAGGTTAGTATTTACCACTGCATCAGCACATGCATCTTCAGACTGAAAATGGTAGCAGTAACAGAGGCAAAGCTTGTTCATTATGTTAAGAGAATAGTTATTTTCTTAGTAGTGCCAATAAAATATTTAAGGCAGGCAAAACTCTTAGGGAAAGTGAATCATCATAATTCCTGTTTACTGTCAGCTCTAATGGACAAGGAAAGACAGTTGGGTCCAGCTGTAGGACTAGTACTAGAAAGAAGGTTTGGTCATTTACTTTACAATATCCAAGGGGAAATCCACCTTCTATATCAGTCTAGAACAGTCCTGATGGTCAAAGTGTCCAATAAAAGTAGGAGATCATAGTTAACATTTCCCTCATTTGTTATTTGCTTTTGAAATATTCTCACTATTTAGGAATATTGTCTGATCAAATCATTGCAAAATTTCTATGAAGTAGCACCAATTATTCTCTCTTTTAATTTAGGAATATTGTCTGATCAAATTATTGCAAAATTTCTATGAGGTAGCACCTATTGTTATCTCTTTTAATAGATAAGAAAATTTAGAGTCAGAGAAAGATATTTGCCTACAATTAACAAAAGATAGGTTTAAAAGATTTTAAACAAGATCTATTTCTCTTCAAGTCCAGAGGTTTTAGTCAACATACTAAAATAGTAATCTTAAGGAAGCAGTGATAGTCATTATAAAGCAGGTACAGCCACATGGATCTAGGGACAAAGGAAAGTGATTCAACTACTTGTAGTTGATCTCAAGCTCAGGCTGAAGAGATTAGGTAGGACCAGGCTCATCAGAACAAGGGCTGTGATAGACTTAGTCCTGAGCATGAGGGTTCAATGCAAGATCCTAGTCATGAAAAAAACTGGAGTATAAATGAGCAACTAAGAATATTCAAGACAGAATTAGTGAGAGACAATGTTCCTCAGAGATTTTTGGGGTCTGATGGATGCTATAAATTGGGCTTGAAGTTACATGATTTTCTAGAAATCACCCACTGGTGAATGTAGCCTACTAACATACTGCCCACGTGGTCAGGATTGCGTTGACATCAGACTATATACAATCCCTTTGAGTGATAGGCCTAGATAATTGACAAATGTCTACCTTTATTTTTAAATTTAAATCTCAGTGTTGGTGTGGCCCATGGATTACATCTTCTACAAGATTATTTGTAACTTGCCTTTCAAATACACATATAGGTAAGTAGGACAGAACCTCACCTCAATATAGTATTTGTTACAGAGAAACATTCAATGTTTTGACCTGCTTTGAACACCATGCAAAACAATTATTATTTGCTGAAAGAAAAAAGCAATTAAAAGTTATAAAAATTTTCACTAAAAATTCAAGATAAAAATTTCTACTCCATAGCTGAAAAGAATTAATAAAAACATCTATCTACTGGATGAAAATGCTCACATATTTATATTTTAATGCCTATGCAGTTTATATATACATTTGGGTTCATTATTCTTACATTGGGTGGGCCAACTGATATTTATCCATAAATATCAATTGTATCAATAAATAATAAATGGAGCAAAGATTTTTCCTCCTCCTAGAGGTAGGAATAAAGACAGTTACATTTGCTTCCTGGTAAATAGTCCCTGAATCTCCTGAACTCTTAAATATTTTTATCTTTACATATAAAATCACTCTGGTTTTGATCTCAAGTGATATCTAACTTAAGAATTTTGATAGATTAAAACACCAAATATTCTGAAATTGCTATGTGTTTAGTAATTTTGTACAGAGTTGAGAAACGGTTCCAGGACCAACCTTTTCTTTATTATCATTTTCTTTTTTGAATAGAATTTTCACTGAATTGAAAAGAAACCTCATCCAGCAAATGATACAGGGCACAAAAAGGAGGCTTGTGCCTAACGATCTACACAGTCATATAATCAAGTAGTAATTGTAAACCTAGCTGATATGTGACTGGAGTACAGTGTTAATGAAATTTCACAGCGGTTCTGGTAAGATGGTGATGGTTATTAAAGCTGACCCCCTTCAACAAAGTAAATTGCCTTAGGTTTTAATTTTATTTTGACAGGATCCTTTATTACTTTTTCTGAAATCAATATTGACACACACAGCACACTGTAGAAAAAGCTAAACAATGCAGTACTCTCAGCAGTGAAAATCTGAACAGGTGGTTTATATTTTTAGTCACCACATATATCATCTACTACACAAAAATTATACGTGACATACTGAAAAAATGCTATGCATGCATTAATGACATTAGGTGCATTTAATATAGGTTCCAACTTTATATCCAATAAATATAAAAGACACTATGATCTGTCATCACTTTTGAAGGTTTCTTCCAAATGGAGGATTTAAAAAGATTACTTTGTGGTTTAAAAAATGTCATATACATTGATTCTGTTTCTAAATACAAGGGCAACTTTAAACATACGCCATAATTTTTTGAGAATTTTTAAAACAAAAATTCTGATAATATAATAAAATTAATATATAAACTATACTTTAAAGACTTTTATTAATTCGCCTTAGAAAGTGGTAAATCTAGAGTTTCTTTAGTTAAGTGAATTAATGAGGTTATAAATCGCATGAGAACTAGATGTAATGTGTCAGGCAAATATGTTCTTCAAATTATCACCCCTGCAATTTAAGATCAAACATTTCAACCTGTAAAATAACCAACTACTTTTAACCATGATTAAAAATGAGAATATATATGCATATGTATGTGAAGGTATATATGTGTATATGTACATACACATATACATGCATATATATGAAAAAGTTATTAATCTAGCCACACATATTTTATTATTATTTTTATTAACAGTTCAAATATAATTTATTGCTTTATTTTAGGACTGTAAGATTTATTTTTATGCTCTCAGAATAGTGCTTATGAATTAAGATATGATTTTACAATTGTAATGTGCTTATTTAATAAATGTAATTTCTACCATTGAGTGTCTGTATTAGACTGGGTTCTCTAGAAAAAGAGAATCAGTAGAAGATGTGTGTGTGTGCATGTGTGTGTGTGTGTGCATGCACATCTAGATATATATATACAAACAGATATATATCTATATCTATCTATGGGTATGTATATGTATGTGTTTAGACACACATGCACGCACACACACATATATAGAGGGGGTGGGGAGGAGGAGAGAAATTTATTGTAGGAAATTGGCTTATGTGGTTATGGAGGCTGAGAAGTTCTAGGATCTACTGTCAGACCTAGGAAAGCTGAAGATATACTCCAGTCCAGGTCTGAAGGCAGCAAAAGATAGATGGGTCACCTTGAAGGCAATCAGGCAGAGAAAGCACATTCTCTTTTATTCTGCCTTTTAAATTCTATTCGGCCATTCAGTGGATTAGATAAGGCCCACCCACCTGGGGGAGGGCAATATGCTTTACTCAATCTACAGATTCAAATGTTAATCTCATCTAGAACACCCTCAGAGACATGCTAGAATAATGTTTCACCAAATATCTGGGCACTCTGTGGCCTGTCTTGTTGACACATAACATTAAACATTACATGTCCACCCCTTGTCAACTTATCACCCATGCACAACTTTTTAAACCATACTTAATCTGCAAATAAAGACAAAACAGGATCATAACTTTGCCTAACATGACACATCTGTCCCGCATTCAACTGGACATGCTCTAATCTCTTCTCCAGAAGAGGAGTTATGTTTATTCTTTTCTTTGATAGCTCATAACTTGAGTACTCCTGTGTTAAAATAACAATACTCAAATACTGGGATATAAAATTAACACGTTACATGATGAAAGCATGAAAGACTGGAGAAAACAAGGATATTTCCTACACATATACATGTTTTAGTCAGTTTTCACACTGCTATAAGAATACCCGAAACTGGGTAATTTATAAAAGAAATAGGTTTAATGACTCACAGTTCCACATGGCTGAAGAGGCCTCAGGAAACTTACAATCATGGAGGAAGATGAGGAGGAAGCAAGGCACTTTTTACATGGTCACAGGAGACAGAGAGAGAGCGAAGGGGGAACTGCCACTTTTAAACCATCAGATCTCATGAGAACTCACTATCACGAGAACAGCATTGGGGAAACTGCTCTCATGATCCAGTCACCTCCCACCAGTTCCCTCCCTCCACACATAGGAATTACAATATGAGATGAGATTTGAGTGGGGACACAGAGGCCAACCATATCAATACATATGTATGTGTATGTGTGTGTGTGTATATATATATATATATATATATATATGTTCTAAGCTGGTATTCATAATTACTTTCTTTTTTAATTTATTCTGTATTCCCTTTGCCATCAGTAAGCAACTCAGTGGGTTATGGATTTTTACTTGGTGGGATGACACAAACCTTCATTCTGGAATGACTTTGGCCACTAGTAGTCCTGCCTGGATTGGATTGTTGTCATTTTCTATTGATCTTAATGGTAATACTAGGAAACACCCTAAAGGATCTCCTATTCTCCAGACATACTCTTCTTTACCTACATTGTAGAAGAGTATTCCAGTTTTCCGTTGGTAGCCAGGCTTAGTCAACTCAGCAAACACCATAACTCCCTTTTTTTGCCGGTTGACTCAGAGGTATGAGGAGTGCAAAGTAGCCGGTTGGCAGTCTTAATTTCCAACTCAATGGAACCCTTACTATATCTCCTATTGGAAACATTACTCCCTCTGGAACTAAGGCCTCTAGGTCAGTAAAGCCTAAGGTCATGGGAACCAAAAGCAAAAATTTTGCCGATGAGTCACTACGCATAAGAGTAATTGGTTTTATTTCTAATTCCACCCCTTGATTTCTGGGCCTGTAGATTTTGGCTATGGGAAAGATAGCACCACATATTGGAAACTGATTTAGAGCATATACAGGAGAACCTTGCCACAGCCCTGGGAGGCATTGCCACCTAGCTAGTGCTGTAACTGGATCTTCAAAAGCCCATTTTATTATTTCTATTAAACTAGCTGCTTCAGGATTGTTTGGAACACAGCAAGACTAGTAAATTCTGTAGGCATTGGCTTATTGCTGCACTATTTTGGCTGTGAAGTAAGTTCCTCAGTCAGAAGCAATGCTGTGTGGAATATCATGATGGTGGACAAGGAATTCTGTAAGTATATAGATGGTACTTTTGGCACAGCATTTTATGCAGAGATGGCAAATCCATATCCAAAGTAAATATATATTACAGTAATAAAAAATACTGCTTCTTCCATGATGGAAGTGGTCTAACATAATTTACCAACGTAATTAACTGGCCACAAAGTAGCTGACTAATCACCTCAGGGAATGGTGCCTTATGGGGATTCAGTGTTGGTTCCTGCTGCTGGCGGATTGGTCACTCAGCAATGACCAAAATCTTGGCAAGTGAAAAATCCAGGTTGCTGAGCCCACGGAAAATCACCATGGCCACAATATCCACTTTGTCCATGAACCCAATGGCTGATGACAGCAGTGGCTAGAGAAAGAGGCTGACTGCTGTCCACAGATTGGGTCATCTTATCTGCTTGATCATTAAGATCTTCCTCTGCTGATGTCCCTTTTTGGTGAGAATTCACATGGGACACAAATATCTTCATGTTTTTTGCCCATTCATAGGATTTTATCCACATATCTCTTCTCCAAATTTCCTCATCACCAATTTTCCAATTATGTTCCTTCCACATCCCTGACCATCCAGCCAAGCCATAGGCCACAGCTCATGCATCAGTATATAATGGCAAGTCTGGCCATTTCTACTGCCAAGCAAAGTAAATAATCAGGAGCACTGTTTAAAATTCCTCCCATTGGGAAGAAGATTTCCTTTCATCACTGTCCTTCAGGGGTGCATCAGAAAGGGGCTGTAGTGATGTAGCTGTCCACTTTTGGGTGGTGCCTGCATATTGTGCAAAACCAAGGCTGTGAGAGAGAAGGTAGTATAGCAGAAGTGGAAGCCAATGGACATTTGGGCCACTTCCTCATGTAACTTACATGTGTGGCTCAGGGTCTTATTTGTTACTATTGCATACATAACACTTTCATTTGATAATAGAATACTGATGTGCATGCTCAGCTTTACAGCTTGGAGGATCAAATAACACGCAGTCCATGATAGGAAGCTCAGGTCTTAGGGTAATCTGGTGGTTTATGGTTAAGCATTCAGACTCTACTGAGGCCCAGTAGCAGGATAAGGGCTGTTTTACAAAAGGAGAGTAAGCAGTTATCTGCAGAATGGTAGGGCTTTGCTCCAACATTTTTTAGGGCCTGTGCTGTGATTAGCCTATGGGAGTCTACTAAAAGGTCCAAATGACATCCCTATCTGCCATTGACACTTCAAGCACCATTAGATCTTCTGTGTCATATGATCAAGAAGCATGGCAGATTGCACAGAAGACTGGACCTATTACATAGATTTCTTTTGTTCTGTGTCCCCAAACTAACAGCTTTTTGGGTCGCTACATTAATGGGCAGGAGTAAAAAACACAGATAAGAAGTAAGCTGCCTCCAAGATCCAAAGAGGCTCACCAGATGTTGTGCCTTTTTTTGTTTGTAGATGAGGCCAGATGCAATAATTTATCCTTTACCTTAGAAGGAATACTTGGATCCGTCTCATCACTGGATCCCTCAATATTTCACTAAGTTAAATGGCCGCTGAATTATTTTGGATTTGTTTTTCACCCTCTGACACATACGTGCCTTAACAATAACTCTAGAGTAGTTGCTATGTCTTTCTCATTAGGTTCTTACCAGTGTAATATTGTTTGAAAGAGAAAGATTCCTCCATACTAAATTATTACATAGTTCTGGATGGTTGATCTATCCGTGAGGTCCTAGGGCAGTGAAAGTGTGCTACTGGCCTTGCCAGCTGAAAGAAAATAGCTTCTGGTATTTACTAACAGATATCAAGAAAAAGCATTTGCTAGCTTAATAGCTGCATACCAGATACCAGGGGATGTGTTAATTTGTTCAAGAAATAAAACTACACCTGGTATAGTAGCAGCAATTGAAGTCATCACTTGGTTAAACTTGCAATAATCCATCATCATTCTCCAAGATTCGTCTTACTTCTGCACAGGCCAAACAGGAGAACTGAATGGGGATACAGTGGGAATATACATCCCTACATCTTTCAGGTCTTTGATGATGGCACTAATCTTGGCAATCTCTCAAGGAATGCAGATTTGCTTTTAACTATTTTACTAGGTAAAGGCAGCCTTAGTGGCTTCCACTTGACTTTTCTTACCATAATATCATTTATTCCATGGAAAGGAAACCAATATAGGGATTCTGCCACATGCTAAGTAGGTCCATTCTAATTATCCATTTTGAAACTAAGGAAATAACCACAGTAAACTTTTGTGGACCCACTGCGTGAGATGGACCTGAGCTATCTAACCTCCATTAGTCTCTACACTGACTGGTGGACCACAGTGATATTTTGGGTATCCTGGGGTTACTGTCAGGTTACAACCAGGCTCTACTAGTCCCTAAAAATTCTGATTATTTCTTTTTCCACATTGCACAGCTTCCCTGGTAAAAGGCCATAGGTCCCATGGGGAAGGCTGGGAGAAACATTAGGAATGTAACTTTTTGGCAGTGTACCAGTGTCCTTTCTCAAAAGAGGACAGCCTCCCCTTCAATCAAAGGGTTCTGGGTTGGTAAACCGGCTCAAATTTGGGAAATAATTGAGGGTCTGTGTCTCTCTGTTTTTATGACTTACATTAGACTTTGGTTCACATGACCTAGAATTTTCTGCTTACAGATTATATAAGAATTTAGTAGGTTTCCTGTCTATTTCACATCTACGAACGCCATGATCAACTAGTCAACACCATATGTCTGCATAAGTCAGGCTCTTCTGATTGTTGCTTTGACCCTGCTCTTCATTACAGACATCATCCACATCTTGCATATGGTAGCTGAGTACTGCTGCTTGTCCCCATACCCCTCTTGAATCCAATTATTCCCATTGCATTTAGGTTTCCCAACTTGGTGACTGCGTTCCACACTGTAAGGTCTGGTCTAGAGAGAGGAGCAATTATAGAGCTGTTCAAGGATGCCAGGATCTCCCCACATAGTTGTGAAAGGTATATCTTCTGCACCCTCACTCCCCGACCCTCAGTGTTGGTGGGTATTTCTTAAATAACAAGTCTACTCTAACATCTCAATCTCTTTATGCCTTAGAAGCTTTACAATTAAACCAAGTCAGGTCAACCATTTATAATTTGCTCACTGTGGGCCACCTTTTGGCCCATGTCTTAACCAACCAAGCAACCAGAACTTTAGAGCCCTTTCTGCCTCCCCAAATGCAACATTAAATGCAGAATCTCTGCATAGTGAACCCATATCAACAAATTCATCCTGCTTCAACTTTATGTTCCTTCCATCATTGTCTCACATCCTTCAGGATATTAATATCCATTCCCACACATATTTCCTGTATTTTTGTCTCGATAAATTAAAAAAAAAAAAAACCTCCTGTAGTTCTTTGGAAGTGTAGCATACCTCCTCATGGCGAACTCTTTGTACCTCAGCTTTAGGGGCCTGCCTTGACTTCGGTCAAGTTATATAGGTCTAAAAGCACAAAGGGGTAATAGAGGTGGGTACTAGGGAGAGTCAGAATTATCTTGCATGGCAACTGCCTCAGTGGAGTTCATTACAGTTTCCTCAAAAAAATGTAGGGTTAATACTCTCCAATGTGAGTGAAAATGCCACTTTCACCAGGAGTGAAAAGGCTGCTTCCACTGGGGGTGTGGATATCTCTTCACTGGTAAAGAGGACTCATCAGAATTTAGGGGCTCAGTGTCCCTAGTTCATCAGGGTTTTCCCACAAATCCCCATTCCAACTTATAGGACCTCTTTTTTTTTTTTTCTACTGAACGCTCTCACGTAGACAGTAGGTATCCTGTAAGGCTGGGAGTTCAACTTGTATTGTAATTCAGGCAGTTGTAGGATGGGATCCTGAATTTGACTTTCAGCAGTCTTAGCCCCACAGCTAAAGAAGATAAGGGTCTCCTTTTAAGCACACATGGAAACATTCAATTCATTTCTGCAGTGCTGGAGCTGGGAATTAAAATCCCTGAGCTCATCCTTTTCTTTCATCACTTTATCCAGCAACATTAAGAATAATCATCCAACCTCATTATATTCATTAGTTTTCCAAAAATGTTTGGAAGTATTATATAAAGAGTCATCAAGCTTTTGGCTTTTTTAATATGTGTTTGAGTGTATCTAATATAGATATTTTGCTTATCTCTATTGCCAGATCACACCATGGACTATCATTGCTTTCTTTACTATTAGAAATGGAGTCATTGGCATTTTAAAACCTAATCAGATTAGAGATCCAATTCCAGGAACCCCAGAACCAATTCAGACAACTCATCTTTAAAATTCTCTTCCTCTGGAGTCGTTCTCAATACCAAAATCTATATTAGTTTTGGTTCCCCAGAGAAATACATACACATACACATAAGTATATAATGATTTACTATAAGGAATTGAAAGAACTGACTCATGTGACTATAGAGGCTAAGAAGTCCCAGGATCTGCAGTCGGCAAGCTGGAGACCTAAGAAAGCTGCTGGTATACTTCCAGTCTGATTTCAAAGTCAAGAGAAGACAGATATTACAGCTTGAGTCAAGCAGAAAGAGCAAGTTCTCTCTTATTCTCCCATTTTGTTCTATTCGTATCTTCAGTGGATTACATGAGGCCCACCACATTGGTGATGACAATCAGCCTTACTCAATCTACTGATACAAACATTAATATCATCTAGGAACATTCTCACAGACATGCCCAGAATAATGTTTAACCAAATGTCTGAGCACCTCATGGCTCAGTCAAATTCACATATGTTATTTTTTGCTTTTTCAAGATGGAAAATTAGTGGTTTTCAGTACACCCCAGTCACTTGAAAGTAGCAAGATAGTGCATAAAGATTAACTCTGTGAGCTTTAATTCAAGAAGGAAAATGGGAATCCACAAGATTAATGAAAGATGAAAATGCAGGCAAATAGCCCCTGTGATGGCATCTGGCTGATAAAAGTGAGTAAAGCTCCAGTAAACAAGAGAGGGTCCACTGGGGATCTGAGCAACCCAGGCTGAGGGAGAGCACTTTGTTTCTCCAAAGCCCTGAAGCTAACTTGGGGAGACGAATGGAGATGTTGTGCAGAAAAGACACCAGGAAAAGCTACAGTAATTTTCCAAAGAACTGAGACCAAGAGTAGGTAATAATTTTTAATCAAGGTGCATACAAAGCCAGCTGATATGGCCGTGTGGCCATGTACCCATCTTAGTCTCTGGCCAGAGATTGGGTCATATGATCTGAAGCAGGATAGGGGCCTCCACAGTTAGAAATATATAGAGTGCCTCATTGGTGGGCACTGAAATTTTTCTTTTCCCTATCACAAGCCTGGGTGGTGAGGAGAGCTGCTACAGCTATAGTTTCTATTAGATGACGAGACTTGTGATCAGGGACAGCTTGGTAATCTGGGATTGGTCTGCATGTGTCATTGCTGAGTGCTCTAACCAGCTCTACTGAAATTGTGATGCAGTGGGGCCTTCTGCACACCACCCCCAGGCAGAAATTCAGGCATTTGGAGCAGTTGCTTGCCTGGGCCAGAAACCTGAGTTGCCCCACCCTTTATGAATATAGATTGTGGTGCAGTGGGGAAGTCTCTGCTCAATGCCCAAGCAGATCTTCAGGCATTTGAAACACTTACTTCCCTGGTTCAGCAGCTTATGGTACCCCACCCTTCCTGGGCATACGTCATGGTGTAGCAGGGCCCTTTCTCCACACCTACGCAAATCTTCAGAAATTTGCAGCACCCATTCACCTGAATCAGCAACCTGACCTGCCCTACCCTTCCTGTGCAGAGATCCTGGTGCAAAGAGGCCATCTCCACTTCACGTCCAGGCAAATATCCAGGCATTTGAATCACCCATTATTTTGGTTCAGCAATCTGAGACACCACCACCCATCCTGGACATAAATTGTGTTGCAGCGAGGCCCTTTTTGCTGCATACTCAGGCAGATTTCCAGACATTCAAACACCTCCTTGCCCAAATTGGCCATCTGAGTCACCCTACCCCTCCTGTGCAGAGATCTTGGTGCAGTGGCCCCCGCTCTCTAACTTTTTTTTTGTTTTTGAGATGGAGTCTTGCTCTGTTGCACAGGCTGGAGTGCAGTGGTGCAATCTCAGCTCACTGTAACTTCCACCTCCCGGGTTCAAGTGATTCTCCTGCCTCAGCCTCCCTAGTAGCTGGAATTACAGGCATGCACCACTACGCCTGGCTAACATTTGTATTTTTAGTAGAGATGGGGTTTCACCATGTTGACTAGGCTGGTCTTGAATTCCTTACCTCAAGTGATCCACCTGCCTCAGCCTCAAAAGTGCTGGGACTACAGGCATGAGCCACCGTGCCTGGCCATGCAGTGGGCCCTTTTTGGTCCATATACAGGCAAATTTCTAGGCATTCAGAACACCCACTTGTTTGGAACAACAGCCTGAACCACCTTACTCTTTCTATGCAGGGATCCTAATATGGGGGGAGCTTCTTTATGCTTAGGAAGATCTTTAGACATCTGGAACACCCACTCTCCGGGCACAGGAGCCTAGGTCACCCCCTATCCTCATGCAGAGGACTTGGGGCTAAGGAGGTTTCCCAGTTCCATCTCTAGGCACAACCCTGGGTGCTTGGTGGCCCCCCACTGGATTCTCCCTCAGCCCTGGTGCTTTTGCTGACATCAAGGGATCTGCATGTGGACCTTCCCAGTCTGGATCTGCCCATTTTGCACCCTGCCCCCACTACCTGGGGGCTGAGGAGTGAGCTCAGATCACAGTGCACTCCAGGAATCAGGCCATTGCCTGAGGCAACAGACAGCTTCTCTTAGTAAACAGGAATCAAGTGCATACCCAGCTTCCTTGGCCACAGCTGGCTCTTACCCCTAAGTGCTATCTACTGGATTATAGTTCTAACTGCACAGTCCAATACAAAACCTTCCAAGGGAAGTGCATAGTTCCATAGAAGCAAAGTCAAAAGACCATACCTACCAGCATTATCTACAGTCACACCCCTTAGAGAGTAGAGGAAAGGGAAAGAGAAAGAAGAAAAATAATAGTATTATAGGGAAAGGAAGAAATAGAAGTTATTCTACCTACATGAAAATAATTACAATAATTAAGAAGTTCGAGAAGGAATCAGTGCAAGAATTCTGGAAACATGAAAAATCTAAATGTAGTGACACCACCAAAGGATCACACTAGCACTTCAGCAATGGTCTCTAACCAAAATAGAAACTCAGAAATGACAGATGAATTCAAAGCATAGATTTCAAGGAAGCTCAACAAGATCCAAGAAAAAGTTGAAAATCAACACAAAGAAACTGCTAATGCAATCTTGGAAATGAAGGAAGAGATAAACATCTTAAAAAGGAGTCAATAAATCAACCAGATCTAGAAATGAAAAACTCAACTAAGGAATTTCAAAATACAATTGAAAGCTTTATGATAGACTAGACCAAGCAGAATAAACAATTTTAGAGCTTGAAGATGAGTTTTTGAACTAACCCAGTCAGACAAAAATAAGATAAAAGAACTTTATAAAATGAGAGAAATCTTTGATGAATATGGGATTATGTAAAGTGACAAAACCTGTGAACCACTGGTATTCCTGGTAAAGAAGAAGAAAAATAAAACACCTATAAAAAATATTTGAGGGAATTATTCATGACAGTTTCACTAATCTTGCTAGAGAACTTGTCATCCAGATACAAAACATGCAGAGAACATCTGTGAGATACTATACAAAACAAACATCACCCAGGCATATAGTGACTAGACTTCTCAAGGTCAACCTCCATTAAAAAATACTAAAATCACCTAGAGAAAAAGTTAGATCATGGACAAAAGCAACTCCATTAGTCTAACAGTGAACTTATCAGGAGAAAATCTGAAATGTAAGGAGAGATTGGGTCTCTATTTTTAGCCTTCTTAAATAAAAGAATTTCCAGAACGAATTTCATATCCTGCAAAAATAAGCTTCATAGGTGAAGGAAAAATAAAATCTTTTCCAGACAAGCAAGCACTGTGGAAATTTGTTACCACTATACCAGCCTCACAAGAGGTCCTTGAGAGAATTCTAAACATGGAAGTGAAAGAACAATGCCTGCTAACACAAAAACACAGATACATAGCTCATAGACCCTATAAAGCAAATCACACAATAGAAACCACAAAGCAACCAGCTTACACCTTCATGATAGAATTAAAACCTTACACATTAATATTAACTGTACATGTAAATGGTTTAAATGTCATATTTAAAAGGCACAGGGTGGCACATTGGATAAAAACCAAGACCCATCTGTCTGCTGTCTTCAAGAGACCCATCTTATATGTAAAGACACCCATAAGCTCAATGAAAAAGGTTGGAGACAAATCTACGACACGAGCAGAAAAAAAAAAGCAAGGGGCACTCTTGTTATATCAAACAAAGCATACTTTATACCAATAACAGTGAAACATGACAAAGAAGGACATTACATAATGTTAAAAGTTTCAATTCAGCAAGAAGACTTTAGAATCCTAAATATATATGCACCTAGCATTAGAGTACCCAGCATCATAAAACAAGTACTTCTAGACCTACAAAAAGACTTATTTAATCATAGTGTAGGATTTCACCTTCCCACTGACACTTACATCATTGAGGCAGAAGACCTAATATATTTTGGACTTAACTTTGACAGTTCACCAATTGGAGCTAATAGAAAGCTACAGAACCCCCATTAACACAGAATATATATTCTTTTCATCTGCACAAGGAACATACTCTAAGATTGACCCCAGACTAGAAAGCAAGTCTCAGTACATTTTTAAAAATCAAAATTATACCACCCATACTCTTGGACCACAATGGAATAAAAATAGAAATCAATACCAAGAAGATCTCTCAAAATTGCACAATTAAATGGAAATTAAACAACTTGCTCCTGAATGACTCTTGGGTAAACAAAATTAAGGCAGAAATCAGAAAATTCATTGAAATAAATAAAAACAGAGACACAGTAACTAAGATCTCTAGGATGCCACAAAAGCAATGTTAAGAGGAAAGTTTATAGCACTGAACACCTACCTCAAAAAGTTGGAATGATCTCAAATTAATGACCTAATATTCCACCTAGAACAAATTAAAAAATAATAAACTGACCCCAAAGCTAAGAAAATAAATAACTAAAATGACAGCAGAACTGAACAAAATTGACATCCAACTAGTCATACAAAGAGTCAACAAAACCAAAAGTTATTTTTTAAAAAAAGATAAGCAAGATCAATGGACTGTCAGCTGGACTGACATAGAGAAAAGAGAAAATATCCAAATAAGCGCTATCAGAAATGACAAAGGTGACATTAAAACCAATCCCACAGAAATACAAAAGATCCTCAGGTACCATTATGAGCACCTCTACACACAGAAAATAGAAAATCTACAGGAAATGGATAAATTCTTGTAAGGAAACAACCTCCCAATTGTATCAGAAAGAAATTGAAACCCTGAACAGACAGATGTTGAGTTACAAAATTTAATCAGTAATGAAAGAAGCTTGCCAATGGTAAAAAGAAGTCTCTGGATCAGATGGATTAACAGACAATTTCCATCAGACATACAAAGAAAAGCTGGTATCAATTCTACTGAAACTACTCCAAAAAATTGTGGAAGAGGAACTCCTCCCTAACTCATTCTAGGAAGTCAGCATCACTCTGATATAAAAATCTGGCAAAGACACAATGAAAAGACAACACTATAGACCAGTAACCCTGATAAACATAGACATAAAAATCCTCAACATAATACTAGCAAACTGAATTTGGCAATACATCACAAAGTTAATTCATCATAATCAAGTAGGCCTCATTCCTGAGATGCAACATTGGTATAACATACCAAAATCAATTAATACGATTCACCACATAAACAGAATTAAAGGCAAAAACCATATGATCATCTCAATAGGTAAAGAGAAAGCTTTTGATAAAATCTAACATTCTTTCATGATTAAAAAAAAAGCCCTCAAGAAACTAGGTGTCAAAGCAACATACCTCAAAATAATAAGAGCCATCTAGGAAAAGACCAAAGCCAACATCATACTGAATAGAAAAAAACAGGAACCATTCCCTTTGAGAACTGCAAGGCAAGGATATCCAGTCTCACCACCTATTTAACACGGTATTCAAATCCCTTGCCAGAGCAATCAGGTAAGAGAAAGAAATAAAAGGTATCCAAATAGGAAAAGAAGAAGTCAAACTATCTCTCTTCACTGATGATATGATTCTATTGTGAGAACACCCAAAGGATTCTGTTAAAAGACTCCTAGAACTGATAAATGACTTCAGTAAAGTTTCAGAATACAAAATCAATGAACAAAAAATGTGTAGCATTTCTATACACCGTAATGCTTAAGCTAACAGACAAATCTCGAATGCAGTCCTGTTTACAATAACCTCAAAAAAACCCTGTACAAATACATCTAAACAAGTAGGTATAATATCTGTACAAAATTTCAAAACACTAATGAAATAAATCATAGATGACACAGATAAACGAAAATACATTCCCTGCTCGTGAATTGGAAGAATCAACATCACTAAAATAGCCACACCGTCTAAAGCAATCTACAGATTCAATGCTATTCCTATGAAGATATCAATATTATTATCCACAGAACTAGAAAAAAATTATTTAAAATTTATATGGAACCAAGAAAGAGCCCAAATAGCCAAAGCAATCCTAAGCAAAAAGAACAAAGCTGGAAGCATCACATAACCAAGCTTGAAACTATACTATAAAGCTATAGTAATCAAAACAGCATTGTACTGGTACAAAAACAGGTGAATAGATCAGTGGAGCAGAAGAGAGAACACAAAAATAAAGCCACACAACTACAGCCATCTGATCTTTGACTAAGGCAACAAAAATAAGCAATGGGGAAAGAAAGGACTTCCTACTTAATAAATAGTGCTGTGTAAGCTGGCTGGCCATATGCAGAAGAAGGAAACTGAACTTCTATATTTCACCATATACAAAAAATAGCTCAAGATGGATTGAAGATTTAAATGGATTACCTCAAACTATAAGAGTCCTAGAAGAAAACTTAGAGAACACCATTCTGGGCATTGGCCTTGGGAAATAATTTATGACTATGTCTTCAAAAGCAATTGCAAAAAAAAAATGCAGAAATAAACAAGTGTGACCAAATTAAACTAAAGTCCTTCTGCAAAGTAGAAGAAACTATCAACAGAGTAAACAGACAACCTTCAAAATGGAAAAAAAAAAAATCTACCAACAGTGCACCCAACAAAGGTCAAATATCCAGAATCTATAAGGAACTTACACAAATCAACAGGCAAAAAACAAATAACCCAATTAAAAAATGGGCAAAGGAAATGAACAGGCACTTCTCATGAGAAGATATACAAGCTTCCAACAACACATGAAAAAATGCCCCGCATTACTAAGCATCAGATAAATGCAAATCAAAACCACAATGAGATACCATCTCACACCAGTCATAACGGCTAATATAATACTAAAAAGTCAAAAAACAGTAGATGCTGGTGAGACTGTAGAGAAAAAGGAATGATTATACACTGCTGGTGAGAATGTAAGTTAGTTCAGCTGCTGTGTAAAGCAATTTGGAGATTTTTCAAAGAACTTGACATTGAACTACAATTCAACCTAGCAATCCCATTACTGGGTATATACCCAAAGGAATATGAATTGTTCTACCTTAAAGACAAATGCATATTTATGTTCATTGCAGCACTATTCACAATGGCAAAGTCATGGAATCAATTTAGGTGCTCATCAACAGTGGACTGGATAAAGAAAAATGGTACATATACACCATGGAATACTATGCAGCCACAAAAAGGATGAAATTATCTCCTTTGCAGCATCATGGATGTAGCTGGAGGCCATTATCCCAAGTGAATTAACCAGCAACAAACAGAAAGTAAAATAATTCATGTTCTTGCTTATAAGTGGGAGCTAAACAATGCGTCCTCATGGATATAAAGATGGCAACAATAGAAACTGGGGACTACTAGTTGGGGGAAGGAAGAAATAAAGCAAGGGTTGAAAGTGAACTACTGGACACTATGCTCAATACTGGGTGATGGGATCATTTGTACTCCAAACTTCAGCATCATGCAGGAAACCTGCACGTGTACCCCACAAATCTGAAACTGAATCTAAAATAAAACTTAAAATTATAGAATTTTTTTTAATTCATGAATAAATGTAGCCATCACACAATGTCAAAGGAAAAAAGCTCTATGATGAGCAGATAAACATTTCAAGTTCTTTTTCATCTGGGTAAATAGTGTTTTTCAATATCTCTCTACTGTTGTCACCACCCATCATCTTCAACTTTTCTTCCAAGCCTTCATTTTCTATTATCATCTCTAGGACTCTTCCAACAGGAAGCTAAAATATGTATAGTTTTAAGTTCACTGGCCTATAGTATATTGTCATTTACCAAAAGCACCCTCACAAAGTTCACCAACAACATACTAATAAACAATTCTGCATACTCTGCTCCATTCTAAATCTCTCCAAACTCCATACATAGTGACCAACTTCATTCTCTGAAGCCTTATCCCATAGAGCAATATTACTTTTAGTTTATCTGTATGTGTCTGTCTTCACTCACTTTCTTCTATGCTTACTTTCCATCCTTATCACCCATAGACATAGATCTTTTCTAGGTATTTTTCTTTTCTGCTTCCACATTTTTACCTCTTATCTTTTCATAATTTTATGTCTTTCTCCTCCTGGTTCTTAACTTTGTGTATAGATATCATTCTCAAAGATCTCCATTTTTTCTTATATTTAGATACTAGTGAATTATTTTTTTCAATAATTCCATTAAAAAGCATTTGAAATGAAAATACTCATGATGGTTAGAAATAACTACCCAAGAATAAACTTATCGTTTGGCTAGAGAATGTCAAAAAAGCTAGCAAGTATTCAGGGATCTCTTGTGATGAATCACCTGGATTTCAATTAATGTAACTCATATATTAAAATGCATTTCAGAAGAAAAGGGAATATGCAAGAATATGGAAAATAGATTACCTTGTTAGAAGCTAAATTGATTAGCTTGATTTTATGGCAGTAGGCAAATATATAAATTAAATGGTGAATTATAATCCCAAACTTTACATAAAAGTCTCCATCATTTTGTGTAAAAGCATAGTAAAAATATCTTCAGAAGCTGTGAAGCACTGCCATTATGTTTATGTTCACTAAGCCGTGTACCATAATTATTTAACTACAGTTTCAATGTTTTCATGTATGCAGAATTGCTGATGCCATTAGAAACTCAGTATTATTGTGTTCTTTTTCAATTACCTGAGCATCCCCTGAGTCCAGGAGGATAAATAAATTTTCAAAGATTGCTGACTCTCTCACCCTATTAGGAAAGATTGTGTCTACTCTTTCTACTACATAAACCTATTTTTATTGGTGTTTGTTCAGTGACTTCAGATTTTTATGAAGTCAGTAATTAAAAACTTTTTAAAATTTAAATATAAGGAGCAGATATATATTATCTCCCTACTAATACATTATGTAACTCTTTGTACAAAATTAAGGTCTTTAGAATATAAATATTCCTTGTGTTATCCAAATGATGCTTTTGTTTTTACTCTCTGACAGTGAGGGCACTTGTTTACTTGTTCCAAGGAGAATATACGAAGGGCAAATAAGTTCCACACATGTGGAATTTAAATAAGAAATAAATATAAATTGTTCTCATGGCATACACTTTTAAAAATAAGCCTTTGCTGTGGTTATTTCATTATCTGATTAGTTATATAATTTATATATTTTACTCTCAGTCACAGGTATTTAATTAGCTTCTGTCTGGAGAAAGGAATATGAACAATATGATCCTGAACGTTAGTCTTTATTCTATTGTCAAAATTTGACTTTATGGAACACAGGAATATCAAGAATAAAAAATGCATTTTTCATTCATGATTTTTAATAATAGTAAAAGCCAAATATTTTATTTTCAGTAAAAAATATTTAGTCAAAAAATCTAAAGTAGAGAAAGATAAATGTCTTTCACTCTGTGCTATGGTCGCAATACTTAAAAGTGCCTATTTACTTAGCATAGTAATGTGTCAGGCATAGTCTTCAGAACTTTACAGGTGTTGTCACTTTAAATAATTTCAGTAACCCTTTTAGGGAGATCTTATCACCCAGATTTTTTTTTAGTGAGAAAAATAAACCTCAGAGAGATTTTTAAACTTGTCTGTATTGTTCAGCTAAGAATAAATATAAAAAGTGTTAAACCCAGATTTAAAAGGGGGTCTTTCTGACACCATCTCTGACTGTATGAGAGCAAATTTGTAATACAAAGTAAAGAAATATCATGAGCTCATAGTTGGTTATAGCATCTTCAAATGTAAATGGTTATAGCATCTTCAAATGTAGATGCCTCTGATTCTATTAATTTAATAAATAAAATTATCATGTATTTTATTTTTGTTGTATTCCATTTGTCAGTTGCTGATGATGCACAAATGATTAACACACACTATTTCTTCCTAAAGGACTTTTTTGCATATTTTGATGCATATTAGAAAGTGCCATTTGACACAGAATGTTAAATGACCTCTCCAGAATTCACCCTCCCCTTCTTCATACTAACAAAAATCAATTTTATTTGAATGGAACATGTGCCCAGTTAAATTATAACATTTCTTTTTCTCTTATGCAGATAACTGTGGCCACATGATAAAGATTAGGCCATTGAAGTTTAAAATCTAGTAAAGGAGAACGGATACATTGGCTTGCCCCTTTGCCTTTTTTCCCTTTATATTCCTCTTTTTTATGCCTGAGATGCAGATATGATATCTTGAACACCAACTGCTATGTTGCAAGCATGCAAATAAAAACCACTTTCAGGAATGAAAGAACAGAGCTGTACAAGGAATGTGTGCCCTGAAAATAATGTTGAGCTCCTTTGGCATCATGTACTCATCTATACCACTGCTGTATCACTTAAAGGTTAAATTGCCACATGTAACAGAAAACCAAAACATCAGTAGCTTAAGTAAGATACAGGTTTATTTTTTCAAACAAATGAACCCAGAAATCCCCAGACACTTTAAAGAAAGTAGATTGTTCCTGCAGGACTCCTGGGACAGCCCAAATATTGGGAGTGCTCAAACTGTGAAAGCAGGAAAGGGGGATGATCAGCCCCTCAACACACACCCTCACTGGGGAACCTGAAGGTACAGGTAATGGAAAGATTTGACCTTACCTGGATCTGAGACAACTTAGAGAGCCGAGCAAAATACAGGTTAGAGGAAGCAGCAGGAAAAAGCCCTGTGGGCTTCTGGGTCCCCAGGGAAGCCATTTCTGATTTGTCTCAGTGGTCCCTGGGGAGGGCTGCCAGAGGAACTGGAAAAAGACCACAGAGAGAAGCAAACCTCTAGCAGAACTTTGTAACAATCCCAACCAAATGTGAAGTTTCCTGGCCAGAACCCAGGGGAGGGCTTGAATCTGATGTGCAGACTTGGCAGGGTGGGAGAAGCAAAAGCCCTGCTTGCTTTCTCCAGGAGGCTGAGAGCCTGGGGCAAGTTCTCAGCCGTGCTTGCCCACTGCCAGGAAACAGACTCAGTCAGTGCTGTTCGGTGGGGAGCACAGTGGGAGTGAAACCAGCCCTTTTGGTTGTGTGGAACCTGGGTGAGGTCTGTAACTTCCGGCTTCTCCCCCGCCCCCCAACACCCCTTCTCTGACAACCTGCATGGCACAGCAGAGGTACCTAAAATCCTTTGGGAACATTAACTCCATTGACCTGGGAACCACACCCCCAAACCCCACAATGGTGGCAGCAAGCCTCGCCCAAGGAGAATCTGAGCTCAGACATGTCTAATTCTACCCCCACTTGATGGTCCTTCCCTACCCACTCTGGTAGCTGAAGACAAAGGTAATATTCTCTTACAAATTCTAGGGCCTAGCCCACAGCCTGGTCCTCCCTATACTACCACAGCTGATGCTCTTGAAAGTGTCACCTCCTGGCAGGAGGCCAACCAGCACAAAACTAGTACAATAAAGAACAATAATACATCTAAGGGCTTTTACAGAGTCCCTTTACCTCCCCAGCCACCTCCATCAGAGAAAGTGTTGGTATCCATGGCTGAGAGACCTGAAGAGGGTCCGCATCACAAGGCCCTATGCAGAAACCCTCAGTACCAGCAAAGGGCCTGCTAGCCCTACTTACTGGGTGACTAGATCTGGAAGAGAAATAACAATATCACTAGAGTTCAGCTCTCAGGAAGCCACATCCTTTGTAAAAGGAGGAGAGTATTACATCAAGGGAGAACCCTGTGGGATAAAAGAATCTGAACAGCAGCCTTGAGCCCCAGATCTTCCCTCTTGACATACCCTATACAATGAGAAGGAACCAGAAAAACAACACTGGTAATATGACAAAACAAGGTTCTTTAACACCCTCATATAATCATACTAGCTCAGAAGTAATGGATCGAAACCAGAAAGAAATCTCTGAATTGCCAGAAAAAGAATTCAGAGGGTTGATTATTAAGCTAATGAAGAAGGCACCTGAGAAAGGTGAAGTCCACCTTATGGAAATCCAAAAAATGATACAAGATATGAGGGGAGAAATCTTCAGTGAAATAGTAAATAAAAAACAATCACAACTTCAGGAAATAAGGACGCATTTAGAGAAATGGAAAATGTACTGGATCTTCTTCATAAAAACTTAAGAAGGAAGTCCATCCAGAGGTAAAAACATGCATAATTTGAATAATAAAAGTGAAGTACCATCACACTTGTATTTTATACAAGAACAATAAAAATTTTTAGATACAAGTCCTGTTAAAGTTCTATGAAAGCGCAAAACTTTATTTCAAGCAATAACATGATTAAGCAAAGTTTTGTTTTGTTATTAAGGATAAAGAGGTTCCATAAATTTACCCTCACTAAAAATGACTAAGATGTGTTTTCTACTCAATGTCGTATTATATTAATCATTTATGTTTCTCAGAACTACTTTCTCCTGACTAGGTGGCAGAAAGGAAGCTCACGAAATTATTCTAGGCCTTCATTAAAAATGGATGTTTCACTAACACAGCTATTGCTGCTAACCAACAGCAAAATGGTGACAGCAATTTCTCACTTACAAGTATTTGACAATTGGCGTGAACATTAAAAGCCCTCAAAATTTGTATTTGCTTTTTTGGAAAATAATGAAAAAGTTAACATTATGTCAAGCTATCTAACTGATCACATTAGATTGGATTTATGCAAACTCCTCCGTGGATTTTTGAAAGCTATTTTCCCATCTCCAACTGCCCCAGTATATTGTAAACTTTTAATTGTTTTAATTTATGGAATAACTTTAATTATAATGTGAATCTATTAAATTTCCTTCAAACAATAATTTACTTCTTGAGATGGTGATGGTGATATAGGAAATCCACATATATGACAGATCATAGCCAAGGTTTTACTAGCAGGGGCTTAAAGAATTTGAAAAAGGAAAAAAATATTAATAAAGTGTTTATTCCATGTACATTTCTTACTTGGAGTCCTCATATAAACCCTTCTAGGGTCTCAGCTTTGCATCTTTCATTTTCTACTGGGAAACTTAAGAATTTGGAATTGAGGAAAGCCCCCCATAAATCACTAAACATAGAAGTGGATTCAAAGCTATTTAGAAGCTAAATAGCCTTTCTCTATCTGAAAATTCACTTCACATCTGAAAATTAAACATCTTTGCCTTATTGATTTTTATATATTCATTTTCAAATAAGTTAAAGATCATTTTACACATACTCATATTGGGCTGTAGTTTTTCTTTTTCAGCTAGCAAACATAGGATATTGTGTTTATCCTTTTATTTCCCCACATATGTGGACTGAATATTATCCTAACTCAGACTATTGTTGGCTGAAGCACATTTATATTTGCACTGTAAAACCAAAGTTACAGCAGTTAATCTAAAAGGTCAGTCCATGAAGGATTATCTAAGGCAAAGTTTAGCATATAGAAGTCAAAGATCATGCAACTTCCCTGCTGGACCCTCTGTCAAGCCATGCTTACTGTCACCATATGGTTGTACACAAAAAGAAACCATTAAGAGGCTGGGGAAGAATCAGTGGAATTGCCAGCATAGATAAGGATCTGACACTCCTGCTGTGTGTTCACAATAAACCAACTTACCTATTCAATTCTACAATTTAACTGTAACACTAGGTCATACTGTGCATGGAGTTGCAAGTCTCTTTGTTTTTAGCAAAATGCCTTTTCACTAAATAGCCATGCATGCTGCCTGGATATTATTCCATTTATCCTTATGATAGTCTCATGAGGAAGGCAAATGACAAGGCTCATAATTTTTACCTTATGAAAGGGAGAGGTGTCAAAGGTGAAAGGAGACCTATTATTTTATCACATGCGAAATAAAAATAGAGCACATAAGAATATTTATATATGATAAATGCTCTTTTATTATAGTTATATTTCCATTTGGAGGTATGTAAAGGTTATAACTGATATGTGATTTTTAATCTTTGACTCTATTTGTATGTATACATTTTTTGTCTTCAAAAAAGTCCATATCTAGTGATACTGTTGGTACAACTAACTAAATAAACACTAATGCTATGTGTTTACATAAAAACTGTTAAAGATTGACTAGTGTAAAATTCCCTGTCAAAAATTTTAAGAAAAATATCTATGGAATGTTTTAAATTATTTATAGAGATTGGAATACTTAAATTCTTGTTTTGTAAATCATACATTATAAAATCTAAAACCACTGGTTTGCTGGAGCTGGCTTGTGTCAACTCTGAGAGCAGATTGTTAAATTTGAGTTATGCAAGCTGGTTGTCAATACAGCCATTATAACATACACACACTCATATGCATATACATAATATACAATCATATTAAAGATACAAGTAATAAATACTAAATCTTATTTTCTAATTATGTCATTGCATGTTGCTATTCTCTATGTTCTTGAAGATAATAATAGCTATCATATCTGTATGTTTAAAATACTATATGACATTCTGCTATTGAGCATCTCTTCCCACCATCACTTTCAGTGAAATCACCTTGGTAGCTTGAAGTCGACCATGGTAGAAGTATTTACGCCACTACAATCAGCAAATTCTACACATCGGAACTTGATTTATATATTTTTTTTATTCGTTGTCTAAATCAGGAGTCAGTAAACTACCACCTGTGGGTCAACTGCCAGTTTTAATAAAGTGTTATTGGAACTTTTCACTCTAATGGCAGAGTTGAATACTCGCAATAAAGACCATATGGCTGACAAGCCTAAAGTATATACCGTACGGTCCTTTAAGAATTTTGCAAAATCCTTGTCTGGGCTGAAGAAAACAATAGATACATGTTGGTAATGCAGCTGAAATTTAAAAGTATGTGGCATCATTAGCCATTACTTTATGAATAACATGAAGGAATTAGAAACTATTCTTTCATTATTTTGATAATTCAGCAAAGAAATCTCTAACATCATTGATGAAAGAGTGAAGTCCCAATATATGTCTTCTTTGTTTTACTTGCACCTTGCTCATGAAGGTAAACAAAAATATCCACCAACATTTATGTCAGATCTACATTTATTTATCACCTACAACTAGAGTTGTTAATGGATATAAGAGTTCAGCAAAAATCAACAAAAGCATATTGTTGGAATCAGTTGTCTATATGAAATTAATAATAAATTATAGTGGATATTTTAATATTTGTACAGTGTGTCACACAACATTTTTATCTGTAAAATTTTAGTAAAGATATATGTATGTGCATATATAGGTAGTTGTTTTGAGAGCCATTGTTATCCATTTACCAGCACTCCACTTTCTAAAGCTATGCTCCTTACTTCCCTTAAAAGTACTTCAAAGGTATCTAGCTGCATTACATATTATACAACTGTACTATAATACATACTATATGAATACCTAACACAATGTGCAGTTTTATCATGCATTTTTTATGTTAGTTACCAAATGATTTACAAAATTGGCTACATGAGTTTATTCTCTATTTCAAATTAAAATTATTGAAATCTGGAATTAAAATATTGGAAAAATTTATGCAAAGAAAAAGCTTGATTGTTATGCTAAGAAGATATTACACCATTGCAATTTTCTAGAAAAATTGTAATACTAATTTGAATACAGCTTAATACATTGGTTTAGTTGTGTATTGAAAGGCTGCCATTTTAGTTACAATGGATTTTTAAAAAATAACTATCAAATGCCTGTTACATTTTTTATTTGATCATTAATGAGTAACATCAAACATATAAATAGCCTGAAAGTCACTCTTTAGTGTATAGTCTTATGGATAAAAATATATATACTCTATCTTTCTGTACAATCAAGAAGCCAAGATTTATTACTTTCATTTTTCACAAAATAGCAAAAATCACCTTATTAATAGATTGCCACTGTAAAGACTGAATTACTTTCTCATCTAGTTAGGACTCCAGGTGGAGTCAATAATTTCACATTCATTGAGAGAAATGAAAAGAGACTATAATCCAGAGCTGCGTAATTCAGTATCTCAAAGAATTTCATATTCAGCGTGAACCTACCAAGCTTACTTAATGAGTATTTCATTGTTGAATGACCCCCTTGCAGTTTGATTGTGAGTGTGCTATTCTATAGTGCATTTCAGAAATTAGATTTTGAAGCTTTAATGAAAGTAAATTTCAGTACTCTCAACTGTAACTATACACAATGTAACCAGACAAAAAGTTGAAAACAATAGAAACTAAGAAGAACCTAGTAATGTATTGCTTAAATAAACTAAAACTGAAACAAAACCAAGTTGTTTCAGCTAGTTGGTTAAATCTGTAATCTATATCTGCATAAAGGAAACAGAATGTCATGTGTGGATACCAGGGTTAATAGAAAGATTAAACAGTAATTTTTCTCTACAGGACAGAGGAAGCTACAGAACTGAGAGATGAAGAATTTTGTCTATGGAATGCATGCATATGTTTATCTAGTTTTGACTAACAATTAAGGAAAGACTTTTCTTTTAGGAGTTTATGTCAACTCAGGGAATCTTAGGGAGCCAAGTTACATAAGGCTGTTTTCTAGATAGATAGATAGATAGATAGATAGATAGATAGATAGATAGATAGATAACATATATATTGATAACATGATAACATGTGTGTGTGTGTCTCTCTCTCTTTATATATATATAGTGTTATCAAGCCTAAATTATGTCTTTGTCCTAAGCCTGCCATATTGAGGTTTTCTTTCTTGTCATAATTTAGGACCAATCTCAGTCAATTTTTTCCTCTTACATTTAGAGGGAACTTAAGAATCTGATTGTAGTGCTTACTACCCATGCAGCCATATGGGAGGCAAGTGTCACGTGAAAGGGGGACCCAGGCTAGGTCAAAAGAACAGAGTATTTCTCAAAGATTTCAAAGGGAGAATGTGAATCACACCTGAGAAGTGATAAAATAAAGTTGTGAAGATAAGACAGAGAGTACAAAGTGATGCCAAAAAGAGATTGACAGCAATGTCTGTAGGTAGTAGCAACAGCATATTATAACAATTGGCACATATCTTGACCATGAACATCAAGATCATGCTAGAATTTGCTGTTGACTGATGCAGGCGACCATTTCAGCCCATGGAGTTATCTGTGGGAGCTATAAAAACCCTGATGCTCAGGCCACAGCCCAGAACAATGAAATTGGACTATCTGAAGGTGGGACCCAGCCAACTATATTTTTCAAAGCTTCCCAGATAAATCCAAAGTTCAATAAGATTTAGAAGTCTGTCTTAAAGATAATTAAAGTTTTTTTTTCTTCTCTCCTGATTGCACATTATAGTCATCTGGGAGTGTTGATGATGTAACAATGCCTGATTGTGTCCCCAAACGAATCTACTCAGAATCTCTGGGGATGAGCCCTTGGGATGGGAATTAGTTGAAATACAGAATTTTGTAATGCCACTATCTTTTTTACCACGCCTCTATCTTTTCACTGAAGTGGTTCTGAGACAATAAGAAAATTAGCTTCAGTAAATTCAGAACTACTCCTTTTCTGAGAAAAATGAGAGTAATAATTTACATCTTAAAAGCTATCAAGTTTTTCTTCACATATAAACTTTGCACTTGACTTACTGTTTCAATTTGATTACTCTGCGTGTAAATATCTATTAAATACAAATTAACATTTTATATATTGTTATTTTATATTATCATTTTTTTATACAAAACCTTCATTTGATTAGAAATTTCTAATGCTGAAAACATATAACTTTTTTCAGTGTCATCTAGTTAAAGGAACTAAAATAGAAACTCCCTAAAACCAATTCAACCACCAAGGTTCCATTCCTTCAGTCCCTGTTTTGTAATTATTCATTGTCACAAAAGTCAAAGCATGTGAGTAATATTGTACTTGAATACTCAGAAAGGAAATTGTTGCATAAATAATTAATGCTGTGAAAGGTTAAACTTAATTGGAAAGTAGGTGATGTTTCTCTTGCCAGGGTTACAGACATTGAAGGTGAATAGTCTGATAGACTTATTTACTGAGGGGAAAATGAATGCTAATGGGTAGCTTTTTGTGTTATGCAGATTCACCAATATAATTTCTCACTAATAATTAATCAGCTGTGAAGAGAAAAATAGAATGCTGTGGTTAAAATTTTTGTATTGTACATATTTATGGGATACAGAGTGATATTTTGATACATGTATACAATAAGTAATGACCAAATCAACATAATTAGCATATCCATCACCGTGAGCATTTATCATTTCTTTGTGTGGTGAACATTTGAACCCTCTTTTCTAGCTTTGTGAAAATATACAATAAATTAGACTTAATCATGTTCACCCCACAATGCTACAGAACACCAGAACTTATTTCTCCTATCAGTTATAATTTTATATAAGTTAGTCAATCTCTCCTCATCCTCCCTTTCCCCTAAACTTTCCAGCCTTTATTATCCACAATTCTACTCTCTACTTTTATGACTTTAATTTTGTTTTTCTTTTTTGTTTGTTTGTTTTGTTTTGTTTATTTGTTTTTTTGCTTCTACATATGAGTGAGAACCCAGGGTATTTATCTTTCTGTGCCTGGATTATTTTATTAGGTTGGTGCAAAAGTAATTGCAGTTTTTGTCATTAAAAACAATTGCAAAACACACAATTACTTTTGCAAAAAAAAACCTAATACTTAACAAAATGTCCTCCAGGCTTATTCATAGTGCCATGAATGATAGGATTTTTTTTATGACTGAATAGTATTCTTTTGTGCATATATACTACATTTTCTGTATCCATTTTTCTATTGATAGACGTTTAGGTTGGTTCCACATCATATCTATTGTGAGTAATGCTGTCATAAACTGGATTGAGGGTATCTCTTTGATATAGTGATTTTCTTTCCTTTGGATAAATACAAGTAGTGGGATTATGAATCTTATGATAGTTCTATTTTTAGTTTTTATAGCTATCTCCACATAGTTTTCCACAATACCTGTACTAACTTACATTCTCACCAACAGCGTAAGAGTTCATATTTCTCCAAATCCTCACCAGCATTTCTTATTTTTGTCTTTTGATAATAGTCATTCTGAGGTGAGATAATATATCATTGCGGTTTTAATTTGCATTTCCCTGACTATTAGTGATGTGGAGCCTTTTTCATATATTTGTTGACAATTTGTATGTCTTCTTCTGAAAAATGTCTATTCAAATTATTTGCCTATTTTTAAACTGGATTATTTGTGATTTTGCTGTTGAGTTGTTTGAGTTCCTTGTATATTCTGGGTATTAGTCTTTTGTTGATAAATAGTTTCCAAATATTTTTTCCTAGTTTGCAGGTGGCCTCTTCACTCTCTTAATTGTTTTCTTTGCTATGCAGAAGCTTAGCATTTTTCTATTCCAATTCCATTTGTCTGTTTTTGTTGACTGTGCTTTTGAAGTTTTAACCATAAAATCTTTGTCTTGGCTGGGCGTGGTGGCTCACGCCTGTAATCCCAGCACTTTGGGAGGCCAAAGCTGGCAGATCACGAGGTCAGAGATCGAGACCATCCTTGCCATCATGGTGAAACCCCGTCTCTACTAAAAATACAAAAAATTAGCTGGGGGAGACAAAGCGAGACTCCAGCTTAAAAAAAAAAAAAAAAAACCACTTTGCCTTGACCAATATTCTGAAGTGTTTCCCCTATGTTTTCATATAATAGTGTTGTAGTTTAGGTTCTTACATTTAAGTCTTCACTCCACTTTGAGTTGATTTTTGTATGTGGTAATAGGGGTCCAGTTTCATTTTTCTGCATATGGATATCCTGCTTTCCCAGCACCATTTATTGAAGACGGTATCATTTCCCCAATGTATTTTCTTGGTGTCTTTTTGTTGAAAATCAGTTGATTATAAATATCTAGATTTATTTCTGGATTCTCTATTATATTTCATTGTTTTTTATACCAGTTTTATACCAGTGTGTCTGTTTTGAAACCAGTACCATGCTATTTTAGTTACTATAACTTCATAGTGTATTTCAAAGTCAAATGGTATAATGCCTCCAGCTTTGTGCCTTTTGCTCTGTATTGCTTTGGCCATTTGGGGACTTTTTGCTTCCATACAAATTTTAGAATTATTTTCTATTTCTGTGATGAATGTCACTGGTATTTTGATAGGGATTGCATTGAATCTATAAATTGTTTTGGGTACTATGGTCATTTTTACAATATTAATTTTTCTAATCCATGAGCATGAAATGTCATTCTCTTTGTTTTTGTCCTTTTTAATTTCTTTCATCAGTGTTTTGCAGTTTTCCTTATAGAAGTCTTGCAACTCCTTGATTAAATTTATTCTTTTTTTTGTTTGTTTTGTTTTATAGACATAGTAAGTGGGATTACTTTTTTATTTCTTTTTCAGCTAGTTCAGTATTGATGTATACATATGATAATTATTTTTATGTTGATTTTGTATCCTGCAACTTTATTGAATTAGTTTATCAGTTCTAAAAGATTTTTTGGTAAAGTCTTGAGTTTTTTTTTTTATATATATATAAGATTATGTCATCAGCAAAGAGGGACACTTTGGCCTTCTCTTCTCTGATTTAGATGTCTTTTATTTATTTTTCTTGCCTAATTGTTCTGGCTAGGACTTCCAATACTATGTTAAGTAATAGTGGTAAAAGTGTACATCCTTGTCTAGTTTTTAAAGAAAGTCTTTAAGGTTTTCCCCATTCAGTATGTTGGGGGGTGTGGGTTTTGGCATAAATGGCCTTTATTATGTTGAGCTATGTTTCTTTTATTCCTAATTTGTTGAGAGTTTTTATCAGGAAGTGATACTTAATTTTATCAAATGCTTTTTTGCATCTATTGAAATGATCATATGTTTTTTGTCCTTCATTTTGTTATTGTAATGTAGCACATGTATTGATTTATGTATGTTGAAACATCCTTGAATCCCTTGGATAAATTGCATTCAATGATGATGTATTTTTTTTTTTTTTTTTGGTATGTTGTTGGAACTGTTGTGTTAGTATTCTGTTGAGGACTTTTGTAACTGTGTTTTTAAGGGATACTGTCTTGTAGTTTTCTTTTTGTGGTTGTGTTTTTGTCTAGTTTTGAGAGGAAGATAATGGTGACCTCATAAAATGAATTATAATAAAAAGAACTCCCTCGTCTTCAATTTTTTGGGATAGCTCAAAAGAATTGGTATCATTCTTTTTAAAAGTTTGGTAAAATGTTTCAGTATAGCCATCTATTCCTGGGCTTTTCTTTATTGAAATACTTTTTATTACTGATTTGATCTTGTTACTCATTGGTCTGTTCTGTTATTTTTTAAAATTAGTTTGTTTTAATCTTTATCATTTAAAAAAATTTTAATTATATTAAAATTTTTTAAATGTTTAAACAATTTTTAAAAAATTTACTTTGTTTTAATCTTTACATGTCCTGAATTTATCCATTTCCTCTAGGTTTTTAAATTTGTTGGTGTATAGTTGTTCATAGAAGTCTCAAATAATTATTTATATTTCTGAGTTATCACTTGTAATGTCTCCTTTTTTATTTCTGATTTTATTTATTTAAGTCTCTCTTTTTTTCTTGGTTAGTCTAGCAGTTTATCAATTTTATTTTTTCAAATAAACATCTTATTGTTTCATTGATTCTTTATATTTTTTGTGCTCTATTCCATTTCATTCTGCTCTGGTCTTTATTATTTCTTTCCTTCTACTAATTTTTGGTTTGGTTTATTCTTGCTTTTGTAGTTCCTTGGGATGCATTAGTTTGGTGGCTTTCTCTGTTTCATGATGGTAGATACTGTCCTTTCACTTACAGATGTAGGACTCTGTTAAGTATAGTTTGTAGGTCTCGTCTAGGGATAATTAATTTCTTCAGTTTTTGTTTCTTTAGGAAGGATTTTATTTCTCCTTAATTTCTGGAGAGTAGGTCTTCCTGGTATAGCATTATTGGCTAGCAGGGTTTTTTCCCAGTACTTTGAATATATCACCCCATTCTCTCCTGGCCTGTAAGGTTTCTGCTGAGAAGTCTGATGTTAATACAATGGGGGTTTCCTTTTATGTGACTTGATTCTTTTTTCTTGCTGTTTTTAGAATTTTCTCTTTGTCTTTGTCTTTGGTTGACTATTATGTGCTGCAGAGAAGAACTCTGAATTTTATCTCTTTGGGAATCTTTGGGTGCCCTGTGTGTAGATATCTATATCTCTTTCAAGACTTGGAAATTTAGGGCTATTATTAAATAATAGGTTTTCTATACCTTTTCGTATCTCTTATTTTTCTGGAACTCCCAACATTTGAATATTTGGTTGCTTTATATTGTCCTACATGTCACATAGGCTTTCATCATTCGTTTTGGGTCTTTTCTCTTTCTTTCTTTTTTTCTGACTAAGTTATTTCAAAAGATTTCAAATTGTGAAATCCCTTTTTCTGCTGTACATAACTTATTGGTAAAGCTCTTGATTGCATTTTAAACATTTAATTCACTGAATTCTTCAGCTTCAGGATATATGTTTGATTCTTTCTTTATAATATCTTCATTTTTGTTGAATTTATTATTGAAATCATAAATGATTTTTTCTGATTTTATTGTACTGTGTATGTGTCTTTTCTTGTATCTCACTGTTTTTTAAATCATTATTTTTCATTTCTTCTCAGTTATTTCATAGATTTTCTTTTCTTTAGGATCTGTACTATAGAATTATTGTGCCTTTGGAGGTAGCTTTGGAGATGTCGTGTTTCCTTGCTTTTTCATATTTCTCATGTCCTTTTAATAATATCTATGCATTTGGTGTAACAGTTGCTTCTTTCAATTTTATGGATTGGCTTTCATAGGAAAATACTTTCCTGTAGATATATCTATAGTGTTGGTTGTGTAAAGTGCTTCGGTTTTGATTCTGGCGGGGCTCAATAGGGTAGTCTCTGTGTGATATTGTCTGCTGTAATCAATATCAATGGTGACAGCGGGCTAGGCATGCCAGTCCTTAGGCCTACAGGCAGTGTATGTGTGCATCAGTACTGGCAGTATAGATGGGGGCCGAGTTGGACTTGTTCTTGGGCCCCCAGGTGGCATGTGTGGGTGAGGCAGTGACATCAGCAGTCCAGTTCTTGAGACTCTGTGTTGAGCTCATGGCATTTAATGTGACAGTAGTGGTAGTAGGCTGGCCTTTGGGCCCCTAAGTAACACACGTGTGTGCCATGATGACAGTGGTAGGCTTGGCAGGCTGGTCCTCGTGCCCTCAGTTGGTGTGCTTGGGTAGGTGCTGGCAATTGAGGCAGTAACAGCAGGCCTGTTCTTAGGCCCCCAGGTAGTGCACATATATACCAGTGGTGGTAGGTGTGGCAGGCCTCTCCTTATATCCCTGTATGATGCATGTGGGCACTTTCAGTAGCCCACAGGCTGGGTCAGTCCTCAGACTCCCTTTGTCCTACATGTACCCTTTCTGGGGCATTGGACTGCTTACTTCCTGGGGCTTAGGAAGCTGTGTGGGTTAGAATTCTGGAGAACTGACTGTACTGCTGGGTCCAGCTGGCATCACAATGCTAAAGTGTTGTGAGTGTACATGGTGGGATGTCAGCTAGGTTCCAGGCATGTAGAGAGGCAAGGGCTGTTGAGCCCCAGGGCAGGATGTAGTGTAATGTGTGTTGGGCTCTCAAAACAGCGCCAAAATGGACCCAAATGATTCAGCACCTTAGCTCTCAGGATTGTGTGGGAATCAGCATGAATTCTTTCTTTGAAACAATGCAGTCACACTGATTCCCGGAAGCTTCCAATACTAGGCCCAGGGCCTGTGAGGAGCAAGGGGCTTTCTTATGGCTATAATTGCAGACATCCATGGTGAGAATGTGGATCACTATAGATTTCTCTCTTACCTTTCCCCTTAATGGAGAGTCCCTTCTGGATCTGAGCTGATCCTGCTCAGGCCAGCTGCTTTGCATCCACCTCCTTTAGTGCCTCGGAGGGCCTCTGTCACTTCCATGCTTAATTCTCGTGTTTTCTCATAGACACTCTATTTGGTGTGTGGTTATCTATTTGCTGTTTTGATTCTCATCTGTGCAGAAGTCAAGTGCTGAGTGCCTCAAGTAAGCCATCCTGATGATGTCTTTTGTGTTAAATTTAAATTGAAAGACAAAAATAAAAATAAATTTAAAATGGCTTATTTAACTTGGCACATAAAAAAAGAAAAGCATGATAAAAGTGCATATATCTTAAAACTTTTGATTAAAATTTTAAGAACAAATGTAATAGAAATGAAAAAGATTTTCCTTTCTGAAATAAATGCAATTCTAATATTCACTGAAAGAAATTTTATATAATTTTCTTGTTTTATTTCACCAGGTTTATTTAAAGATAAATGTATTACATTGCTAGAGTCAAAGAAAAATGCCATAAAGTTGTAAAAACAAACCTTTATATAAAAGAATTACTTGAAAGAAAAATAATTCAAATGAATAGGTCTGTAACAATTTCTGATGTAGTGGTCCAATTAACTAGTAACACTGATTGTATGAAGGTACACCAAAATCGCTTAGTGAAAAGCATTTGATATAAATGTTAAAAATGCATGTTGTTCCTACAAGTATTATAACACTCACTTACAACATATCTTATCATATTAATATAAATTGAATAGAGAATAGTCAACATAGTTAGATTTTTCAGATATTAATAATTTAATGTATGTAACATTAAAAATTATATGCCTTCACCTTTCTCAATTAAAAATGACTGTTCCCTTACTGTGGGTAATTTATTTTTAAGTAAAACAATGGTACAAGTGAAACACCCCTAATCTGAAATATAAAATGTTCCCAAATTTAAAACTTCTTGAACACCAACACGATGCCACAAGTAGAAAATTCCACACTTAAGTACTGAAATCAAACTTTGTTTCATGTACAAAATTATTAAAAATATTGTATAAAAGTAACTTCAGCCTATGTATATAAGGTGTGTATGAAACATAAATAAATTTTTGCATTTAGACTTTGTCCCCATCCCCAAGATATCTGATTATGTATATGCAAATATTATAAAACCTGGAACAATCTGAAATCTAACACATTTCTTGTCACAAGCATTTCAGATAAGGGATATTAATTAAGAACATACACCCAAAACTATTACCTTGAGCTCATAGCCAGGGCCTAGTTATTAATATTTTGCAATGAGTATTAAGGTGTGAAGAAAATGTTCCACTGCTCTCATATTTTTTTTCAAACACAAATTTATTTTCAAACAAAAATTGGCCTTTTTCTATTAGCTTTCTTATGTCATTTTAAAATTAGGAGTCATTACTAAGTAAATAATTTACTTATCAATGAAAGACCTGCCTGACCTTGAGAAGTGACCAGTGAATATCTCTCATTTTAGTTACATATAAGGGTAAAAAGAAAGTCCACAGATATACTAGAGTGCACAGAAAGAAGCTTTTATAATTTGTTTTCCATAAACAAATGTCACATTTAAAGTCTATGACATTTTACATTTATGAAGATGTATCAGGAATTATGGCTAGTAAGTTGGTGTAGAAAAGTTAAAGGAACCATGTGAATGTATCAAAATAATCACTTGCAGAGATGAAAAAAAAGAATTTTTTTGGAACTTCCTATCATCATTTGTTTGCTAAACTTTATTTTTTGACACAATTCTTAATTAAATAAATCCCTGTGTATAAACACATTACTCTGGGCTAGGAGAATACCGTTGGGTTGTGCAGGGGATTGTTTACTCAAATAAATAGCAAACAGTAGTTATCATTAAGATCATTATTTTATTTCCATATGAATATTATGCTAAAGAAATTCCCCTGTTTCATTTCACTTACCTATGAACCATAGAAACCACAGAAGTTTCCATAGCTTCTAATTTTCTAAAGCTTCTCTAAGGTCATTTAGAAATGGATGAATTAGGAAACATCCATACTAGACAGCCTAAGGGGAAGTAGCCTATGTATTTACTAGTAACAGCTTGAGAGCTGTGAAAATTGAGCAATTATCAGAGGAAATGCTTTGTGAAGCCATGACCTTTGTCTCTTTTTGTCTCCATGTAGAACAGCAGAAAATGTGTAGTAGCTAAATAAGTGTTGATAAATACTAAGATCAGAAAAGGACAAACATGATAAAATATATCACAAATTTATTCTAGCCTTTACCTATAGATCTGTGGTTTGTATTTATCTACTTCATAGTTGGAAAAATTGAGGCCCACATCAAGCCCTTTCGATGTGTATGGAATCAAATGGCAAAATAAAAAAAAATAGTAGCTATTTTGAATGTACTGTAGTGATTTGTTCAGTTATTCATTAATTCTAACCTGATAAATAAGAATGGATATATGAATAATTATGTTCATAAAATATGTTCCAGCAAAATCCTTTTCCACAAGATCACTTTTTTACCATTCTAATCTTCTTCATCATTTATGTATGCCAATATTCAGCATCTTCCTTTTTCTTCCATCTCAAAAGTTTATCCACATCGACATGTGGAACCCACACTGTAGAAGGGATGCATTTCAAAAAAGAAGGAAGCCCACTTATTCAACAGAGCAGGGGAATCAACCAGAGCAATCAATAAGATGTCAGGTAGCCAGCCAGATTTCTCTCTAATTTCTATTTCTTTTTAGGATTACTAACCTGAGAAAGTAGGAGCACCTCCTTTCAGAAAAATGCTGAGATTCTGCTAGAGGGAAGGGGAGGAAAGGGGACTTATTAAATTTCTTACTAAGTCCACTATCTCATTTGATCAATTAACTTTCAAAAGCTGGGAAACAGATATTTAGCAAGTTCTTAAAGTGTTTATCACTTTACAAATTGAGGCGGCTTAGGTGAATCATGCATTTCATGCATATGTATCAACATTAGAGATTTCTGTAGTTTTATAACTTTCTGGGCTACTTCATTTTCTTAGACCCTGCAAAAACACATAAGAATACCCCTGTAATTATGCAAAATATGGTATAAGTTTGTTTCCTTTTTTAAAAAAGCGGTTACATAAAGAAGTATCAAAATTGGCTGCTTATTATTTTTTGCGTATCAGTCAACTCCCTTTTCTCATCCTTCACTGAGTAAAACAGTACAACTCTATTTTCTCCTTTTCTACCTGGACTTGTGGCTACATAATTAAGGAAGTCACTCTTGCATTTTATTGACTGGTGTGGCATTCAAAATTCAGACATTCAATTCAGGTAAAAAAAATCTTAGGAGAGAAACTGATCATAAATGTTTTCTTAAAAAATTTGCTTAGTGTAGCATCATATAAGTGGTAAAATTTTTAAATGCCATTATCCTAATTCTGTTCTAAATAAATCCAAGTAAAAATAAATATCTGAAATAAAAATTATTAGGTAAAATTTGTCTATAGTCATGCACCACCCTCTCATTAAATAATTCACTTTGAAAAAAAGTGGTTTGTTCTGAATGGGGGGAAAAGTAACACTCAAAAGATTTTTAAATTGTAAATATTTGGTGATCTAACATCAATATTATTATTAGTACATCAAGACATTTTAAAATGCATTTTTAGCACAGAGATTATTTACAAGAAAATCATTTATTTTCAACTCTCTATGCGAGGATGCTGTACTGAAGATTTTTGAGTGTTTAGAAACCTGTAAAAAAGGGGTAAAGTCTGGAACCTCCTTTCCAATAATTTGCTTGAAACATTTGCATTTAAAATTACACCATTAAATAACAATTATTAACTTGAACAGTTCCCGAAATGTTGGTGAAACATATTGCACATTTTTGGGGATATACTTTAAATAATATACATATGATGTATAGATTTTTGTGCTTTCAGGCTTCTCATTGTTCACTGGTAGAGTATTTTTTAGAAGATGGGAAATTTAATTTTCTATTTTATCATTCTTACCTATGATTGAACATCTAAATCACAGTTCCATTGTGTGGTGATACATAAAATTTTTGATTTTGGGGGAAACACTGGTAACACACCCTTTATAATTTTTAGCATGAATAGTACCTGGATTATGAGAATAGATGAAATGATATCAATATAAGAAAGTCAGAAGAGAAGTGATCCAAGAATTGCACCCTTGAACACATCATAATTAAAGGGCTTTTCTAAAAATACTGGAGATAGCAGATGGTCTTGAGTAGAAATGAAAGGAGGATTCAAGGATTCAGATAAGAATAAGAGGGGAATGCTGTCGTTGGAGATTAAAAAATGCGTGTTTTCAAGAAAGAAGAAATGGTCACAGTGTCAACTAAAGGAGAGGTGCCAAAGATATGAAGCATTGACCATTGGATTGAGCAACAAAGATGACACTGTTTATTTTATCAGATGATCAGAGAAGAGGGGAGGACAAGATTGCTAGTTTGAAGGAAAGGGTATGATTAAGTGGATATTACCCTTGATGATCTTGATGTTGACTTCCATTGAAAAGGAAAGTGAAAGATATTAGATATAAGGAGGGGTACTTTCAGGTATGAAAAATGAGGCAAGGTCTCACAAAAGAAAAGGGAGGAAATGGAATCAAGAGATCATGTGATGGGGTTGTACATTGATGAGCTAAGGTGACTCTCTTCCTTTGAAACTGAAAAAGTAGATGGGGGTGAGAGGAGAATCACATTTAAAGCTGTGCCTATTGGAGCCTGGAAGATTATGCAATTGCCTCTGCTAAGGCAGATATAAACTTCACTTGTTGAAAGAGGGACAATGGATTGGTAGTTGCTTTCAGAAGAGTGTTGAAAGTCCAGAATATGTTCAGTGGAGAATGGATTTTAAGATTCTAGTGGTAGAGGCATTCCAGGAAATCAGGTTACTACTATAGAGTGCTTTCCTAAAACAGAATGCATATATAACAGTGTTGGTATCAAGGAAGTAAAATAATTTTTTAAGTTAGTGGGTATCTTTGCTTGGGCTGCTATAACAAAATACTATAGACTATGCGGATTATAAGGAACAGAAATTTATTTCTCACAACTCTGGAGGCTGAGAAGAACAAGGCATTGGCAGATTTGGTGTCTGTTGAGGGCCTACTTATTATTCATACACAGTGTTCTTGTTGTGTTCTCACATGGCAGAAGGGGCAAGAGAGCTCCCCAGAGTCCCTTTTGTAAGAATGCTAATATCATTCATGAAGCCTCTATCCTCTTGACCAAAGGCCCCTCCTAGAATTAGATTTCAGCATATGAGTTTGAGGGAGATATATAACAGTCTATAACAATGGGATTAAACTGCCTAAGGTAGCTATTGAAGATGCCATGTTAATAATACAAATAGTTTATAAAGATCCCTGATGACACAACTTGTAGAAACAGTTTCTACAAGCACTAAATTTTTTGTTTTATTTTGTTTTTACTACATAATCTGAGGAAAAACAAAGGTGAAAATAATTTTACTTTCAACCTGGAAAATAATTATTAGTTAACAAAACATAGTAGGGTATATTTTCTCATTTGCATCTAGCAAAATGTTTTTGTCTCTGAAACAAAATAATCTTTTAATACTGTAATAGGTACAACTGCCATTTATTTAGTAATCACTAAGTATCAGACACTGTATTAAACATCTTCCAAACAATCTTCATAAAAAATCAATCCTCATACAAAACTTATCATTATTATTTCCTTGAAAAAAATGAAGAATTGAAGTTTGGAAAGATTAAGAAATTTACCCAGATCATATAACTGCTGAGTGTTTGGGCCAAAGCCCAAATTCTGACCGATCACTTCAGAACAGGAGAATTGCACCATTAGATATGTTGGTTTGAAAGATGAATCACTAGAAAAAGAGTTTCATGGGAAAAGCAATATGTGTTTTCATTTCAGGATATTGCCAAGATTAATTACCTTAGAAAATGTTCAGAAATTACCTACAAACTCAGTGAGCTCTTCAAAAGTATTTCAACAGAGAACTGCTTTTTAAAAAAGTACTTTGAAGGAATGAGTGATAGAAAACTTCTGTCTGGAAAAGCTACAATGATATAGAGTAAAAATTAGAATCAAAAGAAAAGGATGTAATATAGTCAGTAATGTCACATGATATCCACAGTAAAACATTGCTGTCAATCAAGTTTTTCTACTATGCACTCCAGTTTACTCATTCCTGGAGGAAAACAGTGTATCTTGAAAGTTGAAAGGGAAAGGAGGAAAGGGGAATGTCTGAGGGTGCTCTGTTGTTAGTGATAATGCAAATTAAACCAATATAATTTGGTGGCTGCCAAAAATATGAGAATGGGTTGCAGTTTTTTAAAATTATTTTCTATTAATTTTCTTGTGTCATTCATGACAACATGGATGAACACGGAGAACATTATGTTAAGCGAAATAAGCCAGGCACAGAAAGATAAATACAACATGTTCTCACTCATATGTGGAAGCTAAAAGAGTTTGTCTTACAAAAGTAGAGAATGAAATGTTATTAGACATGAGGACAAGGCAGGGACAGGCAAGCATAGCTACAAAAGTACAGCTACGTAGGAGGAAAAAGTTGTACTGCACCATAAGGTGACTGTAATTAACAGCTTATTGAATATTTTCAAATAGCTAGAATGGTGGATTTTGAATGTTTTCAACACAAATGATGAATGTTTGAGGTGACATATATGCTAATTACAGATTTTATCACTACATCTTGTATACACAACACACTCTATTGAATAAATATGTAAAATTAGTATATGCCAATTAAAAATAACAAACCCAAATAATAATAAGAATGTTACATTTTGATGATATTCTTGTTGCCTTAAAAGCATTATTATTGTGAACCCCGGGGGGCGGAGCCTGCAGTGAGCGGAAATGGCGCCACTGCACTCCAGCCTCGGCGACAGCGAGACTCCGTCTCAAAAAAAAAAAAAAAAAGCATTATTATTTTATTGTTATTTCTGAAATCTTATAATCTCTTATAACCTTGAAATAGGCCAAATGTTTTGATTTAAAATATCAGAAATTTATGGCAACATAACTTTAAATTGTATTATTCTATTAAAATAAGAAGTACCCCAAAACTTGACTAAACATATTTTAAAATATTTTTCCCCATTTCTCCCTTCTACAAGCCAGTGTGGAGAATGTAGCAGAGTAATATGTATAAGACCCTACTCCATCTATTTCTAATGTTTAGAGTGACAGAATCTGCCATTCCCCAAATATAAATAACAGAATCTAGAAATACTCTTGAATTCCCTTCACAAGGAATGAAATTTGCTATTAAGTGAAAGTAGATTCTCTCTACAGCTAAGCTAAGCCTTTATTTCATCTCTGAGAAATAAACTGGCTAAAGTAGAAACGTTAATGCTAACAAAACTGGGTTATAGTGTCAGCCCATTGACATTCAGGCTCCCCTGTAGTCATGTTGTTGCCACATATTGGTGCCCTGCTAATTAATTTTCTTGTTAGGTCACAAGGGAGCACTTAGGGAAGAGCTGTAGTATTTTGCTCCTTTCTACCCTGGACAAATAAATCAGCAGTCATGGATTATTTTTAGGGCTTTTAACAAATTCATTTGAGAAGTAATTCCTCACTGAAGTAGACTTTTCTTTTACATTTCTTTACACTGTTAGAATTTTTTATTGACAATAAGACAAAACTCTAAATTACATTTAACCCACTCAAAACAAAAACCTGCCATACTTATGTTTTGCCTTGGTCTTATTTTTGGCCTAAAAAGAATTCTAAAAAAAGTGGAATTATCTTCTTGCTCAGATGAAGGCAGATGGTACTGAGTACGTTTAGAACTTCCAGCAACAGTTTTCTATAGCATTAGCAGTGATGTACCATTTGCAATCTATTGTCTATTTAAATCTATTTAATTTACATTTAACAAGACATCTCTTATTCTTGTGAGTTAATTAAAGAGCTACTGACTATTACAAGGATACTAATTGAAATGCAATAAATAAGATAACTGAGTTGGTGTATAATTAACTGAATTTACATAAGTAATAAACACCGTATTGCAGTCTTCTAGAATGGAGTTGAACTAATGCTGATAGTCATCTTATACAAGAAGAATTGTCTAGGCATTTAATTAACATAAAATAAATGGCTCTGACAAATTAATTGTATATAATTTTTTAAAAGTAACTGCTAAAGGAATAATGTAACCACGCCTTATGTGGTCTAACATTATGGGGATCCTTATTAAATTTTTAATACATTTTTTTCAGGAAGAGAAATAATCCAGATTACAGGCAAAACATAGCTCTTATGCTTTGTAGCATTAGCTAATTTTTGTGTCCTCAGTTTACCCTGCATAAGCCCCTTAACAGTCTAACTCATAGATGTTATTTTACTCAGTTTCAGAAATGTCTCCATAGGACTTTCATTGAATAATTTCAACTTTCTCAGAAAACCCAGGTTCCTCCCAATTCCCTTCCTTATAATGGGTCTATAACTTTATAATATCATTTAATAGAATATAATAGTTTATAATCGTTACAGTTTCAAAAATAATTCCTCTTTTTTAGTGTATATGAATCAGTCTGTAGAACACATTAATGTTTCATAAAATGAGTCTTAAAAGCTCCATTCTGTATGTTATTTTGGTGAAGTAGTATTCTTGGTTTAAGTAAATAGTCATAATATATTCTAAAATGAATACAGGTGGAAAAGCAATACAAAAGCTATAGTAAATTGAAGTATTTTAGTGTTTAGTGTGGTAATAAAAAATGGTTTCTGCTCTGATATTTGTTATATATATGTTTTTTCTCTTTGTCAATTTGTATATTTTCAATATGCTACATAAACAGAAGAATATTTCTGAAAATGTTGCCTTTAAGTGTTATTTTTAGTAGCTTCTGATTCATATGTAAATTTTCTCCATTTAGGTCCTTCATGAATATTTTCTTTTGCTTTACTTAAAAGAAAAATAAGAGCTTTTCACCAAAATAAAATAAAATATAACATTAAGACTGAATAACATTAAGATTGAATAACATTAAATTCACAACCTCTAAGACAAATTTAGTAAAAATTAAAAAATATATATTTTCACTTAAAAGTACCTTGAATAGTATAGCTACTGAATATACTGATGGTTTCAACATCAAAAGTAATTCACTAGAAGGAAATGAACCAAGATACTTATTTTTAAAGAAATTACAGTATTTTATAGGCAATATTTAAGGAATGCCAGTATTACACACAGAAAAGGTATTTTTTTAAAGTCTGGCTTAAGACTACCAAAAGTTTCTGTTACTACCATTAAAATTATAAATTGGCTGGGTGCAATGGCTCGTGCCTGCAATCCCAGCACTTTGGGAGGCTGAGGAGGGAGGATCACTTGAGGTCAGGAGTTTGAGACCAGGCTGGCCAACATGGTGAAACCCATCTCTACTAAAAATACAAAAATTAGCCAGGCATGGTGGCAGGTGCCTGTAATCCCAGCCACTTGAGAAGCTGAGGCAGGAGAATTGCTTGAGCCCAGGAGGCGGAGGTTGCACTGAGCTGAGATCGAGCCACTGCACTACAGCCTGGGTGACAGAGCGAGACTCCATCTCAAAAAAGTAAATAAATAAATAAATCGTTACTGTGTTCACCTGACATATCACAATGCAATTAATAAAGCATTATCCTTATACTATGTACAGTATATTTAAGTATTAATAAAATAGTGAAAGACAAAATATGTATTTAAACAATTAAAAACACATTAATATGTTCTTTTTCTGACTAATTTTTTCTTTCTGTTTGTTTTCTTTATCAACATTTTCTCTGAGGACATTTCCTGCTATGGTTAATTATTTCTTTAGAAAAAAAACCCTTGTTTGTTTACAGAGTATTTATAAAGATTGATTGTATAACTGTCCTATTATACAATATACAGAAATGTAAATGTCTGAAAATAATTAGTATGGTTAAAAACAATCAGAGAGATTTGAAAATGCACATATATATTACATCTACTCTATCAGTAATTGGGATGGACTCCATAAAGTTGAAGATACCTCCCTCACGATACATACTTTATGCATTGTATACATACATATATATGTATGTAATATATATATGCATTTTACATCCAAGCTATCCTCTTATTGCTTTTTCTTACTTGAAAGCTTTCACATACTAAGCCATGGACTCTAATACTATGCTTCTACTCTCTATATATGTTCTGCTATTAAATTTATACTCAGGAGTATTTTTCTAAGTTCACTAGAGGAAAATAAAATAAAATATAACATTTCCTAAATTTTAAGTTCTATTACTTTTTCTTAACCTTTTGCCATCTGCTATGAAAGCTTGCAACTGCATGATGAATGACAGAGTAACAAACACTAACAGAAAGACTGAAAGCACGTTCAAAATTATAGAGCATTCTGTTAAACCAATTGTGATTTCCATTTGCCTTTATGCAATATTGGCACTTTCTGCTGGTAAAAATGATTTCTACTCTGAATGATAAAATTCAATATGCCGATATTTCCTGGTGTTCAGCAAAGAACACTTTGCTTCCAGGTGCTCAGCCACATGAACATGGAGAATTTCTGCACCAAGCTTTTAATTTGGTACATTAAAATCTCTTCATTTACCTCACATTTTGTTCCTTTCAGAACACTGATTTTGCAATAAAGTAATTCTACCTATTGTTTCTATGGTTGTCTCTAACTTAATCGTTCTGCCTGAGGAAAAAATGCAGCATTTCTCCTCACACTCATTTCCCTAGTAAGAAATGCTCTGTCTGAGAATCAGATATCAGCTTCTACATCTACTTCTATTTTTCTATTCCAACACAGAAGACAGGTGTTTTAGGTTGGGCTCCCTGGGGACACACTCTGAGGCAGAGATTTGCATGCAGAAAGACTGTGGAGGCTACTCTCAAAAATAACCTCTGTGAGGAGTGAGGGAAGGAAATAGGATTACAGAGAGGAAAGAGTACTGCAATCTAGTTCCAACAAAGACCTCAGGCTATCCCACAGGGAATTCTGGAGTTGGGCTGGACCATTAGAATTGTCTGAGATTAAAGCATGAGCCTGAGCCTTTTCCTCTCACTTCTGAAGGGTCGTTGGACTTGTGCTCCCTTTTACCTTTCACTGAAGGCAATTCCCTGGAAGGGATTAAATTGTGAGGTGCCAAGAGCCAATAATCTTGGCACCGCAGTCATAAGTGCCTTGATACCAAAGTCAAGTATCTTGGTGCTCTGACAAAGCATTCAATCTCTATTGACTAGAAGTAAGTTAGGATGGCTTGCTCATCTTTCAAATAACAATTTGCATTGAGATGGCACTATAAAGACAGTGCTATTTTTAAATCATTAAAATATTTTAAGACAAAAATATTTTGTTCTAAAGTAGTTTCAACCCATGTGTCTGCATGCATATGGATAAAGATACATACAGATATGGATATTTCCTTGTGAATATTATGCTTGGCATTTTGAAAGGAATTTCCAAATTCAGATTATCACCAGTCATCAAATAACATTACACTGGATCATGTTCAAAATAGTTGATTTTTTCTAAATTATACGTATTTTGTGTTCTCAGATATTATCTTGATCAACCAAGGGTTATATTAAACATGCATTTTATTATGCCTCCATGACCTGACACATAAGAAATGTAAAATCTAAGATAAAATCTCAAATACTATTTATTCCTCAATAATATATTGAATTAAAAAGGGCTACATTTAAAAGACAAAAATAATTGTTTTCTGAGAAATGTTTAATTGGAACCAAAATTGGGGAAGGCTAGGTTAATATTACAGGAGGAATCATAAACAATGGATTTAGTCTAGGGAATCTGATAAACTCACTTTTTTTTCTTTCATAGAGACAGGGTCTCACTCTGTGGCCCTGGTTTGAGTACAGTGGCAGAACATATCTCACTGTAGCCTTGACCTCCTGGGCTCAAGCAATGCTCCCACTTCATCCTCCCAAGCAATTTGGACCACAGACACTCACCACACTCAACTAATTTATTTTTATTTTTATTTCTGTAGAGACAGGATATCCATATGTTGCCCAGGAAGGTCTCAAACTCTTGAGCTGAAGCGATCCTCCCACTTCAGCCTCCTGAACTGCTGGGAATACAGGTAGGAGCCACCGCACCCGGCCCATAATCTCTATTATTTGTATTAAAATTTTATTATAATTTCCAGTCAAAATTGCTGTGTTGATTGCACTCTGGTCAGCCATAATTTACTGGCATGTGTGTCTACTTTTGAGATCTATTGTTTTAAAGTGAGGAAACGTTGTAATATGGCTACACATGTTTTGAGCATAACTCTTGGATTTGCTCCATGTTACTTTTCTATTCCTGCATGCCTATAAAAAAGTGAGATCTCTACCTCTAATATTAGCAGAGTCCATCATCTATGTGAAATAAATCTAGTATGAATTAGTTCCTGGAGTATGCGTAAACCCTGAATATGCATTAGTTATTAATTCTTGCATTTATTTACCTTCAAATATTTATTATTCACCCATTTGGCCTCAACCTGCAGGACCTTGAACATCTGCTGAGAATTTATACATCTCAGAAAGGCCAGTGAAACTGATGATTAATAGATTTGTTTTATTCAGGACCCAATAGAGTTGTTCATTATTATCTAGAAAATACAGAAATGTTATAAATTATATATACTTAAGTAATATTTTTTGGAACCAAGTAATTCGTATTGTAAATTCACTCACTGTGTCATTTATTTTGGTTTGCAAAAACACTCTGAAACACTGAAACATTATGCTAACTTGTGGTGGCACCTCACTCCTACCACTGCCCTAAACAAAATATACTAAAAACAAAGGCAAACAATTCCATATGAATGGTGGTACATTTACAGTTTAAAATTGTGTCAAAAAGCAAAGCTATTGTTCATTATAGTGGTAGGTTAAAGTTAGGATAGTTCCATAATTTTCTAGTCATTTTGGAGCAGTTATCTAGCAATTTACTGCTTGGATACTGAACTGTATCTTCTGAGAGCACCAGTCCTACTGAGCTACATTTTACAAATAGAAAAGCCAGATTCCTTCTAAGTCAGAAATGTATTTATGTTTTACAATTACAGTATGTTTTCACCAGCATTTATGAAACTTAGGAAATTTTATGTTCTTGTAAAATTTATACAGATAATGGATTTATCCATCCTTTTCTACCTTTTTCTTTTTATATGTAATATCAACTTAGGTGACATCATACATTTAAATACATTTTTAGTTATATGACAGTTATTATCCTAGCTTTAAGGAAAGGAAAAGCAGACAATATATGATTTTAAAAATCAGATTATAATGTTACCTTTTGCATTTTGAAAGATGTTATGAGCTTTTTACCTGCCACAACGTCATCTACAATTGCTCTATTTAACACAAGGTGTATCTGCAGTGGGAAAATTTACACATTCATGAGTTATGCACAATCCTCTCTGAAATATTGAGACTGCCTGTCTCATCTTCCAGAAAAAGCTGCAATAAGTTTACTCTCCTTGTCACCACCAGGTCTGGAATAGCAAATGAAAACTAATTCTTTTCAAGTGACAACTATGATAAAACAATTGATGAAATTTCAATGAATAAAACATGCCATTAGGGGGCCCAGGTGTGGTGGCTCATGCCTGTAATGCCAGCACTTTGGGAGGCCGAGGCAGGAGGACCACTTGAAGCCAGGAGTTTGAGACCAAGCCTGGGCAACATAGTGAGACCCAGGTCTACAAAAAATACTGAAATTAGCTGCGTGTGGTGGCATGTGCCTGTAGTCCCAGCTACTTGGTAGGCTGAGGTGGGAGGATTTCTTGAGCCTGGGAGGTGAAGGTTGCACTGAGCAGTGAGCACCATGCCACAGCACTCCAGCCAGGGCAGCCAAGTGAGACCCTGTCTCTAAAACAACAACAAAAATTACATCAGCTAAGAAAATATGCTAGCCAAGAAAATACTAATTATATCATTTTTTATAAATACTATTCCTTGTTTTTTAACATTCAGAAATAAGTAGGCAAATTAAGAGATGTTAATAAAAGTTACATATAATCCCAGCACTTTGGGAGGCCGCAGCGGGTGGATCTCCTGAAGTCAGGAGTTCGAGACCAGCCTGGCCAACATGGTGAAACCCCGTCTCTACTGAAAATACAAAAAGTAGCTGGGTGTGATGGTGGGTGCCTGTAATCCCAGCTACTTGGGAAGGTGAGGCAGGAGAATCACTTGAACCCAGAAAGTGGAGGTTGCAGTGAGCCGAGATTGCATCCATTGCACTACAGCCTGGGCGACAAGAACAAGACTCTCAAATAAATAAATAAATAAATAATACATATACATATGCTTTGTGAATTTAACGTAGTTGAATGTGTCACATGTGGGTTAAGCATCATGTTACTTAGAGTGGAGAACCCTGAATGCCAAGTTTACTGTAGGGTCCTACACTGATAAACAACTTCCAAAATAAGCTATTTATTCTAACTACTAATTTTACAATATACATACACATATAAATAAAGATGAAGATTCTGGTGAAAGAGAATCCTTGTACAAAACTTCAAATTATATGAACACAGTATGCTGTGTCTTCATACTGAACACAGTTGCATTTCAATTCTGGCTCTTTTAATTAAAACATTGGATGAAGTACTTAAACTTCTTCTAAGTTTTGGGCCCAATTAAAAGGAACAATTACACGTGCAATGCATAGGTAAGCTAGAATCATGTCCTTCTGAGTTTTGCTTGATTTAATCTATTTAAAAGTATCGTATGTTGGACTCATAAAAACTTTTACCACAAAAGGGACAAAACAGATCTCAAAGCTGAAAAACAGTGTAAATTACAAAGTTATAAGGTGCCCATATTTGACTAATTTTAAATTAATCATAGGTTTGGCTTGGAAATATTTTTAGCGTGTTAAACTTGTACAAGATTTAGATGCTTTACAGAGACATAATAAAAGATGACAGGTTAATTAAATATTGGAGATGTGCCAAAACACAGATACCTCCTCATCACAGGGTTCAGCAAGTGCTTCCATCCCAAGTGTTACATCTCAGTTGTAGGTAAGTTCACAAACCAATTAGGATCATGCTGGATGACTGGTTAGTAACTTAGTCAAATAATTTGGTATTCAGTGCTTATGAAAATTAGTATAACACTGGAATGCAATGCAAATATTTATTAATAAAGTTAGTATTCACCCACACAACTACTGTGTTTGTTTCTTTCAAAACTTCACTTAAAATCAGCAAAAGTAGCACATAGGGAAAGCAAAGACACAAAAATCCATTTCACAGAGAAGCAATCCAAAAGTAAATTAGGAGGCTATGACTTCCTAAATTTCTAATAATTTGATGAAAGAGTTAATAAGGCATTTTAGTTAACTTTGTCTGAACATCATTCATTTCTTGGTAATTTCTTTTCACAAATTGATTACTCTAAATTATAATTATGGCCATAATAGTCTCAAGAGTCTAGGAAATTCCTAGTAATTTTCTAGTAATGCATTGCTGCATTGACTGGGTCAAATTATAATTTCTATGTTTTCCTTTTCATCTTCTTCTGTACCCCCATCTTTCCACTAGAATAAAATTTTCTCAAGAACAGCGACCTTTTATGTTTTCATATATCAATAAAATTTAGAATCAGAATAATTGTAGAGGAAACTCATTTTTGAAGATTAATAACAAATTATACAAATTTATTGCCAATTATATCAGTGTATAATTTTATTTATATTATTTTCATTTCTAATAAATAACAAATTATATAAATTGAATTTTAAGTATGTTCTTTTTTTATTGTACCTAGCTTAATCACTGAAGGGATTTCGAACACAGAATCTCTTGAACATCTTATATTTTTGTGGATTTGTGGTAAATTACATACACAAACACCATTCTAAATACCAATTATATTTTCCATAGAAGTTTTCTTTTTGTTCTGAAGCACAGTTAAGTCTCACTTCTGTGGGCCCATACTATACTAATGTTTCTATATTAATAGGATTACTTTAAAATAATCATAAGATGAGTAAATCACAGAGAAAAAATTTATATTTGGTATTCAGAATTTCTCCACTCAAAGGCATGCATATTTTATAAGGAAATTCTAACAACATTAGTATTAAAAAGAGAATGATGACTCTGCTTGACCGTGTTACTAGACAAATGTACCAGTTCCGATTCCAAAAATGGGGAAATGCCTTCAAGCCAATCTGAGGGAAATAACAATTTGTAATAATGTGTGATTAATTTCCATTTGTCCACCTCTGAGTATACTATTAATTTTGTGGTTAAAGGGCTATTACAGAAAAGAAGAGAATGAAGTAATATTCAGCAGGTGCTAGGCAATATGTGCACATAATAAGCATCAGAGAACCACCTGGGTTTGTCTAACTCCAGCCAAATCAATCTCTTATCCAACAATACAAAATGTGTCAGACATAGAGGGAGAGAGAACAGAGGATTCTGAATTATTCACTCCTAAGGCAGTGATATAAATAAACTATTTGGAATATCCGTATCTATATATTGAAACCTATCTGTATCTATATATTTTTTATATATATGTAAATATATAAAAATCTATTGCCATATAACCATATATGTATATCTATCTATAGGAATAACTATTTATATATCTAGATCTATATTTCTCTGTCTATATATTTCCATATGCGTTCTTCAAAAGTTAGGATATTCTAAAAAGGATTAGCTAGTCTGGGTATACTGGATACAACCTTTCTTTTTTCCTTTTTTTAGTGTTTTATTAAGAAAGAAAAACACGTTTTTCCACAAGCAACAACAATTAATAAGCTTTTATATCATATATGATCTTGTAACTGTTGTTGAGCATTGTAAATGGTGGCGAAATCAGTGTCAGAAATTATTAATTTATCTGTTCAACAAATACACAGAGTTTAGCTGTGTCCAAGACAGTTACTACTGTGTGGTAAGTGAACTTAGATAATTGTGTCTCAGTTTTCTCTCACCTGTAAAGTGGAAACAATAGTAGTCTTACTCAATAAGTTTGTTAGGAAAATGTAATGAGCTAATACATGAACAATTCTTTTACAAATGTCTACCACTTAGAAAGTACTCACTACCTCTTACAGATAATTCAGTAAAACTTTTTTTGAGATCAAAAAGAGATCACGTCAGGTTAAATCCTCTTATACTAAACACTGGGTTTCTAGCCAAACTATCTTAGTTTATTAGATACTATTCGGGAGCGCAGGAATTCACCAGAGGTTAGAATATTTTATATGAAATAATCTTACTCTGCTGGACTCTAGTTTTTTTAGTCTTTGTCAAGGCATTCTTCAAAGTAGGAAAAATAAGCATGAAAATTTTGAAGACTATGGCTATGCCATTTAAACATCTTTTATTTTTGTCTCTTCAATCAGTAAGTTTTTTTTTATTTTTCAGGTCCTAGAGAGGTAGGTGTTACACATCATTGGTATCATCTTACAGGTTATAATGCTGTTTATAAATTGGAGGATCCCTGACAAATGACTGACTTGCTTAATGTATAGAAGGCATGAGAAGAGAAAACATATTATTAGGAACATGGATGCTATTTCTAGTTTCTAAATGGGTGTTAAAGCCAAGCAGCTAAATGTTTTCATCCTTGGTAAATAGTAAGAGGTAAGAAACCTGAGATATAATAAAGTTTGGTGATTTTGAATAAAATTATTAAATTATCTGGCCATTGTATTACTCTGTTGAAAAGTAAGATGCTGGTTCAGTAATGTACCATTTAGCTCTAAAATGCTGGTATCTGGTTTGTTGTACTTGCTCTAAGTCTGCTTTGACAATTTACTCCAAAAAATGTGGAATGACATCCATTACTATCATTTGTCAATCATTGTTTAAATAATCCTTGTAGAAAAATTTAAAAAGTAGCATAAAATATTCCAAATATTGTATATTTATTTAAATATTGCAAACCATCTAATGCATGATTGCAAATCATCTAATGGAAGTCACAGATACAAAAACTTACAGCTGAACAGTAAGTTCAACTGTAAGAAGGAAATGTTTAATTATTTGGAATATCATTCTAAGTTTCTGTATTCATTACAAACAAAATAAATACTTTATCTTTCTAAAAAGAGGTCAATAAAAATCTCAAGTGTAAAATAGTTACATTATTAAAGAGTGTGGATCAGATAATATATCAATATTTTGTTTCCTAATTCATTATTAGAACTATACCTCCAAAAGAAATTGCTAAATTATTATTTATAGATTTTTCTGAATATGTGCAACTCCATTCCTCATTGTACAAATAAAATTGAAGAACAATAATTGGAAGAATCTTATTGAAAAATTAAGAAAATTTTATTAGAGGAAAAAGAAAACATTTTCCTCTAAAAACTTTATTTAGAAAATACACATCAATTTAGTGTTCAAACTGATTTTATTACAGAGCATAGAATGCAATCACCATGTTTTAAGTCATACTCAGCCTTTCTTGGGAGCAAAACACAAAAACAGTTCCATTTATAATTTATATCTAATTGATTTGAATTGACAAGTAAAAGTGAGAATGAAAATGTAGACAGAAAACCTAAAGAGAAGAGGAAAAGTCTCTTTGGAGACAGACTGTTTTTCCTGCCACTCAGTTAATATGTCAAGTCTGAGCGACTTTAGGGTTAGAATGATTTATGGTGACTCATTCATTTTAATTACCCTCTAAAGTTTTGGATAAACACTACTGAAACTCCTTTTTCTCTTGGTTAATGTACCTGTTACAAGAACACTGCATTGTAATTAAGTGATCAAATTCAGGGTGCTACGGTAGATAAAGCTGTAAACTGCTTTTGGATTTCAGGAGATACAAAACCACCTCATTTCCTTTGATGTCATAACTTTTTTGATTTAATTTTTTATATTGATACATGATAAATGTACATATTTGGGGATACATGTGATAATTTAATATACTTTCATATAATTTGTAAAGATCAAAGCAGTGTAATTGAGATATCCATCACCTTAAGTATTTATCTTTTTAATGTTAGAAACATTGAAATCATTCTCTTCTAGATATTCAGAAATATGCAACAGATAACTGTAAACTATAGTCACCCTACTTGTCTATTTGATTCATGCACCTGCCACCTATAGTTTTTACAGTAGACTTTATCTAATGCTGAAGGAATAATGTGTGGAAAATTAAAGACAGGATAAAATTATTCTCAATTTAAGATAATGAGAATCAACTGAGATTTCAGAAGGATACTTGGCCATGGAGAATAAAACAATAAAAAGCAAACAAGAAAAAGAGAAAGAAAAAAACTCATTTATTTCAACAGTCTAGGAGTTTTAAAATTTAATTTTATTGCTTAGAGTGAGCATCTGAACCACAAATAATGATCATTTTTTTAGAAATTGTCCAGGATTAGATATAATGATGTCTTTATGTGCTTCAAAATAGTCTTAATCCCCCAAGAAATCATGCTGAATGCAAAAGCACACCATCGTATGACATATTTACCTGTCTACTGAGCTTCCCAAGTGTGTACTCATATTCCCTAAAGTAAGATTAAAAACAATTTTATAAAAACATTTCAACGTCCTACACTTTTCTAGTTTCTCTTAGGTATAAACATTAAATTTCCCTAGTGCCTCTCACATTTCCAGATCTTATTCCAAAAGAGTGCACAAACTAATTAAGAAAAATGAATTTATTAGTAAAGGGCAATTTTTATTATCGCATATAAGCATAACTTTGCAAAAAATAGAAGTTTGCTTAGACTGTATAAAAAGCTCTGCTAATAGTAACATCTTATACACTGTTGGTAACAACTGCTTAAATTTGGACAGATATATTTTATTTATTTTAAAAATTTGTGTCACCAGGACTTTAAATAATTTTAAGTTGTCATTTAAGAATAGTACATTTTTATTGCTTCTCATAGGTCACTTATTACATTTCTTTAGGAATTTGAATGGTTTCTGTAGCATATGCCAGCCCAGTGATACAAGTCCTTACATTTTAATAATTACAGCTTTAGAATTCGCAATCTAGTAGGATAGAACTACCCAATTTCTTTAAAAGAGTATTTATTATTCCCTATTCCTCCAGATGAGTTTTACTCTGTACTTGTCAGGATCTAGGAAATGTTCCAATAAGCTTTAATAGATACTGGATTAATTTATAAGTCAAAGTCATATATATTTTCATCTCTACCACATGAACCAGCTCTATACCTTCAACTGACCCTTCTGAACCCATGGGCACATCCCCATGACCCTTGTAATTCCCAGTTCCCTTGCCGCCTCCTCTTTCTCTCAGAGGATGTTGGAAATTTATTTTTGAAGTAGGGAGCAGCACTCCATTTATTCAAGTAGTTATTATTTTTTATTTCTCTTAACAGAGTTTTATAATTTTCCTTAAGTCTTTTGTGTCTCAAGTCAAAAATATGCAAGTATTTAATGCTTTGTATTACTATTTCAAATAGCATTTTTTCTGAAATTTATTATTTATTTATTTATTTGCTGTCCGGTACTAGTATGAGCAGAGTTTGTTTTGAGGATTTATTTTAGAATCTTATTTTTGAGCAGGCAATTCTCTGGCTAATTTTCTTGACTATTCTAGTAATATAAACATCTCATCTGAAAATACTGATCATTCTATTGTTTCTTTACCATCTTTGCTAGACATATATATTTTAAAATTTAATTCCTACACAGTTTGAGAGCCTACAGAAAGGAAGAAGCTCCCTGCAAGACTTGAATTTTTTTATTTTTTGCAATTTTAAGGGTTGAATTAAAGACCCTTTACAATGATGGACTCAGGGTTCAGGAAAGTAACATTAATTCAAATATCACCTATCCAAAAAGTGGAAGATTAGAGAAGGCCTTCAAAGACACAGATCAAAATCCCTCAGAGAAAAATAAACCAGTGACATTTTAACAAATCAGAAAATCTGCATAAAATAAAAACTGAAGAAATACACTAATATCTAGTGGATGTTTCAAAATAGAAAATATTTCTTAGTTTTCTTAATAGAAAGTATAGGATCAATTAAGCAGAGTCTAATTAGCAGAAGTAGATTAGTGGCCAAGTCATTTGCATTTCCTTATTGACGTGTGTGAGTGTGTGTGTGTGTGTGTGTGTGTGTGTAAGATTTTGGAAGGTTAAAAATTAAAATGGCATATCAAACATCTATTTTATTTTCAGATATTGTGCATTGACAATGTGCCCCTGCAAACCTCCAGGGATATTTATGGGTTATGTTATGACAAAGAACTTTTATACAACTTAGTATGACTGGCAAAAAGGCAGGTGACTAAAAAGAAAAAAAAAAGACTGAACATTACAAGTTTTCAAACAGTCTTTCATTGTCTGAGATGAAGCCCGAGTTCTTGTCCTACTTCCAAGACTATTAAGGAGCACGGACACAAAGGTAAGGTTAGAGCGAAAGTTTAGTAAGCAAAAGAAGAAAGTTCTCTGCCCGCAGAGAGTGGGTCCCCAGTTGGAATGCCCATTATGAGGTTGGGGTCCAGGGTTTTTATGGGCTGGTAAGGGGAAGGAATGTGCTTAGTCTGCGAGCTGTCTTGGCAAACTCGTGACTCAGCTTGGCGCTGGACCTTGGCCCCGGACCCATCAGGAGCTGAAATGATGATTCATAGATCATTAGCCTGGCTCAGGTTGTATCAGAAGCTGAAGAGAAAGCTTGGCCCGGGACCAATCAGGGGCTGAGGTGATGATTCATAGATGCTGGGTTTATAGTCCTAAATAAAGGAAAGTAGAGTCCCCACCGGAATCCACCAGAGCCCACCGTGCCCATGCCCACAAAAGAAGAAAGTTTTCCTGGGAGCACACTGACTATCCAAAGGACAAAGGCATTTCTATGCCAGGTCTTGTTCCCTTATCTGAGTGAGCTGGAGGTTTGTGCAAGTTTTTTTCCAAATGGCCCAGAGGTTTTTCTATCTGTGCAGCTATGGGCATGTCTCCAGGCACAACACCCTGTGCTAGTTCCCTTACGCGTGCCTGCAGCTTGAATTTTTTTCCCAGGCTGCTTTTCATGTTATGGTGGGATGAGGCACTGACCCATGGGTGGCGGTGGGGAGCTATCTGAGACCCTTCCCTTGTTATCTACCTAAGGCAAGCTAACTAACTCCTTTCAGTATGATTAGAGACAAACTCACATGTGATTAGTTTACACACCTTCCTTTACATGAAGCTCCTACTCCATGTTGGATCTACCATGCTGTGCAAACTTTATGAGCTTCCCTACAAAAGCAGACCTGTTTCCAGTATCTACAGGTGTTTGTATTTGACAGTTTAAATACCTGAACTGACCCAGAAGTTTTGACTCAGAAAGCCATCATGTGTCTTACCCTTAGCTTTCATTCACCTTTACTCCTTTAAATTTTCTATTAAGTGTTCTCTTGTCAGCTGAGAGCAGCATAACCAGGCCCACGATATTCACTCATTGAGCCCAGTCATAGACCACAATATTTATCTATGTCTATTATCTAACAAGATACAAATTGCTGGAAATAGAAACACAAACCAAGTCACCCGGTCCTCTCCCATCTGCAGAACAGATGTTGTCAGGATTATTCCATATGGAGGTAAGCAAGGCAGATGTGTCCTTGTTTCCTCGATATTTTTTTGTTGTTCAAAGCACGATAGCATATCTCAAATTTGCCCTCAGCATTAATGTCTTGCAACTTTTTTACTTGTTTATCTAATGGTGGAGTGGGGCTAAAAAGACATTTAATGCTACTTCATTTAAAAGGTGAAATAATTGAAAAATTTTTTGAATTCAGGTAAACAAAAAAATAATCTTTTAAAATTCAAGACAATTATCTGGTGATACACATTTGGGATCTAAAGAGACAAGAGAGAGCATTTAGTGCTCTACACAAATATTTCAGTGAGTGAATATTTCACATGAATGGGTCTTCAGACCGAGACTTGGAAACACTTTGTCATCAAAGACTCACAATAAAAGATCTCATGGATAACTTACTTTTCTCATTCTTAATATACCTTTCATGTCATGTAACCTATTTGTCCTTCTACATTGCTTCTGTTGAATAGTGAGTTTGAATTTAAGACCTGAAAAAGAAAATAAATGCACATAAAGCGTGTATGTTGTGCAGTATCTACAGACAGGGTATTCAGGAATAACTTCAAATATCAATTTCATTGTGTATATCTTTCTATTACAACTTATACATATAGTAGCAATGTTATTAGGTGCAGTAAAATTTCATAAGAACTCTAGTTTAATTACCAGACTCAGATACAAGCAGCTATTTACTTAAAAAGTAAGAGTCCACCAAATGAAGAGCCTCTCATTCCCCAGATGAAAGGAAAATCAGTATAAAAGAGGGTAGAGGAGCTACCTTCAAATACATTCAATGGAATGTGAATCTCATGTACTCCCTATTTCCATTTGCATTTCTCATAAATCTTAATAAGCACTTCAAAAACAAAGACTTATTTCTCAAGCACTTTAAATGTTCTCCTCAACGTGGCTTAGACTCTGACTTATGTCCTCTTTGTCCAGAATCCAAGCTCAAGAAGTAGTCCTAATTTAGAATATATTAGAATCATGGTAGCTGTAAAAGAACGGTGACAGAAACAAGAGAGAGCTCTTAAAATTAATGCTCAGATGTGTGCCAAGATCTTTCCAGTCAATTACATTGGTGAGTAACATGGTCAAGTATGTCACTGGGGCTTGGAAATACTCTTTTCTTAGAGACAAGGGCAACAAACAATTGCTAATACAATCTCCCATAGTAACAGAGGGAATATATTTTGACATCTTGAACTTCTATATGAAGGCAACCTCAAAGATGCAAGAAATCAAACAGCACTGTTTTTTTTAAGTCTTTCTGGAAGAAAGTTACTGAGCAATGAAATCCAAACACCAAGAACTTGGTCAAATAAAGCACTCAGAAATGAAGAATCCTGTTAAAGAAGGAATAAAAACATTACATTTAAGTGTGGAATCAAAATGAAATTGCTGTATACATTGAGTTTATAATCCATAATTTAAAGGCTACAGCCACAACAAACTAAATTAATAATATAATATCATTAGCAAAAATACAGAAGGTGGAGGAAAGGGAAGTAGGTGGATATGTAACTATACTAATATTATTTTCTATAGGTGAGTCAATCAATATAGTTTTAAATTAAAACAATGTTAAAAATGACTCCAACCTCTTAATGTTTTCCATAATCTTTGTTTGTTTGTTTGTTTGTTTGTTTGTTTGTTTGAGACGGAGTCTCGTTCTGTCTCCCAGGCTGGAGTGCAGTGGCGCGATCTCGGCTCACTGCAACCTCTGCTTCCCAGGTTCAAGCGATTCTCCTGCCTCAGCCTCCCGAGTAGCTGGGATTATAGGAACATGCAACCATGCTGGCTAATTTTTTGTGTTTTTAGTAGGGACGGGGTTTCACCATGTTGGCCAGTCTAGTCTCAATCCCCTGACCTCAGGTGATCTGCCCACCTCGGCCTCCCAAAGTGCTGGGATTACAGGCATGAGCCACCAAGCCCGGCCTTCCATAATCTTTTATAAATAAATTTAAAGATTTATTTTTAATGTAATGTTTACTGTAGATTAAAAATATTTACCTTGAATTTAGCATATCCTTTAATTTCACTTCAGTTACTTTTGCTTGTTTTACTTTGAAGCAAATAAATATATTTTCATTAAAAATATAATATATAATATATAATATTTGCTTTACATTTTAAAAAATCATTTATCTATTTCCCTCTTTACTTACATATCCATATAGTTGAGGTGCTAATTCAGTACCAAAATCAATGTTCCCCTTTCCAAGGTATACACATGTCACTGGAAGTAGCTGCCTATCTAAGGTCTAATTGTCTCACTCCCATCTCCTTACATCTAAGTATGACTATTTGAATATTTTTCACCGAATGAAATGTGAGCTGAAGGGATATATGACACTTTGGGGCCAATGCTCCTAATTATTTTCAAGCTTCTTTTTCTCATTTTAAACTCACCTATTTTGGTATTGGGAATCCCAGGTGGATCTCTTACAGTAAAATGAAAAAGGTTGCTTATGCAGTCTATGAATATTATGCCACTGGGAAAATTATTTCTTAAGTTATCTCAACAAAGTAGCTACTGATAGTAATATGATTTCCATGTAGCAGAACTATAGTATGAAGATCTGCTACTTGATCTGACATAAGTTCTGAATTTCAGGTCTTGTGACAACTTTATTCTCACTGTAATTAATAAAATTGCAATCTGTTTTTTCCTTCTGTCTCCACTGTTTAGTTAACATAAGATAGTCCCTGAGGGACTGATTATCCTTGAAAATGGTAAGAAGGGAATCCCTGAGCTTCCAAAGCAGAGAGCCAGATGCAGCCAGCCTTCCCTTTGATCATTTTATTTCAATTTACATCTTCATTCATTCTAATGAGTCCTAAAATGAGGATATAAATGTGTGTGTTTCCAAATAATCCATTTTTATAACATCAGTTGCGCAATCTCTGCCTTTATTGTAAAATATTAGTGTTTTATTAAGTTATACTGAGTGTATATTGATCAGAATAAAATTTGGCATACTAAAATATAGACATTTATGAGATTATTAATAAATACACAGGTTGAATTAGATCAAAGTATTTTATGTACATGTGGAAATCTGCATCTGTATTTTACATTGCTTCAGATCTCACATAGTAAATTTCTATACTGGAGAGAAGATATGGTAAATGTGGAGGCCAGAATAATAAACCCCTAAAGATGTTCAAGCACAAATCTCCAGAAACTAGGTATATATTACCTCACAGGGCAAAAGAGTCAAAGGATCTTTGCAGATGTGAATAGAAATATGGATTTTGAAATGGAGATTATTAGAATGGGTACAACCGGTCCATTCATATAAATGAGTTTGTAAAAGTAAGAACCTGGCTGAGGTTAGAGTTAGATGTGACAATGAAAGAAGGGTCCAGGAAATGCAATTTTGCTGGCTTTGAAGACAGGAGAAGGAGATCACAAACTCAGGAATGTGGATAGCCCCAGTACCTAGAAAAGGCAAGGAAATAGATTCTCCCATAGAACAATCAGAAAAGAACACAGCCCTGTAGACACCTCAAAATCCATGTGGTACTTCTGACCTACTAAACTGCAAGATAACTTTGTGATGCTTAAGCTGCTAAAAATTTGTGGTAATTTGTTAAGGCAGCAACAGAAAACTAATACAGTGAGTTATTTACATCAGACATCGAAATAATAGGAAAGAGATAACTGTGAAGGGAGCTGATGATCACGAAGATGAAGAAAAAGAATAAGGCAGAGGAATTCTCAGGGTACCAACTGCATAAATAGAACACGTCCTTTATCTGGTTATAGGGCTTCCGCTGCTTGATATCGACTTTTAAATGAGCGTTATCACCTATATTCAAAAGATGCACTAACAAGACACATGAACTTACAATCTCTATGTTGGAGAAAGGATTGAGGTGAAAGGTCGTATATGGTTAAAGAAAACAAGATTCACAGAACTTGAAAAAAATTAAGTAGGGCTCTAATCTGCAGTTTCTCTCAGTAATATTTTTACAAACAGTGACAATAAACCTAATGTCCATGAATCAAGCTAAAAGGAAAGTGGGTAAGTAGACATTGGAAACTCATTCTGATTTTGAGTCTTTCAGTTTGTATTGGGCTTTTAGCACCTGTCAGAGACTTGCTTTTTTTTTTTTTTTCCTCACTCTTTCTTGCTGCCAACAATGAGTTCATGGCACAGTCAAGGGAAAGGATAGAGAAATCCACAAACATTTTCTAAGGTCTGTTTCCCTGGCTATGTTTTTTGCCCATTCATATGCCAGTGCCAGTGTTTCATATATAGTATCTTTATAATAATATGTTTAATGTTTATTAAAATAGGTTATCACAACCATTATTCAGCTATTCTGAATTTTCCAGTTGTTTTTATGTGTTAGTCTTCACAATAAGATTTAGAATTATTTTGACATCTTTAGATGTTAATAATAAATGAAAATTTTAATTTCTGTTGAGAGTTTAGATACTCTTCAAAATACAGTTATGCATCCCAGGAACCTCAGAGGCAAACCAAAATTCAGAGGCTCCTTTTTAGTCTCTGCTTTAATTCTTTCACATTCCATTAGCTGAGTGAAATATTGTGTTCAGGGTGGTATAAACCCTCTTTAACGTAGAAGGAGAAGAGTAAATACTTGCTTAACATGAATGTAATGCACTGAAATATAGTGGAAGGTCAAAAATGGTATGGAAAATATGTAGAGCATAGGAAAAGGTATAGAGAATTTGGGGAGATTGGGTTGTGATTTAGATAGTGTGTTCTGAGTAGTCCTGAGATGACATTTAAGCACAGACCTGAAGGAGTTGAGAGAGTGCTCCATGTGGATAATTGAGAGAATAGCAATCCAGACAGAGGCAGCAGCCCATACATAGTACCAAGGTGTGAGCATATCCACTGTTTCAAGGAATGATGAGTAGAAAGTAATTGAAGTGGATTCAGAGTAGCTTATACAAGGGAAGCAGCCATGGAAGGGAAATTATATTTTAAAAAGATGAGTATGTTTAATTTGGAAGGTATACTCAAAAAGTTTTTTTGATTGAAATGTGTAAGAAAAATGCTTTGGAAGGCACTAAAAGGTGTTGATGAAATTACTTAGAGCATAAAAGACTCTCTGTGAAATACATTTGGCTTTTTGGCTTTCTCTCCAATTCATCTCTTATTAGTCTTTTACCCATTTCAACTACCAAGCTTCTATATTTTAGTATAAAATGATTACAACTCATTGAAAATTCTTTATGCAACACATTTCTTAGTGCTAGTACCTATGAAAGGTAATGGATATGCCTGAATGAATGCAATGGAAATGCCTTCCACCATTCTGACATTTATTCTCTAATTTGAGAAAGAACTAACAGGCACATACAAAGCACATAAGCAAAGATGAAATTAGATAAATTCGCAGAGAAATTAGAGTGAAGTGCAAAATCAATAAGGGAAGGAGGTAATATCTAAGTTGGAGCCTAAAACATACAAAAGGGCCAACTGTAAAAAGAAGGACGAGATCTACACAGAGTGGGTAGCATGCACTGTAGCCATTATGAGATGTGCTAAGATATGCCCACTTTTTAAATAAACTACGCATAAATGCATATTATGCGTAATTAACAAAATTAGCAAAATTAACTATTAGCAAAATTAGCAAATTAGCATAGTTAGCAAAATTAACTATTAAAACTCCAAATTAGTTCACAAGTAATTGCCATAAACAGAGGCAGTATTATAAATTATGCCCTAATAAATACACAAGCCCAGAAGCTAGCAATACTGGGTGAAAATCAGGCTCTGCTACTTACTAGCAGGGTGATCTTGAACAAGTTACATAATGTTTAGGTATTTCACTTTACTCATCAGTACAGTGAAGGTTGTTGTGAACATTTGAATTATACCTGTAAAATATTTTTACGGTATCTAGCATATAGAAATAACTTCATCAGCAACTTTTATAGTCCAGATTATTATTATACAGTTTTATGTATAATTAATATTGTCTTTAGCAAAATAAACTTTACAAACATGTAAGAGGAACCAATAAAAATAGTTTTAGGACATTTATCACTGTAGCCTCATGTAGATAGCTCTCTAAGGAATACTTTTTATGGTGTCTTATGTAAAGTTTTAGTCACAGTTTTATCTATTAAAGTTACTCTTTGAATTCTGGGAAATTTTAGCTATTTAAGATGTTAGTTAATGAAGTTCATTACTAGAACATCATTCTTACATATAACCGATTACATATTAAATGACTTTTCTAAATAACTCTGGGCTAATTAACAAATAAGCCTCCAATTCAAATATAAATAGAAGTAAAATTACTTGTAAAAAATACAATAGTCATTAAATGTTTGTCTCATCTAGGGTGAAAAGAGCCTAGAGAATGCCATTCTACATCTGATTCCACTTGCAAATTATGACATGTTTGGTAAATAAAAAGCAGAGCCTTGATCAAAAGGCATAGTGGCCAGACAAACTAGAGTAAAGGAGGTGTATGCATAACACTTTTATTTATTGTGTTTATAGAAGGAAGAGATCTGGTTATTAAGTCCAATAGCAGTCAAACCAGTTCTTCCAGATTTTATAATATTTTGGGTAATAATCTTTTAAGGCATCTTTTCTTTCAAATGAAGGTAGTGTTTGTTAACCAATTTGATTTTCACACATTTGATTATTCTGAAAAAAAAAAGTTGAAGCTTATCTAATAGCATTATGCCAAATGTGTTTGGGACGACAAAACTGAAGAATATATGAGACTTGCCCTGAAAGATTTTTTAGTCTATTAAAAGGGAGAGGCATGTACATTATTCAGTACAAATGAGACAGTTCGGTTTCATGAAAACTGCTTTAGGAATTTACAAGACAGAGATTAACATTCCAACAAGGAAAAAAAAATGCGACAAGGGTTAAAATGTAAATGCACACAAGGGACAGACAGGTAAGGTGAGTGAAGAGTCCAGGTAGAAGACATAGGCATACATTATATGTTAAACACAGGCACACTTTTCATCACCACACGAAAATACAGTCTTCGATTTTTTTTAACTATAAAGCTTTCTTATTTTATCCACATTTTCCTTTGGAAAGACACTGGCTACTGAAAAATATAATTTGAATTAGGGCAAGTGAGATGATAAATGGCAAATTTTTGTTTCAGAGAGACGGTGGTGGGCTGCAGAAGTTTGGCTACAGGACCCCATACTGGCATGACTCAAGCTGATTGGTGGCCACTGATATTAGGGGCTTGGTATTGCCAGATCTTCTAACTTTCAAGAGAAGCTGGAATGCAGATTTCGAGTGTAAAACCACTTCATATTCCAAAATTAGACCAAGTTATTAAAAATTGAAAAATAAAAGTGTGTCTGGGCCACATGAAATGCATATGCTGGCTGAATTCAGCCAGAAGAGGAAGAAATTTGCAACTCCTCCCTGAGGTAATGTTTTATTAGGATATGGAAGAACAGGAGAAACCTTTATCTCAATGACAATCATTTCTAAAAGTCTATGTTTGGCTTAGGTTCATGTTTAATACCAAGAGTTGTCAAGGTGACATACATTTCAATAATTTACTTTATTCCTATCTTAAAAGCTTTTTTTGCTATGAAATCTAAGAAAGAAAAGAGAATGACATGTATGATCTCACAAATATGAGAATATATGATTCTAAATTTGTGATCTAACACCTTTACCAAAAATAGCAGAATCCTATGTAATAAATTTATAAACCAGTTCATTGGTGCCATCCTCTCCAAAAAGAATTCCTATGAGTTATTAGATATAACATTTTGCAGTTGTACAAAAGGTGATAAAACATTTCCCTCCTAAACCATGGTGTTAGTATACTCAGGATAAACTGAAGCATACTGCAACTGAGAAGTATTAACTTTTCATAAATTGCACTTTTTCCTTTATAAACTTTTTCCGTAAGCCTTTGGTTAAAATCTCACAAATAACTGAGGTTCAGATCAACAGCAAATTCCAGGGTTCTTCAATAATCAACAGTTTTATATGCCTTCTCTTCATATTCTCATTTACACTATCTGATTGAGAATATGAATTATTACTATTAATTAAAGAAATCAAATTTTTGGTCTCAAGAAACAAAGGTAGAAATAAATGAAAACATAATTTTAAAATCTGTGCCTACAAATATAAAATTGACAGAAGGAAAAATTCTCTTTCACAAAATGTCTTTTCTCTGGCAGCATTCTGTTATGAATTCTTATTATTCAAAATGACTTTCCAAGGAATGTTTTTCATCTGAATCACCATAATTCTGTTTCAGTGCCTCAGCATCATTTTCAAATACTGTATGACTGATAAGAAATTTAAAAATGGTTTTACTCAATTTGCTGGGTCTTCCTTTTTTCCACTTCCAAGGAAATAATTGCTTTTTTCTTATTTTTTATTCCTTCTGATTTCCCCTTTCTCATGTATGTTTCTTCTGTCTCCCCTATCCTTCTCTTTACTGAAGTATGTTCCCCTAATTCCAGCAAAACCTCGAACTTAATAGTTACCCTGGAAACCTCCCCCGCCCCTTTTTAATTCTAGATCTCTTGGGACTGTATTTCATGGCAAAACCCTATTAGCTTCTTTTGATGTTTTGATCTTTCTGTGATTGGGAACCAGTTCATGCAGTCCAAACAGACAATTTTCTGAGGGCACTAAGTGGATTTTCAGATCTCCTTTGAGGAGAAATGAGCTTCAATAAAACATTACACCACTACCAAAGTTTACTGGCTTGAGTGATGTAGCTTCTTATGTGGTTCCTGCCTTTTACTGTAAGTTTACACTCCCATGAACATTAACTCTGCCCGGCGGTAGTGCTTTAAGTGAAGGTTTGCACGCAAATATGGCCTCCATGAAAGTTACCTTGGGCTAAAGTACTTCCATCATCGACAAAATTAAGCGTCACACTAGATCTCTGGTGGTTTAGTTGGCCTCAGATTCAGTTGTGGCTCATGTTTTATTAATGTGGTGAGATTGTCTTTTATTTTCAGCCTCCCACAGCAGGTGAGCTTGTCATATTCACTAAGAGAGAACGAGAGAAGATTGCCCACCACTTGCGTGAATTGTTTCCACAGTTCTTAATTTCTGCTGAGAGGCAGGCAATATAAACAAAGTTTTACTTAACTGCTGGAACATTTGTCAAGGATTTGATACACGCAAACCTCCATTTTTATGCCGCGCTATGAAAATGCTGCAGTGTTGCTCCTCTGAGTAACCCTGTGCGTGCCAAGCAGTGTCTCAGAATTAAGGTATTTGAACAATTTCTCTGGCTTTAGTCTAAGGAAAAGAAATCTCACCATCCAGAAAACTAGGCGGGTGGCCTGGAAATGAGTTAAAAATCATAGAAAAGAGAGGTTCTTGCTTCCAGTGTGGTAAGCTTAACTTTTTCCCAGCCCATTTTCCTGTAGTGGTTTTTTTTTTTTTTAGTATAGAAAATGCCAAATCCTTAAAGTTATAACAGCTGTTAAAAGCTACGTTCTTTAGGATACTACAATGTGCTAGAAAAACCTTCAAATTTTATCCAATATACCAATAAACACAAGAATATTTTTCTTGTGAATTAAATTTGTCAACAATTAAGAAGAGAATTATTCTTTTTCTTTCTTTCTTTCTTTTTTTTTTTTTTTGAGACCGAATCTCGCTCTACTGCTCAAGCTGGAGTGCAGTGGCGTGATGTCGGCTCACTGCAACCTCTGCCTCCTGGGTTCAAGCCATTCTCCTACCTTGGCCTCCCCAGTAGCTGGGCTTACAGGCATGCACCAAGCCTGGCTAATTTTTGTATTTTTAGTAGAGACAGGGTTTCATTATGTTGGCCAGGTTGGTCTTGAACTCCTGACCTCAAGTGATCTGCCTGCCTCGGGCTCACAAAGTGCTGGGATTACAGGCATGAACCACCGCACCCGGCCCGGGAATTCTTATTGTGTAGTCTCTATTAACAGAATTTATCTCTTTTTTTTTTGTAAATTGTTTGTCATATTTACAGATTATTTTTTAATTTGACAGGACCTAGAGTTCAAGAGAAAACAGATACAAATTCCATGCTGCAACTAATGATGAATAATAACATACTGATCAATGGGTTCTGTATAGTAATTTAATTAAGTGGGCTTCATGAATCTTGGGAAAGTGAACAAACTTGCATTATGTTGATTTCTTTTTATTTTTTGAAATTACAATATAATAAAAATTGGGTAAAAAATATGTGTATGCACACACACATACTTTACAGATACACACATATTTTATTCAGCTCTGAATTTTAAAAGTTAAACATTATGTTTAGTTCTTGTTTATTTTATTTACTATGAAAATTATTTTATTTTCTATTTTAAACAACTTTGAAGGCCATACATCTATAATACAAGTCAGGTAATGCTTTCTCTAATATCTAATATATTAATTGAATCATAGAAAAAGAAAATGTGGGTACTATTAATGCATTAAGGACTTTCTAATCGTGAATTTTCTAATTTGGCTCCATATCCAAATATGTTTGCAAATTTTATAGTTAGACTCTATCGTTAATTTAATGTGTATTGTCAAATTCTCCTCCTTTTTATTTGTGCTTTAGGAATCCTTCTCTATAAGATCCGTTATTCTGTGTTTTGAATTACTTATATCTAATTAAAACTTATAGAATAAACAAACAAATGGTGTGTAGAAGCTGAAGCTCATAGTTGACATTATTATAAACATAAACTTGCCTAAAAAGCTAATTAGTTAATTTTACCTTAAGGATCTGGAATTAACATTAAAACTCTTGTCACTATTTCAGTTAGCATTATCTTTTGAATACTCGATTTGAATACTCGATTTGAATACTTGAAAGTGATTATCTTTTGAATACTCGATTATTGAAAGAAATTATGCCTTTTAAAAATCATGATATTGTAATTCTAGTGCAATATTGAATGTGATTTAAGTAATTTACCCAATATTCTTTACCCAGTGAGACATGGAACAGAACCTAAACCAACATCTATATAATTCCAGAGCACATCTTCCTCCTGAAATAATCACATAAATTGCATGTAGGATGATGTTACCTCTAGATGAGCAGGAGTCAAGAGAATAGTTTTAAATTAAGCTGGATTAAGCAACTATTTTTGAGTTCAGGTTATAGAGGCACTTGAACTACTCTCCTTTAGAACAGTAAATAAAAGCCTTTCCTATTTCTAACATAAAATGATAATAGCTTTAATTTATAATAGAAAATTATGAAGATTAAACAGTTGCTCTTAAGATAGTGCAAACTGACAAAATGTGCTAGCACTTTGTGGTAGGCAGAATTCTTGAGATATTCCTTCAAGATTCCTGTCCCTTGGTTATTAAAGCAAACACTAATCTAGGAGCTGCTTTGAAAGGACTTTTCAGGTGGAATCAAAGTTACCTGACCTTAAAATAGGGAGATTGTTCTCAGTTATCTGGGTGGGCCCAATCAAAACACTTGAGTCCTTGAAAGTAGAGAAAATCTCTAATTGGGATCATAGAAATGCATCTGAAAGGGAGGCAGAAGAGAGATGAGGGTAAGGGGAGGTCAGAAATATTTGGAGTGTGTGGACCAGACCTGCTGCTGCTGGGGACAGGGGTGTGTGTAAAACATAGGAAATGTAGACAGCCTCTGAGGGTAAAGCCCCCCTCTGGCTTATACTCAGCAGCTGCAACAGGGGCTACTGTAGCTGCAAAGAACTGAATTAGGCCAACAGTCTGAATGAACTTGGAAGCAGATTCATCCCAAGAGCCTCTGGAAAAGAATGCAGCCCTGCTGACATGTTGGTTTTGGCTTTGTGAGACTCTAACCAGAGAACCAGTTAAGTCTTGCCTTGCCTTGCCTGGACTTCTGACTCAATAACAATGTGAGATAATGAATTGATGTTGTTTTATGCCACTAAGTTTGCAGTAATTTGTTGAAACAGCAATAGAAACTAATATGTACTTATTTTCTAAGCAGGAGTAATGAATGGTAATGTGACCTCACTGGAATGCAAGGATGTCTTTTCCAAGTGATATGAATTTTACACCAATATTGAAGATATGAATGCATTATAGGATAATAGACAAATATTGAAGAAACTAATGTATTGTTAAATGGAAAAAAAGTTAACTTTTAGAGTGAGTGGGTGAATTCCTTATTTCTCTTAAATCTGCAATGGTTATATAAACAAAAACGGAGAGGGATAAGGATGTAGTTGTGCAGGCTATTTGATGTTATACTACTGAGAGGTGACAGTGTGCTGGCAGTCCTCACAGCCCTTGCTCGCTCTTGGCGCCTCCTCTGCCTGGGCTCCTGCTTTGGCGGCACTTGAGGAGCCCTTTAGCCCACCGCTGCACTGTAGGAGCCCCTTTCTGGGCTGGCCAAGACCGGAGCCGGCTCCCTCAGCTTGCAGGGAGGTGTGGGGGGAGAGGCGCGAGCGGGAACCGGGGCTGCGCGTGGAGCTTGCGGGCCAGCTGGAGTTCCGGGTGGGCGTGGACTTGGCAGGCCCCGCACTGGGAGCAGCCCTGCCGGCCCCGGGCAATGAGGGGTTTAGCACCCGGGCCAGCAGCTGCGGAGGGTGTACTGGGTCCCCCAGCTGTGCAGGCCCACCGGCGCTACGCTCGACTTCTCCCCGGGCCTTCGCTGCCTCCCCGCGGGGCAGGGCTCGGGACATGCAGCCCACTATGCTTGTGCACCGCCGCCCGGTGGGGTCCTGTGCGGCCCGAGCCTCCCCGACGAGCACCGCCCCCTGCTCCACGGCGCCCAATCCCATCCACCACCCAAGGGCTGAGGCGTTCGGGTGCACGGAGGGGGACTGGTAGGCAGCTCCACCTACAGCCCTGGTGTGGGATCCACTGGGTGAAGCCAGCTGGGCTCCTGAGTCTGGGGAGGTGGAGAACCTTTATGTCTAGCTCAGGGATTGTAAATACACCAATCAGCACACTGTGTCTAACTCAGGGTTTGTGAATGCACCAATGGACACTCTGTAACTAGCTACTCTGGTGGGGCCTTGGAGAACCTTTATGCTAGCTCAGGGATTGTAAATACACCAATGGGCACTCTGTGTCTAGCTCAAGGTTTGTAAACACACCAATCAGCACCCTGTGTCTAGCTCAGGGTTTGTGAATGCACCAATCCACACTCTGTAGCTACTCTGGTGGGGCCTTGGAGAACCTTTGTGTTGACACGCTATATCTAGCTAATCTGGTGGGGACATGGAGAACCTTTGTGTCTAGCTCAGGGATTGTAAACACACCAGTCAGCGCCCTGTCAAAACAGACCACTGGGCTATACCAATCAGCAGGATGTAGGTGGGGCCAGATAAGAGAATAAAAGCAGGCTACCGGAGCCAGCTGTGGCAACCTGCTCAGGTCCCCTTCCACACTGTGGAAGCTTTGTTCTTTCGCTCTTTGCGATAAATCTTGCTACTGCTCACTCTTTGGGTCCACACTGCTTTTATGAGCCGTAACACTCACCACGAAGGTCTGCAGCTTCACTCCTGAAGCCAGCGAGACCACAAGCCCACCAGGAGGAATGAACAACTCCAGACGTGCTGCCTTAAGAGCTGTAACACTCACTGGGAAGGTCTGCAGCTTCACTCCTGAACCCAGCGAGACCACGAGCCCACCGGGAGGAATGAACAACTCCAGACGCTGTCTTAAGAGCTGTAACACTCACTGCGAAGGTCTGCAGCTTCACTCCTGAGCCAGCGAGACCACGAGCCCACCGGAAGGAAGAAACTCCAAACACAACCGAACATCAGAAGGAACAAACTCCAGACGCGCCACCTTAAGAGCTGTAACACTCACCGCAAGGGTCTGCGGCTTCATTCTTGAAGTCAGTGAGACCAAGAACCCACCAATTCTGGACACACTACTAGTAGTTAAACAGAGCTATGGTTTGAATGTTTGGATCCCGTCCCAAATTTACGTTAAAGCTTAATTCCCAAAGAAATAGTATTAAGAGGTGGTACCTTTAGGAAATGATTCAGTCAGGAGATTTCCTCCTTTGTGAATGGGATTAAGGACATCATAAAAGTGGCATTATACAGTGGTAGGTCCGTTTTTGCCTTTCTGTCCCTTCACCAGGAAAGGACACTTGGAGAAAGCACTGTCTATGAGGAATGGGCCATGACCAGTGAATGCCGGTACCTTGATATTGGACTTCCCAGGCTCCAGACTATAAGAAATAAATTTTTTAAATAAATTACCCTATCTCAGGGATCCTGTTAAAGTGGCATGAACCGCCTAAAACAGCAGACTGCATTGAGGGTCTAGTGTTATGAAAGCCAGGGCAAGAGATGAAGCCAGCTCAGAAAAGAAATGAAGGAAATGGTAAATGAGGATAAAGACTGCTAATCTTGTGCTGTATTGAAAAAAGCTTTCAAGGAATTAATGACTCAAGAGACAATTTTATTGTATGTTGCTGTTAATGTTGCTTTAGCTAATTTTGACTTGATTTAAATCTCGACTTAAAGTGTTGATCATTTTTCTCCCTGGTGAGCCATATGGTGCACTCAGATACTTCTACCTAGTTTCTGTTCAAATATCAGATTGTCAGTGAGACCCTTACTGACACTCTATAAAAGTGTAAAATATCGTCACATACCTCACATCCACCCTCTTTTTGCAAGTTTTTTCTCAATAAAATGTATAAAGAAGACATTTAGTTTTTTATTTGCTTATACATCTCTTTTCGTCACCCGAATGTATGCTGTGTGGACACAGGAAGAATGTTTGTTCACTGCTCCACCTCCAACATCTAGAAAATTATAGAAGATGCTTAATTGTTCCCTGTTTGAAACCTTCTCCTCCATGTTGTCACAGTATTTCCCTCGATCATTCCTCTTTAAGCTTTCCAAACTATACAAGGCAAGGGAGTCTGATTCAAATTTAATTAAAATAAAAATCAATTCAAATATACTTATTTAGAAAAATTTTGTCCAATGACCAAAGCAGTGAGAATATTTTCATTACTCTACTTGATATTACTACTTTTGGCCATCTGTGTAAGTTAGAGAATGTTTTTCTTCATTTTGTGCACCGTAAATTCATTCTAAATAAAGATAAATTCTTCTATTATAATATACTAAAGTTTCTCATGCCTCACTTTATTATCAACAAAATTTCCAAAGAATGCATGTATCTTTTTCCTCAAATTCTTATCCAAATGTGCTAAGTAGTAATGGTGGATTAACACTTTCATTTAAGAAAAGAGCTTATTTAGAAACAACGGAGTTTAAATAGCAGCTCAGTGTCATGCAGTAATACCAGCACTTAGTACACCACACTAAAGAAAAAAGCAACACACTCACATTTACTGGGAAATGAGAAAACTTGCAGTTCTTATCAACTTCCCACTAAAAGAGATGGTTCAAAGCTTCCATTTTTGTTACATAGCATTGTTCAACAGCATCATCTGACTTTTCTTATTGTTATGTGGCCAGTTTTAGCACACTAACTCAGAGAGAATGCAGATGCTGATGTCTGTGGGTTCTTTGATGTATTTTTCTACCATGTTTTGAATCTTAACCTTTGGTCATTCTTATTTACAGTTTTGTATTTTTGTTGAAATAAAAGTCTAAATGGCAATGAGGGTTATTTTTGTAAAATGAGTTCCCACTGTGTAGTACCATCCCATAAACAATGCATACGGTTTAATGTTCAAGCTGAAAATCAGAATCACATTTTAAAATGACTGCAGAGTAACATAGGCTGAAGTCAGTTTCTACAATTTAATTAGATTTATTTTTATGAGAAGATGTTCAAGATTATTTTACTCAAGATATTATTTTAGGCTTTCTCCTACAGGGCAATGATTATTAACACTATTTTCTGTTAACCACAGCATTTTGACTGAGGAGTAATTCTACCTTCACATTTTTGTCACATGGTATAACTAATAGGCTAAATTTTTCCAGCAAAGCACATTATATGTGTAAAAACAATTCAAACCCAGTAAATGCAGTTACTTGGAAACATTATAAGGCAATGTCACACCATAACATTTACCTGCTATGTTTTATTCTTTAACCCTCAAACACTTTTGTTGTTTCCTGAGCTGAGATTAGTATCTTAAAAAGCTTTTATTAAACATGCACAATCTAAATGAAGCACACAACCAACTGTAAATTCTCTCAATTAGACTTCCTGCAAATGACAAATGAGTGTGAATGTGCAATAAAACTTTGAATACCGGTGATTTAGTGCTAAGCAGAACTAGGGGATTTCTAGCAACAGATTGAATGCAATTGATTGTGCGGTAAAAGGTAAGAAAACTGTGTGGTGATTCGTTTGCCCTTTCATTTCCTTAAATCAAGAGAGGATACTTGCAATGCAGAATTTATATTAACGTGCTTTGAGAAGCAACTTAGGTCAAAGAAAAGACACAACAACTCACAGATTAACAATTGCATTATTTCAAGGCACCAGACCTCAATTCCTTTTGAAAAATGTAAGAATTACTTATAGATAAGAAAAATTCATCCAGCGTGTCATTTATTTGCTTTTGTTTGTATGGAGGAACATTTTATGGTATTTCTTTACAGACCATAATTGACTTGCTTTAGACTTTCTGATAGAAGCTTAGTGTACATAAAGAAATTGGTTTGGTCTACATTAGCAATTTTAAGGCTTGATTGTAAGAGCCAAGTATATCTGCTGGAACTACATGTGACACTTATATTTATTTTCTGAAATATTATATTTAACTTCATGTGGAGAAAATTTTAGGCCCTGTGAAATTTGTAAATTAATGATGTGGTTGTGAAAAGTAAACAATATTTGCCTTTTAAATAGGATGACTGCAATATTGACTTGAAAGTTATTTTATTTTGTAATACATATTAAACTTCAAAAGGTAACTCTGAAACTAAATACAGTATTGGAACCAAATCTTGAGCATTTATATACACAAGATTTATATGTGGTTACATGGTGACAATAAGCAACCCCAAATTCATATGACAAAACAAGATAATTGTCATTTATACTACATGTCCATTTGCAGACAGCAACAGGGGACCACAATCACAGCCCTTAAAGGATCCAAGCTGACTGAGCATCCGCCATCTTAAGAGTTCGTGTTATATCAGAGGCAATGTCAGTTCTGAAAATCCTCAATCTAATGATAATACATGTTCTGTCACTTACCGTATGTTTGTAAGGTTTTTGTATCAGTTCAAATTCCGAGAGTGTGCCAACAGACAACAGGAGGCGGTGTGGAGCAACATGCTGTTTTAATGAGCACCTGGGTGCAAGAGGGCTGAGGCCTAAGATGGCATCAGGCCTAAAATGGCCTCAGCCCCAAGTGAGGATGGGGCAAAGGTTTTGTAGTCTCCTGTAAACAGGAAGTGTCCTAGTCTGACGTAACTACCACATAGTACCCAGACAGCATCCTTCTGGATCTTCAGAAGTATGTGTTTTCCCGCCAGAGTAGATGTCTTCCCGCCGGCTCTCTTCCTGCTTCTGCTGTCTTGCTGGCACATGCTGCTGATGCACCCTGCTGATGCAAGTGGTCTTGCACCTTGGGACTGGGCCTGAGAAAGGAGGAGTTATTCATCTTCTTAAGCTTTCAGCCTGGGGAAAATCTTACAATGTTACCTTATTGGCGAGAGCTAGTGTGAATCAATGAAAATGACTGAGGCAAGTCTCAATCATTTTAGGAGGTTTCTTTGCTAAAGTTAAGGACATTCGCCTGGGAGACAGGTCTATGCCTTTCTTCAAAGATGATTTTGAGGGGCTTTAATATTTAAAGAGGAATGGCGGATATTGGGGAAAGAGGAAAAAATTAAAGGTATGGATAGATAAGAGACAAACGGCTGCATTCTTTTGAGTCTTTGATCAGGCTTTTACTGAATATATAATTTACATGTGAGAGGAGAGAAGAGGAATATTTTACATAACATAATGTAAACAACAGGGCAGAAGAAGCAATCAGATATACATTTGTCTCAAGTGAGCAGAGGAATGACTTTGAGTTCTGTCCTTTGTCCTGAGCCTGTAAAGATAAGCTATCAATTTACATTGCCATGGTGAAATTCAACAGACCTGTTTTATGGGTAAAGATTTGGGGGCCCACAAGGAATTTCCTTGTGGGCAAATTGTGAGGGGAGTATGTAGCTTTTTATCTTTGTAGCTATCTTATTTAGGAACAAAATGGGAGACAGGTTTAAGACTCAGTTCCCACCTTGAGTTTTCCCCTTGGCTTAGTGAGTTTGGGGTCCTGAGATTTATTTTCCTTTCATACTAGTCACATGACTCCATATAATCCTAATGAGAGATGGGCAAAAAATGTTATTCTACCATCTGCCTAAAAAGTAGAGGACCAAATACATTCGTTTAATAGATTAATGATTACCATATACACATAAGACCATATTAATTGTGATTCTTAGATACACACACGCCTGCAAACACAAATATACATGTTTTATATATAGTTTTAGTATAATTGATTACTGTAAATCTGCCAATCAGTTATTGTTTTGTTTTTAATTTGCAGATGACAGGTAAAAATTTTTAGGATGCTATCTAATTTTATAGTTCTTGCTTAGCATAAATTTCAAGCTAATTATAACAGGTACTATGCCACTAAATGCAAATAAAATAGGTTGTATGGCCCCAGAGCTGAAATTATTTACTGTGTTTCCTTTTATGGAAAAAATATCCTCTGACACTTAGCTTAAAAATTTGGCTAGTTTTGACTCAGCTTGCCTGAGATTGTTCTTCTCATGTCTCTCATCCTTCCCCTGGAGCTAATGGTCACATTCTTCTCTGACAACGATAACATGCAAGAGAGAAAGACGTAAATATTTGTAAAGTGTGAAGATATTCTGGAATGCACAAATAGATAACATTTTGGCATGGAAAAATTGAAATAGCTGATGCCTAACTAAATTTAGACTAAAAATGCTCCCCTGCCCTGGCAAAGAAAAATATCCTAGGGGGTAGCTACCAATTTTTGAATGCTTAATATGTGACATATATACTTTGCATGTATTTTCTGGCTTAAATTTAGACATTGAAATTTATTCTTTATGAATAATAAAACTGAGATGCCAGTGTGTTGAACAATTTCCATAAATTGTTACAACTAATAAAGTGATAAAATTAGGATTTAAATTTCAGGTGTGTTCATGATAAGGGGGACCACATGTCCTGATATGCACAGTAGAGTTCTAGTTTTTGTATATTGTCCTAGCCTAATGATTAATAGTTCTTTTTTTTTTTCTCAAAGTGTCCTGGTATGAATGCTAGATTAGATCATCACTCTAGTCTGAAGTCAGCTCTCAACCACATCACCTTGAATAAAAGGAGAACAGGAAACTCAATGGAAAAGCTATTCTTAACCTACGCATCTTCCTTTTGTCTGCAGCTAAAATGTATTTACAAGACTGATTTCTAGAAATAAAAATTCGTTTTGTTCAGAAGTTAGGCCTCTTATTTCCATTTTGAGAAATAAGGAAAAATTAACAATATTGACCTAGATAGTATTGAGAACATTATGGGAATCTCATTTCTGAGTTACCTAACACATACAAAAAAAAATACACTGTGTTATTTGTGTGTGTTTTGATATCTTGAAAGTCTATTGCAGAGGTTTACACAATATAAAACACAATAAGAGGAAAGAAACCCTTTTGGAAAATCTTCAGTCTAAAACTGATTTTGAATTGTCCATATCGATATAATTTATTCTCTCATTTCTCTATATGAATCAAAGCGGATATATATATATATATAAAATCAGACAAATTTAAAGTCATAACAAAATACTAAATGGCAGGCTGTGGAGAAAATGAGGTTTATTAACTTGATTTTTTAGTAATAGAAGTTAGAGTCTGAGTTCTGAGTTTATTTAATAATTTAAAATATTTGATCAATTAGTCCTTAACAGTTTGCAAGGAGTATAGAAATTTCACTACTTTACTTTCATCTTGCATATAGTGTTAGTTTGTTAGCTTTCCTGGCCCCACATCTAGTCATGTACAGAATCTTGTACTCAATAAACATTGATTAGCTGACTGATTGATCGATTGACTTAATACACAAACTCAGTGCACTTAGAAGGGAAATTTGAGCTATTTTATTTTATTAGAATATAGTGATAAATCTGTTCATATGTAACATTTTGTTGCAAATTTTTGAGAATCTGTTTTACTAATAAAGACATATTCAGTAAACACTTGGATATCTGAGAAATATATGAGAAATCTATCTCAGAAATACCTGAGAAATATATGAGAATATATTCAGTAATATATGATGGACAGAATGATTTATTTTTAAAAAAGTAATGGAATTAAAGCAAGGAAACAATTCTTAAGTGGATGCCACACAGAAGAATATCAGATTCTAATATATTTAATAAAATGCTATTTGATAAAGAATAGACTCAGTATTGGACTTAACACTCATTGCTAATAATGAATTCAAGTGTGGAAACACAGTCAAATGTGACTGAAAAAATATGATTTTTTTCTTTTGTATTATATATTAAAATAGCAACTCTACAATTTTGGGACATATGATCCTGAAAACTCTCATGGTTTGAAAATCTTCAGTTAATGACAGATCTTATGTTAAAAATAGCAGTAGGAAGAAGAGAGAAAACCTGTGTAGATATATGCACTTTTCTTAAAACATTTATTAGAAAAAGTGAGAGAAAAGGCTATTTCTGTGTATTTTCTAGAAGTTGTTTCACATGCTTTTATTTTTGACCACAGGATAATGTATTTTCTTTTAATTTTTTTTTTGTTCTGACTTTTTGTGGGTACATAGTAGGTGAATATATTTATGGGGTGCATAAGATATTTTGATACAAGCCTGCAATGTCAAATAATCATATCACAGAGAATGGGGGATCCAACCCCTCATTTATCTTTTGTGTTACAAACAATCCAATTACATGTTTTTAGTTATTTTAATATGTATAATTCATTTATTGTTGATTATAGTCACCCTGTTGTGCTATCAAATAGTAGATCTTCTTCTTTCTGTCTATTTATTGTAACCATTAACCACCCTCACCTCCACTTCCAGTCCCCCACTACACTTCCCAGCCTCTAATAACCATCCTTCTACCCTCTAGGTCCATGAGTTCAATTGTTTTGATTTTTAGATCCCAGAAATAAATGAGAATATGTGATGTTTGTCTTTCAGTGCCTGTCTTGAGTCACTTAACATGATGATCTCCAGTTCCATCCACGTTGTTGCAAATGACAGGATCACATTCTCTTTACAGCTGAATAATATTCCATTGTGTATATGTACCACAGTTTCTTTACCCATTCATCTGTTGATGGATGCTTAGGTTGCTTCAAAATCTTAGCTGTTGTGCTGCAACAGATGTGAGACTACAGATATCTCTTTGATATTACTGATTTTCCTTCTTTTGGGTATATACCCAGCAGTGGAATTGCTGGATCATAAGGTAGCTCAATTTTTAGTTTTCTGAAGAACCTCCAAACTATTTTCCATAGTGGTTATACTAATTTACAGTCTCACCAACAGTGTATGAGGGTTCCCTTTTCTCCACATCCTCAACAGAATTTGATATTGCCTGACTTTTGAATACAAGCCATTTTAACTAGGGTGAGATGATATTTCATTGTAGTTTTGAGTTGCATTTCTCTGAAGATCAATTCTGTTGAGCACCTTTGCATATGCCTATTTGCCATTTGTATGTCTTCTTCTGAGATAAGCCTATTGCCTTTTGCCCATTTTTTAAATCTAATTATAAGATTTCTCTCTATAGAGTTGTTTGAATTGACATATGCTGGATATTAATACCTTGTCAGATGAGCAGATTGCAAATATTTTTTCACATTCTGTGGGTTGTTTCTTCACTTTGTTGATTGTTTCCTTTGCTGTTCAGAAGCTTTTTAACTTGATATAACCCCTTTTGTCTATTTTCCTTTGGTTCCATGTGCTTGTGTGGCATTGCTCAAGGAATTTTTGCCATGACCAATGTCATGAAGATTTCCTCCAATGTTTCTTGTAGTAGTTTCATAGTTTGTGGTCTTAGCTTTTAATCCATTTTGATTGGATTTTCATATATGGTGAGAGATGGGGTCTAGTTTTATTCCTCTGCATATGGATATCTGGTTTTCTCAGCACTATTTATTGAAAAGACTGCCTTTTCCCCAGTGTGTGTTCTTAGTAACTTTGTCGAAATTGAGCTCACTGTAGAAGTGTGGATTTCTTTCTGGATGCTCTGTTCTGTTCCCTTGACCTATGTGCCTGATTTTATGCCAGTACCATGCTGTTTTGATTACTGTAGTTCTGTAGTACATTTTTAAATCAGGTAATGTGATTTCTCCAATTTTGTTTTTTTTTTTTTTTTTTCTTAGAATAGCTTGGGCTATTTTGGGTCTTTAATGGTTTCATATGAATTTTAGAATAGTTTTTTTAATTATTTATGTGAAGAACATCATTGGTAATATCTTCTTTTTCATGTCTGATTTTATTGATTTGGAACTTCTCTCTTTTTTCATTAGTCTAGCTGAAGGTTTGTCAATTTTTTTAACTTTTGAAAAATGTTAAATTTTTACTTCACTGTGAAATACTTTTTATTTCACAAAAAGTATTTATTCATTTCAACTTTATTTATATTCTGATGTTTATTATTTATTTTCTTTTACTAATTATGGGTTTGGTTTGCACTTGCTTTTATAATTCCTTGATAAGTTTTGTTAGATTGTTTATTTGAAGCTTTTCTTCTTTTTTGATGTAGGAACTTGTAGCTATAAACTTCACTTTTAGTACTGTTTTTACTGTATCCCATAGTTTTTGGTATGTTGTGTTTTCATTATCATTTGTTTCCAAAAATGTTTTAAATTTCCTTCTTAATTTCTTCATTGACCCACTGGTAATTCAACAGCGTATTGTTTATTTTCCATGCATTTCTATAGTTTCCAAAATTCCTCTTGTTATTAATTTCAAGTTGTATTCCTTTATGAGCAGAGAAGATGCTTACTATTATTTAATTTTTTTGAATTTTTTTTCAATAATATATATATGTATTTTTAAAATTATTATTATACTTTAAGTTCTAGGGTGCATGTGCACAACATGCAGGTTTGTTACATATGTATACATGTGCCATGTTGGTGTGCTGCACCCATTAACTCATCATTTACATTAGGTATATCTCCTATTGCCATCCCTCCCCCCTCCCCCCACCCCACAACAGACCCCGGTGTGTGATGTTCCCCTTCCTGTGTCCATGTGTTCTCATTGTTCATTTCCCACCTATGAGTGAGAACATGCGGTGTTTGGATTTTTGACCTTAGGATAGTTTGCCGAGAATGATGGTTTCCAGTTCCATCCATGTCCCTACAAAGGACATGAACTCATCATTTTTTATGGCTGCATAGTATTCCATGGTGTATATGTGCCACATTTTCTTAATCCAGTCTATCATTGTTGGACATTTGGGTTGGTTCCAAGTCTTTGCTATTGTGAATAGTGCCACAATAAATATACGTGTGCATGTGTCTTTATAGCAGCATGATTTATAATCCTTTGGGTATATACCCAGTAACAGGGTTGGCTGGGTCAAATGGTATTTCTAGTTCTAGATCCCTGAGGAATAGCCACACTGACTTCCACAATGGTTGAACTAGTTTACAGTCCCACCAACAATGTAAAAAATGTTCCTATTTCTCCACATCCTCTCCAGCACCTGTTGTTTCCTGACTTTTTAATGATCGCCATTCTAACTGGTGTGAGATGATATCTCATTGTGGTTTTGATTTGCATTTCTCTGATGGCCAGTGATGATGAGCATTTTTTCATGTGTCATTTGGCTGCATAAATGTCTTCTTTTGAGTAGTGTCTGTTCATATCCTTCACCTACTTTTTGATGGGGTTGTTTGTTTTTTTCTTGTAAATTTGTTTGAGTTCATTATAGATTCTGGATATTAGCCCTTTGTCAGATGAGTAGGTTGCAAAAACTTTCTCCCATTCTGTAAGTTGCCTGTTCACTCTGATGGTAGTTTCTTTTGCTGTGCAGAAGCTCTTTAGTTTAATTAGATCCCATTTGTCAATTCTGGCTTTTGTTGCCATTGCTTTTGGTGTTTTAGATATGAAGTCCTCGCCCATGCCAATGTCCTGAATGGTATTGCCTAGGTTTTCTTCTAGGGTTTTTATGGTTTTAGGTCTAACATGTAAGTCTTTAATCCATCTTGAATTAATTTTTGTACAAGGTATAAGGAAGGGATCCAGTTTCAGCTTTCTACATATGGCTAGCCAGTTTTCCCAGCACCATTTATTAAATAGGGAATCCTTTCCCTGTTGCTTGCTTTTCTCAGGTTTGTCAAAGATCAGATAGTTGTATATATGTGGCGTTATTTCTGAGGGCTCTGTTCTGTTCCATTGATCTATATCTCTGTTTTGGTACCACTACCATGCTGTTTTGGTTACTGTAGCCTTGTAGTATAGTTTGAAGTCAGGTAGTGTGATGCCTCCAGCTTTGTTCTCTTGGCTTAGGATTGACTTGGCAATGTGGGCTCTTTTTTGGTGCCATATGAATTTTAAAGTAGTTTTTTCCAATTCTGTGAAGAAAGTCATTGGTAGCTTGATGGGGATGGCATTGAATCTATAAATTATCTTGGGCAGTGTGGCCATTTTCATGATATTGATTCTTCCTACCCATGAGCATGGAATGTTCTTCCATTAGTTTGTATCCTCTTTTATTTCATTGAACAGTGGTGTGTAGTTCTCCTTGAGGAGGTCCTTCACATCCCTTGTAAGTTGGATTCCTAGGGATTTTATTTTCTTTGAAGCAATTGTGAATGGGAGTTCACTCATGATTTGGCTCTCTGTTTGTCTGTTATTGATGTATAAGAATGCTTGTGATTTTTGCACTTGATTTTGTATCCTGAGACTTTGCTGAAGTTGCTTATCAGCTTAAGGAGATTTTGGGCTGAGATGATGGGGTTTTCTAGATATAGAATCATGTCATCTGCAAACAGGGACAATTTGACTTCCTCATTTCCTAATTGAATACCCTTTATTTCCTTCTCCTGCCTGATTGCCCTGGCCAGAACTTCCAACACTATGTTGAATAGGAGTGGTGACAGAGGGCATCCCTGTCTTGTGCCAGTTTTCAAAGGGAATGCTATCAGTTTTTGCCCATTCAGAATGATATTGGCTCTGGGTTTGTCATGGATACCTCTTATCATTTTGAGATACGTCCCATCAATACCTAATTTATTGAGAGTTTTTAGCATGAAGGTTTGTTGAATTTTGTCAAAGGACTTTTCTGCATCTATTGCGATAATCATGTGGTTTTTGTCTTTGTTTCTGTTTATATGCTGGATTACATTTATTGATTTTTGTATGTTGAACCAGCCTTGCATCCCAGGGATGAAACCCACTTGATCATGGTGGATAAGCTTTTTGATGTGTGGCTGGATTCGGTTTGCCAGAATTTTATTGAGGATTTTTGCATCAATGTTCATCAAGGATATTGGTCTAAAATTCTCTTTTTTTTGGTTGTGTCTCTGCCCGGCTTTGGTATCAGGATGATGCTGGCCTCATAAAATGAGTTAGGGAGGATTCCCTCTTTTTCTATTGATTGGAATAGTTTCAGAAAGAATGGTACCAGCTCCTCCTTGTACCTCTGGTAGAATTTAGCTGTGAATCCATCTGGTCCTGGACATTTTTTGGTTGGTAAGCTATTGATTATTGCCTCAATTTCAGAGCCTGTTATTGGTCTATTCAGAGATTCAACTTCTTCCTGGTTTAGTCTTGGGAGGATGTATGTGTAGAGGAATTTATCTGTTTCTTCTAGATTTTCTAGTTTATTTGCATGGAGGTGTTTATAGTATTCTCTGATGGTAGTTTGTATTTCTGTGGGATCGGTGCTGATATCCCTTTATCATTTTTTATTGCGTCTATTTGATTCTTCTCTCTTTTCTTCTTTATTAGTCTTGCGAGTGGTCTATCAATTTTGTTGATCTTTTCAAAAAACCAGCTCCTGGATTCACTGATTTTTTGAAGGGTTTTTTGTGTCTCTATTTCCTTCAGTTCTGCTCTGATCCTAGTTATTTCTTGCCTTCTGCTAGCTTTTGAATGTGTTTGCTCTTGCTTTTCTAGTTCTTTTAATTGTGGTGTTAGGGTGTCAATTTTAGATCTTTCCTGCTTCCTCTTGTGGGCATTTAGTGCCATAAATTTCCCTCTACACACTGCTTTGAATGTGTCCCAGAGATTCTGGTATGTTGTGTCTTTGTTCTCATTGGTTTCAAAGAACATCTTGATTTCTGCCTTCATTTCATTATGTACCCAGTAGTCATTCAGGAGCAGGTTGTTCAGTTTCCATGTAGTTGAGCAGTTTTGAGTGAGTTTCTTAATCCTGAGTTCTAGTTTGTTTGCACTGTGGTCTGAGAGACAGTTTGTTATGATTTCTGTTCTTTTACATTTTCTGAGGAGTGCTTTACTTCCAACTATGTGGTCAATTTTGGAATAGGTGTGGTGTGGTGCTGAAAAGAATGTATATTCTGTTGCTTTTGGGTGGAGAGTTCTGTAGATGTCTATTACGTCCACTTGGTGCAGAGCTGAGTTCAATTTCTGGGTATCTTTGTTAACTTTCTGTCTCATTGATCTATGTCGTCTATGTTATAACTATCTGTCTCGTTGTCTAATGTTGACAGTGGGGTGTTAAAGTCTCCCATTATTATTGTGTGGGAGTCTAAGTTTCTTTGTAGGTCACTAAGGACTTGCTTTATGAATCTGGGTGCTCCTGTATTGGGTGCATATATATTTAGCATAGTTAGCCCTTCTTGTTGAATTGATCTCTTTACCATTATATAATGGCCTTCTTTGTCTCTTTTGATCTTTGTTGCTTTAAAGTCTGTTTTATCAGAGACTAGGATTACAACCCCTGCCTTTTTCTGTTTTCCATTTGCTTGGTAGATCTTCCTCCATCCCTTTATTTTAAGCCTATGTGTGTCTCTGCACGTGAGATGGGTTTCCTGAATACAGCACACTGATGGGTCTTGACTCTTTATCCAATTTGCCAGTCTATGTCTTTTAATTGGAGCATTTAGCCCATTTACCTTCAAAGTTAATATCATTATGTGTGAATTTGATCCCGTCATTATGATATCAGCTGGCTATTTTCTCATTAGTTGATGCAGTTTCTTCCTAGCCTTGATGGTCTTTACAATTTGGCATGTTTTTGCAGTGGCTGGTACCAGTTGTTCCTTTCCATGTTTAGTGCTTCTTTTAGGAGCTCTTTTAGGGCAGGCCTGGTGGTGACAAAAAGCTCTCAGCATTTGCTTGTCTGTAAAGTGTTTTATTTCTCCTTCACTTATGAAGCTTAGTTTGGCTGGATTTGAAATTCTGGGTTGAAAATTCTTTTCTTTAAGAATGTTGAATATTAGCCCCCACTCTCTTCAGGCTTGTAGAGTTTCTGCTGAAAGATCAGCTGTTAGTCTGATGGGCTTCCCTTTGTGGGTAACCCAATCTTTCTCTCTGGCTGCCCTTAACATTTTTTCCTTCATTTCAACTTTGGTGAATCTGACAATTATATGTCTTGGAGTTGCTCTTCTCGAGGAGTATCTCTGTGGCATTCTGTTTCCTGAATTTGAATTTTGGCCTGCCTTGCTAGATTGGGGAAGTTCTCCTGGATAATATCCTGCAGAGTGTTTTCCAACTTGGTTCCATTCTCCCTGTCACTTTCAGGTACACCAATCAGATGTAGATTTGGTCTTTCCACATAGTCCCATATTTCTTAGAGGCTTTGTTCATTTCTTTTCATTCTTTTTTCTCTGAACTTCTCTTCTGGCTTCATTTTATTCATTTCGTCTTCCATCACTGATACCCTTTCTTCCAGTTGATCGCATAAGCTGCTGAGGCTTCTTCATTCATCATGTAGTTCTCATGCCTTGGTTTTCAGCTCCATCAGGTCCTTTAATGATTTCTCTGAGTTGGTTATTCTAGTCATCCATTTGTCTAATTTTTTTTCAAAGTTTTTAACTTCTTTGCCATTGGTTCGAACTTCGTCCTGTAGCTTGTAGTAGTTTGATCGTCTGAAGCCTTCTTCTCTCAACTCGTCAAAGTCATTCTCCATCCAGCTTTGTTCCATTGCTGGTGAGGAACTGCATTCCTTTGGAGGAGGAGAGGTGCTCTGATTTTTAGAGTTTCCAGTTTCTCTGCTCTGTTTTTTCCCCATCTTTGTGGTTTTATCTACCTTTGGTCTTTGATGATGGTGACGTACAGATGGGTTTTTGGTGTGGATGTCCTTCCTGTTTGTTAGTTTTCCTTCTAACAGACAGGACCCTCAGCTGCAGGTCTGTTGGAGTTTGCTAGAGGTCCACTCCAGACCCTGTGTGCCTGGGTATCAGCAGTGGTGGCTGCAGAACAGTGGATATTGGTGAACCGCAAATGCTGCTGCCTGATCGTTCCTCTGGAAGTTTTGTCTCAGAGGAGTAGTACCCAGCCATGTGAGGTGTCAGTCCACCCCTACTGGGGTGTGCCTCCCAGTTAGGCTACTCGGGGGTCAGGGACCCACTTGAGGAGGCAGTCTGCCCGTTCTCAGATCTCAAGCTGCGTGCTGGGAGAACCACTACTCTCTTCAAAGCTGTCAGACAGGGACATTTAAGTCTGCAGAGGTTACTGCTATCTTTTTTTTTGTCTGTGCCCTGCCCCCAGAGGTGGAGCCTACAGAGGCAGGCAGGCCTCCTTGAGCTGTGGTGGGCTCCACCCAGTTCAAGCTTCCTGGCCGCTTTGTTTACCTAATCAAGTCTCGGCAATGGCGGGCGCCTCTCCCCCAGCCTCGCTGCCGCCTTGCAGTTTCATCTCAGACTGCTATGCTAGCCATGAGCGAGACTCCGTGGGCATAGGACCCTCCGAGCCATGTGCAGGATATAATCTCCTGGTGTGCCATTTTTTAACCCCATCAGGAAAGCGCAGTGTTAGGGTGGGAGTGACCCGATCTTCCAGGTGCCATCTGTCACCCCTTTCTTTGACTGGGAAAGGGAATTCCCTGACCCCTTGCACTTCCCGGGTGAGGCGATGCCTCTCCCTGCTTCGGCTCGCGCATGGTGCACTCCACCCACTGTCCTGCACCCACCGTCTGGCACACCCCAGTGAGATGAACCTGGTACCTCAGTTGGAAATGCAGAAATCACCTGTCTTCTGCGTTGCTCACGCTGGGCTTGAATTTATTTTTAATTTTACTTTTAAGTTCAACTGTTCATGTTCAGATTTGTTAGATTGGTAAACTTGTGTCATGGGAATTTTTTTGTGCAGATTATTTCATCACCCAGGTATTAAACATAGTATCCAGTAGTTTTCCAGATTCTCTCCTTCCTCCCACCCTGCACCCTCCAGTAGGCCCCAGTGTGTGTTTCTCCCCTCTATATGTCCATGTGTCCTCATCATTTAGCTCTCACTTATAAGTGAGAACATATGGTATTTGGTTTTCTGTTCCTGTGTTAGTTTGCTAGAGATAATGACCTCTAGCTCCATCCATGTTCCTGCAAAGGACATGATCTCTTTTTTTTTTTATGGCTATGTAGTGTTTCATGATATGTATAAATCACATATTCTTCATCCAATCTACAATTAATGGACATTTAGGTTGATTCTATGTCTTTGGTATTGTGAATAGTGCTGCAAGTAACATTTGCATGCATGTGTCTTTATGATAGAATGATTTATATTCCTTTGAGTATATACTCATTAATGGAATTTCTGAGTCAAATGATGTTTCTGTTTTTAGATTTTTGAGAAGTCACCACACTAGCTTCCACAATGGTTGAACTGATTTATACTGCCACCAACAGTGTCTAAGTGTTTCTTTTTCTCCACAACCCTGTGACCACCACCACTATGACTGTGCTGGGTTAGACTTGAAGTTAGCACAGTGCTGGGTCTCTTCCAAGGCCTGCTGTTGCTACTTCCTTGCTACTGCCTATGTTTGCTCAATGTCCAGGGGCGCTATAGTCAGCAGGTGGCAAAGCCAGGCAGTCCTGTGTCTTCCGGGGTGATGAGGTCCCCAAAGCCCCAGGTGTGTACAGAGGTGCTGTTCAGGAGTCAGCAACTCCTGGAAAACCTTAGAAGTCAACCTGGCACTCTACTGTACTGCAGCTAAGACTTTGCTCAAACCATAAGACATAGTTCTTCCCAATCTTTCCTCCCCTTTTCAAAGGCAGAGGAGCCCATATGTCACAGTCACTGGGAGTACTCCCAGACTACCACCAATGTTCCTGTAAGGCCCAAGGGCTCTTAAGTCAGCTTGTGGTGAAAGCTGCCTGGCCTAGGACTAACCCTTTAGGATGGTGGCCTCCCCTTTGGCCCAGGGCAGGTCCAGAGATGCTAAGAGTCACATTTTGGAATCAGGGACCCCCAAGTGCCCACTTGGTGCTCTACGCCCTTGTGGCTGTGATGGTACCTGAAGCCAGCAACTTTTGGAGGCTCACCTGAGACCCTTGATGTAGTACCTGAGTATCAAGGTTTGTTATTTAGGGCATAAGGGCTCTTCAGTTAGCAGGTGATAGATGCTGCCAGGGACTGGCCCTTCCTTTCAAGGCAGTGGTGCCTTTCTGGCCCAGGGTGTGTCTAGAAATGTTGTCTCGGATCTAAGGCCTGTAATGGGCACCTCATAACTCTGACCAGTTCCCTATGCTGCTATGGCTGAGCCAAAGTGCAGAACAAAGTTTTCCCCACTACTTTCTCTCCTCTCAAGTGGATAAGCTATGAAGCTATGTGCTCTGCAGCCTTGGGTTAGGGGATGGTTGATGCCAGCACTCCTTTAGCCACCCCCCTTGGTATCTCAGCAGTCACGTGCTTCCCCAGTCCAGTGTTTCCAGGCCCACTTCAGCACCAGGACTTGCTTAAGAGTTGCAATCCTTGTGACCTAGACTTCCCTTCAAGTTTACTTAGAGATCCAGAACACTCTAGCCTTTGGTTTTGAAATTTGCCAGGAACTCAAGTTTGGACCCATGCGGTTGGCAATTCCCCCCTGGCTAGAACTGGTTTTAATGCTTCCTCTGTGGGTAGCTGCCAGCTGAGTTTCCTCCAGTTTTCCTTTCTGCTCTAACAGGACAGCACTGGGTTCAATGTCTCACAGTTGTTGTGTTCTTCCTCCCCCAGTGCTCTGGGACACACTCTGCACCATGTTGACACTGCTGGGGCATGGGGGAACAGTGGCATTTGTGATCCGAGGCTGGTTTTTCTATTTCTTCAGTGTGTCTTTCAGCTATACAAAGTTATCATCAGGTTTTATAAGAGCTCATCTGATTTTTGTTTTCATGAAGGTGTTTTACTACATGTAGATAGTTGCTAAATTGGTGACCTTCTTAGGGGAATGATTAGTGAAGCCTTCTATTCTATCAACTTGCTCTGCCTCCTGACACCACAATCTGTATTTTCTAATGTTTTATATTCTGCTTTTAACCATAATGTAATGATGAGGATGAATATAATAGGTTCTTTTTGATAAATGGAATCTGAGGTGAAAATAGATTCTTACTGGATAAAATCTGCACACAAGACAGGACTTGTGTAAACACACATAACATCTCTTAGATACCCACATTTCACTTTCAGTGATTCAGTAGTTATTTCTGCTCAAATTTGAAACATTCAAGATCATGTGGATAATTCCAAAACATTTGTAATGGGTCATTAAAAAAAAGTTGAAATCATGCCCATACATACTATATTGAATAAGGCAAGCATAAAAGTAATGTGTTTCAGTTACGGTTCTTTCAAATTGTCCTCAGATTATTTTATCATATTTTTGAAAACTGTTCCAGAGAGCTCCCAAGTTAGACAGTAATTGTCAAAAAGACTACATATATGAATACTGGTGTCCCTCCCAGACTAATTTTCTCATATTTTCTGTGTGAGGGGATTGGGAGATGGTATTTGCTTAACATTCCCCAGGTGGTTACAAGTGAAACCAAGGTTGAAAACCACTGATCTAGAGCTTTGTGGAAGAACATTATTTTCCTCAATCTCTAACTATCCTTCCCAAAGGGGATGATAGAACTAAATTTTAAATGCATCCCTTGAGGCATGGATGCAATAAATAAAGTGGCGAGTGATGGAGGAAGTGCCTGCACCTCTTATCTTCCCCTTTGATTCCAGAGTCTGCTTCTTCTCCTTTAGGCCTGGTGAAGTGATGTGATTCTTGGACATAGCCTTGTTAGCCTCTGCAAGTCTTGAACTTTGGCAGGTTCAGGGCTAATGCCCAGTAAAGAAGAGTCTGAACTGGAATTAGAATGGAGAGCAGTATATTGAGGGAGGATATATTTTGTTTCATTTTATTTTGTTTTCCCAGTTCGGAAACAATTGAATTTAAAAAAAGGAAAGTTTTAAGATATAGAAAGAAGCTTCCTTCTTTCCTTCCTTCCTTCTATTCTTCCTTCCTTCCTTTCTTTTAACTTACCCTGCAAGAGAAACAAGCAATACCAAATTAATTATGTTATTGTTTAAGTGTACATTTAGTGCTCGCCGTGAGTGCTATGGTATCTGAAGAAAAGAATTAGACATGTTTACTCTTTCTCAGAGGAGAAAAAGAATGCACAAAAATAGTTGTAATGCTATAAAAAAGTTATAAAATATTACATATATTCTATATTTCTTTAAATGCGATTAATATTTTAATATTTTCCTAATGATCAGTCCTTAAAAACATACAGAAATTTCCCAGCCACATTCTCAAACATAATTTTTAAACAAGTAGATAAAATAGATAGTAATATTCAGTTTTCTAAAAGGAAATAACGATATTATAAAAAATAACACTTTTTGATACCTGAATAAAAACCAGAAGCATTTTGTTTTGAGCTCTTGGTAGAGTAACCATGACAGAAGCCTGAACAGTAGGCAAATAAGTTGTGCAAATATAGTAATATTTAAATTAATGTCCAATTTTGTAATATTCACTTAGTATAGTATAGGTAGGTAATATTAACAAAATAATTTTTAAAAATTTAAAACTCTCAAGGACTTAGCTATCTTCTATTCAAACTCTAATTTTTTATCTGTGAAAATGGAGAACTTGGAAAATTGTGACTTCTGTGGTATTAAAATTAATTTCTGGTATAATACTAAAAAGTTGAAGTCTTATCACTCAATTTTGTGTTTTCTTAGGTAACTCATAAAAGTTTTTTTTTAGCTGTAAGAAAAATATCAACTATGTATATAATATATATATTTTTTGGGATAGATTCTTGCTTTGTTGCTCAGGCTGGAGTGCAAGGGCAGGAACATGGCTCACTGCAGCCTTGATCTCCTTAGCTCAAGCGACCCTCCCGCCTGAGCCTCCCAAGTAGCTGGGACCACAGGTGCACACCATCACACCCGACTAATTTTTTGACTTTTTTAGAGAGACAGGGGGTCACCATGTTGTCCAGGCTGGTCTTGCACTCCTGGGCTCAAGCGACACTACCTCCTCGGTTTCCTAAATTGCTGGGAATACAGGCATGGACCACCACATGTAGCCCACAATTATCATTTATTTTCTTAATGTTTTATATAACAAATGTCAGATAGAAACATGTTTGTTTCAAAACCTTAACATAAAAATTGATATGTATTCTAAAAACGAACAGACTTAAGGGGAATTTTTTTATATAGAATTAGTATTTTCAAAACATTAATTTAAAGAAAGGCAGAGATTAATTAATAATTTACCAAAGATACTAGTAATATAGGAACACAAATTACGTAAAGTATTTTAACCATAAAGTACACACTGCTTTAACAGATTGAAAATATAGCACTATGCATTATGAAAGCCTCAAAATAATACGTGTAACAAAAGGATAAACATTTTTTCAAATAGTTTATTTTAAGATATCTTAAATTTTCATTAACTTTTACTAAACACTTTTTGTAAAATAAGAAAAAAGTCAATATTATTGAAACATACTACATTGATGGAAGATGGTACTGGGAAGACAAATAGAAACCTTTAAAAAATTATATACAGATCACAGAATCTGAAAAAATTTTGATAGGAGATTTCTGGAGAGAGAGAGCATAAATGGAATCAAAATGATCATTGCATTGCTTTTCATGTCTAGCAAATGATATGTTAAAAATTATGTCTAAATTAACCTTTACAGATTTGTAGTAACTACAATATGCAGATTTATGTGTTTACCTGAATGAAAGTTTAGAGGAATGTGAGATTAACACTGACTCTAATATGCATTCTTTTTGTCAGTTTGGAAAGATATATGGGAAAGGGGAAACTATTTCGTAAAATAAGAGGGACCATTCTTTTTATATTTGTAAGTGTAATAAAGTAAATTTACATTGTGTCAAGTCATTTTAGACAAAGTGAATTGGGAAAAAAGTGAAAGCAAAATGATTGCCTCACAGATGCCTGCAGTTCTCATGAAGTACTAACGTTGTGTGAGAGACATACTGAAAATCACCCTGAGTTCTGTTAAATGTTTTTGCTACTCTATTAAAAATAAATAAAAATCTGTCAGGAATCCTTGAATCGGCGTGGAACTCTGATGTTCACAGGCTTCCAGTTGAGCTTAAATATTACTCTGTAGTTCTGAGGTTTTCAATTGTTACATAAGCAGTACATTAATAAATACATCAATTATTTAAACATTAGATTTTTGTGCCTGCAATCTAACATTTTTTATCCTAAAAATAAAAAAAAGTTTTAATAGTGTGGACCTCAGATTTCTTCTAAACAATGCTAAATAAATCTATCAGTATGTCCGTGGTATTATAATAGCATCAACATGACACCATATAAGTAGATCTTTTTAAAAGACTGACTTCCTTATTTCTAAGAAAAGAAAAATTAACACATTTATTATTTCAGAAAAGAACAACAAAAACCAACCCAGAAACCCTAAAAATCAATTAAAAACAAATCTTAGATACTTAACTCCATTTTTATTTCCTTTTTATGAATTTGCTCTTGCTCACACACATCGCCCACCTCTGCAAACATTACTCAATAAAACTTATTAGAGAATTTCAAAAGAACTGACTTTTAACATAGTTACAGACTGCTTTATACTTATCAAAATCTAATTTGACTTAAAAATGTATTTTCAATTAATAGCTTAAGCAATATTTTGCTGATTCAATTTGGGAAAAAGGTATCTACTCTTTTGTTAATTGTCATTTTTGACAATTTTCTCTAAAATTTAAAGTAAACTTGCCTAAGCATTTCTAAATATTGGATTTAAAATAAATACTCTAGAATTTAATGGGTGCTTTTATTACATCTCTGAATTCTTACCTCATCTGCATCAGTTCCATACTCTTTTAGAAGGCTTTTCATGACATGAATATTTTATAGGGTTTTTTTCATATACAAATATGTATTTTTGTAAAGAAGACTTACGAGTCCATAATACTATTTTTATTTTATTTTTATTTTATTTTTTGAGACGGAGTCTCGCTCTGTCGCCCAGGCTGGAGTGCAGTGGCGCGATTTCGGCTCACTGCAAGCTCTGCCTCCCTGGTTTACGCCATTCTCCTGTCTCAGTGTCTGGAGTAGCTGGGACTACAGGCGTCTGCCACTACACCCAGCTAATTTTTGTGTGTGTGTATTTTTAGTAGAGACGGGTTTTCACCGTGTTAGCCGGGATGGTCTCGATCTCCTGACCTCGTGATCCGCCTGCTTTGGCCTCCCAAAGTGCTGGGATTACAGGCGTGAGTCACCGCACCCGGTCCATAATAGTATTTTTAAATCAATTGAATATTATGGGATTTAAGGTACGCTTATTTGATCTTGATCTTATTTCTTTGAATTGAAAATATTGGTCCATAAGAGCATTAACATATTTACTCATTTGCATTATTCTAAATAATCAGTTAATTTAAAAGAGTAATACTAATTTTACTCCAACACTTAGACTCCCAAATAATATTTATATTTCTTTGGGCTTCTAATTTACTGTAAACTCACTTAAAGTAATTTATTCCTCTATGTGGCTATGTCACTACCTTATATATAGTTAGGTTTATTTGTTATATTTCTTTTCAATTTTGGGAGGAGTTTGCTTCTGTAAATTTAAATTTTCTTTGTAAATATGTGAAACATTTGTATGTTTTCTAAACCAAGACTGTCACAAAGTGTATTCTGGCAGGATTCCATTCTACCCTTACTTATTCACCCTTGGTCTCTCCTTCTTTCTATAAATAATTATTTTTATTAATGTATGGATTAAGTGAACAAGTTTTGTTTTCTTTCTTAGTTAACATTTACTTATGTCATATTGATTTTAGGATTTTATATAGAATGTTAACTTGGTATTAGACTGAACTGCTTTGGAAATTCTCAGGACTAGGCCACTGTGGATTGAAAAAAAAAAGGTTTTCAAAGCAAATGGACTCCCAAAATGCCAGTCTTTTTCTTCTTTCTACTCTCACTGCTGCTCCATCAAGCCTTTCTAAATTTGATGAGTGGCTCTTTTCTTTCTCCTGTTCTTCCTGGGTACCAGTCTTTTGTATTGGAAGGTACTCACTTCACTTCCATCAGAGAGAGGTCAATTAGAAGGGGCATATCTGGGTTTATTTAGGGAACTTTTTTTTCATAATGATGTCAGTAGCTTCCTGATCTTATATTTTTTTCTAACTGGAAAGACTGAGGATTGAATTACAGACTATCTGTTTGTAACTTTGCATTCTCTGAATTTTAATTTTCCCAAATAAAATGTAATTGTGAATACATAGCAAGGAATGTTATAAAGAGAGCACAACTGAACAAAATAGTTATATGATCCCACTTACCACGCAAAGGCTTCACCTTCCAGTTCTTCCCACCATAGGTTATGATTGTACCTTGACAGAAATTTCTCTTAGTCTATTTCCCTCTAAGACTCTCAGCTTCATGAATGCAGGGACCATATCCAATTTGTTTCTAGTTCTATCCCTAGCATTGAGCACACTGCCTGAGCTATTCATTTTTAATGTAATGAGCTCTTTCCACTGACATCAAAATACTCTCTTGAGAGTGAGCAGCTGTTCCATACACAAACTCCTTCTGAAGAGGTATACAAATATATGAGATGGTCAATATAACACAAATACGAGAGAAACTTATGTTACTCACAAATGCAGTATTTTATTTTAAGGATATATACCTGAGACACACATTTTCCTCTAAACTCTTACCAAAATCTTGTCACTATAAAACTTCAACTCACTTCTCTTCCACAAACCTGTTCCTTCCCCAGTTTCTAAATTTGTGATTCTAGTTACTAGAATGCCGTATTTTATGTACATCTACTTTCGCTGATTTAACTTAGACATTTTCTCTTGCCTAATCACTTGCAACAGCCTTTTGTTTAATTTCTCAATAGCTGGTCTCACTCTTTTCTGTTTTTCCTGATGTACAGAATCTTGAATTTCTTTGAATAAAACATCTTTTATGTCAATCTTTTTTTTAAAAAAACTGCTTTTAAAAATGTATACAATTATGTGTAATATCTGTAATTGTTAATCAATGGTTTTTAGAAATTTTTTATATCAGCCTATTTGATTATTTCTTATTTTGTCACCTATGTTCCAAACTTAGTAAATCTCTATTTATTTCCATTATATATGGTGTTCTTATATGGCTTCCTGCCTTTAAGTATAATCTTTCTTCAATTTGGAAGTCCTATCCTGCTCTCTTCTTGAAAGATATCTACTTATCTTTCAAAGCACAGATAAACTATCACATTCCACTTTGAAAATGTCAGATACTGCAGAGAATTAGCTACCTCATTTTCTGTAGCAAAGGTATCAACAAAAATAATCACAGCGTTTTTTTGTCATCTACTTTCTATAGGATTTTATCAAATTCTTAAAACCACTCTTTTTTTATGTGCTAAAACTGAGGTTCGAAACTATTTTGTAATTCAGGTGAGACAATGTAACCTGAGGCCATACTACTTAAGCCTTTGAGGCTGGCACAGTGGCTCATATCTGTATTCCCAGCAATTTGGGTGACTGATGTGGGAGGATCGCTTGAGTCTAGGACTTCAAGGCAAGCCTAGGCAGCATAGTGAGATCTCTGTCTCTACAAAAAATAAAAAATTATCCAGGCATGGTGGTGTGCAACTGTAATCCCAACTACTTAGGAGGCTGAGGTGTGAGGATCACTTGAACTTGGGAGGAGGAGTTTACAATGAGTTATGTTTGTGCTACTGCACTCCAGCCTGGGCAAGAGAGTGAGACCCTACCTCTAAAAACAAACAAACAAATAAACAAACCAAAATTTAAAAAAAAACTCCAAAACAAAAGTTTTTTGAATAAATAAGTTCCTGAATGAATAGATTTGTGAAGAATTCTTCATGTTTACATAGGCATCAATTCTTTCCCCTGCACTTGGCTGATATTTAGCCAAGCTGATTCTCATCCATTTGCTTATCTTTCTAAGAGGAAAAAACTTTCTCAATTATTATTTTCCTCATCTTCATCCTAATTTCTCTGAGCTAACTGAAAAGGAGTAAATCTCCTATGGTTCTCTATTTCCTCTTCGTACCTGTAGCCCAAGGTGGGCTCTTTGTGTTTATAAGCAACATGTGTCGCCGGTCTTCAGTTCTCATAGACATCTTCAGTTCATTTCCTTCTCAAATTCTTTATCTACCTTCTATTTGCCACCTACTTCTCTTGATTTACATGAATTGAATTCTGATCTCTTGCTTGAATTAAAGTTGTATCCTTCTTTCTGTTCTGGTTTCTTGCTTCTACATTAGTTAGCATATAGGATATATATGGAAATGCATGTAGTAATAATGAGAATGGGGCATTCAGTGGCTGAAATAAGATAGATGCTTACTTGTCTTTCTCATATCTCCAAGTTATGTTGGCTGAGATCTAGAATGTTCTTCCAGAACTAAAGCACTTTCCCTCTTCTTATGCATTTACCATCCCCAAGATCTTGTCCTGGTCCTCATGGTCCAAAATAAAGCACTATTAAATCTGTATTCTAACCTTTTGTTTGATGAAAGAATCGAATACAATGAGATAAACCAAAAGTTGCACATATTGCTTGCGTTCTTATGCCATTAGTGTAGACACAGTCATATGACCATATCAAACTGCAAAAGAAATTATGAAATGTTGTAACTAGGTAAAATATCTGAAAGGTAAAATCAGAATTAAAAACTAAAACTCAGTAGTATTTATTGGACTCATTGATTATTATTCTGAAGCCATGCTAATTTAACGTGTATATTTTTCCAAGTATTTAGTAGGAAATTACACACATGAACTAGAAAGTCCTGGGATTCAATCCCAGCACAGCCGTTTAAAAACGTTGGATTTTGGACATGAACGTTTCTAAGCCTCAGTTTTTACAGCCGAAACTAGAATTTGTGGAAATTCTATCAATATACTATGAGTTAATTGTAAAGTATTCTCTGTTGCATATTTCAGGAGTAGCATGCATGGTGACAAGAACAATTATCTTCACCCTATACTCATTCATTTTACCAACACTTCCCTATCACTAAAGATATCACTCTTTATCACTAAAGAGAAAATTACTTTGAAATATTAATGCATGATGTTCTATTACTAAAAGGAAGAGAAAATGGATATTATAATCATTAACACTTAAAGAAAAAAAATAAATTACCCATACTCACCATATAATCTTTACTCTAGACTTTCTCTATAATGTATCTACCCTATGGTTTTTAATAAATTGTATTAATAGTTACCTTCACACCTTGGTCTTAGGGCAATGTATAATGATAAAACACCTTAAATTTATGCCAATTGTATTTACTCATCCATTCTACTTTATCCCACCTTTACCTGCCCTTATTTGTAAAACAAATTATATACCTTTCCATAAAATAATATAAAAGAAAAATTATGAATCTAATTTTCTGCATCTTCTTACTCTGCAAGACATTCTATAAGAATGCAGTGACAATCCAGAGATCAGAGATCTGCTACATTTAAATTTATCAATAATTTATTAATAAGTCTTGATACTGAATATCACTACAAATAAAATATTCTCTATTGAGTATGAATACTGTCTATAAAACACTTGTTCTATAAAACTTTGCCTCATAGCATCATTATAGGATATTAATTAAATGTGCCAATAAGTGTCACAGCACAATAAATTTTAAATACACATGTTAAGTGAAGTTTGACATGGCTCAATATTTTAAAATATGCACTTATTATAGCTTTGTTCCAAGGCACTCTAAAACTTTAAATTACTGGCTAACTTGATAAGTGAAAATTTATTAACTACCACCTAGTCTTTTTCAATTACTCCACATTAACTTTTTAACCTTGAATCCCACTGAGAGTAGCCTTCATATACATTTCCAAGTTTGTTATTTAGTCTTAATATCCATCTATAAATTAGCATTCTCATAATAAAAACTAATTTTTATGGAAGTCAAACTGGGCCAGTTACCATAATAAATTCTTTGTAATCCTCATCCAACTCAATGAATTAGATTGGATTATTATGCTCATTTTACATGTGATGTAAATAAACGAAGCTTGCACAGAAGAAGACTCTTGCCTAAGTAATTTTACCAAGACAGAAACTCAGGTACTCTATCCCTAGAACCTGAATTTTACCATGATAAATTTCTTCCTGTCAGTCAATTCTGTGATATTCACCTATATATTAATAGATGAGGCAACTTTTTATTTAAAGTTGACATTCTATGAATATTATTTACAAATAGAATAATACATTTTAATGACAAGCCTTTAAAAATTATTTTAGGTTCCCCAAAATTTAAAAGTTATGACCATCAGCTTTTAGTTGTAAAATGCTTGTTAAATGAATTCTGTCCATTTTTAGATTTGGTTTCTTTCTCCTTTAAAAATAAAATTCAACTTGTGTTTCCACATACATATTCCTTGTACATTATTTTTAAAATACAGAAACCTATTAAATCAGATGAGATATTAGCTACACTTTTAAATTTAGAACAGACAGCAGTGGCTTAAACAAGATAGTATCATTCTCTTCCAAAAATTATGTAATACAAGGTGATGTGAAAGAAGAGGATTATCTTTTATACTTTTGCTTCTTCATCCCTTAGGATGTTAATCTCATCATGCCACATCTGAAAAGTCCCATTGAATGTTAGAAAGCAGACTTAAATGGAGATCATTTTCTATTTAAAATAATCATTAGACAGTTCAAACATCATTTCTGCTCACATCCTATTGGACAGAAGTTAGTCACATGACAAGTTTCAATTGCAAAGGATGCTTGCTAATACTGTCTCTAACTAGGTGGTCAGGTACCCAGGTAAAATTGTCACTGTTCTGTTATTTAAGGAAAGAAAAACAGAATGGATATTGGGATAAGTAAGCATTAAAGCAAAGAACCTGTAATTTCACCACCATCCAAGAAAAAAGAAAGTTAAATATTTATATATTTTCATTTTTAGTGATCTTTTAAATTTTTTCTCTGAGATTTGGACTACTAATTTCTTATTGATACAATTCATACTGATATAAACATATAAAATACATTTGTTGTTTTTATAAATTTTTAAGATAGATTCTTGAAAATGTAAATGTTGTGTCACACTCTATGGCACACACAAAAATCTGAAACAGTACTCAAAAATATTTTGCAAAAATAGTACTAATTTATTATGCTTGAAAATAATTTATGCCTGAAAACTAAAATATATTTCAAGATGCATGTCTCTTTGCAAATGTGATAGGTAAAATCTTTTTTAAAATGTACCTTCATTTTTATTTATTAATTATTATACATTTCTTAGTTAATAGGCCAGCTTTGTTTGTTCTCCACATTGTCTCTTATGCATCTTCTCATATTAAGTAGAATTTAGCATTTGTTACATATTAATATAAACTATATGTATTATGATCATTAATGCTTCACCAAGTATGTGTTTCAACATGTTTAAGTTGAATATTTCTTCTAGTTTGACCTCTGCTTCTTACTTGTTTGTTTACTGATTAATTTATTGATTTCTTGTGATGTTTCAGAACTTTAAAGCTTTATGTTCCCAGTAGTTGAATTAATCAGTAAATTTTTGAATGTCTGTTTTATGCTCTGTTTGGCCAAGTATTTTTTCCAATTTTAAAATCAGTAATACATACCTTACTATTCTCATTTCATTTATTTGTCCATAAATATTTGTGTTATTTTGTTATGAAATAATACAAGTGCATGATTAAAAAGAAAAAAATGCAAGTTACCCAAATTTAATAATGTTCTTGCCAAACATTACCTTATCTCATTATCTGGAAAAATTAGTTGCCAATTTCTCTGTATATTTTCTGCAGATTAATAGGAAGTATGTTTTATAAGGATTTTAATACAAATTATATCTTATGATAACTTGGTAAATGTAGCAATTATGGAACTACTGTACTATGTTATGAAGTCATCTGTACATTGCCTTGGAGGTTTTGATCAAAACAAAAGAATCTAACTGTATTTTTTATATTACCTGAAGGTATACTCTGCCCAATGGCTCACTATTCCTGTGTGAACTCAGGATAACCGCTATGTATGGTAACTTGAAACTTTGAGAAAAGACTGACTGCTTGAGTGTCAACATTTCCTTGATAATGGCCTTTGAATTTTATTATCATGTGTTCAGGCTCTTTTCATATGTTATGTTGGCTAGTTTTATTCTAGTGAAATGCGCAAATTGATATAGCTAAGATGATTTATTTATGATATATATTTTTCAAAAATGTTGATACTTATTTACATTTACAAATTAAAAAGCAATAATTGCTGAATGATTCTTACTATTTTAGGGAGATATTACTTGACTTCTGACATAGATTATACAAGTTTTATAAAATAACAGAATTTTAAGTTATCAACTCAAAAAATGTTTTCTAATTTTCTATCTAATGTTTGATGAAAATGTTTAATGAGAAAAGAGTTACAATATTTTGGTTCATTTAAAAGTCTAGGCCTTTAGTAGTCTGCTATACTTAGGAGTAGAACTAAAAAGCAAAATATAGAAATTCAATACAAGGAAATGTATATAAAATATAATTCTTTCAATGATTACATATAAACTATTATAAATAAATATTTAAATGACATTTATTCTCATGAAATCCACAGATAATGCTGAAATTATATTTGTATGATACTATAGAAGCATCTTTATTATCGCCTAAGTGATTTATAGTCTTGTGATATAACCAGTATTGCTTCAGTAAACAAAAACAACAAATTCAATATATTAAATTCAAATTCAATTATTTCAAATTCAATTATTAAAATGTTAACATTAGATTGGTATGGAACAAACAAAAAATCACTTTAATCCGTGGCTTAAAAGTAATATTATCCACAGTATGAAGTAGCTTCAATCCAATATGGAACCAAATGCAATGAAATTAACTTATTTTTCTTGCTATAGTCCAAGAATTACATTTTATTAAGGCCAAAACTGAACTAGTCCCACCTAAAACTTTTTCAGGACGTCTCTCATAAGTTCTTATTTAAAAAGAAATAAAAGGATGAACAATGTATTTGCTCAATCAATGTGTAAATTTTGATTTACACATTGTTTAGAACAGGCACTGTTCTAAATGCATTTGTATTTTGCCTTGTACATTTCTCTTTCTCTACCTTTACTTTTTCCCTTTCTTCCATAGAGTTAGCAAAGGTTCAAGACTCCAATAGATAGATAGATAGATAGATAGATAGATAGATAGATAGATATTATATAGAGATATACACATGCAATTATATGTATAATTGTATATATATTCTATGATGCATTTTTTCACTTACAAACATTTTAAATTTTGAGATTCATCATAGATTTGATGGTGTGTTAGAGTTTAATTTGTAGTTTATTTTATTTTTCTTAGTTGCTCACTAATAATGGTACAACTCATAATCAGTGTCCTCTTGGTGAAACAAAATAAGGTTCAGTAAAGTACTTAAAATAAGCACCTAGCTCATGCCATGTGTCCAATAGAAGTTAGGTCTTACTACACCAAACTAATCACAGAGCATGCAAAATAAATAAATATATAAATACATAAATAAAATTTAACAAAATATTCTTGTCCTCCAGGGACTTATTATCTTGTATGTCAGAAGAATAATATATTTGAGCTCAAATCCTCAATAATATCTACTTAAATATTTTCAATCTTTTCCAGTCTTTTCTCTCACAATTTTTTTTTCACTATTACTGTGTTGGTGTTCCATGTACATGGATAAACAAAAAGCCTCCACTCTATGTACCACTAACTAACTAGCACAAAACCTAGAGTATAATAAATAATTTTTATCACAAATAATTCAACTAATAATAATTCATTTTCCATTAAAGTGATCCTAAATAGGTCCATGGTTGGAGGTTTGCTTGTCATCTCTTTTATTATATATATTTGATCTTTAGAGGAATATTACCTAGTCTCAAGACTTATATATATTCTGTACACTGACAACTCCCCAGTTTAAATCACTATCCTGAATTACTTTCCTGAAATTTAAAATTATACATCTAACTCCAAACACAGTATATCTCTAATAATTCTGGCAGATATCTCAAGCCTAAGGCATTTACAAGTACATGTATTAGTCTGCTCTCATGCTGCTAATAAAGACTCACTCCCATGATTCAATTACCTAGCACCAGGTTCCTCCCATAACAGATGGGAATTATGGGAGCAAATATTGATTTGGGTGGGATCAGAGCCAAACCATATCACTCTGCCTCTGGACCCTCCCAAATCTCATATCCTCACATTTTAAAACCAATCATCCCTTCCCAACAGTTCCCCAAAGTTTTAACTCATTCCAGCATTAACTCAAAAGTCCATAGTCCAGAGTCTCATCTGAGATAAGGCAAGTCCCTTCCACCTATAAGCCTGTAAAATCAAAAGCAAGTTAGTTATTTCCTAGATAAAAGGAGGGTACAGGCATTGAGTAAATACACCTGGTCCAAATGGAAGCAATTGGCCAAAATGAAGGGGCTACCACCCTCATGCAAGTCCAAAATCCAGTAGGGCAGTCATTAAACCTTATAGTTTCAAAATGGTCTCCTTTGATTCCATCTCTCACATCCAGATCACATTGATGCAAGAGATGGGCTCCCACAGCCTTGGATAGCTCTTCTCCTGTGGCTTTACAGAATTCACCTCCTCCTGTCTGCTTTTACAGGCTGATGTTGAGTGTCTGTGGCTTTTCAAGGTGCGTGGTACAAGCTGTCAGTGGATCTACCATTCTGGGGTCTGGAGGATGGTGGCCCTCTTCTCACAGCTCCACTAGGCAGTGCTCCAGTGGGGACTTTGTGTGGGGGCTCAAACTCCACATTTCCCTTCTGCACTGCCCTAGCAGAGGTTCACCATGAGGGCTCTGCCTCTGCCCTACACCTCTGCCTGGATATCCAGGCATATCCGTACATCCTCAGAAACATAGGTGGAGGTTCCCAAACTTCAATTCTTGACTTCTATGCACCCACATGTCCAGCATCATGTGTAAGTCACCAAGGCCTGGGGCTTGCACCTTCTAAAGCAGCAGCCTGAGCTCTATGTTGACCTCTTTTAGCCATGGCTGGGATGCAGAGCACAAAGTCCCAAGACTGCACAAAGCCACCAGGCCATGGGCCCAGTCAAGAAAACCATTTTTCCCTCCTAGGCCTCCTGTTTTGTGATAGGAGGGTAGCCATGAAGACCTCTGACTTTCCCTGGACACATTTTTCCCATTGTCTTGGTGATTAACATTTGGCTCCTCATTACTTATTCAAATTTCTGCAGCCAGCTTGAATTTCTCCTTAGAAAATTGGATTTTTTTTTATCGCATTGTCAGGCTGCAAATTTTTCAAACTTTTTGCTCTGCTTCCCTTTTAAACATAAGTTCCAATTCCAAACCATATCTTTGTGAATACATACAACTGAATGCTTTTAACAGCACCCAAGTCAGATATTGAACTCTTTGCTGCTTACAAATTTATTCCACCAGATGCCCTAAATCACCTCTCTCAATTACAAAGTTCCACAAATCTCTAGTGTAGGGGCAAAATACCACCAGTCTCTTTGCTAAAACATAGCAAGAGTCACCTTTGCTCCAGTTGCCAATAAGTTCTTCATCTCCATCTGAGACCACCTCAGCCTGGATTTTGTTGTCCATATCACTATCAGCATTTTGTTTAAAGCCATTCAGCAAGTCTCTATGAAGCTCCAAACTTTCACACATCTTCCTGTCTTCTTAGACCTCCAAGTCTCTATGAAGTTCCAAATTTTCCCACATAATCTTGTTTTCTTCTGAGCCCTCCAAACTATTCCAACCTCTGCCTGTTACCAAGTTCCAAAATCTCTTTCACGTTTGTGGATATCTTTACAGCAGTGCCCCACTACCTGATACCAATTCACTATATTAGTCTGTTCTCACTTGGCTAATAGACATACACAAGACTGGGTAATTTATAAAAGAAAAAGGTTTAATAGACTCACAGTTCCACATGACTTGGGAGGACTTATAATCATGGCAGAAGGTGAAGGGGCAGCAAGACACATCCTGCATGGCAGCAGGCAAGACAGCATTTACAGGGAAACTCCCCTTTATAAAACCATAAGATCTCATGAGACTTGGTCACCATCACAAGAATACCACAGGGAAGACCCACCACCATGATTCAATTACCTACTACTGGGTCCCTTCCACATCATATGGGTATTATGGGAGCTACAGATCAAGATGAGATTTGGGTGGGGACATAGCCAACCCATATTAGTACATTTCTGGGTATTTATACCATTCACCAACATAAAATCATAAAAAGCCTTCCTCTCCCACAGTGATCCCTGTCCCCTTCATGGCAGCTTTATCATTCTAAGTACACAAAGTAAAAGTCTTAGGGTTATTGTTGCTACTCTTTGTCTAATCCATGAGCAAATCATTTCAGTTCTCTCTTCAGAATGAATCCAGAGACACATGCCTCTGACCACAACAGTGATACTGGCATCAGATTAGGCTCTGTTGTGTAGAACATTGGAAAATGGGACAAAATATATGCCATAACTATTTGTCAGAAAATGGAATTCAGCAACACTTATAAAAAAGGAAACAAATATATCATCTTTATGTTTGCACAGAATCTTGTCCTGAAGGGAATTTCTAGAACACAATGAAGCAAGGGGAAATATTAGAATAGCAATGTGAGCCGCACCGAGCTGATGAAGCAGAGATAGTAGTTTGGGAAGACTGAGGAAGCTGAAATTTTTCAGGAGTCCTGGCTTAAGAAGGAACTACTCAGGAAAATTCTCCATTGATCTGTAGAGCAGTGCCAGGAGTGTAATCTATAAGCCCAAACAAATACCAATTGCTAAAAAAAATATAATCTGAAAAACTTGCTGAGATCAAAGAGGGTTAGAACATGTAATAATTCTAAACAGCCAGAGTGAAGAGACCTCACTAAATACTCAGGGTATTCAGTCAAGACCCAGAAAGTGCCTCTTTTTATAGAGAGCTAAACTAGCCCTAGAGTAAAGTTTTCACTAGACCTATCACAACACAATTTAAAACCATCACTAGTTATGGATCAAGATGATTCCAAGATAAAATAATTGCTGATCAGAACATAAATCAACACTCTTTTAAGGAGCACAGAAAATCTAAATACTTCACAATAGCCAACATCCAATAAAAATTATGAGAAGTAAAGAGCAGAATAATATGGCCTATGACCAGGAGAAGAATCAATCTATAGAAGCAGAATCAGAGATTACAAAGATAATAAAATTACTATAAAGGACCTTAAAACAGCTATCATAAATACATTCACAAATTTAAAAGAAAATAATGAGGAAAAATATGATTAAGAAGACATGGAATTTCTATAATTGAGTAATACAATATCTAAAATAAAAACTTCACTAAACAGATAATATACTACCAAAAATATCAAAATCCTAAATAAGCAAACAAAAAACTTAATTTTGAAAAAAAAGATAGTGAAAATATACACATTGATGCATAAAATGAAAAAAAAAACTGAGAATAAATATAAAGAGTCTCAGTGATATATGGAAAGTGTCAAGTTGTCCTACCATATATGATACTGGAGTTTCAGAAGGGGGCACAGAAAAATATACTTGTAAAAATAATAAAAATTTTCTGAAATTGATGAAAAATGTCAACCCAGAAACCCAAACCAGTCAAGTAACCTCAAGTGGTAACAACAAAGAAAGATATGACAATGTTCTTAATAATCAAATTGTTGAAGAACAGTCATAAATGGAAAATCATAAAGATACTCAGAGTAAAAATAATTACAATGCATACAAGGAAACAAATATAATAGAGACTGCAGACTTCCTATTGTAAACAATGCAAGTCAGAAGAAAATGGCATTACATTTTAAGGGACTGAAAGAAAATAATAAATTTGTCACTCTCAAATTCTAATCTTAAAAAAAAATCCATGAAAATTGAAGGTGTAATAAAGATCTCTTCAGTGAAAAAAAAACTGAAGCTATTTATCGCCAGTGTACCTATGAAATCAAATAGAAAGACTTGAAATAAAATTGCATACTAGGAAGTAAAAATAAATTTTGCAGAGTGAAGGAAAATAGTCACAGAAACATAGATCTACATAAGAGTGCCCCAAATGATAAGTACATGAAAAAATATGAGTAACTTCTTCCATTTTTAGAAAGATAATGAACTGTTTAACAGTAATAACATATTGTGAGGATTATTTTACATGTATAAAATACATACAAATATATTTAATGTTAACATATATTTGGGTGTGTGTTAATGTATATCAATAATAGTATAATGCATCTGATGAGGTAAGTGTTGAATTGGTATATTGTTTGAAAATAGATGGTGTTAAGAAAATATAGGTGTTATGGGAAATCATAAAGCACATGCCATTATAAAATAATACCATAACAAGAGAACTATAAATCAATATCTTCATAACCACAGATGCAAAAATACTCAAAACAGTGGTATTACAATACAGTGATATAGGTCATCATCACCTATCCACTGAACTATTATAATTGCTTTTAAATTATTCTTCCTGCTTCATCATTTGCCTCTTTCTTTGATTCTATTTCTAACACAATTGCCAAAGTAATTTTTTTAAAAGATAAGACTTGTCCTGTGTCATTTCTTTCCTCAATAACTTCCAAATGGCTCCACATTTTGTTCTAATAAAAATTCAGTCCTTACTGTGTCAAATTTCTTCTTCCAAGTCCTGCATTATCTGGCCTGAACTGTCTTTCTTATATGACTTCTTAGAGATCTTCCCCTAATTATCTCTACCCTTGTGCTGCTAGTGAGTGTTTCTCAGATATAACCATTTCCCTTTCCCATTCATAGCCACTGCAGATGGTATTCCCGTTGCTAAGAAGCACGTCTCCCACGTCTATAAACTCACTCCCTGCCTCTCTTCCTTCAGGTCTTATTCAAATTCTACCTTCTCACTACTGTGGAATTTGAATAGTTTCCTTCAAAAATTCCCCTATCTTAAATATTAAACTATCTTCTATCTTTATTTTCTCCCCCTTATCTGCTTTATTTTTTTTCTTAACACTTACCACTATTTAGCACACTATTTCCTTTTTTTGTGTTATATATTGCCTGCTCCCTCACTACAGATTTTGCTCTATATTTTACTGTTTATGCTCAGCACCCAGTACAATGTCTTGTGCATAATAGAAATTCATTAAGAATTTGTTGAAGAAATAAGAAAAGAAAGGGAAGGAGGGAGGAGGAACTAACCTGGAATTCTATGTGTTAATGTTGCAACCGTGTGAATGTGCAGTGGAGTTGAAATTTACAGAGTTCAGAGCAGTGTTAAATTCATTTGGATTAAGCATAAAAGGCTACATACTGTATATAAAAATTTTTCCTCAATTAAAATAAATCATTTGTATTGGCTTCAGTAAAAGAGAAATGAAAAGTTAATAAAAATAATTTTGCAAAGATAATTGAAAACCAGTAGGTAAAGTATCAGGAACACTATACACAGTATTATGAACGTTGTACATATAATTTGTACAAAGTATCTGGAACATTGTACATAATTATACAATAAATAGCATCTATCATAAGTGGAACTCTGGATGATATATTTATAACATTCTCAAACAGCAAGATGTTTAACCCATAGCATTAATGTATTTGTTGTCTCTTGCTGTGTAACAAATCACCCCGAAACTTAGTTGGTGACGATATCAAACATTTGTCTTACATATTTACTGAGGATTAGAAACCTGGGAGTTGACCTGGTTGGTTCTGGTTCAGGATCTTTAATGAGGTTGCCATTAAACTAGCTGGGGCAACAGTCATCCAAGACTTTGCTAACCCGTCACTTGGGCTTTTGTCAAAATACCTCTCTTTCTTGATATGGGAGCCTTTCCATAGGACTGATTCCCAAGTTGTAGATGGTTTCCTTCTATATGTGTTATCTGAGAGAACAACCAAGACTGAAGCCACAATGCCTTTTATAACCTAATATTGGCAAAGACATAACATCCCTTCTGCTATCTATTATTGGTCAAACAACCAGCACTGGTACAATATGGTATTGGACTATACAAGGGTGTGTATACCAAGAAGCAGGACCATTGATGTCTTGGAGGCTGGATAGCTCAGCTACTAAAAATATATTTACATCAATTAAGTCTATCTGAATCATAAACCATTGCAATAAGCTTTTCCAAATTCCCTGCTTTAATAATCACTTTTCTTAATGCATTCACATCATTTGGATCTAATTAGAATATGTAACAATAGGTATATGAAACATCTGTCTATTTCTTGATAAAGTCCAGAAAGTGTGTATTAGTCTGTCTCTCTGTAAAATATAGTTTCCTGACCATTACTTACAAATTGTAACATAAATTATTTCAAATGCTTGGCATATAGAGCTCTGATATTGACTGTGACACTTGCATTAATTGCTTAAAATTTTCTTTATGTAGAAAAAAAGTTAATCTACAGTTTTTTCAGTGAAAAAAATTACTCTTTATTTTGGACAAAGTAAGTATCTAAAGGTTAATGAAGTGAGGATAATTTGAACACAGTGACGACATAAAGTTTGTGAAAACAGAAAACACCTGAACGCTATAAAAGTTAGGTTGAGTGGCTTTATATAGGCTTTCTAACTCATAATTCTTAATTCAAATATCTACGACTCGAATGTTTTCCAGATCTTAAGCTCACAGGTATTTCATTTGTCAGCAAAGTATTCTATTTCTCATAATTATCTGTGATGTTAGTGTCTTCTAAATTATTTTCATATCTTTAAAATAACACTATTAATGTGTTTTAGTTTAAAAATTTGCAGGTACATTTTGACAAGACGTTCGTAAGATAGAGCTGTTGTGGGGTGGGGGGAGGGGACAGCATTAGGAGATATACCCAATGTAAACGATGAGTTAATGGGTGCAGCACACCAACATGGCACATGTATACATATGTAACAAACCTGCACGTTGTGCACATGTACCCTAGAACTTAAAATATAATAAAAAAATATATATATATATAATTAAAAAAAGATAGAACTGGAACATGGGTATAAACTGTGAATAAATGCCACCAGTAATATCTGCACTATTTAAAAATACCACTTAGGGTATTTTTAACCTAAGTGGTTATTAGAATAGATACTTAGGGTATAGTGTAATCTTAACAGAAGAACTATACAAAAATCACCATCAACTGTACTTCCTCTACATTTTTTGGGCCAAAGCAGAGTCAACTACCTATATGTGGAACTGGCTGCCACCTTTGCCATTCCTTTCCTGTGCTCTGCTCTCATAATTGTGTTCTCATATGCACTTGTATTTATCACTGTATAATACAATTTTGGTTTATGTTTGTATTCACCAGAAGATTATGAGTCATTAATAGGTAACTGCCATCATATAGCTTTCTTCTCTGTTCTTGGGGCCTGGCATATAATACAGGCTCATAAAAAGTTCACTGAACAAAAGCATACATTATATGATTTCTGAAGTACTTTGTCTCTGTGATGGTTAATATTGAGTGTCAACTTGATTGGATTGAAGGATGCAAAATATTGTTTCTGGGTGTGTCTGTGAGGGTCTTGCCAAAGGAGACTAACATTTGAGTCAGTGGACTGGGAGAGCCAGACCCACCCTTAGTCTGGGTGGGCACCATCTAATCAGCTGCTAGAACGACTGGAAGGAAAAGCAGGCAGAGGAAAATTGAGAGACTAGACTTTCTTAGTCTTCCTGCCTACATCTTTCTCCAGTGCTGGATGCTTCTTGCCCTCAAACAGTGGACTCCAAGTTCTTTAGCTTTGGGACTCTTGAACCTTTGACCACAGACTGAAGGCTGCCCTGGTGGCTTCCCTAATTTTGAGATTTTGGGGACTTGGACTGGCTTCCTTGCTCCTCAGCTTGCAGATGGCCTATTGTGGGACCTCACCTTGTGATCCTGTGAGTCAATACTCCTTAATAAACTTCCCTTTATACATATATCTATTCTATTAATTCTATCCCTCTAGAGAACCCTGACTAATACAGCCTCCACATAAAAATTGCCCTCCCTGACCTACTGGTTGATGATATAAGTTTCATGAGTTTTTCCCAAGTTTTCATGTTGTTATTCCCCGGTTTAGATATCTGTTAAAATACAAGCACACAGGTAAATATATTAATCTGCATATAGCATACAACTTGAAACAAGATATTTTAATCAATCTTTTAATCTGGAGATAATTACAGATTTACATACATTCTAAGAAATAATATAGAGAGAACTTGAGGACCTTTCACCTAGTTTCCCCAAATGGCAACATCTTGTAAAGCTATATGATTTTTCTGCTGGTATTTGGCTGAACTAGGGCAGGTGTTGGAGAAATACGTGTTCTTTGTCAGGTCACCCTGTTCCAGTCTTTCTGCTAGTGAGAACATGCTTTTTGTGGAGCTTTATTTTTGGTCTGTGAGTGTTGGCAGTTCCAGGTTGGAGGCTTCTGCAGTGCCCTTCCTGGGCTATATGTGAGAAATAAAGAAACTTATGAGGCTCACCACTTTGTCTCTCTCAAGCCCTGAGATTTCCAGGTATGAGCCTTCTTCCTCTTTCCACCTTTCAGAGTTGTCTTCTTGTTTTGTTGTGTCCAAATGTTTTTAGTTATAAGAATGAAGAACTGGGATAACTGTGGTTACCACATATTGGTGAACCAGAGTGTGTTTTTAATTTGTGTCTGTAGAATGAGTTTGTAACTTACAAAAACAAAAAAAAATTACCGATGGATTTTACCTGGGTTGAGGAAAAAGAACATGTAGGTTGTGTGCCTAAAGTGATAGAAGAGGGATTACAGTTGGGACAGAAGAGATATGAGGAATAAGTGACTATGAAAGAGCAACTTTAGTTGCCATGCCCATTTTTTCTCATAAATTACCCAAAATGCCAGTGTTTCTAAATGCTCAGGTTTTGGACCCTGGCCCATTAAGTATTTTCTTGTCATTTTGACAATACTGCATTGCTATGTATTAGAAACTTTTCTTAATATTTTCCCTCTTTGGAAGAAGTTATAGACAAGTACCTTTAATTTCAGTTTCTGCAGGTAACCCATCTTACTGTCTTGCATACCAAAATATGCCTTCCCTTAATTGAAAAATGATATACATCTTAACTGATTTGTATTAAGAAACTTGAAAGGTGAATTTCTTTCCATAATAGTGAGCAATACTTTTAAAGTATTTTTCTTATCCAATTTTCTTTTCCAAGTCCAACTAATACATAATATCATGATGCTGTCTCCTGTCTCTCTTCTCAACTTCCCCAGTACTGAGTCTCTGCCAGCTCTCTGTCCCTTCCTTTTTTCCATTCACATTTTTTCCTTCTCTTTCCAGACAGACTCTTTGATCTTTCTAGTTTAAGTCAATCAAGCCAGTTTTGAGGTTCTTTCAAGTCCCACACTTTCCAATCCTAATCCATTATATAACAAGACCTAAAATTTAGCTAACAGAAGATATTTATTTCTAGTTGTCATACTGAGGGCTAACAATATGAAATATACTCTGTGTTATTTCTTTTCCCTTATCAAATTGGAAAAGAATGTTTTTGTTTTGTTTTAAGAATTGGAGATTGTTAGCCATGATTGTTACATGGCATGAACATGTAAATCAAATAGAAGAAGGCATATTTGTTACCTGAGGCAATTAAACTAGCATGACTGTGGAAATAATCAGATTGCCAAATTCATGTTAAGAAAGCTCATCCATTGAATCAATATCAAGGACTTAACCACTGTTTTCAAAAAGTGATAGAGCATCTGATGTTTTGATGCTATTTGATGAAACAATGATGCCAACACATTTTTCAAGCTTTTAGAAAAAATCTTATGTAAGATTTTTAAAAATATCTCTCTAGTCTCCTCAACTTGGGGATATATGACCTGAATTTTCTAGTGAAGACTGGAATGATTTAATGTTTATGGTAGTTTGTGTGGCTTTATATAGCAGTAGTAGAAAACTTGGCTGAATTGTAAACTGTGGCTGTCTAATATCACACTCAACATTTCAAAATGTAGTTGATAGAATGTTATAATTTTATTCATAGGGCAAGGTATCAATCTTTAATTCATCAAATCTCTTTATGCTGTTCTTTTTGAAGGAATTATCTATAAAAATAATAGCAGAGCCAAACTGTAATATTCTCATTTAAAGGCATAGTGCTTTAAGGAAGTGCTTTAATACATCGTTTTTTAAAAGGAGAGAAATTTAGCAAATTGTTTTCTACAAGTCATAGGATTAGTTACCTTTTGAGATAACTATAGATAGAAAACTCATAGTTTATTACGGTTATGTCGGAAAAACTATCTCCTTAGAATTCTTTAAAATGTAGAAATCTGAAATGTGATACAGCAAATGCTTGTTGTGACTTTTCTAGGTTGTAAATAAATCTCGAAATTTGGCATCAATTTATTTTTGTGTTATTTGCACTTATTACTTCTTTCATATTCCACTCTTCATAAGTAAAATAGAGATAATATTTAACTCATATGTGAGACATAAAAATGATTAAAATGCATAAAATGTAATAATTTTAATAACCTTTTCCCAGTATAAGAATACTCATACATTAAGCTATTAGTCTTCATTATACCCTTTAAAGTATAACAAGAAACTGAGATTGAGAGATGTTAAATAATATTCCTAAAATTACAAGTGACTGTCAGAGACAGGATTTAAACACATGTCCTATAAGTTCTTGCTAAACAGTGACTTCATTACTCAAAGTCTTCTTATAGCAAATTTAATATGTCTCATCACTTTAATGATACATCTGTTAAATATGGTTGCAACATACCTTATCAGTTGGATGTGAACTTATAGCTCTTTCTACAACTTACATTCTCTGTGCAACTTCTTTTTTTTTTTTGAATCAGAGTCTGGCTCTGTCCCCCAGGCTGGAGTGCAGTGGCACCTTCTCGGCTCACTGAAAGCTCCGCCTTCTGGGTTCACGCCATTCTCCTGCCTCAGCCTCCTGAGTAGCTGGGACTACAGGTGCCCGCCACCACGCCCTGCTAATTTTTTTGTATTTTTAGTAGAGGCAGGGTTTCACCATGTTGGCCAGGATGGTCTCGAACTCCTGAACTCGTGATCCGCCCACCTCGGCCTCCCAAAGTGCTAGGATTACAGGCTTGAGCCACCGCGCCCAGCACTCTGTGCAACTTCTTACACCATGTTTTGTTGGTTTCAAGGGTAGTTGCTTGCTCTAGCTCAGTTCTAAAGCCTCAACATGCTAAGTAGTAATTGTTTTGCACAATAAAAACTTATTTTGAATATTTACTGAATTGGTCTGTATTTGGCTTAATGTCTTGATGCCTTGGTTTCCTATAGGACAATAACTACACAATATATATACCTACCTTCTAGGTTTGATGGGAAAGTTAAATGAGAGAATAGATATAAAGGGCTTAGAACAAACAATGTCTGGGACATAGAAATTGCTCCTTAAGCTTTCTATTATTACAGCTGTTATTGTTGTTTGTCAACAGAAGCCAAGTGTCATTAGACAGGTAAGCTAGACATAGGAAGAGTAGGCATAATACTGTGTGTTTGCTCCTTTAGTTGGGAATTGTAAAAGAAAAAGGATGACTTACACTTAGGAATTAATTGTACTTCTGGTGAATCAATTCAAAGCAAGTGCACACTGCGTCTAGAAGCTGAAAAAGACAATCTATTCTTCTTGAGAAATTCAGCTCCAGCTCTGATACCATCTCTGCTCTTCCATCTACTCAAGGGTTGGGTAGAAACAAAAGCATTTTTATATAGCACATTTATCTTAACTAATGTAAAGGAATGTGCACATATTTTGATAAGTGAGAAAGAAATCACTTAGAAAATCACAGCTAAAACTCTGGAAGATTTAGAAAAAAACAAATTGTAGCTTTAAAAAAAAACATAATGCCTAAAAATAGCTTTTGTTGTAGGCAAAAAAGTAATACATCCTCCTCAGGAATTTGTCACCTATATTTTTCAAATTCATGAAACTTTTTTTCTTTGTAAAAAGAAAAAAAAGCTTAATGATATTTTCCTATCTGTAAAACTTTTTAATTTTGTAGTTCTTAATAAATAACTTAATGATGGTGTAAAAATCCAATTTTAAGGCCAGGTGCAGTGGCTCACACCTGTAATCTCAGTACTTTGGCAGAGAGAGGTGGATAAATTGACCTCAGGAGTTCAAGACAAGCCTGGGATATGTAGCAAAACCTTGTATCTACAAAAAATACAAAAATTAACCAGGTGTGGTGGTATGCATCTGTAGTCACAGCTACTTGGGAAGCTGAGGTGGGAGGATCACTGGAGCCCAGGAGATCGAGGCCACAGTGAGCTGAAATGGCACCACTGCCTTCCAGCCTGGGTGACAGAGCAAGACTCTGTATCAAAAACAAATAAAAAATATCAGATTTTACTAGAAACATCTAAATTTGTTCTTAAGATTATACCATATGAGAAAAAATTACAGCTTATTTATTGAGCCATGTAGCAAACGATGAGCTCACTGAAGAACATGAGCAAATAAGGTTCAAAAATGTAGTATAAGCTTAGTAGTCTTTGTTCTCATACAAAAGTCAACTTCAGTAGTATATATTTAGGGTTTTGTTATTCTGTCTTCTGGTAATTGAGTATGTGCCATAGATCTATAATACGTTTTCAAATATATCATGACTATTTCCTTTTGGTCTGTTGACTGAGATCAAGTGTTATGTGCTGTCTCTAGGGACTCAAGCCGGCAAAGCCAAGAAATAGACTGTTATCTAATAAGCTTTTAGCATCTTTTAACTAAAATGATGGTAACCAATATTATGCTAAGTGTTGCATTATTTATGAGCAATCTGTTGCTCAGGAAAGATGCTCAAAGCATCAGCTACAATGAGTCTTCATCATTTTCAGCTATGTCAGACAATAATCACACTCCATATTTTTTTTCATCCTTTTACCTCTTTCTTATTTTGTTCCCCAGTTACTTGATTTGGTAAAAGAACTCAGCTAAGTATATCTTAAAGCCATAAATTCTATTGGTTAGAAAGTATTTCCCTTTTGTTTTCTTTCTAAAATCAGAATATTAATGGAACACCTAATGTACTCACAGTAGCACTTTTTACAGATTCCTTATGAGAAAGGTAGCTGTATGCCATATACTGTTTTCAAAGGTTACTTTAAAACAGTTTCTTGGTAAATAGTCCAATGAACAAATACATCAGGCATGTGTCTGGATGGGAGGGTGTATATATATATGCGCATATATATAGGTGTATATATATATGCGCATATATATAGGTGTATATATATATGCGCATACATATAGGTGTATATATATGTATGTGTATATATATATATATATATACACATATATATATATATATATACAGGATCTCAAAGAAGACAGAGGAGAGTTTTATTTATTTTAGGTTCCCATATCTCAGCAAGTTGTTTCCCTAGCAAGCTGACTTTCTGGTCTCTACTCTGTCCATTTAAGTTTTGCCCTCATCCAACTATCTGCACTCATGTGTAACAAATTAAGATATATTCCTCTATGCTATTCAGAGACTATTAATTCTTTACTCACTATGCATTGTTTATGCTTTGTAAGAAAATTAGATTTTATTAGAGAGAAGAAGAGAAAATACGTCCAATTAAAAAAATAAAATGTATCTGCTATCATCCTTTGCAAGGAACGTTGCCATTTTGCATCATCGTAGTCTATGAATTGTAATGAAAACTTGTTTTATTGGAAATTCCAAAACGTACTTAAAACACATACACACACACACACACACATGCACATACCCAGCATTGACTATTGGCCACTTATATTTCTCCTTTCTTCTACTATTAAAGTTGCCTTACTTACAGGTATCATCATGTGATTAATGTAATTTTCCCAAAGGATAGCAGAACAGAAAGACAAAGAGATTATCTTTTTGATACATGAAACAAGCTACCTTGTGGTTTCAATTATTAGTCCTTATTAAAATATTTAGTAATATAAAATAACATTATGCTTTAAACATTGACGGTTAATCATTCTCAGATTAGTTAAATCCTAGATTACTAACTCTGATAGCCTGTATAATTCCATGAAAGCAGGAGTGATTTCTTTTTTGTCCAAAATATCCCCAGGTCGCAGCAGGTAATTTAAAACACAGAATGCTCTAAATAAATATTTTTAAATAGATGAGTAAAATATTGAAAAGATGAACAAACCCAGGTTGTCCCCAACCATCAACAAAACTAATCAAGGGTGGATAATTCTTTTTTTATGTTAAAGGCCTTTGTGCATGAATTCTGCCCTTGGACAAGTTCAAAAAGTGGTAACCAGCAGTAGTTATTCTTAAGACAAAGGGTTTAATTTTCTGAAGTGTCTTTCTACCTCCCTCCCTTCCTCTTTCTCCCCTCTTCCTTCTTCCCTCTCCCTCTCTCTTCTCTTTTTTTGTCTCTTCGTTTTAATTTTCTTAATATTTTTTACCAGCCCATTTGCTTAATGCACCCACTCTCTATCTTTTCTACATCTCTTTACAGTAAAAAATCTGGCATTTTGAATAATGGAGATATTGAAAATGAACACGTATATGTATTGCTCCCTCATTAGAAAAATGAATCTGCTGAATTGTTTTTCAATAATAGATGCCTTTTTCATTGTCTACCTTAACTTTCCTATGAAAGAAGAAATAAATTTTTACTAATTATTTTTACTGATTAGGCCACATGGTCTAGCCTTCATATGAGCTAGGAGGTAGAACCAAGGTATCTTTTTGTACTAGAATATTACCAGTCAAACCCAGTTAAAAGTAACATAACAACATGCAGAGGTATAGAGTGATTAAACCACAACTCCAAAGTAATAGTATTGCACATCTCACCAAAGGTATTGATTTTCAGTACCTTTCTAAGTACAGGAAAAGTGGATTAAAAATAATGTGGTCTGTTTTAAAAAAAGGCAGAAAAAATGACAAAGTTCACTGATCCTAGGTAGATTAATTTCAACTACTCCTCTTCTTATCTTTAGCTTGATCTTGAGCTTAATATCATATTGACCCCTTACTATGTCTCTGGTCAACTAGATAAAGTTCTGAACTAGAATTTCTGTAAAATTTTCTGCTGTATTTATTAGTTTCTCTTAGGTGGAATACTGCACAGATTGGGAAATAAAAGTCTTTCTGTACTTTGGATTCACTGGAAATCTTTGCTTTTATAAACATTTCTGTGATGCAGGTTAGAACCTGACCTTAGTTTATCCTTGAAACATACTAACAACCTAACTGGAAAAAAAAAAGTATATATATATACTTCAAGCATCTTCCTTTGACTTAACAGTGTCCTAGAATCCAGTAGTCCAGTCCCTGGTTACAGTTTCATTTCTGTATTAATATTTAAAGCATATATAGCATATGTGTTTAAAAGAGGTTATTTAAAATTATATCTGTCACATAACCCTGAGTTACTCACAAGAAGGATATTATACTTCATTGGATGGCATCAGCTGTGACATTATAAACTCTAACATCAAGATAACCTTCTCTGAGAGGCTGAGTCCCAGAAAAACTGCCTGATCTCAGGCTTGAGGAAGTGAATACAAACTACATTAATTCTAGAGGCAGCAGTGCTATTTCCTAACTTCTGTAGGTGCTCAACATAAAATTACTACCACTCTTTTACTTTAATGTTTAAAACTCTCTTTCAGTTTTGTAAATGCATAATTGTCTTTCCAGAAAGTAAAATTCAATTTAATGATAACCATATATAACATAATAAATTTACATGTTGGTATGTTTATGCACAAAATACATAAGATGTTTGGAGGGGTAAACAATATTACAGAAGGTAAACATCAGGAGGATAGAGTTTGAGTAGTAGTCAAGGAAGTTTTAGTGTCATCTGCATTTTTTGCAATTTTTATTATGTTGAGATCTATACTTATATATATTATTAATTTAAACAGATTTTATAAGTAACACATATATTAACATATTAATATGGATTAATTTTACATATTATATAGCTTATATATAACATATTAAAATAATAATATCTGAGAATTGGAAAGAAACTTAGAGATCAGTTTTAGCATATTTGTGACAGAAAACCCCTGTTCTGATATTTAGTAGGAGAGTTGACCTAGAATTGACACCATTTTTACTAATATTTCTCTACTTTAAATATAAAACAAATATACATTAAGTCAACTGATTTACATTAAACTATAGTTTACCAGTACGAATTTTTTAAAAATTGTTGAAAATGATTCTTTGGAAAAGAAAATACAGCTTGCTAATACTACAGTTGCTTAAATATTTTAATTTTGAAGTATATCAATGACAAAGTGGAAATAAATTATTTATATTCTAATACTGCCAAATTTGTTGTTTTTCTTCTTATGATCCCTTTCTTTATTTGGCATTAAAATATAGATTTTCACATGTATAAATGTAGCATTTTATACCTTTCTTTTGCTATTAACATATGACTTTACAAATGTTTTCCATACTGTTACATAAATCCAATTTTATAAAAATATTGATATATGACATTGTAAGTACTTAAAATCATAGCTCAAATAGGTAGAAAACACGTGCAACAGATTATGGCCACATATGTATAGGTATATTGTTTTATTTTTATATTTATTTCAGCAGACTGAAATAAACAGAAGCAGAATCCAGGAAAATTTAACTGACAGGGAGAAACACTTGGACTTAAAATTTGTACATCTCTATCAATAATTTGATCCACTTATCCGTAGAACAACACAGGTAACTTCAGTTTGGCTGAGAATTACATTTCTAGTACAAGTATAATTCAGAATCTTAAAGATTTTGGAAATAAATTAGATTAAAAAGAGGCTCAGAGAGTGACACATGGCTCAGCCAGTAAGTCAAATAACAGCAGGAAATAAAAAGAAAAGAAAATCTCTTCATAGAAGCCTAAAAAATGCATATGCATTTTCTGATAAAGGAGGCTTTTGGTCCCATGTATCAGTGACTATCCTGATTACACATTATACTTGTAGATGTGTGTGTGTATATATATATATATAAAATTTGCTAATTATGGTAGAAAATATGAAACAAAGTAACAGAAGTAAAATTACTTAGACAAGGATTGACTCTCCAAAAACAAGCATGTAAGTTTAAAAAAGTCATTTCTTCTTTTAAAAAAATGTTTGTGGTGGAAAATAAAAGCAAAGCCAAACAAACAAACCTGCATTTTCTAGATTCAGTCACCTCAGAAACATATAAAGCACTTCAGAAAAAAACAAAACAAAACACAATTCTTATTTGGAGAAAGAAAACACAACTATCTGCAGAAATGTAGCTAATGAATTAGCTAGAAAGCAAGAACATTTCTTTGTTTTCAATTAACTATAGAAAATCATCTCTGTATCTCTGTTGCAGAATAATTGTAATGCCACTAATTTCAGTGCTTAGTTGAGGGAAGGCTGAAGACAGCCTGTTCTCTGGATTTACCTGATGATTGACTCCTTCCTAGAATTTTAGAGCAATAAAACTGCCTAGCAATAATTTCCACAGTAAACTAATTATTTCTTTGGTAATGCAACACTCAGTCCAAAGGGCTCTGTTCAAAAGCTTAGAACCAGTGAGGTGTGTAGGGACCTAAGATTTTCCGTGGGATTGTGTGTATGGGTGTGGCATTCTGTGTTGGTGAGCTGAGACTGTGGCTTTTTACCTATGAGAGTGATAGGAGTCCCCATTGTCTTTTGTTTTACTTATTTATTTTTCTTTTCTTAGCATATTGCATATGCAACGACTTTATACAATTCTCTGGATTTTTTTTTTTATGTCATGGCAGCACTAGTGACTAGTAAATATTTCCTTAAATTTTCATCTGGCAGCTGATAAACCACCTAAGTGATACAGATTAGTTACTGACCTGGGGCTAGAGGTACAAGTTTCTTATTTATTCTGCATGTTGAGTTGCTTTCAATCTGCAAATATACACAGTTTCAAAAACTTCATACATATCTAGATATTACAATTAATTATTGGGTTATGTCTAAAATTCATTCGTGTCATAACATTAAGAAAACTTACAGTTGTTAATGGAAAAAACAAAATCTGTAAAATATTTTAAAGGGCTTGTTGTGAACCAAAATGAGTGACTGCAGCCCAGAGAATACACAGACCCAAGAAGCCTTGAGTAAGTCATCCTGAGGAGGTGGGGTTACAGTTTTGTTTTATGCATTTTAGGGAGACAGAAATTGTTGGTAAAATTATAAATCAATACATGGAAAGTTTCTAGTTCAGCCAGAAAATAATAGCACATCTCAAAGCAAGGAGATTATAAATTAGAGATGGGTGTAGGGGTTCTTATTCGTTAACAGTTCGTAGAAAGAGTGAAGCTTTGTCTAAAGACTTGAAATCAGTTCAAAGGAATGCTTGAGTTAAGGTAAGGGAGTTTGCTGTCTGTTATGTGATAATATACCAGAGCCATGTTAGAAAGTAAGCTGTATTATACTGAGTTAATTAAAAAACCCATTTAATGCGATTTTATGGTTTGTAAGGTGTGACTTAACCTTTGCTTTGCATGGCCTTAGGTCCTATTTATAATTCAGTATTGCCACAAAGAGTCCCTTCTGTCAGTCTTATGATCTCTATTTTAATATTAACCCTGGTCAGTTGTGCCTGTACCCCAAAAGGGAGGGGGTATAATGAGGGATGTCTGACCTCCCTTCCTCTCATGGCTAGAAATTTAGTTTTTAAGGTTTTTCTTGGATTCCCCTGGCTAAGAAGTGGTCCATTCAGTCAACTGAGGGGCTTAGGATTTTAATTTTAGTTTACATAGTCAAAATTTAGTTACATATGAATTTTTTTCCTGCCACTAATTGCATTCTCCAAAAATAATTAACAGTAATTGTGATGATTAAAACTGAGTGTCAACCTGATTGGATTGAAGGATGCAAAGTACTGATTCTGGGTGTTTCTGTGAGGGTGTTGCCAAAGGAGATTAACATTTGAGTCAGTGGACTGGGAATGGCAGACCCACCCTTAATCTGGGTGGGCACAATGTAATCAGCTGCCAGCGTAGCTAGTATACAAAGAAGAAAGAAAAATGTGAAGACTAGAGTGACCTAGCCTCCCAGCCTACATCTTTCTCACACTTTGGGAGAAAGACGCCTCCTGCCCTCAAATATCAGACTCCAAGTTCTTCAGTTTTGGGACTCAGACTGGCTTTCCTTGTTCCTCAGCTTACAGACAGCCTAATGTGGGATGTTGTGATCATGTGAGTTAATACTTAGTAAACTCATATATATATATATATATATGTAATAGGATATATATATATGAGTAATAGGATATATATATATCCTATTAGTTCTGCCCTCTAGAGAACCCTAATACAGCACGCATATTCTGTCATAGATTCTCCCAGAATGGGTGCATGTGGAATACTACATTTATGATATCTTATAAATAATATACTCTATTTAAATTATATATTGTATTTACATTAATAATTTTATATAACATTATTTTGTATTTGTTCTTATATGTATATTATTGCCTTATACTATGTGGGTAGTTTATATAATACATTTTAAGGTAAATAATGAATATTTATGAAACTATATTTACCTAACTTTTGTAAAAGAAAATTTAAAAATCTCAGGGCCGCTAGAACTTCTTATGGAAGGAGAAGGTCATTGCAACACCATCTTTCAAATGGATAGCTGTTACTAACATTTTGCCTCAACCAGATCCCCATGGAAAGGTAAAAGCTCTCAGGCATCTGTGGAGGACTGCCTCTACAGATCATTCATCTATAGGTTCTTTGCCGGGCTCCTATAAAAAAGGGCATGCCAATTGTAACTTTAAGTCTACAATCTAAGTCTAGTTCCTAAAACTGAAGTGTGTTCCATTCCACATGGATAATGTCATTATAAGCTTATCTTTCCAGGACAAGTTCTTGGACAAAGTCAAGACTCTTTCTTCTACTCACCCAGAGATAGCTGCATAATTGACTCTTCTTTTACTCCCTTTGTCTCTTCAGATATTCACTTTATCTCATGTAAAATGAAGATTTACTGGTCACTAATTAAAGTCTCATAAGAATGTAACTACTCATCCAACTAACTACCTGCTCCTCTACTTATCTGTGTCCCTCACCAACCCCATTTTTAAGAAAATGTATAAATACTAAACCTGAAAACCTCATCGGAATAACAGCCACTCATTTGAGTTGTCACTTTATAGAAATAATTCAAAAGTTAGCACATTTTAACTTATAAACAGTTATGTTATTTTTATATGTCTTATACTTATTTTAAATTATATTTAATTTAAATTAAATTATAATTTTCTTTGGTTGATTTACTCTGAGAATTTGTTACTATAACTAAATAATAAAATTTTACCTTATTTGTTATTTGCTTTTAAGAGAAATAAATTTTTTTGTGGAATTTTTTTCCCTAAAACAGTATATTTCAGAGCATAACTAGGAGAATAAAATCAATATTTCTTGTAATTTCTAGAAAATTAACAAGGCTTAAAAATCTATGTGTAGATTTAGATCACAATTAATATATAAAAATAATATATATTGACTGTTTGTGTAAATCACATATAAATGATTTCATAATTTTTTTCTTTCACCTAAGCCCTAATTCTTTATTGTATATTTGTAATACAAGAAGTTGTTATCTTCGAATTTAAATTTTTATACATGGTATAGGTATTCAAGTAAACTGTATTTTGTATAAAACATATTATCCTCTGTGTATACCTCTACTTGTTTAATCAAAAGCCTCTATGAGATACAATTCATTGGCCTTAGGCAGGCAGGAGCCCTCAGCCTCAGCAAAGGCTCCAGAGGTAACACTAACCAACACCAGAGAAGTCTCACCATTGGAGAGAAAGCCTTGTAACAGCTCCACATGACACACTAACTGCTGCTATTCTACTAGGTGGAATCTTTCAAATGCTTACCATTGCTTACTTTTATTTCTAACCTTTGATGATTCTGATTTATTTCCCTTTTCACTTTTATAGTACTGATCCAGGGAACTTTGATACAGTGAATCATATATAAAATTTAGTAAATATTTCTCATTTCAAAGATGCTACTTTTGCACTATATAGTATTTGTTACACAGTAGTTTAAATGACATTCAGTCAATTTGTCTACTCTTTTAGAATAACTTTGGGGGAACTTTATGATGTGGCTCCAATATACCTTTCTATAAAATCTTCACTAATTGCCTTAAAGAAACATCTTAACAAATAAGGGCAATTGTCATTCTGCAGTCATCATTAGCAACTATGTTTTATCCTTTTTCCTGTTATTCCTACCTACCATTACTTCAACTTGGAAGCTCAAATATCCCATTCTTCATGATTCTCTACCTGATGTTCCAGTCAGAATTAATATTACTCCAATTGGTTTTCCTATAAAATTATGTTATGTTATAACCTGATGTATATATATCACCTTGAATTACACCCACTTCTGACTCTTCAATTCTAGATAAGCTACTTGGACATTTCATACTCTGCCCCACTCTAAACCCCTCAGTCTCCTACCTAAGTTTAGAAATAGTAGATGCTTCCTAAAAAAGATGCTGACTGAATCACTGGAATAATTCTATCACTGGAATCATTTCATAAGAAGGAGTTTGACCAGGTTGAATGATACCTTTTATTTCTGATTCAATGTGTTACTTTTATAAAAGCACAACTTAAATGTTATTAAAAATATATTAAAAAATCATTTCATAAATACCTTTAGTTTCATAAAGCCATCCAGGGTACTCTGAAACAAAGCTCCTAAGGCACATCAGTATGGAGCCAATGAAGAATATGGTTTCAGCATAAACTATCAAGGTGGTGAAATGAGAGAACAAGCCTGGGGTTTTGAAGCTGTAGGTTGTAATTATGGGTCTGACATGAATGATCCTTGTGGACTTCACATCACTTATCCTGCTTGTGCTTTTGTAACATTTTTGGTAAAATTATGGCAATGGATGAGATCACCTGCCAAAGTCTTGCCTAGTTCCAATTTGGCAATTTTCATAACAAAGTAAAAGTAATAAAAACACATGAATTGTAAACCCTTAATATGTGAACTGAGCTGTAACACAAACCCTGGCAACTGAGAATCCTCAGGAGACTTATTGAATAAAATGGCCATACACCCTGGGTTTCTGCAGACAGTCGTCATTTCTGATATTTACCTATATCCCGGTGTCCCATGTAGTTTAGCATTTTGCCTGAGTTTTTAAAAATTAAATTACACATTATTAGTATAGTTAAATATAAGTCAGAGAGGGTTTGGTAGATTTGTGTTATAGTTTCTGCCATGGTCTCATCTGGTAGAGTGTAGGATGCTTGTGCTCTCAACAGAGTTTTTAACTTTTATTACATGAATAAATATAAAAGTAGTGATAGTCTGCCTCTCCTTTCCTGAAAATCTCAGAGGCAAAGTAATTGAACAACCCCCTTCCAGATCAGTAGTGTAGCTGCTCACTGTCAAAATAAGTGCTTCCTGATTCAAGCATCTAGTCTTGGCTTAGCGTCTATTTCACTCACATCATTTATTGGTTTCCATTTATAAATGTCTATGTTTCAACTGACTCTATCAAGAAGTGACCTGGTGGCATTTATATCTTGTAGACCCTAGCACATAGCTCAACTGGCTTGTACTTCAAGTGGCTGACAGGAACGGTTGAACTATGTGTTAGAGTCTATGAGATATAAATACCACCAGGTCACTCTTGATAGAGTGTGAGTGAAATAGAGGCTAAGCCATCTTCTTCTAGAATATATGGCCAGAATGTTTTTGCTATAGTTCTTTTATCAATTTCTGCATGGTGAAAATCTCATCTCTGTTAATTTTTTGGTTTGCTGATAATATACTGTTTCTGAAATTTACTTTTTGAAATAAACATTTATTTTAGAGTATATTTAAATTCACAGAAAAGTTGCAAAAATATTGATAAGTTATTTTTAACCAAAATTGATGATTTCAGATTTTCTTAATTTTTGAATAATGTCCTTCTTCTGATCCAAGATCCTATTTGGGATGCCATAAGACATTTGGCCATCATGTCTCCTTAGTCTTCTTTTGGCTGCCACAGTTTCTTAGAATCCTTTTCTGTTGGTGACCTTGACAGTTTTGAGGAATACTGGTATTCTGTTGAATGACCCTTAGTCGGGATTTGTCTGATGTTTTTTTCTCATGATTAGATTGGGGTTATGAGTTCATGCGAGAAAGATTACAGAGTAAATTGGCATTTTTATAACATATCAAGAGTACATACTGTCAACATGACATTTCTGTCGATGTTAATTGTGATCATGATATAGCTCATGTCAGGTCTTTCTACTGCATAGTGTCTCTTTTCACCCTTTTCATATCATCATCTTTGAAAGGAAGCAACTATGCACAGCCCACACTTAAGGAGTGAAAAGTTATGTTCCATCACCTTGTGGACAGGGTATCTACATCATGTTTGGGAATTCTCCTATATTAGATATTTGTCTATCCCCCCCATTTAGTTATTTATTCAATCATTTATTTATATACTTATGACCTCATGCATATTCTGTTTATACACTGGGTTATAATTCAACACTACATTATTTATTTAGTTACTCAAATTGTTGTATCTTTGCCATTGGAAGCTCTTTTTATTCCTGTGACGTATCTCCACCATTGCATTTAATTTAGAATGTTTTCTTACTTTCTGATACCATAAGATGCTTCAGACTTATTCTATATATTTCCTAGCCCAGTAATTTAATCAGACATTCTCAAAGAAGCTCTGATTCCTTATACTGGAAAATGGCAGGAGAATCCAAAATACAGATGCCAGATATGCTTGTTGCTTTGCAAGTTCATTGTTTCTAAGTCTTCTCAGAGGACAAAACAAGGAAATACATGCAACAACACTCATGCTAGTTGATATGGCTTGTCTTTGTGTTCCCACCCAAATCTCATCTCAAATTATAATTCCCACACTTCCAGGGAGGGAACTGTAATCCCCATGTGTTGAGGGAGGGAAGTAATTGGATTATGGGGGCGTTTTCCCCATGTTATTCTCATGATAGTGAGTGAATTCTCAGGATATCTGATGGTTTTATAAATGGTAGTTTTTCCAGAGCTCCCTCACACACTCTCTCTCACCTGCCACCATGTAAGATGTGCCCGCTTCGCCTTCCACCATGACTGTAAGTTTCCTGAAGCCTCCCCAGCCATGCAGAACTGTGAGTCAATTAAAACTCTTGTTTTTACAAATTACCCAGTCTCAGGTATTTTTTTATAGCAGTGTGAGAACAGACTAGTACACTAGTTTATTAGCATTATTCCCCAGCAACTTATTAAAATAGTCAACTATTGAATTGTTTCTACCAGTTATGGCTTCAGTGGCTTCTGCTCCACATAAACAGGTCTCACTTGTGTCTCTATGGATTAACCAGACTCCTGGATTTGCTGTGGTGATTTGCCCTGCAACTATAGTTTTCTGATGAGCCCTCATTTACAGGTTGTCCTAATGTTTCTTCTAAAGAACAGAGTGATGACTTCCAAGTTCCTTACCTGCTGGAGCTGAAACCAAAGGTAATCTCTTTTTAACCATTAATCATTTACTTATGAAACTTTTCATAAACAAAGGACTAAAAGGTGAAAGTGCTGAGTCTCTATTTCTTAAGACAGCTGATGAATGTAAAAATTACATTTTTTTAAACATTGGTCTATATCATGAGGTTTGGATATATCATTGAATATATGAAAATTAGAAGGCATAAATCCAATGAAAAATATCAGCATTTACTCTAAAGTGATATTGTTTTATTAAAACTGTATCTGGGACAGCTATTTAATTGGGCCGCAGCAAAACTGTATTTTTATATCATTTGATAAATAAATACTTTTTGTTTAGATCATAAGATGGTTCTTCTAAATTAATTTTACTGAAATTTTTATTCCAAATTAAATAGTAATGGTGAATTCACTGACTCCATTAGCAAATAAAGAAAACTTCACAAAGTTTTAAATGATACCAGTTTTACATTAGTTCTTCAAAGCCTTGAAATGGAAATCTAGTGAATACCAATAATGGTTTGATCATTTACCTTTATCCAATTTATAACCTCAAAGTATAGCTCTAGAGGTTCAATTCATGAAAGGTAAAATGTTACATGTTATTGTGATGCTTTTGCAAATTCAGTTAAACTTTCAACGTTGGACATATATCCATCTGATTTTGCTGTGTTAACAAGAATAAAAATTTTGATGGAGCACAGTATTATTTTAAAATGCTTTTACTAAATTAAAAAACTAATGGATTAGAAATATACTTGGAACTTATTATTGTGCAGACATAATTTATAACTACATCAAAATAAGCTGTGACTAGCAGCGAAATAAAATGTAAAACTTTGCATACTTTTTATTACATAGTGTGCCTAAACTATAATATTTTTGTGAACAGCTGATTTTTCAAACTAAATAGACTTCAGCGTGGCATCCTGTGCTTTCTCTTTTTACTGATTATCATAAATTCAATTTTAGAAATGTTTACTCTCCAAAAAAATTAACCTTGATAAATCAAACTTCAGTGAGATACTGACACTTCTTGTAAATTTCTTATCTAAATTGTAGGTGTATTTGGTTCAAACTAAGTTTAAAATATTTAATCAAAATATTTGAACTAATGAATATCAAAATTGTAGCTGTTAAAAGTTTTAGAAAATAACAGAGACAAAGCTTAGAAATAAAAAATTTCATCATATCCCTACAAAATTAAGAGACCCCAACAAATAAAATTAGGAATGCTCAAATTTAAACTATTAAATCATGCAGTTCTAGAAATGCTTTCTTTTTTTTTCTTAATTTAAGAGAAATGGAGTCTTGCTATGTTGCCCAGACTGATCTTGATCTCTGTTCTCAAGTGATCCTCCTGCCTTAGCCTCTCAAAGTGTTGATATTATAGGCATGAGCAATTGCACCTGGCCTATAAATGCTTTATGAAAAATTTCAAATTGAGGTTAGGATCTTTTGATAGAGCACATATATTCAGTTACATTTATATTCTCTACCAAAATGTAATAAATTAAGAAGGCCTGATTTGGCCTAAATCACAAAAAGTTGTCTTTTTGATACATTTAATGTTATACCAAATTTAGGTATCTGATTTTTCCAGTATCTAATCTAGGCATAAATTTGGTGTAACATTAAATGTGTCATAAAGACAACATTTTGGAGACTTTTATTCGTAAAAATATTTATCAAAGAAATGTACTCTAAATTGTGATAGTATACATAAACATCTACTTAAATATTTTAGATAAAATGTTTAAATATTTTTATTTGAAGTAAATTAGACTTTAGAAAATCCTCGATGTTATTTAGTTTGCTCTGAACTTATCAGTCATGTCAGCTCCTAGATAAATAATATTGTTTCAATTAAAAATATTATGATCTACCAAGATGTGTCAATTTAAGATGTACCTTCCCCACCCAGACTCTGATAACCACCATTCTACTTTCTACTTCTTTGAGTTAAATATTTTTAGATTCCTCATATAACTGAGATCATACAGTATTTATCTTTCTGTGCCTAGCTTATTTCACTTAGCATAGTATCCTCCAGGCTCACACATGTAGTCACAAATGACAGAATGAAATTTGATTTTTACATAGAATTATTTCATAGCTTAGCAATTTAATAAACCAATCAGCAATCAATATTTCAAAAATATATACAAGTTTTATTGTTTTTGGTACCTTTCCAGTATCTAAAGTGTTCTGGATTGTACAATAATTTATGTACTTACCCTATGATTGAGGGTATGCATAAGGAAGCCTAAGGAGCATCTGGAAAACATGTTTAAATTCAGATTTAAACTTAGTTTGTCATATGAAATTATAAGAAAGTAAAGATAATATGATAACCTTTGGCAATTAAAATTAAATGTTTTATTGAGCTTAATATGCTTTTATTTGTAAGCGTTCCAGCTTACCACATTAAAACATCTGCTTCTTTTTTCTTTCTGAATTTGCCCTTGTCAAAGGGAAGTGTAATAGTGAATATATATCCAGATTTTTATAACAAAAATAGAATAGAACACAAATTACTATGTTTAAAATAATTAATGCTTATTTTGCAATCTGAACTGTATTCTAGATGCAAAATATTCTCATTGTGAGAATAACTTGGGATTCAGCTATTTGAAATAACTGTTGTTTATAAATAAACACAGTAATTAATTAGACTCCAAAGTTCCTTTCACCTAAAAGATTTACAACTTTGCACATTTGTCAAAAAGCAATATTTTCCACAATAAGAAGATTAGCATCAGTACAATGTTGGTGATTCCCTACTGAAGGACAAAGAACTTAAAGGCCATCACTGCACTCATACACCAGAAGGGGAAGAAGAGATGCAGTTAGAGGTAATTTTTTCCTGCTGCACCCTTGTGTGTTTACTTGTGAAGCCGAATATTCAAACATTCAATGTTTTGGGTGCCTCTAAAATATTAGAGTAGAAGACTTACCAGCAGAGAGGCCAAAGGCATTGGGGATGTGAAACCGAAGTGTTCCATCCATTGAAATGCAATGAATAGTGTGCAGCTTGCTGATGGTGATGGATGATGATAGTTGATCACTTGGCACTAGCCACTTGGCTGAAAAACAAATTGGGAATGCAAGGCAAACACAGAGCTGGGCAGGCCATCAAAATAAATAAGTAAAAAGAAAGGACATTAAAAGACAATGGATTGCTAGGATGAACGCTTGTAATAAATGATGATGTCAGTAATAAATTAAGGTTGCTTATGCCATGGATAGAATTCCAGAAAGGAAAACAGATTGAAAAACTCAGCAGTATCAATGACTAGAAACCAGTTTTCAAAATGCTAAATGTTAAAATGAAACTTTCTATAAGAAATGCATAGTCAAAACTTAGGTGATACCAGAAGACATAGATTGATATCTGTTTTCAGTAATTCTTCAGATGCCTGTGTAAGTTGATTGCCACAAGAAATATACATGTTGGAGAGAATTAGGGTAAAGTGTAGTCAAAGTTCAATAGTTAGAGTTGAATTTCACATGTCTTCAGTGGAGAAATTACATTTTATTTTTATTTTTAATTTTTGCTCCACTGATTTATTTATTTATGATGACTGATTTGCATAAATATATGGCAATTGGAAATGAAAAAGATTTTTTTAATTCCACAAAAATGTATCTAAACACGTCAATAACACTATTTTTATTAAATCTGCTGGCTAGAGATATTACAGAAAGTGAAGTCAATGTGTTTGAAAAGTTAAAAACAATTTGTGACTTAACTACAATCCATTACTAAAAGAATGAAAGAAAAAACAAGAGCTAATACAAGACTATATAGTATATCATCAGTTAATTGATCTGCACAAGCGTTTTTCAAATTGTGAGAAAGATTAAGGGGTATAAATAATAGGTTTTTACATTTTTATTTTAAAACTATAGGTATGAAACAGTGCACATTGTTATGAACTCAACTGTGTCCCCCAAAACTCAGATGTTTAAGCCCTAATCCCTAACAAAAGTTAACATATTAGAAAAAATAAGTTCTTATTAAAAGAAAAATATTTCAAAGAACACAATGAAACAACTTGTCACTAGGACAACTTCCAGATATCCTTTAGAAGAACATAGAATTTTCTTTTCTTTTTTTTTTTTTTGAGATGGAGTTTCACTCTTGTTGCCCAGGCTAGAGTGCAGTGATGTGATCTCTGCTCACGGCAACCTCCACAACCCAGGTTCAAGTGATTCTCCTGCCTCAGCCTCCCAAGTAGCTGGGATTACAGGCATTTGTCATCATGCCTGGCTAATTTCGTATTTTTAGTAGAGATGGGGTCTCTCCATGTTGGTCAGCCTGGTCTCGAACTCCTGACCTCAGGTGATCCACCTGCCTTGGCCTCCCAAAGTGCTGGGATTACAGGCGTGAGCCACTGTGCCCGGCCAGCATTTTCTTAAACACTGATTATCATGTAATAAAAATGCTTTATAACTATGTGTCTTAGTTTGCTAAAGCTACGATAACAACAACATACCACAAGCCAGGTGGCATAAAAAATATGTTTATTTTCTCACAGTCCTGGAGACTAGACATTTAAGATCAAAGTGTCAGCAGGTTTGTTCTCTCCTGAGGTCTCTCTCTTTGGCTTGGAGATGGCCTTCTTACTGTTTTCTTTACTTATCCTTTTCTCTCTGTGCACATTCATGGTGTCCTTTCCTTTTCTTCTAAGGACGCCAGTCATACTGCATTGGGGTCTCCCTGCTATGACTTCACATAATCTTAACTAACTCTTTAAATATTCTATCTCTAAATATGGTCATATTGAGAAGTTTACCTTTAATGAGATATATATTGTTGTCAATAAACTGTTATGCTTATCACTCACTCTGGCCTCAATACTTCATATATATTGTCTAAGGTACCTCAGAAGGTATTTGGTTTCATTCGTTCATAATGTCAGTCAGTAAGTCAGGAGATAAGTCAGCTACAGTACCCAGTAAACTCTGCCTTATGTGTACCTATGTGCTGGGCTTTGTTTCAGAGGCTGATGGACAAGCAAAATTCTTGACGTTAGAAAGCTTTCTGCCTAGTACAGTAACTTAGAAAACTTTTTGCTTTAGTTTCATTAATTGATTTTGAAGTCTTCAAAAAAAATAAAATCATTATATATCCTCAATCATTTTTGTCTAATTCTTCCTAAATAGGGTGAGTTTTATGTCTAAACTTCCCTTCTAGACAAATGAGTGCTTGGAGGCAAATGATCATATGTGAGGATGGGGGATTGAAGACCCTGGGTCTGGCAATGGGGCAAGATTTCAGAAGTCCTCAGTTTGTATATTATCAAAGCCCAAAGACACAATCAGACAAATTAAGAGTCAAGTAAATAATTCAAGTGAAGTTGCATCTAAGGAGAAAAAAATGAAAACCAAGCAGCAGGGAAAAAAAATGAAGATAGAAGAACAGAACAAATTAGATTCAGAGGATACAGAAGAAGGTAGAGTCTAGAAAACAAGCAAACAGCAAAACAAAAAGCAAAAACAACAAAAAACTTTTTCAGGGAGTTAGAATGTAGCATTGAGGCTTATTACTGCCTTCAAACTCACCGGTAGACATGGAGAGACCCTGGAAAGCACTAAGTAGGCTCAGATAGCATTCCTATATGATAGTTAAGTCCTTGAGACAAGATGTAAATGTTTGTTCATAACATTCTTAAATAAAGAAGCAAAGACTGAATACATTTAAAAAAGCATTTTAACATTGAGAATATAATTCCTTCCTCCAGTAAAACAGAAGTAAAATATAATAAATGTATTGTTTTCTGCAAGTAGTTTTTCTGTTATAATTTTTATTTTATTTGATGCTTTTTAGTTTTTCAGACGACCCAAAATCCCACATGATATTGATAGTAGCATTTAGTTTTTATCCAGTATTTTTTTTCTACAGACTTACTCATCCTCTCATGTATGTGTTCATTTGGGCCAATATAGAAACAATCCCATTTGTATATTACAAGCCTCCACTCTCTGAATGGTTGCAGCCTGGAATTTGTGTCCACTGAAGTATCCAGTGTCGACTCAGGCAAGCCCTGGTAGTGTATGTAACGTTATGCTTTAGGCTTTGTTTTTTTCCCCACTATGTTTACTATGTTTTTTGTCTAATTCAAACTATAATTCCCTGTTGAAAGTGAAACTGTAACCTCAAACTTAGCTTTCTTTACTGGGGTCACAGAGATGATTCTGAGGTATTAAAATACAGGACATCTTGGCTTAAAAAATCCTTAATTTCACCTTCCTACGAGATGCCTACACTTTTTCTACTTTTTTCCAGCTTCCCAGTAGAAAAGGAATATTATTTCATAATCTGAAGACATGGTAACTCTGCATTTAACTGAATATTGCTCAGTAGCTGAATGTATGCTGCTGTTCTGCCCAATAATGTTTCTGAGCCCATTTGCTATTAAGGTTAATTTGATTAACTTTAAGTTGCTATTTCCCCTTGAAAACTTAGAGTGCACTGATGATTGTAACTCTGAGAGGGGACACTCTACAGCTTACTCAAAGTTAACACCCTCCCCCAATCCTTTTTTCTTTGGCTTCTTCATCCCCATTGGCCCACTGAAGTTTCCAGTGGGTCTCAAATTGACATTTTCTGATTCTGCCAACACAAAAGGAGGTGAAGGCCTTAAAAATGTGATAAATAATCTAAATCAAATGATTTTTATTAGCTATCTTTTAGTTTCATGTAATGCATTCATAATTATGTCCATGCTTTTACCTTTTGAACTGTGTTAACACCATTATTTCTGAATTGAGGATCCTCCAAACAAAATTAATGCTTCTGTCAGACACAAGTTAAATACTTTGCTCTTTTGAAAATTATTTTTATTATAAAGGATTTTATAAATAAAATATTTTATAGAGATGCCAAAGACAAGAACACTCAGAGCAATAAAAATAAGAGAACAGAGAGCATCTTCCACCAAGGCGTTTGTTCTTGACCTAGGAATCGTGTAATAAGTTTGTCCATCAAAAAAGACTATACAACAGGATCTTTTTTAGTGCAACACTGAACCTGTGTATCTCAGGACTAATTCTTTAAAATTCAGAAAGGCTTGTAATAAGATGCAGTGTGTGTGTGCCTGGAGGCAAATGATCCTATAAGAGGTGTGTGTGTGTGTGTGCATGCACGTGAGGGTGCATGTGCTCACATCTGTTAACTAATTTATTAACTCTCTAGTACGGCCTTTGCTCCGTTGTATTCTAGATTGCTGAGCTACTGAAGAAGCAATATTTACAAATCACAGAGGACTTTCTCATTTTCTGCCAATAATTATGCATCCTGATTCATTCACACTGAAGAATACCTAGAAAGGCATGGACTCTAGCTCTATTCATATGACCATTTAGCTGAAAGTTTTTTGCTAAATTCACCAGATTTAACAAAAGGATACCCGGATTTTATTCCAATTACAGATCCCCCTGTTTTGTGGCTCTATTTCTCTCAGTTATATCATTTCAAACTTAAGCCAAATATTCTAAATGTGGGTATGTCTTGAGCTTGGAAAAGGAAACAAAAAAGAAAAAAAAGTTTATGGAAATGAAAAAAATTAAGTGAATGGTGTATACATATATGTATATATACATATATATACACACACACATATATATACAGCAGTATATATATATATACTGTATACAATGTTTACAGTATATATACTGTATACAATATGTTTGTCAGTTTGTAATAAACCACACCTGATCCTCAAAATAACCCTACTAATAATGTATTGTTTAGCCCACAGAGAAGAAAATATAGGCACTGAAATATTAAGTAATGTCCCTTTAATTATACATGTGGGCAAGGGGGAAGACTTGAATCTGATACAGGCTTTTCCAAAGATAGCCTTTCCCTTACACACTTATTCCTGAAAATGTCATGCTCAATTATGCCCTTGTTATGCACTTTATTATCTCTCATTCACTACACATGATTAATTCAATAAGTTCTTTAAATACAACACAAAATATGACTTTCAACAGACTTTACCACTTCCACTATATTTTATGCCTCCCACGTCACCAATAAAACTGTCTTCTTTCCTCTTCCAAACTCCTCTAGGATTCATCATGTGCATAGTACTTGCACAATCATATAACGTCCTACATTGTTACAATTTTTTAGGTAGGTTTTTTTCCTCTTCAGTGTGATTGTAAATTCCTTGAGTCTAAAGCTGTGTATCAATCAATCAACAGATAATCACTGCGACCTTTCTGTGACTGAGACATTGTGTAAGGTGAAATGGTGGATAAAACAATTTGAGCAGTAAATAACTGAAAGTCTCAAAAGACAGTACGTGTCTCAGTATACTATTGCCACAATAATTCTAAATAACACACAGCCACAACACTCACGGCCTGTAACAGTAAGCTTTTATTCTTACGTTCACTAGTGTGTCAATTAACTGTCCTTCAGCTTCAAGCTGTGATTTGGCTCAGATTGCTCCAGCTATGGTTGGGTCAACACTTCTGCCTTATTTTGCACCCCTGATTGAAGGAACTCTATGTAAAGACATCTTTTCCTCGGGAACCTAATTGCTATGTTTGACATCCTCAACAGATTCTTTATTAATGCCTTTTTTCCCTTAAATTATAAAATAATTTTTAAAAACAATCATGAGATAATTATTAATCAGTAATGTCATTATTCTATTTATCTGCCTTTGGTTTTAAACAATATTTTTATAAGAATAATGTACCTAAAATTTTAAAGATATCATTCAAATTCAATAAAATATTTCATAGTAGATCTAAAATTTGCATTTTCAAAGCAAAAAATTTACTCCTCCCAAATTTGCATTTTAATTGTTAAAAATTTTCTTCTCAAATACAAGCTCTGAGACATCATTTAAAACGACAGAATGTGATATTCCCCTTCCTGTGTCCATGTGATCTCATTGTTCAATTCCCACCTATGAGTGAGAATATGTGGTGTTTGGTTTTTTGTTCTTGCGATAGTTTACTGAGAATGATGATTTCCAATTTCATCCATGTCCCTACAAAGGACATGAACTCATCATTTTTTATGGCTGCATAGTATTCCATGGTGTATATGTGCCACATTTTCTTAATCCAGTCTATCACTGTTGGACATTTGGGTTGGTTCCAAGTCTTTGCTATCGTGAATAATGCCGCAATAATCATATGTGTGCATGTGTCTTTATAGCAGCATGATTTATAGTCTTTTGGGTGTATACCCAGTAATGGAATGGCTGGGTCAAATGGTATTTCCAGTTCTAGATCCCTGAGGAGTCGCCACACTGACTTCCACAATGGTTGAAGCAGTTTACAGTCCCACCAACAGTGTAAAAGTGTTCCTATTTCTCCACATCCTCTCCAGCACCTGTTGTTTCCTGACTTTTTAATGATCACCATTCTAACTGGTGTGAGATGGTATCTTACTGTGGTTTTGATCTGCATTTCTCTGATGGCCAGTGATGGTGAGCATTTTTTCATGTGTTTTTTGGCTGCATAAATGTCTTCTTTTGAGAAGTGTCTGTTCATGTCCTTCACCCACTTTTTGATGGGGTTGTTTGTTTGTTTCTTGTAAATTTGTTGGAGTTCATTGTAGATTCTGGATATTAGCCCTTTGTCAGATGAGTAGGTTGTGAAAATTTTCTCCCATTTTGTAGGTTGCCTGTTCACTCTGATGGTAGTTTCTTTTGCTGTGCGGAAGCTCTTTAGTTTAATTAGATCCCATTTGTCAATTTTGGCTTTTGTTGCCATTGCTTTTGGTGTTTTAGACATGAAGTCCTTGCCCGTGCCTATGTCCTGAATGGTAATGCCTAGGTTTTCTTCTAGGGTTTTTATGGTGTTAGGTCTAACGTTTAAGTCTTTAATCCATCTAGAATTGATTTTTGTGTAAGGTGTAAGGAAGGGATCCAGTTTCAGCTTTCTACATATGGCTAGCCAGTTTTCCCAGCACCATTTATTAAATAGGGAATCCTTTCCCCATTGCTTGTTTTTCTCAGGTTTGTCAAAGATCAGATAGTTGTAGATATGCAGCGTTATTTCTGAGGGCTCTGTTCTGTTCCATTGATCTATATCTCTGTTTTGGTACCAGTACCATGCTGTTTTGGTTACTGTAGCCTTGTAGTATAGTTTGAACTAACCTGCACAATATGCACATGTACCCTAAAACTTGAAGTATAATAATAAAAGAATAAATTAATTAAAAAAAAGAAAATGACAGAAGTAAAGTTACTCAAGTTCTATTTCTGCATATTTATAATCAATCACTGTGAAGCTGTGATTATTTATTTTAAATCTATTCATTTGAAGCAGGAATATGCAGTGCCACAAAGGGTTAGAGACTCAAACTACTTCTGAAGTGATTCTAAAAATTATGAATTTACTTTAGGCATAAATGCATATAGCTTAGTCTGCTGTGCTGATGGCTGACTGTAACCTCAGTAATTAGTTGCCCTTAAGCCAAAAAAGACTTGGGGGTATACTCCACATTTGGTAAACTCTTTTCTGCTTCATGGGTATATATACTAGATGCCTGGAGTTCAAGAAGCCAAGTTACGCCATCTAGTCTCTATTCAAATATCTGTTCACATCATGTCTGTTAACATTCAATTATCAAAACAGGTCACGTAGCCAAGCCCAAAGTCAAAGGGTGGGAAAATACACTTTTCCCATGATGAAGAAATGGCACAGATATGAGGAGTGAAGAATTGAGATCAATATTCAATCTAATCCAGTAAATAATAAAAGTAAATAATATATTTTATGAGTGAAGAATATTTAAAATTTAGAGGAAAAAAGAAATTGTGATTATAGAAGTATATCTTAGTTCAGGTCAATATTCATAGTGTTGTATAAATGATGTATTTGAACAATTTTTAAGCATTCATTCATTCGAGTAGCTTTGATATACTGTATAGAATGTGTATGAAATAATATGTAGTGTATATAAAATAAATTTTTTTTTCTGTGTATGTCTTTTACTCAGCCACATCCCCTGGAATAGACATTGGTATATAAAGGTATAAAAGAATAATTATCCATAATTATATTTATATAAATATAAATAATATATACATTATTTAAATGTAATACATAATATATATTATATAAATATATTAAATAGTATATTATTGAATATTTATTATTCATAAAATATAAATAATATATAAAATATATAAATAAAATAATTTATGTAAAAGTATAAAAGAATAATTATCCAAGAAACTATTGACTCTCTAAAGTACATAGGTAGACCTTGGTACATAAAGGTATAAAGACCTTGGTATATAAAGTCATAAAAGAATAATTATCCATAATAATTGTTTATATAAATATAAATAATATATAATTTTTATATATTATTTAAATATATTAAATAATATATTATTCAATATTTATTTATAAAATAAAAATAATATATAAAATATATAAATAAAATAATTTATATAAAGTTATAAAAGAATAATTATCCAAGAAGCTATTATCTAAACCACATATAGCAGTATCAATTAATTTTATTAATAAAATCATTAAAACCTTTTGATAAGGCTCCCTTCTCTATTTTATAATAACTAACTTCTGTGTATGTTTTGAATAACAATGATAGAATTGGATACAAAATGCAAGTTTTAGCTTTCTTCAACAAATAGAAAACAAAACACAAATAAGTATTGCATTTGGAATAAAATGTCAGATCTTCTTTTGTTGTTGAAGTCTTTTAAAGTATTATGTATAGATCATACACAAAAATTTTATTGTTAAGTGATATGTTTGTGACCTTTATGAAAATGCATGTAGTTATAACTCTGAATTATTTATTGCAATAGTTGTTATAGCATAAGCAATTGAAATATACAAATAGTCCTTAATTTGAATATTTTCTTAATCATGGTTCTAGACATTTCTATTTTTCTTCAATTTCCCCTGTCCAACTCACCCCACAAAGGCTGTATCAGAAGAGCCAGCTACTTGTGTCTGGGCTTTTATATCAAGTTTTAGGAATGTTCAGACAGTTTCCAACTAATTAAAATTTACATGTTAAATTCTCTGTTCATCTATGGTATTTCTAAAGAGAAGTGATATTTGTTTTTGTTTTGCTTTTTTATCTTCAGGTTAGCCTCTACAAATGTCTGCAGTCTTTAGAGAATATTGGCTTCTCTTTCTTTTGTTCATTTTTTGACACTTCTTTGTCTCTCTCTCTCACTTCTGCTATGGTTGCTGAATATCTTTCCACCTATGACGTTTTAGATGGGGAAAGAGTTTGGCCATCAGTGTCTGCACCAGTTACCACTTCAGCCCACTACATCTTGAGCTGCAATTTCTACTACTTGCATGAATTCGGTGAGACAAGACACTCACACACACACAAGTTAAATGAGGGGGATTTATGACTTACATACAAACATCAAAGGACAACAGAAGTCTAGGATTCATGATGAGCTGGTCCAATGCTCAGGAAAGCTGCCTGGGGCGGATGGGGTCTCATCAGCTCGTACCCCACTTATGCCACAGCTAAGGGAGCCAGGAAAGCAGCTTGCTCTTGGTTTTGCACCCCAATGTGGCAAGACTCTCTGGTCTAAAGCACTGAAGGACATCCTTTCCTAGGAGAGACTGAAACAGAGCCCAGGATGTCCTTCCTTCCTTATCTCAGGATATTGCCTTACCAGCACATACTCTGCCCTTGAGAACTGCAAGTGAGGAAAGAGAGAGAACTAGGTAGGTCCAAGGCCATCCCGAGAACTGTTTTCCAGTATCCATTCTGAGTCAAATCTGAAGAATATCACATCCTTTACAGAAGTCATGAAGTCTAAGAAATAGCTATCTCAGTCCATAGATAGCTGAGTAAAATCTGAATTCTTGCATCACTTACATAGATGTCACGTGGTCACTAACTTCAACTCCCATACCAGTAGCCCTCATTGCACTTAGCTTCATTAATTTTTTACATTCACAATTTCTTTCACTTGATGCTTTTTCAAATATTAAAAAAAATTCTTTAGAATGACAGTAGGATTTTCTGAGAAAAGATATGACTTGCATTATAAGATTTCCATGTAATCCTAATTATACAAAAATAAATAGTGTGGTGCTACTAAAGTATGTCCTTTAATATTCCATTATAATACTGTAAATGTAGTAGATACTTTTGCAAGTAAAGATAAATTGTATGTGTGCTTCACACAATGACCACTTCAGATGAGTGTTACATGGTCCCCCACAGACCCACTTCTAAGTTCTTTGTCTCTACTGGAATGGTAAAGGAAAAAAAAACGAACAGTTTGTTCTTCAGAATATAGGCCGTACCATAGGAGTGTCCTGTGCACTCTGGGGCCTATAATTACAATGGGAAAAATTGGATTAGTTAGATTCATTGTAACACTGTGAATTAAGTTAATTACTGTTTTCAATATAGGCTCCACAATGCTAATAAGACAAGTGAAATAACCATTTATTCATTCAACACATGTTTGCTGACCAGTGACAATTTTGGAATTAAAGAAAAGATGAGAGGAAAATAGTATTTTTAGTAGAGTACATCCTTGTTAAACTGAATAATGAGAATTTCATCAAAATCTAAGTTTAAAATGATCATATTTAATATTTTTTTGCATAAATTATTTAGGTAATAATGACTTTTGAAATTTGTTCTAAAAAGAGTGAAAATGAAAAAAGAAGATTCCAGACATTTGACTTCTAACTAAACTTTTCACTTCTGCATCTACCTTATAATCTATGTTGTTCAAATTTGTGTCTGCAACAGCTTGCAAATTACTAGCCATCATTCTTGCTTGATGATAAGATCTGTGAGGGTAGACACTGTCTTATAAATTAGACAAAAGAGAAACTTAAAAAATTTCTGAGTTAATGTATTAATGTTAAAGATATCTTAGCAGGATGATAAAGTTTATCTTAGCAAAAAGTGCTGAAACTCCAAATAGCAAAAATTCCCTTGTATAAACTAAAAGAAATACAGTACATGAATATATAAAGAAACTTAAGGTAAGCAAGAAAAATCATGATGATAGTAGTACTTTCAATTTGGTTAATTTATGTGTCAGGCATTTTTCTGAGCATGTGACATGTTTCCCACTCAATCCTCACAACAACCCTCTAAAGTAAATAATATCATTATTTCTGTATTTTTTAAGATGAAAAAACTGAAGAGTAAAGAGATTAAGAAAATTGCCCAAGGTTACCCAGCTAACTCATGGCCAATATGGGATTTGAACCCAGTTTGGTTCATGGGTATAATGGTTAATATTAGGCGTCAACTTGACTGGATTGAGGGATGCCTAGATGGCTGATAAACTATTGTTTCTGGCTGTGTCAGTGAGGGTGTTGCGAGAGGAGAATGACATCTGAGTCAATAAATCTAACTAAACTAATTTTTCCCTTCCCTTTAGATTTTATGATATTGTCTTCATATTCCATTGAGCTTAATTTCTAAGCTGGTGGGTGCTGCTTTTCAGGAAGGAGATAGTATTAGGTTGGTGTAAAAGTTATTGTGGTTTTTGCCAATACTGCAATTACTTTGGCACCAGCCTAAAGTAGTGCTATTTCCTTCTTGTAAAGACTCCTAATATCTCAACTCCTGCTCTTTCGGATCTTTTCTTGAGAAAATTGGTGGAATGCTCACCTTTTGCTGAAGAAGACTCTGAAATGCAGCTAAAAAAAAAAAAAAACAAAAAAAACCAGTAATTAACTTCAGGACCACTATTCACCCTAGGCCCCAAATTTCCTTTTTATGTCAAATATAACTTACCAAACTTTTATAATAGGCTACACATAGGATTATATTAATGGAGGTTAAGAGTGTCCACTCTCTTCAAGCTTCCTGTGGTAAGGCTAAGTGGAAAACCAGAATTACAGTTTCACGATCACTGTATGCATTAAGACTCCATCATGCCATGCCCCTTCTAAGTTATATAAATCACCACAAGATACAGGGGTCTCCCAGGTCGTTTCTTATCACACAGACTCTAATCCTCTGACACTCTTTACGTCAGAAACAGTCATGTCACAAAACACATGCTTCCCATTTTCTGAAACTCTTCCAATTTGCCCTCTGGAATGCAGGGTTAGTCATCAGTAAATACCTGTCTATTCTCAGCCTCTTCTTTGACGTTCTTCTTTTAACTGCAATTTGTTTTTTTTTCTACTTCTTTGTGGGTCTTTTCAGTAGATGTTTTTTTCCCCTCATTCTTCAGAACCCCTGGGTCTGGAGATAGAATACAATGCCCCCTTGCTTTCTACCGCTGTTTCTGGGTTAATCTCCCTTCCCCAACTATAAAAACATTGGTTCTGAACATTAGGTTGCTGCAGCCCTCTCTCAACTTCTGGGGCACTCTCCCTCATTCCATGAAGATTCCAGCATCAGAATCACTGTCACTTACCCTAACACTACTCTTGACCCAGACTGTTGATCAGCTTTATTGATTTCAATATTTATATGAAAGATCTGTCCTCTCAATTCCCTGACTAGGTCCTCACCTGCAAAAATCTTGTCCTCTATTTTTCCTCAGCTTCTCACACACAAAAGGAAGCATTTGTTTATTTCACACATTTGAATGTATGCTTTATAAGGCTTGAAATGTTTTAATCCCTAGTGCCTAGAGTTGACAAATAGCAGCCACTCAATTCTCATTCATTGAATGAATTAATAAATAAATGGTTATTAAAACTTCAGCAAATTCTGATTGAATGAGTCAATACTTCCAGTGTCACCAGGATGCTAGTGAGTCTAAACCAGTTTTTCAGAATCCACAACCTACACATTTAAACTCAGTTGGGAGAAATCTCTAAATAAGTTTAGGGTGACACCACTTGTGTCATATTGAAGTGGAGGTGATGGAGTGGTGATCCAGTGATCACACTGCCTTCTCAGAAACAGTCAAGACAAATTTTCCCAAAAAAGCAAATTGAATAAATACATAACTAGATAATTGTACTGACACTCCATCATAGTGCTTTCTGGAGGCTTTCTTCTTTTAGTATCAAACCCACTTTTAATTTACTTTTGCTCTCGAGTATTTTCTTTGTAAATGGTAATACAGTCATGATCTAATGTCAATTGTCAACCTTCAATTAAAATAGTCACTCTTCAAATGTTTTGAAGCCTCATTGAGATGTGATCAACAAATAAGCATTGTATATGTTTAAATGTAAAATGTGATGTTTTGTATACATATAGTGAAATGATTCCCCCAATGAAACTAATAAATATATCAATCACATTACACAGTTACGCTTTTTTTTTTGTGATGAGAACACTTAATGTCTATTCTCCTGGCAAATTTCAAATACACAATACAGTATTATTAACTATAGTCACCATGCTGTACATTAGGTTTCCAGAATGTTTAATCATATAACTGAAAGTTTGTACTTTCAGTTTGTACAACCAAAATCTCCCCATTTCTCCTACTTCCCAGCTCCTGACAACCATCATTCTATACTGTTTCTATGCATTCAACTTTTTTAGATTCCACAAAAAAGTAAGATCACGCAGTATTTGTCTTTCTGTGTCTGGCTTATTTCAAATAGCATAATGTTCTCTAGGCTCATCCATGTTTTTACAAATGGCAGGATTTCATCCTTTCTAAGGTGGAATAATTTTCTTGTGTGTGTGTGTGTGTGTTTGCCTGTATGTGTGTATATGTCTCACATTTTCTTTATCCATGGACACTTGATACTATTTCTTGACTATGACGATCAATGCTGCAATGAACATGGGAGTGAAGATATCTTTTTAAGACACAAATTTAACTTGCATTAGATATATATGTATCCAGTAGTGGGATTCTCAGATCATATGGTAGTTCTATTTTTAGTTCTTGAGGAATTTCCAAAATATTTTTATGTCTATACCAATTTACAAATCCACAAACAGTGTATAAATGAGATGTTTTCATTCAAAGCCCCATATTTTTTTCCTAGTCTCTATGAATTTTCTGGTTTTCAGCCAAATCCTTGAGTCTTTTATAGTGCCTATCACTGTAAATTTTTGTCCTAGAAATCTCACATCTAGTAGAAGGATTTATTCTAGCCCTAATTCACCTCAGGTGAAGATTCATTCCTTAAAGATTTCTGCCCTAATCTGAGGCTGCTTTGAGCATTGATGCCTACACAACCTGGTGTCTAAGGCAGAGCAATACCTCTGTAGTGTGGCTACTCCCAACTCATACCTTTACGGAGATTTCAATGTTTCAGCCCTGAGGGATTTGTGTTACTTCAATGATAGCAGGAATTTTTTTTTTTTTTATTAAATGTTTTTCTTCAGCAGGGTTTTTCATTTTTCTATGTTGTTTCCTTTCTTCTTTAAGATTGGCTTGGGCAAATTAAAAAATAATAATTAGTTACTTTAGATGTTAGCCCATTTCCTGTTCCATTGTGTGCTAGACTACCAGTTTCAGAGGGTCAGTATTCCTTTTCCTATGTCTTTGCTTTTAGAACTAGACATTTTATCTTATAATATCTGCTTTTGGTTCTGTTTTGTATGATTTCTTTATAGGGAGCCATACAAAGCGAATACTTTGCGTGTCTGCAGAGAAGTATTTATCATCCCAGCTCACTGCTTATGTTGGCCTATGTACAGTCACCTAGAATGTAACTTTTGATTGGTTTAATACCTCTACCTGCTCGAACTTCATCTGTATATGTTTTCTTGCCTAGCATCACTTAATGGGCCTCACTTATTTGGATATTCTCTTACTTAAGTAATTTCATAGTATTGGATGACATGTCCCTTTCCTTATAGATAATAACTTGTAGCACCACCAATTTCACTGTCATATTGAAACTCTTCTGCTATTCTGCTATTGTTTGAATTAAACTATGCTGGTCTATTCAATCTCTTTATGGTATTATCTTCAAACCTAACGATGTACTATTAAATATATTAGGTTAGTGCAAAAGTAATTGCGGTTTTCACCATTACCTTCTGCAGAAACTGCAATTTCTTTTGCACCAACCTAATAGCTTTCCTAGTCTTTAAGGGATGGATCCAAATTATTTCTTATTGTTGATTGTCTACCTAGAATTTTAAGAGGTTTGCTTTCACTTGTTTTTTTCTGGAATTTCTTTTTGTTTTGTTTTTGATATCTGTTTATTTTTTATTTATTTTTTCCTCCTTGTTAGATTTAATTTAGCTCATTCCCCCTAGCCCAGAAATAAATAATATATTTGTCATTACCTGGACCCATTTAAAAGAGCAGTTGACCAGGATATATCTTAATTTATTTTTTTTTTACATCTATCATCAGGCCTCAAAGTTCTCAGCCTTGGGCAATACTTCTCATTCTCTAGCACCTACAACACATAGTCATTTGTTATGTTTTTTTTCTTTCCCCTTCTTCCTTCGCACCATAATATTATTTTTATCTGTGAACTGATCTTTGATTATTTACAAGAACCTAATTCCTAGAATAGAGTGTTATAGGAATAATCCTAATTAATTTTTTTCTTAGCCTTTAGGTTCACAATAATTTTATTGAGTATTTATCCAATCTAAACTAACACAATAAATTGTCTTTCACATAATAAGGTCCTAATTCTCTTTATCACTTTATACATAAAATCCATTACCCTTTTGGGATTAAACCTCATTTTGGGCCATTGAAATTGTTAACTTTTATTAAAAGTTATTAATTCAATATATACTGAAATAGAAATCTACTTCTTTAAATTTTAGGATTATTAAACACATGATTTACTTAGCCAAATATTCATTAATGGCAAACATTGGGTTTAATTAATCTGGTTTAGTGTTTTGTTGAGATTGCTAATTTTATTCACTTCCTCTGTAGAAGAAAAAATGGTGAAAATTGCAGAATACTTTTTCTTCTTATTAAAATCAATGTTATCTATTTCCAAGAAATTTAGGCTGTGAAAGCCATTTTATCAAAAGGTGCGAGGAGTTAATAAATTTTATAATTCTGCTAAAATATTATTCCTATTTTGACCTTTGCCTGTGGATAAATATATTTTTACATATTTAAATGGAAATACATGGAAATAATGCTGAGTGTGTATATCATATCATAAGGTGTCATCATTTTTCAATATATGAGACTAAGCTGATGGCCAGAAAGAGTATGTTGAAATCTGTAAAGCACTATAAAGTTCACAGCACATAAATACCACCTACTTTTGTATAAATAGTATGCTTTGAAAAAAAATCTGTAAAGGGTATTACTCTCTAAATATTTTTTTTTTCTCTTTGCAGGTAAGACAATTGAATGTCTGAGAGCTGAAATTTCACTTTTAGTGAGAAACAGGGCTTAATTTGAACTCAGCCCTATCTGATCACATGACTCTGCTCTGCTAGGTAATTTTGGATACACTGGAGAAAATAATAATGGAATCAGTGTCCTAAAGTCAAGCTCATTGAAGATAAAAGCAGTACTTCATTATTAATTATTACTCTCCTTTAGGAAATTTGCCTACATTTTACCTTATATCTATATCTATATCTATATCTTAAACTTTCAAGAAATGGAGCTATATATTACCCACCATTTTGAGATCCCTGAAGAACTATACTCTTCTTTCAGGGGCACATCATCTAGAAATCTGTTTCAACTTCAATATGTATTAAAGTCATTACATATATTTTTAAAATTTTAAAATTTCAGCACACCTTCTTTGTGAATTCATATTCTAGTATTGGCTATTTTCATACTTAACATTTTTTTCTTTATACCAATACATTTCATTTTATTATATTCTTTCATGTAATATTGTTTGTATTCTTTATTATAAGATGTCTTAATTTCATAAAAAAACTAAATTAAATATTTAGACTGTATCCACCCCCAATATCTTTAAGCAAAAAATTAACTTTGTTTTTATATTTTTACAGATAGAAGAAGGATATTGTACCAGAAGAGTGAGTGAAACCTAACCTTACTTAGAGTGAATGGTTTCTCCAAAAAAGAGAACCAGTAAAAGGGAGAAAGGATTTGTAGAAGAAGAAGACAATTGTGGCCTACTTAAGAATGTTTATATGTTTTTTAACTTTTAAAACAAACACTCAGATCATTAACTTTGCCGTTGTTTCTAAATACTGAAGAATAATCATCAAATAGTAGTCGGATCTCCAGGTAAAAGCGATGTCATTATGGACATGTGGTTTTTCAGAGGCTATTAATTTTTGTTTCAGTGAAAAACCACATTTATACAGTAAATCATTTTTCCCATTTAAGTTCTGTTCACTATAATATAAATATTGTGTAAGACCTGTTATGAGAGTGCTTAATAAACATTAAAAATTGGTTTCACTTTGATGTTCTGAGACTGCATAAGATAAACTCTTTATTGATTTATTAACCAGCTTTCACTGGACCAGTGGCCTTAGGACAGGCTTACAGGAAACTTTGTCACATCACTCTAGGAGCACACAACAGCTGAGACACAGTTTCACTATAAAGATAAGGGCAGAATATCATTATGGAAGCCCACAATAACATAACTGAACTCACAAATTGTCTGGTTTGTATTCTTAGGAGCGCTGCTATGTGCTAAATACCAGGCTCTCAAATGTTTTATTTTTAAGCAGATGCTCTCCTGAAACAAGTTTGTGCCAAGTTTTGCATAATGTCTTGTGTTCTTTATTAGTACAATATGAAATATTTAATAGGAGGTTATTACTGTGGCCAATATGAAAGATTAAATGGGTGTGTCTGTCTTTTTTTAATAAAAGCACACATGATATTCAGAAAGAATTAAAACAGCAGTATCAGACATCCAGATATGGATTCAGATCCAAACATTGTATTTTTGTATATCAAGAGGTTCTTTCCTGTCACTCTTAAGTAGAATAAAACTATAAGAAACTCAATTAGCTTTTATGATGAAAATTATTTTTATTCGTTTTTAAAGTAGAAAAATACATCAAGCTATGCTGAACTAGAAATCTACATCATGATAACTTTTAACAAAGGTTATTAATTTCAATGACCCAAACTGTGGTTTAACACCAATAGTGTGGTTGATTTTATCTATAAAGTGGTAAAGAGAACTAGGACCTTATTACGTGAAGGACAAATTATTTTGTTAGCTTAGATTGCATAAAACTTACCAAAAGGTAAACCATGCTGAAAATAGGAAAAACATATTAATCGTTACAACTTCATAATAAAATAATAAATTGTGCAACCTTAGAATTTAAAACACCATATTTAATTGTTAAAGTACAAAGGTATGGAATTCAATGCAATAAAAGTAAATAATTTGAAATTTTGCTGAAACTATAGGTCTGTAAAAATCACATTAAAATATGTTAAACATTTCAATAGAAAAGAACAGAGATTATAAAGCTCAGCCTCATTTTTTTTTCCTTTGGCATACTGTATTAGTCCTTTCTCACACTGCTATAAAGAAAACCTGAGACTGGATAAATTTTAAAGAAAACAGTTTTAATTGGCTCACAATTCTGCAGGCTGTACAGCAAGCATGGAAGCATATGCTCAGCTTCTGCGGAGGCCTCAGGAAACTTACAATCAAATTATGGCAAAGAGTGAAGAGGGAAGCTGGCAGTTCACATGGCCAGAGCAAGAGTAAGAGAGAAAGTTTGGGGAGGTGCTGCATACTTTTAAACAACCAGATCTCATGAGAACTCATTCATTGTCACAACCTTGTACCAAGGGAAAAATCTGTCCCATGATCCAATCACCTCCCACCAGGCCCCACTTGCAATATGGGGGATTACATTTCAACATGAGATTTGGGTGGGGACACAGACCCAAACCATATCAGCATACCATGTCTGTGCAGGGCAATGACAAACTGCATCAGAAAGCAATTGCTCATTTGGACAATGCTTCATTTTTCAAGACCCTTGGAGTTCTTTGTTTTTCATGGCAGGTTAGAGAGAAACAACCTCTTACACCATCTAGGCAAACTGTCTAATTCTTTGAGACTGTTCCTGGTCTCATTGTGAAGGGAGGTTATCCTATCCTCCTGCACTCTAGTTTAATATATAAGCCAAGATGCAGGAAATATCTTGAATTACATTAACTGAATTTTTTTTTAGTTAACCTAACTATGTCTTACCCAAGCACACTCTTGTCTCTGCCCTTTTCTTTATGTAGCACCTCAAGCCACAATTACTGCCATTAAAACTTAGTCAAATTTTGGTCATTGCATCTTGTTAGTTCAGGTACTTTTCTTTCAGGCCTAACTTCACTCTATCCACCCAACTTTGCCATGGCAAAAGGATTATCTGGCTTTAAATTATTTTAAAACTTTCCAGTGGCTCTCATTCCCTCCTGTGAGAACTGAATAAAACTTTTGTGTGTGCCACCAGGTTTTTTTGTGTAAATAATTATCATCCAGAACATACATGTTGGAGAAGGGGAGAAGCTAATCCTTGTTGACTAATAAATCTTTCATTTTGACTCAATAAAAGTAAAAAAGCTAGAGAGGTAATTGAAAATGGACAGAATATGTATTGGATAGGTCAAGCAGTGGCTTAAAGAGAGTTAAATGAAAATAAAATAAAGCTATATCATTGTATGAAGAAATTAGAGAGCTAAGCTTAGAGAATAGGTGAATGGCACATTTTTAAGGGGGTGATCATGAGATTTTTGAAGAAATGTGCTATGAGTTGCACAATGAGGAAAATGGTGTAAATGATTTGTAATTGGGACTCCTCAAAAGAGGAAGTGGTTGCCTCCTAGATAGAGACAGATCGATTGATAGATACATAGATAGATATAGATAGATAGATAGATAGATAGATAGATAGATAGATAGATAGATAATAGATAGAATTGAATTTATTCAAGCAAAAGTTAGATGATAACATGTTGCAAAAGGTAGGATGTTAGACCAGGTAGTCTCTAATTCTGCCCTTCATTCAGCTTCTGATTCAGAAGTGCCTATTCTGTAAATTCCTTTGAGACAACGTCACATCTGTTTTATGTTCAAAACTATTTCTGGCCCTCTGTAGAGAAGTAGATTGTAAACTATTACTTTTTGTTTGCCCACAGTGGCTACTACAGTGTTCTGAATATATTAGAGACTCTGTAAATATTTTATGGACTAACTGGCACATGAAATTTTGAAACAAATGCTGTTAAAAAATGTAGCCAATTCATAGCCCACTCTACATTGTTTCAGCAGATGTTTGGTCTTAAGGCGATGTTATCTGTCTAATCTGGCACCTTGGCACAGAAAGGTGTTTTCTACTCCAGGTGGCAATACCTTGAAATAATCACAAATGACTGTTTCCCAGCAATGACAGAAAGAACCTCCTGCTGCACAGTCATTTCCTAACTTTAAACAACAAAATTATAAAAAAAAAATTAACGGAGATGATTCTACTTGTTGAGTGTATTATTTCTACTCCTTGGCCTTCCTGATAATATATTATCAATTAGGAAGCTATGGAAGGAAATTTATTTCAATAAGAACATTGTCAAACAAATATAGGCTACACAAGTATATATGAATATATTAGAATAATTTTGATTAATAGCAGAATCTCATCTCAAAATAGATTAAAGAAAAAGAGATTACACAATATTAGATTGAAGTAATCTAATATATGGCTTAATTTGCACCTGTCTATATATCATAATATTTGCTGTTTTATTACTGGCAAATTATTTGATTTTCTATATAAATCTACCTCATAATAATTCATTCTATAAAAGTTTAGTCTATAGTTGACTATATGCATTTAAAAATCTAGTAGATTCCAATTCTAGGAATTATTTGCCTCATAGAGCCAGGTTATAGAATTCTGATTTTGCCAGTCAGTGAAACTGATCAGTTTATGGTTATTCAATACAGAGGCATTGCTAAAAATAACAGAAAAGGATTCTCTTAACCATATAGCTAAATGGCAGAATAAAAGGCAAATATACCTACTCAGTAGAGTGCAGTACTTAAGAGCACATGCTCTAGAGCCAGACTAACTATATTTGCATCTCAAGTGCTATCACTGACATCTGTATAAATTTTGGGCAAATTATTTTAAAATTCTGTACGTTCATTATGCAAAGGATAATGGTGGCATTGATGACGGCACCTACATTCTGTGGTTTCTATTAATGACTTAATATGTATAAATTGCTTAGAATTGGTCTCAGCAAGAAATGTTTACGGTTATCCTTTATAATCCAACTTATACACAAAATTTACTTTTACAAACTTCTTGATAAACAAATAGTTGCTTCAGCCAAAAGTTACAGTCAGGAAACTTGGAAGATTTCTGACTGATTTCTGACTTTGAAGATTTCTGAAGATTTCTGCCATTGGAAATGTAGAGCCAGCCACCACTCCTTTCCCTATGTCTCACTTAATAGTTAATAAATAACTGATATCGAAAAATACATGCCTATTATTCATGCAATGTACTACTATGCATTGTGATTGATAAATACAGAAAATCTTAGAATATATCAAGTGCACCAGAGAAAATATAATATGATTGCACTAACTGTGGTTCCATTCCAATATAGCGTATTAAGTTAAATTTTCACATCCTTTAAGGCAAACGGCTCTTTAGAGAAAAACTTTGTTTAAAAGGCATAATGGAAGTAGAGGATGTATAGCTTCAAAAACATAGAGGCAGGCAGATATCCTGCTTTTGATTTGAGCAACTAATGATGAATCAATGAAAGTGAAAATAAAAAGAGTTTATAACCTGAGGGAATAATTGTCCTCCGCATTTGTATGAAAAGATACATAGTGCTAAAGTCCATTCAGCCTACTCTACCACCCTCTGTTTCTTCACATCACAGAGCTCTGAGATTAGACCCTGCCTATAGAAAAAGAAAGGACTTTTTTCTTTTAGTTACTGTGGTAAACATGAAAAACTTCTGAAATTAACACCCCCTACTAGACAATGCAGTCTTTTCCGCCTGCCGACAAAGAGCATACTGGGCAAAGAGCAAAACACTGTTATGGCTGTGCAGGGTTCAATAAAGATTTTCTTCCTAGAGGAAATTTGAATATAAGAAGAAATTTTACAAGGAATGTAGCTAAAACTTTTGCATTGTTGAACAATCTTTACCACTTATTCTATGAGGTTTTATATGCCCTTGTAGAAAGTAATGTAGCTGCAACCGGCAAAGAGTTTCAAAAGGTGTGTAAGTGTGGGTCATTGAGATGCTAATTAGAAATTCACCTGGTTAAAATTTACTCCTTTCAGTTTTACTATTCTTGGGAGTTTTGTATGTGAGAGACAGTAATTAATCCTATAAAATTGACCATACATTTCTATAAACTAGTGATCAAGTTATATATACTTAGGTTAGAGCATGTTGCTCAGTCTCCTCATGATGTTAAACCAAATATTTTGTGACTGGTCAAAAAATAAAGAATGAATATGCTGTTTCTTAATTATTTTGTAACAGAGAAAATAGGAGGAAGAGCAAACTAAAAATATTTATATATACATATTCTAATGTTTGAGAAGAATTGTGCTTTATGAAAAACACTGACTTCTAAATACTGAGAGTACATACTTAGTATGTATTCACTGCCATATTTCTAATGCTTTGGACAGTACTTGACACATATACATATTTATGGAAGACATAAATAAAGGTTAGGTAGAAATTAAAATTTCGTAGCACTTACAAGACAAAATTATAGCTGGAAAATAACTCATTCTCATCTGCTGTTTCAATCTATATATACATACTTCATATGTATACCTTTTTCATAAAGCACAAGATTTTTAAATTATACACTTAATTTAAAAATATTAATTGATCCTCTCTTACATACTTGGACTTCTGCTAGATGCCATATGTCATGGAAAAATATAAATTGGATAACATATTCTTTGATCTTGAAACACATCAAAGTCTAAAACATAAACAAAAGTAATGAAATAAGGTAAGAAGTTATCTATGCTGTTGAACAGGTTTTTAAAAATATGTATTTCTGTTTGTGTGAAAGAAAGAAGGAGAACTTAACCTGGTGTATGGAGGAACCACAGAGAATTTCAGTGAAGAGGTAGACTTTGAGATAGATCTTGCAGGTTGGGTTGATTTATTTAGTAGATGGATATGGTGAAGAGTAGTATCGCATAAAGAGACATGTATGACTTAGAATATAAAGACAAGAAAATGTGACCAGTGCTTGCAGATTTTTGTGAAGTCTGCAAATAAGATATATATTTAAAAAATGGTGGGAGTGTTTCTAGTTCTAGATCCCTGAGGAATCACCACACTGACTTCCACAATGGTTGAACTAGTTTACAGTCGCTCCAACAGTGTAAAAGTGTTCCTATTTGTCCACATCCTCTCCAGCACCTGCTGTTTCCTGACTTTTTAATGATCACCATTCTAAGTGGTGTGAGATGGTATCTCATTGTGGTTTTGCTTTGCATTTCTCTGATGGCCAGTGATGATGAGCATTTTTTTCATGTGTCTGTTGGCTGCATAAATGTCTTCTTTTGAGAAGTGTCTGTTCATATCCTTTGCCCACCTTTTGATGGGGTTGTTTGTTTTTTTCTTGTAAATTTGTTTAAGTTCTTTGTAGATTCTGGATATTAGCCCTTTGTCAGATGAGTAGATTGCAAAAATTTTCTCCCATTCTGTAGGTTGCCTGTTCACTCTGATGGTAGTTTATTTTGCTCTGCAGAAGCTCTTTAGTTTAATTAGATCCCATTTGTCAATTTTGGCTTTTGTTGCCTTGCTTCTAAAACTAGAAATACCATTTGATCCAGCCATCCCATTACTGGGTATATACCCAAAGGATTATAAATCATGCTGCCATAAAGACACTTGCACACGTATGTTTATTGCAGCACTATTCACAATAGCAAAGACTTGGAACCAACCCAAATGTCCAACAATGATAGACTGGATTAAGAAAATGTGGCACATATATACCATGGAATACTATGCAGCCATAAAAAATGATGAGTTCATGTCCTTTGTAGGGACATGGATGAAGCTGGAAACCATTATTCTCAGCAAACTATCGCAAGGACAAAAAAGCAAACACCACATGTTCTCACTCATAGGTGGGAACTGAACAATGAGAACACATGGACACAGGAAGGGAAACATCACACACCGGGACCTGTTGTCAGGTGGGGAGAGGGGGGAGGGATAGCATTAGGAGATATACCTAATGTTAAATGACGAGTTAATGGGTGCAGCACACCAACATGGCACATGTATACATATGTAACAAACCTGCACGTTGTGCACATGTACCCTAAAACTTAAAGTATAATTTAAAAAAAGCTCATTCATTAATAAATGTATGTTTGTCTCAAAAAAATGGTGGGGGTGGGTAGGAGAGAAAACAAATGTTTTAAAAGAAGTTTAATTAAAAATTATAAAAGATCCTTGATTCTGATGAGAAATGGGGGTTTCCTTTATCTAGGTCTGAAAATCACTGAAAACTGTATCAGAGTGATATGAAAAGAAATATGCTTTGGGAGGTTGTATCTTTGGTTACTGCAATGCTTATACCAAGAGATAAAAACTGCTTGAATGGGACATGGAAGTGAACTGGACAAGGAGATAAGATTTCAGGTAAACACAGAGGAAATAAAATCTGCTGTTTGCTAGGTTTTTGTTTGCTTGTTTTGTAATGCTCCCTTTGATACAGCACTGAATCTCCTCTGCTCTACATTGTGTGCGTGTGTGTCTTCTTTGAAGGTTATGTCATATCTTTCTACCATAAGAGAAGGATAATGGAGGACATAGAAATAACTCCCTGATAAACGAAGGAGAATGATTGAAGCAGGAGGTGAGAATAAATTATTTTCCAGCCACAATTTTGTCTTGAAAGTGCTACAAAATTTTAATTTCTACTTAGCCTTTTTCATGTCTTTCATCAATATGTGCCAAGTACTGTCCAAAGTATTAGAAATATGGCAGTGCATAAAATAAAGTTCCTTGACCTCAAACCAAACCTAACCATCCACAAATCTAGATATCAGGTTGAATTTGATATGTTTCAGTAAAGTTATACTTATCTCCGTGCTCTTTTCACAGAACTTTGTTGGATTTATTCCCACTGACTCTGCATCTTTAAGCTATTTTTTAAAGTGACTATTTCAACACTTTGTCAGTTATTGTTATCAAATTATTAATATCCTGATAAAATATTTTTTACATGTTGGAATAATTTGTATAAGATTAAAGTTGTGTTCTTTTTCTTGAGTTATATTTGATATGGCGTAAGTTTCTGCAGTTCTGGCTGTGGAGACCCCTATCCTTCAATCTATCAAAATTTTAAAATGCATTGGCAAAAGTTGCTCATAACATCCTCTTGTAATTGTCATAATATCTGTTGCATCTATAGCCATATTTCATTTTATGTTACTAATATTGTTTTTCTGTTATTTTTCTCATGTTTTAAATGAATATTGCAGAGGTTTTCCAAACCTCTGGATGGGGCAGGTTTGCATACAGGTCCCCTGATAGCAGGCAAAAGCACTGGCTCCAAGAGAGGAACCAGTGGGTAACCACCAAGTGCCCAGGGTGTCCCGAGGCATGGAGCTGGGAAAACTTTTTGGCCCCAAGTTCTCTGCACAGGTTGGGGAGCAGTCTATCCTAATCTATGAAGTAAGTGCTCCAGATGCCTGGAGATCTACCTGGGCATGAAGCAGAGAGGGCCTTCCTGCACCAGGATCTCTGGTTAGGAAGGGTGGGGTGGGTCAGCCTGCTGATCCAGGTGAGTGGGTGATTTGAATGCCTGGAGATCTACCTGAGTGTGGAGCAGATGGGACCCCACTTCATGTTAATGTGTGTTCATGAAAAGTGGGGCGGCTTAGGCTGCTGGTTCAGGCAAGTGAGTGCTTCAGATGTCTGAATTTCTGCCTGGAGTTTGAATGGAGGGGGCCCTGCCTCACCATGATCTCAGTGGAGCAGGCAGGAAAACCCAGCAATGGCACACGCAGACCAGTTCCAGGTTGCCAAGCTGGCCCTGGCTTCATGTCTCACTGCCCAAGAGAAACTGCAGCTGTACAGCCCTTCTCCCACCTCAGGCTTGTGGTGGGGAGAGCGCAATTCCAGTACCTATGGCTGAGGTACTTTCTGCAGTTCTGGCAGTGAAGGCCCCTGTCCTGCTCCAGGGTAGGTACTTTAATCTCTGGTCTGAGGCTAAAATGCTGTGCTTCTCTCACATGCTGGGGCTTCACTTACTTATATCAGCCTGATGTTTTCAAAATTATTTCTGTGAACACTTTATGATAAAAGTATTTATGAATATTTAAAATTCTTATAATTTACGTGCTTTACCAGTATTCTATAAGTCTAATGTGGAATGTTTTATTGTCGTTCAATTCTACAAACACTCTTCTATTCAAAGTATTACTTTTTTAATCCATAAAAGTGTATTTGGAATTATTTTACTCATTAAAATATAAGCAGACAAATTAAATTTATCAGAGTTTATTTGAACAAAGAATGTTTCATGAATTAGCACTCAGATACAGAAGTTCACAGAGCTCCACTCAGCAATATGGGCAGGCTGTACTTAGAGTAAGAAACAGGAAGTCAGGTACAGAAACAGCTTGATTGGTTACAGCTGTGTGGTTGCCGGATTTCGGCATGAGGCAGTGCTTTATGTGGACATGGTCTTATCAACTGGCAGCCTGTGACTGGCTATAACTTGGTTGCTGTGATTGGCTGAAGTCAGCTAGTTATTACAAGAGTATATTTCAAGTTGGGCTGCATTCGTTTATATACTAAGTTAGATTTTAGTTCACTACTTATGATTTAAAATGCAGAGGCAGCTTTGGACTTCTGCCCTTCTCTGCCACCTTCCTCCCCATTCTGAGTTGTCTCTCTCTTTCTCTCTCTTCACCTGTAAATAACTTGTTTTTAACACCGTCACCTTCTTTTGGGGAAGCTGTGACCACATGAAGATTACATGTGTAGGTGCTGCCATTTACAGCTGCAGCCAGTCTCCTAGATGGTACCAAATGTAAGATTTATGAGCGAATGCGCATTCAGACCATTTTAGTCCCTAAACTTTAGAGTTTCCGTGTGAGGCCCTAGATAGTTTGGAGCAGGGCAAAGCCATTTCCATTGTACCCATCTGAAATCTTTGCCCGGAGCAATAAATAGCCAGTAGAATGTTCTTGTATGTCTAAGACATCAGGTTGATTTATTGGCTTGTTCAAATCTTCTACATCCTTATTGAAATGTTTACCTGCCTACTCTATCCTATTTTGAGAGTAATATATTTTAAAATCTCCTAATATTATGTGGATTTTACTATTTCTCCTCATAGTTGAGGTGTATGTAGGTGTGTCGAAAATTCGTTACTAGGAGTGTGCTTTGCCAGGGTTATTGTATGTTCCGAAAAAGTGAGCTATTATCATTAGAGAACAGCCCTCTTTATCCCTGATGATGTTTTCTAACGTTGTATTTTGTCTGAAGTTAATGTAACCGTACAGCATTCTTTCTTTTAAAATTTACTTGATATTTTCACCATTCTTTTACTCCTATTCATTTAACATTCTCAGTCTGTATCTTGCAAGTCATATCAAGGTGAATTTTATATTTCATCCACACTTTCTTTGAAAGAGGTATAAACAACATTCTTATTTTTCATTACTGCTGATATATTTAAGTTCAAAGACTTTATCTGGTTACTGAGGTTAATTATGCTCTTTGCCTTCCCCTTTGTCTTCATTTAAGAAGATAAGTATTTTTTTCATTTTATTTTTCCCTCAACTAAGTTGTTTCTCATGTATATTTCTTTCACTATTTCATACTGTATCATAAAACCTCTATCTGGCATAGCTATCCTTTCACATATATTAAGAATTTACCTAGAGAGGATGTAGCGTTTAAAAAAAACAACAACAACTCTGTTTTGTTCATATGGAATTTTCTCTGTATTACTCTAATTCATCAAATAATTTCTCAGTGTGTATAAATTATAGGATGCTTAATTTTTCTCATTATTTTGAGAGTATTTGTACCATTGTCTTTAGGTTTTCTTTGTTGTTATTGAGAAGCTGTTAACAAGTCAAGAGTTGGATAATATTGGTCTTTTGAAAATGATCTTCCTACTTTTTCTCTCTAACTCAAAATCATCTAGCTACCTTTCATATATTTAATTTCAAAGTCTTAAAACGGATAATTTTAAAAATTATTTTTATGCAGCAAAATAGTGTATACTAATAAATTTGTTCATTTCTTCTAGGAAAGATCTTAAAGACAGAACTAATAACATTCTCTTGGGTTTATCTCATTAAATAATTCACATGAAAGCTAAAATATTACATATTATCAGAGAATTAGCTTCTAATTACAAAAATTCTACTTGAGTGTTCTAAGTGGTACAGGTTTATTCATTTCATTGAAAGATATAACTGAGTGCTGTCCAAGGTTGGTATGATGGCTTTCTTTCTGTTCTATGAGAGGTCTTCATCCTTATGCTTGTAAACATGTGAAAACCTATGGCTTTTGCAGGTCTAGGCACAAAGAAAGGCGCAAGATAAAATTAAGGAAAAAAATCTTTGGTAATTAAAAAAATGTTTGGAATATATTAAATAAATGAATAGTTTGAGGATTGAATATTCAGAGTCTAACAATTTTATTTTACAAATAATGTTTTGCTACTCCTTGGTGATGAATGGTGAATTTTTAAATTAATAAAGTGTTCTTCACAATGACAGTCTAGCTTCCAGAAATATAAAATGGCCACGATGTAATTTCTAAAATATGTATCAACTTCAAAAATCTTCACAAAGAACTCTTTGATAAAATGTTATTAACTGCTATTTGTTTAGTGCTAATGACACATTATGTACATCATTTTATTTGATTCTATCAGCATTTTTTGTGCATCATTTTATTTGATTATTTTAGCAAATTCATGAGGCATCCTTTCCTTTGCCATCTTTTTAAGTAGTTTTTTAAAGTTTAAATAACTAGTAAAACATGGAGACAAGCCTTATAACTTCACTGGTTTATCCCTTGGCACTGGTGCTTGTGTCTGCCATCAGACAAGACAAGCTGTAGGCAGACCTGCCCAATCCAGCCCCACCAATCTCTGACCCTGCCCCCTTAGATCTGAGCAGTGAGCTCAGACCACTGTGCACTCCAAGAATCAGCCCATTGCCTGAGGCAACAGAGAGCTTCTCCCAGTAAAGAAGGATGAACTATATACCCATCCACAGCCAGTTCTTACCCATAAGTACCATTTACTGGCCCTGTGGGTCAAACTGAACAGCCCAATATAAAACCTGCCAAAAGAAGTGCATAGGGCTATAGAAGCAAAGCCAAATGCCAGTGTCTCCAGATGAGAAGAAACCACTGTGAAAATTTTGGAACCATGACAAATCTGAATGTAGTGACACAACCAAAGGATACAGTAGCTCTCCAGCAATCATCCCTAACCAAAAGGGAAACTCAGAATGATGGATACAAATTTCAAAGCATGTTTTGCAAGGAAGCTCAACGAGATCCAACACAAGTTTGAAAATCAACATAAAGAAATTTCTAAAGCAATACAAGAAATGAAGGAAGAGATAAACATCCTAAAAAGAAATCAATCAGATATTCTGTAATTGAAAAACTCACTTAAGGAATTTCAAAGTACAATTGAAAGCTTTATCAATAGGCTGGACCAAGCAGAAGAAACAATTTCAGAGCTCGAAGAATGATCCTTCAAACGACCCCAATCCTATAAAAATAAAGATAAAAGAATTTAAAAAATTAACAAGATCTTAAGAAATTTGGGATTATGTAAATGGAACAGACCTACAAAATACTGGCATTTCTGAGAGAGAAGGAAAAAAAGTAAACAACCTGGAAAACATATTTGAGTGAATAATTTGGGCAAACTTCCCTAATGTTGCTGGAGAGGTTGACATCTAGATACTAGAAATCCAGAGAATACCTGAGAGATACTATAGCAAATGAACATCACCAAGCCATATAGTCAACAGACTGTCCAAGGTCAACACTAAAGAAAAATTCCTTAACACTCTTTTTTTTTTTTTTTTTTTTTTTTTTTGAGACGGAGTCTCGCTCTGTCACCCAGGCTGGAGTGCAGTGGCGGGATCTCGGCTCACTGCAAGCTCCGCCTCCCGGGTTCACGCCATTCTCCTGCCTCAGCCTCCCAAGTAGCTGGGACTACAGGCGCCCGCCACTACGCCCGGCTAATTTTTTTGTATTTTTAGTAGAGACGGGGTTTCACCGTTTTAGCCGGGATGGTCTCGATCTCTTGACCTCGTGATCCGCCCGCCTCGGCCTCCCAAAGTGCTGGGATTACAGGCGTGAGCCACCGCGCCCGGCCCTTAACACTCTTAAAGAAAAATATCTGATCACATATAAAGGAATCCCCATGAGGCTAACAGTGGACTTCTCAGCAGGAACCTTACAAGTCAGGTAAGACTGGGGGCAGATTTTTAGTATTCCTGAAGAAAAGAAACTCCAAGCAAGAGTTCATATCTTCCCAAATGAGATTCATAAGTGAAGCATAATAAAATCATTTCCAGGCAAGCAAGCACTAAAAGAATTAGTTACCCAAAGACCAGACTTACAAGAGATTCTTAAGGGAATTCAAAGCATGGAAATAAAGGAATAATACCAGCTACCACAAAAGCCTTCTGTTACTGATTTATTTCTTTTAGCAAATGTCTTGAATGTTCATCCACAATGTTGTATATTGCAAAGTGTCTTTCATTTTTAAGTCTAAATAGTAATCTATTTTATGTATATACAAGATGTTCTTTATCGATTCATTGTTAATCAACATGTAGTTTTTTCAATAGCTTGGCTCTTGTAAATAGTGCTGCATGAACATAGGAACGCTTATATCTCTTCAAGATCCTGATTTCAGATTCTTTTTAAATAAATACCCGAAGTGATATTGATGAATTATGTGGTAGTTCTATTTTTAATATTTTGAGAAATTTCAATATTGGTTTTAATAGTGGCCACACCATTCTGTGTTCCCATCAACAGTGTGTGCAAGGGTTAGAATTTCTCTATATCCTCAAAAATTAGTTCTGTTTCTATACACTGAAAATGAACAATCTGAAACAAAGAAAATGATGCCATTTACAATAGCACCAAAAAGAATAAAATACTTAGGAATAAAGTTAATAAGGTGAAATACTTGTATACTGAAAACTACAAAACATTAGTAAAAGAAATTGAAGAAGACCCAAACAAATGGAAAGACATCTGTGTTCATGGACTTGAAGACTTACTTAACATTGTTAAAATGTCCGTAATCCCCAAAGTGATCTACAGATTCAGTGCAATGCCTATCAAAATAGCAATGACATTTTTTTTACTTAAATAGAAAAAAAGCAATTCTGCAAGTCACATAGAAACACAAAGGATCACAAATGACCAAATCAACCTCAAGAGTGAGAAAAAAAACTAGAAGCATCACAATTCCCAATTTCAAAAATATATTACAGAACTAGAGTGATTGAAAAAGCATGACATTGGCATAAAGGCAGGCACATAGACCAATAGAATGGAAGAGAGATCCCAGAAGAAAATTAACACATGCAGTCAATTGAACTTTGACAAGAGTACCAAGGATATACAAGGAAAAAAAATATACTCTCTTCAACAAATGGTGTTGAGCAAACTGGATATCCACATGTAAATGAATGAAAACAGAACTCTATCTTATGCCACACACAGACAATAAATTCAAAATAGGTTAAAGACTTAAATGTAAGACCTGAAACATAAGGGAAAAAACTCATGAGATCGGTCTTGTTAATGATTCCATGCTATGATACTAAAAGCACAGGCTACAACAACAAAATAAGTAAGACTACATGAAACTAAAAAGCTTCTCTGCTGCAAGGAAAACAACAGAGACAAAAGGCAGCTTATGGAATGGAAAAATATAGTTACGAAACATACATCTGATAAGAGGTTAATCCCCAAAATATATAACAAATGCTTACAACTCAAATAATCAGAAAATTGCAAATCAAAACCACAACAAAAGATTATCTCATGCTTGCCAGCATGGCTATTATATATATATATATATACACATATAATATTATATGTATTTATAAATACATATATACTGTATATGAATTTATAAATACATGTATATTGTATATGTATTTATATTATAAAATACATATATATGTATACAGAAACAAATGTTGTGGTGTTGTGGGTCAACTTTTTGAATCTTTGGACTTATTTTTTTCTTAGAAAATTCATATTTGAAGGAAGTTTGTGTTCAAACTGTGGGAAATTTTATATTGCATTTTATTATTAAATCTTCTTTATGATTTTATTTAAAATTATTGCTGAAACTTCATTGATATACCCCTTTGGAGAACCTGACTAGACATAATGTAGGATGCAATATAAAATACAGCTTTCTGTGAACAATTACTGGACTCCCTCCTAGAAGACCTGAGAGATTTTAAAAAGTAAAAGGAGCAGATAGACATGGTGTTGAGAAAGAAGTCTTATGAGGATAACAAAACCTTCAATATTATACTGCTGATATTTTCCCTTATCCAGATCGATTGTGCATATTAAGTTCATTCACTCTTAAAATAATGATGATAACCAAATTCCCTAGCATATATTTCTTTTGTAAAAGCACACAGTGCTTTTAATTAAATATTAAAAGATTTCACTATGTTTTCCTTTTATCAGAGGCAACAATATTTTTGTTCATTATACTAATTATTTTCATTTTTAAATGTTTGCAGAGCAGTTTTCTCTGAGTACGAAAAGAGAAAGACTGAGTAAGCTAGGACATTAAAAGTAAAGCTTTTGGTGCTCCTTGAAATGTTTTCCTCAAACGGTAAAAATTTTCTACATAGCACTTTTGTGAGGTAATAGTCTTCACTGATATGGTTTAATAATGTGAATTCTAACATTCAATGGCAAACTTTATGAAGAAAAGTACATGGCATGAAATCAGGTGACATCAATTTGAAGGCAAAATATGAATATAAAGCCAAAAATTATATGTAGATGTTTGTTTCCTATTGGGAATTTGGTCTATGAATATACTGCATTTTTGAGAAGATTGGATTAACTACATCATATTTATAATTTCATGTAAAACTTTAAAAAATATATAATTATAACTTTCAAAAAGAATGTATTTTGAATTAGCCCCATTAGATAAGTGAAATTTGAATGTTAAAATTTCAGTAACCTCTTTGATCAAGCTGGACTAATTTCCATCACCTAATTCCATTAGGTTAAACTATACTAAAATTCGGTTTTGTATATATTAGTTTTTTTTTTCCATAAAGCCCAGATCTTTCTTCTACTAGTTATATCTCCAGTCAACTTATGATAGGGAGTCTTTTTAGTGTTGGTAATTTTCCTTGTGGAAACATCCGTTAACTGTCTCTGATAAATCTACTTAGAGGCAGTGGGACACTTTAAATCTCAAACTTCTTAAAGAGTTTGAGATATGCCCATTAATCACTATCAGCTAACAGATATATTAAAATTTATCACTCTTCTAGAGCTCTTCTGTCAATTTGGACTCAGTCCAGGACAGGCCCTTTTCACATAAAATGGAATGAAACAGACATGCACATAGACCCATTTCAATTCTGCCTGTCTCACCACAATGACTTGAAAAATGTATTCAATAAATTGTATTCACAGATTTATGACTACCGGAGCTTTCCATTCTTGTCCAGAACTAAAACTAGGTATTTTGCCAGCCCAGTCTTTTCTGATGCTTTCAGTGCTATATCTAAAGCAATATTTGAATGATGCATTCATGGGAAAAATAAATAAATAATACCAAGTGAGCTTAATGTATTCCTTCATTTTTTTTTCTCTTAAAATGTCATGACTGCAAACTACATTATAGATGGCTTCAGGAATGTGACTAAATGATGAACTGGATAAAGAACTCAGCTTAAAAGAGACAAAAATAACTCATCTCAAAAGTCATATTTTTGATGCTTCTTTATTATTTTTATATTTAGATAATTGATAGTGTATTATTTCCTGTGGTCTACAGATCCAGCTTTTCCTATACTCACTTTCTCTGAGAAAGAAAGAATTGTCGTATTTTTATAACCAAGGAGTTTTATAGCTTATATCAATACATTTCTGGTTCCCTCTTCCCAAAGCAAACCATAGTTGAAATTTTCCTTGCACCCTTTTGCACTTCCTCAGATACAGTATTTGAGAGCTGCTGTCTCATATTATTGAAAAAATTTACCTCTAATAGGATAGATACCAATTTTATTTAATACTTTAAATAAATGAGTTTTATTATTAACAAATACATTGAAAGTGTTACTATTTGGTACTATTTATGACTTTTACACAAGCAGTGAGCTAATTGGAAAGTAATGTAATATAGGATTATGTATTTTTAAAAATTCAACTTTGCATAAAGACAAGGAGACCTAATGTATACTGGTGATAAAGCTCTATATGAGGGTTTTGCCAGAAAACATTATGTAAAACAAAAAACAAAAACTTGACAATAATCAGTACACTCAGATGCCAAATAGGATTTTGTTCAATCTAAATAAATGTTTTAAAATTAACTTCTGGCCAGGTACAGTGGCTCACACCTGTAATCCCAGCACTTTGGGAGGCCGAAGTGGATGGATCATGAGGTCAAGATATCGAGATCATCCTGGCCAACATGGTGAAACCCCATCTCTACTAAAAACACAAAAATTAGCTGGGCGTAGTGGCAAGAGCCTGTAGTCCCAGCTACTCGGGAGGCTGAGGCAGGAGAATCACTTGAACCCAGAAGGCAGAGGTTGCAGTGAGCTGAGATCACGCCACTGCACTATAGCCTGGAGATGGAGCGAGACTCCGTCTCCAAAAAAAAAAAAAAATTATTTTTTTGTAATTAAATCACTAGTTTGAAGATCATGTAACTGTTCAGATAAATTATGACATCTTTTGTCCTAAATATTGTCAAGTATGCTAACAATTAAAACTTATTTTAACTGAAGTTGTATATCAGTTGGATTATTTTTCTATTTAAATGAAATTGGCCCTCAGATAAATTTTTTACAAATACCTTGAACACTTAATACCTAATTTTTTATAAATATATTGAATACTTAACCCTTAATATTTCAGTTATTTTCCTTCATAAGACAATTCTGTAGCTAAAGACTGGTGTCTGTTTCCTGGTAATTGTAAGCATTTACTTGCTTTCTTGTCTTTTTTGGCTATAACTTGCAATAAACCATCACTATTGCTATTGTGCTACAGAAACATTCAGTGAGAAAGAGCATTCTAATATCTAGGGCACATTCTTTAATTTTTTTTTTCACTTTCTGTGGGTCCCCTATCAAATGTCTAAATTTGATCTAGCCCTCCGGATGCTAATCTGCTCTATATGGACTGGGCCTACCATAGAGGTTAGGCTGATTATTCTACTACAAGTTGTATTTACTTTATTATTTTGACAGAGATTTAAGTTACCACTAGTCCCCACTTCACAAGTGGTTGGAAATTGAATAAGTCTCAGCTTTTAATAAGTGGCTTCTTTTTAATCCACGTCTGCAGAGTTCCCCCAAAAGGGAGGGATCAGAAGTCCTCCATTGCCCCTGTACTCCTATGTCAAGGTGGCAACCCAGTGTTTTCCAATGCAAGACTTTTCCTGCCTTTATGAACCTTGCAATTAGTCGCCTGAGTGCCTGTCGCTCTGGGTTTTCACCACACTAAAGAATCATTTCCCACTATTCCAGGAACCAACAGACATCATCCCTTAACTCAGTGCTAGAGAATTTTCCCATGTCAGGTTTTATTAAGCTCTCTAACTCTAAAGATTCAGAGCTCCAGACCTTTTTCTTGGACTTAAATTGTTCTTTTTAAGAAGCACAGGTCTTCCATTTCTTGGTACAATAAGATCCCCAAGTCTCAAGGACCCAAAGCTCTTTCTGAGAATCCCACTATCACAGGGGCAACAGGTAGAACAATGGAATAAATTGTGTCATTCTTTCAAATGTTGCTTTCTAAGGATTTTTTAAAACCACAAAAAAAAACCATAGTGAACAAATTTGTTTTATCAACAGGTTAAACTTTTGGAAGTTGGTAGGATTCTTCCAGGGTTGTCCATTTTTGTCTTTTGAATAATCTTCTTCACATTATCTGTTTTTGCCATGTTTTCTCCTGCTCACAAATATTTCTTCCAGAGTTTGTAAGGTGCTGTCTTTAATCTCACATAATGACATCTAAGAGGATTAACCTGAAATATTGTATGCTTGTTTGTTTGGCCCTTCCAAAAGTGAAACGTTCACTCTAGTTTGCCCCTTCTGCCTGAGGGATCACTTTGGCTGCTGTGTTGAAATAGACTGAAGTGGTAGAAGATAGAAACCTGGAAAGTGTCAGGATGCTAAAATATTAACCACATAAAAATAATAGTAACCCAGACAAGGTTTGTGGCTATAGATTTGGTAGAAATTGTTTAGATCCTAGTTTGAAAATAGATTCAACAAGATTTACTGATAATTTAGATGTAGCCTATGAAACAATAAACTAAATCAAGCATGATTTCTAGGTTAGACTTAGCAACTGTATTCTTAGCCGAATACAGTTGTCATCAGTTGAGATGGGGAGACTCTAGGAGGGGCAGGTTTGAGGGCAAGACTAATTTTTTTTTTTTTTTTTTGAGACAGAGTTTCACTCTTGCTGCCTAGGCTGGAGTGCAATGGTGTGATCTTGGTTCACTGCAACCTCTGCTTCATGGATTCAAGCGATTCTCCTGTCTCAGCCACCCGAGTAGCTGGGATTACAGGCACGTGCCACCACACCAAACTAATTTTGTATTTTCAGTAGAGATGAGGTTTTTCCATGTTGGTCAGGCTGTTCCTGGAACACCTGACCTCAGGTAATCCACCTGCCTCGACCTCTCAAAATGCTGGGATTATAGGCGTGAGCCACCGGGCCCAGCCAAGACTAATGTTTTAACCTTGGACGTATGGAAATTGTAATGCTCATTAGATTCAATTGAACACCTGAAAGTAAGAATTTTGGAAAAGTGTGTGCAGGAGAAATAAAGCTTGGAGCATCACCATATCAATTGTATGTGGACAAGTGAGACTGGATGAGATCACCAGAGAGTGTGTGTAGAAAGAAAAGGAATCCCAAAAGGAGAGTGAGTCATGAGGCACTTCAACATTTAAAGGTCCAGAAGAAAAGGAAGAAACAGCAGAGGAGATTGATTAGGAGTAATCAAGAATATATAAAGGGGAAAAAGAAACAAGAGAAAGTTGTGTCCTAGAAGTCAATTGCAGAAAGTATATCTGGGAGGAAGGAGCAATCAACAGTGTCAAATGATGCTGAAAGGTCAATTAAGATGAAAACTGGGAACTAAATTAAACAGGTTATTAATATTCCAGTAGATTCTGCAAGATGTGTTTAACATGTATTTTCTTGTTATTTTAATGTTATGCTTACTTTTCTTAAAATACACATTTAAGTAAATCTTCCTATGTATGATTTAAAAAGCTACTCAAGTATCTGTAACCTTTATCAGCCCATCAGTCAAAACTGAAATATAAATCAATAAATCCTAAACAAAGACTATTTTTATACCAGTTTTTTATATGGAGTTTGTGCAGTTGTTGTGTCCTTTTACAAGGATAGTAGGGCCAGGCAAGTGACTCACACTTGTAATACCAGCACTTTGAGAGGTCGAGGCTGGAGGATTGCTTGAACCTAGGAGTTTGAGACCAGCCTAGGCAACTTGGTGGGACCCTGTCTCTGCCAAAAAAAAAAAAAAAAAAAAATTAGCAGAATATGGTGGCACACAGCTGCCATCCCAGCTATTCAGGAAGCTGAGGCAGGAGAATCACTTGAGCCAGATAGAGGCTGCAGTGAGCCATAATTGTGCCACTGCACCATAGCCTGGGTGACAGAGGGAGACTTCAAATCAAAAATAATAATAATAATAAAAGGAAGTCTTCTCCTTGAATTGTCTATGCATATATACATGGTGCAGAAGTAAAATGTAAAGATATAGGCATTTTGAGAAACATTCTTTATCTATCAATAAACAATAGACTTTTTGTTTCTCCCCTCCACTTCAGAATAATTGTCATGGGAGATTTATTTTCTTTGGGCTACCAGTGTCACATTCCTTTGAAGGTGGTAGATACTTGTTTCATGAGGAATTAATTGATTTTAGAGAACTGTTAAAATGCACTTAAGTATTTTCTGCTTAATACACTGGTTAATTCAATTCGGTAACATTTTGAATTAAATAAGGTCAAGGTCAAGACTGGAGAGTTAAAGTATTTAATCTCCAAAAGTGATAATTTTATAGTATACAAAACAATGCTCTTTAATAAACGACAGATTTTCCTATAGGACTTGTTACTGTTTGACGTTAGTAAGCATGCACTAAAGACATACTTTAAGCAAGATGCTTTGCTGGATGCTGTGTATAAATTTTAAAGGGAGAATTTCTGCAGATTTTTGACTGAATAAAATGACTAAATATTCTGAAAAAACTAATATTCTTTTAGATATATAAATATTGGCATAATTGATTTGAAATCATGTATTTGGAAACTACTTACAATTTATATTTTACAGTGTTACTAATCACAAAAATACTGTTAACTAGTCACACAAATACTGTTGTATAATCTTTTATCCTTTTTGCAGGTTAACTAGTCACATAAATACTGTTGTATAATTCTTTTATCCTTTTTGCAGGTTAACTAGTCACATAAATACTCTTGTATAATTCTTTTATCCTTTTTGCAGGTTAACTAGTCACATAAATACTGTTGTATAATTCTTTTATCCTTATTGCAGGTTAACTAGTCGCACAAATACTGTTGTATAATTCTATTATCCTTTTTACACAAAATTACTTTTTTATGTAATCTTTCTTATTTTAGTTTCTAAAAAAGTTGACATACAGAGGGTTCCAAGATGGCTGAAGAGGAACAGCTCCAGTCTACAGCTCCCAGCATGAGGGACTCAGAAGACGGGTGATTTCTGTATTTCCAACTGAGGTACTGGGTTCATCTCAAAGGGTCTTGTTGGACAGTGGGTGCAGCCCATGAAGTGTGAGCCGAAGCAGGGCAGGGCATTGCCTCACCTAGGAAGCTCAAGAGGTCGGAGAATTAGCTTTCCTAGCCAAGGGAAGCCGTGACAGATGGTACCTGGAAAATCAGGACACTTCTACCCTAATACTGTGCTTTTCTAACAGTCTTAGCAAATGGCACACCAGGATATTATATCCAGCGCCTGGCTCAGAGGGTCCCACACCCATGGAGCCTTGCTCATTGCTAGCACAGCAGTCTGAGATTGAACTGCAAGGCGGCAGCGAGGCTGGGGGGAGGGGGGTCTGCCATTGCTGAGGCTTGAGTAGGAAAACAAAGTGGCCAGGAAACTCAAACTGGGTGGATCCCACAGCAGTTCAAGGAGGCCTGCCTGCCACTGTAGACTCCACCTCTAAGGGCAGGGCATAGGTGAACGAAAGGCAGCAGAAACTTCTGCAGACTTAAACGTCCCTGTCTGACAGCTTTGAAGAGAGTAGTGGTTCTCCCAGCAGGGAGTTTGAGATCTGAGAATGGACAGACTGCCTCCTCAAGTGGTTCCCTGAACCCCGAGTAGTCTGACTGGGAGACACCTCCCAGTAGGGGCCAAGTGACACCTCATACAGCCAGGTGCCCCTCTGAGACAAAGTTTCCAGAGGAAGGATCAGGCAGCAACATTTGTTGTTCTGCAATATTTGCTGTTCTGCAGCCTCTGCTGGTGGTACCCAGGCAAACAGGGTCTGAAGTGGACCTCCAACAAACTCCAACAGACCTGCAGCTGAGGATCCTGACTGTTAGAAGAAAAACTAACAAACACAAAGGACATCCACACCAAAACCCCATCTCTAGGTCACCATCATCAAAGACCAAAGGTAGATAAAACCACAAAGATAGGGAGAAAACACAGCAGAAAAGCTGAAAATTCCAAAAATCAGAGTGCCTCTTATCCTCCAAAGGAATGCAGCTCCTCACCAGCAATGGAACTAAGCTGGATGGAGAATGATTTTGACAAGTTGACAGAAGTAGGCCTCAGAAGATCAGTAATAACAAACTTATCCGAGTTAAAGGAGGATGTTCGAACCCATCGCAAAGAAGCTAAAAACCTTGAAAAAAGATTAGACGACTGCCTAATCTTTTCTCTATGCCTAATAAACAGCATAGAGAAGACCTTAAATGACCTGATGGAGCTGAAAACCATGGCACGAGAACTACGTGACGCATGCACAAGCATCAGTAGCTGATTCGATCAAGTGGAAGAAAGGGTATCAGTGATTGAAGATCAAATGAATGAAATGAAGCGAGAAGAGAAGTTTAGACAAAAAATAGTAAAAAAGAAATGCACAAAGCCTCCAAGAAATATGGGACTATGTGAAAAGACCAAATCTATGTCTGATTGGTGTACCTGAAAGTGATGGGGAGAATGGAACCAAGTTGGAAAACACTCTTCAGGATATTATCCAGGAAAGTTTCCCCAACCTAGTAAGGCAGGCCAACATTAAAATTCAGGAAATACAGGGAACACCACAAAGATACTCCTCGAGAAGAGCAACTCCAAGGCACATAATTGTCAGAGTCACTAAAGTTGAAATGAAGGAAAAAATGTTAAGGGCAGCCAGAGAGAAAGGTCGGGTTATGCACAAAAGGAAGCCCATCAGACTAACAGCAGATCTTTCAGCAGGAACTCTACAAGCCAGAAGAGAGTGGAGGCCAATATTCAACATTCTTAAATAAAAGAATTTTCAACTCAGAATTTCATATCCAGCCAAACTAAGCTTCATAAGTGAAGGAGAGATAAAATACTTTACAGACAAGGAAATGCTGAGAGATTTTGTCACCACCAGGCCTGCCTTACAAGAGCTCCTGAAGGAAGCACTAAACATGGAAAGGAACAACTGGTACCAGCCACTGCAAAAACTTGCCAAATTGTAAAGGCCATCCATGCTAGGAAGAAACTGTACCAACTAACGAGCAAAATAAGCAGCTAACATCATAATGACAGGATCAAATTCACACATAACAATATTAACCTTAAATGTAAATGGGCTAAATGCTCCAATTAAAAGACACAGACTGGCAAATTGGATAGAGTCAAGACGCAACAGTGTGCTGTATTCAGGAGACGCATCTCACATGGAGAGACACACATAGGCTCAAAATAAAGGGATGGAGGAAGATCTACCAAGTAAGCAAACGGAAAACAAAAAAAAAGCAGGGGCTGTCATCCTAGTCTCTGATAAAACAGATTTTAAACCAAAAACGATCGAAAGAGACAAAAAGGTCATTACATAATGGTAAAGGGGTCAATTCAACAAGAAGAGCTAACAATTCTAAATATATATGCACCCGATACAGGAGCAACCAGATTCATAAAGCAAGTCCTTAGAGACCTATAAAGAGACTTAGACTCCCACACAATAATAATGGCAGAGTTCAACATGCCACTGTCTATGTTAGACAGATCAATATGACAGAAAGTTAACAAGGATATCCAGGAATTGAACTCAGCTCTGCACCAAGCAGACCTAATAGACATCTACAGAACTCTCCACCACAAATCAACAGATTAGACATTCTTCTCAGCACCATATTGCACTTATTCCAAAACTGACCACATAGTTGGAAGTAAAGCACTCCTCAGCAAATGTAAAAGAACAGAAACTATAGCAAACTGTCTCTCAGACCACAGTGCAATCAAATTAGAACTCAGGATTAAGAAACTCACTCAAAACTGCACAACTACATGGGAACTGAACCACCTGCTACTGAATGACTACTGGGTACATAACAAAATGAAGGCAGAAATAAAGATGTTCTTTGAAACTAATAAGAACAAATACAAAACATATCAGAATCTCTGGGACACATTTAAAACAGTATGTGGAGGGAAATTTATGGCACTAAATGCCCACAAAAGAAAGCAGGAAAGAACTAAAATACACACCCTAACATCACAATTAAAAGAACTAGAGAAGCAAGAGCAAACACATTCAAAAGCTAGCAGAAGGCAAGAAATAACTAGGATCAGAGCAGAACTGAAGGAGATAGAGAAACAAAAAACCCTTCCAAAAAATCAGTGAATCCAGGAGCAGGTTTTTTGAAAAGATCAACAAAATTGATAGACCACTAGCAAGAATAATAAATAAGAAAATAGAGAAGAATCAAATAGATGCAATAAAAAATGACAAAGGGGATATCACCACTGATTCCACAGAAACACAAACTACCATTAGAGAATACTACAAACACCTCTATGCAAATAAACTAAAAAATCTAGAAGCAATGGATAAATTCCTTGACACATACACCTCCCACGACTAAACCAGGAAGAAGTTGAATCCCTGAATAGACCAATAACAGGCTCTGAAATTGAGCCAATAATTAATAGCCTACCAACCAAAAAAAGTCCAGGACCAGATGGATTCACAGCTGAATTCTACCAAAGGTACAAAGAGGAGCTGGTACCATTCCTTCTGAAACTATTCCAATCAATAGAAAAAGAGGGAATCCCCCTTAACTCATTTTATGAGGCCAGTATCATCCTGATACAAAAGCCAGGCCAAGACACAACAAAAAAAGAGAATTTAGACCAATATCCCTGATGAACATCGATGCAAAAATCCTAAATAAAATACTGGCAAACTGAATCCAGCAGCACATCAAAAAGCTTATCCACTGTGATCAAGTGGGCTTCATCCCTGGTATGCAAGGCTGGTTCAACATATGTGAATCAATAAATGTAATCCATCATATAAACAGAACCAAATGAAAAAACCACACGATTATCTCAATAGATGCAGAAAAGGCCTTTGACAAAATCCAACAACTTTTCATGTTAAAAAACTCTCAATAAACTAGGTACTGATGGAATGTATCTCAAAATAATAAGTATGACAAACCCACAGCCAATATCATACTGAATGGGCAAAAATTGGAAGCAATCCCTTTGAAAACTGGCCCAAGACAGGGATGCCCTCTCTCACCACTCCTATTCAACATAGTGTTGGAAGTTCTGGCCAGGGCAATCAAGCAGGAGAAAGAAATAAAGGGTATACAATTAGGAAAAGAGGAAGTCAAATTGTCCCTGTTTGCAGATGACATGATTTTATATTTAGAAAACCCCATAGTGTCATTCCAAAATCTCCTTGAGCTGATAAGCAACTTCAGCAAAGTCGCAGGATACAAAATCAATGTGCAAAAATCACAAGCATTTCTATACACCAATAACAGACAAACAGAGAGCCAAATCATGAGTGAACTCCCATTCACAATTGCTTCAAAGAGAATAAAATACCTAGGAATCCAACTTACAAGGGGTGTGAAGGACCTCTTCAAGGAGAACTACAAACCAGGGCTCAACGAAATAAAAGAGGACACAAACAAATGGAAGAACATTCCATGCTCATGGGTAAGAATCACTATAGTGAAAATGGCCATACTGCCCAAGATAGATTCAATGCCATCCCCATCAAGCTACCAATAACTTTCTTCACAGAATTGGAAAAAAAAACTACTTTAAAATTCATATGGAACCATAAAAGAGCCTGCATTGACAAGACAATCCTAAGCCAAAAGAACAAAGCTGGAGGCATGACGCTACCTGACTTCAAACTATACTACAAGGCTGCAGTAACCAAAACAGCATGGTATTGGTACAAAAACAGAGATATAGACCAATGGAACAGAACAGAGCCCTCAGAATTAATACCATACATCTACAATCATCTGATCTTTGACAAACCTGACAAAAACAAGAAATGGGGAAAGGATTCCCTATTTAATAAATGGTGCTGGGAAAACTGGCTAGTCATATGTAAAAAGCTGAAACTGGATACCTTCCTTACATCTTATACAAAAATTAATTCAAGATGGATTAAAGACTTAAATGTTAGACCTAAAACCATAAAAACCCTAGAAGAAAACCTAGGCAATTCCATTTGGGACATAGGCATGGGCAAGCTCTTCATGACTAAAATACCAAAAGCAATGGCAACAAAAGCCAAATTTGACAAGTGGGATCTTATTAAACAAAAGAGCTTCTGCAGAGCAAAAGAAACTACCATCAGAGTGAACAGGCAACCTACAGAATGGGAGAAAATTTTTGCAATCTATTCATCTGACAAAGGGCTAATATCCAGAATCTACAAAGAACTTAAACAAATTTACAAGAAAAAAATCAAACAACCCCATCAAAAAGTGGGCAAAGGATATGAACAGACACTTCTCAAAAGAAGACATTTATGCAGCCAACAGACACATGAAAAAATGCTCATCATCACTGGCCATCAGAGAAATGCAAATCAAAACCACAATGAAGTACCATCACACACCAGTTAGAATGGTGATCATTAAAAAGTCAGGAAACAACAGGTGCTGGAGAGGATGTGGAGAAATAGGAATGCTTTTACACTGTTGGAGGGACTGTAAACTAGTTCAACCATTGTGGAAGACAGTATGGCAATTCCTCAAGGATCTAGGACTAGAAATACCATTTGACCCAGCGATCCCATTACTGGGTACATACCCAAAGGATTATAAATCATGCTGCTATAAAGACACATGCACATGTATGTTTATTGTGGCACTATTCACATTAGCAGAGACTTGGAACCAACCCAAATGTCCATCAATGATAGACTGGATTAAGAAAATGTGGCACATATATGCCATGGAATACTATGTAACCATAAAAAAGGATGAGTTCACACCATTTGTAGGGACATGGATGAAGCTGGAAACCATCATTCTGAGCAAACCATCTCAAGGACAGAAAATCAAACACAGCATGTTCTCATTCATAGGTGGGAATTGAGCAATGAGAACACTTGGACACAGGGTGGGGAACATCACACACTGGGACCTGTCATGTGGTGGGGGGATGGTGGAGGGATAACATTAGGAGAAATGCCTAATGTAAATGACCAGTTAATGGGTGCAGCACACCAACATGGCACTTGTATACACATGTAAGAAACCTGCACGTTGTGCACATGCACCCTAGAACTTAAAGTATAATAAAAAATAAAAATAAAAAAATAAAAATTTGACATACAATAATTGTGCATATTTATGAAGTGCTTGCAATGATTTGATAAATGTATACATTGTGCAAAAACCAAATCAGGTTATCTAACATATCCATCACCTAATGCATTTATGATTTCTTCATGCTGAAAATATTAAAATCCTTTCTTCTTGCTATTTTGAAATATACGATACCACGTTGTTAACCATAATCACCCTACTTTTCAATAAAACACTAGAATTCATTCCTTCTGTCTAACTGTAACTTTGTACCCCGTTGACCAATCTCTCCCTTTCCCTCCTTCCTCTTGCTCTCCTCAGGCTCTGGTATTCATTATTCTACTTTCTACTTCTATGCGATCAGCTTTTTTAGATTAGACATATGAGTGAGATCATGTGTTATTTGTCTTTCTGTGCCTGACTCATTTCACTTGATACAATGTCTTCAAGGTTTATTTATGTTGCCTCAAATGACAGAATTTCTTTTCTCTTTGTGGCTGAATAGTATTCCATTGTGTGTGTGAGTGTGTGTGTGTGTGTGTGTGTATAACAATTGTATTATCCATTCATCCACTGATTGACACTTAGCTTGATTCTATATCTTGGCTATTAATTGTACTGCAATAAGCATGGGAGTGCAGATAGCTCTTTGACATACTGATTTCATTTTGTTGGGATATATAACTAGTAGTGGGATTGCAGGATCATATGTAAATTCTATTTTTAATTTTTTGAAGAAGATTTTTACTATTTTTCATAATAGCTATGTTAATTTACATGTCCATCAACAGTTTATAAGAGTTCCTCTGTCTCCACATCTGCACCAGCATTCATTTTTTTTTTGTCTTTTAAAAATAGTCATTATAATTGTGGTGAAGTGATATCTCATTGTGGTTTTGATTTGCCTTTCCTTGGTGAGTGATGCTGAACATTTTTCATATACTTGTTGGCCATTTGTATGTCTTCTTTTGAGAAATGTTGATTCAGGTCTTTTGCCCATTTCTTAATTAGATTATTTGAGTTTTTTGCTATTCAGTTGGAGTTTCTTATATATTCTGGAAATAGGCCCCTTGTCATATGCACAGTTTGCAAATATTTTCTTCCATTCTGTGGTTGTCATTTCACTCTTGATCGTTTCCTTTGCTGTGCAGACGATTGTAGTTTGTATATAATTTGTTTATTTTTGCTATTGTCTGTGCTTTTGGGTTCTTACCCATAAAAAATCTTGTCCTGATCAATGTCATAAACTGTTTTCCCTATGTTTTTTTCTAGTGGTTGTATTATCTGAAGTCTTACATTTAAGTCTTTAATCCATTTGAAGTTCAATTTTGTCTAGATTTATTCTTTTCCATATAAATATAGAGATTACAAGCACCATTTATTGAAGAAATTGTCCTTTCTCCATGAGTTCTTGTCACCCTTGTCAACAATCAGTTGTCTGTCTCTTAGTATATGGATTTATTTGTGTTCTTTATACTCTTGCATTGGAGTATGTATTTATTTTTATACCAGTACCATCCTGATTTAGTTACCGTAGATCTGTAACATATTTTAAAGTCAGGTAGCATTATGCTTCCAGCTTTGTTCTTTTCACTCAAGATTGCTTTGGCTATTTGGGGTCTTTTAGAGTTCCATATGAATTTTAGAATTGCTTTTCCTATTTCTGTGAAAAATGTCATTGCTATTTTAATAGGGATTGCTTGAATATCTAGATAACTTTGGGTAGTATGGACATTTTAATAATTTTAATTCTTCACACCCATGACCATGATATATATTTTCATTTATTGTATCTTCAATTTATTTCATCAATGTTTTATAGTTTTCAGTGCAGAGATTTTTTTACTTCCTTTGTTAAATTTATTCCTAAATACATTTTATTAGCTATAGGATTTTTTCCCTTATTTATTTTTCAGATACTTTGCTACTAGCATATAGAAGTGCTACAGATTTTTTGTGTTAATTTTGGATCTTGCAACTTTACTGAATTCACTTATTAGTTCTAACCATTTTTACTAAAGTCTTTAGGTTTTCTCTATATAAGGCCATGTCATCTGCAAACAGGGACAATTTAACTTCATTTCCAATTTTGGATGCTTTTAATTTTTTTTCTTTTGCCTGATTGGTTTGGCTAAGATTTCCAGTATTATGTTGAATATTAAGTGTCACAAGTGAACATGTTTGTCTCATTCCAAATATTAAAGAAACAGCTTTCAACATTTCTTTGTTCAGTATGATATTAGCTGTGCATTTGTCATGTATGGCCTTTATTGTTTGAGGTACATTCCTCCTACATCCAACTTGAAAGTTTTTATCATGAAAATATAAAAGGTGAATTTTACTAGTGCTTTTTCTGTATCTATTGAGATTACCATACAGTTTTTGCACTTCATTCTTTTAATGTGATGTATCAAGTTTATGGATTTGTTTATGTTGAACCATTCTTGCATCCCTGGTATGAATCCCCCTTGATCATAGTGAATGATCTTTTTAATGTTCTGTGAAATTTCATTTGCCAGTATTTTGCTGAGGATTTTGCATTTCTATTCATCAGGGGAATTGACCTGTTGTTTTCTTTCTATGTTGTATTGTTGTCTGATTTTGATATCAGAGTAATGCTGACCTCATAGACATAATTTGGAAGTATTTTGTTCTCTTCAATTTTTCAGAATAGTTTCAGTAGAATTGGTGTTAGTTCTTCTTTAAATATTTGATAGAATTCAGCGGCAAAGACATCAGGTCCTGGGTTTTTCTTTGATGGGAAGATTTTTATGACTGATTCAATCTTGTTACTCATTATTGAGCTGTTCAGATTTTCTATTTCTTCCTCATTCAGTTTTGTTAGATTGTATGTGTCCAGGAATTTATCTGTTTTCTCTAGGTCACCCAGTTTTTTGGCATACAATTGTTCATAATAGTATCTTATGTTCGTTTGTATTTCTGTGGTATCAGTTGTAATGTCCCCTCTTTATCTCTGATTTTATGTATTCAAATTTTTCTTTTTTAGCTAGTTTTGCTAAAACTGTGTCAACATTGTTTATTTTTTCAAAAACAAATCTATTTTTAGTTGATCTTTTGTATTTGCTTAGTCTCTATTTAATTTATTTTGTTCTAATTTTTATTATTTTCTTTCTTCTATTCATTTTGGTTTAGGTTCCTTAAGGTGCTAAGTTACGTTGTTTATTTGAGATCTTTCTTCGTGGATGATGTAGGCCTTTATTGCTAAAAATTATCCTCTTGGAACTCATTTTGATCTATCCCATTGGTTTTGATATGATGTGTTCCCATTTTCCTTTGTCTCAAGAAAATTTTAAACTTGTCTTTTAATGTCTTCATTGGCCCATTGGGTCTTAAACTGAGCCATCAAATAGCTCTCTCAGTGCTACCCAAAACATGATGGCTCAGTTTTCACTGTCACCCTTTGCCTGCCTAGATATGAGTTCTGAGTTGGAGAACCAGAACAAGAGAGTGCAGAATACAACGTGTCAATCAATGTAGGCTTTAAATATTGCTACTTTTACTATTTTCATCATTGTTATTTTTAAATACATAAACTACTACATTTTTAGGATGAAATTAATTGTGTATATCACAAAAGGCAGTTTAGAAAATCTGAGTCATTTTTATTTGTATAATAGGGGCTTCATTGTAGTGTAACTTATTAGCACTACAAGTTCAAATAAAAAATAAATATTGCATGGAATCTTTCAGATGTTTGCCCTGAACATGAAAACTTTGGCATAAGTGACTGAATACTTAACTTTGCATCCAGATGTTTTGTTTTAAGCTGACAATAACCAGTGTCATAAGTACTTACAACCTCCCAAGATATCCATAGAATTATCTACTTCTAGATTTTTACTGCTTCACCATATTATTAGCATTATCAATCACTTTTTAAATTACTTCTACAAGATTTAAATTTATTAAACTCCTCAATTAAGCCCATTAAGATGCACAGTAAGCATGCATATTTCAAATGAGTGCTTTGGTAGTCCCAAGTGATAGAGTACTTTTCATATCATAAACAAATCTTCTTAGGGGATAAGTTTCTTCCAATTTACACTGCTGTACTCTGAAAATTTCATTGTACACTGAACTTCACATATACAGGAACTAGTATGTGCTTTCCACACAATATCTCATTTACTTCATTTTCCTCAGAACCTCATTTTTAATTTAACCATTACCCATTTGTGTATGAATACAGTTTTCAAATACAGGGTTATGTCCTCTTAAAAATGTTTGAATCGTATTAGATGCTTATGCTCTGAGGCCAATATGTCTTAAATGAGTTACATTGTTCACTCCAAAGTAGTGCCTAATAATATTAAAATTGGCTTCTTGTATTAGACTTATTAGATGTTCTCATAACTAAAGTTTTTCTTCTTTAAAAAATTAATTTTTATGTGTACATAGTGGGTATATATATTTATGGGGTACATGAGATCTTTTGATATAAGCATACAATGAGTAACAATAAGCAAGGGCAAATGAGGTATCTGTCACTTCAAGCATTGCCATTTCTTTGTGTTATGAACATTCTAATTATACTATTTTAGTTATTTTAAAGTGCTATAAATTATTGCTGACTATAGTCACCCTTTCGTGCTATCAAATATTAGATTTTACTCATTCTAACTATATTTTTGTACCCATTCACCATCTCCACTTCTCCCCTCCACAGGTATACTACCCAATTATTTGAACTTTTTCTTCTTAAAAGACAGCTGAGCAAACTACAGGCTAAATCCTGCCTACTGTCTGTTTTTGTACACTCTGTAAGCTAAGAATCATTTTTACATTTTTAATTGTTTGAAAAAATCAGAGGAGGAATAACACTTTATGGTTTGAAACTTATATGAAATTCAAACTCCAGTAATCAGAGATAGTTTTATTTGAACATAATTATGGTCATTTGTTTAGGTATTTTCTAGGGCTGCTTTCACTGCTACAGTGGTAACATCAGGTAGGTAAGATAAAAACCATATAACACAAAGCTTGCGGTACTTACTATCTGACCCTTTAAGGAAGTTTTTTGACCATTCTCTAATGGGTGATTCCTTGAAACTTTGATGTATGACCTCAGTTCCATTTCTAGGCTGATACTCACTTTAGGCATAAGTGTTTCAAATACAATAACCCAACTTTGTAACTCAATATCAAGTCATCTTTATGTTTACTCTGACTTTTGACCATGTGCTTAATTTATAAGCTACAGAAAGATTCTTCCAGTTAGGTCTTCCTGCTACTTTTTCATGTACTCCAATCACAATGTATATTGTAGCTTCAGATTCTGGTAATTTTCTATCTACTTCATGATGTTCCATTTATCTGAGTCATGTTTTATATTGTTTCTTAATACATGTTAGGACTTTTCTATGACAGCATTTCCCAGAGTGTGTTCCAAAAACATTAGGTTTCCTAGTATGTTCAAATGTATTACAGAAAGGATCCATGTGCAAATAAGTTTGAAAAGCTCTTGGCTGAACAAATTTGGAAGAGAAACAGTTTCTCTCCTGAATGACTTCTTTGTCAACAGCTTTTATATGCAGAATTTCTCAGATATATTTGGCTGTCAAATACCTTTTTATATAGAGTACATCATGAGACTTCACTGTTCTCTAAGGTGTCGTAAATGTTTGAGAATAAAATTGAAAATTGAGTTAATTGGACTCTGATATCAAAAACCAAGCTGCTTTTGTACCTTCAGAACAGTAGTTTGCATGTCTCATTTCCTCATACAAGCCAATTATTTATTTATTTTTACTTAGTAACTAACAGATAGCACTTATTTTGTGCCAGGCATTACTCTACATACTTTTCAAATATTAACACATTTAACTTGTATAAAAACCCTGGGACTTATTTGAATTCTAATCCATATGTTACAGATGAGAAAACTGATGCACCAGGAACTAAGGTGATTTTCCAAAGCAATTTAGCTAAAAGGTGCTAGAACTAGAATTCAAATATAGTTGGACTGATTGCAGTCGATGCTTTTAACTAATAAACTGTGCTGGCTATCCTGACCCCAAATCACAGCTACATGTTGCAAAATTTCTCTAAATACGAAGTGTACTTATCTATGATAGATTTACTTTAGACAGAGAAAATTTCTAATTAAAGAATATAATCTGCTTTATATCTGATTTCTAATATAGAGGACACTGTAAACTAAAACAATAATAACAATAACAATAATCACAAAACAAAATAAGGAGAGAGACAACTTACCAAGTATTTATTTCTTTCCCTGTCTTTGTCTGTTCAGGCTGCCATAAATAAATATCACAGACTGGGTTGCTTAAACAACAGAAATATATTTCTCACAGTTTAGTAGTGTGGGAAGTCTGGGACCAAGATGGTAGCAAGCGAGGTTTCATTTTGGGGCCTCTTCTCTTTGCTTGAAAGCAATTGCCATTTGACTACGGACTCATTTGTCTTCTCTGTACACTTGGGTTGAGAGTGAGCTCTCTGGTGTCTCCTATAATGATACAGGGTCCTACCCTTATAACCGCATTTAACCATAACTAACTAGCTTGTTTTTTAAGGTTCTATTTCTAAATACAGCCACATAGAGAATTAGGGCTTCAACATATGAATTTGGGAAGAGCACAGTTCTGTCCATAGCAGCCTCCTTACCATACTTAATAGGCACTTGTATAGTTAGATTGCAGTAATTTGACTAGTTCTTGTCAATAAACTGAGAGCAAAAATGATGTGTGGCCCAAGGTAAGGGCCATTGTTTCTCTATCCTATCTATTTTTTCCTGTGTTAATCTTGGAGACCACATGATTCAAATGTTGGAGGAGGGCTGCCTTATCTCCAACTCACAGTAGTTTCATCAGAAATATATTGTCGATGCATTAAGCCACTAAAATTTCTGGGTTTGTTCATTTTGTCTGCTAGAATTACTGTTATTTTGCAGTTGATCATTTTACAAAGAAAATCTATCCCTTGGAGTAAGGGAGTGGATAAATGGCATGCTATAATGCAAAAGATTGTAACATAAAAATATTACCAGCATTGATATTCCCAAATAGTAAATATGGTTGTTATTTATTAAAGTCTCCTAGAAGCCATCATTTTTGCTCATTTTTCAATACTACATAAAACTTAACTCAGTTTCTTATTTCTTTCATAAAATACATTGTGTAAGAAGGAAAGTATTTAAGAAGCATCGGAAGAGAATACTAACTGATTAAAGTAGACTGGTTATAATCTCATATTTGGTAGAACATAACCCTGGCCTTTAACAAATCACTTACCTTCTCTGGGCTTTCTCTGATGATTTCAAATTTATTACTATAAAACAATAATGTAAAGTTAGAGAAAACATGCTTTTACCTGGACATGGTAGAATATTAAAAATAATATAAGAATATTATTTTAATTTATACTGTACTTATTTGCAAGGTATAGTTCATAATTATGAGCATAAAACTCATTAATAAGAGCTAACAATTTGAATTATTTTACTAAAATTTGAAACTAAATTTATTTTCATTGAGTCTTTAAAAACCTTTATTAATAATGTCAAAAGATGTGAAATATTGCAAGGTTGGTTAATTGTATTAGTCTACTCAGGCTGCTATAACAGAATATCACATACGGGGAGGCTTAAACAAAAGAAATTTATTTTCTATCAATTCTGGAGACTAGAAGTCCAAAGTAAGATGCCAACAGGCTTGTTTTCTGGTGAGGCATCACTTCCCGGTTTTCAGACTGCTACTTTCTCACTGTGTGTCCTCTCATGGTCTTTTCTCTTTGTGCTCAAACTCCTGTGTCTCTTTCTCGTATGTGGACACCAGTCCTATCGAAGTAGGGCCCCACTCTTATGACCTCAGTTAATCTTAAATACTCCTTTAACTACCTCTACCTCCTGATAAACACATCAGAGTTTAGAGATTCAACATATGAATTTAGGGAGGAAAAATTCAGTCCATAACATTGTCATATATTACATTTATCTTTCCAACTAAATACAGCATTTCAAATGTGATGAAATATGCTAAATTCTTAATCACACATATTGACATCTGGTATTTGATATAGGAGTGTGAGACTGTTTTTAATTTCAACATCATATACTTTATCCCCAAATCATTTTCAGATAAATTATTATCAGATACATTAAAGTTACTTGATTTCAATGACATTGATTTTCTTCTTTAGGCATCTCTGTCTCATTTTATTAATAAAAATAAATGCCTATCTCATAGATTATCTCATAAGACTTAAATTAGAAGTAGTAGTTCTTGAAAAGTAATGAGCCTACTAAACACTTAATAACAATTATTATTGTATTTATTCTACAGATTAAACATGAATTTAAATGCAAACAATTGTTGTCTATAGTAGACCAAGATGCTTCCCTCAAGCAACAAAATATTGGGATAAGAGCTTAAACCTCCAAAACATACAAAAAACATCTAAACATTTCAATAGGAACATGGTTGGAAGATGCATTATTGTGTTTTTACACTTTAAAATTTCAAATAGTAAACTTAACATATCATTGTTCACATTTATACATAGTCTGTGGAAGACTTGCATTTGTGACCATCATCAATGAGGCTCAGTAACAGCTTCTGAAGGAGTTAGTGAAACCTAGTATTCACAGGAGGCAGGAAGAAAAAAGTTGGGTCAGGATTAGTGATGTAATCAGCATGAAATATGTTAAATTAGAACACTTGAGAAGCAAGAAGATCTATATTGCTTCATTACAAACATGTTCCAAAAAACCATACTGCTGGGAATAACATAGCATTGCTACCTTTTCTTATTAATGTAAAATTATCTAGAAACAAGGTGTTTGACAGTAAAGAATATGAGGCCTACAAACAAACTTTTGCTGAGAATCTTATGTATCCTAAGGGTGACCCTAGTGTTGGAGTTCCCACAAGACCTGAGAAGGAAATTGGAGTAATGGGGCTTAGGTCTAAGGAGGAAGAAAAGTTTCAATTGTTTAGAAGACTTGGCTCTATTTGGTTTATTCAAATAACCAATCTTCACTCTTTTTACCTGAGTTTACCCTCAAGATTTCTATTTCTTCCAACCAAGTAATACCTAACAAACGTGCATACCACAATTACAAAGCTAGTAAGAAGAGGTTTTTTAAAACTCAGGTATTTTGATTCTTACTTCTTTGCTCTTTACACTAAAATAGGTGATGTCTTGTTGGAAAGTTTAGCTTTGTCAACAGCAATAAATAATCTGACAAGTTCTACTTATTTTTCTCTATCCCAAGCATAGATCATGTGGCCACAGGGTTATCTAACTTGTGCAATTCAATAAAATAGAGAGATACTTTAAAAAGGGTAATAAAGATAAACTTTTCATCCTGGGCTCACATGCACTGTGTTTTCTAGGCTGCCTGTAGGATTATTAGCTGCTCGATTTTGACAGACCTCAGTGAGATTCATAGATCCTTTACCTAATACACTGCTTTAAAATTTAATAGCAGCTCTTCCTACATCAGCCTTGCATTAAATAAGGACACAACAAGATTGAATAGCAGCTTTACTGGCTTGACAATAATCACTGAAATACTAGGCCCAGAAACATGTGTCTAAATGTCTGAAAGTTGTGAGTGCTAATTCCAGATTCTCTACATTTACAGGGATATCCTTACCTTTCTTCCTTGAAGCAAATGTTAATAGATTAATTAATAAATGAACAGATAATGTATAATAAATATATTGTATGCTATGTCAGGTCCCAATAGCTATACTTTCCGAAAACCACGAAAAGTCTGGAAATACTCTATAGTATTTCCAGATATGATGTAATTTACTTCTCCAGAAGACCAGCAATAGTATATCTAAGTAAAAATAATTAAAAGAAACACCATAATACTGAGTCTATATTCTCTGAAATTTTGTATATCTCCATTTTGAAAGACCTTTTCATTGGTATACATACAGAATATCTTTGAAAAAGAATACAATTTTAAAATGTAATTCGTAATTAATTTGGGTATAGGAAAAAATCCTATAAAAATGATTCCACAATGTAGGAAATGTACAAAGAATTAGAGTTACATAAGGGGAAAGCTAAGTGAGAGTGTAGAATTATAAAGAAAAATCAGAAGGTTAAGGAATGCTTAGCAGGTCAGCACAGTGGCTATCACAGAAGTAAATGCTGATTAAAAGTTGGAAAAAAGAAAGAATAGATAGATGATAGGTGAATAAGTGCAGACATAGAGAGGACATAAATGAACAAAATGGAGAGCTGGAGTAATTGAGTTTCTCTGTGAAAAGTGAAAAAGTAAATGATTGCTCCATTATGCATAAAATAATTCAAACTACATGCAATTCAGAATTGCTTAAATACTTTTAGCTGCCTTGAGCTTTTACTCTAAAGCCTTAGGAAGAATGGGCTGATAATAAGAATGCTAGACTAGGAAGATGGAAATAATCGTGGTGTTTGATAATATTATTGAATTGCTTATCAAATTATGTCTGAGATCTTTAGGTGAGAAAATAAGTTTTCTTAATGTTTTAGCCATTTTAAAGATGGTTTTCTGATTATTCCAGTTTAGTATTAGTTAGGGTTTTCTAGAGAAACAGAACTTTGTAAATGTAGAATATGAAAATGTAGAATGAAATTTGTTGTAAGGAATTGGCTCATGCAATTATGGAAGCTAAGAAATCTCAATAGCTGCAACCTGGAGACCCAGGAGAGCTAGTGGAATAAATTCCATTCCACTCCAAGCCTGAGAATCAGAAGTGCTGATGGTATAGATCACAGTCCAGAGGAGAAGAACTATGTCTCAGCATTCAGGCAAAAAGAATTAAACCTTTTTCTGCACTTTTGTTCAGTTTGGATCTTTGATGGGTTGGATGAGGCCTACCCATATTGGACATCTGCTTTATTCAGTCCACTAATTCAAATGCTAAACTTTTCTAGAAACACCCTGAAAGACATATCCAGAAGTAATATTAAAAAAAATCTCAGCATCCTGTGGCCCAGTCAAGTTTATACATAAAATTAACCATCACAAGTTTTAAAGCGTTGTGTAATGTATCAAGACCCATTTTCAATGTAAATTTCAGCCAACTAATTCCTTACTTACAGAAACAATTGGGAAAGTAACAACTTAAATGCATTGTTTTAACTTAATCTGACTATTTATTACATTTTTATTTTTCTTTGTTGAAAAGTGTTTCTCACAGTCAAATCTTAGCAAAGGTTATCCTACCTAAAACTGTATATAATTGGATATCCTCTGCTATCTAATCTGTCAGGTTGTATTTTTGGGGGAGGGGGATTGTTTGATTGACTATTTTTTAATCCTTTTATTGACAATGTCTATCTCCACACTTGAGACTATGTCTCATTCATTTCAATAGATCTCTCCTTCTACCCTCATGCTGTCCTTTCAGATCGATCAGCTTTGTTAAGAGAATAAAAGCTTTCCTCAAATCCAGATAGATTATCATTAGTATGTTGTCCATTTTGCTACTTCATTGCTGTGGGAAAATAAATAATAAGTACATTCAATTGAGTTTTTCTTGATGATATTGTAGTAGTCAAATATAAAAGCATTGTTCATCATTATGAGAGAACATGCTTCTTTAATCTAGCCAATTTCAGGAAATCGATGACCTGTCTGAATATGGAACATGGGAGGGAGGTTATCTATTACAAGGGCACATTTCCCCAGGAGATCTCAGGAAGATTCTGTGAAGCTAAGCACATTATTCTATTATTTAACTTTTCAATTTCCTCATGATACATAATACAGATGCTATTGTTTGGGGAAATGTAATACATGAAACAGTACTTTAAAAGGTTTTGTTGTTTTAGGATATTGGCTGTATGATTTTAGGTAGGCCTACGTTCTTATCCAACCAATTAAGAAATGGGAACTATTAGAGTCTTTGTTAATATTATATTAAATTTCCATACAGATTGTATTTGAATATATTTCCTTTAATCAACTGTAGTTGATAAAATAAATTAGACTTCTTTTCATCTAAAATGGGCTTCATTTCTATGTATATTTGTATAATACACACCAACTCATATATACACACACATAAATAAAGTAGTTTGGATATATTGGAGTAGTTCACCTTGATCAATAATGAAGAAGGAAGAATTGACATTTAAAACATAATCTCTTTAGAATAAAAGTAATTAAAACTGAAGTAAAAATCTTTGAAGAAAAACAAAGAAAACAACAACAAAAAGATTGGTCAGTTGTACTTTTATGTATTCTCATGTTTAACTTAATGATTTCATTTCAATGTTTATGTCTTCTTTCCACTGACAGATTTATTTTAAAAGGATAGTATAATATCTATTTTCTTTGAGAATCCTTATATTGCAGTAAAATTTGCATAACACTTATCATTTGAACCATTTTAAACTGTAAATCCAGTGAAATTAACCACCTTCACATTATTGTTTATCACCATCATTCATCTCCATAAATTTTCCTCTTCCCAAACTAAAACTCTGTACCCATTAAACAATAACTCCCCATTTCCCTCTTCCCCCATCCCCTAGAAACCGCCATTCTATTTTTTGTCTCTATGAGTTTGACTACTCTAGGTACTTTATATAAGTAGAATCACATGAAATTTGTTCTTTTCTGTCCACTTTATTTCAATTAGCATAGTGTCTTCAAGGTTCATCGACCTAGTATGCATAAAAACTTCTTTTTTTAATGCTTAATAATATTTTATTGTAAAAATATATTTTTTATGTAAATAACATTTTCCTAAGTGCTATGACAGTGCAAGAGCCTTCTTTGGTGCCAAGTTATTAATGAATGTGATTGTGCTCTCAAAGTAATGCAAATCAAAAACAAAAATGTATTATTCCCCAAGTGAGATATCATATCTCTCCCAGTCTAAACCAACATCAAAACATCAAATAAAAGAATTATTTCCCAAAGTATGACTCACATCACTGAGAGTCAAGGGAATAAAATATGTATTTTATATTATTATGTTTATTTATTATATTTATATTTTATAACATGTAAATGTGTGTTATATATGTACATACACAGTATTCATGGGCTAGGACAAAATGGTTGATTGGGAAGTCACAGTTCAAGCTATTAAGTAAACTATTATGAAGAAGATGTTGACTTTTTTTTTTTTACCAGGTATTATAGACTGAATTGTACCCCCTGAAAACTCATATGCTGAAGCCCTAATCCTCATTGTAACTATAGTTGGAGATAGGGCCTTTAAGGGGGTAATTAAAATGAAATGAGGCCATACTGGTGTCCTTATGAGAAGAGGAAGTGACACCAGGACTGTGTACATACAGAGGAAAGGCCATGTGAGGATACAGTAAGAAGGCAGCCATCTGCAAGCCAAAGAAAGAGGCCATACTAAAAACCAACTCTGCCAGCACCTTCATTTTGTACTTCCCATGTTCAAGAATTATTAGAAATAAATTTCTGTTGTTTAAGCCACTCAGTATATGGTACTTTGTTATGGCAGCCCTAGCAGACTCATAGAGGAGATTATTAAAAATTTCCAGGTGATTTTATTATCAGCTGTAAAAATTTCTGATATTTCACCTTAATAACCATTTATTTGTTCATGCACACACACCAGCACACATACACTCAGTTGACACCCAAGATAAAATTTGCTTACTATATTAAATTTATGTCTTCATATTAATTTAATGAATTTCAATTATTACTAGTTTTCAACCGAATAAATAGTGGATTTCATATTTCTCAGAGTTATTGTTTATTTCAAGCTTCAGTGTTGTATGAATACAGAGGCCAAGAAATACCAATATCAAGCAAATTAAATTGACATCTTTTGATCAAATTTTATTTTTTTGTAGGACCTGCGTTTTCAAATCTTCCTGTGTCTGCTACACAGTTTTGTTCCATTGACCATAAATGATTTTTTATAGATGTTTTATTTAAATACTTAAACCAATATTAAAAACTCTTTGGAGTATCAAATTAAAATTCCACATTTAGCACAAACAGGAAGGGTTAAAAACTGGTGTGAGCTCAGATTTGAAGTAATTAATTTAGTAATTGTCAGGGACAAACAAGTAGAGCATGAGAAGGAACATTCATTATGTGCACAAAGGAAGACTCTGGATTCCTAATTAACATTAAGGCAGCGTCAGCATAAAATGAGCATTAATATTCCACAGAATAATTGGCAATCTTTGTGATACGATTTCTTGTTTTTTTAATTTTTTTCTCTAACTTTAGCTAGTTTCAAGAAGGTGTGATTATTCCTGGGTGACAGAAAAATTATGGTTTATGTTATGCTATGTCCTATTCCTCTTCCTACCGATAGTCACAGACTCTGTGCAGTTAGTACAAACCACACTAAAAAACTTTAATGTGGGTTCTCTCATTTCATCCTCAGCACAGCACTGCGAAATAGATGGTATTTTCATATTCATTTTGTAGATCGGATGTTATATGGCTTTTGAAAGCTACTTGACAAATATCTGCCTACATACTTACATGTCTACACGCTTAATTTCTATGTTATAAACTCTCTTGTAACACATACTTTGTATTTATATTACACTATCATTTTCCAAACACCTTTATTAATATTGTCTCAATATGAATACACCAACCCTATGTAATAGTTATCCAGATTTCAGGTAAAGAAGCTGAGATGCAGAAAAATTAATCCAATGGCCCAAGATGACAAAATTAGGAAGTAACTCACTTCCCAATTAAACCCATTTTTCCTTTTACTACTTTATGCCTCAAGTATTACTTAACTAAAAGAAGAACCAAAATAAAGCAAACTTTGTGTAGCCTAGCAGTTGTTTATAGCTTCATTTATTTTTCTAACTTTGAATTAGTTATGTATGGATGAAATTAGAAATTAAAATGTAAATCCATATTCTAGTTCATTTTGAAAAATTAAAAATTTTGACAACATGACAGCCACTATATGAGCCTGAAAAAGGCTATCTTCTCAGAAAGGGCATGAGCCGTCTAGTTTACAGTCCCTATTAAGCCATTCAGTTTACACTGGGCTACTTCATGCATTACCTTGCCTGCATTTGACTTTATGAAACTTACATGGTTCAGTCGTTATGTTAGAAGAAACTTTCAGAACTAGATTACTCACTATTTCTTTTATCAGATATATGAATCTCTGTAATTCTCCATTTATCCAATATCTTACTAATCTTTGAACACAAATCAATCTTTTTTCTCCATGAAGATGTCTTCCCAGATAAGTTGAGCACATTGTTATGCCTGCTTCCTCCAAATCCCTAGACAAAGGAAAAATTGCATGGGATGACATTACACAGGCAAGCAAGACTTTTATGTAATGTTATTTCCATAGGAAAGAGACATCAGACCACACTCTGAGCTCAGCTCTGCTGACCAAAAGGCAGGTAGGTTTTTTAACCACGAGGGTAAGCTAGTGGGAAAGTACTGGAGGACATTAGTAGGGGGAAGTTGATCAATGGGATGTGCAGAGCATATTGAGTTATTTCTGAGTTTGCGTATGTTTTCTCTGTCATTAGGCCATGTGTGTTTGCTAATTGGTGCCCATCAAAATAAGGCTCCTATTCTCCCACAGAGATTTCATTTCAAAGGGACAGCTCCCAGGTCTTAGAAACATTCCTGGTTGTAAAACTGGTAAGAGGCTTTTTAAAAAGATACTCATCTCAAACAGGCAGAGAGGCCGCGTACAAGTTTTCTAAATAAATGCTCTAAGAAAAGGGAGGTCAGGGCCCAAGAGTTAGGATGAAGACTCTTTAAAGATTCATCAGGCTGAGAGGGAGGTTAAGGCTTTTTTATTCACCCTATAAAACTACTTGTAAAGACTGCCAATTATTCACCAGTGTCTGCTGTTCCTTTTATTTTGTTTTTTTTTTTTTTTTTTTTGGTAATAGAATTCAAAATTCAATGCTGGTCAGGTGGCTTGCTGGATAAAGATAACTTATTCCAGTTTCTTCTGCCAAAATATGCTGTTTGACTTACTTCTGGCTAGTGAGAAGAGACTGGGCATGAAATTTGTGACCAAAAAGCAAAGGGGGTTGGCCTTTTCTCAGCTTTCCCTTGATCCTTCTGAATGGAATGTGGATAGAATAGTAGGAGCTGGAACAGACATCTTAGATTATGACATGAAAGATACACGTTGTGCATGGTAGAGTAAAATAATAAAATAAACATAAGCCTCATTATGATATTTATTAAAAAGTTAAAATATGACTAGCTTAAAGATATAAGAATGAGGATGTATTAAAGATTTTAACTCATGAATGAGGAAATTGGCAAGTGTTAAACAGGAAATCCTGATGAATAGAACATTTGTAGATCAGATGTATTGAAATAAATGTAGGGAGTCAAGATTGTCTCCCAACACAGAATTAATTTGTATGTTTATAGACAAGAACAATTTTGTAATGTTATCAGTAATCTACAATTAACAGGATTGAAAAATAGCTCCCACAGTTTTAGAATCAGGTAATTCTAAAGGTCTGCTATATACAATGCATAGTTTTCCATTCAGTAAAATTTTACCCTAATTTTCCTTACAGTCTTCAACTCTATGCAACTGCCACATATTTTTAAGATACTTGTATGCATGATGGCATGTAAGAAAAAAGAATATATATATATATGTATATATATATATATATATATATATGGTATACATGGCATATCTATATCTGTGAGGAGCTGTTTGCTTGTTTTTTTTTTTTAATTTGTGTACTTTGCTGTAGTAGATACATGTGAAGCTAACAACTATTCACTTGTTATTAAATATATTTTGTCTTGAAGTGTCTCATTGAAGTCTTATTTACCTCTTTAAAAAAACTATGTGAAAGAAGTAAAATGTCTTATACCTTCTTAACTTTTTCTCCTTCCAATTACTTTTACTCATTCATACTTACATTCTGCAAATATTTATAAATTGATTATTTAGATTTAGCCTAGTTTGACATTATTCTAGAAAAAAGATCTGAGCAGAGAAATAGAGATGTTTAAACCCACCTCTTATCTCTTGATAGCCAAGCCATTTGGGGACACAGTTGAAAAACGTGCTGGTTAATAAGCTACCACTGCTTATTCCAAGTCTTGAAAAACATAATAAAATTGAAGTGTGGATTTTTTCAGAAAGAAATATACATAAATTATAAAAATTACTTATAATAGTTGGGTACAATATACATATAGTTAATTCAGATACTTGTGCTCAACTTGAAGCTATTATTTTTACTATAACATTTAATCTGCTATTTTACCTACATTTTTATTAGACAAGCTGATGAGAAGTCAACTTCTTATCAGCTGATGAGAAAATTCATTTGAATTTTCTCTCATTTCATCCACTTCAACTAATCCTATAATTAGAGTAAATACACGAGAAGAAATTTTGTCAAAATATTATCAGTTTTCCAGTAGTAAATCCAAAATGTGTAAATTCTCTAACATGTAATAATGATAACAGTGAAAATAGTAATAATATGCTTTATAAGCAGATAACTTACTAGGTGACAGGTATTTTGCTAAGAAATCATGAGGTATATAACTCTCATGTACTTATTCATTTATTCAAAGATGTTTCTTCATTTTCTGCATGCTCAGGCATTGTTCTCCCCATCAGGAGTGCAGAAATAAATCAGTCTGAGAGTTCCTGAGCTAATGGAGGGTTTGCCTTCATGGCCATGTGACCTATGCCTCATTTTCAGAAGGACCCTCCTCTTGGTTTAATGCTCCACTTGTGCTATATTAACATTTTTATATTTGAATTAGTGTTTTGTATGTCAAAGCTCATGTGACAATGGAGCACAAGCAGAAGAGGAACATGCAATACACATGTCTACCACTGTTCCTTCCTGTGCCATTTACATATGGCATATATGATGCCCCATGATTGCAGAATTCTGGTGAACCCTTGATGCATGGAAATTTAATGGGACTCAAAGCAAGTACAAAATAAGCAATGTAGGGAAGCTTCCAATCACTAATGCAGAAAATCATGACATAGAAGGTAAGGGAAATATAGCATAACCCAGAGTTCCTTTTCCTTTCAGTCCTTCCTTACTCATCAGTAAGCCAAAGGTAGAGTGTATAGGTGGAATGTTAATACATCGAGAAATAGAATCAAAAGAGTGGAGCTACGTTTGTGTGGTGTGTCCCGTTTTGGTTAGATCAATATGTATGAACTATGTAATTTCTGTGATGTTTTGCATGAGTTAAATGCACCCACATTTTCATGTAAACTGTCATTGTATAAACACAAATGTAAGTAATAAAATTAAAATACTTCTTTACTTAAAATTGCATTAGATAGCAAATAACAACTCCATGACCAACTAACTGAGTGAGGGAGAAAGATGGAGCACAGAAGGAGAAAGCTTTATCTGTTAATACCTTTTTTATTAAGCAAGGAGACTCACATTTTCATTTTTCAATGGGCTACATAAATTATGTAGCTTGCCCCATTTCGAACTTGCATTCTCATGAGAATACAGAGAGTAAAAAAATCATTAGAATGGCAGATGTGGACATGTTAGAATACAGGAAGGGAATTGATATGGATGAGAAGGAGTATTTGGACAGGGATATCAGGGAAGGACTTTTGAAAAGTTGACAGTATAATAGAAACCTGAGTGATGAGAAAAAGCCAGCTATAACAATACCTGGGGAATAACTAGGAAGGAAAGAATAGCATAAAGAAAAGTCTCAATATGAGAAACAGCTTCATGAGTCCCAGAATGAAAAAAAAGAAGCCACAGTGACCTGAGCAGAGTGAGTAGAAGGGAGGAGAAGAGAGGAGAAAGGAGAGGTCACAAGGGGCCCTAAGAATGCGTTTCAATTTCCCAGCAAGTGGGATGGGAGCTCCATAGTTTTTGCACAGGGAAGTGAGTGTTTGGATAAAAATACTTTACTATTACTTCTTTAGTTATGTTGAAATGGAGGTTTTGAGGTGTTGATGAAAAAGCCAAACTCTGTGAAATATTGGAAGGGGTTTACTCTGAGCCAAATATGAGGACAATGACACAGCCTCAGGAGGTCATGATAACATGTGCCCAAGATGCTTGGGTTACAGCTTGGTTATACAGATTTTGCGGAGACAGAAGTTACAGGCAAAAACGTAAATCGATACATGTAAAGTATACATGATTTGGCCTGGAAACAGGGAAGGACATTTCAAAGACAGGCAGGTGGGGGAAGAAGGAGTGGCTTGCAGGTCATAGGTGGATTAAAAGATGTCCTGATTGGCAATTGGTTGAAAGAGTTAAGCTTTGCATGAAAAGTTGAAGTTAGCATAAAGAAATGTTTGATAAGCAGAGATGTGGAAATCAAGGTTCTTGTTTATGTAGATGAAGCCTCTAAGTAACATGCATCAGAGAGAATACATGGTAAATATCTCTTAACAGACTTTAAAAGGTTTCCAGACTCTGCAAAAGATCTAGTAAGGAAAGAAGATTCTTTACAGAATCCAAATCTCCCCTACAGGAGACAACTTTGCAGGGCCATTCCAAAATATGTAAAAGAAATATATTTTGGGGTAAAATACTTTTTTGCCTTTAGAATTTGTTATCTGTCATGTGATGATATACAGAGTGAGATTGGAATTTGGTTCCTTATTGCTACAAAGAGTCTGTTTTGTCAGTCTTTTGATCTCTAATTTAATGTTAATGCTGGTCAGTTGTGCTTAAACTCTAAAGCAAGCAGGGTATAATGAAGCATGTCTGATATCTCTACCTGTCCTGGCCTGAACTAGTTTTTCAGATTTCTTTGGGATCTCCTTGGCCCAAGAGAGGAGTCCATTCAGTAAGTTAGGGTTCTTAAAATTTCATTTTTGTTTACAGAAGTTTATGGAGTTTAACAAGAGTTTTAATCTCTTGTCCTAGTTAACGTAAGTTAATGATCAGAAGAGCCGGGTCTAAAAACTAATTACTCCAACTTTGGGGTCCACACATTTAACGACTATGATATACTCTGAAAATAGATATTGCCTGCTGTGAATGGCAGTATGAAGTGAGCAATTAAGAAGATGATTTTATTCTGGCTACTGTAATAGGGGAGAATATTCATTAATGAGGAAAACCTCAAAGTAAAGGAATATGGCCTGCAGTTCTACAGCACCAGGTAAACAAGAGAGTGCTAAAGAAAACAAGTAATTTTACTTTAAGTTCTGGGATACATGTGCAGAATGTGCAGGTTTGTTACATCAGTATACATGTGCCATGGTGGTCTGTTGCACCCGTCAACCTGTCATCTAGGTTTTAAGACCTGCATGCATTAGATATTTGTCCTAATGCTCTCCCTCCCCTTGGTCCCCACCCCCTGACAGGCCCTGGTGTATGATGTTCCCCTCCCGATGTCCATGTGTTGTCATTGTTCAACTCCCACTTATGAGTGAGAACATGCAGTATTTGGTTTTCTGTTCTTGTGTTAGTTTGCTGAGAATGATGGTTTCCAGCTTCATCCATGTCCTTGCAAAGGACATGAACTCATTCTTTCATTCTTTTTTTCATGGCTGCATAGTATTCCATGGTGTATATGTGCCACATTTTCTTTAACCAGTCTATCACTGATGGGCATTTAGGTTGGTTCTAAGCCTTTGCTATTGTAAATAGTGCTGCAATAAACATACGTGTGCCTGTGTCTTTATAGTAGAATGACTTATAATCCTTTGGGTATATACCCAGTAATGGGATTGCTGGGTCAAATGGTATTTCTGGTTCTAGAGGAATTGCCACACTGTCTTCCATAATGGTTGAACTAATTTACACTCCCACCAAAGTGTAAAAGCATTCCTATTTCTCCACATCCTTGCCAGCATCTTTTGTTTCCTGACTTTTTCATGATTGCCATTCTAACTGGGGAGAGATGGTACCTCATTGTGGTTTTGATTTGCATTTCTCTAATGACCAGTGATGATGAGCTTTTCTTTCATATGTTTGTTGGCCGCATGAATGTCTTCTTTTGAGAAGTGTCTGTTCATATCCTTTGCCCACTTTTTGATGGAGTTTTGTTTTTTTCTTGTAAATTTGTTCAAGTTCCTTGTAGATTCTTAATAATAGCCCTTTGTCAGATGGATAGTTTGCAAAAATTGTCTCCCATTCTGTAGGTAGCCTGTTCACTCTGAGGATAGTTGTTTTTTTTTTTTTTTGTTTTGTTTTGTTTTTGCTGTGCTGAAGCTCTTGGAGACAAGTTTTATACCAAGATATGTGAGGGCAGGGGGTCCTTTGTCATTAGCTTGTTTCCTAGAATACAAAATGATGCACAGGTTTTTAAACTATAACTGCTTTCAATGAGTGCAGGGCTCGGATACAGTTCAACATTGCCATCCCATGAACATCTTTGGTCATATATTTTCAAACTGATCTTACTTCAGTTGAACTTGATACATTACTTGTACTATATGTGTCTAAAGTGACTTCATCAACAATAACCTCTGATTTAACATTGCAACAGAAAGTTATATGTTGCACCTTTATACCCTGAAAGGCACAGAAACAGACCAATTTGTTTTAAGTGAAGCAAGTATTTGCCATTTGAAGGACGATACAATCTCATTTTTCCTTGGAAGCCTCAACTGAGTGTTTTGTTCCTTTCCTTCTCTGAGTTTGGTCCCAGTCAGCTGGGAACTTGTTAGAAATACAGAACTTTAGGCTCCATTCCAAACCTTTTAAATTACATTTTATTTTGTAATAAGATCCCAGGTGATTTGTATGTTTAAACTGTGAGAATCACTGCTTTGAAGCTGTATAGTACTTTATTCTTGAAATAAAGGCAAAAGGATTTCTTTTCATGGACAAAGCAATGCTACTATTAGCTGAAGAGATTAGCAGATGCCTTGAATATTTGAAAAAAAATTCAAAGCAAAAAAGGGCTGGTGGGAGTGATTAACATGTTACTGAGTGCCATTGCTGATATGCGGTATAATAATTTAATTTGTCTTTTTGTTCTTTCTCTGTGGTATATAATGATGCATTTTTAAATAATAGTATATTCAACACATTGAAACACAGTATTGTCTCCAATATAGACAAAGATATTGACACAGAGTAAGCTATTAGATGAATGCATTTTGTCTATAATACAAGTTATATAGGCATAAGATAATTAACAAGAGAGAAAGGAAATGTTACTCTCCTGATATATTTTGGCTGTGTCCCCACACAAATCTCATCTTGAATTCCCATGTGTTGTGGGAGGGACCTGGTGGGAGGTAATAGAGTCATGGGGGCAGGTATTTCCTTTGCTGTTCTCATGATAGTGAATAAGACTTGTGAAATCTGATGGTTGTAAAAAGGGGACTTTCCCTGTCCAAGCTCTCTTCTCTTGCCTGCTGCCATCTGAGACATGCCTTTCACTATCTGCTGTGATTGTAAGGCCTCCCCAGCCACGTGGAACTGTAAGTTCAATAAACCTCTTTATTTTGCAGATTGCTCAGTCTTGGATATGTCTTTATCAGCAGTGTGAAAATGGACTAATATAGTAAATTAGTACCAGTAGAGTAGGACTTTGCTGAAAAGATACCCGAAAATGTGGAAGTGACTTTGGAGCTGGGTAACAGGCAGTGGTTGGAAAAGTTTGGAGGGTTCAGGGGAAGACAGGAAAATTTGGAAAAGTGTGGAACTTCCTGGAGACTTGTTGAATGGCTTTGACCAAAGTGCTGATAATGATATGAAATGAAATCCAGGCTGAGATGGTCTCAGATGGAGATGAGGAACTTTTTGGGAACTGGAGCAAAAGTGACTCTTGTTATGTTTTAGCAAAGAGATTGGTGACATTTTGCCCCTGCCTGCCCTAGAGATTTGTGGAACTTTGGACATGAGAGAGATAATTTAGGGTATCTGGTGGAAAAAAAAGTGCTAAGCAGCAAAGCATTCAAGTGATGACTTGGGTGTGTTAAAGGAATTCAGTTTTAAAAGGAAAACAGGCGATAAAAGTTCAGAAAATTTGCAGCCTGACAATGCGATCGAAATGAAAATCCCATTTTCTGAGGAGAAATTCAAGCTGGCTGCAGAAATTTGCATAAGTAATGAGGAGTTAAATATTAATCTCCAAGACAATGAAGAAAATGTCTCCAGAGCATGTCTGAGGTCTTCATGGCACCCACTCCCATCAAAGGCCTGGAAGCCCAGGAGGAAAAAGTGGTTTCATGGGCCAGGCCAGGGTCCCCATGCTTTGTGCAGTCTAGAGACTTGGTGCCCTGCTTCCCAGCTGCTCTAGCTATGGCTAAAAAGGGCCACAGTACAGCGTGGGCTCTTGCTTCAGAGGGTGGAAGCCCCAAGCCTTGGCAGCTTCTATGTGGCTCTGATCCTGCAGTTGCACAGAAGTGAAGAATTGAGTTTTGGGAACCTCTGCCTAGATTTCATAGGATGTATGGAAATGCCTAGACGCCTAGGCAGATGTTTGCTGCAGAGGTGGGGCCCTCATGGAGAACCTCTGCTAGGGCATTGTGGGCCGGAGACCCCACACAGAGTCCCTACTGGGATACTGCCGAGTGGAGCGTTGAGAAGAGGACCACTCTCCTCCAGACCCCAGAATGGTAGATCCACCTACATCTTGCATCATGCACCTGGAAAAGCCACAGACACTCAACACCAGCCAGTGAAAGCAGCCAGGAGGGGGACTATAACCTGGGAAGCCATGAAGGCAGAGTTGCCCAAGGCCATGGGAACCCCCCTCTTGTATCACTGTGACCTGAATGTGAGAAATGAAGTCAAAGGAGATCATTTTGCAGCATTAAGATTTGACTGCCCTGCTGGATTTCAGACTGGCTTTGGGCCTGTAGCCCCTTTATTTTCACCAATTTCTCCTATTTGGAATGGCTGTATTTACCCAATTCCTGTACCCCCATTGCATCTAGGAAGTAACTAACTCCTTTTGATTTTACAGACTAATAGGCAGAAGGGACTTGACTTGTCTTGGATGAGACTTTGGACTGTGGACTTTTGAGTTAATGCTGAAATGAGTTAAGACATTGGGGGACTGTTGGGAAAGCATGGTTGGTTTGAAATGTGAGGACATGAGATTTGGGATGGCTCAGGAGTGAAATGATATAGTTGGCTGTGTCCCAACCCAAATCTCATGTTGAATTCCCATGTGTTATGGGAGGGACTCAGTGGGAGGTAATTGAATCATGGGGGCAGGTCTTTCCCATGATGTCCTTGTGATAGGGAGTAAGTCTCATGAGATCTGATGGTTTTAAAAAGGGGAGTTTCTTTGCACAAGCTCTCTCCTCTTGTCTGCTGCCATGTGAGATGTGCCTTTCACCATCTGCTGTGATTGTGAGACTTCGCCAGCCATGTGGAGCTGTAAGTTTAAAAAACCTCTTTCTTTTGTACATTGCTCAGTCCTGGGTATGTCTTTATCAGCAGCATGGAAACGGACTAATACAGCTCCCAAAAATGTTTCATAGTTTTATGGAAGAGTCAAAAATCTCCCTCTTCTGCTCAGTAGGATAAGAGAAATTCATTTTGTGGGACATTTCACCTTCTGTCAAGTAAAGGTACAATAGCCCTTCCTTATAGAAATATGTATAATACTCCATAGGACAGAGAGCTACAGGATGTAAAATACAAAAGAGCTGTAATAGGACACAACTCAGGAAAAAAAATATTTTTATGACTTCTGGAGAGAAGCAAACTCTCAATGTGTACAAATGATAATTACTCTGCACATTAAATAAACTTTAAAGATGGGTATATTCTAATATCAGATGGATCTGAAAAAAAAAGTGAGCTTATAAGAAGGCAAATATCTCAGCAGACCCTGGAGTGGCAAACAGAGCCAAGGAATCTGTAACACAAGGTTTCTACCTGGTTTTCCATATTTAACAAACAAACAAAAAGAGAGGTCTCAGTTAAGACTTCGCAAAGTCCTTAGTAGTAGTGTTGAGAATTAATGAACCTATACTATCAAAATTTCATACAGTTTTCTATACATAATTGTATAAAGGGAACTTCAGAAAATATACAGGGATCCTTACTTAGTTTCTGCTTCCTTGTTACTCAGACACTGGTAATAAATCTTAACCAGTAAAACCAAGAGTCTTTCTGGGTTCATCTTCCTCCAGTTTCTGAAGACATCAGAAGTAGAGAACTTTTACATCATGTGTTGTCCCAACTTTACAAATGTTACCTATTTTATCTACTTCTTGCATCAGGATTCTTATACCTGAAATTCTGCAACTTGATTTTTTTGAATTATATGAAGATCAACCTTTAAGAATTGGCTTAAAATGAATTTCTCTGGGAAGAATTGCTTTCCTCGAATTTGCTTTACCAAATTATGATTCTCTGCTTAATTAGTCATCAAAAATTTGTGCAGTCTAGAGACTTGGTGCCCTGCTTCCCAGCTGCTCCAGCTATGGCTAAAAAGGGCCACAGTACAGCTTGGGCTGTTGCTTCAGAGGGTGGAAGATAAAATATTCATTGTATTTAATATTTTAAATGGACAAGAATAAAATTACTAATAAGTTCATAAATTCAGATTTTCTTTTATTCAAAATCCACTATACACATTATAACAAAAGGTCTAAAATATGTTCATATAACCAAAATTATACTAGGCAAGTTTAGTTGAAAATCAGAACATAAACATATTTGAAATCTATGAATGCACACATCATAAACAGTCAATATTCAGGACTATCATGAGTCAATAAAGTAATAATTTACTTGTTTCTCAAAAAAATTCAAGAAATTATTTTATTATGTTTGGGTGAATTTTTAAAATTTATAACATTTTGTTGAAGAGGAAAGAGAAAAATATTCAACATGCAATGCAGATCTACAGAGGCTTCATTCTTTCTTTTTTGGTATATGAAAATTAATTACTACTATGTTTCACCATCAAATTCATTATCGTAGTCTTTCTTTGTTGCCTTTGTTTAGGACCAAAACAGAGACATTGGCTACTTTGACAACCTTAAAGTGGATTCCAGGAATATCAATAATAGCATGATCTTTTCAATCAAATTCCCTAACCAGAACCTAATTGTTTTCCTCAATAATGTTCAAGCAACCATCATTGGGTTACAACAGATGTGATTTTCTTGCTGTTCTTGATCAGCTGGACCCTGAAACACTTCCGGAAGGCAGAGTTTGGTTGTTTGGCTTCAACTTCTACTTTTTCCAGCATAATCCCCTTTGCATTTGAAGCACCTTTAAAACTGTTGGCCTTCAGGGCTGTGCCCAAATAAACTTCCCTGTACTGTTTATGACATTTCTTGTCTCATCAGTGACTACAGAGCTTCCTGACAGTATGAAGTCCAGGGCCCTTACTCATCCTGCCAGTGCCATGGGCCTGAACAAAAGAGCTCATTCCTCTCTTTGACTTCCAGGAAATGTAGAAATAACGAGGTCCAGATTTGCTTATCTGAGCCCACTGATAACAAGAAGTAACTCTCCACATGCAAGCAGTTCACATAGCTGATAAATAACAGCTTTGAAAACAACACCAATAGGTCCCAAGTTGATTGTTCTTCCACATAGAGAGACTGAGTAATCACCTAAAATATACTGATATATGTTAGTCATTGGTATGTTGCAAACATTATCTTCTTCATATATATACGTGTGTGTGTGACAGAGAGAATCTTTTAGAGATTACAGTTTATTACTTCCCTAAAACTATTTTATGTTTTTAGAGGTATATTGGCTGTAAGAACATTTTTTAAAGTTTGCGGAAGACTAATTCTTAGACATCAGTTATCTCTCAAAAATCATGTAATTAAAGTAGTAATCAAAAACATGTTTGCCCCCAAATTGCATGTATTCTAAGATACAGCTGAGTAAAATGTATTCATACAAACTTGGCCACAATACTTTGAGAATTATCAATTATCAAAATATGCAATTTAAAAAAATTATTTTGAACATACTTTGGACAAAAACAGACATGTAATGAGTGTTGAATTTGCAGTACACACTTTACCTGCATTATCTCATATAACCAAAACAACATCCTCCAACATATGTATCTGGGGAAACAGAAGACCAGAAAATAACTCAATTCCTTAACCTCAGATGGATGGTTAATAATGAAATGGATTTTGAAATATTGCTACTAGGTGTCAGATTTTAATAATTTTCTACAGATGGATAATCTAATATAAAAATGTTGATTACAGAAGGTAAATGATGATTAAATTTGATGTCAATAGAATGTACATGAGTTTCCTTTTTTAACTAATGATTTACCATGTACCTTGTAAGTAAGAGATTAGTAGTTATCTAAATTGGTACAACAATAGCTATTCCTAGGTAAGAAATGTACAAGAAAAGTGAGGCCAAGAGAGGGAAAGGAAATCTATTTAAGGATTTCAAAAGGAACAGTATTTATAGATTCGTTCTACCTTCTAGCCTCTGTTATTAATATTTTTTCATTTCTCTTTTATACTGCTATTCATTGATTCCTTAAACTCTTGTTTGCTACTCAAACAATCTGTGGGCCAAGTGATCTGTGGAATAGCAGTATCAGTGTCACCTGGGAGCTGGCTAGAAATGAAGACTCTTAAACCCCACCCCGGGAGCAACCTAAATTAGAATCTATATTTCTACAAGATCTGAGGTAACTTATACTAACTTTGATGGTTGAGAAATGTACTCTACAGCATATTGATTTCCAGTATATGATTATGCAAATAATGGGTCATAGTTTAGATAGGAGATCACTTCTTTCTTTCTTCCTTCCACCAAAGGGTCCTTGAAACAATGTATGGATGGGACAATAACTCAGTTTTTTCCACAGGAAGAGTCAGTCCATACTTGATCTTTAGTGTCATATCCAGTTTATGTGGTTCACTGGTTACTCTTTAAAAGCAAAGCCTCCATCATTCTCCAGATGAATGGTTCTTTCCAGGCTCATTTCCTGAGGACCTTTGGAAGATGCTGCCAAAATTCCATTTACAGCACATCTGTGCAGCTGCAGTTCCATCATTATTGATTCCAGCTGTTAGTGGTGTGACTGAAATCAATGACTTAAATCTTCCGAAACCAGAGTGTATAATTTACCCCTCAAATTATTAATATGCCTTCTAAAAATAGTAGTTTTAACACAATGCTCACATTTTTCATTTTAACATTTTATCTCACATATGAAAAAGTTATGTTTATCTCAGATATTTTGATTTAAGGGTAATCATTTTTTGTAAACTAAAATTATGTTAAATTTAAAAAATGAAATATCTTAAACTTTATTTACATTCTTGTAAAATATATGCTTTTACTTTACTTTCTTGACATGAATACAGTATTCATCCAGGACAAATCTTACCATTTAAATTGACTGTTTATTCTTTATATACATTATGAAATTTATATAGCCTTCTATTATAAAGCCGATAGGAAAACCTTAACATATATCCCCTAAACATATCTCAGTCATTAATATTATTTTGCATTTTCACTTCCAGTGGAAAATGAAATAAACCCTTCAAACTTAAATAGAAAAAGCAAAAGATGATATTTTGAAGAAAGTGCCTGAGAATAGCACCAATAAAAAGCTGCTCATTTGAAAAAACTGATCATTCCATGATTTTGGACATGAAAAACAAAAAAACTTAGTTTCACAAATGAGTCAATTAAATTGGAAAAATAGATACACAGAGATCAATAACAGAAAAATAAAGTTGATTTGGAGAAAGCAGCCCCTGAAATGCTCTGTTAACATACTCTTTAAGTTGGTGCAACATACAGAGTTATTCATAAAGAGTAGTAATAGGAAATATTTGATTAAAGACAAATGGACATATAAGCAAATAATATAATTAGAAATATTACACATACTTTAAAAATTTAACATTTACCTTAATGAATTGAAACCTGGAAGTAAAATGACTCCAGTACCATAAAAATAAAATATTAATATAATGTTAATTGCATATACAAAAAGTTATCTAATTAGCATTTTAAATGAAATCAGAATAACTCACATCTGTGTTAAATTAAAATCTCTTCAAATTTGCTTTTGAGAAAATGAGGAAAGGAAATTAACAAATGAGGCACCATAATAGATTATTTAAATGCAGCCTCAATTAATTTTCTCACATTCTTTGAACTGGATATTATTACAGAACTTAATAGAAAAGAAAAGAGAAATTCAAGCAGTAGATCATGTGGTTAAACTCAGTTGGTACTTCTGTTTCAAGTTTTGAAGAGAAATGTGATTTAAAAATGTAACTTTGATGCCCTATGAAATGTGGCAATTCATAAATACATAAACAAATGTTTTTCCTTCAGATGTTTTATTCTTTTTGCTCAGGATGGCTTTGGCTATCCTTGGTCTTTTGTGGTTCTATATAAATTTTAGATTTTTTTTTCTATTTCTATGAAGAATATCATTGGTATTTTGATAATTGCACTGAATATGTAGTTTGTTTTGAATAGTATGGATATTATAACAATATTGAGTCTTCCAATCCATGAACATGGGATATCTTTCCATTTTTGGGTATCCTTTTCAATTTCCTGTGTCAGTGTTTTATAGTTTTTCTTGTAGAAATCTTCAACATCCTTAGTTAATTCCTAAGTATCTGATTTTATTTGTACTTGTCATAAATGGGATTCCTTTATTGATCTCTTTTTCAGATTGTTCACTGTTGGTACATAGAGATGCTACTAATTTTTGTATGTTGATTTTGTATCCTGTGACTTTACTGAGTTTGTTTATAAGTTCTAATAGTATTCTTTGGTGAAGTCTTTAGGTTTCTCCAAAATAAGATTAATTCTTCTGTGAACAAGGAAAATTTAACTTCTTCCTTTCCAATTTTGGAAGTCTTTTTTTTCTTTCTCTTGTTCAATTGCTCTAGCTAGGACTTCTAGTACTATGTTCAATAACAGTAATATAATTGGGCATACTTGCTGTATTTCCAGATCATAGAGGAAAGAATGTTAATTTTTTTATTCAGTATGATACTAGCTATGTATCTGTTATCATATAGCTTTTCTTGTGTTGAAGTATTTTCATTCTATACCTAGCTTTTTGAGGATTTTTATCATGAACAGACATTAAATTTTATAAAATACTTTTTCAGCATCAGTTGAAATGATCATAGGATGTTTGTCCTTCATTTTATTAATATAATGTATTACATTGATTGAATTGCATATGTTGAATCATAATTGCAATCCTAGAATAAATCCCACTTGATGAGTATTGATGATCTTTTTAATGTGTTGTTAAATTTGGTTTGTTAGTATTTTGTTGAGAACTTTTGTGTCAATGTTCATTAGGGATATTGGCCTGTAGTTTTCCTTTTTTGATATGTCTTGTCTAGTTTTGGTATCAGGGCAAGACTGGCTTCATACAATAAATTAAGAAGTGTTCCTGTCTCCTCTATTCTTCAGAATAATTTGAGTAGGATTGCTACTAATTCTTTCTTCAAATGTTTGTTAAAATTTAACAATTAAGCCATCAGGTCCCAGGCTTTTTTTTTTTTTTTTTTCTGGGAGACTTGTTATTACTGCTTTGATCTCATTACTTGCTGTTGGTCTATTCAGTTTTTGGATTTCTCATGGTTTAATTTTTGTAGGTTGTATGTGTCTAGAATTTTATCATTTCTTCTAGGTTTTCCAATTTATTGGCATATAGGTACACATTGTAGTTTCTAACGATCCTTTAGAAAGGATCTGCAGCATCAGTTGTAAGGTATCCTTGTTCATCTCTGATTTTATTTTTTGAGGACTTCTCTATTTTTTCTTCATCTGAATATAAGTCTGTCAATTTTATTTATCTTTTCAAAGCACCAACTATTTGCTTCATTAATCTTTCATTTTTTTCAGTTCAATTTCATTTACTTTTGCTCGGATTACTATTAATTCTTTTCTTCTACTAATTTGAGTTTTGATTTTTTCTTGCTTTTCTAGTTCTTTAAGGTTCATTGTTAAGTTGTTTATTGGAAATTTTTCTACTTTTTTGATGTAGGTGATTATTGCCATAAATTTTGCTTTTAGCATTGCTTTAGCTGTATCCCACACGTTTTGTTATGTTTTGTTTCCATTGCATTTATTTCAATTTTTTTTCAATTTATTTTTTAATTTCTTTATTGTTTCACTGGCTGTTCAGGAGCATATTTTCTAATCTCCCTGTGTTTGGATGGTTTCCAAATGTCCTCTTGTTACTGATTTTAGTTTTACTTCATCGTAGTCTGGGAGGAATGATGTGATTTATTTATTTCTTCAGTTTGAGTTTTTTAAGACTTGTTTCATGGCCTAACATAATCTATCCTTGTTAGCGATCCATGTGCTAAGGAGAAGAATGAATCCAGTGCTGTGAGGTGTTGAAGTCTCCAGCTATTATTGTATTGGTGTCTAACTCTCTCTTTATTTCTGATAATTGTTTTAAATACCTGGGTGCTCCATTTTTGAGTGCATATTTATTCTATTCACAATTATTATATTCTCTTGATGAATCAATTCCTTTATCATTATGTAATAATTTCTTTTTTTTTTACAGTTTTTGTCTTGAAATCTCTTTTATCTGATATAAGCTATCAGTATTGCTATAAGGTTGAAGTACATCTACTCCTGCTTTTTTTTTTTTTTTTTTGCTTTTCATTTCCATGGAATATTTTTTTTCCATTCCTTTAGTTTCATTCTCTGTATTTCTTTATAGGGGAAGTGTATTTGTTGTAGGCAACAGATTATTCCATCTGTTTTTTAAATGCATTCAGTCACTCTATGTGTTTTGATTAAAGTGTTTAGTTCATTTACATTCAATGTTATTATTGATTAGTAAGGAATTACTACTTCCATTTTGCTATTTGTTTTCTAGTTGTTCTGTGGTCTACTCTTCCTTCTTTCTTTCCTACTTGTTTTGCTTTCAGTGAAGGTGGTTTTCTCTGGTGGTATGTTTTACTTTCTTTCTTTTGTTTTTACTGTATCTGTTGTTATGTTTTTAGATGTGAAGCTACACTAAGGCTTGCAAGTAACATCTTATATCCCATTACTTTAAACTGATGACAATTTAACTCTGATTGCAGGAATAAAGAGAAAAATTAATAAAAGCTCTGAACTGTAATTTCATCCCTCCTGCTTTTTAACTTTTTTAATTTTGATTTATAACTTATCATACCATATATACCTTAAAATTGTGGTAGTTATTAATTTTGTAGGTTTTTCATTTAGTCTTCCTTCTCAAGATGTGAGTAGTTTACACACTACATTACAGTGCTATAATATTCTGTATTTGTCTGTATGCTTACTGTTACTAGTGAGTTTTGTACCTTCAGATGATATCTTATTGCTCCTTAACATTCTTTTCTTCCAGATTAAATAACTATCTTTAACATTTTTTGTAGGATAGTTCTAGTGTTGACAAAATCCCTCAGCTTTTGTTTGACAAGGACTTTATTTCTCTTTCATGTTTGAAGGATATTTTTGCTGGATATAATTTCATAGGATAAAAGCCTTTTTTCCTTCAGTAATTTAAATGTATAACATCAGTCTTTCCTGGCTGTAAGGTTTACACTGAGAAATTTGCTGCCAGACAAAGTGGAGCTCTCTTATACGTCATTTTTCTCTTTTCTTTTGCTACTTTTAGGATTCTTTTTTAATCTCAGACCTTTGGGAATTTGATTATTAAATGTCTTGAGGTAGTCTTACTTGGGTTAAATCTGTTTGATGTTTTATAACCTTCTTGTACTTGAATATTGATAGGTTTTTTTAAGTTTGAATAGTTCTCTAATATTACCTTTTGGAATAAACTTTCTACCCAGTCTCTCTCTCTCTACTACTTCTTTTAGAGCAATAATTCATAGATTTGCCTTTTTGAAGCTGTTTTCTATTTTCTAGATCACGTAGGCATGCTTCATTATTTTTTACTCTTTTTTCTTTTGATTCTTCTGTGTATTTTCAACTAGCCTCTCTTCAAGCACACAATTTCTTTTTTCTGTTTGATAAGTTCTGCTGTTCATAGACTGATGCATTCTTCAGTTTGTCAATTCAATTTTTCAGCTCCAAAATTTCTGCTTGACTCTTTTTAAATATTTCATCTTCTTTGTTAAATTTATGTGATAGAATTCCAAATTCCCTTTTTTGTGTGGTTTTATTTCACTTCCTTAAAACAGGTATGTTGAAATCTTTATCTGAAAAGTCACATATCTCTATCACTCCAGAATTGGGCAGTGGTGCCTTATTTAGTGTTTGGTGAGGTGATTTTTTTCTGAGATGGTCTTGATGCCTGTGGATGTTCACCAATGTTTGGGCATTGAAGATTTACATATTTATTCTAATCTTCACAGTCTGGGCTGATGTGTACCCATCTTTCTTGAGAAAGCTTTCCAAGAATTCAAAGGGAATTGAGTGTTATGAAATAAGTTTTTGGTCACTGCAGCCATATGTGCATTAGGGAACACTCCAAGCCCAGTAACACTGTTACTTTGCAGATTTGTAGAAGTACCAGCCTTGGCAATCTTGGGTAATATCTGGAAGAATAGTCTGGATTGCCAGAGAGGAGTCTCTTGTTTTTTCCCCCTACTTTCTCACAAACGAATGAAGTCTCACTCTCCATGCTAAGCTCCCTGGAGTTTGTGGAGGGATGACAAAAGCACTCCTGTGGCCACCACCTCTAGGATTGTGCTGGGTCACACCCAAGGGTAGCACAATACTAGGCCTTGCCCAAGCCTGTGGTGGCTGCTGCCTGGCTACTGCTGATGCTTATTCAAGGACCAAGGGCTCTTTAGTCAGCATGTGGTGAATTCTGAAAGGACATGGACCTTCTCTTCAGGGCAGTGGCTTCTCTTCTTGCCCAAGGCAGGTCTAGAAATGTCATCTGGGAACAATGGTATAAAATGGGGGTTCGGGACTCTGCTTCATGCTTTATTTTACTTTGGATGAGCTGGTATCCATGTTACAGGACTGTGCTATTTACTCGTCCCTTTCCTCCCAGAGCTACAAGCTGCAGTGCCTAGCATTGGGGAAGGTAATAAAAACACTCCCTTGGCCACCCCAGTGCTGTCTCACTTGGTCATGTGCACACATCCACTGGGTCTGAGCCCAGCACATCACCAGGACTTGCTCAGGAATTGAAATCCTTGTGGTCTAGACTGTCTTTCCTGTTTACTTAGGACCCCAGGGCACTTTCACTCTCAGTAGTGGGGCTAGCCAGAACTTGGGTTGAGACCTCTGAGTAAGGATGGTCTAAATGATCCCTACATAGTCACTGGCCAAATTCTGCCCTATCTTGCTTTCTGCTGTTACAGGACAACAGTGAGTTCCAATGCAAAGACGCACAATCATTTTGCTCTCCCTTTTCCAAGTGCACAGAATTTCTGTCTCTGTCATTGTGCACTGCCCAGGGATAATGGAGGTGTGTTGTCAGCAATTCAAGACTGCCTTACTACCCCCTTCAGTTTCTCTTTCCTTGATAAGATGTTAAAACCAGGTACTGTGATTACTTATCTGAGTTTTGGTTCTTATGAAGGTGCTTTTTGTGAGGAAAGTTGTTCAGTTTGGTGTTCAGTTTTGTGATCACTAGAAGGTTCTATTCAGCCATCTTGTTCTGTTTCCTTCTTAGTTTCTTCTTTATAAACACTCTTTATTTGGCTTCAAGGATACAATAATTTCCTTCTCCTCTGCCTGTTGCTCTTTCTCAGTCTCCTTGGCTTGTTCCTTCACATCTTGCCAACTGCTGAACACTGAAATAACTTGAAATCTTCTCTATCTATATTCACTCCCTTAATAATTTATTCTGTTTCTTTCTTTTAAATAACATGTATAGTTGATGAATTACTTATTTATAAATTCAGCTTTGAAATTCTGAATAATATATCCAAGTACATATTTGTTATCTCTACTTAGAAACTGAATAGATGTTCTAAATTTAAAAGGTCTATAATAAAAACTGTTAGAATATTAACCTTTGGAAACCTGCTCCTTCTGTAATCTTCTCTATTACAGGAAATGGAAACCCTACTATTCCCAGTGGCTTAAACTAAAAACCTTGAGGTCATCCTTAACTCTTTCCCTTCTCTCTCACCTCCACATTCAATTTTTTTCTGCAAATTCTTTTTTTTTTTTTTGCCTTCAAAACCATACACAGCATTACTTGACATCACCTCCAGTTCTATGAATTCCAATTCTAGGTAAAATGATCACCACCAATTGTCTATTAACTGTTCTTCATTCTTTGGCATTTCTTTCCATCCTACAGCTTGTTTTCAAAACAAAAGCTAAAGAATGTTTTTTTTTTTAAATCAAATATTATTATATCACTTCTTTGCTTGATTCTCTTCATTGGGTTTTTATCTCATTCAACCTTCAGAGTCTTCACAATTGCCCTGAGGATATATACAGTCAGCCTTAGTTGTTCTTTGAGCATACCAGGAATTTCCTTGCCACAGGACCATTTCCTAGCTTTTCCTTCTGCATTGAAAGGCCCTATACATATCCTTCATGAGTATGTTTAAATAGAATAAAGATGGGAGAGGGAAAATTTAAAGCAGCTGGACTAGGATTCATTCACTAATTTCATAAAGTGGGGACCGCACTAGGTGAAATAAAAAATCAACTGTAGATACATTCTGATATTTGGTCATGAGCAGAATTTATTTATAGAATTTCTTAGGAAGATAACCCTGGCTAAAGGGTTATATATAGTTAATAAACTGAAATACATGTATAGATGAGGCATGCCTTTCTGAAGCATGTAGTGTGTTATAGCATTCATTCATGTATAAAATGGAGATGGTTGAGGTTGATAAATTAAATGTTCCCTCCTGGGTGAAATGACCCACAAAGCTTATTATAGACCTTATAATTTATCTAGGTGATGAGTTCATGTCTTATCTGGGAAGGTAGGAACTGGAGTCATCCTCAACGTAACCAATCTCTCTACTCCATATGAACTTCCTAATTATGTATATCCTTAAAATTATTAGAAAGCTTGATACCTGATTTGTGTGAGTATGAGTTGACAAGCCAATCCTTATATTATAATAGCTAAATAATATAATCTGTAAGGTGTTTTCTGAACACTTTATTTAAAATTTCATCCCT